>NC_000010.11:111620368-112870368 GCF_000001405.40 Homo sapiens | reverse complement strand
AATCCAGGAGGCAGAGGTTGAGGTTGCAGTGAGCAACCACTGCACTCCAGTCTGGACGACAGAGCAGGACTCTGTCTCCAAAAAAAAAAAAAAGAAGAAGAAAAAGAAGAAAAATTCCAAACACAGAAGTACAGAACAAATTAAAGCAAATCCCTATGTACCTGGTTACCCAGGTTCAAGAGCTGTCAACTCACAGCCCAAATTGTTTCCTTCATAGCGCAACCCTAGGTAACTTTGGAATAAATTCCAGATCTCAAGTTATTTTATTTTATTTTATTTTATTTTATTTTATTTATTTATTTATTTATTTTGAGACAGAGTCTCACTCTGTCAACCAGGCTGGAGTGCAGTGGCACGATCTCGGCTCACTACAACCTCTGCCTCCTGGGCTCAAGTGATTCTCCTGCCTCAGCTTCCTGAGTAGCTGGGATTACAAGCATGTGCCACCACGCCCTGCTAATTCTTTTTTTGTATTTTTAGTAGAGATGGGGTTTCACCATATTGGCCAGGCTGGTCTCAAACTCCTGACCTCAGGTAATCCACCCACCTTGGCCTCCCAAAGTGTTGGGATTGCAGGCGTGAGCCACCGCGCCCGGCTTAAGTCATTTTAGTAAGCAAAGGACATTTTATTTATTTAATTAAAAATTTTTAATTTTCCCTTCAGCTTTACTAAGGTATATCTGGCTAACAAAATTGAATATGTTTACGGAGTACAATGTGATGTTTTGATATATGCACACATTGTGAAATGATTAAATCAAGCTAATTGACATATCCATCACCTCACATGCTTATTTTTTTGAGGTGAGAACATTTAAGATCTACTCTCTTGACAAAGGTGATTTTAATTATATAGGAATTCATTTTTTGGAATTCCAAAACTACTCAAAATCCACTTAGAAAGATGAAAAACTAGGCCAGGTGCGATGTCTCACGCCTGTAATCCCAGCACTTTGGGGTGCTGAGGCGGGTAGATCACCTGAGGTCAGGAGTTTGAGACCAGTCTGGACAACATGGTGAAACCCCGTCTCTACTAAAGATACAAAAATTAGCCAGGAGTGGTGGTGGGTGCCTGTAATCTTGGGAGGCTGAGGCAGAAAAATCGCTTGAACCTGGGAGGCAGAGATTGTAGTGAGTTGAGATTGCGCCACTGACTCCAGCCTGGGCGGCAGAGCAAGACTCCATCTCCAAAAAAAGGAAAATGAAAAACGGAAGCAGCATGAGCTCCCCTGTACCTTCGGTTTCCTCCACTTTGCTGTTTATGTCTGAGTTCTTATTGTTGATGGTGTTTTTATTTCAACCTCCCCTTTAAAATTTCTTATTTTTTGCACACCTTTTACACCCTTGGGAAGAAGAGAAAAAAGAAACCCAAACTCACGTGTGCAGAAGGTATGCCCCAATTCCCCTCTCCTCCTCTCTCCTTTCCCCTCCCTAGGAAAAAAGACCTCAAGCATAAAAATTAAAAAATAAAGTTAAGCAAAAGGAAAGTAATAAAAATAATCCGTGTTCTCATCACCAAGAGATTGTCATCATTGCAAGTTCTTCCCACATTAAAAAAAATTATCTTACCATATAAAACCTTTGGAGCTTGATTTTTCCCCCTTACTAAAGTATCTATGACACATCTTCTTATGCTAATAAAAGATACATCTTCGCCAGTCACGGTAGCTCAACCCTGTAATCCCAGCACTTTGGGAGGCTGAGGTGGGGAGATTACTTGAGCCAAGGAGTTCAAGACCAGTCTGGGCAAAATGGTGAAACCCCATCTCTACTAAAAATACAAAACATTAGTCGGGCGTGGTGGCACATGCCTGTAGTCCCAGCTACTTGGGAGGCTGAGGTGGAAGGATCACCTGAACCCAGGAGGTCGAGGCTTCAGTGAGTCAAGAATGCACCATTGCACTCTAGCATGGGCAACACAGTGAGACTCTGTCTCAAATAAATAAATAAACAAGTAAACAAATGAATATATGCATCTTTGTCACAGCTCTTAATGGCTCTGTATATCTACATCCATTATGTAGATATACCTTTGTCTTAAAACCATTTTCTTATTGGTATGTATTTTGGTTATTTAAATCTTTTGTTATTATAATTAAACTGTAATAAACATCCTTGACCAATCTTGTGCCCTTGTTTAATCATTTCCTTTGGATAAATTAAGCAGAATTCCTGGGGCAAAGGGTACCTACGTATTTAAGGCTTTTCAGTCATACTGCCAAGCTGCTTTGTAGTAAGGTGATACCAAGGTCATATCAAGTGAACCAGGAAGGCAAAAGAGTGCCTGTTATCCTAATCCTTACCAATACTGCGTATTAACATTCTCATAACCTTTGCCAATCTGACAGGTGGGTAATTGCATATTGTAATTTTAATTTGCATTTCTTTGATCACTAGAGAGGTTAACTATATTTAAAGTATTGGGTGACCAACTTTGCAAATTTATTTTTAGAATCTATTTTGGAAAGTTTCAAAAATTTTCAGTAATAGAGAGTAAGGATACTCCTATGTAGCTATCACCCAGTTTCAACATTTATATATCTTCCTACTTCTCTTTCCTCACATACACAAACATACCAGATTATTTTATAACAAATTCCAGGCATCATATAAATTGTACATTTTCAGTATATATTTTAAACATAAAATGATTTTTTTTGGTGATAATATAACCAAAATATCATTATCAAACTTAAAAAATAGTAATTTATTAAAATACCAGCAAGTATATAATCAATGTTCATAAGTCTCTAATTGTCTCATTTTTTTTTTTTTTTTTTTTGAGATGGAGTTTTGCTCTGTGCCAGGTGGAGTACAGTGGCACGATCTCAGCTCACTGCAACCTCTGCCTCCCGGGTTCAAGTGATTCTCCTGCCTCAGCCTCTTGAGTAGCTGGGACTACAGGTGTGTGCCACTGTGCCCAGCTAATTTTTGTATTTTTAGTAGAGACAGGTTTCACCATGTTGGCCAGGATGATCTCGATCTCTTGACCTCGTGATCCGCCTGCCTCAGCCTCCCAAAGTGCTGGGATTACAGGTGTGAGCCACTGTGCCTGGCCAGTTTTTATTTTATTTTTTTACAATTGGTTTATTGGAATCAGCATCCATACCACACATTTACATATGGTTGATATGTCTCTTAAGTCTTTGTCTCTCTCTCTTTTATTGAGGTGAAATTCACATAACATGTGATTACCATTTTAAAGGGTACAATTTAGTGGCCTTTAGTGCATTCACAATGTTGTGCAACTACCATCTCTTTTATTTTCAAAACATTTTCATCAGGCTGAGCATGGTGGCTCACGCCTGTAATCCCAGCACTTTGGGAGGCCAAGGTGAGTGGATCACCTGAGGTCAGGAGTTCGAGACCAGCCTGGCCAAGATGGCTAAACCCTGTCTCTACTAAAAAATATAAAAATTAGCCAGGCATGGTGGCAGGCACCTGTAATCCCAGCTATGTGGGAGACGAGGCAGGAGAATCACCTGAACCCAGGAGGCAGAGGTTGCAGTGAGATGAGATCACACCACTGTACTCTAGCCTGGGCGACAAGAGTGAGACTCAGTCTCAAAAAAAAAAATTTTTTTTTTCATCACCCCATAAAAATACCCTTTTAAGTAATTATTCCCTGTTCCCCTCTCCCCCAGCTCCAGACAACCCCTAATCTACTTTCTGTCTCTATGGAATTACCTATTCCGAATGCTTTATATAAAAAAATTCATAACATACGTGGCTTTGTGTCTGATCTTAAGACTCTTTTAGTGTACAGTTTCCTCCTCTCTCTCTTCCTTTTCTTGACCTTTATTTGTTGAAAGAACTGGGTTGTCATCTGATAGAGAGTCCCACAATCTGTTTTTTGCTGACTGTATCATGTGGGTGTTTTTTAACCTGTTCCTCTCTCCCCTGTACCTTCTGTCAGTTGTAATTAGAGCTAGCAGCAAGATCAGATTTAGGTTTGATTTCCTGGCAAGAATCTTTCATAGAGTCCTGTGTATTTTGTATTACTTTATGTGAGAGGGTATTTAATGTTATTTGTTATAAGATTGATCAGTGGGCTCAGATATCATCAGCCTGGTCTGTTCACTATCCAGTTCCCCATTAGATTCTCACTGGATGATTTCAGGAGCCATTGCTGATCATTACCTGGATCCATTATTTCTTTTTTTTTTTTTTTTTTTTTAGATCGAGTTTTGCTCTTGTCGCCCAGGCTGGAGTTCAGTGGCACGATCTCAGCTCACTGCAACATCTGCCTCCCAGGTTCAAGCAATTCTCCTGCCTCAGCCTCCCAAGTAGCTGGGATTACAGGTGTGCACCACCATGCTCAGCTAATTTTGTATTTTTAGTAGAGACGGGGTTTCAGCATGTTGGTCAGGCCAGTCTCGAACTCCTGACCTCGAGTGATCCACCCACCTTGGCCTCCCAAAGTTCTGGGATTACAGGCCTGAGCCACCACGCCTAGCCCTGGATCCATTATTTCATTAGAGGTTGTAAAATGGTGTTATTCTAATTTTGTCACTCTTTCGCACTGATTAGCTGAGAATCTTGTATAAAAAAGAACTTTCCTACATCAATTATTTGATTTTTCTGAAACATAGTTCATGCCAGTAGGGCAGGTAAATACTTGATTCTTTCCTTACTTGCCAGTCTTCAGAAAATGAATTTGGTCCCTAGCCATCTCTAATAATTAACTACGAGAGTTTTAAAGAAAAGTATCACTGTGAACTCATGGATTGGAACATATTTGATGTGCTTTGATTTAAAGCAGTTATTATTTTACTGTGCAGATTTCTCCACCTTCGGTGAGTGGGGAGCCACTTTTGGTTAGTTCTATGTCCTCTGACACAATTACAGAAGTCTTTGATAGCCGTTTGCTGATATGACGATGATCCACTCTCATTTTGTACCTTTAAAATCATGTTGTTAGCATTAATACTGATGTTATTTTGATACTATTTTACGTCTTCAAAATAAGTAATTACGTTGGTGCTCTTTAGGAATCAAGATTTTCATCATAAAAGAAATACATATATAAAATCAAATAAGTAAAAACCCAATAGAATTAGAATTGGATTGTTTGTTTAAACTCATGATGTATTTTCCCTTAAAAAAATATCTTTCAGCACTTTCCACTTAAACATTAAGAAACAGCAACCAATTCAGCAACAAAGAGAGCCCAGATTATGGTCCTTAAATACTATTTCTCACTAAAGGTAGGGCTCCTCGGATAAAGACTGATGCTCAGTCTAGAGCAAGCAATTCACATAGGTTTTTGATGGACATTTGGGTGCATTTGTAAGTATATGCAGCTTGATATTTAACTTGCAGTGGCTATAGAAGGCACAAGGAAGGACTCAGCAACAGCTAGAGGGACTCCCTCTTCTCACTCCTTGGTCATTAGGCCCTGCCATTATTTATTTATTTGTTTATTTTTACCAACAAAACTCATCCTGCCAAGGTATTGGACCCAAAAGTCTTTTCCTCTTGTCCATCTCTTTCTTCTGTTTGGATGGTCTCTTTTTTTCACCTTATATTTTGTATGACCAACTTCTCATCCTTTGATAAAACAGGGCAGGACTCATGTAATGCACTGCATTGAAATGAAGACCTTCCTGTGTCTGGCACACAAGTTAGCCTCTGATAAACTCTCCTGCACAATTAGAAAAAGTGAATCAGACTTGCCTTATCTGCTAGGTTTTGAGCCCCTTGGGCAGAAGAAATGAGTCTCATGTTTCTTTTCATCCCTTTAAGGAGTGGCAGAGGCTGGGCACACTCCTTAATATTTACTAATTAATTTCTAGTTTTCTGTATAGGATTGCATAAAGTTTCAGCTGCTGAAACAAGGATCTAAAATAACAGAGGCTTAAACAAGATAGAAGTGTATTTCTCTCTAATGTAGCCATCTTGGCCTAAAGATTTCAAGGTTACATGTGGAGGCTGAATTGGGCCAGAGCCCCTTCCCTTTAAGGCCACGGACTGGCTGTTAGCAAATCATTTCTGCTCACTTCCCTTTGGCCAGAACTTATCACATGACCACACCTAGCTGCAAGGGAGTCTGGGAATGTAAAATTGAGGTTCTATGGAAGACGGTGGGGAGGTGGGGAGAAGGATATCAAGGGTTAACCAGCATTCCCTGCCAAGGTCCCTTAGGACCCGAACAATTCTGTCAGGACTCACTCTGAGTCTCTTCTCCCTTTCTAGGTCATTTAAAAAACACTTTAATTATAAAAGTAATATATCTTTATTGTAAAAAAAAAAAAAGAGCTAGAGTTTTAGAAGTATAAAAAATACAATGTGGAAAAAGAAAACACTTTCTTTATCACCACTGTCCTACACTCTTCTCCAGAGGTAACCACAGTTAACAGTTTTTTCCAGACTTTGTATTATGTTTTCACGAGTACATTTTTTTCCAGACTTTTTATTATGTTTTCATGAGTACACGTACCCACACACATACATGCTTCCTCATAGATATGTATTTATATATTTTTCAAATGGGATTGTACAATAGATATTGATATGGTTGTGTCTCCACCTATGTTGAATTGCAGCTCCTGTAATTCCCATGTGTCATGGGAGGGACCTGGTGGGAGGTAATTGAATCATGGGGGTGGATTTTTCCTGTGCTGTTCTCATGATAGTGAATAAGTCTCATGAGATCTGATGGTTTTATAGAGGGCAGTTCCCCTCCCACGGTCTCTTTGCCTGCTGCCATGTAAAACGTGACTTTGTTCCTCATTTGCCTTCCACCATGACTGTGAGACCTTCTCAGCCAATGTGGAACTGTGACTCAATTAAACTTCTTTCCTTTATAAATTACCCAGTCTTAGGTATGTCTTTATTAGCAATATGAGAAAAGACCAATACATATATATATATGTATATATATAAAATACATATATATAAAACAATTTGACTTTTCACTTTAGTATTATTTAGTATTTAGTATTATTTAGTACTTAGTATTATTCCATGACATAAATGGACCTTAAATTATTTAAGCACATTCTTCATTGATGGACTTTTTAGAAAACTACTGTGGTTTAAAAGTTGACCTTTGTTTGGATAAATATCTAAGCTGAATTGATGAGCTCTCGGCTCTGATTAGATCCAAAATAGAAAATCCAATGATTGATATATTATGTGACCAAAATCATCATCTATGTTTCTAAAAGGGGCTTGGTACAGTTGATTTAATCAAGGTATTTCAACTTTCCCAGAGAGGAATCAAGGAAATAATAATTTAATTGTTCACATTTGTTTAGTACATTCCAACTTTTCTTTTCTTTTTGAAATGGAGTCTTGCTCTTGTCGACTAGGCTGGAGTGCAATGGCACCATCTCAGCTCACTACAACCTCCACCTCCTGGGTTCAAGCAATTCTCCTGCCTCAGCCTCCTGAGTAGCTGGGATTATAGGTGCCCACCATCACACCTGGCTAATTTTTGTACTTTTAGTAAAGACAGGGTTTTGCCATATTGGCCAGGCTGGTCTCGAACTCCTGACCTCAGGTTATCCACCCACCTTGGCCTCCCAAAGTGCTGGGATTACAGGCATGAGCCACCGTGCCTGGCACATTCCAACCTTTCAAAGCATCTGTGATATTATTTAGTCCCTCTTATAGTCCTGGAAGAAAGCAGCACAGGCTTTATCATCCTCAATATACAGGTGAAACCAAAAACCAGAGTGCTAAAGTACATAGGAACTTGGTGGCTATTGGTCAGGGCAGACCTCGGTAAGTCCCAGAGTGGCCTGACCTCACTCTGTGTTCACTTGGTGTTCATGTACCATTGGCTGGTTTCTTACTTACACAGCCAGACCTGGGCTCCTGGATCCTGTAGACAGGCACAGAAACTGTCATAAGCCCCTCAGTCACCATCTTCTGACCCTCAAAGACTAAGCCAGATTGGCTAGGAGAAGGCATTTAATGTGATGATGGCCTATCTGAGGAATTATAGAAGAGAGATGAAGATCAGCTAATCCAACTCCCTCAGAGTACTGTCAGGTAAGCTGGGCCCAGGTGGCTTGCCCAAGTTTATACCAAACATCAGTGGCAGAGCCAGGCCAAGAACCCATGCCTCTTGCTTTCTACTCTTGGCCTTCTTGCCATACCTCATGGATGCATTAAGAGGTTTGAGGGATGGAACTATCTGTTAGTAACAATGTGCTTGGTGGGCACAAAGCACTGGAGAAAACTCAATTATGCTTTGGGTAAGAGATGTGAAAGAGAAAGCCATAAGAGAGAGACAAGCCTATGCTGCCAGAATCTCTTCCACCTCCTCTCTCTGCAACCTCACCCTCACAGCCTTGCTCAGGCTCTGTCTGTTTCTGTGCTTGGTTAAGTTGTGTGTGAGTTTAACTCTTGCAGACCAAATGGCACAGCAATGAAAGCAAAGGCTTAGGAATATTATAGACGAGGGTTCAAATTCCTTATTATCAAATTCCTTGTTATCTAGATGATCTTGGACAAGGGCTGAATCTCTTTTGTTTCAGTGGCCTCATCCATAACATGGGGGATAAGAGAGAGCCTTAGTGTGGTTGGAAACAGTACAAGAGAGGGAACATGCAAAAAACTTAGCACGGAGCTCAGGATAGCACACAGCCCCCACGAATGGGGGCTTTTACTTTCCACAAACATTTGCTGAGAACCTACAGGACATCAGCTACTATGCAAGTCACAGTGGGGGATACAAACATGAATAAGACATAGTCTTACCCTGTAGGAACGTACAATCTAGTAGGGCAGGGATGGGTGATACAGAAGCAGCTCTACCTTCTGTATTTATGTAATTCTGAAGCCTTCTACCAGGAAGGTTGGAGCTCTCTTATTCCATATAAGGCTCCTCCACCATGTAGGAAAACACATGATTCCAACGCAGCCATGTGTCAAATCCATCCTTAAGGATTAAAGAAATAGAAGTAACAGATACTAACGCTGATATCATATCTGCAGACTGCCAGATAGACAGAGCCCTTTGAAGTTCCAATCTCTTGAAGGTCTCTTTGGACCAGGCAAACTCCCCATGCCACATCCCGTGAGGCCATGTAGGCCCCTGGTGACACTCCTCTTCTTTGGGACCATGGTGGGCTTTTGAATTTAGTAGGGAGGTGGCAAGATCCCATCAATCTCCATGTAGTTAGATCCATCTTTTCCTCAGTGAAAGAAAAAAAATCTCCAACACCACCTCCAAACACAGAGACCTACCCTCCTTTATAAAGTGCATTCCTCTTTCTGGTTTTAGTTTCAAGTGTCTCCGTATCCAAAATGAGACTGCCCTTTGCCCGCCTTGTATTTATCAATACATTGAATTCCAGACCTGCAAATGTGATGACTGAACCTGAGCGGAATTTCTGTAGTCTCCAAGAGATGCCCACTGGTTCTCAAAAGGGAAAACCAAAGCTAAGCCTTCCGTGGCTCTTTTCCCTCCTGTTCCCCACCCCCTCAACCAGACCTTACGATGTCAAAGGTGCTCCATCAGCACACAGCTTGGGTTGCCTACTTTCCCCTTTCTCTGGAAAGCAAGTTTTGGCAGAGTTGAGCCATCTTGTTCCCATTTGGGGCTCTCCTATAGAAAAGGCTCAGTTATCTTGTTCAGAGATCCCCAATAATCACTGCGCTTACAAAACTTGCTAAGGGCTATCATTACAGCAACCACATTTTCTAAACCCGTTATCAAAACTTCAGAGCTGACATTGTCTGGGAAAAGGAAACAGACCCTGTGAAATGTAGCCATACCAGAGAGAACAGGGACATGCTGGGGCAAATGCAGGGATAAGACATTGAGCTTTGGGAAAATAGAGAAGGGAGCAACTCTGAGAAAAGCCAAAAACAGTAAAATAAAAACCTCTAATGCAAATCAGGCTCCCAAGTGCACATAAAGATAAACGGGCCAGTCAGGGTGGGAACTTGGGTCCTGGGGCAGCTCTGAAACTCCCAAAGAGTTGCCAAATGTGAGAACTGATTTTCTAGTAAATTAATGAGATCTTGCTCTCCTAATTGTAATGACAGTTATTATTGACTGCACGACTTGAATGTGTCAGGCACTGCGCTGTGTTTTATATGTTCTGTATCACTGAAGTGCAGATACTAAAATGTCAAAAGGATTTTACCATAATTAGTCCATTCATCCATCTATCTATCCATTTGTCCATCCATCCATCCATCCATCTGATCATCCATCCATCCATCCATCCACCCATGTGTCCATCTGTCCATCCATCCATCCATCTGACCATCCGTCTGATTATCCATCCATCCATCCATCCATCCATCTATCCATTCATCCATCTGTCTGATCATCCATCCACCCATCCATCTGATCATCCATCACTCCATCCATCCATGCGTCCATCCAATCATCCATCCATCCATGTGTCCATCCATCCATCCATCCATCCATCCATCCATCCATCTATCCGACCATCCATCCATCCATCTGATTATCCATCCATCCATCTGATTATCCATCCATCTATCCATCCATCCATCTATCCATTCATCTATCCATCTGATCATCCATCCACCCATCCGTCTGATCATCCATCCATCCATCCATCTGTACATCCATCCAGTAACATTTGCTAAGCAAGTACTAAGTCCCTGTAGGATCATGATTACTATGGATTGAAGGAGGCCCACACATAAACAAGTAGCCCCATCACAGTGTGATAATATAAGGTGAGATGATTTTTCTAGGAATCTACCAAAGGACTCCCGGTTCCAGCCCCACCTCCCACCTTGTGAGTCAAATTAAAACGCATTCATTAATCCCATCTGAAAGTCCCAAACAGCTCTCTGCTTCAAGTGGTAATAAATATTTCATGCCCAATTGTGCTGCGTTCCTCGCTGTGTTTATTAAATGGAGTTTCTCATAATTCCAGTTATTCATTTTAATGGGTCAGGCCTTGGCTGTGATTTAAACAGACCGCTGAGGAAACAGCCGTGGTTAAACATTGTAACGGTATGGATTATTAATTTAATTGGCTGGCTATTACTTGTTTGGACTCTGAGCTAACACATTTAGTTCAGTCTCTGGTGGCCCATAAACCGCAAAGGTCATGACTTTAACATTCAGAAGAATGGGAAAAAGGAATTGAGGTTGAGATTAGGAAGAAAACTTACAAAACAGCATGGGGAAGACAGTGTGAGGAAGCACGGGCTTGCTGGAGGCAGGGCAGGGCAAAGGGGGTTCATTGGTTGGATTCGCATTAGAACTTCCTCAGCAACCAGCCCCTGGGCTGACAACTGCCAGGAGCCAGTCTCTCACTCAGATTTCTGAAAGGGCCAAACACTTAAGATATGGTGATGGGAGCACCCCACACCCCGGGAAGGCCACACCTGTTTTCTGGATGCCTGAACCCCAGGGAAGGGTTGTGTGTTGTGGAAAAAGCAAGTGAGAAGTAAGGGGGTTACCAGAATGGCCGTTCTGCAGACCCCTGGACATCAGAGCCATGAATGACCTACTTTCTCTTCTGCCAAAGGCCCTGTGACCCTTCTAGATGCCGCCTCCCAATGTGCAGGGGTCCCAGGACCCTGAGATCTAGATGAGATCATCTCCGTACCCCTGTACTCCATGACCTGTGGATATCCAAAGCCCCCTCCTCTTTTTATTTTTTTTTGAGACACAGTCTCACTCTGTAGCCCAGGCAGGAGTACAGTGGCACTATCTAAACTCACTGTAACTCCTAGGTTCAAGCCATTCTCCTGCCTCAGCCTCCCGAGGAGCTGGGATTAGTGGCACCTGCCACCATGGCCAGCTAATTTTTGTATTTTTAGTAGAGATGGGGTTTCACCATGTTGGCCAGGCTGGTCTGGAACTCCTGGCCTCAAGTGATCTGCTCGCCTTAGCCAAGCATGGTTGTGGGCACCTGTAGTCTCAGCTACTTGGGAGGCTGAGGCACGAGAATCTCTTCAACCTGGGAGGCACAGGTTGCAGTGAGCCAAGATCGCTCCACTGCTCTTCAGCCTGGGTGACAGGTAACAGAGCGAGACTCTGTCTGAAAAAAAAAAAAAAAGGGCCGGGTGTGATGGCTCATGTAATCCCAGCACTTTGGGAGGCCGAGGTGGGTGGATTACCAGAGGTTAGGAGTTTGAGATCATCCTGTTCAACATGGAAAAACCCCATCTCTACTAAAAATACAAAAATTAGCCGAGTGTGGTGGTGCATGCCTATAATCCCAGCTACTCGGGAGGCTGAGGCAGGAAAATCACTTGAACCTGGGAGGCAGAGGTTGCAGTGAGCCGAGATTGTGCCATTGCACTACAGCCTGGGCAACAGAGCGAGACTCTGTCTCAAAAAAAAAAAAAAAAAAAAAAAGTAGCACACAAATTACTCTATTACAGTTTTAAAAATATTTTGATAACTGTATTCTAATATAGTTGGATTACTCATCTTAGGATTTTGTTTTATCTGTTTAAAAACATTAATCTGAGAAGGGATCCTTAGCCTTCCCCAGGGGGCCAATAATGGGCACACAGAGTAATTCAGGTTTACTCAGCCACCTTGACATTGCCAAACTCTGGACCTTTCTCTGAGTGGGAAGCTGTCTGTGGCTGTGCGGGCATTCTCCTCTCCACTCCCCCCAGTCACCTGCCTATTTGCTGCGTGGATCTTCACCGTACTATCAGTCCCCATGTGCTGATGAAGAAAGGGGACAGGGAGATTGGGTAACTTTGCGTTGCATATTTGGAAGCATCAGGCGAGACATTTGTGGCAGCAAGAAGTGATCATATTTGCCAGAATGTGACCAAGAGATAGGAGAACAGACCTCAAATTTGGAAGCAGTGGTTTGTGGACAAATAGAGTGTGTCAGTTTCCTAGTTCCTTTCCTGTCTCAAGAGTTGATGACTTTCATAGTTCTTACATTCAAAGTGAAGAGTAAGCCTGTGAAATGCATTATCTCAAGAGAAGGCACAGGCTGGAAGCTAACAACGGGGTAGCTTATATCAGATGTGCAGCCAGTGTCTTCCAATAGAGGCATTCAACACATGGTTGGCTGATTGATGAACAAATGAAGGAAGGAAGGAAGGAAGGAAGGAAGGAAGGAATGATAGTTATGGTGGTTAATTTTATGTGTCAACTTGCATGGGCTAAGGGATGCCCAGATAGCTGGTAATACTATTTCTGGGTATGTCTGTGAGGGAGTGGAAGAGATTAGCATTTGAATCAGTAGACCCAGTAAAGAAGATTGCCCTCACCAATGTGGGCAGGCATCTTCTAAGCCAGTGATGGCCCGGGTAGAATGAAAAGGCAGAGGAAAGGTGAATTCACTCTTTCTATTTGAGCTGGGACATCCATCTCTTCCTGCCCTTGGACATTGGTACTCCTGGTTGTTGGGCCTTTGGACTTAGATCAGGACTTACACTATCTGCTCCCCTGTCCTCAGGCCTTCGGACTTGGTCTTTAGACTTGAACTTAATGATACCACCAGCTTCTTTGGTTCTCCAGGTTGCAGACAGCAGATCATGGGACTTCTTTGCATCCATAATTTTGTGAGCCAATTCCCATACTGTCTCTGTCTCTCTCTTCCTTTCTCTCTGTCTATGTGTGTATAGCTAGCTAGCTAGCTAGATCCAACTGGTTCTATTTCTCTGGAGAACACTGACTAATACAGAGGACTTATATAAATTACTAGGGGAGGCTGGAGATTGGGAGATATAAGTCTATAAACAGCATGATCCCTAAGAATTCAGGGGCCCAGTTCCATCCCCAAATGTGTGTATGTGTGTATGTGTATAAAATCTAATTACAAAAAGCATCATAGATATCCTAGAGAGAAAAAAAAAGTAACAGATGTGGTGTGTATTATTATTTTCTTCAATCCCAACAGAAGCCCTGCAAAGTCCTGCCATGTGCTGCCTTTCACCCCCCACCCATCTGCCTGCCCCGCAGGTGCTCCCGCTCCCACTTGCTCCTGTCCTTGTCCACACTGTCCACACACCCAGCTCAGCCTAAGGAGAGGAATGGGAGGGGTGTGGCATTGGCTTCAGGACAGAGACCACCAAGCAACGTGCTGCCTCTCCAGGGTGGAGGTGGGAAATGGACAGAGAGGAGCCTTTAATTCTGGCAGAGATTGAAGTTGGAGATGGGTGAGGGCAGGTGAGATGAAAGGGGGGCTTCTGCACATTTTATGTGGAAAAGCAAGAGGCAGGGTGAGCTGTCCATGCACACAGACTCCAAAGCAAACCCTTTGCAGATGTGTGAATGGTCTGAGGCTCCCCTGAAAAAGATAGGAGTGCCTGCTTTCTTTTCCATGGCACCCCCATCTGTACCTGGCTGAGCGCAGGGTTTCAGAAGGTGAGACTGTCTGATTCTAGGAAAACCAGGCTTGGTAGCTGCTTTCCTGAGATTGAAAGGGAGTGTGTTTAGCCCTAGGAATCCATCCAGAGTGAGCTGAAATCACTGTTTATGAAAGGCAAACCACTCCAGAATTCATAGAGATGGTTCTCCATATTGTCCTTTTAAACTCTTGAGACAGTGTGTCCACAGGTGCACTCACAGCAAGCATGGTGTCTATGAGAACAAGGCTGAGCAAAGAGTTATTGATTTCCTACTATGTGCCAGGCTGAAAGGAGGATACAAAAATGAATAAGTAATACCCCTGCCCTGCACAGGGAGACCTCAGGGGAAGCAACGAACCAGGCAACTTCAGCCCAAGCTCTGTGGGCAGGAGGTCTGTGCATCTGTGGGCTGCCATTTTGTGTGGCCGTGTTACCTAATATTGCTAGGAGAGCAAGCTCCACTTCCAATGGCCTATATTGGTGGCATGGCTATGCCAGTCCCACCAAAAGCAGGCTTCAGGAAGACTTTGCGTTTGGACATCGCCAGGTGTTTATTTGATTTTTCCTATTTCTTGGTTTTTAATTGGTTTCAGATGTGAGTACCCAATAGCGGCCCTGAATAAATAAAACAGATCATAAAATATGGCCAAGCAAAATGGGCGTGAGTAATCCCAGAGTGCATGGAAATGCACTTCCAGAAAGGCTCATAAATAATGAGGTGGAAACAGTAGTCTATTTTCTCTTTAATGGAAAGCCAATTAGGAACCCTCTCTGGACTGGCGGGAAGAAGCCAGGTTCCTTTGTTCTGTAATGAGGAGGTGGGGGTAGAGTGGGTGAGGGGAAGCCACTAATCTTGCCAGAAAGGGCAGAGAAAATTCTCTGGTCATTGGGCCTGCAGAGAGTGACAAAATAGGAAGTTCAACACAAAGTAGGCTTCCCATCCTGGGTCGAGCTTCCCATCCCGGGTCGAGCTTCCCATCCCAGGTCGAGCTTCCCATCCCAGGTGGAGCTTCTCCAGCTCCTTCCCAGTTGGTGCAGGAAGGACTTTAAGCCCAAGCTGACTTGGGAAGAACTGGCAGAACTCTTTGGAGGCCCACAGCAGGCAGACTCTCTGTGAACTCAAAGAATCCTGTGGTTACTGACCCATTCTTGGCTCCTTCCCCTCCCTCACTGAGGCCCGGAAGGAGAGCCCCAGCTGGTACCATCTCCAGGGTGGGCCAGCTTTGAGCTGCAGGAAGGAAGACGGGAGTGCAGGATTCTAGAGGCGTTCTCTGCAGCAGGCGGCCCAGCAGACCCCTAGTGAATCTCCTTCTTATCGCTTCCCGATTGCTCTCCCTACATACTGGTGTCGCCTCATTCCAGACACTGGTTTTCTTCAAGCTGGTAATGCCTTTCATGGTGCTTCCATGCAGAACATTATAGATGATCTTGTCCCACTGAGGCATGGCAGGTATAGTGTCCTCCATCTTTCATAAGAGGGAACTGAGAAACAGAGGGGAAATGAGACGGTCGAAAGTCACACAGCCATGGAACAGCAGTGCTGGAAATCAGTTCTGTTCACTCTGCATGATCTCTGGGCGGCCGGGGCCCAGCTGGTGACTGTAAGTGGGGGTCATGGTGGCCTCCCCTCCGAAGCATTAGAGACATCTATAGTGGTTAAGAGCACAGGCTTTGGAGTCAGGGAGACCTGAGTGAAATTCTTGACTCTATCCCTTAATAATTGTGTGGTCTTGATCAAGTTTCTTAATTGTTCTAAGCCTGTTTCTGCATTTGTAAAACAGGGCTACTGAACTTGGGCTAATGGACTTAGTTCCCACCTGACAGGAAGCAATAAACAGCAGTGATACTGCTAGTACTTATTATTGTTAGAAGGCTTTGTGGCCAGCAGGCCTTTGGAATAGCCGGTGTGTTTCCTGTGGAACCCACTCAGGAGCATCACTACTGAGTTCAGACTCTGTCCATGTGAACAGTGTTCCCTGGAGACCTGGCTCAGTATCATATGAGGACCCAGGGAGGCAGCCAGACATGGCTAGCTGCCTCCAGCTCTAGGTTCATGCTGAGCAGGGTGGAGAAGAAGGGAGGCCTGGAGCTGAGGATGTCTGCTGAGAACTTCTCGGAGGATCTGAGGATCTTCTGTGCTTACCAATACAGAGTCACAGGGGAGGCAGCAGGTCCCTCAAAGCCAAGGCTCTTCCTACGTATGCTTCTAAAACAAAATCAGTGGCAGTCTGATGGAGAGAGGAGTCCACGGAGTGTAGCAGCTTTGCTGTGTAGAAGCTTGGGCCAGAGCTTTTGGTAAAGGGCCACAGCTGGAGAATCTGTTGCTTTTGTTCCTTATGATGAGTTTTTGGCAAGTTTTGTTTTTATTTTTAAAGAAATTTCACTTTTCCTCCATTGAAATGGATAAAACACTGCTCACCCATCTGTGTGACTCAAGGAAATGCTTGAAAAGCAGAGAGGTCTTGAAGAACAACACGAGGTCTCAGGAGACTTGACCATCGATGTTTGCCACTGGCCACCTGTGGAATGTGGGTACAGTCCATTACCTTTTGAAGGTCACTTGTTCAGCAGGGCAAGGAAGAAAGGGTGAAATATTTGTGAAACACACATGATGGACTAAGCACCTTGCCCCTCGCCTCATGAGGTATGTCCTGGTATCTCCAGTATATAAATGCAGAATCCAGGGCTCAAAGAGGCTACACACCTTGCCCACTATCAGACCCTGCATCACTTGGAGTTTGATGGCTGCAAGCAACAGAAACTCATTCTTAAAGACTCAAGAAAAAGCTGAGCAAGCAGGTCTTGCAAGGACAAGGATGTGGGCAGTTCTGGGGTTGGAGGTAGTAGGAGCTCACAGACATGGTCACTGGAGATTGCAGGCGAAATAGTGAGCTTTAACTTGTCACCCCATTCAGAATTTACCCCCCTGGAAGAGTGAGTCTTATGGATTTGGCCAGGTTGCCTGGCTGTACCTTGGACAAGGAGAACATGGCACTTTGAAAGACAGCCCTGGCCGGGCGCGGTGGCTCATGCCTGTAATCCCAGCACTTTGGGAAGCCAAGGCAGGTGGATCACGAGGTCTGGAGTTCGAGACCAGCCTGGTCAACATGGTGAAACCCCATCTCTACTAAAATACAATTAAAAAAAAATTAGCTGGGTGTGGTGGTGTGTGCCTGTAGTCCCACTTACTCGGGAGGCTGAGGCAGAGGAATTGCTTGAACCTGGGAGGTGGAGGTTGCAGTGAGCTGAGATTGTGCCACCACACTCCAGCCTGGCGACAGAGCAAGACTCTGTCTCAAAAAACAAACAAACAAACAAAACAAAACAAAACCAAGAAAGACAGTCCTATCCAGACTGAATGCAATGGGAGAGGAGCAATCCCCAGAGGAAAACTGGGGTGCTGTTACCAAGAGCAAAGGAGGGGACACTGCACTGCGAAGCAGATATGCACCATAGACATCCATTGGTCACAAAAGGTGAGTGGCACAGGTCAGTGACCCAAAGCCCAGAAGGGCTGCCAATAATGCCCACGTGCCAACCCCCACCTCAGGAGCCTTCACTTCTCTGTCCAGACTTGCGGCTTCCTCTTTAGTGGGCCCCATGATGCTGGCACTGCTTAGAAAGGGTTCATGCCCTGCTGGAGAGGAAATCTCCAAAGAAGGCAGAGAATTGGGAAGTGAAAGAGATACAGCAATAATTTAAGAGCAAGAGAGTGCCATGGAGAAGTGGGGAGGGCCTGTGGCTTTCTCAACGTGGGAAAATGACAAATCACTAGGAAGTTTTGTGGGGGAAGGGGAGCAGATAGGGACCAAACATGGGGAAGAATTAGAGGTGTAGGAATCATTGGAATCATCTAAAATTTAAAAGAAGCCACAGTATACTTTATCTACTCAGAAGTATTTGAGGTGTCTTATATTATAACATATTTAATCCATGAGAGTATTAACTTAAAAATTGTGAATTTAAAGAAATATAAAATGGGATGGTATATAATTAAAAATCTGGGAAGTTTCAAATTTAGCTTAGAGCTTCCTGGTAGCTAAGGCAAAAAAGGAAACATGATTGGTTATATAATTCTCATTTTCATTTTATTTTTTTCTTTTGTCTCATAAAAGGAAGTGAATCTGCAAGTCAGAAAACACAACATTCTCTTAAGTTATAAAGAAAAATTAACATGGTGGGATATTAAATATTCAATGGAAAGATTTTTCAGTGTAATTTCACTGAGGTTGAGAAACAGTCTTCCTACGGCCATTATCATATGAAGTGTGGTGGAAAGTAAAGAGTGTTCCTGCCAAGTGCCCCTCCCTGAGCTGGAAAGGTTCCCTACAGTTCTCAAGTTCAAATGCGTCTCCCTAGTTCAGAAGCTTCAGTTCAGAAGCCCCTGTATGGCTTCTCAGCTCTTCCATCTCCTGCAAAAACCAATTCCTGCGCTCACATCCCTCTGTTTTCAATACTTTCTGGTTTCTTTTTCCTGGGTGGACTTTGCTGGGTGTGCTCACTAATTGATGTCCAGCCTTAACCCAAACACCCTTGAGGAAGGGGCACCCCTTACTTCCCAAACAGAGCAGCCTACTTCATCTCAAAGGCAGGGCTGCCTGAAGGTGCCACTTCCACAGGGGTTCAGCGTGTAGACAGAATCTCGATTGAAGGAGGTACTAGAAAGATCTTTCTGGGCAGGGGAAGAAGCATATGAAGGTTTGTCAATTACCATGAGTATGACACATATCATGTCAATGTGCCATGAGCACATTGTCTAGTTGGAAGAGAGGCTATGTTTACTCAACAGACACGTTTTCAATCATTATCATTGCCCTAATATCACAGGCGACCCAGAAAAGGAATGCATGTGGCCCAGGCTCTGAAGGAGCACCTTGAAATGATTCAGTCAAATGCTCTGAGACTTTTAGGATCACCCCACACACTCTCTTAAGTTCTGCTCCAATCTGAATGCCTGAAAATACAATGGATTTTATGTGTCTGCTATAGTTTCTGTTTGCAAATGCAGGCCTTCATCTTAAAGCCAATCTTCCATGTGAAAGCAGAGTTCGGAAGGAAACATGCGCCTCTGTCTTGGGAGGAGCTTCAGTCTCAGGTGCTGCAAGGTGGACTAATCTGACACACTAGGGCATAAGAGAATTCTCAGGAGAGGCTGAGGTTTATTTGAATCAACTGGCATTTCTTTGGAAAGTTGGGGAAAGGGGCAGATCCAGGTTTCGTAGGGCATGAAATCAGGGTCGGCTTCATGGACATGCCACCTGCACAGTTGCACAGGGCCCTGTGCCAAGAAGGCGCTGGTGTTGCTATCTTCAAAGTTTTAGTTGTTTTTGAACAAAGGGCCCCACGTTTTTATTTTGCACTTGGCTGCCCAAATTATGTAGCTGGTCTTTTGTGACACTTATATGATTTGGGGGGCCCTCATTTTAAAAACAACACAAAATAAGAGAAATAAAATTAAGTTCCAAGTCTTGGAAGAGGTACCTAGGAACAGAAGGTGCTCTGCAGAAACTTAAGTTTCATTAACTTCACAGAAAATCTGCTTCTGGTTGGGGAAGGAGTGACCTCCACAGTAGTCTTCAAATTGTGGTCTTGGGAGTCTTGGGGGTTTAGTGAATGGGGTGTCAGGTGGACCTCTCTTTGCTCCCCCTCACCCTCTTCTTTACCCTTTACTTTAACCTAATTTCACTTTGTTCTGAATTAGAAATTGAGCTTCAGGCTGTTTCTTTTTTTTTTTTTCCTTTAAAGGTGCCATGACTCACATAGTTCGAAAACCACTAGTTAGACAAACCACATCACACCAGGCTTTTTGTTGTAGGGAATTGTCTTATTTCAGAAGGCCCCAGGTGACCCGCTGACCTGGGGTGTCTCCAAAGCCAGGTAATAATAGGCCGTGCTCTAATCTAAGGAGACTTTGCTGTATTTGCAGAGAGCTTTGAAATGTTCTGGGAAAAACGCTGATCAGATGTGCAAGGTATTATATTCACGGAGAGAAAAACCCTCCCAACTCTTTATAAAATGGATTAAGCTAGTTTCTAAAGGCTGCAGGTTTGTGTGATCTTAATCCCACTCCTTACTCCTGATCCACCACCTTCCTCTTTTGTTTCCAGGATGTGCACCTTCCTGGGTGAGGGCCGGGACGCCTTCCGGGGGAGCCCTACCCCTTCCCAGCTCTCCCCTTAGGAAGAACTAAGGGACACCCTCGCCCTTGCACCCACCTCGCCAGGGCTGCCTTTTTCTGTGGGCACATTTCACATTCACAGGCTCTGATCCGATGGAGGGAAATCTGAACAAAATATGGTAATGATGCCATTGTGCATTCAGCGACTCAGACTGGAGCAGCAGATGGGAAAAGTTGCGGATCACAACCCCATGCAATATTTGACAGAATATCAGTCAAATATAGTTCACCCAGATCCATGTTTCTGTCAGTCCCTCTTGGCTAGAGTTAATTTAAAGTGACAAGAATGACATTAGCTCTTTTCAGAGGGGTAATTCCTTCCTCAGGGCTGCCCCCTCCAATGGATACCCAGGCAGAGCCCTCCATCATCGAAAGGCGGGTTTTCTAAGAAGGGACCAGCCCTAGACCAGGAGTCACCATTCAAGACCTGTGCTGGTCAGTGTGCTGGAGGTTCAGTCTATTTCACTGTGGAGGAAGGAGCGAGGTTGCCCCAGGCTCCAGCTCCCTAGAGGGGTCGTCTCCACAAATGGGGTTTCAGGACTTGTAACCTTACCTCAGGGCTCAGGCAGAGAGAGCCCCACTGCGGGATGAATGCCCATGTGTGAAGACAATTTAGAAACATCTCCAGCAGGTGGAGGGCTCTGAGCTGGCACTGCCACCACTTGGAGTCTTAACAGTTGCAGATGAACAGCTTAGCATGTGTTGTTTTCCATTTGTTCTTCCTTGGTTCCTTCTGTCTTGCTACACCATGTACAAAAACTCACATAGTGTTGATAACTTTTGTAACTGGTCGATTCCACCAGCACTTGTGCCTTCTAAGGCTGCTTCCTGCCAAGACCTCAGTGGGTGTCATGACCTCCAAAGTTGGTCATGGGTCCAGAAGCTGGCCTCACCCCACCATCAGATCAATATGTGTGCATGTTGGGAACTGCATGTAGAAAGTTGGCTTTGCTCCTCTGTTTTTAAACCAGGTAGACCCACCCACAAATCATGGCTACCAACCATGAAAGATGACCCCCTACCCTTTATGGCTAGTGAACTCCTATTTGCCCTTCAAAATCCATCTCAATGGTCACCTCCTCCTGGGGGCCTTCCTGAATACCCCCAGAAATTATCATTCCCTTCCTCCTCAGGGCAGTCTCTGGGCTCCGTATGTACTTCTGTTTCTACACTATCAAAAGGCATCATAATCACTTTTTTGCTTCTCTGGCTTCCCTTTCTGGTTGTGGTCATCAAGAATTAACAAGTGTTTGCTGGACTGAATAATTGAATTGTTTCTTGAATAAGGTAATAGGCCAGGAGACCTTATCCACAGAAAACGTATGGTTTCCTGTAACTGCCATGATCTGTGTCTCCAGCCTGTGATATTAAATATGATCACTTCTGTTGTTTCTCATGAGACTCCCCATTTGCTGGAAGTCTCTCTTGAGGTTTCTCTGCTCTCCAAGGTCTGACCAGGGTCATTTGCCAGGGACTGTGTCATCAGGTCATCTGTAACTGACAGCAGGGGTGGGGTTCTGTGTCTGGAATTGCCCTAGTCATCGTTGCCTATCCCTTAATGGGTCCAGCTCAAGGGCTCCTCATCAAAGGAGGAGATTGAAGACCAATGGCATCTCCAGTCTGGGGCCCAGAAATGGCTAGTTAATTAATTACACCTGGCCACACAAAGAACTGGTTGGGCAGGTGATCCCAGCACTGCTGCCAGTTACAGAACTACAAGCAACTGACAAGGAGGGGATTGGGAGAGCTGGCCAAGAAGCTGGGAAGAGCCTGTTGAAACAAAAAGACAAGACCTAAAGTCTCATGATGGCGGTTGTGTCTGGGAATGTTTCAATTAGCTATTGTTGTGTAAAAAACTACCCCCAAATCTTAGTTGCCTAAAACAACAGTTTATTATTTTTTTTCTCATGATTCAGCATTTTGGATTGGGCTTAGCTGGGTGGTTCTTCCGCTCTATCTGGTGTGTGCTTGACTGTCCAAGATGGTTTCTTCTTTACTTATATGCCTGGTGCCTCAGATAGGAGATATGTTTCTTCAGTAACTAGGCACAGTGTCTGGCACCCAAGAGATTCTAGGGAAATGTTCAATGGTAGAATGAATAAATGAGGGTACACAAAAGCATAGGGTTTGTAAGAGAGAATAACTAAGTTATCTCATTTGGCATGGTGAATGGTGGGTGCTGTGATGATCAGAAAGATTCTCAGGATGATTAGGAAAGAATGTTCCCTGAGGATCTCTAGATGAAGTCAGGGCCTGGTCTTCTTTCTTGGCAGCAAGAAGGAGCTGCATGTAGAATGTAGCCTTTAGAGCCTGCTCAAACTGTAGAAACAGGGAAAGGTTGAGTGATTCAGTGGCTCTTGTAATCCTGGGAATCAGAGGGCAACCCTCCTTGCTCCTGATGGGAAACAGAAATTTGATTCCCATTCTTGCTTGAGTTTCTGGCTTTGCTTGTCAGACTTTTGAGGGGATAGAAGGAAGAGGTGACATAGAAGAGAGTGGGAAAGTTAGGTGTTAAAGGAGAACTCTGGAGTATTAAGACAAATCCTAGGAAATTCGGTCTGCTTGAAGTGCCTGAGGCCTCTTGGGAAAAAGGTAAAGGGAAATAGGGGGTGATGGTCAGCTCTCTAGAGCACCAAGGGAGATTAGCGGCTGCTCCAACTACCAAAGAGGAATCCCACACAACAGTCAAAAACTTACTGAGGGAGGAGAGACCCCGCAGCTGGAGGACACTGTTCAACAGAAGAAACAAACATAATTTGAAGGAAATAAGCTCCTGTCATCCATTTCTCTCAATTCTTTGGATCCTGGTGACAGCAGGAGCCAACCCTTCCAACAGTAGCTGTGTTAGCTATCCATTGCCACTGTAACAAATTACCAAAACTAGTGGCTTAATACAATACAGGCTTATTATCTTACAGTTCTGGAGGTCAGAAGTCTAAATCAAGGCATTGGCAGGGCTGCATTCCTCCTGGAGTCTTCACCTGGTGAGACTTCCTGAACCAAAGTATATCTTGGGTCTCTTCCAAGTTAGACTTTCTAGAATCACCGCTGTTCAATATGGTAGCCAGTAGACAATTTGGCTATTAAAATTAAACACCCAGTTCCTTAGTTCCACTGGCCATATTTCTTTTTTCTTTTTTTTTTTTTTTTTGAGACGGAGTCTCGCTCTGTCACCCAGGCTGGAGTGCAGTGGCGCGATCTCGGCTCACTGCAAGCTCCGCCTCCTGGGTTCACACGATTTTCCTGCCTCAGCCTCTTGAGTAGCTGGGACTACAGGTGCCCGCCACCATGTCCAGCTAATTTTTTGTACTTTTAGTAGAGACGGGGTTTCACCATGTTGGCCAGGATGGTCTTGATCTCCTGACCTGTTGATCAGCCCGCCTCAGCCTCCCAAAGTGCTGGGATTACAGGCGTGAGCCACCACATCCCGCCCACTGGCCATATTTCAAATGCTCAGTTGCCATACACTATTACATAGCACGAGTTAGTTCTATTGAACATCATCACGGAAAGTTTTATTGGCCAGTGCTGTTCCAATATCAACAGTGCGTGCTTGTGCCAATCTCCCGCCTGTCCAGCTTGTGCACACATCAGCCACTCCCAAGGCCATGAGGTATCCATTTCTGTAAGATGGGACTTCTTATGCCCCTTTTAGGGGAAATGCAGTTCAAGAGGAGATCCAACAGAACATGAAAGTTCTGATAATAGGATTCAGGCCTTGGTGCCTGGGGAAAGACCCCCAAAATAAATGGTGAACAGGATGGAAGATGACTCGCTTATTTTGGGAGTAAACTCTCCTATCTGTTACGCAAGTTCCCATCCTGCCAGGCTCTGCCTCGAGCCCTCTTCTCTTCTCCAGAAAGGACATCAAAATTCCCACCTCTGTCTTCTTTTCTTTTCAGACAGAGCCTCGCTCTGTCACCCAGGCTGGCGTGTCGTGGTGTGATCTTGGCTCACTGCAACCTCCGCCTCCCGGGTTCAAGTGATTCTCCTGCCTCAGCCTCCCAAGTAGCTGGGATTACAGGTGCGTGCCACCACGCCCGGCTAATTTTTGTATTTTTAGCAGAGACGGGGTTTCACCATGTTGGCCAGGCTGGTCTCGAATTCCTGACCTCAAATGATCTGCCTGCCTCAGCCTCCCAAAGTGCTGGGATTACAGGCGTGAGCCACCATGTCCGGCCCCCCACTTTTGTCTTTTGGTCATCAGCTCCACCTTGGGAGAACCTGGGGCTCGTCCTGAGTGAAACAGCTCTGACTTTCCTCCTCCTCCCGCGGAGGCTTTTCCTCCAGCTCAGCCCTCAGTGCCCTGAAATCTGTCTCCAAGGAGCTCTCAGGAGAGACGAAGCTACCGCTTCTCCCGTTTGTGGGTTACTTTTCCTCCCGGGGAGAGGGTCGCTGCTGCGCAAGTTAGTTCTGAAAGCATTTCTCTAGAGCCAGGCATTAATGAAGTCCAGGCAGCCCCTCTTCCTTGGTGGGGGAATTCGGGAACCAGAGAACAGGTGAGACAGGTGGATTTGCGGACCACAAGCCCCGCCCTCTCCAGCCACCTGTGCCAACCTGGAACAGCCAATGGGAGAATGTGCTGCCCCCAGGATTCAGCCAATCAGCAGGCGAGGTCTGTGCATGCTCTGTGTCTGCCTGGCCGTCCTGCCCCAACTTGTGCAGAGAAAGGCCGTTGGGTGCGGGTTTCTGCCACGTCCAGGCAAGACCCCAGCCAGAGGACCCCGCAGAGCAGGCGTGGAATGGTGGACTCGGGCCACCATTCTTCAAACACGCCCTCCCAGGCCTCACACCAACTCTGCCCTTTCTCTCCGCCAGGGAATAATGAAAATGAACTTGTCCTCTTCCCGAACCGACATATTTTACGGCTGACACGGTCATAGTCCTCTGGAGTTGACATCAGTGGGACCTCGGTGAAACTGCAGCGGGAAGAGGAACAGAAGGGTTCCTATTCCCCAAGATGGAACTCCAAAGTACATTTTGAGCAGAAAACCCTATGTGAATGGTTCCTCCTGCCTTTTCTTGCCAACAATAATAAAAACTGTCCAGTCATCGCAGTGACATTAAAAACAACAACTCAAAGCAGCATGTTCTCATTTCTCGAAATTTTGCGCTGCACAGTTAAGAGGAGGGAAAGGGTGAATATCTCTCAACTCTAGGATGTCAAACTACATTTTCCATGGTTCAATGTGATTTTCAATTATAAAAAAGGATTACACGCCAGGCGTGGTGGCTCACGCCTGTAATCCTAGCACTTTGGGAGACTGAGATGCGTGGATCACCTGAGGTCAGGAGTTCAAGACCAGCCAGACCAACATGGTGAAACTCCGTCTCTACTAAAAATACGAAAATTAGCCGGGCGTGGTGGTGGGCACCTGTAATCCCAGCTACTCGGGAGGCTGAGGCAGGAGAATCGCTTCAACCCGGGAGGTGGAGATTGCAGTGAGCCGAGATTGAACCACTGACTCCAGCCAGGGCGACAGAGCAAGACTCCGTCTTGGCTTTATCGTCCCCTTCTCCTTTCCATGACCTCAGAGCCTCTCATAATGAAAAGATCCAGGCTTCATGTTTGGTTCTCAACTCAAGTTTGGAAGTTAAGATGGAGATTTGCAACTCATTTCTTTGGAAGACAGGGGATGGGAAAAGAAATGAGGAAAGGAAGTGGAAAGAGAAGAAGAGCTGGTGTTTTAGAGGGAGACAAAACAAGCAGCACCAGAGAATGGTATATCTGGAAGGACTCCAGGGGGGCCTTTTGTTTATCCAGAGGTTCTTGAGCCTTTAATTTTTATTTATAGCAGCAGACCCTTTTCCCTTTTTTTTCAGATGACATCTTAAGCCAAAGCACAATATCTAAAACAGATAAAATAATGCCTCTCAAAGCCCTATGCCTTGGCATTCCTCTAACCTTCCTCCTCCTGAACACCCCAGGGCTCCTGGGCACACAGTCTGCAAACCATGGATCTAACCCAACTCCTAAATATGCCCATGAGGAAACCAAGGTACAGAGAGGGGAAGTAATTAACTGGAGATGGGGTGGGGGAAGGCTTCTCTAAGATCACGTGGTAGGCCTGGAGGAGCTGGGCCTGGAAGCTTAGAAGTGAAATGAGATAAGGACAGGGGATTGGGGGTGGTTATGAAAGAGCTGACCACATGATGACCTTGAGGAACGTGACTGTGTGGACTGTGAAGAGCAGAGTTCCAGGAGGCTGGAGACCCCCACGGCTTCCTCAATGTTCCTGCCCTGTTTTTCATTAGCTGCTCTAATTCTGAGGTCCCTCTTGAGCACCAGGTTTATGGGTGTTAACTCCACACATAGATGGTTACAACGTATATGTTTGACTCAGGGACAAAAGAAATAAACGCTGTTAGCAGTCACTTTAGAGAACTTTCCAATCATCAGTTTAGAGCAGGAGTGCAAGTGTGTTGCATACGATTCCTCACATTAATTCCACACCCATGACAGGCATTGCTAATCAGTCGTACCACCTTTTCCTGCTCATCCTATATACAGCCTCAAAATTATTTTCCACACAGTACTCTGGTCAGCCATTACCAATGAACCAGGAGCTGGCCCTTCAGATAAAATCTCTCTGCTCTTCCTGGTTTGTGGCTTTGCTGAATGTTGTCCTTAGCATCATGGTCACACACTTCTACAGTCTGCATCTCAGGGGAGAAGCCTGGAACTGCATTTCCCAGAATCCCTTTCCCTGTACAGCTTCACATTAGAGTCAGCCAATGAGAGGCACTGCTGGGAGAATTGGGAGGCGAAGAAGGAGAATCACTGTCATTCTCTGGGGGCAGCTGCAGCTTGACCCATGGGTAAAACCCAAAGCCTTGAGAATCGCATGCTCTGGTGCTTCCAGCTGTTGAGGTTGGTGGCTGCAGCCACCACTGAGACTGCTGGGTTCTTTGCAGCTTCTGGGTGAGCTCCCGTAAATCACCAGTCTCTGGCAGCTGCTGGCCTGACCTTTGTTTCCCCAGCCTTTCCAGTGATTGTGTAAGTATCCAATTCCCTGTATTGGAACCCTTCCTACTTGGAATACCCAGAGTGGCTTCTGTTTTCATGACCAACCCCCCTGACAGCTACAGTTCCATTAACACCTTAAGGGCAGGGAACAGAACTTGGTTGCAAGATGGATATTCTCCATGTTGCCAAACATGAAAGGTGGATGCTTGCTGCATTTGCTCCCCGTTTTCTGTGTTATGTCTGTGATCCACCTACACGGAGTGCAGAAAAGGAAGCAATGACAGGGAGACTGCCAAATAATCAGAATAATAGCATCATAGAATTTGGAGCTGAAGGACCTTTATACAGAAACAGCTTGGTTCTTTTCATTTTATTGATGGGAAAAACTGAGGCCCAGAGAGGAGAGTAGTGCCAGTTAGTCCCAGAGCTGGGGCTGGAAGCCAGGCCTGCTGACCTGGACCAGTTCTCATCCTTGGACCTCAGGATCTCAAATAAGGAGATTCATGTGATCTTGTAAGCAAGGCACAGCCAAGCTGAAATGTGTCCCATGGCAGGCTGGCTACTTTGATGTGAGCTAGTAAACACCTGGCTGTAATGGGAAGCCAAGGTGAGTGATCAGAGATGAGTTCTCCAGCCTCCCCAGGATGGGGGAAGCAGGGTGGGGCAGGTCTCATGAAAGCATGAGAATATGTAAGCCACATTTCCCTAATCCTAACCCTACTGTGGAAACCCTATCACTTTTCCATCTGGTAACAGGCATCTCATTTTAAAGAACTCCTTGTTTCTGCGAACCTGGGAGGCGGAGGTTGCAGTGAGCCGAGATTGCACCACTGCACTCCAGCCTGGGAGACAGGGTGAGACTCCGTCTCAAAAAAAAAAAAAAAAAAAAAAAAAAAAAGGAAAAAAAAAAAAGAAAAGAACTCCTTGTTTCTGTATCC
Source organism: Homo sapiens (assembly GCF_000001405.40). Lineage (NCBI taxonomy): Eukaryota > Metazoa > Chordata > Mammalia > Primates > Hominidae > Homo > Homo sapiens. The sequence continues at coordinate 112,842,011 of NC_000010.11, read as the reverse complement.
AATTGTTGGAAACCATGTCATGAAATTAAAATCAACTATGTTGCTTGCTTTTTGTAATCATTCTCTTGCCTCCACCGGCCTTGGGCTTGTGGGCTGCATCAGAGCAGATTCCTAGTGGCAAGCCACTGGTTTAGCAGAGACGGGATTTATTGGAAGACTATTGCGGAGCGATAGAATTATCAAGAGGGCAGAAGACTGTTCCTGGAAACTACACCCTACTCAGTGGATGCCACCGGGGATGCTGCCAAACCCTGGTGACTGAGCTCCCACTGCCCCCACCATAGAGTGCCGCACCCCACATCTGGTGCTGCTCCTCTGAAAGTGGCTGTGACTGCCATGGGCAGGGCTGGAATGAATTCTTCACCACCTTTCTATTTTGTGATGACAGCTCCAGATTCAGACGCCCACTTTCCCTGGTCCCTGGCAGCAAGAGGGTCCTCTAGTGGGCTCTGATGTTGGCCAGCTGCATGACCAATGCCCCTTGCACCATCTTGGTGGTGTGGCTCCCAACGCCCCTCTTCTCTCAATCAAGGGTAATTTCTTTGTATCCAAACTGCCTGAAAGCCTACATTAATAGAGTTTCTCTGGACTCAGGGCTTTGCCTCCTATTAAAATATAAAGACTAAGTATGGATGAACAGCAATTCGGTTGTTTTCCAGAACACCCTCATCTAGCCTTCATACATGGGATGATGCACTAATGGTTTTGGGACCCACACCTTGTGATAGAATGTCACTTACCCTGTTAGCCCTTTGGGAAACTACCTTTGCTTCCACTGAGGTGGGGGCCTAGTTGGGGAGAGGGTCACAGCTGCAGATCCCAGGAGTCCCGCAGTGTCTTTAGTATCCCCTAGGAAAGCCCTGGGGTGAAGCTAGTGCGCTGAGGACTCCAGAAAGTGGTTCGCTCTGGGGGGTGTGCCTACATGCATCCTCCTGAACAGTTTTCTGAACCTTTGGCCTCTCACTTTGGTGCTGGCTGAGATGGCCGCACATTATCACCACCACTTCTGGCTGCTAGTTTCTGTTGAAGGCACATGTCCTAGATGGCAGGTGTCGTGCTAAGCATCTAACCCCAATTAGCTCATTTAGTCTTCTCCGCTTAACAACTAAGACAACTGTCACCCAAGGCCAAGAGCTAGCATGGGGTTGGGATTTGAACCCAGGCAAAACCCACTCTCTTCCCATTATACTAGTGGCCTCCTTCCCCAAAATATAGCCTCTCCCTAATCCCACCCCCTCAATACCATACATAAAGAAATACAGAATTTTATTAGGCTCACTTTCCCCCCAGGGGTCTAGTTGTTCTGGGAACCAGCCAATTCTTAGGGCACCTGTGCCTACCTCACAGCTCAGGGTTTGGAAACTCTTGGGCAAGCAGGCAGTGGGGCAGCTGCCCAGGGGGTCTCAATGGGTAGGGACAGAACCTCACTAAGCACCTGTTGAGTGCTAGGGAAGCAGTAGGAGCTTTTCATGCCTCGGCATTGTGGAAATAAATGATAGCAGCCAATGAGAACAAGCGAAGGCTATTTGTTCTGAGTTTGCTGTAGCAAAGGAGTTAGCCTAGCCACCATCACTTGTGTTTTGGCAGAGACTCAGAGACAGGCAGAGGAGTGGGAAGCCTTCGGTGTGCCCTGAGTGGAGGCTGTTGGGTTGGGGGACTCGTGGGTGGGATAACTAGAAGGGGGCATCCTATCTAACTGGTTGGGGTGCATATTTGGCTTTCTCTGGATGGTCCTAAGTAGGAAATGGAGACAAAAATTAGGGAAGCTGTCAGCTGTTAATCAAGTCCTGGCCATTTATGGTAGATTGTGGCAGGGGTTATTGTTTAGTTTCTGGATTTCACCAGAGATAGCAGCCTGGCTTCCCGTCATTCCAGCTGGCTTCCTGGGCTGTTTGTGTAGCTAAGGGGTTGGTTTCCTGGCCAGGTTGCTGCAGACTGTGGGGCAGAGTCCTGTTTTTATATACAGCCTGGCCCTCCTCCATTTGTGTATCCAGTCTCTCAGCTCTTTATCCTCACAGCTGTCCAACTTACAGATGAGGAAACTGAGGCCCAAAGATGTCCAGGAATGTGCCTGAAGCCCCTCAGCTGTACTGGGTATGTGGAGTTGGGCCATTCTGATCTACACCAAGCTGCCTGTCACCACTCATCCTCTATCCCCTGCCACCCCTGCCCCATGGAGATGGTCCCATTGACAGCAGGATGGTAGGCGCTCCTCCCTCCTGAGAGGGAAGTGGCCCTGCTTTGCCTTAGGGTGCTAGGTCTGGCAAATCATGATGGGGGAGGGGGACTGGAGTGGAGGTAGGAGTAGGGGTGCAGTGAGAAGGAAAGACTCCTGGGCTGCCCACCAGCAGCAGTGCCCCTAACTCAGAATCGCCCTTTGGGGCAGCGGGGAGCACTTGGGATCAACCCCAAGAGCCCACCCTTGTCTCTCTGATTCCATGTTTGTCCCCCCTTTCATCTATGCTCCCCCCAACCCTCCCAACCAGCCAGCAGTCCTTAAAAAGCTCAGATGGCATCACTCAGACCTTCCCGGGCTGCTCCCCCAAGTAGCCTCCTTCCTGCCTCCAGCCCTTCGTCCTGGCCTTTCCCTCTGCCTGGAACTCCCCACCGGGTTCCTCAGCATTTTTCGGGACTCAGCTCAGGCGTCACCTCCTCCAGCTCAGCAGCTGCCCCTGCAGGCCGGGACCCCACCCCCATCACTGTCACGGTGCTTCTCACAATGGGAAATGACAAGGGCTCACGATTGCTTGCGGGTTGTCAGCCTCCCCTGCCAGACTGTGAGCCCCTGAGGAGGGAAAGGGGCTGGCCCTGCCAGGGCTCAGGAAATACCCTGTGAATGGATGAATGAGTGAGTTTCGACTCCATCCCCAGTGTCTGCTCTTCCTGCTCTTGAGACAAGGCTCCAGCTCCATCCCTGACCAGTGAGCAAGGGAGGGGCAACCAGCAGAACCAGCCTCAGTAGCTGCCCATGGCCCCCTCCTTGGGCTGAGCTGCGAGGTGACCCAGCCAGCAGCCCTCAGGGAAGAAAGTGGCGTTCTTGCATCAGCTGCAAACTCTGCAGGCTGCGGGACTGACTGGATCTGGTCAAATGGTGATGGCAACCCTGCAAAGTCAGTATCACCATCATCCACATCGCTGGTGACAAAGTGAGGCTCAGGGAGGTTAAGGAACTTGTCTGAAGCCCCCAGCTAGGGAGATGCAGGATCGGGATTTCACCCAGATCTGACAACCTTTAGAGCAGTGCACTTCCGTGGCGCCAGATGCCTGGAAGCGCAGTGAGCTGCCCGGTGACCGAGGCCTGCTCCTTCTCTGCCACCCCCCTGCCCCTCCAGCGTCTTCTGTGCCCCCGTTCTTGCCCTTCAAGTCACCTGGTACCCACAGGCAAGGGCAGTGAAGGGTCTCTGAGTTCCTTCCCGTCCTGCCTACTCCCTTCCTGCCCTATGTTACTAAGAAGAGGGGGTGTCCTGATGCTTTCAATAAAATACTGGACACATGAAATACAAATTAGTCTAGGGGGAAAAAATCTGATACAGGATCATTCCCAGTTGTAATCTACACCATATATGACATAATGTGCAGCTCAATAAGCACTTTTTACTTTTCAGTAACTCAAATTTGCTTCCCTTCAGGCACATGTACTGGTGTTTGCCCAGTCTGTGCAGAAGGCTCTGCTCCCAGGTCCCTGGGACCCCCTAGCAGCCACCTGCAGTAGTCTCTGGCTCTGACCCCAGGAGGACCCGAGGTCTGTCCCAGGCCCTCCCTGGGGATTGGCCCCAGCCACCTGGGGCTGTCTTGGGAGCAGAATACACAGAGCAGTGGGGAGCACCTGCCTTGCGGGCTTGGCCCCAGCCCTCTTGGGGTCTTTTCCTCCCAGGCCACGTGGGCAGAGGGAGAAGCACTCAGTACCAGGCCAGGACATTGAGCTGTGTGCCTGGGCCTTCACACTGGCCTCGGTCCTGAATAGTGCCATGACTTCAGCATCCTGGCCTTAGTTTTCCCATCCAAAAATGGAGAACATGAAGGTTGCTGCCTCGTAAGAGGGCCCTTTTAAGGATTAATCAGATGATGCAGGTCAAACCCTTGGCCGAGGCCTGGATTGAGCTGGGTACTCCCTCCCTCCCCTTTTCTACTGTTACCCAAAAGTGGTTTCATTTCATGACTGTGAGGCAAACCAAATTCAGATAGTTGATCTGACCCTGGCACTTCAAAGACATCCCCAGACTCTCCCTATAAAGCCCAAATAGGACTTCAGGATTACCTGTGGCTAGGAATTACCTGTATATCTCTAGGGACTTGGCTGCCTGCTCTATGTTCCCAAGACCCAGGAACTGTTCCTGGGGAGCCATTCAACCTAAAACCTTCCAGACCAAGCCCTCCCATCTTGCAGATCAGCAAATTGAGGCCCAGAGGGCCAGCGAATTGCTCAGAGTCACATGTCTGAGATAGAGGCTGGAGCAGAACCAAGGATTCCTGAAGCCCTCAGGAGGGTAGGGCTGTCTTCATGTCAGCTGCAGCTCTGATTGAGCTGTGGGGGAGGGTTCCCACGCAACCACGCCTGGAAATCAAGCAGGCTGAGGAAAAGCAGGGGTCATGGCCTTCAGGATCCACATCGGTGGGTCACTGTGACATCCTTAACCACCCATCCTCCAGTCTTCTATCCCCTCCCCCTCCCAGGATTTTTTTTTGAGACGTTGTCTCACACTGTCACCTAGGCTGAAGTGCAGTGGCGCAATCTTGGCTCACTGCAACCTCCACCTCCCAGGTTCAAACGATTCTCCTGCCTCAGCCTCCTGAGTAGCTGGGATTACCGGTGTGCACCACCACACACCACACTCAGCTAATTTTTGTATTTTTAGTAGAGACGGGTTTCACCATGTTGGCCAGGCTGGTCTCGAACTCCTGACCTCGTGATCCGCCTGCCTCGGTCTCCCAAAGTGCTGGGATTACAGGCGTGGGCCACCACCTCCAGCCCCTTCCCAGGATTTTGATCTCCTTTGACTCCTTCTCCTGCACTATTGGCTCACAGTCCTGAGCTCCGAAGTGGCTCTGAAGATCCTTGGAGGGATAGAAGATGGAGTCAATTCCTTTGAACAATGTTTAACTTGAAGCCACTGCATTCTTCCGAGATGGTTTATTTACCTTGAGGTAGAAACGACTGGTAGCAGCTTGGAGTATGGTTTCTACTTTAGCTCAGGAGATAAAGTCAGGATCATAGAGTTCACAGATGGGCCTGAAACCACGGATTCCATACCCCCTCCCCGCCGCATCATGCTCCAATGTCCCATCCATCCACAGTCAACTGCATTTCATTTTGTAACTGAAATTAGACTCCCCTTTTAGGTCAACCAGAGGAGAAGACAGATTCAAGTGCTACTACACGTGGCCTGATTCCAATCTTGGAGTCAGGTTAGTTTGTGCTGAAGCCCCCAACTAAGATTTGACATGCAGTTACAAGAGAAAACGGAGGGAAATTTGCTATGAGGTAGCGGAGGGAAAGTTGAAGTTCTCTTTTATATTACAATATTGGAGAGGAGAGCACGTGAGGGGGCATGGACTGAGAATCAGGAAACTGCTGTTCTATTCTTGGCTCTGCAAGTAGCTTGCTGTGTGCCCTCGGGCAGGTCACTTCCCCTCTCTGAGCCTCAGTTTCCTCATTTTATATAACCAAGGAAGGATCTTCAAGTTTCTTCCTTTCAGTTCTAAAGAGCTCATGATTCTAGCTGGGTCTCTGGCCATGGGTGAAGAAATCAAAGACTTAGTTTCATTTCATAACTTGCACCCCCCAGCACTTCCCAGTTGGGGCTGGGAACAGGACCAAGCATTCATTGACGAAACTAATCTGAGCTTCAGAGAGGTGACTGCCGCCTCGGCTGTTGGAAACCTCACCCGGGAAGAGGACAGGGCTGGACGCAAGCTGGACAAGAGCTTAGTTCTCCCACCCCAAGGGCTGTGATTGGTGTCCAGGCAGCCGATGTTTATTCAGACTGGAGCTTTGGCCTTTGCAGGCTCAAATGTCATTAGCTGCTGTTTTTGATCAATGGGAAGCAGTGAAAGCAACAAATAATAATGTCCATTTGCGGGCAATTTCAGTCATTTGTGGCATTTAATTAGCATAATTGACCTGAACTGGAACTTTTTCTCCACCTGAATTTAAAAATACATTACTGCCCCCCCTACCCCAATATATCTGAGAAATTTTCTTTTTTTAATGAGGTTTTAACTAAAGCCCAATATCAAAACACCATATAATACTTTTATCTCATTGAAGACATTTGATGCTTATTAAAATATTATTGCTTTAAGGCTTATTTTGATTTTTTGCCCAAGAGTGTGTGCAGAGCCTTGCTACTCAGATAATAACAAAGAAACCTTAAACATGAAAAAAACACATGAAAGGTAATATGTTCCCCATTAGTCCCAGTATCATTTCCCCAGGATTACTGCTTTCCAAATATAGCATTAGTTTAAAAATAAAAGGCCGTTTACAGTAACGGGACACTTGGCACTACTTTGCAGTATGCGGGCCCTCCAAGGGGCTTGTACAGCAGCTTCATTAAGCGAGAACTGCAGGGGAGAGGGCTGGCTTAAAAACAATCGCAGCATGCCTCCTCGAAGGCCCCCCAGATAGGCCACCTATCCTGACCTGAGGCCCGTGTCTAACAAGCTCTTAATTCTCTTTTCAGAACTGCTTTTTCGTGCATTGTTTCTTCTGGAGATGAGACCATTTTGGAAACTGACAAGTAATCAATTGACTGCCACCGGGGAGGAGAAGCGACATTCTGGGGCTCCGTGTTCTGGCCTCATGGGTCAGGGTGTGGCTGCCATCCATGAGAGAGGGCTCCTTTTGGCTTTGGGAGGTCTCTTTTGTCCTGGGAGATCCAGGGCAGCAAGCCCCAGATGAGATTTATGTCAGTCGAGAAGCGCACGGGCCCTGTGTCTAAGCATGCTTTATTTGACTCAGACATGCCATTTTTTTTTCTTTTTTGCTAGGCACAGCTAAAGTCCATTTTCAGTTGGATGAACTAATCTAGCTAAGGGACAGAACAGTCATGTACATAGAAGGGCTCTCTCAAGTGGCAGGGAGGGCCACTCCAGTTTGCTTCCCTGTGGCCTGTGTAGAGTACCCACCGGAAGCTGCCAGCCCGCTGAAGGCCCCTGAAGAGACTCATGTTGCACATTTGCTATTTTAGTCCAACAATGCAGGCCCCTTCCGGTTTCAGGAGCTGGTCTCCTGGCACTCAGCAAACGCCCGGCTTCAAGAGGCCTCAGAGAGCCAGGGGAGCGAGCTTCCAGCCTGAAGGTAGGGAGAAGCTTTCCTGATTTTAAATCCTCAACTAAATGCCAGCCATATCTTGTTGTCAGCAGAGAGGGGAGATCAAGAGGGAGCGATGGAGGAGAATGGAGAGGTGGTAACAAGAGCTGAAATTTATTGCCTGGTGGCTTGCATTCTCCCCAGGGCAGGTGGCACTGTCCACTGGGCGGAGGGTCTGCTGTACCATGAGAGGGTTCTTTGCATGGAACCAATCACAGGTTGGTAGGGGGTTAGGGATGGTGTCTCTTTGGGAAGCATCCCATCTGACTGTCAGAATTGGGACCTCCTTGTTTGGCCTCATCTGGTTTGTGCTCTTGATGTTCTCAACTCCTCTTTCTAGCCAAGAATTGCTTATTCCCATCCGTATTCCTAGACTAGTGGCTGGCACAGAGCAGGCATCAGCTCACTTGAACTAAGAGAACAAGCTCCCATGGGTAATGTCTCATGAACAGACCAGAGACTGGGGCGGGGGTGTGGGCTGGTCGAGGCTGGTGGCCTTGGTGAGGGCTGTGATGGGCTTCCATTCACTGAGCACTCACTGCTGTCCAGGTTCTGAGCTGCATGTGTCACATGGATTCCCTCATCTGATCCTCATGCCACCTCCCTAACTTGGCAATGTTATCATGACCAACTTGCAGGGAAGGGAACGAGGTTCAGGGAGGTTGATTAACTTGCTTAGGCTCACCCAGCCAGAGAGCAAGCAGCAGTCTGGCTTGTGGTCCTGAGCCTCTGCCACCTCTCTTGTCTCTCATTGGCTCACGGTCCTGAGCTCCGAAGTGGCTCAGAAGCCCTTTGGAGGGATAGAAGATGGAGTCAGCCCCTTTGAACAATGCTTAATTTGAAGTTACTGCATTTTTCTAAGGATACTCCTTCTTTGGGAGCTAAAGATCAATGCCACAGGGATTGAACATGGCACCAGTAGGCCCTGAGTCCTCTGCCTCCCAGCACTTTGATGCCCCAAGGAGAAATAGAGTGTCAGCCCCAGACATGATTCCTGCCCTCCAAGAGCTCACATGAGTGGAGAAAGAAATGACTAAGGGCCATAATAAATGGCTCAAAGAGTGGGATAGCTGCAAAGGTATTTGCATCGTAACATGGAGGAGTTAAGATTCACTGTAGAGATCATAGAGTATCATTAATCTACAGATGGGGAAGTAAGGGTATAAAGAAGCAAAGTGACTTGTCCAAGGTTATCCAGCTAATTCAGAGGCAAAACCAGGGCCAGAACTTAGGAGTCTTCACACCCCTAGTCTCCGATTCACTCCTCTGCTTGGTTCCTTAGTGGCTGGCGAGGCAGGGAAGAGAATGATGGTCAGGAAAACAGGGACTGGGTGGAACCTTGAAGGAGTAGGCAGGGTACTGGAGAGGGGTATGAGGATGCTCTATGTAGGGGAAGAGGTATGCAGGTGATGTGGGATGTGGGACATGGGATGCTAGGGGTTAGATAGATTGCATGCCCTAACTCCACTCTTTCTGATGAGTAGAGGCTGCAGGAGATGCTGAGAGGAAGAGGACAAAAGAGCCAGGATCGATTAGCAATGTCTGTCAGGAGCATGGGGAGGGGAAGGAGAGGACCTCTTGCCACATGCCTGTCCTCCCTGGCATAAGGTGTGCTTAAAGCATGGTAACATGTGAACTCTTCTGATCCACTGACAGGTCTTGACCAGGGCTGGGGGAGGACTCTGCTATCGATTAATTTGTTTTTCATGGACAGTTTCCTGCTCACTCAGACCCAACTGGTGCTGGTATCAGCAGACCTTTGCATCTATTCCATGGACCCATCACCTGCCAAAGCCCCACTGCCTACCCTGCAAGGGGAGGCACCAGGTCTAGCAGAATTACTGCAGGGCCAGGGCTGGGAGGGAGCTGAGTTACAGAGCTTGGCAGGCCCACAGAGGAGCCTCTTGCATTTCAAATGGGCTCCCGTGGCCACTGCTGAGAGAGGCCACATTTCTGCTGAATGAGTCATTTCAGGCTCCGCTCACCTATAATGAGTGAGATTCTCTGGGAAACATTTCCATATTGGATGCAGGGGCCACCCAGGTAAGGGAAGAGGACAGTCTGAAAGCCAGAGGTTATGACTTTTGATCTAAGCCTCAGCTTTGAAATATTCACAACTCCACCGGAGCCAACTTGGGTCAGTGCCGCCCTTCATTCTTCTGAGAAAGAGAAGAAGTAAGTCTGATGTGGATGCGCTGCTGGGCAGCTTGGTGGGCAGGGCCCCTTTGGCTAAAATGGATGAAGTGCAGGTGAGAGCAGGAATGCATAGGGGCCCGACGGGGTGCAGGCAGGGCAGAAGCCTCCATGGGGTAAATGATACCCAGGCCCTCTCCAGCCTAACTAAGAGCCCACTAACAGCCCTGGCCTGGGCAGAATGAGACTTTCAGGGTCAGAGGTCTTTTTCACATTTTACGTGTTGTATTTTCCCCCAGCTTGCGAGTGTAATCCGACCTACCAGCGTGCAAGGCTTTGGGGGTTTTGAACTTGCCCTACATCAAAATACACCCCCTCCTCCACTAGGGAGAAAACCAGCCACTCTCTGCCGCAGACTCGGCGGGCATTTGATTGTCTAGAACACATCAAACAGCCTAAGTCTCCCTTGTAAAAGTTTTACAAGAAAATCATTGAAGACCAGCCGAGCTATCCTTTTTCTCTCCTCCTCCTTAAATTCCAAGCCGAAGCCGATATTCTCGATTCCCACACTGTGGTGTCGGCCGGCAAGAGCGCGGGGCTGCTGAGTGTACAGCGGCCGAAACCTCAGCCTCTGGATCATTAGACTTGCAGCGCATGGCTTGTGGGATCTAGTGATTTGGACATATTTTATTTAACCATCTTAGTAAAAGGTAATATTCAGCAGCTGTGATCTATAGCAGAATTACAATTTTCAGGGTCAAGGAGGGATTTTGATATTAGGAGGTTAGGCAGAATTGCTATGAAATCTCCTGAGCTGTCTTTAAAAATAAATGAGAAAATAGGTTATCCAAGAGTCATTGTAAGGGAAAAATCAATAGGCAGTGTCTATTCACTTGGGCTATCAAAATCCTTGAAATTTGAACAAAAGTTTTACGTTTAGTGTACTGTAGGTTTTGAAATACCAGCGCTGGAGGCTCGGCGGGTACAAATTCATTGTGCTACGCATCCAAACAAGACTAGCCTTGTGAAGCTGCTCAGCTCCCTCTTAAAATAGGGGAGAATCTTGGTGACCAAACTGGACAGTAAAAGGACACGCCTGGTGAATACCATTTCATCCAAGGCAGCCGTCTGTCCACAAACACTTGAGAAGCACCTGATGCGCCAGGAATATTAGCTCAGGTGTGGCCGATGGCCCAGCGCCTCTTCCCAGCCCCACCTCTTGTCCAGGAGGAAAGTGGATCCCACGTGTCTTCTCTCCCACACCATGCACAGTGCTCAGGCTTTTGGATGGGGACAAACGATAATTAACAGAGAACTTGCTGGTGGTGAAGTTTTGGCTGAGCAGGTTGTCTGAAATAATAGAAGTTCTCTCCCATTCATTCATTCATTCATTCAACAATAATCTACTGAGAACTCACTATGTGCCACCCTCTCTTCCGGCACCAAACAATGGAGAAATAAACAGGCCTTGTACCAGCCTCCACAGAGCATGCAGATTAGCTGGGGAGTGCATATTAGAAAAAAAAATGTCTCTACAAAAAATACAAAAATTAGCCGGGCATGGTGGCACGTGCCGGTGGTCTCAGCTTCTTGGGAAGTTGAGGTGGGAGGATCACCTGAGCCTGGGGGGTCAAAGCTGCTGTGAGCCATGATCGTGCCACTGCACTCCAGCTTGGGTGACTGAGTGAGACCCTGTCTACAAGAAAAAAAAAAAAAATATATATATATATATATATATATATATGAGGGTTTTAGGGAAGGTGCCACATGGAGCTGGGGGAAAATGTGGAACTTGAAGCTAATGCCTGAGATGGAGGAAACAGCAGCATGTTAATGAAAATTAGTGACAGACATTCCAACTGTTTTCTCCATCTCCTCGGTTTTAGGAGTGATTTCTCCTGGTCCCTGGTACAGGCTCTGAGTACTGCTCCTGACACCCACAGCCTAAGTGATCCACATAACGTGGATGATGGACACGAAAGAATAAACACAGGAATAAATACTTGAGTATGTATTATGATAAGGAAAAACGTAGGATGAGCAAGAATCAGGTGGACCTTCTTGAGATTGGAGGAAGGTTCAGGGAAGGCTTCTGTGATGGTGTATGTAACCTGAGACAGGGCAGGTAGAAAGAGCTAGCCAAGGAGAAGAGGGAAGAGGAGGAGAACATTCCAGGCAGAGGCTCTGAGGGGAGAAAGAGCTTGGAGTGTTGGAGGGAGAAAGGAGTGAGGGAAGTGGAATGGAGACAGGAGGTGGGGAGACATAAAATGCCTGGCCAGGGGTAGGCGTCAGGTCATGCAAGGCTGGACGGGCCATGGGAAGGAATTCTGATGCGAAAGGCTATGCCAAGTCAGAGGCTTTTGAACCAGAAGGCTCTATGATCTGATTTTCTTTTTCAAATCCTCACCCTGGCTATTGTGAGCTTGGACAACCTACCTAGTACAAGTGGGGAGAACAGCTTGGAGTCTATGGCAGGTGAGAGGTGGCAGCTTGACCAGGGAGGAGGAGAATGGACTAGGATTCTACCAGTGTTCCTGGGAGAGCACAGGTGAGTTATTTCTTCTCTACTTCCCTTTTAATTGCCCCTCAGCAGTGGATTATTTAAGAACCACACAGTGATCCAGGGGTCCAGGATTCCATTTGGAGTCAAGCATTGTGCACAGACTGAATAAAGAACTACATTCTAGATGCCTCACTTTTCACATTCCCACAGATGTTGTTATGAGTTCATTTAAAAGCATCTCATCACAGCATTTATCATTTCTCATAGTCTCCATTTTCTCAATCAATAGATTATTTATTTTTTATTTTTTGAAATGGAGTCTTTCTCTGTTGCCCAGGCTGGAGTGCAGTGGCACAATCTTAGCTCACTGCAACCTCCGCCTCCCGGGTTCAAGCGGTTCTCCTGCCTCAGCCTCCTGAGTAGCCAGGACTACAGGTGCCTGCCACCATGCCCCGCTAATTCTTTTTGTATTTTTAGCAGAGACGGGATTTCACCGTGTTGGCTAGGCTGGTCTCAAACTCCTGATTTCAAGCAATCCACCTGCCTTGGCCTCCCAAATGGCTGGGATTATAGGCGTGAGCCACCGTGCCCAGCCAATCAATAGATTTTTTTTTTTTTTCGAGACGGAGTCTCGCTCTGTCACCCAGGCTGGAGTGCAGTGGCGCGGTCTGGGCTCACTGCAAGCTCCACCTCCCGGGTTCATGCCATTCTCCTGCCTCAGCCTCCCGAGTAGCTGGGACTACAGGCACCTGCCACCACGCTCGGCTAATTTTTTGTATTTTTAGTAGAGACGGGGTTTCACCGTGTTAGCCCGGATGGTCTCGATCTCCTGACCTCGTGGTCTGCCTGCCTTGGCCTCCTAAAGTGCTGGGATTACAGGCGTGAGCCACCTCGCCCAGCCCAATCAATAGATTTTTAAAAATCAATGTTTCAAATGTGTCCTCAAATTTCCTTCAGGATACTGTATGCTGGACATTAGGTAGGCTCAAACCAGCATAAGCGACCAAGACTGCCTGCCTTATCTTTCCAGGTCTCTCTGTGACTGAACTCCTACAGCAGTTAATTGCCAGAGAACTGCTGGGTGTCCCTTAGTACCCTTGGGCTCTGGGGAAGGCAGAGACTCAGTTTTGTGGTTCAAATGCTGCCTTCATGATCCTGGTGCCATGTCTAATATTTATTCTTATGTGTGTGTGGTTTGTTTTTTTTTTTTCTTTTTTGAGACCCAGGTCTCACTATGTTGCTCAGGCTGGTCTTGAATTCCTGGGCTCAAGCAATCCTCCCACCTCAGCTTCCCAAAGTGCTGGGATTACAGGCATGAGACACCATGCCCAGCTCTATTTATTGTTAAAAAATAATTTTAGGCCGGGTGGGTGGCTCATGCCTGTAATCCCAGAACTCTGGGAGGCTGAGGCGGGTTGATCATGAGGTCAGGAGATCGAGACCATCCTGGCTAACACGGTGAAACCCCGTCTCTACTAAAAATACAAAAAATTAGCCGGGCGTGGTGGCGGGCGCCTGTAGTCCCAGCTACTTGGGAGGCTGAGGCAGGAGAATTGCGTGAACCCAGGAGGTGGAGCTTGCAGTGAGCTGAGATCGCGCCTCTGCACTCCAGCCAGGGCAACAGAGCGAGACTCCATCTCAAAATAATAATAATAATAATAATTTTAAAACATTTTTAAAATGAATTTTTTAAATAATGGAGAAATAAATATCTTTCTACCATTAAGGTGTTCTTCCACATACCGTGCGCTAACTGACTGTGCCACTGGAGCTACAGTATGGAATTAAGGCATTCTTTAGGTATCTGAAGCCCAGAATCATGAGGACTCTGCACATACACAAAAAACCCTAAACACCAACAACCCCCCAAGCAATATTTGTCTGCCATGTTACTGAGCAACACATTTAGTCATGATGAGTGTGATGGTTTGTCACATGCCTGGGGGTGTTTTCCACGGCGACCTAATTGAATCTTCATATCAGTCCTTGGGTGGAGTGCTATTTTCTCTGCTTTACAGTAGAGGAAACTGAGGCTCAGTGAGGAGATCAGTAGGTTATCCAGGCTCACCAGTGAGAGAATGAGAGCTCAGATCCAAGTCTGTGATTGCTCTGTAATGCCATATTTTTGGGAAATTAAAGAAAAATAAAAACCTGCATTCAAAAACAACCTTGAATATTATCTTTCCAAGTTTCATCATTTAAAAAAATGACAGCGTCTAATTCACAGTCCAAAAACTGTAGCAGAGCACTGAACTGAAGATTTTGAACTAACCTTCAATTAGAAAGGAAATGGAAGTAAGTGAAAGAATTCAAATGGAAAAGATGGGAATAGCCGACTTTAGAATTAGGCATTTTATTTAACTCATCAAATAATACAAGTTATTCCAGGAAACAACAATCAAAATGTATTACTTGTACTAACGATATGTAGAGCCACATTTCCAAGAAATCTCATGAAAATAAATTACTTGATGGAATAAAGCAAATAAATAGATTTTTTACAAACAATAACCCTGTGAATATTAGAAAAAAAATGTGAGGGTTCTGGGGAAGGTGCCACACGGTGCTGGGGGAAAATGGAACTTGAAACTAATGCCTGAATGAGATGTAGGAAACAGCAGCACGTTAACAAAAATTAGTAACAGACATTCTAACTGCTTTCCTCCATCTCCCCGGTTTTAGAAGTGACTTCTCCCATCCCCACCGAGAGAGGCTCCAAGTACCGCTCCTGACACCCACAGCCTAAGTGATCCACATAATGTAATCGCACCATCATTAGGAACCATGAAATTGCAATTCCTCGGGGAAGGAGCGCGATCGCTCAGTTACACGGAGAAGAGCGATTAATTAGCCGATCTCAGTTTAATGTGACTATGTACTACACGGGTTCTAATCCCACTCTGGAGCAGCTCTCGGGCCTAATGAATTATCTCTAGGAAGCTGAGCTGGAGCCAGAAGACATGACTCAAAATGAAATAAGTGAAATAAGATAAAAGCCAAAACTTTAACATGATATTGGGGAAAAGCTGTAGAAACCAAATGGGAGTCACCTAATTTTTCCTGATCCTGAAATGACACTATCGAGTATGAAATCTTATATTTAGACTCTATTTGAGGCAACTTCATCCAAACTGACTCATTCATTCATGCATTCATTCATTCCATAAGTGTTACCTTAAAGCAGTATTACTTTTTACAGAACGTGACGGGATGCTACTTTAGACCCATTTTTGGGCAGTTGCATCCTCAAACATCAGACAAAGCAGACTGAAAGCTGCAGGTGAAACCTCCATGAGGGTGGCTTAGAAAACTGTTCTGAAATGGGGATGCCTTCTTCCTGGAAACCTAAGTGGAATCAGGATATTTTCCTTTCCCAAAAGGAGGATGTCTCTAAATCCAAACCTAGTTGGCACCCACCCTCCTTCATGCTGGCATCTTTGTATTGAGCTCCCAAATCCTAGGCTTCACCTGAAACTCAAATGGATGGGTGCAGATACTGAGGACTGGTCTTTGCACACTGTGAGACCTCAGCTCTCTGGCCGACTAGTCTTTCCATTTCACAACTTGCTGGGATTCCAGATTAAATCTCTCCGGGTGGTTCTAACTCTGTTCTGTATTGATGGGGCTGCTTTTAGACTTCATTTCTAGAGCAGAGCACCTAGTGAGAGGAATACCTGGGAGAGAGACTGCCTTGCCCATGGTGGTTAAACCTATATGAGGGGACTGAAATCTCTTTGGATGCCAGTCCAGATCCCTTTTTAAGAAAAATGGGCTTGTGGTTCCAAGGCTGAGAGCTGGCACCACACACTGGTTTCTAAATCTCTGGCTTGGATTTTATCCAAGCGCATGTTCCTAACGTGCCCGTGAGCAGGAGGGGCAGGCGCAGTGTTAATGATCTAGTTTACTGATAGACAACTAAATGCCCAAGAGGGTAGGTGGCTCACCAGGCAGGACTGGCTACATAATTTTCAGGACCCACTACAAAACGAAAATGTGGGGCCCCTTGTTCAAACAGTCAGAAAACATGCTTTTTGCTTTCTTCCCCAGTCTCACTTTCAATTTGTCATGGTGTTTTAAATTTGCTAGTTAATACCATTCTAAGTAAAGTCAAAATTTTAAATTATTAGCATGACTTTTACCATTCCTTTTTATATTGTGCAATGCCAGTTTTAACTGGAAATATCCGAATATTGAACATGCATGTGGAATTATCAAAGCGGCACACTGTATTTCACGGTTCTCTCAGGAGGATACCTTGACCTGGCCGGAAGAGACAAGCTGGGCTCCGGAAGGTTGAAAGAAGGAAGAGAGGGTCCTCTCAGGCATGGAGATGACCCCATGGAGTGCTCCCTAGACATGAGGGTTCTCCTGGGGGAGTGCAGACCCCCACAGGCACCCTGGTGACTTGGGGAACACACAAACACTTGAACCCATCTTCTGGCTCCCTTTCCTGTGAGCTGCTGGGCCCACATGTTGTGCTCCAGGCCTAGGGCAGGAGGTTGAGCCAGGCATCCTCCCACAGGCCCCTGCCCCAACCCATAGCAGATGGGCAGCCCCCGGGGCACTACAAATTTTGTACCAGGACACACGAGGTACTGGATCTGGGGGGGGCTAGAGGCTCACCCCCGCAGAGTCCCACATGAAATGTGCCCTGGGCTGCCAGTGCAGGATGGGGACTGCTGCCACCATGCCCCACTCTGAGATGCTGTGGGGTGTGCTTGTCCCCCTCCCCCACAGGGTGTGCCTGTGCCCAGGTTGGGGGCAGGTTGGCAGTGGTTGCTGGGTGGGAGGCAGGGAGGTAGAAGGTGAGTGGAGCTGGAGCTGGAGCTGTGGGGGCAGAGGAGCAAGCAGCTGAGAAGCAGATCCTGGACGCAGGGAGATGGGAGGCTCCATGCTCCCAGTTCACATTCCACTGTCCCATTGGACTTCACTTACAAAACACAGTGACAAAGATAAAATTATTAAGAATTTGAAGACAGTGACTGCAGAGCCTTATTTCCCAAGCGTGGGGCCCTTCTGGGCACAAAGCCCTGTGTAGCTCTACTGGTCACACACCTGTGACACCAGCCCTGCATCCTGGACCACTTAGAAGCTCAGCTTACCAAGTCTCGTGGTCTTCTAGAAGGTTCTACAAACCACAGACTGCCATCTTAGCCTTTGGCTCTTACTTTGTTGGGAAGGTTCCCTTTGCACTGCCATGGAAGGCTGGGAGCTAGCAGAGACCTACCTTCCTGAGAGATTTTCTAGCCCAGCTTTCCCATTTTGTGGATGAGGAAACCGAGGTCTGGAGCAGGGTGTGACTGGCATATAAGGCCACACATCAGGCCACTGGCACAGCAGGGCCTAGAGCCCCGAGACCCGAGGCCCAACTCGGCATGAAAGGTGCCAGCCTCTGGGAAAAGACCAGAGCCCCACTGGTATCCGTACCACGCTGTTCCTGGCTGTGGCCGCATTCCAGCCACAGCCATCTGGACCCAGAAGTGGTATCAGGGTTTCCCTCCAGCTCTATCACCCAGGCTGGAGTGCAGTGGCGCGATCTCGGCTCACTGCTACTTCGGCTTCCCAGGTTCAAGCGATTCTCCTGCCTCACCCTCTTGACTAGCAGGGACTACAGGCACGCGCCTCCACGCCCAGCTAATTTTTGTATTTTTGTAGAGACAGGGTTTCACCATGTTGGCCAGGCTGGTCTCGAACTCCTGACCTCAAGTGATCTGCCTGCCTCGGCCTCCCAAAGTGCTGGGATTACAGGTGTGAGCCACTGTGCCCAGCCGAAAACTGAGTTTTTCTGTACATGTTGGTTTAATAAAAAAGTAACTGGAGAACTTTAGCACCAAGAGTGTGAAGGCCAATACTACTGAGGAGGCCCCCTGGCTCTGTGGCTGGGCCACAGCCCTTCTGAGCCTGAGGGGGCGAAAGACCCAGCCTTGAGTTGCTGGGCAGTGGGTGGGGATGAGGCAGAGAGGATTTGAAACAAAAGTTCCAACCCCTGGTGCTGTTTGAAGTTCCACTTCCTGGTGCAGAGGAAAGACGTCTCACCAGAGGCTGAAGGCATGGAATCTACTCCTGGACCTGTTACCAATTTGCTAGGTGCCATTAAGCAAATCTTGTCCCCTCTCTGAGCCCCCATTTCCCCATCTGAAAATCAGCAGGTAGGCCACAGTGGCCCCCTAGGGCCCACAAAGCTCAAAAGTTTTATAAATCTGAGCTCCTGGTTGGCTCACCCCATCGCCAAGGTGGCTAGCACTGAGCTCAAGGAATGCCGATCCACACTTCCTCATTTCAAAACGCTGCTCTTTCCAGCTCTGTGGGCTTCATCTCCCCTCACAAAGGAGTTCAGAGAGGCCGTCCAGAGGCGGAACATGCGGCTGCATTTGCTGGGATGCCCAGGCTCCTCTGTCCCTGAATGCCATGCACCCAGACATCAAAGTTTCTCTGCTGTCTGGGGGAGGATGGTGCGGGAGGAGGACCAAATCAGCCACGCGCCCCAATCTGGATTCTACTTCTATTTTCCCCTTTCCGCATGGGGGACAGAGAGAGGAGAAGAAGGGGAGAGAAGCCTTTGAAAATGTCTGCTGCTCCATTTCCTCCCCGTTCACTGCTCTCTGCTTAGCAATTCACCTCGCCGGCGGGCCCAGTGACACTCCCGTGGTGCACCTCTTAGCCACTCGGCAACTTTTTTCCCTTTTATGATATTTTGGGCTCCTGATTGCCTGCCAAGTCAAACCTTTAACATTTAATAAGCAGGAGGAAAAAATCCTCCAAGTCGGCCCCGATCTAAACAGTCCCCATTCCTATCCCTGGCCTCTCCTAGGCCAGTCCTGGAAGTAGGGCCAGTGCTGATGGGGACCTGCCCACCTGCAGGCAAGTGTCAGCCCTACTCAGCCTCAGCGGGGCTCCTTTGCTAATGCAGTCATGGGGATTGCAAGGAGGAATGAACATACAGCATTGTCCACTTGGAGAAGATTTTGCCTAGTAATTCACAGTGATGGTGCATTCATCTCAGGGGGCAGTGTAGAAGGTGGCAGAGGCACAGGCATCGCAATGTGATTTTGAGACCCTGAGAATGACCTTGCCCGGGATTGGAGTGAGTCAGGATTCTGGAAAGGAAAATAGTTTTCTGACTTCCAGTGCTGTGAGACTACCTTCTTTCTTTTCTTATCTATCTTCTTCACCATGTGTCTTCGGGGCCTGGAACATAGTAGATGCTCAATAAATATTGATTGAATGAATGAATGAATAAATCTGCTTACACCTCTCATGCTTCAAACAGGGAAAGGCTAGATTATTTAGAAGTCTTGTCGGGGATAATAATGAGCTCAGTGAAGCCCTCTAGTTCTCACTCGAGTTTCTCCCTTTCTTTAGAAATGCAGTGTAGAGCTCTGGAAGGGTGGGTGTGGATGAATGAGAGAAGATGGAAATTGAGCGGAGAGTCTCTGACGGCCACAGTGTCCCCTCTGTGCCAAGACCCCTGGATGTGGCAGTGTGGGGAAGGTCTGCTCAGGGCAGAAAAGAATCCCTTTTGGGTCCTTCCCCAAATGCCAAATTGTACACCACAGCGGATTTGGACTTCCTTCAGCCTCAGGAGGGCCAGAGGAGGGACACAATTTTCCTGCCCCCAGGGTTAGCTGTCCAAACTCCAACCCAGCCTCCCTGCTCTTTCTCGATCCTTCTCAGCCAGGGCATGGCTGTGGGACCTGTCAGGAGACCCTCAACCCATTACTGCTCCTTTGCAGAGCCCATTCTCAGGCTCCCATGTTTGCCTGCATGCAGCCCTAAGCCAGAACGCAATCCTTAGAAGAACGGGGTCCTGGCCAGGGAGTGGGTTTTAAGGCAAGGCTGAAGGCAGCTGATACGGGGCAACCTCCAGGGAGCTGGTCCTAGGGAACCAAGCCCCTCTTTCCTTCTAACCTTTCTCCCAAAGACCACTCAGGCTCCCTCATGTAGTGGGTCTGTCTTCCCCCAAACCCAAAATCTGCCCCCAGGAAAGGGTCAGACAACTCACTTAGAGGGATCTGTGGCTGGTAGGACTGAAGCTGTCTAGGGAAAAATGAATCTGCATTTTTCCAGTGTTCCAGGGCAGAAACCACAGGACGGCCTCTCTAGGGGTGGGGTTTCAGGCATCCACCACCGCGAGGGTGTCACTGCGCAGGGGCCTGGCATCCCTCAAAGGGTCAAGGCCTTGACCACTTCCTGTGTCCAGAAGAGGTGCAAACACGGGGAGGGACAGTCTGGTCAGAGGCTCAGGGAGTGGGGCTGGCAGGCTTTGGTCTCTGCTGGTCTCCCAGCCTGCGGCTGATGCACGTCTGTTGAATTTTGCAACAGTCCCCATCCCTCAAGGAGGTGGTGAGTCCTAGCCATGTTCTTGGCTCCTCTTTTCTGATGGGATGAGACAGGGGAGAGTAACGCGAAAATGTGGTACAGGATGCCGAAGTGCTTGTCAGCGCTGGGGGTATAATAGGGCCCCCACAGGTGTCAGCCCAGGATGCCTCTATGGCCTGGGTCCTTGGCAGAACATTCTGGGGAGAAACTGGAGCGGGAGGATGTGTTCATTCTCAACTCTGTGGGGCCTCGTCACGAAAAAACATTTCTCTCTAACTTAGGTGCTTACCCTGGCAAAATAAGTGAAAAACAGCAAAGTTGCGGTAACGAAGTGGCACTGAGCTGGAGAGGGCCTGGGCTCCCCCAGGTATTGTCCCCTCCTGAACACACCTGGGGGAGGCCGGGGAAGTGGGAGGGGGAGAGGAGGCTGTGCTGAGCGGTGCTGGTCCTGCCCCCAGGAAAAGCCCTGGCAGCTCTCGGCGGAGCCGGGTTTGCAGCCGATCAATACGGCTTCGGAGCCGCTGAGCTATTATTCACGCCAAAGGGCCTTGTTTGGATGAAGGGAAGGAGGGGGTGCGCGAGTTCATGGAATCACAGTCCAGAGCTCTGCTTCCTGGCGACTGCCCCCTCTGTGATGTCTGAGTTCTTCATGTAGCACGAGTAACGAGCGATTCCGGATGAGGAAGTGCTTTCCCCATGGCACACTGGGAGCCCAGGAGCTATGGCCACAGGGGTGTTTGACTGGGGCAGGGGGCCCTGGAGAGATGCACCCTGTCTTTCCCCCTCTTTAGCTCCTCCTGAAGAAGGGCAGTGATGAGCTCAAGGGGGCCTACTTGCCCTTGCTATCCCCTGGTGCTAGAAAAACCCTCCATCCCTCACCTGTCCACCCTCTGCTACCCAACCCCCAACATATCGTGCCCCATCCTGCCATCTTGCTTTTGCCCTGCTCGCCTCTGGTAAGCTGGCTCCTTGTTACTGCGCTGGAATCCCAATAGAGATGGGAACTCACTCTGCACTCCCCGCATCTGCCCTCCTCCACAACAGGACACTAACCCTGGCTCAGTCACTCATTTCAGGAAGTCCTGGCTCCAGTGACAGACTCTTGCTGCCTGGGCCTGGCTGCTCTCATCCATCTTGGGTGCAATATTTGTGGCTTCAGGAGCTTTTCTGAGCTGTCCACGCAGTCACCTGCCCTGTTTAACAAAGACTGGCATCTGGGCTGAGAGCCACCTGACTGCTGACATTATGTGGCCAGCCTCTGGCAGGTGCCACTGGTCTGAGTCTGATGGGTCACAGGCAAAGTGAAGCCACCAGAATATCTCTTGGGGGCTAGTTTAGAGTTAGAGAGTTACTGCATAGGGTGAGGTTGAGTTTGAGCTAGTCTCAGGCAGACCCTCAACCAGGGTCACTGGGAGTTGGACTGAGGATGGCTCTTCACAGAGCCAGCCTTCCTTCCTTTCTTCCTTCCTTTCTTCCTTTTGGAAAAATGGCTCTTGGTACCTTTTCTGTTGAGGTGTGAAGGCCATCCCAAGGGGGACAGATTGTCATGTGGCTAATTTATCCTGGATTGAAATGGAGGCTTGAGATCCTCCAAAGCCTGGCATGTCTGCTGTTCCTACGCCCATAGTAACCAAAGAGGCTTGAGGCCAGGTCCCACCTGGCTCGTGCCTGCCAGGCAGGTACCTCCCACGCCGTGGCTCCTGCAGGACCATCTGTCCTTGGATGGGTGATGCTGAGAGATGCTACACTGAGCAAGGAACGTGCACCATCTCTTCCCCTCACACCCATGGTGGAGCTACATAAGGGGCCTGGTCCCTCTGGGGATGGGAGAAAGGAACTTCCCATTCCCTGATATTGACCCAACACCCCTGCCCTGAAGTGTCAATGAACCGGGCCTCTGAGGGTGGCTTCCATGGTTATATAAACTCATCAAACAAACAGGCTGAGCAGACATAGACAGCAGCCATAGCATGGAGAAGGCCACTGACTTCCGATTTAGGATGAGGACGATGGGGCTTTGTCCTCCCTGGCCCTTCAAGCTCATGGTCCATGGAAAAGAAGAGCCATTCACCAATAGCAAGTCACAGAAAGGAAAAAGGACAGAAGGCCCATCTCAGCAAAGTGTCTCCCTGTTGCATATTAGGGAAGCGCTGTTTGTAATGAGCTCCAGTTGACGGCACGGAGATGCCCAAGACATACCCCCAATCAGACCCTCCCCAAACCAGCCAACCAGACACACATCTTCCTTTAAGATGTCTCTACTGGCTCTCCCGCCTGCCCACATCCCTGCAACAACACACCCAGCCAAAGGGGAAGGCAAGTGGCTTGGAGACCAGGGACTCACGGTGGTTCCTCTGAAACCAGCGCTGACCACAACCAACCAACAGAACTTGGCTCTGAACTTCCCCTCCACACACACGTTTCTCCCAGGAAAGCCACCTCCACTCCCAAGCATGGAGTGCCTCACTAGGCTAGCAGTTCAAACCAAAGGGATGAGGAAATCATCACTCCTAGTTAATTCTCCACTACGTAGACAAACTGCTATTAATATTTACGATGGGAAATTTCATTATTTAAAAATTCTGCCCTAAATTTCCAGCTCACTCCATGAAGAACGCCTGCTGAACAGGTTGCAAATTAAGAACAATTATTTTTCTCTTCTGCATTTGAATACAACTTACAGCTAAAGTCATTTAAAGGGGTTAACATCAACCTTAATTAAATATTAAAGTGTGCCTGTACCTGCTGCTATTGTTGCCCCTTCGAATAAGATATAACCTATTTTTGACAAGTTTTCATCTTTCTCTGTGGAAGACGCTACATGAAACCAAATCAGTGGCAAAGAGGAGAGTAATGAATAATCTATTTCATATTCCAACAGTACCCAGAGCTCGGAGTGGAAAAATATTCAGTCAGATGATGGCAAGAGGCTGCTTGGGGTACCACATGACACAGCTAATGTTTAAATAATAATAATAAAAAAAAGCGATAAACAAATCATTAGCCCTTAACAGTTGTTTAATGCAATTTGTTAATGAACGTAATGGTGGGGACTAATAATGAAAGAAAATAAAAACGTCTAAACAGGCGCCAAGTTGCTGGCAATGCGCAATTATTTCCTTGTCAAGTTTTTATGATTTAATGAGCCCCTCTGGGACTGACGGCTGTCAGTCAGTCGTGACTTTTTGACACCATTACAACTTCAAATACAGCAGCAGGCAGGCTGTTTTCCTCGGATTTGAAATACTGAAATGATCTGACAGTTTTAAAGAAAAGATGTGCAAAAAAAAAGGAGAAAGAGAGGGAGAGAAAGACAGTTGCTTTTCCTTTCTTTCTTTTTTTTCCCCTCCCTTCTTCTATGGGTTGATAATCTCTGGATGCTGTTTGGTAATGAAAACCCAATCACTGAGGTCATTATCTGATGAGGTTTTTGGAACAGGCAGGCTTTTTTCCCCCTCTTTATTTCTTTACTTAATGATAACCCTCAATGGGCTTGCCCCGCATGGGATGGCCAGAGCCGCACAATTTTGTTCACCATTAATTTCAGCCTTTGAAGCTCAGGGCTCAGAAGCAGTAGCAAAGCAAACCCCCCACCAAGCTGGTTCCAAAATAAGACAATCCAGCCTGCCTTAAACAGAATAGCAAATGGCCTCCCAGCCCAGGCCCGGCAGCTGACGTCAGACCCACTGCATTTGCAGGCATTCGCCTTCAACACGGATCATTTAAAACTCTTTACAACTTAAGAGACTTTAATTAAATTGCTTTTGATTCTGGAGTGGGGTAGCATCCACTTTATTTATTCTGTCAGGGAAACTGTTTAGTCTGCATGAATTTTATATGGCAAGGGCTTCCTTCTCTTCTTCCTCCTCCATGCCTTCATCTTCCCCCCAACCACTCCCTTAAACATCATTTTTAACAAGGGCTCCCAACTTGAGAAATATTCGTCAAAGTCTACACACTAAGTACCTAGAACCTCTCACAGATCTACTTCACTATCTGCTTCAAGTCTGTGGACGTTATTCCTTTCCTGGTGGGGCAGGGAAGGAAGGAGAGCAATTGGCCTCTGCTGGGGATCCCCTAAGTCTTTTCTGCAGTGTCCAGGAGGACCAGGAAGGAGTTGAGGGAACCTTCTGACCAGCTTCCTCACAAAGCACTCACTAGCCTGGCCTAGGTAGTTGCTCTCAAGGAGGTTTGATGGAGCTGTTAGGCCAAGGGTTATCTGTTCATATTCTTCCCACTCCCAAGGTTGAATTGGGGTAAAATCACAGGCAAGAGCTGATAAAGACATAGAACTTGAACGAAAAAAGCTATTGAGAGGTGAGCAATGCCCTCCTCCTTTCTCATTTTGTCTGCTTCAACATGAACGCCAGGATTCAGTGAAATATTCAGGAGGCGGCCAGTTTAGATGATCCGATCAACCTTGCTTGCTAGGTGGCCTTGGGAAGAGTCTGCTGCATTGTGGACGGGATGGCCGTGCGAAGTGCAGCTGGTAACTGGTTATACACTTTAGCTAAGATCAACAGTTTTGAAGGAAGCCACCAGAGGGGCTGGTGTAATACTCGATGACTATTCGTGTGTCGGAATGAGAAAAGGGTTGTTTGTTTGTTTCCTTGCTTTTTAATGGTTCTTAGATGTGGTCAGCACGTACAGCATTCCGTTATCAGAATACAAGATTCTTGCTGAGACGGATCCCTTAAGCTGACAGGAAAATTAGCATAGCTTCCTGCTCCTTCTCTGTCCTGCTTCCCTCGGCCAAAATCCCACACCATCCCTCCGAAGTAAAGGCTGCAGCTTTATTTACACAATACTAAATGATTTATCCGAACACATGCAGGCCTTGGCCTGTTTCGATAAGTGCAATTTCTCTGGTGGATTCTGCCATTCTGCATTTCCTCTCTAAACCATAATGGTTTTCTTCTGAGTTGGGAAAAATATCAAGCACTACATCCAGGTGATATTGATCCACGGGCACAGGTGGTTAGCATTTTTGATGAAGAGAACAGGTTTGCTTTTCAAGGATTCAAAGCTTCTAATTATATTCCAAAGATAGTACGGACCAGTAAGTGCCTATGAAGTCTTGAGAAAAACATTCTGCTTTGTGACTGGGGGGAAACGACCTCAGCTTGGGCAACTTTTAAGCCTGATCACAAATGAGCTCATTTTGAACGCAATTCCTGGTTACCTCAGACAGAAAGAAATGAAAGAAAAAAATCACAAAGCATATTAGAAGTTTGAATACATAGTGAATTCAAGAAAGGCTTGCTAACATTTGTTAGTTAAAAACCCAAGCCATTCCTTTTGGAACAATCTGCCATCCTCTATTCTTTTAAAGGAGGTTAGGGAACGTTTTCCGTGAAGTTTATCTCTGGTGGACCCTCCTATAGGACTCTCCCATATTTATAATCACATTTGAAATTTCACACTGATGGAGTCATGTTCTTGCTCTTACTGAAATATTCATGGTCTCTTTACATACTGGAATGTATGTGGAGAGAACCTTGTCAGACCTTTTGCAAGTATGAGGACTGCTTTTGGCAGTGCAGATATTAAAACCGAAAGGATACAGAGATGCTTACACAGGTCAGGGAAGACGAGGTCACAATTAAATCCTGTACCAGGGCTCACTTTGCCAGCAGATTCTGGGGAGTATGGGATTTGGGGAAGGCAAGAAAATATTTCTTGTAGCCAGTAATCAAAGTTGTGAACAGTGAATACTGGGCAGGCTCAGCAAAAAAAATATCTTTGGGTTAAAAAAAAAATTATGCAATAGAAAAACAGGGAAAGTGCTAAGTCAATTTCCTGTACAACCGACATTAAATACCGACCTTTACAATGAAAGCACTCAGGCAGGTTGATGACTATATTCATGAGGCCTGTGTAGGAACAGGGCTGGCTTGCTGGACGGGGTCACTGACTCCATCCCCTGCTTTTTGCTGCATTTTTATCCTCAGACATCACAGAAGAGCTTTTCAGCAACAAGAGGCGGGTGACAAACAGAAGCTCTCGTGACTGACTCATCATGTCCTCTCCCAAACCACGGCCCTTGACACGTCCAGAGGGCTAGGAGTGTCACTGGGGCTATTTTGGCTAGTTGATGACATTAGCAAAAAGGTAAATAAACATTCACCTTCCCCTCTAAAAAACGAATCTGGGTGAAGACAAACCTCGAAAAGGAAACCAACCCACATGCAAACAGGAATAGAAAATATTTTTACACTCTTTGCACTTCAGCCCAACGGCGGTGAGGGAGAGAGAGGGTCACCTGGGGCCTGTCAGCGCAACAGAATGATTCATGTGACCATTTTGTCTTAATTACTCAGAACAAGCTGTTGTTGCTGTTTATCAAGGGAGAGCAGATACATCAGTGTCTTCTGACAGAAAAAGTGATCGCCATCAGGATGGTGATGACCACGATGATCCCTAGGATGACGAGCAGGATGCGGTTCTGGATGATTCTAGGAGACAGCAAAGGAGAAAAAACACACACAGATAAGTGGAAGGCCTTCCCACAAACGCCGTCCGAGGCCAGGTTGGCTAATCAAACGGCAGCTTTGCAGGTGGGGGTGGGGAGCGTGTGTGTGTGTGTGTGTGTGTGTGTGTGTGTGCGCGCGCGAAAGAGACATCACGCAGCTTTCTGGTTCTACAAACGATCCACGAGGAAACGAAAGGCTCCACATGATTGTCACGCTGCCCTCCGAGAAATGCTTACTGCAAAGCTAAGGCGAATCAAATGGCTTTCGAGGCTCAGAAAATCATGTAGCCTCTTTAAGTGATCAAGGGCCCCTTGCGAGCTTCTCTTTCTAATTTAAAAGGCGAGACAAGCCTCATTTTTTGCAGTGTTTCCTGTTAAAGTAAAATACTCCAAGGAAACACATGTCAGCAATGTACTTACCTGCACAAAAATACCTGGGGAAAAGTAAAACAGAGACTAAGGAAGAAAAGGATGGGATTAAGAAACAAGTGTCAAATGTGCAGCTTAGGCTGTGAAACCATCATCTGTCAGTGTGGCTCACGCTCCGTTACGCTAGGAGGAAACGTTACATTTGCTCCATAGCAAAAAAGATGGAAATGAGAAATATACAATGTACTCAAGGTGCCTGTTGTGCGTCTGTTGCTGGGCCTTTACCTCCAGGGATTCTACCTCCCTGGGTTCTGGCTGGGCTGCACGCTGATGGGGAACCAGCAACTTAGAAGGGGGACCAGAGTGGAGACACACGCTCCCAGATGCCTGCAGAGAGCTTCTGATGAGGTTGTTTCATAATTTGTTACCTCATTCGGAGAAAAGAGGTCGAACATCAGAATGCTTTGTTGAGAGTTTCAAAGGGAACCTAGGTCAAACAGCCGTGCCCACGCTCGCTCTCACAGAGCTGCACGGAAATAGAGACATGAGCTGGCTGGCAGTCTAGCCAGCTATCTGTCCAGCTTAAAACCCCACGGCAAACCCCATCCAACCCTCCTCCAAATACCAAGCAGCAAAAGGCCTGCTGCCCTACTCCAGTCACCAAACACTGGACATGGGTCTTCCATGGGGAGGAGCTGGGGAGATGAAGCTGGGCTCCCCACGGAACAGAGACCCCACACCCCTACTTTGTATCTTCACACACAAAAAAATCTTTGCAGGGTATTTTCTACTTCCTAGATGAGTTTATTTCCTGGAAGGATGACATCAGGTTGTAGTTTTAGTCAGATTCCTCCTCACCCATCCCCTTCTTCTCCAAACCTAAACGGTTGAATGGAAACTGTCTTATCAGACCAACCCACTCCCTCGTGGCCCCCTAAAAGGACGAGCTCTCTCTCCTCCTGACAGGTAACAAAATGATCACATTTGCTGACACGTCTTCCGCAAAACTGCCTTAGTGCCTCTGTCCACTCTCCTCGCAGGAGATGAATGGTCCACTTGGTCCTCATTTATCACTCAAGGCTTGGCTAAGATCTGTCTCGTTTAGTTCTTCCCTTCCCCACTAGAAAGTCTGCACTCCGACATTAATTCTTCTGTGATGACAGCTAATTCAGACTTAACAGGCCACACTTACTCAAGAGGCAGGAAGATTCTCTGTCCCCCAAATAAATAAATAAAAACAGGACTTCATGGCTTATGATAGTGAGGCTAATTATCAACACTGATCGGTGCTACTTGGTGGCTCTGTTTAAAACCCAAATTGATTTTTTCCCCCTTTTCTCTGGGAGGGACAGGAGCCTTCAGAATGGTCCCTACACATCCCATTTGCCCAAGTCACTGTCAAAATCTCTATTTACCACAGTCACCCGCATCAGACTTGCAAAGGAAATCAGCAAAATTGAAACTCAGCAGTGAAACAGATTAAAAGCATGAAAACTCTTTAAAATTCTGCCTTAAGTAATCTACAGTAGTGTGTCTCTTGTACAGCTTGGTTGACAACCATTTTATTTGTGGGTTGAGGGCCCCAAGGCATCCATGATGCTAATTTAGAAAGGATTAACTGTGGGTGTTACTTGTTCAATCTGAGGCATGGTAAGAAATATGAATACACAGGAATCCTTAAATCCTCAGCTCTTCCCTAACCTTCCTAATTGGGCTTCACCCCCTCCTTGGTGCACCCACAGGGCCTGGTGGCTTCCCCTCCACCGCCCGCTCTGTTGCTTCCAAGGGCCCAACCTGTGTGGACTGGGACCATGTGGAATTCACCTCTACCACCCCAGCACATGGCACAGTCGCGTTGCACACAGGTACTCAAAAGAGAACTGCCCAAAGAGTGATCGTGAAAGAATGCAGTCTCTGGTAACTGTAATCTTCCATTCAAAGGAGAATGGAGAAGTCTGTGCAATTAATTTGCAGGAAAATCTCAGGAAGTCTGCATGGAAAAGGTTAAAGTTCAAAGTTGAAGCAAGCCCCGTCAAAGATGAAACTTCCTACCATCACGCCTTCTCAGCACTACTTGGTCTTCCCCCTGAAGCTAGAAGGAACTCCTTTGTGCTGGGTGGGGGCGGGGTGTCAGCAGGAAAGGGCATTTGCTTTCAAACCAAATGCTGGCAGACATTTGGGAGGAAGAGTAGAAGGGGATGGGGAAAGAGTTGGAATAGAGAGAGCTCTAAGCAAGCTTGACTGGCTGGGCCATCCACCCCAACCTTGGACCTCAAAGGAGTTGTGCAAATGTGATACCCCTCAGGACCAGAAAAGTGAACTGTCAGGGCATCTGGGTGGATAGGACTGAGCCAGTTTGGAAGGGGGAAATACAGGCTGGCATTGGTGGGCCCCATCTGTGAGGAAGCTTAGTTGCAATCGCAGCCAGGGGCTGCCGGCCTGTATTGCTGTAGGCAAAGCAGAAAGGAATGCAGAGCTCGGAGACAATCAGAAAAACCAGCTAGGCCAAGGGGTTCCCAGCTAGTGAGATGGCAGCGAAGGAACTTGGGGAGAAGCCCAAAGTAACTTCCTCCTAACTTTGGGCAAGGGGAGGGCTTTATGTTGAACTAGGTCTGCAGCAAGCCGTCTTAATCTCCCTTTTGAAAATGCAAAGTGTGTTTACCCAGTAAATAATTTAAGAAAGAATATACACTTGAAAGAAGACATCCATTGAAACAGCCAGGCTAAATTGCCTCCAGGCAAAAACTTGTGCATTTGCATGCTGCATTCTATTAAGTGAGCACACTGTGGCTTTAAAAGAATGCAGAGCCAAAATAAAAGGAATGTGGGCCCGAAACATCAAGGATTCTCCAAGTTTACATTATGAATCACAGTGCTGTTGATACAAGATGAATTAACCATTTACTTTGAGGCTGAACTCACAAAGTACTATTGAAAGTACTGATCCCCATGTGGAACTCAGGGAGCGGTTAATCTTTCCATTGCCAGTCTCCTCCCAGCCTGGAAACGAGCTCCTGCGTGTGGCAGCCGGAATCACAGAAGGCTGGTTCCAGTGCAGGGGACAGGCGCGGCACTGCACCTGGCACAGTTCTCTGCTCTTGCTCGAGGAGCCCAGGAATTCCACTGGAACAGGCATTACGAGTGTTCTCCAATAGCCAGTTCTCCTCTACTTCCAGGCATGGACTGCACTCTTTTTTTTTTTTTTTTTTTTTTTTTTTTTGAGACGGAGTCTCGCTCTGTCGCCCAGGCTGGAGTGCAGTGGCGCAATCTCGGCTCACTGCAAGCTCCGCCTCCCGGGCTCACGCCATTCTCCCGCCTCAGCCTCCCGAGTAGCTGGGACTACAGGCGCCCGCCACCACGCCCGGCTAATTTTTTTTGTATTTTTAGTAGAGACGGGGTTTCACCGTGGTCTCTATCTCCTGACCTCGTGATCCGCCCGCCTCGGCCTCCCAAAGTGCTGGGATTACAGGCGTGAGCCACCGCGCCCGGTCTGCACTCACCTTAATGTTAGGCTTGGTCATGGAACTAGCTTTGGCTAAAGAAATGAGAGCAAAAGTTCTGAGTGTCACTGCCAGCTGGAGGCATCTAACTTCCAGTGTTTGTCTCTCTAGCGGGCTCTTCCTGCGGTTTTGATTTGGGGAGGGAGGGGCTGTATTGTTCCAGAGAGTACAAGTTATAGGATGGTGGTAACATCTTCTGCCTGGATCCTGCAGTCATTATGTAAAGGGCCACTGTCCTGGAGATGCACCTGGACTCCCAGTGGACTTGCGTTAAGCCATTGAGGACTGGGGGTTGTCACTGCCGAATACCATAAGCTCTTTTACCCTGAGTGATAACGCTACCGTCCGCCTCTCAGACAAGACGAGGCATCTGGCCAAGCCAAGAGAGGCTCTGGTTTCATGTATTTCAGAAGCTAAGGTATGATGAAGACTGATAAGATTTTTTTTTTCTTGAAGAACAGGTTTTTGCCTCTTGGTTTTCAAAAGCTGGGAACCTCTTCTGACCTCTTGGTCACAACACTTTTCACTGAAGAATCAGGAGCTTCTTCCAGCCAATGCTCCTGTGTATTGATGACTGATGATATCATGCGTGAGGCCTCACCAGGCCTAGCCAGGCATCCGCTTCCTGTGTACAGCAGATCTACAGTGGCTGCGTTCGTTTCCCTATTCCAAACAGCTGATGCTACCCCAGCTCCAGGGGTACAGCTGTGACTGAGGCTGAGATGGTCAGTACATTCCATGCCCCTGGCCATGGTAACTGGACCAGGAGCAGGCTTGTGACTTAAGTCCATCCAACAGAGTGGATCTCAGCAACTTTGCTTGAAATGCGGGGTCACCTGGACAGTTTGGTGTGTGGATGTCAGGCTGGATCCACTGCAGGCCTTTTGATTCATTGAGGGAAGCCAACCTAAGAAAGAAGCTGACCCACAGTGGGCAGAGAAATAGAACCCCAGTCCTGAAGACAGAGAACTTTAATTTTTAACTTTTTTTTTTTTTTTTTTTGAGATGGAGTCATTCTCTGTCTCCAGGCTGGAGTGCAGTGGTGCGATCTCAGCTCACTACAACCTCCCCCTCCCAGGTTCAAGTGATTCTCGTGCCTCAGCCTCCCAAGTACTTGGGATTACAGGCACCTGCCACCATGTCCAGCTAATTTTTGTATTTTTAGTAGAGATGGGGTTTCACCGTGTTGGCCAACCTGGTTCCAAACTTCTGACCTCAGGTGATCTGCCCATCTTGGCCTCCCAAAGTGCTGGGATTACAAGTGTGAGCCACCATGCCAGGCCGACAGTGAACATTTTTTTTTTTTTAAATCAAACCACCCTTTCTTTGGACTTTAACTTATATGAGAAAATAAACTGACTTTATTTTCCAAAGTCAGTTTGAATTGGGTTTTCTGTTATTTATGACCAAAAAGCATTTTTAGGTTGAGTCACCCTGATTCCAAAACCAGGTCCTTGATCTACGGCATATGTGCATTCTTCCCTCCTCTTCCAAGAGGCATTTCCTGGCTATGTCCCTCTCGTATTCTCCTATCTCCCTACACATCTCTCTTTCCAGTACATTGACTACAGTCCCCAGTAAAAAGTGGACCTTCCACAGTCCGAATTTCTTTTGTCTTTTGTATCCCTGATGCCTAACACACAGCTTGGCATAAATGTTCTCAAAACATGCTTGCTGAGTGAAGAAATGAGAGACTCTACCTACACGTGCTCAGGGTCACGTGGTTATTGCTCTCCTGGTTTCTAAGGACTGCTTGTAGATAAGCACAGCTTTAGGACTTAGCTGTTAGCCACTGTCCCATTAAGGATGCCAGCGGAGTCCCAACTTTTTTACAAGCCTGTGTTCATTAGCTGGAGAGTGGCAGACACTTTACAGGTTCAGAGCAGCATCCTGTACCTGCCTTCCTGCCTGGCCGACTGGCCCTGAATAACGATGCCCCACTTTTGGGGTCTGACAGAACAGTAACAATTAGCAACCGTGAGAGCATAGGATAAATTCTGAGCAGAGGAACCCGGATCTGCTTCTCTCTAGGCACTTCCCAAAACATGGGCCAAGGGAAAGCTCTTTAAATTCTATATCCAATTCAACGTTACTATTCACCAGAAAGAAATGAAAACAGGAGTAGGAGAAACAGTTAATTGTCATCTGCCTCAAACACTCACTTTAATTGGAAGGGTTATTTTCAGAGCTGGGGACATGTTTGCCTCTGAGCTAGAGCTGTGCGGTTATCATGCTGCCTGATAATGCCCATCTTGGGTCTTCTATGTCCTGCATCTCTAGGAGTAATCCTCAGCCCCATCGCGAGAATTCAGGGAGGCTGATCCCACTCTGATTCCACAGATGGACATATGGCCCAGGCAGGCCCAGCCAATGACAGCTCTCTAGCTCTTGCACTACCATTTGCTCAAGGATTGGTCTGCCACTCAAGCCAGATGGAATTCCTCTTGGGATTCTTCCTGGAAAATCAAGAAAAAGATACTGTCTTTACTGAGATTGACTGTCAGGACAGTGAGAACCTGGAGCTGCCAAGGACCATTCTTACTACCATACCGGACGAGGCTGCCTGAAAGAAGCCGACACCAGAGGAATGCAGAGCCGAGAGATAAAGAAAAAGAGACGGATTCCTGAAGACATATTTGAACCCCTGCTTCCTGCTGTGTGCCTGAAACCTGAAGAGTCACACTTCAGCTTCCCAGTTACAGGAGCCAAACAATTCCCCATTGACTGCAGCAAGTATGGTTGGGGATTCTCTCGCTTTCTTTTTTTTTTTTTTTTTTTTGAGATGGAGTCTCGCTTTGTCGCCCAGGCTGGAGTGCAGTGGCGCAATCTCAGCTCACTGCAACCTCCACCTCCCGGGGCCAAGTGATTCTCCTGCCTCAGCCTCCTGAGTAGCTGAGATTACAAGTGCTGCCACCACGCCCAGCTGATTTTTGTATTTTTAGTAGAGATGAGGTTTCACCATGTTTGCCAGGCTGTTCTTGAACTCCTGACCTCAGGTGATCTGCCCACCTCAGCCTCCCAAAGTGCTGGGATTACAGGCATGAGGCACTGCACCCAGCCTCTTACTTTAAATCATACTGATTGTACTGGATTGAACAGTGTCCCTGCAAATTCATGAGGTTCCACCTGGAACCTCAGAATGTGATCTTATTTGGAAATAGGGTCCTTTTTATTTTTTATTTTTAAGAGACAGAGTCTTGGCCTATTGCCCAGGCTGGAGGGCAGTGGTGCAATCACAGCTCACTGCAGCCTTGAACGCTTGGACTCAAGTGATCGTCCCACCTCAGCCTCCCAAGTAGCTGGGACTACAGGCATGCACCACCGCACCTGGCTAATTTTTAAATTTTTTGTAAAGACAGGGTCTCACTATGTTTCCCAGGCTGGTCTTGATCTCCTGGCCTCAAGAGATCCTCTTGCCTCGGCCTCCCAAAGTGCTGGGATTACAGTCATGAGCTCCATGCTGAGCCACCACCATGCCCAGCCTGGAAAGAAGGTCTTTGTGGATGTGATTCATTAGAGATCTTTTTTATTTTTATTTTTTATTTTTTTTGAGACGGAGTTTCACTCTTGTTGCCCAGGCTGGAGTGTAATGGTGCAATCTTGGCTCACTGCAATCTCCGCCTCCCAGGTTCAAGTGATTCTCCTGCCTCAGCCTCCCAAGTAGCTGTGATTACAGGCGTGTGCCACCACGCCCAGCTAATTTTGTGTTTTTAGTAGAGATGGGGTTTTACCATGTTGGCCAGGCTAGTTTCGAACTCCTGACCTCAGGTGATCCTCCTGCCTTGGCCTCCCCGAAGTGCTGGGATTACAGGTGTGAGCCACCACAGCTGGACTTCATTAAGGATCTTGAGAGGAAATCATTCCAGATTTAGGGTGGCCCTAAATCCGATGACTGGTGTCCTTAAGAGAGGACAAAGAGGGGCACGTGAAGATGGAGGCAGAGACTGGAATGATGTTGCCACATGCCAAGGAATGTTGGGCCACCAGAAGCTGCAAGAGGCAAAGAAGAATTCTTCCCTTACACTTTTGGAGAGAGCATCGCCCTGTCAACTCCTTAACTTCAGACTTCTAGTCTTCGCAACTATGAGAGAATAAGTGCATTTAAGCCATGTTGTTACGGCAGCCCTAGCAGCCCTGGAAAATGAATACACTGAGTGCTCGGATCCAGACCAGCATATGGAGCTGGTGATCTTATCTTGGGTTTCGTGATGACTGTTTTCCACGTCTCCACCTTCTTCCCCATGGCTGCACTGCACATTTACTGTGGATCTACACTAAGATCTCCTCCAAAGGACAGGTCAGTCCCAGCCGAGTTCACAGAAGCTTTGCATGCAGCTGTGGGGCTCACAGTCTTCCGAAGCTTTTGATTCTTACATCTCAGAATAAGAATTCCATTCATGAGCAGAGCAGGCAGTTTCCTGAAGCCATGTGAGATAAGGGGACTGAGGGGGCATGTGCCACAACACTCATTTCACAAAACTCCTGCCTCTGGAATAGGCCATTTAAAACAGGAAGAAGGCCAGGTACATTGGCTCATGCCTGAAATCCCAGAACTTTGGGAGGCTGAGGTGGGAGGATCCCTTGAGCTTAGGAGTTTGAGACCAGCCTGGGCAACATAGAGAGACCCTCATCTCTGTGAAAAATTAAAAAAAATTAGGCAGGTGTGGTGGCCTGTGCTTGTGGTCCCAGCTACTAAGGAGGCTGAGGCAGGAGAATTGCTTAAGCCTGAGGGTGAAATCGCAATGAGCCACGATTGCACTGCTGCATTCCAGCCTGGGTGACAGAGTGAGACCCTATCTCAAAAATAAAAAAAAATAAGGCTGGGCACGGTGGCTCATGCCTGTAATCCCAGCACTTTGGGAGGCGGAGGTGGGCAGATCACTTGAGGTCAGGAGTTTGAGACCAGCCTGGCCAACATGGTAAAATCCCATCTCTACTAAAAATACAAAAATTAGCCGGGTGTGGTGGCGTGTGCCTGTAGTCCCAGCTCCTCGGGAGTCTGAGGCAGGAGAATCGCTTGAACCCGGGAGGTGGAAGTTGCAGTGAGCCAAGATCTTGCCACTGCACTCCACCCTGGGTGACAGAGTGAGACTCCGTCTCAAAAATAAAATAATAAAAAAAAAGGGAAGAAAACTAGATGCTATCTCTGGGCCAATCTACCAAGCCATCATCAGCCATTAGTAGCCCCCACTGGCTAACATCAATTTAGGTGTAGTCAGTCATCCGAGAGACCTGAGGGACTGGGACACAGTGGGGATGAGTTTTGATGGGCAGGGAGATGAGCACTTTCTCCAGCAAGGAACTGAGGAGCCACATCCACTCCCTGAGCCCTGGCATATCTAGATTAGGTCCTGAGTGAGGACTGGAGTCGCTTCGCCCTGTTTCTAAATTTTTCTTAATACTTAGCTCAACAGGAATCAGCACGCTCTGTCTGCAGAGGGCCAGATAGTCAGTATATTAGTGTGCTAGGGCCGGCATAACAAAGTCCCACAGACTGGGCGGCTTCAACAACAGAAAGTTATTGTCTCCCAGTTCTGGAGGCCAGAAGTCCAAGGTCAAGGTGTCGGCAGGGTTGGTTCCCTGAGAGAGCAGTGAGAGAGTCTGATCCATGCCTCTCTCCCAGCTTCTGGTGGGTTGTCAGCTATCTTTGGGGTCCCTTAGCTTGTAGATGCATTCCCTCATCTCTGCCTTTGTTTTCACAAGGTGGTATCTCTGTGTGAGTGCCTGTGTTCAAGTTTCTCCTTTTAATAAGGACACCGGTCACATTGGTTTAGGAGCCCACCCTATTCCCGTACCTCATCTTAACTAATTGCATTTGCAAAGACATTATTTCCAAATAAAGTCATATTCTGAGGTACCAGAGGTTAGTACTTCGACATATAAATTAAGGTGAGAGGCTGCAATTTAACCCATAACTAAACATTTTAGGCTTTGGGGACTACGCAGTCTGTCACAACTACTCAACTTTGTTCTCGTAGTGTAAAGCAGCCAGTGACATATGTCAACGAATAAGCATGGCTGTGTTCCAATACAATCTTTATTTACAGACACTAGAATCTGAGTTGTATAATTTTGAATGTGTATAATTTTCACATGTCAAAAATTCTTCTTTTGAGTTTTTTTCAACCATTTAAAAATGTACAACTATTATTAGCCCGTGGCTAAAACAGGAGGAAGGCTGGATATAGCCCACTGTCTGTGATTTGCCCACTCATGATCTAAAAGCCAAAAGCTACTGGCTGGGCACAGTGGCTCACGACTGTAATCTCCACACATTTGGGAGGCTATGGTGGGAGGATCGCTTGAGGGCAGGAATTTGAGACCAGCCTGGGCAACATGGTGAGACCCAAGTCTCTACAAAAAGTAAAAAAAAAAAATAGCCAGGCGTGGTGGGGCACACCTTTAGCCCCAGCTACTCTGGAGGCTGAGACGGGAGGATTGCTTAAGCCCAGGAGTTCAAGGCTGCAGTGACCTGTGATCGCACGACTGCATTCCAGTCTGGGAGACAGAGCAGGACTCTGTCTCAAAAAAAAAAAAAAAAAAAAAAAAAAATCTATAATCTACCTAGGGCGGCCCTCCTTGGTTAAATTATGTGGTGGTCTTCGACAAGGCATGAGCTGCACAGACAGGTCTGGCAGGTCTGGCTGAAGTCCTTCTGAAGAACAAAGGAAACACAGAGTCCCTGCCCTATGGGAACTTATGGTGTCACAATGAGCAATCAATGAATGACAGAAGCCTCACGACAAAGGCCGCGATTAGAGTAATGCCAGGGCCGGGACAATGTGTTCTGTGCCCATAATCTGGTATTTACCTGGTGTGACCTAGAGCAAGTCACCCCATGACATTTGGGTTTCAGTTTCTTCCCCAACAAAATCAGCCAACTCACAAACCACCCCAGGGAGGAGAGGATTAGCTCATTAAAGATTTTAAAGCACTCTGAAAAGCTCTTTACATGTGTGCAGCTGGCAAATCATTCTGTAAAAGGAGATGGTATTTCAGGAAAGGTGAGAGGCACTGGTTGTCAGAGGCTGGAGAAGCTGCCTAGGAAACTTCCAGTGGCTGGATGGGAAGGTGGGGGCAGGAATCCAGGAAGCTGCTGCTTCCCAAGCCTGCCAGGCTTCTGGTTCCCACAGGCTGGTATCCATCTGGGCCTCATGCTGACAGTCTCCTGAGCACAGCCGAGCCTTCTCTCCCATAAACATCAAAAGGGAGGGGAGGGCATCACATTGGCTGGCTCCGGGATACCTTCCCAGCCTGGGAAGGCAGCCAACAAGTACCTGTCAGAGCCCACTGATAAGTCCGATGGGTTTAGATCAGTAATGTGTAGTTACATTGCACTCTATGTTGCCAAATGTGTACAGCAAATTTCAGCCTGGGCACCACGGCCACTGCCATTCTTAAATATGGACTTGACAATGGCAGGGGGCCTGCAGAGCGGCTTTGCTGGCTGCAGACTCCCAGATAGGATCAAGGCAGCTCACTTCAATCAAAGGGCTTGGAAAGAACTTGAAGAGAATTAAATAAGGATGTTCTAGAAATGCAAGGTATATTTAACTCCTCACAGGTCTGTAGATGGCTAGACCTGGAAAAGGCCTCCATGCCCTAGTCTAAATTCTTCATTTTATTTTATTTTTTTTAGAGACAGGGTCTCACTCTGTCACCCAGGCTGGTGTGCAGTGGCACGATCACAGCTCACTGCAGCCTTCACCTCCTGGGCTCAAGTGATCCTCCCACCTCAGCCTCCTGAGTAGCTGGGATTACAGGCACACATTACCACATCTGGCTTAGATTCTTCATTTTAGAGTTGAGGACACTGAGGCTGTGAGAGGGGAAGAGATATGCCCAGGGTCAGCCATCTGCGGCACAGCCAGGCCTTCCGGCCCCACGTCCACTCTTGTTTCACTATCACACTCTTTCTCATTCAAGCGGCCACTGCCTCTAACGGTGTCTGTACCTGACGGCAACTCAAATCCATCAGTGGCCCCACCTCTTAATGAGCCCAACCCAAACTCACTTCTCTCTAAAATGAAGAAGGAGGCTGGGTGCAGTGGCTCATGCCTGTAATCCCAGCACTTTGGGAGGCCAAGGCGGGTGGATCACTTGAGATCAGGAGTTTGAGACCAGCCTGACCAACCTGGTAAAACCCCATCTCTACTAAAAATACAAAATTAGCCGGGCATGGTGGCACATACCTGTAATCCCAGCTACTTGGGAGGCTAAGGCAGGAGAAATGCTTGAACCCAGGAGGCAGAGGTTGCAATGAGCCGAGATTGAACCATTACACTCCAGCCTGGGCAACAAGAGCGAAACTTCGTCTCAAAAAATAAAAAAATAAAATAAAATGAAGAGGGGGCATGGGACGACTGGGAAAAGTGGCCCCTAACTCCAGGCCAAGGCTGAAGTGGGAAAAGAAGAGTAACATTAGAAAGTAGCTTTTTTCTTAAAACCAAGATTACTCAATTTCGAGGCTGCTCTTTTCTCTGAGAATATGCCCTTTCCACTGTTTCAGTGTCAAAATGTCCCTTGTTTTATGGAGTGATGATGACAGTAGATGGCAGGGTTTTTCCCCAGTGTCCTTCTTTGGACATTGGAAATGTAGTCTCCCTTGGAAATTACTTTCTCTTACTTGGCGAAATAAATAGTGGACAATCTTCCAATAGGCCTGTACTTAAAAAAAACAAAAAGGTCCATTCCAAGAAATCTGAACATCTGTAAAGCATGGGGCTAGAAAATCCAACCCGGCTCTACTCTTTGGTGATTCTTCTAGAGAATGCGGCTGCAGCAACATCCACTGCAGTGAGGACAGCTGCAGCCATGGCAGCAGGGATGCCTGCATGAGCAGCTCAGGTTGGCTGGGCTTTACTCCAGGCCAGGTGCTGTTCTGGCATTTTATACACTGTGCCTGAACCCTCACAACAACCCTATGAGCTGGGGCCTATTATCATCCCCATTTTTACAGAGGAGGAAACCGAAGCCTCAACCCACTTCTCCAGCCCCATCTTCTACCACCGTATGGCATACAGATCATTATTTATATAATCGTGTGTCTTAGAATCTTTACTAGATCCTCCTTGGTTCTTTGATAGAAGAGTCTTGGACATCTTCACATTATTTTCTATAGACACAGTCATTGAGTACACAAACTTATTTATATGTTTATTTTTTGAGACAAGGTGTCTCCCTGTTGCCCAGGCTGGAGTGCCATGGCACTGCTCACCACAGCCTCAACCTCCTGGGCTCAAGTGATCTGCCTCAGCCTCCCAAATAGCTGGGACCACAGGTGCATGCCACTATGCCTGGCTAATTTAAAATTTTTTTTAGTAGAGATGGGTCTCCCTGTGTTACCCAGGCTGGTCTCAAATTCCCGGGCTCCAGCGATCCTCCTGCCTTGGGCTCCCAAAGTGTTGGGATCACAGGTGTGAGCCACCACACCCAGCTGCAAGTTTATTTGTGTTGGTAGTGCAGGGCACTGATTAACCAAAGTCAACCGATTCTTCACTTAGTGCCTAATGTAAATACACAGTACATTACTAAGGTAATATTCATTTTATTCTGCAGCATATTTCATCAGCTTTCCTCAATCACTGGCACACTGCCTGTTTTCTTTCAGCCTTTTAAGGGGCTCAATTTATCTCTTCTAGGTAAATGCGTGATCACCTGATCCCTCACCAAAGAGTATGAGACAGAAAGAATGGCAAGTGTTCTCTGGGAGCTGCCAATGACCTGGTACCACACGATTTTTTATTTTTACATAACATATGGGTGAGGGGATACACTATAGAAAGATTCAGGTCTGCTGAAGATTTATTGTAGTGGATCTGTTGGAATAGAGTTCTAGACAGAAAGAAAATCAGATGGAAGAACTAGCTAGACTCACTGTGCGAATCTGGGAAAGGACTACGGGTCCTTGAGTTTCCCCATCCACGAAATGGTAATAAAGGAAGCTCTCCCAAGTATTTTCTGCGAGGGTTGTGAAGAGCAATATAACTTCCGGACAGTCTTAAAAAGAGAGTATCTTTTTCTGGTTTATTGCATACAAGATGTCATTGAATCTTTATAATTATGTTAAGTATTAGGACCTAGATCTGATGGCTCAGGCCTACCCAGGGAAAAGGCCAGGCCCACTCCAGAGGTGGCCGAAAGGTCTCAGCCCAGGGCAGACGTGATTGGTGTCTGGGCCAGGATGACCCCTCCCCAACCCCCAGCTTTAAGTACTCCTCACCCTCCCACCTCCTGCTGGCCATCCTGGGAAGATCTGCTCGAGAAGGTTCTCCACCCCCACTGGGTCCTAACCCTTTATTGAGAAGCAAACTTACTGCTCTTCTGAACTAGTAACCCACCAAGCTCTTTTCTGAAGGTCCCTCATCCTTTTCAGCCTCCAGAGAAGCCACATACTACATTCACGTGGAGGTTGAGCAACCACCCTCATTTTTGGAGCCAAACTGCTTGGATTCGAATCTAGGATCTACCACACACCAGTTGTACAGCATTGGTTAAGTTACTGCATTCCTTCTCTGAGATTACATCCTCTTGACTGTTTTAGTGTGAAAATGAAAATGTTCTTTATTTATGCAGTGATAGTAGGAGAAGATGTACCAGTGTCTTTCCTTGGACATTAGAAATGTAGTCTCTCATTGGAAATTACTCTTTCCTACTGGGCAAAATAAAGAGTGAACAATCTACCATCAGGTCTCTATGAAAGAAAACAGTACCAATATAAGGAATTGGCACGCTCCAAAGAATCAACGCTCTGCTTTCCCTCTATTGGTAAAATGGGGCCAATAATAGCAGCATTCTGTTAATGAATTACATTAGTAAATAAATGGCTTAATTCAATGTGAAGTGCTTAGATCAGTGCCTGGCCAATGGTAGTTGCTCAATAAATAACTATAGGAACTATTATTACTCCACTCCTATCATACTCACCCATCTCCCCACATTACTTCTGGAAACTCCTCCTTGTCTGGCTGTACCCCCACATGCAGGCAGCCTCCTGCCTCAGGTGCCTTGTTCTGAAAGCCTACAAATCCCTTCTCAGATTCCTGCAGATGCCCAGGGCTCAACAGGGCACATCTGGCCTTGGTCCTGATTAGCTTGGATTGTCCGGTCCAGGCTGAGCTACTCGCCTGGAATCCCTGCCTTCAGCTCCTCTGCAGCTCTGTGAGCTTCTCTGGGGATACTCGTTGACGGCCAAGATGCCTCTCCTGGAACATATTGGTGAAGACTCGGCTGCCTTGGCTTTTGTGATGGGCTTTATTTTCCTCTAAGATCTGACATTCGATACTTACCACTTAATAGTCATTTATTTAACACCTTTTTCTTTCCTGATGTCAGGAAGGACAAACATTTTGGCAGAGGCTTATCAGCCACCTGCATCTCTGCCAACTTTTGAGGGATGTGGTTACGTTTTCTAGATCCTAACATCAGAACTCTCTCTCTCTCTCTCTAACATCAGAACTCTCTCTCTCTCTCTCTCTCTGGGCTCCAGGGCCACTGCTCCTTGTCTAGTCCCCCCAGCCCAGGTGGAGGGGTGCCCTGCTGTGGCTAAGCCCTGGGCTGCTCTGTTTTCTTAGTTGGACACTGAATGAGACCGCTGCAGAGTGTGCTGTCTATTCAAACTTGTGATATCTCCTTCATAATCTTAAACTGACTTCACATACCCCAAAGCAGCATTAATCAGATCTGCGCAGGTGAACTCTGGGTTCTTAGGCTGGGAGGAGGGTGGGGTG
Source organism: Homo sapiens (assembly GCF_000001405.40). NCBI lineage: Eukaryota > Metazoa > Chordata > Mammalia > Primates > Hominidae > Homo > Homo sapiens. The sequence continues at coordinate 112,799,674 of NC_000010.11, read as the reverse complement.
GGGTAACGATCAGATAACAGAGCCCCCAGGTTTGTGCAGGTGAAGCCACATCACCTGCCAGCCTGGGAAGACATATCCTTCCCTCTAACCAAGGAAGAAAGTCCTGTGAGGGTGGGGGAGATCCAGTCTGCAGGCTGTAGGCATCAGGGGCAGGGACTGGGAGAACAGGGGCATCTGCCCTTTTTCTAAAGCGAGGGGCTGCTGCTGACTGCTGCTGGGACTGAGACCTTCTGATTTACCAAGATAAGCCAGAAATGGTGTTCTCTTTGTGAAATCTCCCAAGTTTTAAATATTGGCAACAAAGTCAAAGTTTTCCAAAACACTGGATGGCCAAAGAAAGCACATCTGTGGGGTAGACTCACCCTGTGGGCCTTCAGTCTGCGACCTCTGACTAGTTACTAAGGAAGAAATTAAAAGGAAGAGGGAGTGGTGGTGAGCGCATCCCTGCCTTACCCTCCTGGAGATTCCCTTGGAGGCAGGAAAAGCCCAGCCCTCTTGACCCCTGCGGCTCTCAGAAGCCTGAAGTTCAGCCTCTGTGGCAGCATCAATAACTAGGGTCTACACTGAGATCATCCAACTTAGCCCATAACCGATTCCTAACCGTGGAGTCAAAGGCCAGGGAGGGGTCAACAGGAGCCAGAAACCAGCCTGTGCGCGCCTCATGGACTCTCACGAGAAGCATAAGCAGAGATCAGGGCTGGACCACACATCTGCAGCCCCCTGACCTTGGCATGGTCTGCAGCACGTGGCTGGAAAAGCCCAGCTGGTGACTCTAGGGGAGGATGGTGTGCATTTTCTATGCAGCGTGTTATAGGTCAGGAGGCCTGGAATGGGAAAGCCAGAGGTCTCTCTTGGAGGATGAGGAGCAAAGGCAGCCTTGTAGGGTTGCCTCTACTTACAATTTGCTGTGTGATCTTCCGGAGAACAAATAGTGCCTCAGTTTATCCATCTTTAAAATGGCAGTAAACATATGAGAACCCAGCACCCTTGAGGATGGGCACCAAGAACCGTATTTGTGGATTTGATGAAGATAAAGAAAACTAGTTGCCAAGGAGTAGTGTGGCCTTTGATCACTCTCTCAGGTCCTGTATTTGGCAGCAATGAGTAGGAAAATCACCCATGAATTAGGAGGGATCTTCATACAGACTAAGTCAAAAGGCAGCCTGTGTCTTGCAAAGAGACAGCGACCTTTCACTCTGTCATTCTTTGGGGACACTCCCTTCAAGCTCCCTGGCCTTAATTTTCACAGATGAGGGTGATATCTGACCCCCTAATTAGTTACTAGACAACACGATGGCCCCTAAGTACCAATAATAAGGTGTTTCCACTCCAGGTCCTCAGCAAAGGGAACAACCTGAAATTCTCTCCTGTGGAAGACGTGTTGAAAGCCCAACTGAGAGACAGTGTTGGCTGAGGAGCCTAGTGAACTGGGGTCCACCTCTCCTGCTGGAGGCTCTGAAGTCGACCCTGGAGCAGCAGAGCCCCCTGAGGGTCCCACCTGCACAGCATTGCTTTGGTTCACAGCCGCACTGACCTAACACCGCCAGCCTGAGGAAAGGAGGATGGTCAGAGCGCCCTGCAGGGCTCACTGTGCTCCCTGGAAGGAAGCTTTGGAGCCTGGTGTTTACTAACCTGCACAGTGTGTGTCCCTGCGAAGAGGTCCCACGACAAAGTGTTCTCTCTCATCAGAGCAGGGGAAAAGGCTGAGTTTCTATCTCACAGATACTGACTCACGTAGCTGAAACAATTGCCCTCTCCAAGTCAGCTGCCAGAACGCTCAGAGAGAAATCTGTGGGCCACCTCTTACAAATGTATAGGCGATTCCACAGTTTGTGTACTAGCCTCCCCGTTACTTCTTTTGTAAATATTCAATCTTATTGTGTTGCATATATTTAGGTAAATGCTCTAATTCCTTTTGGGACCAAGACAGGTTCATACACAGGCACTAAAAAGGTGAGAAAACAAACAAACAAAAAATCCTCACGTCATCACAGATTGGCTACTTTAATGATTCTGCCTTTAGTTTCCCTCCTATCCCCAAAAATTCTGTATCATATCATACTTGGAATATGAGTTTTCACATTTACCAAAATAATAGGGTATCTTAATTTTTTTTTTTCTTGAATCTCCTTTCATGGCCAGCATAGAGAGGTTTCTAGAATGAACCCAAACTTGGGACTCGGGGCCCCTGGGCTCCTCCTGTAGCCAACTGCAGTGGATGGTGGGTCCCCTTTGTTTGGGGGATTTACAGCAATTGTCTTAACGACATGGACCTCTTTTGTGAAAGCTGCAGGCGTTCCCAGCAAATGTTGGCTGCAAATACACTAGCCGGGATGTTGCCACGGTCACGGCCCTTCCTCGAACAATCTAAAGCATATTTCTCTCTGTATATATTTGTTTTTTTAGATGCTTTAAAGCCTGGAAAACAATCATAGCTGAGGCCATTTCTGAGATGGCACTAAAAGAACCTACTCGGAGACAGATAAAAATAATGAGAATCTTTCTGTCAGGAAAGATTTAGAAAATATCACTGGCATTATTAAAATTTAATTTTTTACTCCGCTTTTTGGTTCCCCTTTCCAGTGATAATGAGCAGGACTGCACACCTCCGCCTTGCTAGTACTTGTTTTGTGCAATAAATTCAGCCTTCCAGTCTGAAGACATTTCAGACAACAGTTTTGACTGCTATAGGCTTATTTTTTACCCTGTGCTATGCTTTGAGTCTTCCTATAAAAACCAGTTCATGAGATAATTTTCCACAAGGCCAGTGGAACTAATAAAAATCAATTTTGCCCAACTGGTTCAGAGAAATCTTGGGAATAGCCAAGGCAGAACTGCAGAAAGGGGGAAAAAAAGGATCAATGTATTCACTAATGGTTTACTTGATAGAGAACTATCAAATTAGCTGACAGGAGACGCTTGGCTGTAGGAAATTTCCTTTCAGCCTAAACAGAATGCCTTTTACAGGCCCAGGAAGAACTTTTCCCTCCCAGGGTTTGAAGATACTCTAGTATAGTGATTCTTCCAAGGACTTGCCCACACCAGGGCCAACCTGGGGCCTGACAGATGGTGGCCTCTGCTTGTCCAGAACCTCTTTTATATGAGAGGAGCCAGTTTTGTGAAGAGGTGGGCTGCATTTTACTTGAATTGCTCTTAGACCACGAGATCAGTGGGTTGGGAATTCATCAGTTCACTTGGATGCCTTAGGTTCTTGAGACCTTCTCACACCCCTTGCAGACACATGACAGCCTTCTTTTTTTTTTTTTTTTTTGACGGAGTCTTGCTCTGGGGCCCAGGCTAGAGTGCAGTGGCTCAATCTCGGCTCACTGCAACCTTGGCCTCTGGAGTTCAAGTGATTCTCCTGCCTCAGCCTCCCGAGTAGCTGGGATTACAGGTGTCTGCCACCATGCCTGGCTAATTTTTTTAAAAACATTTTTTAGTAGAGACAGGGTTTCATCGTGTTGGCCAGGCTGGTCTCGAACTCCTGACCTCAGGTGATCTGCCCACCTTGGCCTCTCAAAGTGCTGGGACTACAGGGGGCAGCCACCGCGCGTGGCCCCGTGACAGCTTTTAGATCCCCCATATTGGCTTCTTGGCAATCCAAGTGGGATTTCAAGGGGGCACCTCTTTTATAATCAGAACACAAGGCTTAACGACTGTCTAGCTTTCATTAGTTCAAAACACTAGTTGAACTAACAGCAAGTCTTTGCACAGAAAGAAAAAGAACTGGAAGGAAACGCAGCCAAGTGTTAATGGTGTTTATACTCGGGTGGTGGGTGTTTTTTCTATCTTTATGTATTTCTACACTTTCTTGAATTACCGTATCTTATTACATATATAATAATTATTTAAAATAATGCTAAACTAAAAATTCAGTATATTGAATAAAAGAAACATAATAGACTAATTTATTCACAGTGTTATAAGAGAGTAAGAGGGGGCTGGGCGCAGTGGCTCATGCCTGTAATTAAGCACTTTGGGAGGCCGAGGTGGGCGGATCACCTGAGGTCAGGAGTTAGAGACTAGCCTGGCCAATATATAGTGAAACCCTGTCTCTACTAAAAATACAAAAATTAGCTGGGTGCGCTGGCACATGTCTGTAGTCTCAGCTACTTGGGAAGCTGAGGCAGAAGAATTGCTTGAACCCAGGAGGCAGAGGCTGCAGTGAGCTGAGACTGTGCCAATGCACTGCAGCCTGGGTGACAGAGCAAGACTGTCTCTCAGAAAAAAAAAAAAAAAAAAAGAGTAATAGGGAATGTGTAGGAGAAAAAAGAACAAGGGTAAAAATTATTTAAAAATTTTTTTTAGTGACTTCTACTATCCTAAGTCCTTCACTCAAATTATTTTATTTAATCCTCATACCAAATCTATGGCAAAGGTGTCAATGTTCCCATTTTCCAGAGGAGGAGACTGAGGCTTAGAGAGTTAAGTTAGCCAAGATCACACAGCTAGTTGGTGGAAAAGCTGGTATTTAAAATCGGATCTGATGTCAAAGACCACATGCAATACAACAGTGAGGAAAATAACAAGTCACAGAATGTCTTGCTTTCTAGCTGTAGTTCCAAACGGCTATGATGCCAGGTGAGTCACTTTGCATTTATGATTAAAGTCAGGGACAACAACATCTGTCCTTTTTTCCTATCTCATGGGTTCTTGTGATGCTGAAATTAGATCACACGTGTAAAAGAAGAGAAAACGCAATGTCCTCCTCAAAGGAATATGGTAATATGATAATATTTCATATAATATCGGTGAGTTGAGGGTTGTCACGAATGCTCTTTGGGTACTGATAATTTTCAAAGAAAAACTTATACAAAAGCAGAATTATTATTAAGACTATATTGAATAAATTTGTTTTTGATGATTCAGAAAGTTTAACAGAATCTGACCCTATCCTAGTCATCATTAGGACCACTAATTTTCTTGCTGATAATATATTATGTAAAAAGCAAGGGTTACAAATAGTACGTATAGTATGATCTGAATTTTGCAAAAACTACATATATAAATGTAAAACAGAAATCGGAAAGATATACATTGAAATGTAAATAATGATTGTGTCTAGGCGTTGGGATCATAATTTTAATTTTTTATTTATTATTTTATTTTATTATTATTTTTTAGAGGCAGAGTCTCACTCTGTTGCCCAGGCTGGAGTGCAACAGCGTGATTATAGCTCATTGCAACCTCAACCTCCTGGGCTCAAGCAGTCCTCCCACCTCAGCCTCCTGAGTAGCTGGGACCACAGGCATGCATGACCACACCTGGCTAATTTATTTTTTGTAGCAATGGGGTCTTACTCTACTGTCCAGGCCGGTCTCGAACTCCTGGCCTCAAGTGATCTTCCCACCTAGCCTCCCACAGTGCTGGGATTACAGGCATGAGCCAATGCGCCTGGCCAGGATCATGATTTTTTAAAAATCTCTGATTTTTTGAATTTTACAATTTTTTTTTGCATTTTGCATTTTGATTTGAATTTTGCAAATTTTGGGGTAATAAATATGTACTGTTTCTATAATCAGAAAATATGATCCAGCCCCCTCTTCCCCACAGTACAAAAACATCACCTTTTTCCTTGAATAAAACTGTAAAATAAATTCTGAGCTTTGTGGTTGTTTGAGTTCTGGTGAAATAAAAGTTTATGTGGAATACATTTAGAACTTAAAAAGTGAGGGGTGAGGGGTGTGGGCACTTCATCTTCTTTATGCAGGTCAGACTCAGTCGGTTGAGGGCTTTTGCCGACACAGCTTGACTGCAAACCATCAGAGGTCAAGAAGCAGGAGGGTACACAGTGCACCTGGAGAGAAAAACCTCATGCCTGCAACTGCAATGATGTCGTAAAACATCAGCACCTAGTCTGATTCTAGAACAATCTGATGGTTTGCCTGATGGCCTTAGAAGCAGAGCCGTGCCTCCTATCGGAGCACACAATCAGGAGCATAGCAGAAAAGCGCCACCCTGTTTGTAAAAACAAGGCCCAGTTCAGAGTTCAAGCAGTGCCACCAAGGAAGCTATTTTTAAGTATCTAATTGCGTTTGTAGCATCTGGCATTTTGCACACTTCATTTTTATGACTTCAGCATGATACATGTTCCACAAGACAAACAAACAAAAGAGAGATTAAGTGTGGTACATTGGAGTCATGTTGAATATTCCCAGTATAGAAACATTATAATATGCCCTAGAGATTATTCCAGGGCCAAGTAAAACATTACCCAATGTATAGAACCTTGGAATGGGGAATACTTAGCAGTGCAGGAGAACGGGAATTTACTTCATTTATTAGGCCAGTATACAGCCTCAGATGCTAACATGCACTGATAGGAAATGCCAACATTTCAACTTGAATCAAGGCCAGAGCCCATAACATCGACACTTTGCCTTTCAGCAAAGGATCACAAACAGCACAAATCTGGGTTTCTTGTACTAATTGGGGAGGTTTTCTAATTTGCTTATGATATCTGCCTCATGTCGAGCTAATCTTCCTCCGGTTACCTCCTAACGCTGTCTGAAATAATCCGCTTACTCCTGGTCTGTCCGCAGCACTTTATATCAAATAACACTGGCTTCCTTAACACAGCCACGGCAAAAGGCAGCCTCAGCCCCAGCCCTGTGCTTCCACTTCACCGAGTGTGCGACAATTACTGCAGATGCCTGTAACAGAGCCAGGCGAGGCAAGGAACAAGAGTGCATCACAGGCTTTTGAGTCAGTGAGACTGATGATGAAATATGTGCTAAACAGCACCAATTAACAACTGAAAGCATAATCTGATCAGCATTTTGAAAAGACTGAGACGTAACTTTGCTTTCTCAGACAGGCAGGCAAAATATTTCAGGGTGTTGAGCAGCCTACGTAATTATCACCATCAACATCCAAACTCAGTTCAAAAAAACTTTTTTTCTAAATACAGTCCCCACCTTTCCCCTCTTTTAAAAGGCTCATGTAAACATTCACTGACACAGCCAGGAGGCTTCATTGATACGGGCTGGCAATACCACTTCAGTAGTATCATTGCCGTATCTTGACTCGGTTTTTATGAGTCAGATTTTTGAAGAGTTCTGGGGAAGGAAATGTTTTAATTTTCATAAAGGAGAATCACTCAAAATTCCAATGCTCATAAAACGTGCCCTAGGTGTGTGTGTAGGGGTGATTATGTCAACAAACAATAGCAGCATTGGGCTGGAGAGCTCATTTGGGGAAGAGTGTGGTACTAAGGTGAGAGCCAGGCTCGGGTCCCAGGTGGGCTGCTGGGCTGTGTGACCTCAGGCAGAGCACTTTCTGCTTCTGGGCCCCCATTTCCTGATCTGCAAAGCATGAGACGTTGGGACACGTAAGGACTGGGGGACTTCTAAGACTCCTTCTAACACTAAGAGTCTACAGGTTTTGTTTGTTTGTTTTGAGATGGATTCTCTTGCACTGTCGCCCAGGCTGGAGTATAGTGGTACAATCTCGGCTCACTGCAACCTCTGCCTCCCGGGTTCACATGATTCTCCTGCCTCAGCCTCCTGAGTAGCTGGGATTATAGGTGCACACCACCACATCCAGCTAATTTTTTCTACGTTTAGTAGAGACGGGATTTCACTATGTTGGCCAGACTGGTCTCAAACTCCTGACATTGTGATACGCCTGCCTCAGCCTTCCAAAGTGCTGGGATTACAGGCGTGAGCCATCGTGCCTGGCCGAGTCCACAGTTTTTAATTGAAAGGTTCTTATTCCTTTCCTATAAATGTGTCTATTCTAACTACGCAATCCCAGCATCTCTTTTCCCCTGCTATGCAACACAACATATTTGAAAGTGTTTCCCTCACATTTTAGGAGGCTACTGAAGCAAAAAAAAAAAAGTTATATTGTTTAATCTTACTTTACAGGAGTTTGCTTTTTTATTAGAGAACAGACTCAGAACAGTGATCAGTGTAAGTTATACGTACCCAAAGTGAGGGGGTGCTGTGGGGGGAAGAAAAAAGGAGGCTGCCTTCAAGCACCTTGTGGAAATGTATAAAACAAGCAACGAGATAGTCCTTTGCCAAACACTGTCATAAATTTTTTATTTGGCAGCTAACATTCTCACTGGTTTTCTTGGCAGCAATTGGGACCTTTAGCAAGAAAGGTGCAGAAGAAAAATACCTTGTTTAGAGATGTTTTCAACACTTTCTGGGATTTTTCAGAACTTCTGCCTGCAGCACATATTTACAACTATAGTCTCCAATCACCTGATGAGTGGGTGGTGGGGTTTAAACTTTCTTCTTTTTTAAAAAAAGAATATATAGAGAGAAAGTGAACAAGCAGTGCTACCCCCCTCTGGCCTTTTGCTGAGCGTGTCTTTCTTATTTTTTGTGGTAGGCATTTCTGATATCCAAGTGGTTAGTCTTCTCTGTCTAGACAAAAAACTGAAAATAATATCAGAATGTACCTTTTGTTGCGCCTGATACTATCTATATTGTATTCCCAGATGACAGAGATAAATGAAAGTGAAACAACCTGATGACTAGGGCATTTTTCTTCAACAGTTCCGCCAAAAACAGGTCCCACCTGTTGCCTTTGGGTCAGCTAATGGGCCAAGAGCTGCCTGGATTCAAAGCTCATGTGAGCACATGCAGACGGGATCCTGGCAGTTACACCCTGATGGTGGAAGGAATGAAACAAGAGCATGCAGAGCTGGTCATTGCCATATTGGAGAACCTCAAGCACCAAATGCCCTTTGAGGAGGGGTCTTTGGGATTCTGGGAAGTAGAGGCCCAAATCCGCAAAGATGAGGTCTTTCATTGCAAGGGTATCCTAAACACTTTCTACAAACACATTCTACAGACCAGCAAAAATCCTCCTACCAGGGGACTTCCAGCTATGAGCGAAGAGGTCGGCAAATTCACAAAACAAGTATAAAACTGGAGAATGCACCAAAAAAAAAAAAAACGTCTTTTAGTGATCTGGATGACGACCAAAGGCAAAAAACAAGTTGAGAAGTGCTTATTCATAGAAAACTGGCAGAATTTTGGGTAAGAACAACCCCACCTCACCCCTTAGCTTAGTTGGCTAGAATGATGGTTTTACCAGGGTGGGGCTGCCAGAAGAGGCTGACTTGATTTGGAGCAGAGGGCAAAACCCAGGCCTAGCAGCATTGTCAATAAAAGTAGCAAACTCGGTAGGTAATGAATGGTGAAAACCCACACCTCTGCTAGCCTAAAGTTACAGTCCTAGTTGGGGCGGGTAACAGGCCAACCAAAAATGTGATGGGGAGATCCTGGAAATGAAAGAGCCACAGAAGTGCTAGATAAGCTCTCTATGCATCTCTTATGGAGTGGGAAAGTATATATATGTGCTGGGAAGACCTGAGAGACACCAGTGAGAAGCCAAAGCCAAGGCAAGCTTGGGAACTGGCTGAACTTTGAATGTGCTCTGCAACCCACACACAGATCACTGCAGAGGATGTAAGCCTTATGGGTTGGAGGTTTTTGAATACAATCTCTGCCCAGTCATTGGCTGACCACTAAGCTATGCACACAAAGGGGCAACCCCTAGGAAACCAGCCTCATAAAATAAAGATAAGACTTGAGGAAAAGAAAAAAGCAACAACTGAGTAGACTGCAGCGGAGACAGATTCTAGAGACTACATTCAGAAAAGCTACTTAAAAATACTAGACTCTTGTGTTGCTACAATATATTATCTAAAATGTCCTATTTTCAACAAAAAAATGACATGATAACAACCACCAAAAAAAAAAAAAGGAAAGAAAAAAAGGTGTGATCTATATATTCAGGGGAAAAAAGCAGTCAATAGAAACTGACTCTGAGTGGATCTGATGTTAGATTTAGCAGACTCCCAAGCAGCTATTAGAAATATGTTCAAAGAATTGAAGAAAATTATGCTTAAAGAATTAGAAGAAATTATGATGACAATGCCTCAACAAAGAAGAAATCTCAACAGAGAAAGAGAAATTATAAAAAAGAGCCAAACGGAAATTCTACAGTTGAATATACAGTAAATGAAATGAAGAGGAATTATGAACTCGAAAATCTGTCTAAAGAAATTATCCAATCTGAAGAAGAAAAAGGAAAAAAGACTGATGAAAAATGAACAGGGAGGGCTTCAGAGACCTGTGTGACAATATCAAGCATACCAACATATGTGTAATGGGAATCCAAGAAGAAGAGGAGAGAGAGTAGCAGATAAATATGTTGGTAGAAATGATGGCTGACAGCTAAACTCTTGAAAATAGCAAGACAAAAATGACTCATCATGCACAGGCAAATAACAAATATGATTAATGGCTGACTTCTCATCAGAAACAATGGAAGAGAAGACAGTGGAATGACATATTCTAAGTGTCAAAAAGGGTGAGGTGGGGGACTTATCAACCAAGAATTCTATATCTAGCAATACTATCCACTAAAAGTGAAGGTGACATAAAGACTTTTCTAGATAAACAAAGAATAAGAGAATTTTTTTTAGTAGACTTGCTGTACAAGAAATACTAAATAAAGTCCTTCAGGCTGAAAGAAATTATGCCAGATGGTAATTCAAATCCACGGAAGGAAATAAGAACACTGGAAATGGTAAATATGTAGGCAAATATAAAAGACTGTATAAATATATATATTTTTCTTCCCTTAATTTCTTTAAAAACCATTAGATTGCACAGCACTCACTATAATTTTGTATTGTTGGGTTTATATCATGTGTAGATATGATAATCATAGTCATATCTATACGTAACAAAGGAAGAGGGAGGAAATTGGTTATATTGGAATAACACTGCTATATTTTATTAGAATTAAGTCAGTATCAACCTGAAGTAGTTCATGAAAAGTTACAAGATACAATTCCTAGAGCAAAGACTGAGAACATTTAAAAATGTAATAAAAAAAATCAATATGTGAATTAAAATGGCATACAAAAATATCTATTTTTAAAAAGGAGGCAGAAAAGCAGAAACAGGAACAAAAAGACATAAGGAATATAGAAAACAAATAGCAAAATGGCAGACATAAATTCAACAGGACTAAAAAAAATCACATGTTAAATGTTAATGGACTAAATGTTAACATGTACATGTTAAAGGACTAAACACTCCAGTCAAACAGCAGAGATTGTTAGACTGGATATAAAAGACCCAACTTTATCCTGTCTGTAAGAGACACATTTCAGGTTAAAAAGCACATAGAGGGTGAAAGTTAAAAGGTGAAAAAATATATGCAAACAGTAACTATAAGGAGCTAGAGTGTCTATATTAATATCAGACACATGGCTTTTAAGACAAATAGTCTTAGGAACAAAAAAGGATGTTTCACAAATATAAGACAATCAATGTATTGAGGAGATACAATGATGATAAACATACACACACCTAATAACTAAGTCTTGAAAAACGTGAAGCAAAAACTGATAAACAAAAGGAGAAGAGAAAGTTCAACAATTATACTCAGAGATTTCACCACCCTATTCTCAATAACTGATAGAATAACTAGACAGGAAATCAGTAAGGCTATAGAAGACTAAGTAGACTAGATATAGAAATCAACATTTATAGAACATACATAGACCATACATAGGCCATAAAACAAGTCTCAATAATTTATTATTAAATAATAATTTATTATTAAAAATATTGAAATAATAAAAAATATGTTCTCTAATCACAAGACTAAATTATAAATCAATAATAGAAAGTAATTTGGTGGCCAGGCGCGGTGGCTCATGCCTGTAATCCAGCACTTTGGGAGGCCGAGGCAGGTGGATCACTTGAGGTCAGGAGTTCAAGGCCAGCCTGGCCAATATGGTGAAACCCCGTCTCTACTAAAAATACAAAAATTAGCTGGGTGTGGTGTCATGTGACTGTAATCCCAGCTACTTGGGAGGCTGAGGCAAGAGAATCGCTTGAACACAGGAGGTGGAGGTTGCAATGAGACAAGATTGTGCCACTGCACTCCAGCCTGGGCATCAGTGCGAGACTCTGTCTCAAAAAAAAAAAAAAAAAAAAAGAAAAGAAAAAAGAAAAAAGAAACTAATTTGGTAAGTCCTAAGTATTAGATAATTGAGTAACACATTTCTAAAGAATGCATGAATCAAAGAAAAAAATCACAACAAAAATTTAATGAATGGAAACCAAACCATAATTATCACTATTTGAAGGATGCAATTTAAGCAGAGCTTAGAGAGAAATTTATCTGCCTAGTTAGGGAAAAAGGAAAGGTCTCAAGTCAATGATCTAAGCTACCACATTAAGAAAGAGCAAATTAAGCCCAACACAAGCAATAAAAAGGAGTAAGGGTTAGAGCAGAAATTAATACAATAGAAAGTAGAAAATAATAGAGAAAAATCAATGAAACCAGAAGTTGGCTCAAAAAGATCAACAAAACTGATAAACTTTTAGCTAGAATGACCAAGAAAAAAGGGAAGAAGATACAAATGACCAATATCAGGAATGAAAGAAGAACATCACTACTTAACAAAAATTAAAGGATTACAAGGGAATATTCTGAACAGTGTTATGCAAACAAGTCAGATAATTTAGGTAGAATGGACAAATGCATAGAAATATACACATTACCAAAACTGACTCAAGAAAACATAGAATACCTGAATAGACCTATAACAAGCAAGTAAGTTGGATTAGTAATTTAAAATCTTCCCACAAAGAAAAGCCCAGGACCAGATGGCTTAAATAATGAATTACATCACAATTTATGAAAGAAATAATACTGTTCCTACACAAATCCTCTTAGAAAATAATGGAGAGACTATGCCAACTTGTTCTATGAGGGCCGTATCACCCGGATAAAAAAGTTAAACAAAAATATTACAAGAAATATTCTTCATAAACACAGACACCAAAATTCTTATCAAACTGAATCCTATAACATATTAATAAAGTTTAGATATCATGACCAAGTGGGACTTATCCCAGAAATGCAAGGTTGATTTAACATCTGAAAATCAATTAATGTGACACATGACATTGATAGAATCAAGAACAAAAATCACATAATCATTTCATTAGAGAAAAAACACTTGGCAAAATGTAACACCTACTCATGATAGAAACTCTCGACAAACTTGGAATAAAAGGAGACTTTTTCAACTCAATAAAGAGCATCTATGAAAAATTTACAGCGAATATCATACTTAAGGGTGAAAGACTGAAGGCTTTCTTTCTGATTGGGGATAGGGCAAAAATGTCTGCTCTTACCACTTCTGTCCAAAATTGTATTGGAGCTTCTAGCCAGTGCAATCTGGCATTTAAAAATTACAAGTAAAAGGCACCCAGATTGGAAAGGAAGAAGGAAAATTGTTGTCATTCACAACTGACGTGATTCTGTATGTATAAAATCCTAAGAGATCGACAAAATACTACTAGGACTAATACACAAATTTAGCAAGGTCACAAGATGAGAATATACAAAAATCAAGTGTATTGCTATAGCCACAAATAGTCTGCAAATGAAATTAAGAAAACAATGTAATTCACAATAGCATCAAAAAAGAATGCAAAACTTAGAAACAACTTTAACAAAATGAGACCTGTACCGTGAAATCTATAAACATAGCTTTAAAAAGTAAAGATCTAAATAAATGAGGAACAATTCCATTCATGAATTGGATGATTCAACATTGTTAAGATGACAACTCAATGCAATCCTTATTAAAATGTCAGCAAGCATTTTTTTTTGGGGGGGCGGTGAAAATGAAATGGGAATTCTTAAATGTATATGTAAATGAAACAACTAGAACTAGAATGTATAAAAATGAGTTTGAAAAAGAAGAACAAAGTTGGAAGACTTATACCACCTGACTTCAAACTTACTATGAAGCTACTGTAATCAAGACGGTGTAGTCTGGGTGTAAGGAAGACACAGTTCAATGGAACAAAACAGACAACAGACATTCCAGAAATAAACATTTATATTTACAGTCAATTTTTGACAAAGGATCCAAGGCAATTTAATAGAGAAATTGGGTACCCATATTTAACAAAATGAACATAGACCATAACCTTACACTATACACAAAAATTTAAATGGAACACATACCTAAATGTAAAGGCTAAACTATAAAACTTCTAGAAGAAAACATAGAAGTAAAATTTTCTAACCTTGGGACAGGCAAAGATTTTTAGGTAAACCACTACAAGCATGATCCATAAAATTAAAAATTGATAAATTTTTATCAAAATTAACAGCTTTTGCTTTTCAAAATTCCCCATTAAGAAAATAAAAAGACAAGCCATAGAGTGGGGAAAAATATTTGCAAATCATATATCCAAAAAAAGGTGTGTACAGACAAGTATAAAAATAAAGCCCCTCTATGGCTTTGTAGCAGAGTCTTACAAGCTCCAGAGCTGCCTTTGTTGGGGAGGGGCTTCTCTGCATTGCCTCTGGTCATTCCTCTGACAAGGATTCTGAAGGAATGGCTGCCTTCAGGAAGGCTCCTGGGGAGCCCAGTGAGCCCCTTGCTCCCATCTACAGGCTTCATGGACCTCTGCCCCCACTTCCTTCCCTTTCCCACCATTCTGGGGTCCTGCTCAGCTACACCACTGGCATGTGTGGGAAAACATTACTGGCTGTGCTTATATTCAGGGGCATGGAGGTCTTTTTCTGTATAAGTTTACAGTAGAGAACAATGAAAAGACTAAAATCCACAGCCAACGGGGGCCAAGGGATCTGCCTACATCTTGAGTTTTGCCATGATGTGAAAACACATGGCTTCAGAGTGTAACATGAACAACCCTGAGATCTCTCCAGGGTGGAATCTGTGTTTTCAGCTATGCAGAAATACGTACGATGGACCTTTTAAAAAGTCAGTGGGAGGGTGTGTTAAATGAAAATCAAGATAACCTTTCTTAGGCATGCTTTCCCCATATACTCCAAATTTTTTTCGTTTTGACTAGCATAACAGTTGGAGAAATGCCTTAAAACAGGGGAAGTATCTATTTTTCTCCAACCTCACTTGAATTGGGCACTCTGGGATGAAGGGGAGGTTTGCCGTTTGTAGACAAGAATGAAGCCTTTTGTGAACAGGCTAAGTACACCACTGACTTGCTTTAAAAAGTGTCAAAGGCTATTTCTGGAAAACGTGTGGTTGACTGTGCCACATTGAAACACTGACTTATCGCCCAATTTAGCGTTAAAACATTAGAACTTACAATTAGGACTACTCTGTTTACTCCAAATGAGTTTGTCAACATGCTGCAAATATATTTATGTTATCATAATAAAAGCAAGAAATAGGCAGGAGTGGTTTCTCACTGCTGAAGGCCACACTGAACAGCACTTCAGAACACTGAAATTTGAGCTGCCCTATCATATAGGCAATTTCTTTTCCCCTCGAAAAGCAGATGCTGGGTGTAGCTATATTAGTGCATAATAGGTTTATTCTCATTCACAAAACAGGAATTACTTTATGGCTCCAAAGTAAAACTAGTGTAAGGAATATACCGGCAGATTTGCTACAGATGTGGTCTCTGACACGTACACACGGGGAATCTGCTATTAATCACGTTAAGATTTGAACGTTATAAAGTACAAGGCAGACATGCGTTAAGTTCAAGGTCTGAACTGATAAAAAAACACGAGAAGAGAAAAAAAGATTAGTGTGCCTGTGCCCATCATTTGTGTTTAAATGTTCTGCTTTAAAAGATATTATTCATCCTTTTCCTTGTCCTCACCCCATTTTGCTTCAAGGTTGGTCTGCCTTTTATTTCTTTCCTTTCACTCTGACACAGATGACAGTTCTCGGGAGAAGGCGGCCCTTCGGCTGTCCTTCTTGCTTGTTGGAGTAGGACAGGAATGTGCTTGTTCGGCATTTGTTCAGGAGTGCCTAGACTCCCCGGACTCTGGGGACCGGGAGAGCCAGCAGCACATGCTGGAATCGGCTCAGCACCCAGGCCCTGCAGGCCTTTGTCACCACCTGCCTCCAGGGTTAAGGTGGCCACGGTAATTATGCCAAGGCCATGCATTACTCTGACAAAGTAATCCATCAAATTATGTCTCATAATTTCAATTCTCCCTTCGAATTTTCCTTACCTCCAAAGCCAGCTGGATATTATATTACTGAAGCTGTTGAAAAGGTAGAACACTAGCCATGAAGCCAAAGGCCACGGCAACTATGCAATGCATAAATTTTTATTGTTTGCTCAGTATTGAAATCTCATTAGGGTCCATAATTCATCTGAACACCGTGAACATTTACATCTGTTGATCATGAGAACCTAGAAGGAATGTACACCTTTAGCTAACTTGTTTTCAGAGGAGGCAGTGTGTGTGTGTGTGTGTGTGTGTGCACGTGCACGCGGGCATGCACATACAACTCATATGTTTTTAGCCCTTGAACAGCTGTGGTTTAAATATCCCTTACCCAAACCAATTTCCAACCTGAATTTAAATATCCCAAAGTTGTTTTCATTTGGTAGCTTTCAGACAAAGACTCAGTTCTCTTCAAGTCCGCTTAATCAATGTTGGAAAATTCCACTCATTGTACATTGGCCATAATGCAGCTCTGCTGTGTTAATTACATCAGAATTATCCCAAAGATTACACACCTTTCATTCAATGTATATATGTTTTTGTCTTCACTTAATTATGGCTTCAGAATCAACTTGAGAGAGGAAATGTAACTGTGACTGTTTCTGGGTCCCAGGGATATCCAGATTCGTGTCTACTTTTTTTGGTGTGTGTGTGTGTTATTTGAACATCTTTCCTACCAAGTTCTGCACTTTCGATCTGATGGTATTTTCATTTATGAGGCTCTTACCAGTTCCACGAACACTACAGTTTGAGTTATAATCACTGAATCACAAAATCGAAATTAGAAGGGGAAGGGACCTTCAGGGCCACCTAGCCAGGCCAGCCCTCTTCCAAGCTGGAATCCCCCCCAGTAACACCCCCTGACAAGTGGTCCTTCAGGAATGTATCCATTTTTGGAATGAACTATGGCAGCAGCTGAAAGGCTCTTAGCAAACACTCCCTAGCAGTTCAGGGCAGAGATGAAGAATGCTGTGTCCGATGAGAAGTCTGCAGGGAGTTTAGGTAGACCAAATGTAATTACCCAGACTGGCATCTGGCTAGGGCACCAGCTCGAACAGCCCCACTATAATTCCAGCTGATGGCAGTGACACCTTCTGATGAGAGTCTTGTCAACTACAAGCTGCTCTTTAGCCAGACTTCACTAATATGCCGCGACGGGAAAGATCGGATACAGATGTTTTCACTCAGAAGGCCTTGGAAACGCTAAGGTCCTATCTTCTCCTCAAGGAGAAAGAGCATGCGCTTCCACGCCGAAAAAGACGCCAAAGGGCCTTCACGCAGGGCCTGGCCTGATCCAAGCGTCATTGCAACATCCTTTTCCAGTGTGGCCTCCAAGTCGGCGTGAGGTTTTAGTGTTCCACTCTCAGTGCTGCTTTGAAAGCCCCAGCATGCAACTGGCGACAGCCAGTGAAATGGCCCTGGACACACAGAGTCCAGCAAGCGCTCTGATGAGGTCTGTGGGAAATGATCTGGTTCCATTCTGGGGGTACAGTGATGAGTAAAATTAGGTCCCTGTCCTCACAGAGCTTCTAGGCCTTAACAAAATCACATGTACATAATATAGAGTTTTAAACTGTGGTAATCGCTACAAAGGAAGCAGATATGATACTATGAGCATCTAGAAGAGGGGACTTGTGTCAGTCGAAGGGTCTTCTAGGAAAGGAGATGCTGGAAGGAGTTAGGTGTGCAAGAGGTTTCCTGGGGGTAATACCTGTAGCAGATAAATGGAGGAGGAGGCAGAATTGGGCAGGAAGAGCCTCGGACCACAGTGCAGAGCTGACAAAGTCTCATTTATTTACTTTTTAGACAGAGTCTCACTCTGTCGCCCAGGCTGGAGTGCAGTGGTGCAGTCTTGGCTCACTGCAAGCTCCGCCTCCTGGGTTCAAGCGATTCTCCTGCCTCAGCCTCCCGAGTAGCTGGGACTATGAGTGTGCACCTATGAGTGTGCACCATCACACCCCACTAATTTTTGTTTTTTTAGTAGAGGCGGGGTTTCACCATGTTGGCCAGGCTGGTCTCAAACTCCTGACCTCAAGTGATCCACCCGCCTCAGCCTCCCAAAGTGCTGGGATCACAGGTGTGAGCCACCGCTCCTGGCCAGGACTGACAAAGTCTTAACCAACCCAGTGATGAGCTCTGGAGCCAAGACAGCCCCGTAGAGGAATCCCACCTCAGGCAGAAACTGCCTAGCTTCAGGACCACACACTGTGCCTAGTCAATGACTGGGGGCCGCCTGGGAAGAGTGTGGCCTAGCTCTGATGCTGACATGGGTCTCTGAGGGTACCAACACCTGGGGCAGACTGCATGCCTGAAAGGTTGACAGCTGCATCTCTGTAGCTGCTGTAGGACTGAGCTTTTCTAGAGGCCCAGAGAGGGTGTCCCAAAGGTGGTAATGATGTTGAATTAAGATCTGGGCCGGGCGCGGTGGCTCATGCCTGTAATCCCAGCACTCTGGGAGGCCGAGGCGGGTAGACTGCCTGAGCTCAGGAGTTTGTGACCAGCCTGGGTAACATGGTGAAACCCCGCCTCTACTAAACTACAAAAAATTACCCGGCCATGGCGGTGTGCACCTGTAGTCCCAGCTACTTGGGAGGCTGAGGCAGGAGAATTGCTTAAACCTGGGAGGCGGAGGTTGCAGTGAGCCGAGATCAGCCTGGGCAACAGAGCGAGACTTCGTCAAAAAATATATATATATATTCTGAAGAATGCGCTAGGTTAAAAACTGAAGTGGGAGGGGTGAGTGGGAATGAGAAAGGGATTCCAGGCAGGTGGCACAGCATGTGCAAAGGCCCTTTATCTGTAGAGGAACACTGGGGTGCCCGGGGAGGAAAAAGCCAGGAGGAGAATGATGGGAGGGAGGCGAGCTGAAGAGGAAACAGAGGCGGAATCGTGCCAGCCTGTGGACCATAGTAAGGATTTTGGTTCTATCAGCCATGTGGCTTTGAGAAAGCCACATACTAATTTTACTGATATTTAGTTTCCTAATCTATAAAATGGGAACAACAATGCATACTCGATAAGGTTAACACACGGGTTAAATCAGATTATGCATATTGAGCTCTGACTCTAGTTCCCGGGACATGAGACAGCACATGGTTAATTATTATAATAATTTTAGAAAACCTCCACTGGAAACGCCTTCTGCAAGAAGCAAAGGAGAAAAATGGGCTTATTTTTACATTTTGTTTTCAAAGGCTTAAAAGTTTGATTCTGAAATAATGTGCCTGATTTGAGCAAACTCCAAGTGAAATTGCTCAATGCCTTTTCCACCAAGATCATGGTGCTACCACATTTTCAATTATTAAAATTCTAGGCATATAGGTAGGTTATTATTTTATTTATTTATTTATTTATTTATTTATTTATTTATTTATTTATTTATTTTTAGAGACAGGGTCTTGCTCTGTCTCCCAGGCTGGAGTGCAGCAGTGTGATCATAGCTTACTGCAACCTTGAACTCCTGGGCTCAAACGATCCTCCTAGCAGGGATTACAGGCACATGCCACCATATTGGGCTAATTTTTGCTTTTTTTTTTTTTTTTTTTAAGAGACAAGGTCCTGCTATGTTGCCCAGACTGGTCTCGAATGCCTGGCCTCAAGTGATCCTCCCAAAGTGCTGGGATTACAGGTGTGAGCTGTAATCTGCCATACAACTAAGTTTAGAATTAAACAATCTCAGTAACTCAGAACTGAGTAAGTAACAAATAGCTTGTAACAGAAAAATAATCTGTGAGAAACCTAAAGAACAAGGAAGTTCTCAGCCTCAACAGCACATTGTAAATGGAGGAATGTGGCTATAAAGAGCATGAGAGCTTCTATTTAATAATAACGTTGAAAAATAATTTCTTCTCTCGCCAATCTCACCTGTTTATGGGAGTAATCCTTCAGATGCCTATTTTCCGATTATTCTAATCCATAAAATGCCAGAAACAAGAAAATACAAAATGAGGAAAAACATATGTTGATTGGAGATGCTGAAACAGATTTGACTGCCAAAGAAACTTTGTACCGAGATGGTCATTTTTTTGAATAGTGGGATGAGCATGTGCTAACAGAGCAAAGACATTCTCTAAATTCAAGTCCAGATGATCTGAAATAGCTGAACATAAGCCCAGCGCCTACACCTTTGGCATGAGTATATAAAAGCTTAGAATAACCTGACCCATAGCTGAAAAAGAGAGGACAATCTCTCTTATGTAGATATGTTCACAACAAACTTATTTTATGGGTAACAGTTTAAGAAATCACTGTTTACTCCAGCTTGCTTATCTCTGTGTCAAAATCTAGTCTCCTCTTAAAAAGATAAAGCTGGCAGCCACTGTTTTACAAGCTCACACACCACTTCCTTTGACTTCTTAGCGTCTAGTAAATACATGAAGCTATTATTTTCAGCTGCTTATCCCCATGTTTATTCCATCCAAGTTGATTCTGACTCCTTCTGACCCTTAAAGAGTGCAGAAGACTGAAAATATCTGGCCTCTACTCTTGGAAATCTCAAGATGAAATATTGGTAATATCACTCAAAAGAACTGGAAGTATGTGTACCCTTTGGTATTTCTTTCTCTCGTTCCTTTTCAAGCTGCGATAAAGCAAACGTGAGATTTCCACAGCCACCTAAACAGAAACATCTTTGAGAATTTGAAAGTATTCAACAAATCCACTTCGATTATTATTCTTATTTTTTTCCTTCTTTTAGGAAAATGTGTCACTCAGTTCCTGAACTTCTCCTGCATATTTCTTTCCTGTGCCAAAGGCTTATCAACTCTTAGGTCATCTTGATATGTCAAAAACTTCTTGGATCACAGAGCTGAACCTAAGCAGACTGGACAGGAATTTCTTGATTCAGACAAAAAAATGTCTGATAAGAAAGCTATTTATGTCTCCCAGTAGAGCAAGGAGGCAGTCTACCTTTGCCCATATGTTGTATGTTAGTATTGACTAAACTAAAAAAAAAATTTTTTCCTGGAGGACTGCTACCTGATGGAACTGCTTCATGCTTCTGAAGCTTTCATTAAGGTGACTCATACTGCAAGTAATTTTAAAAAACCCTCCCAAGTTTTACCTTTGCCATAGATTTGCCAAAGACTTTTCTCAGTAAAATAGAGTGAACAGGAAAAGCTCTTTGTCCTGTATAGAATAATTAAATTCTTTTTAAAAATACAACATTTTATGAAAGATTTGCACTCAGTCCAGATGGTATCGGGGTTGTGGTTATTTGTGGGTAATCGGTTCACGTGGTGACATTGAGGCATAATTCACAATGGCCATCAGTTATCAGGGGGACAAGTGGGGTAACAATGGTGAATGGTCTTGGCAGAAGAACTTCCACCAGTGCTCAGAGTCACCGGCCTTTCCTGAAGCCATTCTAAGGTTCTTCAGTTCAACAACATGGGGATGATGGCTTTGGTATTAAGTTAAAAATGAGGTGATGTTTATCCAGGTAGCTGGTAATTCCAACTCATAGATCAGAAAGGTCACTTTCTAGAGTAATGTGAGCTCCATAAGGCTATTACGGAACTTGCTATCACCAATACACTTTTTTTTTTCCTTTTTTTGAGATGGAGTTTTGCTCTTGTTGCCCAGGGTGGAGTGCAATGGCACGATCTCGGCTCACTGCAACCTCTGCCTCCCAGGTTCAAGCGATTCTCCTGCCTCAGCCTCTCGAGTAGCTGGGATTACATGCATGCGCCACCATGCCCGGCTAATTTTGTATTTTTAGTAGAGACGGGGTTTCTCCATGTTGGTCAGGCTGGTCTGGAACTCCCTACCTCAGGTGATCCACCTGTCTCGGCCTCCCAAAGTGCTAGGATTACAGGCGTGAGCCACGGTGCCCGGCCACTTTCACCAATACTTTGTATTTGCTTCTGTGAAAGTTAAATGACAAAATGGGCAGAATCGAGTTTCACTGCAGCACTTCCTTAGTGAAGAGGCCAGAGAATGAATGCCACAATGTCCGGGAAACGGAGGCCTCTCATCTCTTTCCCTGCCAATGAGTTTTGCCTCTGACTGATGAATGTCAGGCATGGAATTAAAATGAGATAATCACCAAAAACTACTGAGGAAGATATCTCTACCAGGCAGGTCTTACATTCAGAATAAAATCCTTTTTGGCGAAGTCTTGTTTTCACTTTCTAGCCCCAGAGATGGCCTTTCCTCACAGTGCTCTATGTCAGACTCAAAGGATAAACCTTCTGCATAATTAAGCACTGCTCCGTGGCTGTCTCCATCCTCCCACCTGAAGAGATGGCACTGATTTGTTGGTGTCAATTTAGTGCTTGTATTGTGTGCATAAGGTCCTGAAATTTTCTATAGTGGGCCTAAGAAATCCACCCCCACCACAGTAATTCAGACACCACTCAGACAAGGCAAGCCTGGAAGGCTGGGAGATAGGTCAGCACCAGCCACACCTGGGAACTTGTCTTTTTTATTTTCTGGTCATCCATGTATAGAAACAGAATCCATGAGGATTCTTTAAAAGGCAAAAGAGTGACAGGAATTGACACGGACTTTGATTTTACTTTCTGTAATTAAAAAACTAATCATCAGGTATGTAAAAGTCAGCGTAGTGAACTTTTACATACCACTACCAATTAGGAAAAAAAAGCTTTGAAAGATGTGAGTTTTAGTTTCTCTTACTAAGCAAGCCTCAAGAAAAATGGCTTTTAAAGTTAAGTCAGCCTAGCCGGGTGCAGTGGCTCCCATCTGTAATCCCAGCACTTTGGGAGGCCAAGGCAGGTGGATCACCTGAGGTCAGGAGTTCAAGACCAGCCTGGCCAACATGGTGAAACCCCGTCTATACTAAAAATACAAAAATTAGCCAGGCGTGGTGGTGCGCACTTGTAGTCCCAGCTACTCGGGAGGCTGAGGCAGGAGAATTCCTTGATTCTGGGAGGCAGAGGTTGCAGTGAGCCAAGATCACCCCACGTACTCCAACCTGGGCGACAGAACAAGACTCCGTCTCAAAAAAAAAAAAAAAAAAATTAAGTCAGCCTAACTCAAGATTTGGAAGTGAGAAAATTATAATAATGTGGCTTCTTCTGTTTAGATGGTTTACATTAAATGCATCCTGGGGGATGAGGAGGTAGGGATGGTGCCACTGGCTGGCACCTCACACAGATGGGAGGCCGGATAGACGGATGGATGTCAGACAGCAGCTGTGAGATAATCTCTCTGCTCATAACCATCTTGTTTCCGGGACACAGACCAGAACAGACCGCCTAGTGCTAAGGCCCAGAGCCTGTTTCTGCACTCCCCTGCACCAGCCTTACTCCTGAGCTCCCCAAGGTTGCAGCAGATGTTAAAAACTAAAGTTGAAACCTTTAAGCTGTAATGAAGGAGTTCACAGGGTTCATAATCCCAGTACCCCACCCCAATTCTCCAGTGATCCCGCTGAAAGCTTTCAAATAGTCCTCAGCACTAACACGGTGCAGCGCGTGTTGAACACACTGATCTGCCCACGATTACCCTCGGCTGCTGTAAAACAATCTTACTCCTCGAGTGAATGCAGGCTGCAGCAACAATGGTGTTATTGACTTGTTGCTCCAGCTCTATTTAGTTATTACCCTCGGGGCCACAATCAATAGACTCTGCACCAAGTCAGCCTAATAAATCCCAGGCTCTCACTGGAGGTTTGCCAGAAACGGCAAGAAAATCTATGGCAGGGAAACACTTAGAGTGCGAAGACAGAGAAAGCTGCACTGACAGCTGTATAAATTAATTAACAAGGAACTGTTTATTCTTTCAAAAGATCAGATTGCACATTTACCATCACTGAAGAAGTCACAGATTGACTATCGCAAAAGTATCTGGTGATATATTTTTAAAACCCACATATTTGGAGGTACACACACAAAAGAGAGAGACCTGTGTCCTATGGCAATTATTTCTTTCTTTATTACATTTTCAATTACTCGATATAAATTTGCCTTCTGAGCACTAGTTCTGGCCAGTGTATTATTTTCAGCTTATTTGGACTAATGCAGTCTGCCTTGATAATTCTTTAAGCTTGTGGTTGAAACAGTCAACACGATAAAAATGAAATGTTGATCATTAACATTTGTTGTGCTTTGGGATTTTTTTTCCCCCTCTGCTGTTAGGAATTTGAATCCTACTTGTAATGCAGCAGTGGAAGGAAAAATGCTTTAGGTGATAGAAACACTAAAAGGTCAGTGAAAGCAAATGCTAGGTTATTTCAGATCATTGCAAAAGAATTCTAGGATGGTTCCTTACTTAATAAGCAAATGGTGTGTAGATTTAGTGGCAAGGAGCTCAGGATCCTACAGCCTTAAGACACATTGAATTAAACTTGGGCCTGCACTGGGACAACACAATCTTCTTCCATGGATTGAAAACAAATATAAGAGATCGATGAGGCTCTTGGAACCTATTTGCTACTGCAGTGGTACTTTGAAGAATTTTTATACAAAACTTTTTCTTTATCCCAACTCTATCCATGCTGGTATAGAATGTGTAACTTGATGAAAAAAGGTCTTTCTAAATGCTAAGCCGTTTCAGTTTTTAAATTCGGCAGTGGAGGTGTTAGAAATGGTCTTTAAGCAGAGTCACAAGACCCAACCTCAATATCACTCAGCTAACTGACCGACGTTCAGTGAGAGTCTATTAGGGACAAGGCACTGAGGCAGCCATTGACTGGTGGTGACACAGGCGTCATTGTTCTCAGGCGTCGAAAGCTTATTTCATTGCTTCGGTCTAGCCTGGGATATGTCAGCCCTGTTGCATGTTAACACACTCCTGTGAACACAAAAGGGCACAGCAATCCCCTCAAACATGTACCCTTGAACTTGACAGGCCCTCAGGAGGGGGGCTTCTCCGTGCACACACACGAAATCTGTTTCATTCTGGGACTGCTAATTGTGTTGTCCCAATAATTTATTGCCTCTTCTAAATGGTTTCCAGGTAATAAGAGTTAATTGACTCAAGTGACTTTCATCCATTGCAATTATCTCCTAATATTGTACATTAGGCCCATGTACTTTCTGTTAATCAGGTCAAATATGTCACCTGAATAGAGGCATTAAAAAAAAAAGGTGGAACTTAAAATCATCACCCTAAACTTATTTCTAAATGTGCTCACATAAAGTTGTTCCTCCTGAGATTAATTTACTGCCTAAGCCTGACTTGGCTTTCCCCTTGGAGACTGGTTAGAGCTGTCAGACTCAGAGTTCACCTTCTTCACACTCATCTCCTTTGTAGTGGGAAGACCAAAGTTCAGAGGAGGAAGTAGTCATCCTGGGGTGGCCCCTGGATGGTCAATGGCAGAGGCAGGCCCAGGTCATGGATTTCCCACCAC
Source organism: Homo sapiens (assembly GCF_000001405.40). Lineage (NCBI taxonomy): Eukaryota > Metazoa > Chordata > Mammalia > Primates > Hominidae > Homo > Homo sapiens. Next base: position 112,774,347 of record NC_000010.11, on the reverse strand, counting down.
TTCTTTCTGGCGTCCTGAAGTGAGGTGGAACTATGAGAGGAACTATGAGAAGAACCTTCCAGAAAACACAGATGCCTTTGTGTCTCTGCATCAGCCTGTTTTGGCCTCTCTCTCCCCAACAAAATAGCTCCTGAACTGCTTCTCTGGTGCCCTCAGCTCCAGACCTGAATGCTCAGTCTCTTTTTGTGACATTTTCTCCAACACCCTCCACATCGAAACATTCCAGTTTCCACGGCCTCAGTGCCAAATGGCATGAGCATTAGGTGTCCTGCGCTGCAGCTACTCACAGCCTCACCTCAGCCAAGCCACCCAGTGTCTCTGACCCCTAGCTGTCTTCTTTTGCCAAATAAGGGAGCTGGATAGAAGACTCCTAAGGGCCCTTCCTCTCTGCTCTAACCTCCTGTGTTTATGTCAGTGGCTACTCATTAGTTATTGTGCCCTGTCATGTTTGCATAGCTCTTCCTACACCTCCCAATATCTTCACATCCACTGGCTCTCTGCTGCCCACCCCAGATAAGATATTAGATCCTGGCAACAACACTATGCCTTAACCCAAAGGCACAGTGGAGTTTCAGGCCTGGGGTAAATCTCAAATCACACCTAAAGATCTCTCTTGGTCCTCTCTTCCCACATTTAGGATGCACCGGATGGGCAGTCACTTGGTCCTATGGCTACAAATTTTCTTTCCAATCAACTGTCTTCTGCCAGATACTGGACCCACCACTTGCAACACTGAGAAGTGTTGAGGGTGAACACTTCCCAGGCACACCCTTAGCCGAGTTGAGGTGTGTCCAAGTATCATCCTTTCCTAAGACTTCCAGTGGTTAATGATCTGGATGGAGGAATGGGGCTAGCACAGGATAGTTTATGGGGCAGGTTTGTGTTTCTGGAATTTGTGGTTGTGTGGAACTCCAGGGTTCTGGCTTCTATGATCTGAAGCAGCAGTTCAGTTAGTGTTCAGTGTAATCGATGGTACAGTTGGGAAGAGGAGTGTGATAAGTGTGAACATGCATGCTTTGTGTGGCAACTAGGTACCAGGTACTATGTGCTTTCCCAAACCTTGGAAAAACTTCCTTTGATTGATTCAATAAGACCAGGAACTTGGTATTATTATCCTACCTTAGAGAGAAGAAAACTAAGTCTCAAAGAGGTTAAGTGACTTGCCTAATGTCACAACAGTCACCAAGAATCAGCTCTTAGACTTCTGATAGCAAAGTCAATTCTCTTTTTATTACATCCTACTTCTACCCAAAAGGCCCAGAAATGGTAGGGAGGTAAGAGACGTATATAAATTATGGTGACTAAATCACGACCTTATTGGTAATTATTTTACCTACTCAATGGGCACACTTTGTGAGTTTTCGAGTTACACTCTATGGCTTGCAGGCTAGAGCTTCTCAAGCTAAGTGGCATTCTATTGCTAAACTCCACCCTGTTCTGCTCTGAATGACCTATGCCAGTCGGTCAGTTTTGTTCCGACTGACCAATGGGTTTCCAAGGTGGACTGGGCTGAGGTGTGTCTTGGTAGATGACCACATCAATCCACAGTTCTTTTTCTTCCTTCAAAAACATGGCTGTACAAGTAGATATCCATATGCAAAAGAAGACAGTTGGAACCTTACCTCACAGCATATATAAACATTAACTCTAAATGAATCAAAGACCTAAATGAAAGAGCCAAAATTATAATTCCCTTAGAAGATAACAGATAAATAAGTCCTTGTGGTGTGGGTTTTAACAATAGACTCTTAGATGTGACACCAAAAGCGCAAGCAACAAAAGAAACTAAATTGGATTTCATCAAAATTAAAAACTTTTGTGTTTCAAAGGACACTATCAAGAAAGTAAGAAGACACGCTGTAGAATAGGAGAACATGTTTGCAGATCGTATATACAATAAGACATATCTAGACTATCTTAAAAAACTCTTACAACGTACTAATAAAAAGACAACCTAATTAAAAAGCGAGCAAAGGATCTGAGTAGACATCTCCAAAGAAGATATAACAATGACCAATAAGCACAGGAAAACATGCTCAACATCATTAGGACTCGTGAAATGCAAATCAAAACCACAATCAGATACCACTTCTCATCCATTAGGATGGCTAGAATTGAAAAGTCTCATAACCATGAGTGTTGGTGAATATGTGGAGAAATCAAAACCTTTATATTGTGCTGGTGGGAATATAAAATAGTACAGCTGCTTTGGAAAGCAGTTTGCCAGTTCTTCAAAAAGTTGAACACAGAGTTACCATTTGATCTAGCCAATCCACTCCAAGTTATATAAGAGAATAAAAACATATGTCCACACAAAAACTTGTACACGAATGTTCACAGCAGCATTATTCACATAGCCAAAAGGCAGAAACAACCTAAATGTCCATTGGCTGAAGAATAGGTAAACAAAATGTGGCATGGTATATCCGTACAATGGAATACTATTTGACCGTAAAAAAGGAATAAAGTACTGGCACATGTTATAACCAGGATAAACCTTAAAAACATTATACTAAGTGAAAGAAGTCAGTCACAAAAAAATCACATATTCTATGATTCCATTTATATGAAATGGTCAGATTAGGCACATCTATAGAGAAAACAGAATCATGGTTGCATAGGGCTGGAGGAATGAGGGGATTGAAGATATAGCTAAAAGGTACAGGGTTTCTTTTTGAGGTGATAAAAAGGTTCTAAAATTGACTATGGTGATGGTTGCACATATAAGAGTATACTAAAAAAACCCCATTGAATTGTATACTTTAAATGGGTGCATTGTAGGTTTTGTGAATTATGTATCAATAAAGCAGTTACTGAAAAAAAGTACCCCCAAACTCCCTGAAACCACCAAACTACACAAAGCTCTTGCACAGCTGTTTTGCTGCAGGACAAGCAAACCCTTTCTCCTGTTCCCTCCCCAGTTCCTATGGTCGGCCTCATGTGGGCAGGGGTGCTGCTCACTTTAGAAGTGCTTTCCCTTTCATCCCTTGCAGGATGGAGAGAAGGAACACTAGTGATGAGAACTGACTCATTTCTGGGCACATGCTGCCTGCCAGGCTCCACACTGCGTGTTGTACAGAAATGATCTCATTTAGTTCTTCCAACTGCTCTCTGAGGTAGATACGACTTTTATCTCTCCACTTAAAGATGAGGAAAATTCTCCAAGGTCAGACAGCTAGTAAGAGGCAGTGCCTGGGTTTGAACCCAGGTCCACCTGACTTCGAATCTGGGCATATGTGAACCTTGGTTACACACTAGAAAGGGCGCCCGTGTGTGCTCATGCAAGCCATCCTCTCCTTGGGTCCTGGGGAATCCCGAAGTCTTCTCCATTCAAAACGACTCAGTGTTCCCTGGGAGAGCCAGAAATGTCTTTAGAGAGAAGCTAGAACATTCTTTAGAGATAAGTCCTATCTCTCCTGTTTATTTCTAAAACATGTCATTTGAAAATGGGAGAAGGGTCACCTTTTCCCCTGCAGCTGACATGCTGAATACCATCTCTAACCCTATTTGTTTCTGAAGAAACTTTTGTTAGGAAGAAACCTACTGGGTGAGTTTTAAGGAGATATTTCTACAAACATGGCAGAAGCAGGGTGTTATAAGATTTAACTACGGAATTAATTTTCTTTTTAAGAAAACATTTGGGGCCAGGTGCCGTGGCTCAAGCCTGTAATCCCAGCACTTTGGGAGGTGGAGTCGGGTGGATCACGAGGTCAGGAGATCGAGACCTTCCTGGCTAACACGGTGAAACCCTATCTCTACTAAAAATACATAAAAAAAAAAAAAAATTAGCCGGGCGTGGTGACAGGCGCCTGTAGTCCCAGCTACTCAGGAGGCTGAGGCAGGAGAATGGCGTGAACCTGGGAGGCGGAGCTTGCAGTGAGCCGAGATCCTGCCACTGCACTCCAGCCTGGGTGACAGAGCAAGACTCCGTCTCAAAAAAAAAAAAAGAAAAAAGAAAACATTTGGAATTAATCTGTTTTGTTCATGAGGCTGCATCTTTCAGCCAAATTATTGTTTTCGTGTCATACTGGCATACAGACTACATGAGTTTAACACTTTCATACAGTATGCCTGCCTCTGCCATTAACTAGCTGTGTGATCTTAGGCCAGTTACTTGCCATCTGTGGGTACCAGCATCCAGTTGGAATTCAATAACTGTGGAATAAAAGTGTCAAACACATAATACGAGTGGGTTGGATCAGATCAGAGGTCACCAACTGGCAGTCCATGGCCAGATTCCGCCTGCAGATGTGTTGGTTTGGCCTGCTCGGTTTGAAATTAAAAAAAAAAAAAATCGTTGCCAACATTTACAAATGCTAAGATTTGTAATCCAGAATGCAAGCATTCTGGAAACTCCAAAAGATATGACCCCAGTGGGCCTACATGCCCCTATGGCAACCATGGGGTGGATTCTGAGAAGCCTCTGGATAGGGTACTCCCTCTCCAGTTCTCAACACCTCCTGGCCTGTTTCACTCACTGCGGTACCCACCTGGTTCCTAAGGTATGTAAATATGCCACCTCTGACCTGGGTTATTTCCCAGATTCCTACCTGCTCTTTCTCCAGGCTATGTTCTAAGGTCTGTGGTGTTGCAACAGGAAGGTAAAAGAGGTGAGACTCCTGGATCTTGCCATATACCTTTCCAATACTAGGCAGAACAATGGGATGCATGGATTGAAACTGCATTGGCTTGCAAGCCTGATACCACACCCAGAACAGAACCTAAGGGAGATATTCAGAGGTCATTTAGGCCTCACCAAGGCTCCACCTTGCTGGGGACCTCCAGCTTATGGAGGGGTGGTGCACCCAGGCATGAACTAGGAGGCTACTGCTGGCAAGTCTGGCTTATCAAAGACATGAAGATAGGGAAATTCCATGGTCTTTCATCTAATATTCCAAATGGACTTGGACTTTAAGTCAACTCACTTTCTTCCTTATGAGAAGGAGAGGTAAATAGACCCTGCAGATTAAACGACAAAGCCCTCTCTGACTCCACCAGAGGCAGCGTAGAATCCTTCCACATACAGGAAGGGCTCACTGTCTAGTTGGGATAACCTTACAATGAGGCCCTGAGACAGCCACACCCTGCATCAGGGTATAAGCAAGGCCTGCTGTCTGTGTTCTGAAGTTAGCTGGGCTGTGGTGGTGATCTGGATTTCCAACTTACTTGTGGATGTAATTAATTGCAAATTTTAGCTCTCCCTATTTCACACAAAATTTATTTGGGCTCTGCATGTTATTTCCCTTTGCTAGCCCTTCCAAGTTTTTCTTTCAAGAAATGAGTAACTGTCAGTCCTAAAAGGCCAGAATTACTTCCTAATGGGTTTGGGTTTTAAACAAAACAAAACCAAAAAAACTTATTTTGAAATAAATTTAAACTTGAGAGAAGTTTCAAGAGAAATGAATTCCTATACCCTTCATGTAAATTTACTAATTATTATTATTTTGCACCCTAAGCTGTACCATTCTCTGTTTGTCTGCATAAACGCATATTTCATTGAGAACCATTTGAGTCAGTTGCAGACATGAGGCTCCATGATTATAACACATTTACCCAAATCAGGAAATTTAATAATGATCTAATACTAACATGGAAACCACAGCCTGTGTTGTCAATTGCCCTAGTAATGCTCTGTATTTCTTTCCCCACCCTCACCCCTGCTCCAGGATTCAACCTGGGATCATGAACTGCACTTAGTTTTCTAGTTGTCATGCCTCTTTGGTTTCTCTTAATCTGAAATCCTAACTGGTTTCTGAAGATGCTTTCTTTGTGGCATCGGAGAACCAGAACAGATAGAGGTTGAGGGTGGAAACATGCAAAAAAGGAGAAAAAACCCCAAATGTAATGGGTGAAACTGGTAGACGATCATGGGGGAATACCAAATGTTCCCGTGGACCGCAGCAGTTGCTCCAGGAATTGCATCATATGCTTAAAGTTGAGAAGGCCAACTTGCAAAGCTAAGAGTCTTCTATTTTGGTCTTATGCTTTCTTCCAGAGACAACTGCCACGTCCTGCTCTATTCATCCCAAGCCTCTCCAGAAAGCGCCTTGTGGAGCAGTAATTACATTTCCAGGGTGGCAGAGGCTCTTTCTCGTCAGCCTTGTGTCTCTCAAAGCCTCTAAATCATTCCATTATACCATAACAATGGATCCTCACACTCGTCATGCAATTTGTTTTCATTATGTAAATCACTTCATTCTCTTTTCCAATATCTGCAGGGAGCTGCAAACCACTGAAGGTCAAAATCGGAAGTGGAATATGCGGGGCAGGGACAGAGAGGGGTTGAGGGAAGCCTGGCTTGGTCCTGGAGGTCACCTATCACATGAGGTTGGGAAGGAGCAGATAGGAGCACAGAAGTCCAGGAAAGGCATGAGGATCCAAGGGGGAAGTAATACGTGTCCGGCTTCTGTGACACTAGTGCCTCTGGGCACATGACCTGCAGGTCACCCTCCCCAAGATGCCTGATGACAAGACTGGTCCTAGGAAGAGGTGAAGGGCCCAGAACATTTTGGCCTTTATATCATCTCACCATGCCTTACATGAAGTTTGTGTTTAAAATAAGTTAGTTACATGTCCCATTGGTCTTCAAACAATTTTAAAAATTATTATTTTTTCATCGCAACCAAGAAAATTGGGAGAATACAGAGAAACAGAAAAAAAAAAAGAGTAAGGAAGAAATAAGGTAGGCAGGCAGGAAAGACCCTTTAGTTGAAAACTCAAACGAATGCATTTAACATTAGGGAGTTTCTCCTCCCCTTTGTTCCAGTATGTGCCATGCTGTTGTTATTAGTTTATGCCCTCCTGTTTTCAGAACTAGCACAAATACACTAGAATGGTTTCTCTCCTTGTGCTTTTAATCTGACAGATTTTACTTCATATTCGGCATTGAATAGGCACTTACTTCCTTTTAGGCACTGGGTCTGCAATCAGGGTTTGCTGCCTCCAGGTGAAGAAGGGACTTGGGGAAGCAAAATAAACAAATGATTAAGAGTATGGGCTCTGAGGTCAGACCAGCTGGATTCAAATTCCAGGATCTCCACTTACTAGTTCATGACTTTGGGCCTTGGCCTTACCATCTGTAGCAGGAGATGATAAAACTACTTACCCAAAGATTGCTGTGAGAATTAAAATGCGCTAACACATATAAGAGCTTAGCACAGTACCTGACACACAGTAAGGCACTCAATAAATGCTAGCTATTACTATTATTCCAATATGGATTGAAAAGTCAACTTTAAGCCACAGATTGGGAAGCTGATGAAATCATTTCCCTTTTAAAGAATAAAAACTCACATGGCTAAGAAATCAGTGGCTTTAAACTCTGCTTTGAAGGATATGTAATATATATGGAGCAAGATTTAAATAACTAACACCTGAATGTACTATTGCTACGTTTTTCTCACTAAACCACAATTGGCACGGATCTTATTTCTTTTGTCCCTTTATAGCTTCAAATGAAGAAATCCTTAGCTTCCATCTCATCCAAGTTACCTGCCACTAAACCAGTCTCACAACTTCTTAAAGTACTTGTAAATACTTAGAATACCTATGCTATGTTAAATTTCCTTTGCCCCCAGCTAACTAAGGAAAAGGTTTATGAAGATGCATACAAGACCTGTTTTCCAGCACCCTTGCTAAAGTCATCACTTTCTCTTCCCTATGGTAGGAATCCAATGGGAGATTTTAGTTCTTTGGACCATATTCCTTGAGCATTTTTTGTTAATCTGAAGCAAGTATTTTTCTCTCCTCTTTGAAGTATACTAGCATTTCTTCCAAGGAGAATCTAGTTCCTGATTTTCCTATTGACTATTAATTTGAATGCAATGGTTTCCTCTTCAAGTGAGGTTGTCTGGAGCAACCAGCAGGTAAGAATCAGATACCAATTCTTGCAGAAACAGCTTCTTTCTAACTAACAAATCTAAAATTATATTGGAACTTAAGTTTATACACAGCTCTTAACTGAATTTAGCAAAGTTTATAAACAAAAATTTAAAGTAACTCCATAATAATTATTTTTATCTTTGAAAGTACTGGCTACCATCTGTTGAACTTAACCTTATTTATGTATAATTTCCACACTTGTTGCATTGCTTGTAGTCAGTTTTAAACTTTGACTTGTGTTTCTTTCCACGGAACGCCTTCTTTATTGCCTAATGTCTCCTTTTATGCTTAACCTTGTCAAAAGGCCTTAACATTCCTTAGCACGTGCTACTACACCTATAGGTCTGGCCCTGACCTCATACCACTCTCTCCTTTCTCTTGCTTCTCCAGACACACTGGCCTAATTCTGTCTCTTGTCCTCTGCCCACTTCCACCACAGGGCTCTTGCATAAGCTCTTTTCTGTGACAGAAGCATCTAGGTAATGCCTTCATACCTCAGCTCATGTCTCACTTTTTCATCAACCTGCCTTGGACTCCTGTCAAGGTAAAATCTCTAGACCACAGCTTCTCCAGGTGTGGTCTCTGGACTGGCGTCGTTAGCATCACAGAGAGATAGGTTAGACACAGAAACTCTGGGGTAGGGCCCAGACATCTGGGCTTTGTTTTAACAATCCCTCCAGGGGATTCTGGTGCCTGCTAAAGTTTGAGAACCACTTACTTATCATCTAGTTCCACTGCACCATGAAGCTCTCCTTCATAACAGTCATCACAATTACTTTCAAATTTGTGCGATTATTTGATTAATGTCTGTTTCCCCCACTATACTAAGGGCAGAAACTGTGTCCCTTTTGCTCACCAATATTTCCCCAGCACCTAGCAGTGTTTAGCATGTAATTGGTGCTCAATAAATATTTTTCAATAAATTAAACATAAATGTAATGCTTAAAAGGAAAAACACACCAGGTGAGGTGGCTCATGCCTGTAATCTCAGCACTTTGGGAGGCCGAGGTGGGCAGATCACTTGAGGCCAGAAGTTCAAAACCAGCCTGGCCAAAATGGTGAAATCCTGCCTCTACCAAAAATACAAAAATTAGCTGGGTGTGGTGGCGGGCGCCTGTAATCTCAGCTACGTGGGAAGCTGAGGCAGGTGAAGTGCTTGAAACCAGGAGGTGGAGGCTGCAGTAAGCCAAGATTGTGCCAACTGCACTCCAGCCTGGGTGACAGAGCGAGACTCCGTCTCAAAAAAACAAAACAAAACAAAACAAAACAAAACATACAAACTAGTAATTTACAAAGCAAGAAATTGAAATGGTATTTTAGCACACTCAAATTCAATTAGTAAACTAGGAAACAGGTATAATAATATGATGTCATTTCCCTTTCACTTCTCAAGTTAGCAAAGATGAAAGGGAATTATAATATCCAACCAGGACATGGGGATCATTGCTGTTGTAGCAATGTGGGTTTGAGTAGCTTTTCTGAAATGCAGTTTGTCATCATTTTGAAAATGTAAAATGACCCAGCAATGCCACCCTTAGTCATTAACTCTAAGGATATATTAGTACCTCTGCACACAGGTATATGTATGTACAAGGGTATAAATTATAACATGGTTAACTCTAATTTTAAAATAATGCAAATATTCACTAATACAGATTTGTATGAGCAAATTGTGGTGCGCTGACAACACTAACTACCATGCAGACAACAAAAATGATGACGCTGAGATGAATTAATTGATGTAGAATTAACCATGATCACAATGTTAACATTAACCAGGCTCAAAATACTAAGTAAAATGAAAAAGCTCAACTTAATTAAAAATTTATATTTATACAGGTATATATCCAGAGAAAAATGTCTAGACAGATACTCAGCAAAAGCACTATTAATGGTGTCAGTATGGTGGTCTTTATTTTCTTCACAATTCCCTATAATTTTCAAATTTTTTTCAGTATATCACTCTATATAAAACAGAGAATTAACAATAACATTTTTAAACACCACATTGGTTTAAGCAAAATATAACTAGGAAGGCGAAGCACTTTTGTAAACACAGAACCAACTAAAGATAATTCTCAAAAGATGACTCTTGCATTATTCACTGTTTTGGGTTAACCACACCGCAAGTCTCCTCCATTTCCACCGAAAATCAAGAATTTCTGCAACTGGCTGCAATGACCGACACATCAAGTACCGCAGGCACTGATTGGGGTTAAGTAGCTGGTAACTGACCGCATGCATGCAAACCACATCCAAACACTGCTGGCACAGGAGAGATAAAATCCCTACCCTTAACTAAGGATTCCAGAGGGCGCCATGTCCATGAATGGGGGCCGCCATCCTCATTGCTATAGGTCGGGCATCAGTCTGTTGGGGATCTCTAAACAACTCCCAGGGATGTGGGAGACAGTCATTGCAGGCATGATTGCAACTATTTAAAATATTTCCTTCCACCTCTCTCTTTTTCTCTCCCTGAAACTGTACATATTCTTGGGATGCTGTTTTCTGGAGAGGGTGCTCTGGCGTGAATCAGACAGATAAACCGATTGAGATCAGGTGATGTTTGTAGATGCCAGTGAAGCAGTGTCTGATTGGCACCCAGTTTACCACATGTTCTTCGTGTTATATGGTGGTGGGCAGAAAAAGGGTGAGGCTAGAGGTCAAAGGCAGAAACTCAATGACCTCGATGTGCATTTTAATAAAACAACACCCGAGAGCTAGACTGAGATGAAGGATAAAATAGGTCCCAAACCAAGAGAGCTTATATCAATATATTGTACAAAACTCCCAAACACAGGGCTACGAAGTCTCACAACTCAGCGAAGCAGGATTGTAAATGCCACCAGGCCATTATATTTACTTCTCAGAGCTATAAAGCAGGGCAACATGCTCTTAGTATAAACGGGCAGAAAAGAAGCAAGAACTCAATTCAACCTCATCACCTTAGTGCAGGTGAGGCATGTAAAATTATGCCTGGACATCAGACTTGTAACAAAGGCCAGTGGTACCTTTTTTTTTTTTTTTTGAGATGGTGTCTCGCTCTGTAGCCCAGGCTGGAGTGCAGTGGCGTGATCTCTGCTCACTGCAAGCTCTGCCTCCCGGGTTCACCCATTCTCCTGCCTCAGCCTCCCGAGTAGCTGGGACTACAGGCGCCTGCCACCATGCCCGGCTAATTTTTTGTATTTTTAGTACAGACAGGGTTTCACCGTGTTAGCCAGGATGGTCTCGATCTCCTGACCTTGTGATCCGCCCGCCTCGACCTCCCAAAGTGCTGGGATTACAGGCCTTTGGGATTACAGGTGTGAGCCACTGCGCCTGGCCCAGTGGTACATTTTAAGTCTACTAAGAGGCCACATGCTCAGTTATTCATTCTCTACTCACCAAACTGGTACCACTAATAGGTTTCTGAGTCCAGAGCCAAGTGGCAGGGGCTGTCTGGGTATGGAGTTTTTGGTGCCAAAAGGTAGGGGTTGAGGCTATGCAGAAACATCTTTCAGCTGTGGCTCTTGTTATATATATATTTAAAACTAGCATTGGCCCAGATCTTTTGGTTGTGCTGAGCTGGATCCGTGAGATTTAAATGTCTTGATCCATTACAAGTATGTGAAACATGGCCCTGAAATCTAAAGGGAACTGCTGTCCAGGCCCAGCACGGAAATCAATTCTGGAAGTAGCTGGGAGGGAAAGTAAGCTACATTTTCAAGTGAAAATGTTCATTTTCAGGCAGTGGTGATAGCCTCATATTCAACAACTCTCTTCCGGGTAGATATTAATGAGAAATTGGAATACTGACGCTAATGACTGCATATCCCTTGCATAATTACAATGACCTGTAGTCCTTTTTAAATGCCAAATTAGCTGATTAAAATTAGTCAGTCCTGTTGAAGTTATAATATCCTAACTCAAATCTCCTGCCCAAATATACTTGCAGAAACTAATATTTAAAGATGGATTTGGAAAACTCAAAAAGCACTCCGTTTCTAATATAGGGCCAAAGTAATTTCAAATGCACTTTAGGAAGCTTTAACTACGGCTTCTATTCCAATTCGTAGGAACCTCTCTGTCTTCGTGTTTCTGGATTACTACCTGCTTTCCATTCAGGAGAAAAAAAAAAGTTCTCAGCCTACTTTTGTCCAACTTCACCCCTGATTTCACTTTTTTTGTTCTTTTTTGGCCCTCACCCTTTACACCTTGTAGCTACAGAGCTGCATCTGAAACACTGGCTCTAGCATCCCCTATGAGCCCAACTGCAGAGAAGGGGGCTGTAGCCCTTGAAGCCATGTGAAATAAGACCTGAAGTAACCGCGATGCCAGTGTTTGGCCACCCTTGGCTGAAATAACATATTTACCCAGCAACAAAGCTTTCCCATCCATTTTTATTTAAGAGAGATTTTAAATAAAATCTAGTAAATGAAACTGTAATGTATCCAGTGCAACAACTGTCAAAGAACAGCCATTTAACTTCTTTGGAGGGGAAAGCATAATGCTGTCCAGGACTGCTGTAAATCAGTTCACTGTAAAAGACTTTATTTACTCAGATCGCGGAGTAGATATTCAGAAAACAAAATAAGATAGTTTCTTATGGCAAGAACAAGATTGCTACGTGTATAGATACACAAAGATACAAGATCAGCATATACATATATTAATATATTCATATACATACACACACACACACACACACACACACACAGAGAAAGAAAGAGAGAGGAGGGAGAGCAGGAGGGAAAGAGAACAAGCACTGGTAATAAATACAGCAACAGAATCAGCAGTTTCCAAACTCAGTTGTGTAAAATCGAACTTATTTTTCTAGCTTATAGGATTAAAACTGGATTTTAACTTAGAGGTAACACATTGCATTGACATTAAGAATAACGTCAGGCTGTGTAAATATTTTTTTAAAAGAAAATGTGGCATTATTAGTGAGAGTAAGACATAATTGTTATGTTTAAGGAAAGAAAGCCTTTATTTGTTCCCTATACAATCATAACTCAATCAAGCAAACAAGGCTTTTTCCTCCCCTCAAACCACCATCATAATGGGAGTTTTGTGTAAGCTCCTTGTTTGTACAAAAGCCTGACGATATAGTCTTGAGGGGTAATCCTAAGGCTGTTAGACCGAAATTAAAACAAACCTTACCAGTAGATCTGTGTTTTTAAGACAGCTCTATTTAAGAGGGCCATGCTGATTATACCAAGAGATAAGCCCCACAGAATCTAAGGGTGATCACTTCAGCAAACATGGGCATGGCATTGCAATTTTCTAGTTTTTCACCTCACAGAAGAGCAAAGATCTCACAATCACTTCGTTAAATAGCAGCGGATTCCTCAAGACATACAGTCCATGGTATGCATGAGCCTGAGTAAGAGGTTGACTTTAATTTTTTCAGCCTTGAAAATAAAAAAAGTTAAATGCTCACGTATATAATTGGTTCAATTATCACTAAAATAAAGCAGTGCTGACAAGGGTTCTATGTCCGATTTCTGCATTCTTAAATCAAATGTGAAGTTAATATTATACATCAATGAACATCTGTATTGTTTCCAACTTTTTGGTTTTTTTTTTTTTTTTTTTGGAGATGGAGTCTTGCTCTGTCACCCAGGCTGGAATGCAGTGGCACGATCTCCGCTCACTGCAACCTCTGCCTCCTGGGTTCAAGCCATTCTCCTGCCTCAGCCTCCCCGGTACCTGGGATTACAGGCGCACACCACCATGCCCAGCTAATTTTTGTGTTTTTAGTAGAGATGGGGTTTCACCATGTTGGCCAGCCTGGTCTCGAACTCCTGGTCTTGTGATCTGCCCGCCTTGGCCTCCCAAAATGCTGGGATTGCAGGCGTGAGCCACTGTGCCTGGACTGGTTTTTCTTATAATAAAATAAAATCTCATCTTGGTCCTTGACCCAACACACACACGCTGGTAATAAAAGTATCACAGACATAACAAATTGTGATGAGTCTCAACACTAGGTTTTAACATTTTAGAATAGAACAGGATATAGTAGTCTCCTCTTATCCATGGTTTCGCTTTCTGCAGTTTCAGTTACCCAAGGTCTGAAAGATACTAAGACATTTTGAGAGAGAGAGAGAGACCATATTCACCGAATTTTTATTACAGTATATTGTTACAATTGTTCTATTTTACTCTTAGTTATTGCTGTTAATCTCTTACTGTGCCTAATTTATAAATTACACTTTATCAAAGGTATACATGTACAGGGAAAAACAGCATAAATAGGGCTTAGTACTATCCATGGTTCAAGCTTTCAGGCATCCACTGGCGGTCTTGGAACGTATCCCCCTTGGATAAGGGAGAACTACTGTGTTTGAAATTGTTCAAACATCTACCTCCCTAGATTCTAGTTCTTCGTGTGGACTCCCATATATTTTTCTGTGTTTATATCTTCCCTATCCCTCTTCTTCATTTCTGGCTATTTGCAACCCAGGCTGAGATGGTTCCAGTATTCCCCATTGGGAATTGATGGGAATTGTTCTCCCATCCCAAACTGCCCCGTCACTTCTCAGATGTGTGTTTTTGTTTGTCTTGTTTAATTACAGCATCCACATTCAATCACCCCTCACTCCGAGAATATGTGGGGTTGGTTAGACCCTGAAATATACCCTATGTCTTCTGATCCAGGCAGACCTGGAGTGCTGGAACAGTGAGCCATCAGTGGCAATGGGAGACTTGTGGGGTGGGAAGGGGGCTGGGGAAGGGCAGGTGGGAGCTTCCGTGGGAGGAGAAAAGCATGCAGTTCCTTTGAATCTGCTTCTTGAACCAATAAAACGGAATTCCTTCATACTTTGTGTAGGTGTTATGGTTGACTGGGAGGATTCCCTGAATTCAGATGGCTCTCTGCAAGCTGGAGACTGGAGAAAAGAAGCTTGTTTGAAAAGTGTTTTGCAATTGAACTGTGTCCGTTGTGTTTCCAACAAAAATACTTTCTAACGCAGTGTCGCTAAACGTTGGTTCGGTAGGCATGTGAACGAACTCTATACGCTCGGGGAAATAAGAAATGGATTTTATTAAGTTTATTAGCAGCTCAAAACATGATACTTCAACAGTGGGAGGAAAGTGATCCACCCACACAATTTGAGTGGAATGAGCATTTGGCTTTAACTACAGCTCATAAGTGAAACCTAAAACCTAGTTTTCCATCTGAAGACCTTTGGGGTCCATTTTTACACTATCTTGATCAAACCAGGAATGAAAGTTCAAGCTGGCTTCCTCTGGTGAAGGGTCCTGGAGTTTCTCCAGTCACACCTCTCCACATCAGCATTGCCTCGGGCTTCTTTTTCTCTCTCACTGTAGCTTAACTTGGCTCCCAACCAAGGATGCATTTCTACCAATCAGATGCCACCAAAGACCTCCCCTCTGGTAGCCGGCTGGGGTAGGGAGGCAGGGGAGGCCTGGGAGGGAACAGGGCAGGAGACTCATCTCTGAGGCCACTTTCACAGCACAGGGTGTCATTGGTGAACTCAGCTCCAGCCAAGATAAAAGGCTCATATCGTTTCTCTTTAAAGCATGAGCAGCAGGTAGGAAGATGCCTACCTTGTAGATGCCATGTTGCCCCGGCTGGTTTCGAAAGGAAGATGCCTACCTGCTGCTCATGCCTTAAAAAGCAATGATGTGTATGAAAATAATAACAACTACCAAAACATGCATTGAGAATGGGGCATGGGCTGGGCCATCCATAAGCACCTCATTCAGTCTTCACAACCACACTTGGAGGGATTTTCTATTATGATCTTCCTTTTACAGAAGAGGAAACAGACTCAGTAAGCAAGGGGAATGGCCCAAGGCCACAAAGTGGTGAATGGCAGGGCCAGAGCCTGATCCCACACTTCTCAGCCCAAGCCCTTGCTCTTGAATACCGAGTGCCAGCCTTTGTGGCTGCAACCAGCACTTCCTCTTGCAGCATTGGGTCTTGGATGTCTTGCCCTGGAATCACTTTGGGGTGCATTTAAAAATGTAGATTCCTGAACCCTGTGCCACGGGTTCTGATTTAGCAGGTCTAGGATGGTGTCCAGGAGTCTTTTTAACCTGTACCCCAGGTGATCCTGGAGTAGACAAATGTTTGTGGATCAATGCACTAGAGCTTGAGATGAGGGGTAGACATAGGTGGTGGAGGTTGCCAGGCCTGAGCTGGCAGAGATAGAGAGATACTCCTTAGAGATGATGAGAAGAAAGTGCAGGCTGGGGGTTTTGAGAAAATCTGCAGTAATATGGGACTCTAAAAGACTCTACTACCCTGTGCAAGACCCCCCTCCTCTATGAGCTTTCCTGTTCATGCTAATCCTGAGAACTTCCCATTCCACAGGTTTCTGCAGCTCTAATGTGGGTCCTACAGTCACATCCTACCTTATTTTACAGGTAGTTATTGCATAACTGCTATTTGCAAATATATGTCAGATTGAAATAAATGACAATACTTACATGCAAAGATGCTCAGGGCAATATTATTTATAATCACGAAAAATTGTAAACAAAATATCCAGTAGAAGATTAAACTGTGCAGACCTCCTAAACAATAGTTTATAACATATAAAATGTTCACATGCTGTCAAGTGGAAAAAGTAAACAACAATTCTATTTGCATGTTTTGTAAAAACCAAAAACAAAAGATTGGAAGAAAACATATTGAAAAGTTAGAATGGGTATCTTTGGGTGGCCAGATTACAGATGATTTTTATTTTCTTTGAAAGTTTTTCTGTTTTCAAGTTTTTAAAAAGAAACATATTACTGTCATATTAAAAATGTCATTAAAAAATCAAAGCAACAGGTCAGGCGCAGTGACTCACGCCTGTAATCCCAGCACTTTGGCAGGACGAGGTGGGCAGATCACTTGAGGCCATGAGTTCGAAACCAGTCTGGCCAACATGGCAAAACCCCGTCTCTACAAAAAATACAAACAATTAGTCTGGCGTGGTGGCCCGTGCCTGTATTCCCAGTAACTCAGGAGGCTGAGGCGGGAGAATCACTTGACGCGGAAGAATTGCTTGAAGCTGGGAGGCGGAGGTTGCAGTGAGCTGAGATGGTGTCACTGCACTCCAGCCTGGGCAATGGAGCAAGCCTATGTCTCCAAAAAAAAAAAAAAAAAAAAAAAAAAAAAAAATCACAGCAACAAAGAAAGGGTGAAAGCAAAGGCAAAAGAGCTTTTCCTCCAGGAATAAGTTGGAAAATGGGCAAGTTGTGTGTGGAATAGTTACTCCTCTTCCCTCCCAGCACTCATCACATAGCAATTTTGTGTCATGGAAGTTATGCTTGACTGACTGTCTCTCTGCTACAGGGTGAGGCCCAGGGCATGTCCTGCTTGGTCACCCTTGTACCTACAGTAGCTAATGGAGGCCTACACTTGGCTGCCTCTGAATTAGTATTTGTTGAATGAATGCATAATGATGCATCTTTTTTTTTTTTTTTTGAGGCAAGGTCTCACTCTGTCACCCAGGCTGGAGTGCAGTGGCGCAATTTCGGCTCACTGCAGCCTTGACCTCCTGAGCTCCAGTGATCCTCCCACCTCAGCCTCTTGAGTAGCTGGGACTACAGGCACACCACCATGCCTGACTAATTTTTTGTACTTTTTGTAGAGACAGGGTTTTGCCATGTTGCCCAGGCTGGTTTTGAGCTCTGGGACTCAGGGATTCTCCCGGCTCGGCCTCCTAAAGTGCTAGGATTATAGGTGTGAGCCACTGTGCCCAGCCAAATGATACATCTTAAAGAAAGCAGGCTTACATTTGCCTTTTATTGCTGGATATCTCTATTGGCCTATTAGGGGCTAATAGAGAGAAAAAAATATTTTAATGACATATTCTAGATTCATAGACCAGATTTCACCTCTCCAACTAAGCTAACAGTACCTAGAGGGCAGGGCTTCCATCATATGTAGTATTTCTGAATTTTCCTGAACACCAGTGTTGGACATGTAGTAGGTGTTTAATAAAGACCGGCTTTTCTGATGGAGATCACAGCAGAAGGAAGCATGCCCGCTGAGAGAAGACAGCCTCCTGGATGCCTCCCCCAGAGTGCAGGCATGACTCCAGTGTCATGTAGTCGGAGCCAGCCTGCCTAAGTGTAAATGCTGCGTGGAACTGAATGGCTGATTTTGTTTGCTGAGAGAGGCAACTAGGTAGCCCGGGATCTTTATCTGCAAAAGTAGTCATGCCGTAACACACTGCCCCGCCCCACCCCTTTTGGAAAAAGATTGATAAGCATAATGATGATGTTTTAATGAGCTTAATTGCACATTCCTTATGTGCCTGTGGAGTTGCCAACCAGCTAGTTCCACATCCAACAGTTTACTTGTAATAACTTTTACCCCTTTCTCCACGCCACGGAGCATAATTATTCTTGCGGTGATCCCGTAGTTCAGCTCTTTCTCCCTCTCCTCCCCTCCCTCTCTCTTTTTCTCGCTGTTTTTTTCCTTTCTGGGAATTACTCTAAATGGGTATCTTTGAAAGGAGGGTGGCAGGCTGCTTTTGGTACAGTACTTACCAAGAACCCTTTCATCAAAGAAGCCCTTGTGAGCATGCTCTGGACTTGGGCCAATCAGATCATCTCGCTGTCTGTTTCTGACCCTGGTATGCAAGTCAAGCCAGAGACTGCAGACAGGCTGACTGCACTCCTAGGCCAACCTGTCTTAGCTGACTGAAAAAATGCTGAGGGGAAAATTACCTGTTTGGCTCCAGACGAAATTAACATTTTTTATATATATACACACAAGTATGTTTATTATTTTTTGTTTAAAAGCGTTTGCCTATCTAATATATTCATTAATGTTATCTGGTCAGTACTTGAAACATTTTGAAATATGTGCAAATGCAATAAGGCTACAGGGCCTGGAGGCAAAATAAGATGAATTTTCTAATTAACTGACAGAAAACTGTTTTGGGATTAACGAATGGCTGTTCTGTAATCTGTTTATGGGCGCTGCTCCGTGCAGGGACATTTGGTCCACGTGCAGACCCTGGTAAGTTATAAGGACCTGGATACCAAGCACTCCTACTTCTCCACTATTCTTCATTAACCCACTCTCCACCAGGAATCAAGTACTGAAGGTGGATAGTGTGGCCCCCACCCTGGCAGATAATGGCCTCTTCCCAAAGAGCATCTGCTGGGGTCTGCTTTCCCAAGCGGGCATCTTTCTGCTATGGGTGGCAGATATGTCACAGAATTTGAAGCATACTTTTCTTTCTTTCTTTCTTTCTTTTTTTTTTGAGACAGTCTCGCTCTGTCACCCAGGCTGGAGTGCAGTGGCACAATCTCGGCTCGCTGCAACCTCCACCGCCTGAGTTCCAATGATTCTCGTGCCTCAGCCTCCTGAGGTAGCTGGGATTACAGGCGTGTGCCACCATGCCCGGCTAATTTTTGTACTTTTAGTATAGACAGGGTTTCGCCCTGTTGGCCATGCTGGTTTTGAACTCCTGGCCTCAACTCCTGCCTACCTTAGCCTCCCAAAGTGCTGGGATTACAGGCATGAGCCACCGCGCCCAGCTAAGCAAACCTATCTTCTGAACAGCCTTGGAAACCTTTGAGCCCCAGTCCCCAAATCATCTTATGAACACATTTTTGACATTTTCAGAAAAATGTCATCATTGAGGAATATATTTTATAGTCTCCATTTGAGAGAAGTACTAATTCTTTTCCTCTTTCCTAGACCGATTCTAGTTTGTTGCCTTCCCTTTCCTCGGAAACCCCAAGTTTGTGGATGCTGCAGACACTCTGTGCCCCCCTGCATGCTGGGTGCCTGGCCAGCTGCCAGGGCATAAAGACAGAGACGATGTGGCCTTTGTCCTTAAGAATGAGGTTTGAAAGCCTCAGTTCTTCCATGTTAGGTGATTTCTTGCAGCTCTTGGTATCTGCAGAATTAGTGTGAATGCTTAAAAAATATTAACAGCTTTATATCATCAAAGTTTTAACAGTACACTGTGTGTACAGGTGAGAATTACTGTGTCGTGAACTTTTTCTTTGTGGTTTTCAGAATTTTCCAGAATTTCTACAATGAACTTTTACTTTTGTAGATAGAAAAGCAGCAGTTAAGAAGAAACTTCCTGGGAGCACTGAACAGGCACATTCCTGGATTCTACAGAGAATCAGTTGACAGACAGCAGGCTGGGCAGGAGTCAGTCATGGTAGAGGGAGTCTGAATCGAAAGGGGGGGATTTTAATGAGCGGGGCGGCCTGAGGATCACAGCTGGCTTGGGCTAAGTTCCTGGAGTGTTAAATCAAGTAATAACAAAAACATGACTACATTTTACATAGGAGATTTCATAACTTCCTGAGAAGTCAACAGTCCCTTTCTCCGTGGGTGTACCTTCTAAGGAACCTCTACGTGCTTGCTTTGGGCTTAACATTTTCCCAAAGTTTTCTTGTTTTTGCAGAGTGCAATGTCCCGAACAGAATGACAGCTTTATTTTCTCTCGCGGTCCAACTTACACACTTACATCAAGTTGCAGCAAGACGTCTGCGTGCTGGATCTCTTCCTGGCTCCACAATCCTGACCTGTGCTGTGTATACTGTTCTTCTTCTTACAGTTTTAGACTTGATGGTGGAAAGGATGCTTGGAAATTCTCTTGGTTTGATTCATTCTGACCTAAAGGGTTTCTTTCCAAAAGGGTTTTCTTTCTCTTTTATAAGCCCCACAAAGTCAAGGATATAAGCTGAAATTGAGGCTTTCCCAACCGTGAGAGAAAGAAATATCAAATTCTTTTCATATGAATATATTCACGAAAAATAATCATACTCTGCTCCTGGCGACTTCAACTCTGGGTGGGCAGAACAGAAGTCTGGGGAAAAAAGTCTATTTTTGCTCTTGCATAGTCTCTTTTCCCTTACCAGGGGAAAATAGCTAATTTTCATCACCAAATTATATCTCCGAATGGCCAATGAAAACAATGATGGAAAAAATTCTTTGCAAATAGCGCACGCCATGCTATCCACTATCAGATAATAGTAATTACAGGTTTTGTCTCAAGAGCAAACAATAACCCTGGAGGGAAAATTCTCTCTTTTTAAGGAGAATAAACTCTTTCTAGGATTTGCATACTTTCTCCCTCTCTGAGGATAGTAATTTTGGGAAAAAAACAAAAAATAAAAGACAAACTTAATCCCTTTCTAGAGTTGACAAAAGTGTCTTGGGGACATCTGTTCTTTCTGATTATGAAACTCCAGGTTGTATTATTATTATTATTATTATTATATTTAAAAGAGTAAAGTTTCTTGGCTGTTTCTCTTATGTGTATAAACCTGGCAAAGGATTATTTTTTCAAAAATAAGTTGTTGAGTCTAATAGCTGATAACATCGCAAATCTGTATATGTTACAGGTAGAATGTTCATATAACACCATTGCCTCAGGGCTACATCTATTTTATAAACTCTGATCCTTTTAAAGGTAATTTTTTTCCAATGTATAATTAAATCTAATTTAATTTAGAAGAAATTTTATGTAAGATACACATACAAATCAGGGAAAAAAAACCGTTTTTCAGGCTTCATGTCTTTCTTATTGATTTGTAAAATGTAGCTTCGGAGTCCACAAATTATAGACCTCTATCATACAAAAAAAAAGGGCATTGGTAAAAAACAAGTCCATGTAAGTGAGCTGAAGTACCAAAAATAAGTCTACACTATACCCAAAAGAGACTGCCAAGCCACTGTAACCCCAATGGGATGAATTTTAAGGTAGTAAATAGCAGAACACCAACCAGGCAGCAGAATTCTTTCTTCCCCAAACACTAATACTGTAGTGTGATAGTTCAATACAGAAAACAATCCATAGTTTCCTAAGTGGAGGCAACATCTATTCTAGAAGCTGTTCTTCACCTAGCTAAAGCAAATGGGCCTTATAAAAACCCTGGCAGCCACAGCAGAAAGAAAATACATTTTATTAAGTGGGCGTTTTTCCAAAGCATGTTCCCCCTGAAGGAGAATCATACCTTCAGCATTTCAAAGATTTCTCAAATAGCACAAAGGTCAAAAAGTTTGAGCAACAGAAATGCAGTGGGTGAAATCTCCAAGCTATTCTTTCAGCAGCTGTGGCTGGTGAAGCTGACTCCCCGGTAAAGAGATATCAGCTCTGCTTCAGACTAGTCGATAATGTAATCAGAATAGCACAAACCTGGAAAAGACAGAGGGGGATCAGAGGACAAAATGGAATCAGTATGACAACAGAGAAGGGGACCCTGGCTGGAGCCAGGCTGGATTCAGTCCTGGTAGCTCCTGACTCTGGGTCTCACCACAGCTTAGTTGGGAGGAACTGGTCATTAGCATCTGCAACCCTCTCATAACTGCATCTTCTCGTGTTTTTTCTATACCTGTTTTCAGCTTATAGTTTTACATTACCTGTGTATGGTTATGTCTATACCATGACTTTGGTTCTTCTCAGCTTGAGAAGACAGACCTGACTTCCCTGAGTTCTAAGTTAAAAGAACTCTTTGATTACTGTTAAATTGATGTATCTGAACATGTGTAATCACTTCCCTGATACCTATACTGGATAAGACTAGGTAAGTTGTAGCTATTAGAGAATGCCGTGCAACCTCTGCCTACCACACCACCATGTGAATTCACCGTTGAGCAAAGGAAGCAAAGGCTCCCACCTGCCAGGATTTAAATACCTCAATGTGATTGTGTAACCAATGAGAATAGTTGGAGATCAACTCCTCACCTCTGCAGGATGCGACATTAAATTGACCCTTTCATGTGGCTTGCTTTCTGCACTATTCTATAATGTGTAATCTCTAGTAGAGTACTATAACTCCTAGGTTCTTGCTCTATTTCCTTATTTCAGTGGAGTGATGGACAATTTTATCCCCTTTATTGGTCCTATTTACAAAAGTGGCTACAATTGCCTCCAAAGAAACTACACATTTTAGAAGAAATGGATGATATTTTAAATTATGTCCTAACTGCATCCCCATGAGATGTGGGCAGCTGTCTCTTGGTCTAGAAGCAAAGATGCAGCTTGCAGGGCTTTTTTTTTTTTTTTTTTTTTTAAACAGTTAATTACTGAACATTGTTGCTTTCCTCTACATGATTAGGGAAACAGCAGGGAGTTAATTATTGAGTACCTACTGTGTGCCTGGCCATGCCAGATGTGAGGTCACAGAAATGGCGGTGGTCTACTCCCTGCCCTCAAGTAGCCTGCTCTCTCTACGTGCCCTGGCAGGTCATTGGGGTCTCTGCTAAAACACACACCACATTCCCAGCAAACCTTTCTTCAACCCTTACATAATCTTAATTCTGTCCTCTTAAATCTTACCACAGTCGTAATTCTTTTCTCTCCCTTCAAAAGATAGGTACTTCACACCAAACACTAGCTCAAGCACTGACGTTATTCTACAGGACTATGAACCTTCATATCCACATTTACAGTCCGGACAGATAAAGGAAAACAACCCAAATCCAGGAGGCAATATAAAAGGAAGAGAACAAAACACACATTCATACACTCACACTTAAAAATAGGGGAAAACCAACAGGGGAACTTTCGTTCTCTTCCTGGATGTCTACTTAAAAATCCCATGTGGTACGTGTGTCTGTGGAAACCTTTGTTATCTCAAAGATAGTGAGATACTAAAGGCCGAGGTTGCCATGGGACACACAGTATTTGCTTTTTATTCTATTGCACAATATCTAATTACAGAGATCCTGATAAAATTATGCATTCCTAAGCACAAATTATGGCCATTCTACAGGAGACTTAGTGTACATATTTTGTCAAATTTCATTAAAAAATAAATGAGGGATGACTCTGCAGAGTATTAGGGATAAGCAGTCTAATAAGACTCAGTCCTTTCCAAGATAGAATTCTCTTGAACTCGTAGTTTGGGCTGTAGGAGTATCCTAGGTGAGAGGCAGCTCAGTTAGTTTGTTCTCCCACAAAAGCTTAAGTTGAAACTCTAAAGCCCTTTCTGCCATTAGAGTGTTGCACAAGACACAGATTTAAAAATCAGTCTTGGCTAGGTGTGGTGGCTCACATAATCCCAGCACTTTGGGAGGCTGAAGAGGAAGGATTGCTTGTGTCCAGGAGCTCCAGACCAGCCTGGGCAACACAGTGAGACCTCCTCTCTCAAAAAACAAGCAAACGAGAAAACCAAAAAAAAAATTACAAAATTAGTCAGGCATGGTGGTGCATGCCTATAGTCCTAGCTACTTGGGAGGTTGAAGTGGGGAGATCATTTGAGCCCAGGAGTTTGAGCCTGCAGTGGGCTATGCTCGTGCTACCGCACTCCAGTGTAGGCAACAGAGTGAGACCCTACCTCAAAAAACAAAAACAAAAACAAAACTAAAAAAAAAAAAGTCAGTCTCTTTGTTTCTCCCCAAAGACAATAATTGATTTAATCCCATGGAAGGCTGAGCTGGTCTTTTGATAAGATAACATGTGACAGTTCCTCCTCATTCATCTCTACCTCCAGGTAACTACTAACCTGAAGCTTGTCCCTGTTTTTATACTTTTACTACATATATATCAACATGCATAATACTTTGTGTATAGCATATTTGAAAATTATCTTTTGACTCAATGTAAGTTTCAAACTGCATATATGTGTGCATGGTTCACTTAACAGCTATATAGTATGCTACTGCATCGACCCTCTTCCCAAATGATGAACATTTATGTTGCTTCTAAATTTCTGCTACTCCAGTGCTGCAAAAAATGCCTGGGTATATGGCCTCTTGTCAGTATCTAGAAGGATTTTTCTTGAAGTCTTCAAACTAGAGCATAGCTAAGTTTAAGGGAACTGATTTCCAGGTCCCTCCTATATGTATTATTTGCTAAAAGCAATCCAGGTATCTTGCAGTTCTTTTCCCTCTCTTTCCTTAAATGCCTTCTCCCACTTTACTAAGTAGCTCTGCCTGAAGTGTAAAAACCTCCATAGAGGCAAACAGGCAATACGAAGGACTGCTGTAAGCAGCTACTCCTTTCATCAAGGGCCACAGATCCCAGCTACAGCTCTGAGTTTCCTCCCTGTCTTACACATATTCCTATCAAGGGTGAAGCAGCATTCAACCCTTGTTGGGATGATCTGAATTCAGATGTATTGTAGACTAGGGTGGTGCAACTTTTGACAATCTTCATTCATGGTTTCACGTTTTCCACCCCCTACCCTCATTTTCAAAGAATGTAGTTTTTCTGAGAAAGTCTTGTGAGGACAAAGCAAATAGAGTGTCAGTAAGCAGTACTGAAGGTGGCAGTGCCTTCTGCCCCATATGCCAAATTCACAGACAGGCTTAAAGCTCCACACTCCATAAATCCACCTAAGGCCACTGGACTGGCTTCGCAACTACCCTAGAATTAGAACAGAAGTGATGTGGTTGTCCTTGGTTCATGTATTAATGCATATATTTAAACAGAAAAAAAATCATGTCAGACTTGTTCTGTTAGAAAATCAGTCTACCTGGTTGTTTTATTTGACAACGAAGATTGGTTTTACTCATTGGGTCATACGGTAGACTTTTCCATAATTCGAATGAACTAAATCTGTAACTCCAAGGTTTTGATAAGAATATACTTAAAGCATGTAAGACAAAACATTTTCTGCTGGGAGCAGTGGCTCACGCCTGTAATCCCAGCACTTTGGGAGGCTGAGGCGGGTGGGTCACGAGGTCAGGAGATCGAGACCAACCTGGCTAACACGGTGAAACCCCGTCTCTACTAAAAATAAAAAAAAAAAATTAGCCGGGCATGGTGGCGGGCATCTGTAGTCCCAGCTACTCAGGAATCTGAGACAGGAGAATGGCGTGAACCCGGGAGGCGGAGCTTGCAGTGAGCCGAGATCGCGCCACTGCACTCCAGCCTGGGCGACAGAGCGAGACTCCGTCTCAAAAAAAAAAAAAAAAAAAAAAAGGTTTCTAAATTAAAAAAAAAAAAAGAGTAACAGGTGTCATTTGTGTGTGGGTTATTTGTACATGTGTATAATTATCCAGGGCACATCTTGGCTTTCAGAATAAGTAATAAAGGACTTGTTGGGCAACTTCCCTGCATCTCTGCTGTGGAATATAAATCTGGAGAAAACTTGACTGGCTCAGGTAATGTGACAACATGTGTTTTTATAGATGAGTCCCCAACTGTACGAATAAAATAGAGTTAATTTAAATAGCTTTTTTAGTGTTCTACACTGAAAATCTAGCCACCTGAGAAAAATGGGCAAAGCCTCTCTGGCTATTGTTGTTTTCAGTACCAGTACAATTTCCAAATGCAACCCCAAATTGGATTGCTGTATGACTAATCTAACATTGTGTATTTAGGCTTTGCCGTGGGAGGTACCTGTCTGGGTGGGTGATGTTGCCCTGAGCCGGGCATGTCAGCAGCCTATGGTGGAAGGGGTCTCTTGTCAGGAATCCTAGTGCTGGCTCCACCAAGATTAGCTGAGTGACCTTTAGCAAGTCACTTCCTCTACCTGGGCCTCAGTTTCTCCACCTATGAGATGAGGGGTTGGAGCACACATTCTCCTAAGGCTCCCTGTTGTCGCCTTGACCCATCACTTCCTCTCCGCTTTGGTCTAGGAGTCCAACGTCCAGGACCCTGTCTGGGCGTTGGATTGCCACTGTACCCTCCAGCCGGGCCATATGAGTGTGGCTGCCAACCCTGGAAACTTCAAAAACTTCCTAGGGAAATTGCTAGGTACAACTGAGAAACACATGGGGAACCTTGTTCCAGCCCCCAAAGGGGCAGCACTGAACTCTGAGTTTGCCAGAAGGAAGAAGCCATACTCTCCGTATTCCTCTTTGAGGGCCTCCTTCTACACAACCCAGTCTCCAGGTAAGGGTGAAGAATCAAGCATGTATCAAGCCTTTCGGGGACCAATACATATTTATTTTGCTCCCTTACCAATATTCTTATGTTTTATTCTAGGCACCCCAAGAGAAAACAAAACAAAACAATTACGGTCATCGGCCACCTAACAACGTTTTGGTCAACAACGGAAACTATAGTTATAATACAGTATTTTTACTGTAACTTTTCTATGTTTATATACACAAATACTTAACCATTGTGTTATAACTGCCTATCGTATTCAGGACAGTAAAATGCTGTACATGAGTGTAGCCTAGGCACTATAGGATATACCTTACAGCCTAGGTGTGTAGTAGACTTTACCATCTAGGTTTGTGTAAGCACACTCTGTAATGTTCGCACAACGATGAACTCTCAGAACGTATCCCCGTCATCAAGCAATGCATGCTAATAAGAATACTTGTGGCAGATGATAAAAACAGCTCCTGTTTGCTTTACCCACATCACAGGTAACATTCAGAGAGTGTCTTAAGGCATTCCCCATTTATGGGAAGTGTTTGGAGGCCCGGTGGAGTCCCGAGGAGGGAAACAGGAATAAGATTCAGATGGACCTCACTGTGTAACAGTGGATAAATGCACAGGCCCCCGAATCTGACTGCCCTAGTTCAAATCTGGTCTCCACCACTTGTTGGCTGTGTGACTGCGCTGGGTAAGTGACTGGATCTCTCTGAGTCTCACTGTCTTCATCTGTAAATTGAAATAGCCCCAGAGGGTTCTTGTGAGGATTAAATGAGATAAGGACTGTAAACATTCTTGGCCCAGGGACTGTAAGAATGATAATATTATTAACATATTTTTATCATGCAACCTTCTAGTTCGGACATATTAGAAAGTGATTCCATTGACTTGTTTAGTAGGAAAATCTGGCAGATAAGAAGTCAAATCCATCAGCCGTGATAGCAGCCAATGTTGAGTTTTCTTTCTCCCTAGGAATTTTTTCCATTATAAAATGGGAAGCCAAGTCAAATTTGCTCAGTTAATTTTGGCCTGAGAGGTGCTCTTAGGACCCTCAACATTTGTCTATAAGGTCAGGCTTATCGGTTCACGCTTGTTAGCGTGGAAAAACTCCTTCCCTATCACAGTTTCTGCCACTTCCCTTATCCTGTCTTTCTTCTGGAACAAGTGGCCTTGCAAGACACTTCACTCCCTGTTTTGGCAAACACACTTGTTCTGTGAGAGCGAGTTCCGCCCATGTGTACAGCGGTGGGCTGCACACACCAGAGGGTTTATCAGACAGAAAGGCTTTTTTCTGTAGGTGCCAGGGCACTGAAAGCAGGGTCGCTGCTGGCTGTCCCCCTTCTAATTAAGAGTGTCCCACCATTTCTGAACTGTGACTCTTAGGGACACCAGGATAAACCTAAGGACTGTACTATATTTATCAGTCCTTGGGGCATGCTGAGAAATACTCCCAGATGAATGAGGAGCAACATGGTTTCTAAAACATGGGTGGAGTAGAGGCAGTGAGTTTTGTTTCGTACAGATTTATCTGAAATTCTATATCATAAAATTGATTTCAAATAGACATGAAATTCCAGAGTCTTCAAGGAAGTTGGCCCAAATATGATCAAGAACACAGCAAACCTGTTTTGAGACTTAGATGTCCATTTTTTCTGTAGCAAATGTTGACCAATGGCTATGTACTTACTGAGCACTAAGGTGGGATAGGGAAGGGAAAGGTTTTGTAATACAAGACATGAATTAGCATAATTTAAAAGATTCTTAAATTGGCCTCTAAAGACTTGAGTTTAAATCCTAGCTCTGTCTCTTGCTACCTGAGTAACCTTGCACAAATCTGCTAGGAGATTCACATGTGGCTTCTCAGCTTCATTCTGGGCTTCAGGGTCAGTCCTTCACTTGTTTGGGCTCCTTCCAAGGTCCTGAAAGAGGTCTTAGCAATATGTTCACTTGGCCAAATATCTTTGTAAAAATAAGATACAGTAACTGCAATGCATGGTTAGGACGACTGACTTTCTACTATTCCCTTTCATGTTGGACAGCATCGGTGTGGCTGTGAGCACTTTTGGGATCCAGCTAAGGGGAAGCTGAGTTAGGGATAATTTACTTTGGATGTAGTGGGATAGATTCACATGTCCACAGTCATTTCCATGTCTGGTTAAATCACTGTCAGCTGTGTTGAGCTGGAGATGGTCAACTCATGGAGTACTGGGACACAAAGGTGCAGGCTCAGAGGTCTTACTGTAATGTGAACATAGTGAGAGCACTCGACACTGGAGGTACGTGGGTGGCACAAAAACAAAATGTATAGAGCCAGAAACTAGTCTGAGAAAAAAAAATCCAAATCCTACAGCTCATATATAGACAAAAAGTGAGAGATATGTTCATTTGACAACAATCTTAAAAACTTCCACGACATTACTAATACTGAACCACAGAGCCAAAGAAGCTTTTATAAAACTTTCAATCATTAAAAAAAAAACAAGTTTTGATCAACCATGCTAGAGGAAGAAGTTAACCCTCTTCCTACTCTCTCCACAAAAAGTCATAAAATAATTATTAGGTGAAGAAATGGCCAGGGATTATGCAGCCAAAAAACATAGGGAAAAAAAGTATTACATATGTGTCAATCAGTTAATTAATAAAACTACTTTTTTCCTGCATTTTATGGTGCCTGTAGTATTTGCCTGCTTTAAAAAATGTATTGTACTTTCTTTTCTTGACCTAGACAATCATTAACTTTCATAACTTACTGAGTTTAATGTTTCTTTCAGGGAGTACCCCAAACTGTAAATGCTTCAGGTCCCACAAAACCTGTTCTACCCCTGGATATCTCAGTTTGCTGTGAGGATGAAATGAGACAAGATGCTGAACGTGCTGGATCTGCAATGTAGCTGGCTTCTAGTAAGAGCTCCGACAGGGAGGGATGTCGATGCACAGCTAAGGGACAACATCGAAAGTGCAATAGTAGGCCAGGCGCCTTGGCTCATGCCTGTAATCCCAGCACTTTGGGAGGCGGAGGTGGGAGGATTGCTTAAACCCAGGAGTTTGAGACCAGCCCTGGCAACGCAGCAAGACCTTGTTTCCACAAAAAATTTAAAAATAAGTCATGCATGGTGACATGTGCGTGTAGTCCCAGCTACTTGGGAGGCTGAGGTGGGAAGATCGCTTGAGCCTGAGAGGCCAAGGCTACAGTGAGCCATGGTTGTGCCAGCCTGGGCGACAGACTCTGTCTCAAAAAAAAAAAAAAAAAAAGGAAGAAGAAGAAAATGTAAGCATGTAAGCATATGCCATATGTTCCATATCACTTCCGGCAGAATCTGGGGGTAGAACACCATAACCAATCACTGATATTTCTGCAAGGAAATATTTTTAAATTTCTAGCCAGAACTTTTATCAGGTTTATCTGTATGGTTGTGGCAAGAGAGTGGACGCTGAATTGGAGGGGGTTGAGAATTAAGGCAGGGAAGCTAATTCTGAGGCTAAGCTAATAGCTTATACAAGAGGAGATGTGAGCTTGATTTAGTTTTTTTCTGTAATGTGCAAGGGACATTTGTCTCCCTGCTATGAGGCTGACCCACATAAAATTGACATTTCCGTAAGTAGAAAACAAGTGAATACTGGCAATTTCTTATGGTTCAAATATCTGGAATATTAAAAACACAAACCGACAAAGAAAAAGTCCATTCTTCCTCCCTGAGTATATCATCCCTGTTTCCTTTCACAGGGAGGGTCCCAGTATTTGATGTGGATTTCTTCAAGGTGCTGCAGACTTGGTCTTATAAGGAAACTTGAGGTTGAACAGGGGCTTCACTGTATTTGTAAAATATTAACTCTAAAGCTTATACCAGGAAGAAAGGTGTTCATTATATTATGTCCTATATTTTTTATTTCTAAAATATTTGATTGAAAATGTATATAACCGAAATAATTTTTTTCTTTTTAAGAGTGTTCTCTCTGGAGAGGCAAAAAGGAGACACAGCAGAAACTTCTCTTGACTATTCCACTGGGGTGGGAGGTTCCTGAAACTTGGGTTTGCCATGTGGAGTTTAAATCCAAACCTCAGGAGACTCCAACCTTCCAAAGGCAGAGAGGGTTGGGCATGAAATATCTCCCCCCTGGCTCATGAATATGTCTAAAGGGCGCTGGCCAGCTGGGGCGGAAGTGAAATGAGTGGAGGATGTTGTTCATAGTTAATGGTTACTGGATATTGACGACTTGCAAGGAGAAACCACACTGCAGGAGGGACTAGCCCGGTCCTTACCAAGTACACAGCCAGCCCCAGCCACAAAGTGGAAGGCAATCCTTTTGTTACGAGTACCTCCAGATGATGGAGTGAAATAATGAAATAAATAAAAAGATTACTGCATGAGTCATCTCTGGAAAGTAGTAAACATTGTAAGCCTGACGAGTTTCATCTTTTGTAAGAGTTAACATGAATGAAGACGATTTATAATGGGTCTGCTCATTGTTGCAGGGGAGCATTCACAGACTTTGATGGGATGGTACGTTTAACCTCTGAGTCCTAATAATGTTCTATTTTCCAGACGAACTCAAGGCTTGTCATATTCTAGACCTGGAAAGCGTAAATGGTATTATCTTTGTATATACAAATAAAAATCAATTCATTTTCCAAATGTTTAATTCATTCAGGAAGACACACACACACACACACACACACACACACACACACACACACACGAGAATAGGTCCCAGCTAAATCAACAACATTAGCAAATCTCCTCTTGCTTATCAAATCAGGATATATCAGGTTCAATAAAGGTGCCTGGCTTATAAATCTACAAATAAATAGTTATTTTCCTTAAGAGCATTTTGATTTATTATCTCAAACTGTATTTCCTGTTCATTTATCATAGCTTTTTGTAACTCTCCCCTTAAATGGAAGGAAGTAGTACATCTGTAAAACAAAATATCTCAATAAACCATATTCTCTGAAGTATAAATGGACATTTTCTTCTTGTGAAAATGATCATAGAACAGAGATGCCAACTAGAAATCTTTTCTCTGTCATATTTTTAAAGAAATACCAACCAAAGGCTGCATTTTCCTACAAACTTGACATCCTGAAAGGAGATCTGTATAAAGCATTAGAATTAAGCAAACCATTTAGCAGCCTCCACTCCTGGACTCTTTCGAGACATTTGTGGAACACATCTTCTCAAATCTAATAATCTGCTTCACAATACTAGAGGGAAGAAAAATAGTTTTGGGTTTCTTATGCCCTAGGGATACAACCACATCTCAAAGCTGAGTTTCAGGCTCAAAACTCTTATTTCCTAGCAACTCTGATAATCTGACCTGGCTAGGAAGGCTAGGATGCTGGGGTTCTGTATCAAGCTGTTTACTTAACACATGTCACATCTAAAATAAGGATTGCTTTAGTTGAAAAAGCAATTCATTTATAAGTGTGCATTTATAAGGGCAAAAGTCAAGGCAACTGTGCAAACCACTTGTCAACTTATTTAGAGGAAATTGTGTAATCAACTTAACGTGCCAGTTAGCCTTTACCTGCCAGGTCAAGCTCAGAGTGCCTGTCAGTCACCACATTAGCCTATTAATCACTCTGCAGGAAATTCCACATTTTTCTTTAGATCAAACTACAGAAAGTAAAGTGGGAACGGAATCTAGAGAGGATTTCCTATTCGTTTCTTTGTTTCCTTTGACTTGCCTGATGTTTCATGATTTATTTATTTTTTTTACTTGCTTGCTACAGAATTTAAAATAGGTTCAAAATGATATATCTCAATATGCATTGCTAAAGGGACTTTTATTGCACAAAGGTAAATCTAGGTATTTGATGGCTGGGTGCCAACTGACTGCTGCAGATTCCAACCAGAGATAGAAAGCATTGACACTGTTGAACAAGTAACAGATCTTTCATTCCAGGAAAGAAAAAAAAGATATAAGCTATTAAATTGAAAAGCATTTCCCCCTTTTTTCTACGCTGGTAAAAAAGTTCAGATATGTTGATTTTTGAAGATATCCTAATTTTAAGTATAATTTTTAAAAACTCACCTTCAAATACCTTAAAAATTTTTTTATCTGAAAATATCTTCATTCATCTTCATTTGTAAACAGTTTTATTGAGGTATGATTCACATACCATGCAATTCACCCATTTAAAGGGTAAAATTTAAGAATTTTTAGTGTGTTCACTGAGTTGTACAATCATCATCAATATCAATTTTAGAAGACTTTCATCACTGCAAAAGAAACCCCAATATCCGTTAACAGTCACTCTTTTGTTTTTTAGTTTTTGAGACAGGCTGGAGTAAAGTAGTGTGATCCTGGCTCACTGCAAACCTCTGCCTCCTGGGCTCAAGTGATACTCCTGCCTCAGCCTCCTGAGTAGCTGGGATTACAGGCGCGTGCCACCATGCTCAGATAATTTTTCTATTTTTAGTAGGACGGGGTTCCACCATGTTGGCCAGGCTGGTCTTGAACTCCTGACCTCAAGTGATCTGACTGCCTCAGCTTCCCAAAGTGCTGGGACTACAGGCGTGAGCCACCGTGCCTGGCCCATTAATAGTCACTCTTAATTTCCCCTCTCCAGTGCTCTGTGACCACTAATAATCTACTTTTTGTCTCTATAGATTAGTTATTCCAGACATTCCATACAATGGATTCATAGACTATGTGGTCTCTTGTATCTGGCTTCTTTTACTGAGCATGTTTTCAGGTTTATCCATGTTGGATTAGTACTTCATTCCTGTTCATGGCTGAATAATAGACCACATTTTATTTATACACTCATCAGTTGCTGGACATTTGGGTTGCTTCTACTTTTTGACTATTATAAATAATGCTGTTATAAATATTCATGTATAAGTTTTTGTGTGGACATAGGTTTTCATGGGTCTTGGATACAGATACCTAGTAATGGAAATGCTGGATCATAGGGTAAACTCCATGTTTACCATTTTAAGTGATTGCCAAACTGTTTTCCAAAGTGGTGACCCCATTTTACATTCTCACCAGCAGCACATGAGCATTCCAATTTCTCCATATCCTTGTCAGCACTTGTTACTGTCTGTTTTATTTTAGCCATTCTAGTAGGTGGGAAGTAGTATCTCACTGTGGTTCAAATATCTTTTAAAGAAAATGTTCAAGGATGGGCATCGTGGCACACGCCTGTAATCCCAGCACTTTGGGAGGCCAAAGCAGGCAGATCACTTGAGGTCAGGAGTTCGAGACCACCCTGGCCAAGATGGTGAAACCCCTGTCTCTACTACAAAAATTAGCCATGTGTTGTGGGACGTGCCTGTGGTCCCAGCTACTCAGGAGGCTGAGGCAGGAGACTTGCTTGAACCTGGGAGGCGGAGGTTGCAGTGTGCCGAGATTGCACCACTGCACTCCAGCCTGGATGACAGCGCAAGACTCTGTCTCAAAAAGAAAGAAAGAAAGAAAGAAAGTGTTCACAGGGGGAATTCTGCATTGTTTTCCCATGGCCAGTATTTGTGAACACCAACTAATCAATGCTTACAGTATCCTGTACAGTACAAAGAATGGAAGAGAGTGCAGGAAACACAGATCAAGTCTACAAGATGATGGCTCGGAGGCTTGCAATGGTTGAGGTCTTATCTTTAATCTACAATGTTCTGAATTTCTAAACGTTTAAAAACAAAATGACGAAACCATTCACAAAGGGCATTCAAAGCTGCAAATTTTTGTGTTATTGTTTGGCATTTTCTTTGCATGATTTACTTTTAGAGAACAAACCCAGTCTTAATTGCAATGCATAATTTAAAAAAAATGATTAATTTTGCTTCTGAAGAGCCAATTGTAGCTACTGTTCTATTTGAGTAGCTGCCATGCTTATGTTTCCACTTTCTGGGGGCCTTGGCCCCAGCAACAAGAAAGATAATCCTCCTTTGTGGACATTCCCACAGTTAACTCCACACACATCTGGATGGCAGTTCAATAGTCCACTGTTATTCAAACAATCTGTAATCACACATACTATGTGTCAACCAACAAGCCAGGGTGTATGGCTTTTCAGTATTCCGTAGCATGCAGCACGCACAATTTACAAATAAAATAAAAATCTACAGCAGAGACAAGGGCACATTCTTTGCAGAGTAACTGAGTGAAAAGAATGTCTCTGTTGAAATACAAGACATCGCTTGTTATTTTGATGGTAAATGAAAAGAGGTTCGGAAAACCATATTTCATCTGTTAAGTCTCTTAACATGGAAGAGCACCATAGCTGTGGCATTGAAGAATCTGGGGCCATATGGTTTTTTAAGCTGGGCTTGAAGCAGAGATGTCCAAATAACCACCATTAGCATGTGGGACATGCAACTGACAAAATTCAACAGTATCTGTCTAAGGCATGATAGACTGGGGAAAATGGGGACCATGGACATCCTCACTGTGGGCAATTGTTTTTCTCATTACTTTGAGCTGGGAGGATATTGGGAGGGAGGAGTTGAGTTCAACCCCCCAAGTGGCTTGATTAACAATTTTGGAAACAAAGGGTTCGATAAGGCGGGAGGAAGTGAAGTTGAGCTTGTCCTGAGAAAACAGCACTGGGGACAGGCTCTCCACACACACAAGTATGACAAGGTGGCAGGAACAGCATGCCAATGTGCAAGCATCGTGAGACAGGGAGGTGTTGGGAAATGCAACCAGAGTGCAGCTGTGCAACATTCCACCTGCCTTGTCTGATTGGCAGCATGATGGCCTCTGACCCTGAGGGGCTGCATGCATCATTGGGAATCTGGAGTCCATTCAGAGCGAGTTCAGGCCGTGGAACGTGTTAAGCCCTCACTGCGGGATCATGCGGCTAGGTCACTGCTGAATTCCATAAGATTCAGGGACCAGATGATAAAGCATTTCTCTTCCATGAGGGCTTTCTCCTCAAGGCTTTCCCTACTGGCTTTCTGCCCACAACACCATAACTTGACTCTTGGGCTGTACTGAAAGCTTCTTAATAGAGGACAGCCCTCATTCCAAGGTAAACACAGTTCTGTCGTACTGTAAACTCAACAGTCTTATAAGAAAATAACCATTAAGATCCAGATGGCTCATGAGAGGAAGAAACTGTCACCATTTAATCAGACTGTATTGGGGAGAAAAGATTAATTTTACACTGAACTTTACATGTCTTGATTTCTCTCCACCCACAAAATATTAATTCCTTTAATATTTCAGATGTCCAGTCATTTATTTTCCAATTCATCAGCCGTTCACTGAGGACCAAGAACTGTGCTGAATCCTAGATATAAAGAAAAAGGAAACACACTCCCCGTCCTCAAGGATCTCCTAGCCTCAGAGGAGAGCCAAGTCTGTACAGAACAATCCATAATATAAACTGACAAATGCGTTATAGAGGAGAGTGAGGAAGCACAGAGGAAAGAATAGTTATTCTGCCTGAAGGCTTGGGGAGCTTCAGACAGAAGTTAACATTGAAGCTGGGCCTTGTGAGATGAGTGGGATCTACCCAGATGAAGGGACACGTGGGCACAGGGAACGTTAGGGGTGCTCGCCAGGGATGGTGCCACTTTACATATGGCCCAAATGAGGCCTCTCTGGTAAGACAACGAATCAGACTGGCTAGAAATCAGGTGAGGAATCTAAACTCCCTTCCTACATTCCATTCTCAGTATTCCATTTGCCCCAACAATTGACAAGGATAAGAATGAGATTGTGGTGCAGTGAATAATCCAAACTTCATTAACCAGACAAGACACTCATCTTGATCTCTGGACATCGGAGGACTTGCAGGAGGCCCTAAGCATCCCCGCCTAAATGTGCCTAGAGGGGACATACCTCCATCCTCAGCTCTCTCCCTCACACTCGCTGAAAGGCATCGATCCTACGGCTCAGCTATCAAACCAACGATAAACAGGAAAAGCAGAAAGAAATGCAAGAAAAATGACTCAGCAACAGAAAATCATCAATTTGTAATTTTTTTTTTTGATCTCCAGAAGTATGTCCTGAGAGGAAAGGCGGCCAGAGAGCTTTAATTTTCCAGATCACTGTAGGTCTCAGTGACCTTGACAGTCATCCGCACATGGATGGAGTGCTCTTGTTCTATTTTTGAGGTACCCCTGTGTTTCACACATAGAGGCTTTGCCTTCAGATCACAGAGCTGGACTAAGACCTTACATGCTGTCCCTGCCGCCCCCTGGGAATGCAGGCTCCTTGCTCACGATGTACCTAAAATACTGCACACCCCGTCTAAGGCATCCCAGGGAACAGAAGATGCGGAAGAGACTTTAAAAATTCAGCCTTATTATTTTGTTAGAACTTTTTTGTTCAGTTCATTTTTGTCATTTTTTAATTATCTTCTTATGGGACAAAATGAATAATCCACAGCTCATTTAAATTCCTCCTTTTAAAAATAATTGTTAGGGTTGGGCACGGTGGCTCACAAGGTTAAGAGATCGAGACCATCCTGGCCAACATGGTGAAACTCCATCTCTACAAAAAAAAAAAAAAAGAAATACAAAAATTAGCTGGGCGTGGTGGTGTGTGCCTGTAGTCCCAGCTACTTGGGAGGCTGAGGCAAGAGAATCGCTTGGACCTGGGAGGTGGAGGTTGCAGTGAGCCAAGATTGTGCCACTCCACTCCAGCCAGGCGACAGGGCAAGACTCTGTCTCAAAAAAAAAAAGAAAAAGAAAAAAAAAGAAAAAAAATTGTCCACTATGTAATGGGTTTCTCCCTTGATTATTACAGAATCATAAAGCTCTGGGATGGGAAGGGACCAGATAAATCACCCAGAACCACAGCACATTTGATGTCAGTTTCCCCTTTGATAGCATCCTTGCCAAGTACTCATGCACTGCGCATCTATAAATACTTCCACCAGCATCATCTCACTACTCATTTTCCGTCCAGGGCAGCTCTTTCAGTGAGAAGGCTTCTCATTGAAGGCACAATACGTGTTTGAGTAATTTCCACTGGCTGGTTCTGGTTCAAGCCTTTGGGGCCAGAGACAGGTTACATTGTTTTTTCACAGAACAACCCCTGTGAACAGTGAAGAGAAATCCTTATGTAGCATTTCTCACCATCCCTCATTGCTAAATGCACTAGTTTGTATACTTGTTTCCAATTTTGGCATTTAGAACAGCAGGCTTTGGTTTCTTATCAGAGGAGCCACTTTCAGAGTCATGCCTTTTCCTTGCATTCAATTTCTATCTTAACTCTGCGCTTGTCCCAACCAACCTAACTCGATTCCCTCATTCATCGCTTTAGTCCATCCATCCACCCACCCACCTACCCATCTATCCGTCTGCCCATCCAATACTTACTAAAAACTTACTACGTGCCGGGCACCATTCTTAGAGACTAGGGTTAGAGAGAGTAGTTCTAGAGACTAGTGAATAAGATAGACAAGGAATCTGTCCTTGCATAGCTTACAATCTAGTGGTGGTATATCACAATAATCAAGTAAATAAATGAAGAAAGGAAATAAATATGAGATATTAGGTAAGGTGGACAGAGAGTCTTTTTGAGGAGTGACAGTCAACTGAAATTTGAAGAAAAAGAAAAAGCCAGCCAAGTGAAGATCTGGAGGAAGAGCATTTGGGAAAAAAAAGTTATACATTTACATATATATATATATATATATATATATACACACACACATATATATGTAAAATATACTATATATAAAAATATAAAATATATTATACAGTATATAAACATATACTATATATAAATATAAAATATGTTTTAAAATATATGTATATTTTAAATTTCACCACTCAGAACAAAGTCATGTGCAAATTCTACTTTACCTGCATGTTGCAATGCCAAATTAAATTCGTTGTCCCCGTGTCTCTGTGGTCCATGAACATGTTGCTTTTCTCCAGAAATGCAATTAAAAAAGGTCTTGTGGCACTTGGAGTGCCATAGGGGACTCAGTGACCAGACTGACAGAATATTAATTTCAACTAAGTTGCAGGTTCCTGAGTAGTTGAGGAAGAACAGGGTATTTAATCGAAAAGCCAATTCACATAACCCAAGAGCAGGCTTTGTGTGTTCTAACCAATTAAACCTCCTCTAGTTTTTAACAGCTTTGTTTATGAAGCCCATATTGAAAATGAAATGTTTATTACAATTTTTTGAAGGTGAGGTATAGAACTTGGCAAAGTATTGATTAATAACTTGTGGATGGCTGGTGTAAGGAAACCAGTTTTGAACCCAGCTGTAAACAATGCCTCAGCAGAGTGTTTCAGCTCTTTGTAGGCTCAGAGCTTGCCAATTTGTAATTAGTTGCAGATTTTCAATTACTTCTCAGCAAACAAAATAGTTTTATTTGCATTGTTTACTCG
Organism: Homo sapiens; assembly: GCF_000001405.40. Lineage (NCBI taxonomy): Eukaryota > Metazoa > Chordata > Mammalia > Primates > Hominidae > Homo > Homo sapiens. The sequence continues at coordinate 112,735,412 of NC_000010.11, read as the reverse complement.
GCATTTAATTTAAAAGGAATCCGATTGATTGTTTTTAAAGAAAGATGAATTTGGAGGGTTGGGAGAAAATAAATAGGTAAATGTTTGAGTAGCCCTACATCTGTATTTTTGTTTTGAGTGAAACAAGTGTACAGGATTTGGCCTAAATTCAATCGAGTCTATCACACAATCTCAAAATGCCTCCTGTGCAATTTGTCAAAAGAGAGATTTTTGGCAACTGCATATAAAACTCTTGAGATTTGTAATGAAGAACATAATCAGAAGGGAAAAAAAGCAAAGTTGCATTTTCTGCGAATTAAAACTGGTAAATCACTGTGGGTAGCTTTAAATTCAACAGAAGATAAAAATAATTACTATTTTAAATGTTAGTCCTTGTTACTTTGCTTCAGACTGGTTCTCTCCTTGACTTGGGGTCCTTGTAGGCCCATGGTTTTTTCTTTGGAGAAGAAAATTCAAATCATTCAACAAAATATTTATTGAGGGCTGGGCGCAGTTGCTCATGCCTATAATCCCAGCACTTTGGGAGGCCGAGATGGGCGGATCACTTGGGGTCAGAAGTTTGAGACCCCATCTCTACCAAAAATACAAAAAAATTAGCCTGGCATGGTGGCAGGCGCCTGTAATCCCAGCTATTCGGGAGGCTGAGGCACGAGAATGTCTTGAACCTGGGAGGCGGAGATTGCAGTGAGCCGAGATCGCGCCACTGCACTCCAGCCTGGGCAACAGAGTGAGACTCTGTGTCAAAAAAAAAAAAAAAAGAAATTTATTGAGGACTTATACAATGGTTGCTGCTAGATATTAAAATGAGTAAGGCAAGATTTCTGCCTTCATGAAGCTCAGTATTTAATTGGAAAAGGACAGAAATTTACAAAGAGCCCTTTTAAAGACTGGCTGTGATAGGTATTATGATAAATAAAATGCCAGAATTAGGGAGAAAGGAGGAATTCACTCTGATTAATGGACCAGGGAAGGTGAGAAGGTAAAACGCAGGATTATAGAGGAGGAATGGACTCCTGCATTTGTGGGGAGAGGAAGAATATTTTAGGGGGAGGAAACAGGACACACAAAGGGATGCAAGAACGAGTGTGCACCACGGGCCAGAGACCCCCGAACAGTCTAATGTGTTTGGCTCAGACATGGTATACAGGTGAGGGATGGGAATGATGAAGGGAGAGGAGGAACAGATTGTGGGCAGCCTTGGCCTGCTGGTAAGGAGCTTGAACCCTATTTTGAGGTGGGAGGAGCCACTGGAGAGTACTGAGAAGGGCAGTGACATGGTCAGATGGGTCTGCGTTTGAGAAAGACAAACTGGGGAAGGAATAGCATTTGAAAGGGGCAGGAGCAGTAAGAATGTAAATGAAGGCCAGGCACGGTGGCTCACGCCTGTAATCCCAGCACTTTGGGAGGCTGAGGTGGGTGAATCACCTGAGGTCAGGAGTTCGAGACCAGTCTGACCAACATGGTGAAACCCTGTCTCTACTAAAAATACAAAATTAGCTGGGTGTGGTGGTGCACCCCTGTAATCTCAGCTACTTGGGCTGAGGTAGGAGAATCACTTGAACCCAGGAGGCTGAGGTTGCAGTGAGCCGAGATCACACCACTGCACTCCAGCCTGGGCAACAAGTGTAAAACTCTCTCTTAAAATAAAATAAAATAAAATAAAATAAAATAAAATAAAATAAAATAATGTAAATGAGAACTGACTAGCAGTATTGCAAGTGTGGAATCCACAGGACTTAAAGAACAATTAGACAATAGGAGTGAGAGAAGGGAGAGGACCCAGCTGTTTCTCAGACTTCCATAGATGATGATGACATTACCCAAAACAGAGAACATATGAATAACTTTGACCAAATAATAAACACCACTACGCCAGAGAATGCCATAGTAAAACATTATGGCAAACTTAAAAAACTTCATGCTAAATGAAAGAAGCCAGTCACAAAAGGTCACATATTATGTGCTTCTATTTGTATGAAATATCCAGGGTGGGTAAATCCACGGAGACGGGGGCTGGGGGAATGGGAAGCAACTGTTTAATGGGCATGGGGTTGCCTTTTGGGGTGGTGAAAATGTTTTGGAACTAGGTAGACATGAGGGTTGCATAACATTGTAAATATACTGCATGCTATACTTTCAAATGGTTAATTTCATATGAATTTCAATTTTAAAACGATAAAAGCAAAGCAAAAAATAAAAAATAAAAAATCAAACCAAAAATAAAAAATCAAACCAAAACCCAAAAACACCATGGCAGCCCAAAAAGCCTTGTATTCCAGAGCTGAACGTGCCAGGAATCTCCTTTTAAACCCAGATAATCCCAGTAAGGAAAGAAACCTAAGGGAAGGACTGCTAGTGCCCATGCACTGAGCAGAATCACCTGGTCCCCAGTGGACACACTCCTTCCTAGCTGCTATTATGCACGTTTTGCTGGGAAGGCTGATAGCCTTGGAATTGGAGGTATGTTCTCTTCTTGGGGACCATCCACCTTTACTGTGTCAACTCTGGCTGACCTAGTAATGTGAGCAGTCAATCTGCCATGTGAAAACATATCAGAGGGAGGGGAAAAAGCAGCAAAGTACATCCAGAGAGAAGCATGTGGGTCAGGAAACAGTAAGAAAAACTTTCTGGCATTCATATTGGTCATCAGTAGCCCAAGGGGAATAAAGGGTTTCCTGATGCTCAGTGCATCATCAGGAAGATTAATTAACATTTGTAAAGGCCACACACAGTGTGAAAGGCCCAGTAATGGATCTCCAAAAGCCACAGTCCCTGCTTTCCAGAAGGTCATGAAACAAGGAGTGGAAAATATTCCCTAGAAGACAGAGCTGGATGACCTCGACCATGAAGAACATTGCAAAGAAACGACCGGGCTTGTCTGGGATTCTCTTCATTCTGAAGTTGAATCTGATCTGACAGATGTGGTGAGTAATTAAACCCTTGTCCATTCATAGTCTGAATGCTTGCACTGCACAGAGAATGGGGCAGGAATAATGAGAGGCACAGCCCCTCTGGGACTATTCAGGAGTGCTCAAATTTGCATGGTCACATGAACCCAAAGGAAGTGGATTATGCTGGCCTGGCCAGGAAGTAGAGACAGCCAAAGATTTCTGATTTGCATAAATCCTAAGGCTGGAAGGCAGAGAGGCTTAAAGGCTCTCAAAAAAGGCCAGATGTAGCTGCCTTCCCTAGAACCCAGCACATCTCTGTAGCTAGATGCCTTCTCACAAAGGCTGTACAGGTAATCAAACTTGTGATGTCATTTGCTCAAAAGTTTCATAAATATGTACTGTTAAGTTCCCCAAAAATGTGATTTTTACAAGTGAAGTTGCTGTACAGTCTCCTAGGGAATGGATTCTTTTAATTAGCTTGAAAAAAAGGTGATTCGGTAAAGGGTAATGCATTTTATTATGATTAATGCTGTCAAATAATTTCTAATGGTGTGACAAGGTGCTTAAGTAAAGAATTGTTTGTGGCTTTAAAAAATAGTTAATGCCTCTCAAAAAGGATTATTTTCTTTTTAAGTTTCAAATGAAGGCTACTAATTAATTAATCCATTTACATAAAAATGTCTTGGATCAGCTACCTGCAAAGATAAAGGATGAAATCTATCCTCTAATTGGAAAAAGAAAAACTGCTATAAAATATGTGGAATAAACATATGAAAGTAATCTACAAAAGGCAAATAGAAGTCATTAATTAAAAACTGACATCAAAAATTTCATTTCATTCTATGCAATATTAAAAATATTGGTGATGTCATATACTTAACTGAGTAATCTTCCTAAAATATGCCTTCTCATGTATGCTGTTTTATGCAGTTTTTTTTTTTTTTTTGAGATGGAGTTTCACTCTTGTTGCCCAGGCTGGAGTGTAGTGGCACGATCTCGGCTCACTGCAACCTCCACCTTCCAGGTTCAAGCGATTCTCCTGCCTCAGCCTCCTGAGTAGCTGGGATTACAGGTGCCTGCCACCATGCCTGGCTAATTTTTTTGTATTTTTAGTAGAGATGGGGTTTCGCCATGTTGGGCAGGCTGGTCTTAACTCCTGACCTCAGGTGATCCACCTGCCTTGGCCTCCCAAAGTCTTGGGATTACAGACGTGAGCCACCGGGCCTGGCCTTATGGAGTTTATTCACGGGAAGTCATGCAAAACTACATGGTGGTTTCAAGAAATTGGACTGAAATCTCCCTTCAGTTTTTCCCAAAATGTAGCTAACTTCATGTTATCTCCCAGATTCATAGACATCAGGCAACCAAGCTTGGTGAAAGCATTCCAACTTTTGCTCCCTTCAGTTCTGAACGAGTGCTACCCTTGATATAAACAGTCATTACAGACCCAGAATGCAACAAAGAAGGCAGATATTTACTAGTGAAAAACTGAAGTTCCTTAATCACTTTAATATATATAATCAAATGGAAATTATATATTACCCAGACTAATTATATATAATTTCTTGGCATCAGGTATAAACTATTCAGACTATCAAGGAAAAAAATAAAAAGATGCTTCTTTATAGCAGAATTTTTATTATAAAATATATCTCACAGCAAATCCCATCTTTTTAGTATCTGGTCTTTAGTCTTTGATGATTTCAGTTTGTTTTTCCAAATTTTTTTTCCAAGCTGAGGCTGTGCTGCCATTTTTGCAATTGGGATTGGTATTTTTATGATCACTTACTGGATTTATTATACGGTGGTTGAATAAACTGCTGACAAGAAAAGTGGAAAGGGAAAGAGAGAAAAGAGGAGAGAGTTAAAAAGCCAAGGAGATGGAAAAAGAAGAAAAAAGAGGGAAGAAAGAACAGGAAGGAAAGGGGGAAAGAGGTTAAAAAAAAAATCCTAAAAGTAGATGTTGTAATACATAGGAAAAAGAAACTCGGGCACCTGTCAAAGGGACTCCATGTGTCAGTGAACTGCAGGAGGTGACACTTAGGCATCCTGGCTGTACATCATCCCTCACTCTAAATGAATGTAAAGGTAGATCTTTATTCTTTTGGACTGACAAGATCACGCCACAAGGTGACTATCAATTGGCAGGGACTTCAACTTTACAAAGTTGTGCTGAAAGACAGAATTATCAATAAGCTCCTGAAGACACATTCTCACCAGGAGAAATGGAAAACTCAGGTTCTAGCCAAGTCCTTAAGAATGCAGAGGAAGGAGGGTCACAGAATGGAGGAAATCTCTGGTTTGCTGGTAGCTGTAACCTCTCCCCCTTAAAAAGCCCATCTTCACCTTTAAAATAATGCAGATTGTTCATGTATTCTTTGAAGGAGCTTAACATGACTTGTACAAAAGGCCAGCATAATTTTCCAGCTGTTTTGCTGAGAAATATGCCCTCTTCTATGGTCAGTGAGATTCAGCTCCAGAGAAGTGAAATAACTCAATCCAGGTGTTGCTGCTGGGGAGAGAGGTCCTGATGTTGGGGCCCCTGGATTGGAGGTCAGCATGCCCAGCCTTTGGCTGTGGAACTTTCTGGGGAGTATCAGGTTTGCTACGCACAAAGAGGGCTGGTAGAACTCTCCTGATCACAAGACATGACACTTGCCAGTACCACTAGAGCGCTGAAGAGGCGCAGGTTTCCTTTTCCCTGTCTTTGTAGATTACACCAAGGGTGTCCAGCCTGCAATCAGCTGATTTGAAAATGGAGTGCCCACCTGACTGTATTTCAATTGCTTCATATCCCCATCAACAACAATGGATCAGCCCACAGGAGGTGCTGACCCTTCACTGCTTGTGCCTCGTAAGAGATCTCTTGGAAGTGCTCATCAATTTGCGTGTGTTTTTCTTGTTACTTCTGTTGTATATTTCGCATGTGGTCTATTTCATAATGAGAAAAGTCTTCCTAAGATTCTACACAGAGCTATAACTTCTTAACCTTATGGAGTCTAAGTTTCTTTAACTGTAAAATTGAGACAGTTCCTATTTGTGGGGATTGTTGATAATTAAAAAATAAGCATGTTGCTTAGCACAAAAAAGGCACACAAGAAGTGGTAAACATCACAATTACTACCACAGAAAAAGAAGTGCAAAAAGTTGTTTAGGGCTATGAAAACATCTTTATTTTCATATTTTTATTCCCAGAGGTTTAAAATGTTCAGGTCTGTTTGCATTCTTTTTGGTCTCTGCTGCTATCAACACATTATTTAAAGAGTGTTAGAAAAGTTAATCCAAGAGAAACACACTTTTGGTCATTGGCCTCTTTAAGTGACACCTTTTTCATTAATTATTACCTTTCAGTGACAGTGCTGTGGCCAATTTCCATTCCCTCTGTTGGCCTGTATGAGTTCTAGGGTAAAAAGTGGTTTGGAACCTTTTTAGTCAAGGAGCAAAGAAGGCTATTTTTTTAAACTTTTAAGAAAAAAAATCAAAACCACCCAAACCAAAACCCCTAAAAGGCATCATGGTTGTTAAGGCTGAGAAGTTAGACCTGGTTCTGAGACCAGCTCGGCCACTTACGGAGGGCATGATCTGAGTTAGTTGTTTCCTTACTTATAAAATGGTATAATAAAAACATTGATCTCTTAGGCCTATTGTGCAGATTAAAAAAAAATCTACTAACATAAAATGCATAGCCCCATGCCTGGTACATACAATGGTTACCATAATCATGCTACTATCAATAACCATAAAACTCCATACAGGAGTCAGGGCATTGGTGCAGTGAACATTTGTTGTTAGATATTGTCCGAGAACACTAGGGGTAGCCTGAGCCCCTAATTACCCCCAAGTATGATTCTATTTTTTTTCTTCCATTTCAGGAAATTCATTTGTACTTGAAAATAGTCATTAAGCTGAGCCCTTTGTGATGCATGTGTTTAAAAAATGTGGTGGTGACACCTGGGTTATCAGTCTCTTTATTTGCAAAGACAAAGGTCACATCAGACTTTAGCTATTGTGCATTTCTGGGCCCACATACTGTGGACAAGCTCCTTTATCCCTTCAATGTCCCATGCATGGTAAGCAGGACAACTGTTTCCTTTTTATTAGATAGGGCAAACGGCCTGTGTTGTTCAAAAGGGATGTTAAAAAGCAAAGTTATTTCCACAAAATTTATAGCTCACTTAGTTGTTGATAAACATAAACCAGGTGTCACTCTTGCAACACATACCCAGACACCCTCTACTACTGATTTCACCAGCTGTGCAACATATTCTCAATTTTTCTTCTTTTACTTTTAGCAGATAATGTTTCTGAATCCACTCATTTTGAGGGGGGTGGGGGGAAGAAAAGAAAGAAGGAAACCTGTCTCTTTACGCAGGGACTGGTTCCACAGAACCTGAGAAACTTTCCTGAGGTAAAATCCCTTTCTCTGGTTAGTGAGACAGCCGGTGACTTCGGGTTCAGACTGTCCCCCCAGCAGCCTGCTGTGTCACAGATGTGCTGCTAGGGGTGTGGAATGGACCCTACTGGGTATGGGGGTGGTGAAGAGGGGCTGTGAGGTTGGGATTAAACCCCTCCTTAAGTTGGTCGGTCCTCAGGCCGCCTGGTAACTTTCTACAAGCCCAGTTTTTAAAGGCAAGATTTTCAAAGAACAGATTTTACTAATTCTGGATCCTTAGGGAAGACAGAAAGAGATGACATAAAGGGGTAAGAGAAGGGAAAAACTAGGCAGAGAATGCATGACCATATCTCGTTTGCCTTTCATTTATAATAAACTCTTATTCTGTCAATTAAGTAAATTATATTCTTCCCACTGTGACTATCATTATACTTGAGACCACTCTAGTTTTTCTGCCCTGTAAATGGATCACATTTGTTACTGACTTGTTAATTCATACAACATGTACACTGAAATACAAACCGTCCCGAAAGCCTCACAACTTCCACAGTGAGGACCAGCTCTTTAAGATTATTCTATTTATTTCACATTCTATGAGAATATTCAGTGAAGTTAATGACTGCTTATAATTTATTTCCTATCATATTTTTTTCATGTAAGTAGCTTCAACTTCCTAGGAATTATAAAAAAAATTTTTTTTTTCCCTGCAGGGTATCATTAGGGAATAAATGTGGTTTCTTCTTTTGGGCAACAGTTTTGCTCTGCTCACCTTTCAGCAAAGATTTACTGAATACCAACTCTATGCCTTGTTCTAGGTATACTTTGTAGAAGTATAGAGTGGAGAAAGACAGGCTAAAACAACAAGGTAGTAGGGTGAGTAAAGGTACTCTGGGTTTCATGTTGTTGCTTCTTAGACTATCTGAAATGAAGGACCAGTTTGTGCTTTGGTTTTTAATTTCCAACCTGTTGACAACTGATGGGGGGGCCTTTTTGCATGACTGCTATGCAGCTCCCACTGCGTGCAACTCACCTTGTGAACTCATCAGCACCCAAAATGCTTTGTACCCTATTCAATGAGACAAGTCCAAGGACCATATGCTTGCATGTTGTGACCACATCAAATTGCTATAAATTTTTTTAGATGCCTGTTCTCAGTTTCTACATTTATGATGTCACGGAATGACATCAAATAGTTCATAGACTGGCACCAGGAGTACTTCTATACCAAAGAATAAATAATGTTGAGTGGAGTGATTTGAAACTGACCCCCCGGTATCAGCTATATGCCTTCTTGTTCAGACTCACCTCCAAACCCTGCAGCCTCCAACAAGCCAGTGCACATCAGGATCTAGTCTATGAAAACAAATGAAACTCCAAGATACCCTGAGCTCCTTGAAGCCCATGAAATTGTCTGTAAAATTTTGTGTATATGTACATTTTTCCAGAGAGAGGTTCTATAGTTTTCATCAAATGTACAAATAGGTATGTGGCCTCAAAATGGTTAAGATAAACTAACTCCTTAACACTTTTTCATTACCTGGCAACCCTAGTTAAGAATTTCAACTTGCAACTGCCCATGCTTCCTAGGAAACACACACACCTGAGGGGATTGTTGGTTTTATGAAGCCTTCCTGGGTCTGGGGCCAGGACTGCCTGTTTCCATGGTGTTTCAAAGCATGGTTGTTCTGGGTTAAGAACAAGACTAAATTTGTCTACTGACGGCTTGGACAGCAACAGGAGGTTGACTCCCTTCAAGAAATAAAAACATAAAAATAGTCTGTGTAAGAAAGGGTACCATTATTCTTCAACATTAGAGAAGTGTTCCCCACTCTGGTGTCTTAGAAGCCCAGAGATGAGCTGGGGTATCTGATTTAGAAGGAGAGGATGAAGGCATTGAGAGAAGCAGCAGGATCTGGTTGGAGAAGGAGGTGGAATCACAGGGAGCACTGGCCATTATAAGACTGTGTGGGGAGGGAGCATCCAGGTGGAACCAGATGCCTACGGACAGCAGGACGATGAGATACCAAGGAAGACTGCGTTACCACTCCAACATAAACATAACCATTTCAGGGGAAATCTACCCTTGGTGTCTAGACTGAAGTCTTTATATACTATTTCCTAAGGAAAGGAATCAGGATTCCTTGTAAAAATAGTTGCTTCCAGGTTTGGGCCAGGAGCCTATGGCATCTTATCCTGACAGAAAAGACTAGTGGAATCATGTTAAAAGGCAAAAGAGGCAACTTGAAGGGGATCTCACCGATCAAAGAGTAATGGATGGACACCTATAAAATAGATAAAAGTCCAAGGGTTTATATTGATGCTCAAAACAAACAAGCAAGCATCATTGATCACTTTTGCAGGTTGCTGGTGCCATTCAATAATCTGAAAACTATTTAATAAACAGAGGCATTTATGCTGCTTTTCTGATATGAACTGTATTTCAGAGTAACCAAATAGTTGATGATAGTAAGCTTTTCTATATGATAGAATAATAGCTAGTAAATGCAAACTGAATGACAGAAGTGAACATTACCATGTTGTAATCCCTAATGAATGTTGGCAGTGATCATCAGTGGTTGCTAAAACTATTATGTTAACAGGTTGATAGAGAACTTCATAATGGATGAAAGGCTGACCACACCTGAACCCACTGATCAATCTTGATCTCAATAAATGTAATGCAAACAGATGTTATGTGCCTCCTGATGTGATACAGTTGAATTTGCATCTCATTAAGTCATTTGATCTAAGTATTAATTTACAGAAAGTACAGAGGAAATATAAACATGTTAAATGGCACCATGGAGATGCAATATTCAAATACATAAAATGAACATTTTTACAGGACGATAATCTACAGGACAAAAATTTTTACAGGACAATTTCTTCAACAAATAAATGTAATAAAAACAGGAGGGCGATCTGTAATAGATTAAAGAACGTTTAAAGACAGATCAACCAAATGCAATAGATATACTGTGTTTGCAGCCTGATTTAAACCGTCCAGCTATTTGTGAATGCTTTGGAAACAATTAGGAAATACTGAACCCAGACAGGTTATGCAGTCATTTCTAAATAGTGATTACGTTTTTTAAAAGTTATGCTGTATGTTCTAGAGATACATACTGAAATATTTACAGGTAAAATCAGACATCTGGGATTTGCTTTAAAACACTCTAACAAAACAAAACAAAAAGAGGAGAGAAGGATAAAACAAGAAGGGTGACATGTTGGTAGCTGTTGAAGATGGGTGTTAGAGACATGTGGGTTCATTACACTATTTTGTCTCTGTGTGTGAATTTCTGTAAAAAGGTTTTTGTTTTTTTTTCTTTTTTTTTTTTTCAAAAAAAGGGGGGATGGGGGAAGGAAATCTCACAGAATATAAAGCAAGCAAGACAGGCAAGCTAATGAAAACACAACCCTTATCTATAGAGTTTTTGAGTTCATGTCCAAACTTGCCCCAGCTCTGGGGTCTGAGGGAGGGCGAACACAGATTACATGAGGGAATGCACTCACTGCTCTCTTAGTGCAGGGTTACTAGGTGCATGGGAATTCACGGGGAAAGAGCAATTTGTGCTGAGTTCATAATCCCCAAGAGAGGTCAGGGCAGCTTTCTGATTGGTTGGAGGAGATAGAGCCTTCCAGGATCTACCCTGGAAGAGGCAAGCAAAAGGATCCCAGCCATAGTTTGGTGTCCTCTTTAACCTCATTCCCAGGGCAAATCCAAAACAAGTACCAACAGTACCATGCCATCTGGAATTCTATAATGCACAGCTGGCAATATGTCACGGTAAGCAACCCTCCGAACTGTAGATGATTGGCATATTTAAAGGCCACACACATCTTTTCTTCAGCTCTCTGTCTATCCTCTTATATGTTATTAATGCATGTAATAAATTTGGCCTTGGACAGGGCTTGGTTAAAGGCAATAACACCATACTTGATACAGAAATGACCTATTGGGACCTGTAATATCTCTGTGCCAGCTTTTTTCAATTAAATGACCACAACTAGCAAACAACTATTAACATGGGGACTGTGTGGGATACAAAGATATGCAGTGTCTGCAATGGTGAACCACTAAATGCTTGTAGGAGAAAAAGGGAAAAAAGTTTCTCATATAAGTTCTTGAGACAAAGATGTTATTCAGCTTTACAATCCTTTGAGCTCCTGCTAGGAATATTCCACCAGTGTCCACAATTGCAGTTAGAGGCTATCTTGATAGAATCTGTGTGCTAGAAAACCTGTAATATGCACATAATGTCCGCTCTTGCCCTGAATCCCAGAGAATGGAGGACTATTGCTACTGTACTCTCAGTGACTAGAGCAACTTCAAATTATTCCTTCATCAACTGAAAACTAAATAGAAACTATGCTTAATTGTGTTCTTTGATTTTTCTCTGAGGCTATCCCACATATTCAAATTATATTTACTTTTTAAACGATTAGGACACTGGCATTTGGAGCCCTTGCTTCCTATTTAGCAGTAACCATGCTTTCCAAACCACAGGTTTGATCAGCAGGGTGGGCCATCTGAAATTGAGATTGTCCTGAAGATTCAGGAGGTCAGCCTGCCGCATGCAGTACATGCCTTTCCCAGTTACGAAACAGAAACCCAGCCTGACCCTTCAGTCCGGGCCCCCACCTTGCAGAGCTATGGCCTGATCTTAATGTAGAATCAAGTGCTCGATGGAAAAACAGGTTACCGGGTTCAAGCTTGATCTTCTTGCAAAAAGTCCGATGCAAAACATTCCACTTCATCGGGAAGTTCTAGAGCTGAGAAGTATGTTGCTAATGTTGCTAAGAGTTCTTAGTTTTCAAGTAAGGCCAGGTATAGTCCTGTACAGGGAAGAGCACTTTTTCTATAGGTTCCTAGCTTCTAACACCTAGCAGGACACCACTGCTACCAACAACAAAACAATAATGGTGACGAGGAGGACGATGATGATGGTGGTAATTATAATATCATAATATGTAGAGTTTTAATTTTCTTTTGGGTCTTTATTAACTTTAGCCTTTACTTTGTAACTACTATTATTATCTTGATTTACAAATAAAGAACTTGAGGCACAGAGTGATTAAAATAACTTTCCTGACGTCACAAAGCTAGTAAGTGGACAAAGCCAGGCTGTCTGGCTCAAGAGCAGCAGTGTGAACCACTGTAAGACACTGCCCCTTATTGTACTAAAGAGCATTGGCTTTGAATTGATAATAGAAATGCTAGACAAGAAGCTGAATTACAAAAGCAAACGTCCAGATTTTGCCTGGACTCATGCTCAGAGTAGACTGATTAGATGAGCTCTTCTTAACTCTGGTTTCATGTAAGCATCACCCGGACAGCTGTTAAGATACTGGGAACCCACCAGTATCTGGGAACTAGAGAATATGATTCATTTGGTCTGCGGTGGGGCCTGGGCATCTGATTTTTAAAAAGCTCCCCAGGTGATTCTCACGAGCAACAAGGGCTGAGAGCCACTGACCTCTGAAGCACTTTGCAAAACTAAAAAACAAATTTGGAATTGCTGCCTCTTTTCTCTTTCTCTTGGATAGTCACAAAGAACAACAGCATGTTGCAGGCTCATATCAAATCTTTTTTTAAAAATGTTTAATTTTTTTATTATTATACTTTAAGTTCTAGGGTACATGTGCACAATGTGCAGGTTTGTTACATATGCATACATGTGCCATGTTGGTGTGCTGCACCCATTAACTCGTCATTTACATTAGGTATTTCTCCTAATGTTATCCCTCCCCCATCCCCCCACCCAACGACAGGTCCCGGTGTGTGATGTCCCTCACCCTGTGTCCAAGTGTTCTCATTGTTCAATTCCCACCTATGAGTGAGAACATGTGGTGTTTGGTTTTCTGTCCTTGCGATAGTCAAATCTTATCTGAATATAGATCCCTTGTTGTATACAGCATCTGTTAACATAGATGGGAACAGCTGTTCTAACCTTTTACAAACCAGTAATCCAGGTTGATAAATTTGGTTACTTTCTTTTAAAGAGAAAACCCTGTACCCTTAACATTGCAGGATAAGAGTGTATCAGAGCTAAACTCTCTTTCCTCAATAAGGATACAGAGGACCCCTTAAACCAGCTTACTCTCTTAACTAAGAACAAAGATCCACAATTTCATAGTTGAAAGGGCTCTTAGGTGCCATCTAACATCTCTCAGCACCACAAACACACTCCCCACCTCCCCCAATGCAGAAATGCCTTCTGCAAGATCCTTCCAGATGGTCAGTCAGCCCTAGTTTGAACAGTTCAATGACAAGAGGCCTCACTCCTTCATAAGACAACACATTTCATTGTTGGACAGATCAATTCTTCTTTATATGGGTTCAAAATTAGCCTCCCTATAACTTCTACTTGTTCATAGCTCTGTTGTTGTCTGAAATAATGGTATAAAGTCTCCTCTCCTTTCAAATGAGTGCCCAACAGCACATCATTATGGCGGAGGATGGTACACTGGAGGGAATACACAGGACTACATGGGAGCCAAGAGACTTGTTTTGAAAAGCAGCTCTGCCTCAGACTTTAGGACCGTAGTAACTAAAGCCCTTCAGGCCTTTGTTTCATCATGAGTATTAAAAGTACATAAAAACAAAGACAATGAAAAGCTTGTCAAATTGTGAGCATCAAATTAAAAGTGTAAGTCAAATGCTTTGTAACTGAAAAGTACCCTATGAATGTAAGTTGTTCTGTTATTGGTGCCTTAAGGTACAGTATTCTTACATTTGAACAATTCTTCTGTCCACAGAACCATATATTCTACTTCTGAAGTTGGTATTGTAGCGTTGCTAAATAACTGTTAACTATGGCAATGGTAAGTGAGTGCTCCTTGATGCCACCTATCGGTTATTTGTTTCAGTGACCATGAGAAGTTGGAAGATGGCACAGGAAGCAATGTGCTGATGCTGTCTTTCATTCCTCAGACAGATCAGAAGAAACAGAGCACAGCAGATTTGGAATCAGAAAATCTGCCACTCACTATGTAGGTGCCATTGAAAAAGTGAGCTAACCTCAGTTTCCCCACACATAAAACGAGAAAATAAAAGTATCAATCTTACATATGCTTCTATGAGGATAGAAGAAAATAATATGTGTTAAGTACTCAACAATAAATGTCACTGAGTAAACTGCAGGGCATTTTCACCATTTTTTTTTTTAAATCAGTGAGAACCTAGTGGCAAAGTGCTATATTCTCTCTAAAATAAACAGAGAATTTCAGATACTCCACCTGGATACAATTCCAACTCTATCATTAATTCTCCATGTGACCCACATATTTCACCTCTTAGGTCCTTGCTTTCCTAATTGGTAAAATGAGTTAATTAGACAAGCTGATCTTTCTAGGTATGCTTCTGGGACCACTAATATCCGTATCGCTAACCAAACGGAAAACAAAGTTTTAGAAGCAAATTGCTTCCTGAGAACAATTCAGTTATCGCCTAATCTAAAATACTACCATGGTAAAAAGAACATCTTCAACGTATACATTTGTTTGAAAATCCCTCCCTTTAGGAAGATATATTTGTTTCTAATGGTTCTGCTAACCACATGCCTGAGGTGAGGCAAAAGAATTTTTAAAAACTCAATAGAATCAGACATTTCTCCAAAGAAGAAATACAAATGGCCAATAAGCACATGAAAAAATGTTCAACATCTAGACATTAGGGAAATGCAAACCAAAGCCACCATGAGATAGTTCCTCACTGCTACTTGAAAAACTATAATATAAAAGATGCACAAAAGCAAGTGCTGGTGAAGAGGTGAAGAAATTGGAACACTTATTCATTGCTGGTGGGACTGGGAAACAGTGCAGCCACTTTAGAAAATAGTTTGGCAGTTTTTCAAAAGCTATGCAAAGTTACCACATGACCCAGCAATTCTACTCCTAAGTAGGCAGCAAGGAGAAATGAAAGTGTATGTTCACACAAAAACTTGTACATAAATGTCCATGACAGCATTGTTCATAATATTCAAAAAGTAGAAACAACCCAAATGTTCATCAATTGATAAATGGACAAATAAAATTTATGTATCCATACAATGGAATATTATTTGTCAATAAGAAGATTTGAAACATTATGCTAAGTGAAAGAAGCCAGACGCAAAATACCACATATAGTATGATTCCATTTATAAGAAATATCTAGAATAGGCAAATCTATAGAGACAGGAAGTATACTAGTGGATGTCAGGGGCTGGCAGGAAAGTGGGAGTGACTATTAATGGATACCAGATTTCTTTTTGCGGTGATAAAAATGTTCTACAATTGGGCTGGGTGTCGTGGCTCACGCCTGTAATCGCAGCACTTTGGGAGGCTGAGACGGGCAGATCACCTGAGGTTGGGAGTTTGAGACCAGCCTGACCAACATGGAGAAACCCCGTCTCTACTAAAAATACAAAACTAGCAGGGTGTGGTGGCGCATGCCTGTAATCCCAACTACTCGGAAAGCTGAGGCAGGAGAATCGCTTGAACCTGGGACGCGGAGGTTGCGGTGAGCCGAGATCGCACCATTGCACTGCAGCCTGGGCAACAAGAGCAAATCTCTGCCTCAAAAAAAAAAAAAAAGTTCTACAATTGTTTGTGGTGATGGTTGCATGATGCAGTGAATATCCTAACAGCTACTGAATTGTACATTTTAAATGGGCGCATTATATAACATATAAATTATATCTCAATAAAGCTGTTAAAAAAACAATAGAAGCACATAATCGATAAGGATCAAGAATCAGTTCCATTTAATCAAAGTGCAAGGAACATGTATGTTTGTATAATAGCATTTTATGTGGATAATTGCTTTGTACATTCAACTGCTTTAAACCCATTTTTGCATTTGGATCATTTTTCAAGGAGGAGATGAAATTTAAGGAAGTAAAATTGAATAAACAAGGCTATTGCAGCTCACAAAATATATTTCTTTTATTTTACTACCGAGGATCGACTCAGTGATGTAAAATGCCATTTAAAAAAAGAATGACAAAGTTTGAATGAGAAAATGTATTTCATCGTGAAAGATAAAAGTCTTTCCTTCTCTACAGTGAATACAGGTAATTTCAGAAGCAGCAGCTCCTAATTATTCACTGTTGAAAAGCTAAAAAAAGGTTCATATTGAAAACACTGACCTCTAGTTTGCTCTGTGAATGAAAGCAGACACAAATTCTCATTTTCCTAGAATTCTGGTTGATAACTGAGTTGGGAAAAGCATGCATTTCTTCATTACAGTGCAGTCGACTGTTCATTTAAATAACAATAACCTGCATAAAAGTCACAAAAGCATTATCTAGCAATTTTACTGTGTTGAAATGCATTATTAGTACTAACAATGCCAAACAGAGTAAATAAATGACTGTCTTCTTATTTTCAGCATTATTCCTGATTACTTAGCTTTATGAAAGGGTAGCATTATTATTACTGGTGCATTCAACACCTTGGTCAACACTATTTGCTTGGATAACTCTTGAATGAGAAGGGATTTCAGAATAGAGCTATATTCTTTTCTAGATTATCCAAGGGGGAAAAAATCTTCCAATTCAGTGCTTATATATCCTATATTTTTGATAACAAATGTTTGAAGAACTCAACTTCTGTTTTCTACATATGTGTAAAAACAAGAATTAAAGTCTTCATTAAAGATAGCACACTTGAAGTAGTGCTTACTAAAAAATGTAAAATTTACATCATTTGTTTAAATCAGAAGATTTCTTACCACGAACATGCTAATGCTTCAGTTTGTAAAGTTCCTTGAGCCCAAAATCTGGGCCTTTCTTTCAGTTTCTCTTTTTTCACTCCCTGAAGCATTCAGTACTCCACTAAATGCCATTGACCAAACTTGTTATGAGAGTACCATCAATCTCCCAGGTGCAGAGCAAATAGAGATTTGAAATCATTCACTCCTGAGTCTCTAGTTTGCAGGGGTTAGATTCAAAGGGGCCTCTCCATGAAAGATCTGAGCAATATTTGGCTTTAACAATGGATGGAAGTGCAAATTCCTAGAAGATGGGGCAACAGGATACATCCTTATAAAATGTTGTCATCTTGATGGGGACAGTACACACTTGAGTGACTGACTCTCATTCAGACAACAGGAGTTTTGTGGTTTGTGTGTGTGCACTGAGGCCTTGGATTTTGCTGTGGGAAGGGAGCAAGGAAGGTTGTGGGCGACACCGTAATGAGTAAATTAATTTTTAGGTAACTTAAAGGATTATGTGAGTGGATGAAAATGTTCTTCGGGGATGTGACAGATTGTATTTTCCAAAACTGGTTGCAACAATATTTCCTGCCCCACTGGTCTTCGTCAACCTGCCACCCCTGCATCAAAGAGTGGGGTATGTGTCACATCCCATCCCCTTAAACCTCGGCAGGCCCTTGCGACTGTCTTGCTGAGTAGAATGAGGCACAGAATGTGGCACTGTGTGACTTATTAGATTGGGTAAGAAAAAGCCACACAGCTTCTGCCTCTTGCTTTTGTAGCTCTCACCTTAGGTGCCCTGGGCTGCCAAGTCTGAGGCTGCCATACCGTAAGATTGCCCAAACCAGCATATGCAGGGAGACCACATGGAAGGGCCTTTTGACTAATGACAGAAAGAGAAAGGTGCCCAGCCAGTCCCGAGCTACTCCAGGCTCCTGTCCCCCCTACATAGTTCCAGCTCTGATCTCTGTCTGAAGAAGGCTCATGAGAGACCCTGAGCCAGAACACCCAGCCAAGCAACCCCTGATTTTCCTAACCCGCCAAAATCCTGAGAGACTGCTGCTGAAGTCACTGCATTTCTAGGGTGGTTTGCTACTCAGCAACAGATAACCAGGAGAAGAGAAAAAGAGAACTGAATGGAGAGTCACATCATCAACAATAGAAAGGGCACATCATATTTGGAGCCAAGCCTTTCAGGCCATGACCTCTGGACATGTAAATAAATGTAATGGGCAAAGACGCCTTGTAAATCAACATGTAAGCTTCCAACTCAGTCATGACTCAGAGCTTCCAACTCTCAGCACTGAGCCAATGTCCCTTCGGTGGAATCTCTAGATTTTCCATACAGAGGAGCTTAGGGCAGCAGAGGTGCAACGGCACTTGTTACGAAGCTGCGTTTACATAGCAAGCACAGTCCTCTTACTCCAACTATGTTTGCTTGGGGTGGCCCTGGCAGCATTCATGGCAAGGGGCTCTTGGGGTGGTGGGGAACCTACAGCCCCTCTAAGGTACCACTGGCTCAAACCCTGGCTCCCGCCTTGTCTTTTTTCCTCAAGTAAAACGGAACAGTTTGTAGGGGTTGGGTATCCCTTATCCAATATGCTTGGGACCAGAAGTGTTTGAGTTTTTAATTTTTTTTGGATTTGGGAATATATGCAAAATAACACTCCAGTTGAATATCTCTAATCCAAAAATCAGAAATCCAAAGTGCTCCAGTGAGTATTCCTTTTGAGCATCATATTGGGGCTCAAAAACTTGGATTTTGGGGCATTTTGAATTTTGGATTTTCAGAGTAGGGATGGTCAATCTGTAGCTCCTGGGCACAACATATTGTTTTAAGGCCTCCATGTCCCTGTTCTCTCTTCATTGGCTAACACACACTTATTCTTCAAAGCTCAGGCCAGGTATCACCAACTCCAGGAACCCCAACTTAGCTAAGAACTCCTTGTGTACACATATGGGTATGTTATACTCAAATTTATAATAAAATTTGCTTAGTTATGTCTTCTCACTAGAGTATACATGTTGGGAGAGCGACATGGATTATTTATATTTTATCTTCACTACCTAAGGCCTGCCATGTCTCAACAGCATGTGTTCCATAAATGTTTGTAGAATAGAAATGAACATGCCAAGACATGTTGCCTTCAAAGGATGAACTGGTGACAGTGTCTCCATGCATTTCAAATATTCCTTGCTCTTCCCTGATCTCAACTGGAAATCTCTCTCTGTGCTGGAAACTCCCAGGAGAACACTTCGTCAGAAATTTTTTCATGGCCCTTTCCCTCACCTCGGATCCTCATCCTCCATGCCTTCTTCCTCAGATCCATCCCTTCTGTGCTGGACCATACTTACTTATGTTCCCACTAGATCCCCTTCTAGGGGTCCGCTCCCAGCTGGCAGGTCCCTGGGCTGATGCGCATCCCGAGTGCCAAGAACAGCACTCCATATGCTCAGAGTAGGTTTGGTAAAGCAGCGTGTCTTCCCAGTCTCAATACACTGACAAAGTAGTTACTGACTCCGAAATCTCTTCCCTGGGGTTAGCAACTGTGCCTACAACAAGTCTGCGAATACACCAGTCTTAGATATGTTCAACAGGTGATATCAAGGTGAACTAAAATGATTTCAGGATAACCTGCTGAAGGCCTCAGAAGCTGACTGCGCCCTTGAAGTAGGTCATCCCCAGGAACAGTTGCTTTTCATCCACTCAGCAGGTGTGTGTCATCAAATAAATATCATAAAATGTCTTCCAGCCAGGAACAACTATCTGGCAGGGAAAAGGAAGTACACAGGCTCACTGATTACAGCTCTTGATGAAAAGCGTGAGATAAAGTTTTTTTTTTAACATATGAAAAACAGTATTTTTATGAACAAGAAGGTTTCCACCTCCACCGTTTACTGTCCTCCCAGTTCATCCAGCTGTCTTATCCCCCAACTAAGAAGCTTCCAGAATAAACTAGTCTCAGTTTCATAACTTCATTTACTAAGGTTTTAACAAAGAGGACTCCACAAACCTGGCACCATAAAAACAATTTTTTTTCTGTAAAACTGTGATTTTGAAAACAATCATAATAATTGGTAGGCCAATATGGTTTAATGCTTGGGATTCTCTCTCTCCTCCCATCCCTTTTTCAGTGTTTAGATTATTCATTTAGGTGCTATCTTCCTCCTTTTTGCTGGAAGATTCAGGAAGTATTAAAATTCAGTAATTTGTGGTTTTTCATATTTTGTAAGATTAGGGAGAACTGAATAACATGGTGCAATTTGTTCTTGAATATTCTCAAGCCTACCCCATCGTTACATACCAAATTACCAGGTATGATTGAACCCAAATATTAAAAAAAATGACTATAAGAAAAAATAAGCCTGTGGTTTAACCCTGATTTCAAAGTTAGGGGTACAACTTAAAAGAGGAAATATTTGGGCTCAAATGTGATGGGTAAGTTTTGGTTTTAATTTTATCCATATAACTTATAACCTGCAACGCTGATGACAATTCTAAGAGAACCATGAACACGGTGCACATCATGGAAGATTGAAAAGGTTGGCTCATAATAATTTCAAGATGAGTTATGTAGGCCAGTTTTTTACTTACTTGAATGTTATCTGCTAATATAATGGTGGATTTTTCAGTTAGTGTTTTTTTGATCGAATAGCGTTTTCCAGACACCCAGATACCATTTTCCTGATCCTCCTGTGCCTGGGCACCCATCTGAGTTAGTATTTACTTAACTGTTTTCTTCATGTCAACTTTAAATTGGCCCTTTAAAGAAAAAAGTCAGCTCATCCCAAACAACCATATCAGTAAAATCACAGGTCTGATGACTACCTAAATTTGTTCTTTTGGGAAAAAACAACCGAGTTAAGGGAAAACTACCCAGCTCAGAAGAGGCATGACAAGAAGTTAATCCTTTCATTTGATGAATATTTATTAAGTCCTTACTCTATGCCAACTCCTCTTGCAGATGCTGGGTTTATAGCAGTAAAGAAAGCAAAGTTCCTGCTCTCCTGGAGCTTACATTCTGCAGGAGGTGATGACAATAAGCCAACAAGTTTATAAAATGATTCCAGGTATTGATATATGCGATAAAAAGAACTAAAGCAGGGGAAAGGCATCGAGTGATGAGGGGCTTATCTGAGATCCAACGGAGCATGGAAAACAGTGGACTGTTTTAAGCAGAGGCAAAGCATCCAGAGAGTTAATAATATCACATGTCCCCATTTCCACTCTCCTTATAAAACTCAGTTGTGCCCCAAGATCAAGTCTTAGTGTGATGTACCGTCCTCAGATTGGTTTCTCAGTAGCAGTAGTGTCTTTCAAGGGCTAAGTTTTCAATAGGGAATGCATTTCTGAAACAGAATGGCCTGGATGGGGTTACAGTGGGGAGACCTAGAATGCTAAAAGGTGACCAAAAATGTTGAGAGGGGAAGAGTGGAAGGAAAAGGCTGGGTGCCAAAATACACGGGGAGCACCGAAGACCTCTTTTGCTATCTTGCCTATGGTCTAGTGTAGTAATCTCCATGTGCCACAAAAAAATTATTTCCTATACCAACCTTGGCTTAAATACACGGGTTGTTAAGGACCAGAGCAGCATTTTCCCCCTCTTTATGTAACAGGACCTGGTAAATATGCTTCTTGCAATTTTCCTTAAAAACTTGATTCTTAAGTTATTAACTGAAAACATCACTGATAATTTAAATGAAATGTATTGATAAAGGCATAGCCTGATTTTAAACAGATTTTTTTCTTTGACTATGTATAATTACTTACATTCTTGGAGGCTGACTGCATGATGAGAACCCAGCTGGTATCAGGTGTCAGACAAGGAGATCTGTGCTCTTAAGGCTGATAGACTGGAGCTGCTGCAATCCTGGCTCTGAGACTTGAGAGTTGTGTGAGTTTGAGCAAGTTACTGAACTTTTCTAAGCCTCAGTTTCCTCATCGGTAAAAGAAAATAATAATGCCTCCCTTATAGGTTTTCTCTGACAGTTAAATGAAACTAAACGAGATAATGCTTATATAGCAGTTAGCATTTAAGTACCCTTAAAATAAATGACAATTAAGATGGTGACAGTAATCTTGACAATAATGGTAAAAAAAATCATATGCGAGGTCCTTCAGTTTTGAAACTGAGAAGGAAAGCCCTGGATTCTAAATTACTAAAAGGATTAAGTAATAACCAATAGTTCTGTAAGAGAATACTAGTGCTCCATTGGGCTGGTGCATGCATCGTGGTGGTCAGAGAGAGAAGGAAACTAAGGAGGGAGGGGTCTTTCATATGGACCATGGGTCCATCTCAAATCTAAGGGGTTTAGAATGCAGTGGGCAGTGGGGACCATTCTGGGCAGCCTTGATGGCCATGGAAACACAGAAAGGGGATCCCTAAAGCTAGAACGGGGTCCTATATCAGGAACTGGAGATCCAACAGGAATGGAGAGACACGATGTCAGTGGAATGTGGCCCCAGCATTCTGAGGCCTCCCCACATTTGCAGCAGCTTTTGCCCTACTCAGTTTTACAGATGTTCAACATCTGCCACCCCAAATTTAAAGACAACAATGGGGGAGCACATCCTGACAGTCTAAAGCCATTAAATCTGCATATAGCAGAATGAGATGTTGTGGAATCAACATCCCTTGAACCTGCACCAGTCTCCATTGGCAACAGAAGCAAATCAGTTCACATGCTTGGAGAATGCAGCAGTGGAAAGTGAAGTACAAGTGGAAAATCAGGGTGGGCAAGTCTG
Source organism: Homo sapiens (assembly GCF_000001405.40). Classification (NCBI taxonomy): domain Eukaryota; kingdom Metazoa; phylum Chordata; class Mammalia; order Primates; family Hominidae; genus Homo; species Homo sapiens. The sequence continues at coordinate 112,712,682 of NC_000010.11, read as the reverse complement.
TCCTAATGCACACTTTTTCTTATCAGGGCATGTGTTGCATGTAAGCAAAGATTCTTTAGGAAGGGAAAGGCCTCTCTTAGTTTCACGCCCCTACCCCTCTGCATGTATTCTACCCTTTTACCTTTCTTCCCCCTCTGGAGTAAACGTTTAACTAGATTTATATCATTTAATGTGTGTGTGTGTGTGTGTGTGTGTGTGTGTGTGTGTGATAATAGTTGATCTCATTTAGCTGTATTATATCATTTAGACCACATAGAGTTACTGAGTTCTATTGTGGGCCTAGCAGAGAAACAAATCATTAGGAGGATGAGCATTTCCAGGCAGCTTTTGCTTTTCATACCTCCACAGTCATGAGCTTTTACTGAAAATACATGTGAGGACTCCAACTTCCTTCTGTCCTGGTCCAATAAAAAGAGATTTGCAAGAGTAAATTTTAGGTTACTCTGTGGCCATGCCTGCAGAGTGTGACACCTACAACTTTTTGGCTGGGAGGAAGGGTGAGAAGAATGAAGATATCCAGGCAGGATATATCTGAAGAGGATGGAACAGCATATAGGTCATGAACAGAAAAGCAGACTGGGAACGAGAACTAGGTTCTCTTACTAATTGGGTCACTCATTCAAATACTGAAGGAATAGCAAGGGTGCTGAGGCTCCTTTTACTGGGCAGCCATGAAGAGTCATCAAGCACTGCTTATAAATGATTTCTACTTCCCTGAGACTATGAATGTGTCAGGTGTCTTCAGCTAGAGAATGGACAGAGAACAGATTAAGATAAAGTGGGACAAAGATTAAAATAGAAAACCACATAGAGGGAACCACACTCTAGGAAAGACTGAGATGATGGCTGCTTTGTGGGTTTCTCACAAACTGTAGCGTCGATCTGGTTAGAGAGTTCATTTTCTGTTGTTGTCCCAGAGGACACAGTTGGTACGCTATGGACCACATAGTAGAAAATAAATGACTCCAAAGCAATCACTTTGTTGGCGTATTCTCCATCTTGTTCCCCACAAGATTTGGGATGGTTTACTTACACCAACCGTGTGTGGGAAGTCACCGGTCTTGAACTTGGCCAGCTCTGATTCGAGGGCTGGCTTTACCAATGACTCACTGTATGGTCAGGGAGTATGGCCTGAAGCTCACCAGGCCCGGGGACAGCGCATGTGGGAGTCATTTACCAATAAGAATATGCTATACAAATGTCCGGGGTGATTATTAGTAGTAGGAATGCTTTTCATTTAATAGGCTAAATAAAACATGCTAAACAAACACAACTGTGAATAAAAAGCATAAAGTTTGACCTACACTGACATGGCCCCTGAACCTTAACAGTAGAAAGTTTTTCTCAGAGTAAGCAAAGCCATGATCTGGTCCTAAAAACAGCACATTTGTTAAACTGAAAATGCTCTAAATTACTCCTTGGTAAGGGCTATTCTGCACAATCTGATGATTTGGGATTTCGCCAAATTAATGTCACTAGATATGCCTTATAATTAGGATAAAATATTTTAAAAGTTTTCAAAATGAAGCTATTCATTAACTCATTGATTTTTTCTACAGATTGGGAGCCTGAATTTAAATGATACCCAAAAATATAACTAGGTGTGCTCAAAGAGAGAAGAACTGGTTGTGAGTCTTTAAATGGAATGCAGTGGTTTAAAATGTTATTACTATTCAGCTTCTCTGAGAATATTAAAACTGCCCATTAAATGAAAATCTAATAATTGGCCCCATTGAATTGTGACATTTTGTAACCTGTACAGAAATGCAGAAAATTGTGGAAGAATAGCTCTTTTGAGGCAGAATTTGATTTGGAATGTAATATTATTCTAAAAGTGAAGGTTCTCATACACACACACACACATACACACACACACACAGATACACATGGACAACAATGCAGACTGACTGAGAAAGCTGAGGAAGAGTCTTCAGAGCTAAGGCAGATAACTCAAGACTCTCCTAGGTAACTTATGCTACTGACCCGGGAAAAAAAGCAGGCAAAGCATGAGCTCAGAGTAAACCCCAACTTGGAAGTGGCCTCTCTTTGGACATTGCTTAAAAAATATAAACAAGTTAGGTCATTCCATGCTTTTATATAAACCACGTGCAATTCTGCAATTTCTATAATTATTCTGCAGTAGCACTAAGTGAATACAATTCAGAGACATTAACTGAGCCGGGCGTGGTGGCTCACACCTGTAATCCTAGCATTTTGGGAGGCCAAGGTGGGCGGATCACTTGAGGTTAGGAGTTTGAGACCAGCCTGACCAACATGGCAAAACCCCATTTCTACTAAAAATACAAAAGTTAGGCAGCGTGGTGGTGCACGCTTGTAATCCCAGCTACTTGGGAGGCCGAGGCAGGAGAATCATTTGAACCCAGGAGGCAGAGGTTGCAGCGAGCTGAGAGCATGCCAATGCACTCCAGCCTGGGCGACAGAGCAAGACTCCATCTCGGAGAAAAAAAAAAAAAGACATTAACTGGAGGACAACAAATGGATTCAAATCAGAGGTTTAAAAATCCTCATGGGCCAATATTTACCAAGCACCTTCCATGTGAATGCAACTGTGCTGAGTGCTTTCAGATTCAAATATGAGAGCTGTATTCCTTGTTCTCCAGGAGTTAACCCTATAGTAGAGGGAATGAGATAGGTACTGAAACAGCTGAAACTTAAGGCATACTAGATCTGTCCAACAAGAGCAGTACAATCAAAGCAACACAGAGCACTTTGGGAGGCCGAGGCAGGTGGATTGCTTGAGCTCAGGAGTTCGAGACCAGCCTGGGCAACATGGTGAAACTCTGTCTCTACTAAAATACAAAAAATTAGCCAGGCTTGGTGGTGCCTGCCTATAGTCCCACCTACCTGGGAGGCCGAGGCACAAGAATTGCTTGAACCCAGGAGGCAGAGGTCGCAGTGAGCCAAGACTGCGCCACTGCATTCCAGCCTGGGCAACAGAGCAAAACTATCTCAAAAAAAAAAAAAAAAAAAAAAAAAAAAGCCACATAGAGTGCCTCTTGTTGGGGAGATCTGAAAAATGTGATCTCTCCTTTCTTTGAGGATGCAGCATGAAGACAGGGAACTGAAAGATGGGCAGGATTTTTATGGGGAAGAGAAGGTAAATGTCCAGGCAGGAGGAATGGCATGAGCAAGATTAAGAGCAAGAGGCAAGTCTGGTAGGCAGGGAGCAGTTCCGGCTGGCTGAGGTGCAGGTCAAGCGAGGGGAGGGTGGCTGGGAAGGAAGGTAGAGGCTGCATTGCAGAGAAGGCTGAGGGCCAGCAGAGGCCTAGGCCAGCCCACAGCACCAGGGGGGCAGTTCTGTCTGAAGACAGACACTCTTAGGGAACTAGAGGTCAAAAATCTTCATTGTATACTCTTTATCTGTGAAAATACAGGGCTCCAACTTTCTGTCCCTTTTCTGAGGTGTTTGTCAGCAAAGCAACCAGACACTCTTAAAGAAGGGACACAAAAAAGGGAGCCAATTCCTGGGGAGAAATGGTGACTGAAATGAAATGAAGGCCGGGACTAATCAGGGAGGAGGATGGTGAGTGAGATGAAGGAGAATATATGCCAGAGGAAGGCGGTCTAATCAGGAACAGGATGGAGGTGAGGAAGGGGACACGTACCCCTCCCGGGATAATCCCTAAGAAAATTGACAATAGACGCTGGAGGGCCAGCAAGTCCATAGATTCAGAAACTACCAGCAACCGCGGGGTGGCATAAACATGCCAGCTATGGGTTTCCACCCAGAAACCAAGTACTGCTCTTTGCGCTTTTAGGAGACAGACTGTGTAACTACGAAACATGTTTTTAGGAGACTATTTACTGTCAAGAAGAAATGTTCACGGCAAACGGCGAAGTGGGAAAGGCTACACAAAATGGATGCATGTACAACATAATTCCATGTTTATAGAAATATGAGCAGCATTTATTGGTGTATTTGATCATCACGAGCTAGACTGCTGAATGGTGAAATATTTGAAATATTCCATGCCATCCAAAAGTTCTTCAGTTCTTACTTAGAATAGCTGGTGACTCGCTTCTGTCAAAGATACTGCTTAATGCTAATTAGTATGCAGAACACATTCCTTTACAAATATCTCTAATAAGTAGAATAACTAAAAGAATCTTGTCAAATATGTAGCTGGCACAGTATAAAACATTAGAGATGAGTGTTTTCCTTTTTACCACTTTTAGGAAACAGTCTTCTATGTAAGAAATACATGGGACCTTATTTGAAAAAAACTGAAGTATTAACACAAATATTCCCAAGCTTATATTAGCTCTTGTAATCAATGTAACTTCTTTACACAGACCTGTAACCCTGTTTATATAAATATGCCCATGTATAAACAATGCATACTGCACATTAGTGCCTGGTGGAGGCCAAGTCTTTTTCAAAATGCAAACATTTCAGAATTATTTTGTATTTCAACAAACCTACAGTAATATACATGCTGTATACACATACCACACAATTATTCTATTTTGCATGTGAAATTACATACTTTACACACCTGGCTAGCACAGTGGAAGGACAGGCCCACTGATACCAGTGAGAAGCAATGAGTCCTTGTGTTTAGCTTCTTCAATGTTATCAGGATAGAACTGTCTAACAGAAATGAACCTGCTTTCTTTGGCGGTAAAGAATGTTATCAACCTTTTACCTAAATAAACTTCACCAGGAACAGGGGTGAAAAAATTGGCTAGATGTTTAATAAAGTGCAACCAGGACTGCAGCTGCTAATTTTGTTTGATGTTTTACAGCTGAGGGTAGCAAAAAAACTAAAAGGCAATTACATGAACCAAACAGACTTTTATAGCTCATAGTCAATCTCAAATAAATAATTCTGGCAGAGTCTAATACTCTTTATGTTAAAATACATCATCTTCCAATTTAGGACAATAACTTTAAAATTTTTATGCAAAGTAAGAGCAAATCAGAGACAGGTCTGGAAAACTTAAATGCCAATAAAACATTCAATTATTTGTATGTAAAATATACATAAAAGGGAGGAGAATATATACAAAGTTATTAACAATAGTTCAATAGCTGGGCAAGGTGACTCAAGCCTGTAATCCCAGCACTTTGGGAGGCAGAGGCGGGCAGACCACCAGGTCAGGAGTTCGAGACCAGCCTGACAAACATGGTGAAACCCTGTCTCTACTAAAAATACAAAAATTAGCCAGGCATGGGGGCGCGTGCCTGTAATCCCAGCTACTCAGGAGGCTGAGGCAGGAGAATTGCTTGAACCTGGGAGGCGGAGGTTGCAGTTAGCCAAGATCGCACCATTGTACTCCAGTCTGGGCGATAGAGCGAGACTTCATTTCAATAAAAAAAAAATAGTTAGCCTGGTGTGGTGGCACATGCCTGTAGTCCCAGCTACTTGGGAGGCTGAGATGGGAGGATCACCTGACCCCGGGAAGGCTGAGGCTGCAATGAGCCATGATCATGCCACTGTACTCTAGCACTCCAGCCTAGGTGACAAAATGAGTTCCTGTTTCAAAAAAACAAATACAACCCCTCCCCGCGCCACAAAAAACCCCCAATGGTTCAATGGAGGATGAGGCTTAAAGGGAGTTTTAGTTTGTTCTTTAACCCTTTCTGAATTTTCAAAATATTCAATAATAAATATGAAAGTAATAGTTTTTAAACGTTTAGGTTTTATTGTTTAAAATTACAAGGAGTTCAGTAAACTCACCACATTTTTTTGTGTTAAAAAACAAAAATTAAATACTCTGAAGGTGATTTAAGCAAGTGGGAGCAACATGATAAACATGTTGAGTGTATGAAAAAAACCTGCTGCTGCTTTAAAGAACTGTTGGGCTGCTGGTCTGTTTCTGGGGTGACAAAGCAGGTCTGTGTTTTGATGTTGCGTGACAGGGAGGGGTGAGGTCAGGGCATCCTGAAAACACATGAAAGACGAAGAAGTAGCGCACTGGTAGCAAAAGTGCAGGTTTCTTGAGTGCATGTAAGTCGAAAGCAGTTATGGTTCAGAGTGGGAAAGGCCACATGTGCTATGGAGGGAGAAGCTCTAGAGACCGTAAGAGAAAAGCTCCCAACTACAATCCTTTCACAAGGACCAATATGCGTGCAGGTAATAGCTTTGTCTCTTTCCTACTTAATTTAGAGATTATATCCCTTTAATCTAGTCTGTATGGCAAAATATTGAGAGTACAGAGACCGAAGTAGGTAAGACTAAGAGCTCTCCACCATCTGAAACAGGCAGTAATGGCATAGGCACAACAGTTATTTAATTAGCACACATTGATTAACTTAACCCCATGTAACCACTGTCTTCTGCTACTGCTAATTTTGTTTTTGAAGTCAAATGAAATAAAGTAGCTGAAGAGTAATTAAACGTGTCCACTCCCTTTATCCCTATGGCTATGATGACTGGGCTGCCCTCCACTGCTGAGGTTTTCTGAGAAGATGCTGGAAAGGCTTTGAAATAACTAAAAGACATGTTCTCAGGAGGTGGCAACTTCACATTAAAAACCCTAATATGAATGAGGCTGTCGGCAGCACTTTCTCTGAGGACGTGGGAGAGGCACATGATTTGTAGTCATTTTCAAATATTGGCTACGAAAATGATGATGTTCTATTAAAAGGTTTGCTACGGAAAGGAATCCTAGGCTACATTTGTGACAGTCCACCTAACACAAAAGATGGAAGATTGATGAATGTAAACTGTAGATTAGCAGTGGTTTTCAAACTTAACAAAAACAACAACGACAAAAGAATTTTTTTTTTCAAATGACAATCGTAGACATGCCCAACAGAGGACCAGATTAACACGGAACTAGCTTCTCTAGATGAAGTCTTGTTTGTTTTGCCTTTTCTTCCTCCTTGGTGACCTTTAGGTGGGTGGGCAAATGTTAAGGTTCCTTGGAATACAATTTGAGAACCCCTCCTTTATGCATCTCTGGGAGTACTGTGCATTGACTCAGTCCACACGGATTCTGATGCTCTTTAGCAGCTTTCTTTGACAGCTAGGTGAGAAAGCTAAGAAGGACATTTCCAAAAGTCTCTTGCTACCAGGTTCTGGATGTGGCCAAGGTTCTGGAGGAGCCTGGGCAAAACGTGGAAAGTGGGTATGAGCAGTGTGAGGCAGCCACAGGGAACGAGATGGGTGCACTTCCCAGAAATGTGTGTGTGTCGGGGGTAGGGGTAGAGGGAGAAGAGGGGCGTGCCTTTGGTTCTTCTGGGACAGTTCTGGCAGCAATAATGGAGTCAGTATAGAAGCTAGTATCATGGATGCCATGTGGGATAACAGTGAGGCAGTGAGACCTCCCAGAACAGTCTGACTGCCTGTTCTGTTGCTGAAATTCATGGCTGTGTAGCATCTAAAAGAGCTTCACTGGCCTTCCCAAAGAGTCTGTAAGCTATTCTAGCGCTTATCTCTTTCTGCTTAAGTTAGCTACTGATTCTAACCCTCTGAATCTAAGAATCCTGACCAATTCAAATTCTAAAATAGAGGGGCTGGGCACAGTGGCTTATGACTGTAATCAGGTACTTTGGGAGTCTGAGGCAGGAGGATTGCTTGAGGCCAGGAGTTCAGACGAGCCCAGACAACATGGCAAAATCCTGTTTCTAAAAAAAAAAAAAAACTTAAAAACTTAGCCGGGCATGGTGGCACGTGCCTGCAGTCCTGTAGTCCTACTACTTGGGAGGCTGGGGCAGGAGGATTGTTTGAGCCCAGGAATTGCAGGCTGCAGTGAGCTATGATTGTGCCACTGCACTCCAGGCTGGGTCGACAGAGCGAGACCCTGCCTCTGAAAAATAAGTAAATTAAAAATAAAATAGACCCTCATTATCTCATTACCTCATAAGAGGTATCCATAACACCATCATCTTTGTATCCCTACTGGACCTAGCATCATTTTTATCATGTAGATTGAATGTTAGTTAAATCACACTACTATAGCCACAGCATTATGCTGATCAAATTTTAACACCATTCAACTACCAATTAGAGAGTGTGACAAGATCTAAATAATATACATAACAAACACCTCAATAAACAAGTGGTTGAAACACTGTAATTTCTAGCCATGTTCACTTATCTGGGTAAAGCAAGGCATTAAAAACAGTCTCAATTTCTCATCATTTGGAGAAGACAAAAGTCAAAAGCTATCTAAAATAATCATTATTATGATTAACAATGAGTCTGAACTTGACCACTGTAGAATGACACACTAAAATGCCTATGTCTTGGTGAAAAGTAACAAGCAAAAAGAAAAAGAAAAATAGGCCCTTTATTTTGAAAATAACATATTGTCCCTGTGGGGTCATATATATATAATTGTTATCTAAGAATTTGATTACTCACAGCACAACTAGTTTTCTTCATTTAGAAAAGACTATTTGAAAGGGCTTCTCTTTCTTCCATTTTGTACACAACCTTTATTTCATTTTCTGTAAGTGGTTAGACAAAGGGTCAGACGATGACTTTAAATATTTAAACTGGTCAATGACAGTCAAGTAGCCAGGAACTTCTCTGGTTTATTGTTAATACGAATTGCCTTAGAGGTAACCTCAAGTACATGGCACAGCTTCCTAATGAGTGATTAGTTATGAAACTATGAAGTAATTCTGAATTTTAAATAAGACCGAAGAAAAGACTGGGATATAACAAATTAAAAGTACCATAATTATGCAATATCATGAGATGTATTAGACAGTCACACTATGCATATATCAAAAAATACATTAATAAACCTAACATATTAATATAAAGCTAAGCTTGGCCCTTCAAGACCTCAACACTAATTGGAAAGGATTTTGACAGAACATCTTGAATAACTTTCATTATTAATTTTGGCAAGCTATTTTTTAGCTACCTAAATAATGATTATTTCTACACTCTACAGTGCATCTATCAAAATCTAAGATCTGAAAAATAACATGAGTGAGGATGAGTGAAGTAGCAAATGTTCAAATGTTACAACCTGAATATGAATTTATTGGTGTGATGTAAATAATATATATGTGATGTTTCATTTTCCTATGTTTTGCTTTATATTGTCTACTTAAAATATACATTTACAATCATATACTGTAGATTAATTATATATAATGCATCATATTCCAAATTTTAGCAATTTTTTTTTTTGAGACAGAGTTTTGCTCTTGTTGCCCAGGCTGGAGTGCAATGGCATGATCTCGGCTCACCGCAACCTTCATCTCCCGGTTCAAGCGATTCTCCTGCATCAGCCTCCCAAGTAGCTGGGATTACAAGCATGTGCCACCATGCCTGGCTAATTTTGTATTTTTAGTAGAGATGGGGTTTCTCCATGTTGGTCAGGCTGGTCTTGAACTCCCGACCTCAAGTGATCCGCCCGCCTTGGCCTCCCAAAGTGCTGGGGTTACAGGCGTGAGCCACTGCGCCTGGCCCAGAAATATTTTTAAGATCATGCATTCTGATCAGTTTAAAAACTCTTCCCAAGGTGTAATGATTTAAATGGATTTCATTTATAAAGAAAACACTTATCAATACATATCAAGGGCAAATCAATCTCACAATGAAAAAAAAATACATCTAGTAGTAGACATTATTGGTGAAAAGTATAAAAAGTATAATTTTGCCTTTAACAGCTTATTACTGTAACCAAGGCAGATTTATCCACCTTTTCTTTGTTGTTGGAATTAAAGTCATTGATTAAAAAAATCAGATCACTACTGAGTTTAAAATAAGAATGGTCTAGCCAAAAAGGAGGCCCAATTAGTTAATACTAGAGAGTACCCAGGTACCTACTAAAGTAATATAATTTATTGAGGTTAAAAAATAGGGCAGAGCCAGGCGCAGTGGGTCACACCTATAATCCCAGCACTTTGGGAGGCCAAGGTGGGTGGATCCATTGAGCCTAGGAGTTCAACACCAGCCTGGCCAATATGGTGAAATCCCATCTCTACCAAAAATACAAAAATTAGCCAGGTGTGGTGGCATGTGCCTGTAATCCCAGCTACTTCAGAGGCTGAGGCATGAGAATTGCTTGAACCCATAGGCAGAGGTGGCAGTGAGCCGAGATCACACCACTGCACTCCAGCCTGGGCGACAGAGTGAGACTCTGGCTCAAAGAAATAAAAAATAAATTAGCTGGGTGTGGTGGCACACGCCTGTAATCCCAGCTACTCGGGAGGCTGAGGCACAAGAATCACTTGAACTTGGGAGGTGGAGGTTTCAGTGAGCCGAGATTGTGCCACTGCACTCCAGCCTGGGCAGCAGAGCAAGACTCTGTCTGAAAACAAACAAACGAACAAGCAAAAAAATCAGGGCACTATGTGACATAGTAATGCTTTAAACGAATCCTGGTTTTAATACTGAATTTGGTGCTATTAAGGTTCTCCCCTTGAAGTGAAATGTCTGCTATCTGTATCTTTTTCATAGAAGGCTGTAGGTGCCATGTTTGTTGAAGGATATCATTTTATGAATACCCAGGCTTTAGCTTTCACCAAAATGGAAGGCTTGCTCAATAAATAAGGAACTTGCCCCAGGTCACGAAGTTAGATAGTATTAGAAAAGGAGGAAGATATTGCAGCCCAGGTTGGACTGCTGCACCCCACAGCCCTACCCAAAGTCCACCTACACAAGGAGGCCTTTGCTTCCTGCTTCTTTCAGTTGGGGTCCTGACTCATGGACTTCGTATGTTCCCTTTTCCTTTCTCACTGAAATGAAAACTCTCACACAGTATACCCATGATCATGCTGCAAGAGTAGAAATTAAGTTTATGAATGACACCCTTCACTTACTGCCCCTTTCTCTCATACAGTGATATTTGTAACTCACTAGATGTAGGATTTCTAAAGCTGAGTGATTTGTAATGTAATACTTCTAGAATCTCCAGAGTAATTTCAGCATTAGTTACTAATAAAAGTTGGCTCTCTGCATTTCTTAACCTTGGGAACATGAACCTTTAAGACTCAGAGATCAAATACCAACATTCCCCTAGGACTGCTGTGCACATCTGCATTTCTGAATGTAGGACTTTTTTTGTTCCTAATCAAGTATAATCTCACTTCATAACTTCTGCTTTTGGCTCAGTGCTACCTAGATTTCCAAGCAAATGAAGAAATGAAGGCTGAGGATTTCGTGCTTAGAGGTTTGGAAATTTGGCAAATACTACATTAAAATACAATCATTTGATCTTGAGCCTCAACATAGGGAAATGCAGTGAAAATACAAAGAAACCAACACGAGGCTTTATACATTCCAAATCTGCACCTGTGTTTGGATGTTGCCAGATATTTGTATGAGCAATTCTGTTTTCAGGACAAAACAGAATGAAGAGCCCCCCTAAATTTCCCTCTGGGATCTTCCAGCCATTCGAAGTAATCGCTAATTCCTGCTTACATCCACAAGTCAGGCATCCAAGTGTTGCTATTCCTGGCTGATCTTGTTCTGTGTTTAAATGGTCTAGTTGTTGGTTTCTGCATCTGGGTCCAAACCAATTTAACATGGAAAGTTAGTTCAAGGATTTCAGTCACCTTTAAATTATCTTTAAAGCCAGCTACAAAAATAGCTGGAGTTATTAACATACAATTATGAAAAATGCCATTCAGACTCACCAAACTCAAGGGTATCCCTCATTATATAGTTTGCTCAAAAATGACCCTTTAGGGTCCAGTCAATGAGATACAACTTATTTTCAAATAATTTAATTTAGCATCCATTAACTCTCTTTGCAACCTAAAACCCACAGAAGAGAAATGATTCCTCTCTTCTGATAATCGTGAGCACAAGTTACCTGTAAAATCAAATTTCCATGAAGATTTAGCCAGGGTAGCACATTTTATGGCCTTGCATTTAACCAAAGTGGTGGAACAGATGAAACTTGGACTTAATTTACAAATGCTTTCATATAATATCTGTAACTTTTACTTCTTGTTATATTTATCCACTTCATAATGTTAAACATTTTTAAAAAATCAATCACAAAGTACCATAACCAGGAATGATTAGGGGAAGAATATACTTCATCCAAACTTGACTTATACAATAGCTATGGTTTGTCTATGAACTCATTTATTATTGTTGTTTGGAAGCCAATATGAGCAATTTGGCTAAAGGTATGGGTTTTATTCAGAATTGGGCTTGCATTCAAATTCTAGCTCTGATACTTATGAGTTCTTTGATGCAGAGTATGTTTATTATGCATTTGAGGCCTTAGTTTCCTCACCTGTCAAATGAGTTGTTGTGAAGATCAAGAAAGATGATTGATTAGAAAGTGCCTAGTAGAGAACTAGCTCATAGTTCATGCTCAATAGATTGGAGTTATTTTTCATTTGTAAGTATCTTTGCTTTTCAATAAGCTCTTTGATGGGAAGGGCTATTTCTGGACTTTCTTGTACAGCTTACAGTACTTACCCTTGTGACATAGCAGGAAAAACACTGATTTAGGTATCAAGGGACCAGTAACATCCAATCTCACTACCTACTAGCTATGTAATTTTTGGCAGAGTTCTTAAGATATCTGGGTCTTAGCATGTCTATCTGTAAGATGGGGATAATGTTTTACCTCCGAGTGTTTTTTTTTTTTTGTTTTGTTTTTTTTTTTTTTTTTTGAGATGGAGTCTCGCTCTGTTACCCAGGCTGGAGTGCAGTAGCACGATCTTGGCTCACTGCAACCTCTGCCTCCTGGGTTCAAGCAATTCTCTGCCTCAGCCTCTCGAGTGGCTGGGATTACAGGTGCCCGCCACCATACCCGGCTAATTTTTGTATTTTTAATAGAGACAGGATTTCACCATCTTGGCCAGGCTGGTCTTGAACTCCTGACCTCGTGATCCACCCGCCTTGGCCTCCCAAAGTGCTGGGATTACAGGTGTGAGCCACCATGCCCAGTCTTTTTTTTTTTGAGACGGAGTTTTGCTCTATTGCCCAGGCTGGAGTGCAATGGCGCGATCTCAGCTTACTGCAACCTCCGCCTCCTGGGTTCAAGCGATTCTGCCTCAGCCTCCTGAGTAGCTGGGATTGCAGGCATGTGCCACCACACCCAGCTAATTTTTGTATTTTTAGTAGAGACGGGGTTTCACCATGTTGGCCAGGACGGTCTTGATCTCCTGACCTCATGATCCACCCGTCTTGGCCTCCCAAAGTGCTGGGATTATAGGCGTGAGCCACCATGCCCGGCTCCTCCCAGTGTTCTGACAAGGATCCAAAAAGATGGCTAAAACACATTTTATAAACTATAAACCATAGTTTAAATTTAGGTTAATATCACCATTGAATTCTAACTTGAATTAAGAACTACTATTTTTCTCAGCTCTCCTCCATGTGAGGATACAATGAGCAGACAACCATCTATAAACCAGGAAATGGGTCCTTACCAGACAGCAGATCTGCCAGCACCTTGATCTTAAATTTCCCAACCTCCAGAACTGTGAGAAACAAATGTCCCTTGCTTAAGCCACACCGTCTGTGGAATTCTGTTATAGCAGCCTGAGCTAAGATACCACCAATGACAGGTCTAGGTAGAGTGAGGAGGAGGTAGTTAGCTTGCCTAAAGTGATGGTAACTGCCATCTATGCTGAAATTACCAAGTAAGATGAAAGAGAATATGAAATCATTTCAACTCTACATCTGGTCATGAGTTAAGACTTTAGAGCTTGGCAGTTTGGGAAAATACAAATGAATTGGCTGGGGTGGAAAATAATACTTTGTGACACGACACACCCATCTGCTGGAACACTTGAACAGGCCACTACTCAGGGGTGTGGTAGCTACGGAGGACCACAGCTGTGGTCATCTCCGCGAGGATTTTCTTCTCTGGTGGACTGAAGGAACACAAGTGTGGACATCATCTGGCAGAAGGAGCTGTGACTTTATTAGGCACCAATCTTAGATGGAATGCTACTCACCAACGAACCTCTGGAAAGTCAGACTCTAGACAATACTCTGCCTGTGTTCAACAATGAGTGCACAAAGGGTGGCAAAGCATGTGTTCCAGCATATGTGAACAAAGGGCATAAAGATGTGCGAGACGGGTGTTAAAACATCAGTTCAAACACGTGTTTAACCATGTGTGAGCAGAAGGGTGTTAAGCCATGTGGTAAAGCAAGTGTTAGAGCAGATTCGATTACAAGTGTTTCTCATTTGGGGGCTTAAATTATTTTCTCCCTAATCCAGTGTTGCTAAGCAATAGCTCTGTGTTGTCCTAACTTAACACAATAAATTATTAAACTTAAAAAAACTGAAGCTAGAATTCTTTTTTCCTGTCTTGGTTTCATCACTAAGGATTTACGTCTATAGTTTCCAAAAGACATAGTGCTCTTCTGCTAGTGTAAGCAAAAACTGGGGTACACTCCATATGTAGGGAGGCAACAGTGAGAAATGAGGGGCAAACCACACTGAATACACAGTGAGACAATATGCAGTGTTCGGAAGATGCAGTGACATATTACCCAAGTCTCAAGGTCTGAGAAGCCGCATAGCCCACAGACTCAGGGTTCCTTTCCCACAGCTAGGATTTGGCTTTCTGTTTTCAATTTTAAAATATACATATCACTGCACTAAGAACAGGGATTCCTAGAGTTCTTATTGATAGCAACATGTGATAGAGGCTGGCTTTAAGGTATATCTGACACTATTTGCTGAATATTTTAGCTTATGTTACATTATGAATCACATTGCTGCTGTAGGCTTCCATTCCAAAGCAAATAGATTTGCTTAGTTTAAAATATAAATACACAACCCTGGATGTCACTTAAAAAAGAATAAAAGTAGACAAAACCCAGAATGTGCTATTAATGCTTTTCTACAGGGTGAAGAAAAGAATACACACACACACACACACACACACACACACACACACACACATGTAAATGCTAATACAGAGAAACAAAATTTCAGGCAGCTATTTTCTATTTTATCTTCTTGTTATGGAACAAAGCTATCAACAAAATAAACCAGTAAAGCTATTTAAACCCATTCATTTCTCTGCTGGTAATGGATATAATTACATATTCTTTTTAAAAATACCAAGAACAAGGCTGGGCGCGGTGGCTCACTCCTGTAATCTCAGCACTTTGGGAGGCTGAGGTGGGCGGATCACCTGAGGTCAGGAGTTCGATATCAGCCTGACCAACATGGAGAAACCCTGTCTCTACTAAAAATACAAAATTAGCTGGGCATGATGGTGCATGCCTGTAATCCCAGCTACTCAGGAGGCTGAGGCAGGAGAATTGCTTGAACCTGGGAGGCAGAAGTTGCAGTGAGCTGAGATAGCGCCATTGTACTGCCTGGGCAACAAGAGCTAAACACTCTCTCAAAAAAAAAAAAAAAAAGAAAAGAAAAGAAAAGAAAAGAAAATACCAAGAACAGAATTAGCCAGGTGTGGAGGCATGCACCTATAGTCCCAGCTACTTGGGAGGCTGAGGCAAGACAATCACTTGAACCCGGGAGGCGGAGGTTGCAGAGTGCCGAGACAGCGCCATTGCACTCCAGCCTGGGTAACAGAGCAAGACCCTGTCTGGAAAAAAAAAAAAAAAGAACAGAAGAAAAGCAAAAGATCTGCAAGTTTGTGTTTCAATTCCACTTCTCACACAGTACTAATTAATACGCCTTTTTCTGCTTAACAGAATAATTTATGTATAAGTACTATTTGACTATACCTAGGAAAATATTTCTGATTATTCTGAATAAAGAAAAACTGATACATCATTAGAAAAAAAATATTGCCTTCCCAATCACCTTTTGCTTCAAGATCATGGAATGCTTTATTGAATAAAAACTGGCAAGAGGAAAACACACAATTAAAGCTAGTGTTTTCTGCCAGCCACCTTTGTAGCAGAGGTCATAGAATTTTTGAATACTTCTCTTTTCCTGTTCACTTGTGTCACTTAATGATTTCTTCACGCAGCTCAGTACATACTCAAGGAAATACAATCCCTCAGCAGAAAAAGCATGGTTTCTGGCTGCTGTGACCTGACTCTTTGCTTAAACAAATTCCAGAGTGCACACTGACAAAGTGATGGTGATTATTTTTTCTTCTCGAAGACTCAGCCCAAATTAAGAAAACAAAGAAAACAGAATCTGACCAAGGAAATAATAGAGGAAAGTTGCTCATAGGTTTTCTTAGTTTATGTTTAATAGTTTTATTTTGACCAAAACAAATAGCCCGATGAGAGAATTCATTTTAGCAATCCCACGTTTCTTCAATATTAAGACATTTTACTTTGTAACAGAGCAAAAATGGATATAGAATGTAGACAATCTATATTCCATCAATAGTAAACACATCCTGAAATCTGAAACAATTTTACTTAGGTTGGTCTTGAAATGCATGCAAACCAGCCTCAGGAATTAAGACTTATGCTACCAAAATTATAAAACATTCTGTAAATTTCACTGGTTAGGAGAAAATCTATAAAGAAGAGAGTGTGCTTTCTGAGTCCTCAGAACCAGCTAGAACTGTTAGTCAGGTCAATTTCACTGAAGGCTCCTAGTCTTAAGTCAAACAAGCATGCAAACACATTCCACTTTATAGAAAATAGAATAAGATAAGTAGCTCTGATGGAGATACAGTCCTTGAGATAAACTTCTGAATTTCCCTGGATGTGCTCACGTGCATATATATATATATATATATAATCATTCTCTCTAATTACATTTTTCTATAGAGATGGCCTACTCAGTAAACAAAATACATTGGAGGCATTGTAAAGGAAAGCTCTTTTTGTAAAAAATTTCTGCCTAGTGCACTTTGTACAATGTTCTGTAGAGTAATAAGGTGCTTAGCAAATCTTACATAACAACTTACACGTTTCATCTAACTTTTCAGAGGACGGGAAAAATGATTAGAAACATAATTTTAACCTCCTCTGCTTTCTGTCTGAAGTAACCATCATGAACCTCAGTGGATGGGTCACGTGTGGCGTAAAAAGCCTCCTGAAGGTGTAAGTTTTCTTGATTTCACAGCCCTGGGTGTGTCCACTCCAGGGCTGCTTGGGTGTGGGCAAGCTGAGGACAGTGCTTGTCCACTGGGCACGCAGTGCATCTGCAACGTGCATTTCCACTGCCTTGAGCTTTGTACCTTTCCTGGAATGAGCCTCCCAGAGATTCCAGTGTAAGAAGGAACTATCCATAATCAACTGGCGCCATATTTGCAAAAGCAAATATGTGTATTTAAAGTAAGCTAGAGAACAGTCACAATGTCCCAGGCTGACACTGAGCAATTGCCTCCTGAAGTTATTAGCACTGCTTCCCTTTTTATGAACATAATAACCTCAGCAATTATGGGAAAAAGCAAAATCAATGCAAATAAACCAAGCCTTTTTTTTTAATCTTTATACCTTACCCTTAAAAAAAAATGTCATTTGAAGGCTTAATTAGATGCTTTTTATTTATGTAAATACATATGCCCTTTTCCTTATACCCAATGTTTCTTACTAATGCTAGTAGAATTAACCCTCAAATTAGAAATATTGAACTTTTTAAATGCTTTAAGTAATTAAATGCAAATGCTTCGATCAGAAATAAAAACAGTATATACTATGCAGCAAAGTTCAAGGTAGGTACTATGGTAAGATAAATGTTTCTCTAAACTTGAACTTTTCACTTTTGGAAATTAATAGAAAGACAAAGCTCAAAAAAAATTTCATGTGTTCCATTTCCCACATAATTTAAAGGGCATCCAACAAATGGAAGATGAATTTATACCTTTCAGTCAACTGGTTTACTTTGGAACATTTGCTATTTATTTATTTATTTATTTAGGAGACAGAGTCTCACTCTGTCACCCGGGCTGGAGTGAAGTGGTGTGATCTCAGCTTATTGCAACCTTTGCCCCCCAGGTTCAAGTGATTCTCCTGCCTCAGCCTCCTGAGTAGCTGGGATTACAGATGCCTGCCACCATGCCTGGCTAATTTTTGTATTTTTAGTAGAGACGGGGTTTCACTATGTTGGCCAGGCTAGTCTCGAACTCCTGACTTCAGGTGATCTGCCCGCCTCCGCCTCCCAAAGTGCTGGGATTACAAGGCTTGATCCACCGTGCCCAGCTGGAACATATGCTTTCTGAGACCAACTCAGATTGAAAAAGATTTTTTTTTTTTTGAGACTGAATCGTCAAACTTTGTTTAAAGGAGGTTAGAAGTAAAAAATCACCCCAAATAAAGAGACTAACTCTGCCATTCAGAGGCATGCTTCCAGACATTAGAGTTCTCTCCTAAATGTTTCCTTCCAGATCTTTAACTAAAATGCAGAAAGGTAAGTCAGCAAGCTTCATGTAAATTAGTGTCACAGCTCGTCTGTTCTTTTATTCATTAAGTCTGTCCGTCCGTCCATCCATCCATCCATCCACCCATCCATCCATCCATCCATCCAAATACTTCCTGAGTGTCCATTCTGTTCCAGGAACTAGCAAGGTACTAGCAAAATAAGCTTCAGTCCCTTGCCCTCAAGCAGCTTTAAGGCTTCTGGGGTGGAGAGGGAGATGGGAAGGGCAGTCCAGATTAAAACAGATAAAAAATATATATTTTTTGAGATGGAGTATCACTCTGTCGCCCAGGCTGGAGTGCAGTGGCGCGATCTCAGCTCACTGCAAGCTCCGCCTCCTGGGTTCAAGCGATTCTTCTGCCTCAGCCTCCCGAGTAGCTGGGATTACAGGCACGCGCCACCAAGCTGGCTAATTTTTGTATTTTTAGTAGAGACAGGGTTTCACCATATTGGCCAGGCTGGTCTCGAACTCCTGACCTTGTGATCCGCCCACCTTGGCCTTCCAAAGTGCTGGGATTACAGGGGTGAGCCACCGAGCCTCGCATTAAAACAGATAAAATATTTTAAGTTTTGGATCAGGAATGCCTTGTTCTACAGTGGGACAAAGACTGAGGGCACAGTGATCCCGTGGAGACTCTGAATGTGTACAGGCTCTTGGGCCAGAAGTGCCTTTTATTTCTCCAAGTGCATATTTATCTTGGGTCAGTCAGCACTCAGAAAGAGCAACTAGGGCCTTTTAATTTACCTTTTGTGCTTCCTCTGGGAAACTGAGACAATAATTTGATCACTGCTTTTGTTCAAGCACCATTTTCAACTCGGAAGTTAGAGTTCTTCAAGATCTTTACATTTTACATGGTGAAGGTGCCTTGAGCCTTGTGTCAGATAAGCTATTTTTATTTTTATTTACTTATTTATTTATTTTTTAGACAGAGTTTCAATATTGTTGTCCAGACTGGAATGCAATGGTGCAATCTCAGATCACTGCAATCTCCGCCTCCTGGGTTCAAGAGATTCTCCTGCCTCAGCCTCCCCAGTAACTGGGATTACAGGTGCCCACCACCACGCCTGGCTAATTTTTGTATTTTTAGTAGAGATGGGGTTTCACCATGCTGGCCAGGCTGGTCTCGAACTACTGACCTCAGGCAACCTGCCTGCCTCGGGCTCCCAAAGTGCTGGGATTACAGACATGAGCCATCACGCCCCGCCAGTTAAGTTATTTTTAAAGAATTATTTACAAATTTAAATCATTTAACTTCTTTCCCCTTAACATTAGGGGAACTAAATAAATAACAGTTACTTAAGAAAAAAGTTTTAAGAGGTAGAAAAATGGGCTGCACTTCACTTACACATGTTTGGTACTTATTTATGTTTTGATTCTATGTTTGAGTGCTTAAGAGTTTATCAGAGGTTGGGAATCAAAGTGAGAGAAAATAGCAGATATTTGTGTTTGCTGTGGTATTTCACTTGTGCTCGTGAGAGAGACATTCATTCATCAAACATTTATTGAATGCATATTATGCACAAGGCACCAGATTTACTGACACGGTGAGGCAGAGATGAAAGCTCGTCCCTGTCCTCCAGGGACTCACTGTCTGGTGGGGAGATGGGCAAGGAACCCGCCAAGGCCAGTGCAGCAGTGGTTCCCACTGTGATGTGTGCAGACCACTGGAGAAACGAGAGCTGATTTTAGGCAACACGCAGATGATTACTTACTTTTAACATTTTATTTCAGGTATTTAGTTATGCATCTATTTTAACGTGTGAAAAAATGCATAGCTAGCACATTAAAACCATGGGCAATACTCTGTGCGATAAAGCTAAAGAAGAAGAAATTGTGCCAATTTAAAGGAAAAATAATATAGGTGTTAGGCAGGTAGGTATGCCCTCCCCACCTCCCCACAATAAAAACAGTGATGGTACTACTCAAATCATTGACATCTGGGAAATAAGGTAGGTCAGTGTGGGTAAATCAAAAGAGATGCCATTTTACAAAGGCTGGAATCCTCAGTGCATGTTTCTGGGCCTGAAGTAAGATGCCATGAAAGAAGTGTGTGCTTCCATGAAGGTGCAGGGAGGGGAAAGACACTGACATGGCCTGGGGAATTCAGAGGCTTCCAGAAAGAGCAGACAGAAGAATGAGGAGAAACAAGTACATTTACTAGGACCCTTCATTTGTAGAATTGTAGAATCTTAAGTTTGGATGGAACCCCAGAAATCAACTGTTATACCGTCTGTAATTAACTTTAAAGCATTTCTGCACAGATAGGGAGACATATATGTGCATTAGTTATTTTAATCTACACTCTAGGGTGGTGAGTTTGTAACTGAAGTGGGCTAATGGGAATATACATTTCAGAGGTGTTTAGTAACATTTAAAAGACTAATGAAAAGCCACATTCCAGAGGCAGCTCATACATGTGTGGCAGCTATCTTTATCTTATTAATTAATTACTCTTAATTAGCATAACTAATAATTATTAAGACATTAGAAACAGTATTGAAGATATGTGGACTGGCTTGAAATAGTGTCACTTGCACTTCCACAGCATGCATGGAAAGGTTATCAGAATGCAGTGATCCCAATTGAGTCTCCCTGAATGGTGTCCTTGAATTCAGATTTTGGTCTGAATCCATCCATTCAAGGGAGGATTTTACCATGTCACTTTGACTAGAAGGTTAGCCAACTCCCATTGCTGCATAGTCTCACATCTGCCTCAAGTGAACCTTCCATGCAAGTTGCTGTCAATGTACCCTCCCATCAGGAAAGAGGACAGGACTTCATTGGGCCTATTGGACATGCTGAGTGATGGTTTTGTGCATGCCTGCTAACTCACATTTCTATGTATGCCTGAATCCAGGCTGAGATTTGCTTTCATTTGGATATATCACTTGTGATACAGGCATAGCCCTCAACCACCTCCAATTCCTCTGCCTCGAAATGTAGCTACTGTCCACCAAGAAGAACCTAATCATTGTGAAAGACCAAATTTGCTACAGTCATATCTCAACTAAACTAGCTCTCTCAGAGAGATTAAGTGATTTGTCCAAAGTCACATAGCTAGTTGGCAGTAGAACTGAGTTTAGAATGTAGGGTTCCTTGCTACATCTTCCCATCCAACAGTTGTAGGCCAAGGATGCTCATACCAATTATCTGTGGAACTTTCATTTATTTATTTATTTATTTATTTATTTATTTATTTATTTATTTTTGAGGCAGAGTCTCATTCTGTTGCCCAGGCTGGAGTGCAGTGGCATGGTCTTGGCTCACTGCAACCTACACCTCCTGTGTTCAAGAGACTCTCTCACCTCAGCCTCCCAAGCAGCTGGGAGCACAGGCACACACCACCATGCCTGGCTAATTTTTTTGTATTTTTAGTAGAGACGGGGTTTCGCCAGCCTGTTCTTGAATTCCTGGCCTCAAATGATCCGCCTGCCTTGGCCTCCCAAAATGCTGGAATTACAGGTGTGAACCACTTTGATCGAACTATGGGACTTTAAAACAATGCATATGCACAGGCCCAGCCTGGGAAGTTCTCATTCTGAAGGAGGGCTGGGGCAGGGGCACCTATGGCTAGGGCAGGACCTATGTTTTAAAAAGAATCTGTGCAGGTGACTCTGATGCACACACATATAATAGACAATCATGGGGCTATTGCATGGATACTAACAGGTACCATCTATTGTACATTTTCTACAGGCCCAGTCCTGTGATGGATGCTTCACATGCTCTATATTTTTCATTTTTACAACTAGCCAGCTAATAAATAAGGTGTTTTTAGCATTTTACCGATGAAGAAGCGAATTCAGAGAGAAGTCCAAAGTGACAGCTTATAAATGGCAAGATGGAGATTCCAACCGAGAATCTCCATAGACCCTGCTCTTAACTGTCACACCCTGCTATATGCTATGGAGCATAAAGTTGCTCAATGGCACAGGTCACAAACCTACAGGTTACAGGTGGGTAATGTAAATGAGGAAAATAGGTCAAATAGGAACTGGGGTGAGCTGGAGGCCATGTGGCCCTTTAATGGGTTCTGAGTGTTTGGATGCTTTAAGAGCAATGATGGAGAGCAACCGGAACTCTCATCCATGTTTATGGGACTGCAAAATGGTTCAGTGTCTTTGGGAACAATCGGATAGGTTCTTATAAAATTAAACATATACTTACCATATGACCCATCAATCCTACTCCTAAGTATTTACCAAGAGAAACGAAAACCTATGTCTGCAAAAAGATATATACACAAATATTCACAGCAGCGTTATTTAAAATAGCCCCAAACTGGAAGCAACTTACACATTCATCTACTGGTGAATAGATAAATTGTAGTATACCCCCACTCTGGAATATTACTCAGCAATTAAAAGGAATGAAATACTGACATATGCAACTACATGGATTAATTTCAAAAGCTCTATGCAAATGAAAGAAGTCATATACAAAAGATGACACACTGTATAATTCCATTTACATGAAATTTTAGAAAAGGCAAAACTCTAATGTCAGGAAGCAGATCAGTGGCTCTCTGTGGCAGGGTGGGGAAAGAGATTTGAATGCAAAGGGGTAGGAGGAAACTTCTGGAGTGAGGGAACTGTTCTATATCTTGATGTGTGGTGGTGGAGCAAGGCAACACAGCTGCATATGCATACCAACAAACATCCAACTCTACAGTTAAAATGGGTGAATTTTGTTGTATGTAAATAATAATTAAAAAAAAAACTGTGCAGAGCAAAAGTAAAAAAATCTGTAGGCCACTTGTGGCCCACAGACTTCCAGTTTTCAACCTCTGGTCTCAGTGGAGAGATTCTGCTTTAGCTGCCCCGAGGAAATACAAAAGATGACAAAAAGTCATCCATCATCCTCCCCAGGGCTGGGCTCAGGAAGAACGGTGACGTTTTCGTTTATCCCCCTCTTCCAATTCTCTGTCCTCCTTCATCACATACAAAATGCTCCCATGCTGCCCCCTGGCTGTCCAGCACCTCCTACCAGGGCACCCCACCCATGTCTCCTGGAGTCAGCTCCAAAACCACCCTTCCCTCAGGCCCTCCTCCTGACCTCCAGAATGCAGAGGCTGCCCCTCAGTGCTTTGTGCAAGGTGGAGACACATTACACTTGGTTAACACATGACCAGGTAGGTGCACATGACTGTTACTGATGACATTTCCAAGCACTGACATCTGATGAAGACAATGCATGGAGCCTTAACCCAAGTTCAGTATTACCTTCCAGTCAGGTAGGGAATACCTTGGGAAAAGTGGGGCTATTTCTGGAATTCACTGCACTTTTCCCTACCAGAGTGACTTGCCTGCTCTGCTTATACATACATTTTTGTCATCAATATTATCATCAAACACGTTAAAATTAATACATGCAAGTGGTTTGGATGGTCACTATAGAAAGGTACAAATAATTCTCAGTACCCAGTTGTCAAAACTGAGAGTGCTCTTAAATACCAGGCTGAGGAGCTCTAAGGACATGCTAGAGGCAGCCCTTTTATTTTCTGAAACCAAATTAATGTCAACCACACACTGCTGGGCTTTCCTGAGCCTCCATATATGTCATAATAACTTGATTTTTAAAAAACCCACTACTGACAATAACTATAATAACTATGAAAAATTGGCATTAGTAGGCCAGGCACAGTGGCTGATGCCTGTAATTCCTGCACTTTGGGAGGCTGAGGTGGGTGGATCACCTGAGCTCAGGAGTTTGAGACCAGCCTAGCCAACATGATGAAACCCCGTCTCTACTAAAAATACAAACAAACAAACAAACAAAAAATAAGCTGGGTGTGGTGGTATGTGCCTGTAATCCCAGGTACTAGGGAGGCTGAGGCAGGAGAACGGCTTGAACCTAGGAGGCGGAGGTTGCAGTGAGCCAAGATTGCGCCACTGCACTTTAGCCTGGGCAACAAGATCAAAACTCCATCTCAAAAAAAAAAAAAAAAAGAAAAAAATTGACATTAGTAGTACAAGCTGCAATGTTAACAACAAAAAGGCAGAACTTAAAACTGGCTACACTACAATTAGAGCCATATGAAGAAAAATGTCAACAGATGAATAAAAAGTAAAAACTAAAAAAAAGGGAGGGGAGAGATCATTGTAGATGGGGTAGGTTATGGTGTTAGGAGTGATTTTTTTTCCTTTTCTTTAAAAAAAAGTTTTCTTTTGCTTTGACGTTACTATTTGTGTAATAAAAATGAGAAGAAAAAGACTTGGCCAGGCATAGGGGCTCACACATATAATCCCAGCACTTTGGGAGGCTGAGGCGGGCAGATTACCTGAGGTCAGGAGTTCGAGACCAGCCTGGCCAACAAGGTGAAACCCTGTCTCTACTAAAAATACAAAAATTAGCCGGGCATGGTGGCGCACATCTGTAATCCCAGCTACTTGGGAGGCTGAGGCAGGAGAATCGCTTGAACCTGAGAGGCAGAGGTTGCAGTAAGCTGAGATCGCGCCACTGCAATCCAGTCTGGGTGACAGAGCAAGACCCAGTCTTAAAAAAAAAAAAAAAAAAAAAAAGACTTGGTCACCGGCCAGGATGGTTCCATATCATGTCCATTGGTTCATGTCTGTAGGGCTGTGCCCATTTCCTTCTCACAGATCTGCAAGGCCAAGATGTTCTGCAGTACCCTGCCAGGTCCTCTCAAGTACTCTGTCAGCTTTAGTCATGCTGATGAAATCAGCCCCTCCTTCTTCTGAGGCTGGCTGTTTTGTATCTCTATTTGCAAGCAGAAATAATAAAAGCCAGAGAACTTGATCAACGAGGCAGTTGTGCACCAAGAATGAACCCCAGTGCCCAGAGATGGGTTTCATTCTGAAAATGTTACAAAATAATATCTTGACAAGACATATTGTTGATACATTTTTCCCTAAAGCAAAACTGGGTGAAAATTTTCAAGTCCTATTAAAGCAAAATTGTTGCTTAAAAAAAAAGTTGCCGGGCGCAGTGGCTCACACCTGTAATCCCTGCACTTTGGGAGGCCGAGGCGGGCAGATCACGAGGTCAGGAGATCGAGACCATCCTGGCTAACAAGGTGAAACCCCATCTCTACTAAAAATACAAAAAATTAGCCGGGCGTGGTGGTGGGAGCCTATAGTCCCAGCTACTCGGGAGGCTGAGGCAGGAGAATGGCGTGAACCCGGGAGGTGGAGCTTGCAGTGAGCTGAGATCGCGCCACTGCACTCCGGCCTGGGAGACAGAGCAAAACTCCGTCTCAAAAAAAAAAAAAAAAAAAAAAAAAAAAAAAAGTTGTAGTATGCCTAGGCCTGTTTTGTTGATGTGGTGAAGTTTGATTTCATCCTTGCCTATCCAGGCTCTCTGATCTGATCTGCAGCTTCCTAAAGTCCTCCAGGATCTAGCCCTGGCTCCCCTCTACCCCTCCATTCACCGATTCTCAGCAAGGAATCTGATTATGCCACACTCAGCAGAGCTGAGGGAACAGGTTACAGCGGTGCCCACAGAGCATCTGAGAAGACAGCTCAGCTGCATGATCAAGGCAGCAAGCTCTAAAGGGAGGCATTTGGGCACCAGCTCAGTTTTGATGGCACAGTGCCCCTAAAGAAAAATTCCACCTTCTGGTGGAGTTCAATCCTGTCTATATACATAGTTTGTAGTACCTTTCAGAAGCCTTAGAAAAACACCACGAAACCAGTGATGTTCAAGAGGAAATAACGTGTGAAAAGAAAGACATCAATGGGTTACATGAAAACTATGAAAGAACTAGGCCCTTTAATAAGGTTCATTCTGTCCAGAGCATATAGTAGGCACTTACACCGTGGCTGACTTTGCGAGGCAGTATTTGAAATGGCCCCCGAAATCCTGCCTCACTATACCACTTAGAAGGACACTTAAACCTCAAAGAAGATTCATCTAAAGAAACTAGCACGTCGGAATTCATTTTCCCTAAGGCTTCCATGCCTTGTGTCAGTAAATCATCAATAATTAAATACCAACAGTTAAAACAGGACCACCCAGGCAGACAGGCCCAAGGGTAGGGCTATAGAAATAGTTTGTATGGCCCCCTTATCTAGGGCAATTTTAAAAATCACTCAGCTTCCAGTTTACAATGGTGCCTCTCCATGGATCCTAATGCTGCCCCTATCAAAGTGTCCATTACATTTGAATGAAGAAAATAGAAGATGATGAAAATTTACACCACCAAAACTTACATCACAAACTGCCAGAGCCTAGGATTTTCTACTGCTACAAAAAATGAACTGTGCTGAAAAATGAAAGAAGTGGTTCACCTGCCACATAGTCTTCTACTAGATAGAAAGTGCATGGTTTGTAACAACCAGAAATCAAGATGCAATCTCTCTTATAAGTATCGTAACTCAGGAGGTATTTGGACTGCTGTCTTCTTTTCCTTTTCTCCACATTCCCCATCTTGTTTCTGTTCCATATGCAGTAAGGAAACCAGAGTTCCCAGGAAAACAATAAATCAGTATTAGGTAGCTATAGAGAAGGTATGGCATCATGCACTGAATTCTGGGAACTGTGGTCTTCATAAATAGTGTGTTTTTTTGTGGTGGTGGCAGGGTAAGCTTGGGAAGGATATGACAGTTGTACACATAAGGGGTGGACATTTTTCCCAACAGAGTCAAGGAGTGGGAGAAGGAAGAAGTCTCATTTCTTTCCAATAAAGACAGTCCACAGACAAAGGGAATTGGGACAGAGGCGAGCATATCAAGCAGCTCTCCATTTGCAGATTCAAGAAGTCGTTTTGAAAAGTAACTAAATAAAAAACTCAAAATAACATGAGGTTGATGGGAAAAATCAATACTACAGAACAAGGGGGGAAAAAAACAACAACATCCTAAAGATTCTGAGAAAGAATGCGATTCTGAAACTTATGAACTAAAGAAACCAAAAAATGTTTTTGAAAATACTTTGGTGTCCTTAATAAAAACAGTAAGAAGGTAAAGCTTTATAAAGCCAGGGCAGAAAACGGTAAGGTAAGAACCAGCGAGACTTCAAGGAGATAAGAGATGAGGCAATAGGATAAAGAAAAGATTTCAAGGAAACCAGTAATGCAACAGCAGCATTAATACTCACATAACCAGCAGCACAGACTAGAAACAATGCTAGAGAGGGGAGTTAATGGTGTTGGAGATAAATGAGAAGAAAAAGAAGAGAAAAAAATTATTTTTAAAACATGACAAACATAAGAGATACAGAGGTCTAGTGTGAGAATCATGGATGATCCTGACACCAGAAAATTTGAAATGGAAGCAATAATCCAAGACATGATTTTTAAAAAACCGCTTCTGGTAGGTAGAGGGAAGACTTGAATTTGCAGATTTAAAGTTCTGTGATCCATGCAAAATGAGTGAAAGTCATCATATATAGAAATATCTAGACTCTGTTCAATTCCAAAGATTTAAAAAACCAAAACTAAACAAAGAAAACCTACAACATGTCACTCCAGAGTATCATAAATTGGTCTATTTTTCTGCTATTCTGAAACACGAAATGCCAGAAGACAATGGTTCCACATCTATAGATTCCTAAGAAGGGTAGGATCTAAAAATATTACGGCCAGCCCAATGTACACAGATACATACACATGTGTATGTCACATATATGCAGTTGGTGGCAGTTCCTATATAGAAAAAACAGATCCAAATCATATACCTTTCTTGAAAAGTTATTTGAAGATATATCCCAGCTGACTTCAAGATTAGAGAGCTAAGAACTCAAGAATGAGGAAGTCATAAAAGAGATGAGCAGGCCGGGTGTGGTGGCTCACACCTGTAATCCCAGCACTTTGGGAGGCCGAGATGGGCCGATCACGAGGTCAGCAGTTCGAGACCAACCTGACCAACATGGTGAAACCTCATCTCTACTAAAAATACAAAAAAGTTAGCTGGGCGTGATGGCCCGTGCCTATAATCCCAGCTACTTAGGAGGCTGAGGCAGGAGAATCTCTTGAACCCAGGAGGCGGAGGTTGGAGTGAGCCAAGATCACGCCACTGTACTGCAGCCTGGGTGACAGAATGAGACTCTGTCTCAAAAAAAAAAAAAAAAAAAGAGATGAGCATTTATTATCTTCAAGGATGCCACACTAAGCAAATAATATAGTTTATGAATGAAGATACATAGCTTCACTGTATAGCTATAAGCTAGAAAAAACCTGTATGTTTAACAGAAAGGAAATATTTCTATGAGGGAATACCATACAACCATATAAATAATGATTACAAAGAGTTTTTAATGGCATGGGAAAACACTTTCCGTTTACTCTTAATGCAAATAATAGGATATAAAGTTTTATATGTTGTACATAAAATACACAGAAAAAACTGGAATAAAATATGCCAATTAATAGTTGTGACCTTTAGCCAGTATAATTATGAATAATTTTCTCCCTGTTTCTTGATAACGTTTTTTACCCTTACAAAATAAGAGGTGTTTTTTTTTTTTTTGACACGGAGTCTTGCTCTTGTTGTCAGGCTGGCGTGCAGTGGCACGATCTCAGCTCACTGCAACCTCTACCTCCCGGGTTCAAGCGGTTCTCCTGCCTCAGCCTCCTGAGTAGCTGCGATTACAGGCACCCAGCAATATGCCCGGCCAATTTTTGTACTTTTAGTGGAGGCAGGGTTTCGCCATGTTGGCCAGGCTGGTCTCGAACTCCTGACCTCAGGTGATCTGCCCACCTCGGCCTCCCAAAGTGCTGGGATTAAGGTGTAAGCCACCGTGCCTGGCCCCAAATGAGAGGTTTTTAAAAATCCTTTGTTATTATAATAACTTTTTAAAACTTGGCAAAAATACAAATCACAAAGGCTATGTGGAAACTTTAAGATTATAATATTAAGTGAGTAGAGCAATATAATATTGAACTTGAAACATGACTGAAAGATTGGAAGGGAATACTTGGGTCAAAGGAATAGCTTGCTTCAAGGTACAGGGATTAAAAACAATTTTTTTATTTAAAAATTCCTTTAATATTACTATTTTCTGTTTTATAGGAAAAATATGATTTAAAAAGAATATTCCCAAATAAAACAAGTTAGTCATATCTTTGATATGGTAATATTGCAGAAAAACAAATCTTTCTGAGGTCAGCAACCACTTTCTGCCTATAGTCTACCAAAGACCACTCAGGTTCACTTTCATGTTCCTACCAATTACTAACTCAGGCCAAGCACTATAAGGGCAGGACCTTGTTATATGTTACACTCTCATCCCTAGTACTTAGCCCAGTGTTTGGGGAATCGCAACTGCTCCAGAAATATTTGGTGAATGAACAAATGAATAACAGAAGGAAAGACTATTTGATTTTATAGGTACATCTTTTGGTAAAAAGATTCTTTGCATTCATCTACTTTTTATAGCATCTCCAATGTTGAAACTACAAGCATGCTTTGCTTCAAGAATTCTCATCACTTATCATAGATTGCATGCTCTGTGGAAATCCAGCCAGAGCCAAAACCTGGTGCCATATTTTTATTTCTCTTTTTCCATTTCAAAAGAAAAAGCTGTAGTTAATTCTAATTTTCCTGCGGGCAGAGGGAAGAGGAACTTTTTATGTGTGTGAAAGAATGGCACCCCCTCCAGCCATCTGAGGACAGTTCCTCCCAGGAACACCTGTTTGCTCCAACTGAAGCCCATCCAAATTGAGTCCCCGGGATCAGGAGCGAGCTCTCCAAATGTCCCACCATTCTACAATATTTATTCCCCACCTGTCTGATGGCCATGATAGCTTGGGAATGCTCCAGCCAGGGAAAGCTGTTTCTTGGCCCTGACATGGCAGAGCTAACAGCAGCTAATGTTCATCCAGAATCTAGTCTGGATCCAGTCGCCCCAGAGTTTAAAAATGCTCCTTCTCTCTCAGTCTACCAGGCTTAGCAAAAGTTCTTAAGGAGGGGGAGGTAAATAATTTTTCATCTTCATATCAGCGTGTTGCAAAAACCAAAGTGGTATGTTTCATTCTCTGTTTCTTAAATCTGACTTTTGAGTTTTCTACTCATATTTAACACTTAGCATTCTGGTTTTATTAAATAGTTGCCCACTACTAAAAATGAAGATTGGTAAATTAATTTCTCCAAAAGGAAAACTGTTAAAATTCAGAAGGTAAAATACAATAAAAACAACCTTAAACACATAATTTAACATGTAATTCAGGGAAGAAAAAGAGGTGCCCACATCAAACTCTAGCTATAATAGTGAAATAATGTTTTATTTAAAAAATTCTATCCATGAGAAAACTGTATATTTGAAAAGCTTACATAAAGCCCTATAAAATAAGAGACCTTTTATCTCTTCCAGATCCATGAGCTCGAAAATACTTTATCTATGCAATTTCAAGGCACATAAAAACCCCAGTGAATAAATAAAATGTTCTTTTTTTCTTTATACAGATGCTTTAAAAATTATCCATATAAATAGCTTGGCCTTGAACAAACAGATTAAAAGACCTAAAAAGCTATGGCTTCAGATCATGTATACAGAATAGAAAATGAATGCTTTTCTTTATTGGCTGAGCAAGTTTTCTAATAACTAAATTTCTATAAGCCCATTCGATGATAAAGATTTAATTGGGACACATGAAAAGATTCAGTATTTTTAAGTGATATGCTTATCAAGTTAATAATATGCCACAATAAAATAATTTATGTACTCTGCCAACATTCTTTGCATCTATTCATGAATCATATGTAGAATATGTATAGTCAACATGCAGTATTATTTCAAAGACCTGTCTTTAAAATGAACTTTTTAATAAATAGGTAATTTTATAAATATGTAAAGTTTTGTAAATATGTAATTTTAGTCAAGTGTGTGAAAATTTGCAATATTATTCTAAAACTGGGGCACAACCAGTGAAAAGATTTTTCATAATTGTTTACAATTAGATCTTATTAGGTGATTTCAAGCCTTACTTAAAATTTTAGAGTTCATCATAATTAAAAAATTTGAATTTGTGTAATTTTTCACATGTCAAAAATATTCTTCTTTTGATTTTTCCCAATCATTTAAACATGTAAACCATTATTGGCCTGCAGGCCATACAAAAACAGGTGGCAGGCTGGATTTGGTCTGCTGTCTATGATTTGCTCACTCCTGTTCTAAAAGCTGAAGGCTCCTGGCTGGGCACAGTGGTTCATGCTTGCAATCTCAGCACTTTGGGGGGCTGAGGCAAGAGGATTGCTTGAGGCCAGGAGTTTGAGATCAGCCTTGGCAATATAAGGAGATCCTGTCTCTACGAAAAAATTAAAAATTAGCTGGGTGTGTGAGGTGGACCTGTAGTCGCAGCTACTTGGGAGGCTAAGGTGGAGGTGGAAGGATCACTTGAGCCCAGAAAGTTGAGGTTGCAGTGAGCTATTGTTGGGCCACTGTACCCTAAGCTCAGTGACTGTGAGACCCTGTCCCTTTAAAAAAAAAAAAAAGAAAAGAAAAAAAGAGAAAAATTCAACAGTTTAAGGTAAGATTGAAGCTTTCACATTATATTAACTTTATGAGCAGATGAGGTTATAAGTTGTTTTGTTAATTTCCTATGTATCCTCAACACAGCTGTGGCCAAACATCTTCCTAACACCCCAACACCATCACCACTGTTTGCCTGCAAGGATTCAAATTCTGCCGCTAGGAGCTATTACCTTGAAGCTGCCATGAGAAGGAAAGAGGCATAATGCCATATGTGGGTTAAGAATGGGGCAGTGACTGTCAGGTCTGGTTCTCACCTATCATCTCCTCTGTGAAGTCTTATCTGCACATCCAGGCCCCAGGAATTTCTTCTTCCTGTCATCCCCTAGAGCAATGATCTCTCACTTACTATGTAGCACAAGTTACTATGTATTGTTGTTTCTTAAAATGTCACAACAAAAGCTCCCAATTAGATATTAAGCTACCTAGGAGTAGAGTTTTGAATTTGTTGAATCTCCAGTGACTAACATTGGATTCTTAAGGGAATCTCCATATGCCCTTTTACCCAGTAGACATTAAACATTTGATGTTGAAGAAGAGGCTGATGGTGTTACCGCCAGAATGCTGCTAAGAACATGATTTCTGTGGCTAAAACCAGGGTTCTGGTCCAAGTTCTGCTCTATCTTTGTGGCATGAACTTGGGCAAGACTCAACTTCTGTAGGTCTCAACTATCTATACCACAAGATAATAATGACAATATGAATTCAGAGTTCTTACGAAGAATAACTTAAAAAAATAATATATGTGACTGTGTCTTACAAACCATAAGGTCCCATATAAATGTAATTGTTCTGATTGTCTTTAAGGACGTACTTTTGACAAATGATCTGATTTCCCAAGGATGGCATCCTTGAGTTTT
Source organism: Homo sapiens (assembly GCF_000001405.40). Classification (NCBI taxonomy): domain Eukaryota; kingdom Metazoa; phylum Chordata; class Mammalia; order Primates; family Hominidae; genus Homo; species Homo sapiens. Next base: position 112,680,181 of record NC_000010.11, on the reverse strand, counting down.
CAGTGTCTTGTTGAACTTTGTGGACAAATTCAAAATAAGTGTTCCTTGTAGGTCAATGCATTTTAAGTAAGCCAGAGTATCAAAGTAATTAAATGGTATTTAGCTACGAAACTGGACACAGTTCTTTAACAATATCTCATTTTCTCAACTTTTTTTTGGAGTTGGTTGTAGACTCTTTTGAACCTTTTAAGGAAATGTAATGGAAAAGCCCCAGAAAGATGCATATACACACATATGCACATACATTTTTAGAAAACTTCAGAGATTCAAGACTCCATGAAGCCCACTCCAGGATAGGAACCACTGCCCTATGGCTTGAGACAGGGAGTGTGGTTTCAGGAAAGCATTGGGGGACCTGATTCGGACATCTTTAACTGATTTGGGAATTAAATGGTTGACAGGTGTTTTTTTTTTTTTCCCCTCATCACAAAATCATTAAGCCATTGGAAGATAGGTGGGCAGTGGAATAGCTTTTTCCTAGGTAAACTATAATTGCACAGGAAACTAAGGTGCTGTTTGTTTTCGTAATTCCAAACTGCTTCAATCCTCTTTTTAAAATTGTGGTCAAATTTGCCATTCTTGCATTTTCCCCATTGATATTCACACCTTGGTTCCAAAGTTCTTCACATAACTTTGCAAAAGAAGTCATTAGCCTTTTTAAAAGAACACTGAGGTTAAAAAAAAAAATCGTGACACCTCCTATCACATCAGCTTCCATGTTGTCAAAAATGTTAGAGATAATTTTAAATAAAAAATGAAAACCTCAATTAATACTAGCAAGGTGGTCAAACATCACAATTTAAGAAATATTTTAACTACGCTTTTGAGTATGGAATATATTTCTTCACAGTGCTTTCTTTTCCCCATAAAAGAAAAGAATTCTTTCTTAATACCTAGATGACAAATTCTCAAGATATACACAGTTGTTTCTTATTATGGCTTCCCTGGAAAACATTTCTGGGAAAGCACAATCCCCAGCCACTTACTTTGTTTACAACAGACAAAACTGCTTGTGTGGTATAAATAGGAGTCTGTCCTTAAATGCTGCTGAAAAATAAAATGCAATCATGAAAAGGAGCCATTTCCTGCCCTAACGGTGGCTTAAAAAAAATTCTTAGCTACTTTAGGAACAGCACCAAAGTGTAAATAATAATTATCAATTGCCGCATAATAAAAAACTAATTTTATATTATAGAAAAAAACAAAAATGAAAACAAGCCACATATTCCAGAGATGCCCTCAGAATTGTCAGCATTACAAGGTTTTCTTGCCCTGCAAGATGATGAAATCCCCTTTTGTCCTCCTGCGTTTGTGATGTATATCTATAACTCGTCCTTGTTTGTGCAGATAAGCCTTGCCTTGTCTCCCTAACTGCACTTTGAAAAGCAGATTCACAGTTGTTTGACTTTTGATCTGGGTAGCAGCTAGCTCGACCACCTGCACTGTGCATGAGCTGTTACTGAGCTTGCTTTGTCCCATCTTATAACACAGCCAGCCTTTTAAAATTGATGTGTGAATACGCTAGTTTACAATGTGAGCGTTCAAACAAAAAAATATGGTGGCGGTAGTGGTGGTGGCAGCCGAAGAAGGGGGAGATTTGTGGAGGGAGAAGCCCTAACTCTCGATTTATAAAGTTCAGATATTGTTTGCTGCCTCTGGCATTTAATGAAACAGATGGCCAAAGCCCTCCCTTAATTTACAATGGAGCAGACAGTGGTGTAATGGTGTGGGGGCCTGGAATTATAAAATGTTGTTTGGTGATGGTATATGTTAATAAATAGCCATTTACAAGGGGGGCTAAGGGCTCCATTACTTGTTTATAAGGAAGGCCTAGGGCTCCTTGCTTCAAGTTAACAGCTCAAGGCTGCGTTCAAAGAAGGCATTGACGGAAAATGTAAAGTGCACCCTTCATATTCTATGTGACATTCAAGAATGGCATGCATCCAGGGGAAAAAAGGAAAATCATAAAAGGAAAGTAATTCAAAAATTAGGTCAAATTGTGGCTCACAATCAAGAAAAAAGATAAGATGTGTTTCCATTGTGATTAAATAATGGAGAAAAATATTCTCTTATTGGGAAGTTACATATTTTATCTTTGAATGGACATGTTTACATGTAGCCAAAGTGCAATAGATAAAAACCCGCAGGGTTTCCACTAAATTATACCCATATGAACCCAGATAACAACTCTGAAACTATTTTTAGGCATTCTTCCAAAGACTATTCATTGATGAGGCCTACATCAGGGTAACATGGCCGTGAGCCAAATGTGAGGAGGCTCCTGACCAGCAGTATCTCACAATAGAGAAGCGAGGGTTGACCTCAGGATCCTGAAGACAACTGGTCCTATAGCAACTCCTCATTCTTTTGGGGACAGCAATGTGCTGCGTGCACTATCACCACTCTCCAGTAACCACGTTATCAACTGGTTATCAAGGGCCCATGTATGTGGCAAGAAGGCTATGCTGGGCATTGACTAAGGCTGCTTTAGCTTTCATGAAACACTGTGGACCCTCCAGCTGACTGTGCGTCCTGCTCTGCTTTCAGGTGGGAAATTCTAAACCTGTCTAGGAATCTGCACAGGAGTTACCACCATGGTTCCCTGGCTTTGTTTTATTTCTCTTTCATCCGTGTTTCTTCCCTTCTTAATTTCTGCTGGTTGCACAATACTGTGGGGGAGCTGTAAAGCATCCTTTTGGGGATAAGGTGGAGGATACAAAAAATCTAGAAGAAAATTAAGACACAGTTGATAATAATTACAATACATGCCATGCAAAGTGGATGATGTTCATGTCTTGTGAGAAGTACAAGCTGCTGTGAAAGATCAGGACAAGATGCATCATTTCTGGCTGGGAGAGTGAAGAAGGCTTGAGGGAGAATGAGGTAATTCACCTGAGACCCAGAGTATAGACAAAAGCTCATTTGGAATATTCCTATTCCAAAGGTAACATCTGTTGTTTTTGCCCACCCAGTATCCATTACCCTTTCGGAAAAAAGCTCTCGGATTCTTCTGAGGGGACTATGCCTCATCCATTCTCAGTCTGTCTGTCCGTCCCCTGCACAGGTTCTCATGTCTAGAACATCAGATCATAGATTAATGGAGTTTTACCTAACCAGAACCAATCCAAATCAGTAAGATTCCACGCCATTACTTTCACTGGAAGCATTCGAATGAAAAAATCGCTATATTCAATGGCTGTACTGAGATGCTGGCAAGAGCTGTCTCCACCAGGGGAATCCTTGACGAAGGCCAGAACCCATCCATAAGTGATCTGAGATGCGAGACGGAAAGAGCAAGACCCAGTCCTGACAATATTGTTGGAACCTTTAGATTCCAACACTGTGTTTCAAGTCGCTTCTACCCTTGGACTATTTAGTTACGTGAGTTGATATATTTATGGCCAGTTTGATCTACATTTCTGCCACATGCAACTGGAAGATTTTGACTTATATAGGTGGCAAAAGGAGAACATTCCAGGTAGAAGTAACAGACAAAGCAAATGTCTAGAATTAGTGAAGAGTGAAGCTAGCTTGGAGGTTGTAAGTAGTTACCACTAGTAGGGACATACTGCCCACCCAAAGAGAGCAGCAGCAAACAAGGCTAGAAAGTTCACTGGAAAACCTTAGCGATGAGACTAAGGAAGACATTCTGTGTTGGACATCACCATGGGAGATTCCTAAGTGCAGAAGAAACAGCACTCATCTGGCACCCTCCAAGTAAACTGGTCAATAATATTCAAAAGGGCAAAAGAAGGGAAGAAGAAGCACAGAGACCAACTAGGAGCCCCCCCTCCCTAAACAGCCTAAATGAGATGGGAAATGTGTGAGACTGGAGGATTGCTTTGCTCCAGGTAGTACTCAGAACGCACCAGAGCAGTGCAAGAAGTATTGCTGAGTGAGGGTCCCAGAAGGAAGGGGGAATGGTGGCGCCATGACAGGAATAGGGACATAAGGAAAGGATGATGGGATTTATTATTATTGATTTTTAATTAAAAAAAATTCTTAGGAAACTCTAGTAATGGAAAAAGAAAATTTAAAAACATAAATTTAAAATTCATCAACCTAGAAGAACTATTAATTAACATTTTGATTTTAGTCTTTGCTCTCAGGCCCTATTTCTTTTAAAACCGATGACGATAATGATAATAACAAATACCTCAATGTTTCCTGGCACTTTATTATGTGCCAGGCATTGTTGTGTGCACTTTACATGTATCTACACATTTATAAAAATTTCCATAGTAAAGACTATTGTTATCCCTATTTTGCAGATGAGGAAACTGAGGTACGGAGAGGTGAGATTCTTGCCAAAGGTTACTAGCTAAAAAGCGGCAGAGCCAGTGCGGCTCCAGAGCCTACTACCCCTTATCTACTGGGACATATGCCTCTGGACGTATACATAGAAATTTCACATGAGTAATTAAACAAGACTGGAACTGTTTGCTCCAGCAAGGATAAGACTCAGATGACAAAGTTAGATATAGAAATAAAATTTCCTAACAATGACACTTGTCAAATTCCGGAGGTAAGGGAGATTATAGATTCTTCTGCTGCACGGTGTTGTTATTTCTCGGTTCTGGTTAATGCCACACAGTCTATGCTTAGCAATACAACAATTCGAAAGGACTCCTTAAGAACACACTCACTTGGGACTCCTGTGGCATACAGTAGCTGCAGCTGAGCGCCTTCAGCCCACCCTCAATGGTGGAATCTGGTAGGGTTTGTTCATTGCTTTCAGGAACAACTGTCTGCACACCCAGAAGGGCTGTCTGACCATCTGTGAGGAAACTGGGTCTTCATAGAAGGACAAATAGTTGGTACAGTAGGAAAACCAGCCCCTGGAGGCAGATGACTTATGTAGACCCTGATGATATTTACCCGTGGTTCCCTTATTTCTTAAAATGGGAGTAACAGTATCCATCTTATAGAGTTATCATAGAAAGTGAAAGAAGATAACGTATAACAAATGTCTAGGACTGTGGCTGCTACCTACCTATCAGAGAGTGCATAAGTAGCAGTTTTTTTGGTTATTAAAAGGCATAGCATAGTATGGATTTTGAATTTCCTGGTCAGTGAAATGAGAGGGGGGCATGGGACAGTGGGAGGACTGACATATGATTGCCAATGTTTAATACTTACAAGTATTTATTTTTCTATTTACTGTAACAATGAACCTAGTTTAAGGAAATTATTTACTGCCACCAATTATTTCACAGAAGAAATGGAACTATAATAGTGTCTCACAATAAAAGTTGGCATAACAAAAACTCAACTGTTTGTTCTTACTCTTCTCATTTTACCACTAGTGAAAACTGGTTCTGATTCACAAACTGGCCTTTGGGAACCTTGTGTAGTGTGTCAAAAGAGCAAACTAAGTTCACATCCTAATTCTGTTCCTTTCTACAATATGTGAATCTGGATAGTTTACTTAACTTCACTAAGCACAGTTTGCCTCACCTGTAAAAGGGGGATAGTGATGCCTCCTTCACAGAACTGTTAAGGATAAAATCAGATAAGATGTACAATACATGATTGAGGGTCACATATGCACTTAAGGCTCAAAGAATGCAGCTGGTAGAGTTATCATTGACAGATAAGGTGTTGCATTCAAGTGTCTGACACTAGAGCAAAAATCTATGTTTAAAGGCACAAGCATGTTATTAAAGAGAAACATATAAGCAACTCCAAAGCTATTCTTTGGTTTGGTAAAAACGTTACCCATGCTGGCCTTGAAGAGGTCGTAGGACAAAGGCAATGAGTCAACTGTACAGAAATAAACTTATGCACACAAAAAGAACCAAGATTTTTAAAAATTCTCTTTGTAGCATTATTCTAGCTCAGATCCTAAATCTGTTAAGTCCAAAGAATCTATAGGAAATTCAATCACTTTATTCTGAAAGAATAAGCACTTGATTAAAAGCTGAAGAACAGTTTAGACATTGAGATTTTGCTACACTAATTTCAGGTCAGGGCCCGAGTTTATCACCAGTAAGTAAAATGTGCTGAGAAAGAGGAATGAGAGAACAGAGAAAAGAAAAAGAGATAGAGAAGTAAAAATATAAATGCAAGGTACTATGAGAGAAGATACTTTCTTCAGTGCCTAAAAATTTACAGCAAATTTTCAAGGACATTTTTCTCACAAGTCTTGAAAACTCTATACTGTTGAATTTTCAGACATTGTAGTAAGAACAATTAGAATATAACAGAATGTTTCCTGGGCAAAATGAAGGAGAAAAAAGAATGAGTTTTTAAAAAAAGCTTAAACATCTAGCCATGGCATATGTAAGAATAAACCTGTTTTTATTTTAAAAATTACATTTCTATAGCTTACAGATCTTGCATTGGCATTCCTGGTCTATTTACTCTTAGGAATCATTCTGACAGTGCATTTAAGCTTTCCAGATGTTTTACCTGTCATTCTACCAAAGACTACATTTAAAATGTAAAATATGATAGCAATGATAGGTGGCAATGATTCCCCAGGCTAACTCGAAAGTAACTCTAACAAAAATATGCATATCAGATAATATTGTGTGAATGGTCCTGGCTAGGTCAACTGCATTTAATACTGTCTGCTTTGTTTATACTACAGATTAGTTACAAAAGACCTCTTAGCAGCTCCACGCATAAGGAAGTTAACCATACTCATACTGGAAGGATAAACAAAATTCACTTTCTGAAGGAAACAATCTGAGTGCGTGTGTGTGTGTGTGCGCGCGCACGCGCGCATGTGTGTGAATGGGGGCAAATATAGGTAGTGTCGGGGAGAGAGGAAATTATTTGATTTGAGATTGTCAAACAGAATGGGTGTTAATCATCTATGCCATTCCTTCTTTTCTTTTCCTTTTTCTTTTTTTTTTTTTTTTGAGATGGAGTCTCACTCTGTCACCCAGGCTGGAGTGCAGTGATGTGACCTCGGCTCGCTGCAACCTTTCGCCTCCCAGGCTGAAGTGATTTTCATGCCTCAGCTTCCCAAGTAGCTGGGATTATTAGCTACTGCACCTGGCGAATTTTTTTTGTATTTTTTAGTAGAGGTGAGGTTTCACCATGTTGGCCAGGCTGGTTTCGAACTCCTGGCATCAAGTGATCTGCCTGCCTCGGTCTCCCAAAGTGTTGGGATTACGGGTGTGAGCCACCACACCTGGCTTATGCCATTTTTTTTATAAGCACTTTGCCAGCATATACAATGCAGCGGAGGAGCCAAGGTAAAGTAGTAACATATCCTGTAAATTTTTGTCAGTGGAGCTCTTAAGCTATAACTTTGTTACATTCCTGAGGCATTGTTCATATACTTTTAGAAACAAATGTACAATTAGTGATCAATCATTAACTCTTCAGAGGTAAAAGGAAATAGAATCATGATTTCTTTTTATTCTGACTGAATTTTGAAAATCTTAATTTTCATTTTTACAGATTGCCGACAGTTTGAACGAATAAGACTTTCTGCTCAAAGGTATAGAAAAAATACACACACAGACACACACATAAATACACACATATGAAGAGAGACATTTAAGTCTCCTAGTGATACTGTGACACTTTAAGACAGCCAATTATAATAATCAAATTTTGTGAAAGTCAATGAAAAGACCCATTTATTGGACCCAGTTACAACATAAATGGTCACTTGTTTCATGACCATTTTCATTATTATCTGAATTCCACTGTATTTAAACTCTGTCTACAGAGTTAGGAAATGAACAGTTTGTCCCTGGATGGCTCTCCATCACATGTCAGGATCGAAGAAAAATTACTTTCCAGGAAATCAGCCAGAGCTGTGTTCTGATGTCGAGTTTTACTATTATAATTTTGAATGAACCAATTTTCTCCTTTGTTTTCTTTCTTTTGGTAACATGGCATGCTTACATGAAGAGCAATTTCTTTTCGGTTGAAGCAGTTGCTGTCTCACTAAATTACATATTATATGTCAATGTTTTTGCACACCTTAGTTCTTTTCAAAATTTGTTTGTAATGATTCCATATACCATTTTCTATTTCCCTATTTTTTTTTCCAAACAGGTGGGCATTATAGCCATTTAACTCGTATTTTTTATTAGTTATTTGTTTTTCTGGTGTCCCTTTTAATGACCAGCAAGGACTAACTGGAGTTGTGGAATCTTCAATAGCTGCTTTGAGAATCCGTTAATTTTGTGAATTTCCATAGTACATTTTTATGCATACGTCCTCTACTACACTAAAGTACTCTGAAAGTGAGGATAAAATTGGTTTCATTTCAGGATCCCCGGCCCTGGCATACAGACATTAAATATTTACTAAGGAAATGAATAAGCAGAAGAAAGAAGAGAAGAAAGGAAAGAAGGAAGGAAATAGATGTTTATCTTATTTGAAGTTAATAAAATATTAAAAAGCATGAGTGGTAGATGATTATTTAGTGGCTGCTGGATTTTATAAACTTAATTTTTGTTGCTTACTTATTTTGATTTCTCCAATTCCTTTTGGTCAGTTTTACAGATAATCAAGTGGCCATACGCACAGATCTTGGTATCAATGGAACACTGGTTTCACCTGTCTTCACAACAGACCATACGTAAAATGGCTCAAATGATGAGCCGTGCCAAGCCATTTCTGTTCACTTTACAAATTTAAGAACAATCAAGGTTTAAAAAATTTTAAAAATAACCTGCAATCTTTCTTTTAAATAAAGCAACTCCTTGGTTTGGTATACTACAGAATATTTAACTATTTTCAGTCACACAGAATTTATCATATGAAAATAAGCTTATGTTATATGCAGGTAAATGCTCACACTTCACAAAGAGGACATTCATTTCTTTTATAGATTTGTGAAGGTGACAGATGAGTACAAGATTCAATAACATAACATTTCCTAAATCAGAAACGCTTGTTGACACACGATATAGCTATGCAGTTTTGGTAAGAAGAAGAGTAAGAGAATGTGGCTTTTCTTTCTGAAACACAAGCTCACAAGGGCTGGAAGTGAAAGCCATATGAATGGGAGGGTTGTAACAGGGAAAGCAAAATCAGAGCATTCAATAAAAGGCTTTGGTACATAAACCCTGCCTCTACTTCTCTAGAGAGAGCTTTTCCATGAGATAACCAAAATAATGAAGCAGAGAGGTTGGCAAAATGTTTGTGCCTTTTCAAGTCCAAAATACATTGTATATCATACGCGGCAGTAATTAGAAACTAAAACCACTGCATTTGGTCCCCAGAAAACCTGCCACGTTATGGCATTGGTTGAAAATATCTGAATATCCTGGCTGATACCAAGATCCCAGCTGTGCCTAGTGAAAAACATTGTCATGCATATGAACAGGTGGACTTAAGCATACCCTTGGTTCAGATGTAGCAAGGTGATGTCCATCTGGGAATTTTTATTTCTGTTCATACTCTAGACACATCCCAAAAGAAGATGAGTCAGTGATTGACTGAGTTTGCCTACAAAGAGAACCCCATGTAGATTTCACCAGAGTAATTTTCTTCCGTAGGCTTCTGAAACAACCACGTTATTATGATTTCCCTACAGAAAGCCCAGTCAAAGGTTGCAGAAGTTGTTTGTGCTTCACCCTCTCTAAATGACTTGCAAATTTATTCAAACACAATATGAGAAGATGCTTTATTTGTTGAAATAACTGTCTGCAGTGTCCCGCACTAAAGGGTGAGGTAGATCAAGCAGAAACATGGACAGAAATACATTGGTTTCGAAACCCATAAATCCTTATTTGAATCTGCCAACCTGAAAGCCACGTAGAGCCCGCATAAACTATTTTTCCTAAATGCTACATCTGATTAAGCCATACCATTAAATGACAGCTGAACTTTAACATTAATATGATATTATTTAAATAACCACATCATTTTTTTTACACTAAAAATGATGAATGATTTCTGGACAGCTCAATTGACATAAAGCAGGAGGACTCTTTAATGAGATTTGACAAAATGGAGACATATGCAGAATATTCGTTACAGCTCACGACGCAGGAGCCCTCCCAGGGAAGCAACAGAGGTTTTTCCCTCCCCTTCCTTTCTTTTTTATTGTCTATAGGCACTGAAGCATTCCTTTCAATTGCTACTACCCTTCTCTCTGAATTCTGAGTTTTTCTTAGGCCATTTACATAGTACTCTTAATCACAGAATTTGATGGCTTATGATTCTGAGTTGGGAGTCGGGTTCAAGGAAATGAGGGGAAATGTCACATTATACTAGCCTTGGCTGGAAATGTCCCAGGAACTTTAGGCTTGCTACTGGTCAGGCTGCTTAGAAAATGTTATCAGCCTTGAAGACCAAACCACTAGACATTTGATTGGTTCTTATGCAATAAGTCTGTAACACGGCAAACATACTTTTAGCAAACTATTGTATATGGATATGTGATCAGACAAGACTTTAGTTATTTTTAGATGGTTGTCTCTATAGTATCAACTATAAAGATTTCCTTCTTAAAAATTCCAGTTAAGCCATTCCAGAGGCCATTCTCAATGTTTCTCGTTCACTTTTCTATCCACAGTTCCAAACTGACAGTCGTGCTAGATGATATTTTTATGTGGTAGATTCTGAATGTGAAATAATTTCGTGCTGAATGTACTTATAAGAACATTACCTACATTCATTCATCTATTTTCTCATACTATTTAGCATATTTTCCATCAATCAAGGTAGAGTTACACATATAAAACATGAACATTTGTTTCTTAGCACATATTATTCAGATAATCTTGACGTTTTATAAATCATCTTTAAGTATATACATAAAACGGAAATGTTTCCCCAAACAGCGTCACTTAAAGAAATGAAAACAAGGCAACAGAGAGCAAAGCTAATGGCAAATGTGCTCCTGAAAATGGTAGGTCTGCATTCCCTCCATAAGAAGAAGGCCATCGAAATAGAAAATAAAATCAGCCTGCTGCTGCCCATGGGGCCTTCCTCAGGCTATGAAAAAATACTTCATGTCTAACCCTAATTTTTTCCATAGCTTGAGGTTACCCCCCTAGCTCAAGCCTTCTCTCTAATCTGTGTTAGTATGTGTCCCTGTCCAAACAAGAGTTAACATCAGTGCTCTGTTATTTCAAATGGGTCCTGCACAGGGTACTAAGAGCAGAAGCTCAAAAGCATGTAATATGCCCCATTGCAATTGAATGAAAACATAGTATTTTAAAAAAACACACAGAGAGAAAGATATGTCCCTACCTTGCTCTTACCTTCGCAACATCCCTGTCAGAATCCTGGAGCTTTTTCCCAAATTAGCATCTGTTTCCCGAAGCTACAAGAAGAAACAAAACAAAACAGAAGTTCATGCAATTAGATTATTTCTAAAGTGCATGGCAAGCGACAATTTATTTCATGATAGAAAATCCAAACAATAAAAATGTTCAAATACACAAAAATAAATACATTCTGACAGCTACACAAACTTGGAAAATTCTTAAATTTGGAGAATGACACGTGAGAGGTAATCTTGGGAGCTTTAAGCTGGATACTAGAACTGGACATAAAAGCAAAGCACAGGCTGAAAAAGTTTCATATACATTTGGTAATTCATCTCCAGCTTATGAATGTGCAAAGTCCTAAAAACATATAAACAAAAATAAAATGAAGTGAGGAAAGATGACCACCAATAATTCTATAGTTTTCACTCTAAAAGATGAACATACTCCAAAATCTCCCTCAGTGACCTTCTCCTCTATAAGAAGTAAATAAAATACCTACCTGGGAACATTCTGGAATGGGGACATAGAGTCAGCTGCTATTTGCTCCATCTCACCCTCTTCCTTTTCCTTTCCACAGACCTTATACCCTCTTTCACCTTACACACATATATCTACCTAATTGCTATTGTTTATGTCCCAATGCCTTTCATTTATGTCTTCATTTACTGAATATGTGAAAAAACTGTATCAATTGTACTTACTCTTTCACGTGCTCGCTGTATCTTTTCTCTGTCATGACTAAGGTTTTCCAACATCTCCTGACCAATTTGCTCTACGGAAAAGAAAATTTGAGTGAGGAAAAATGACTTGGAGTGCATATGAGAGTAAATCTCAGAAATACTAAAATGGCATAAAATGTTAAAGTTGCATGCATGCATTATACATCAGACACATATTTCAATTCATGTATTTGAAAAATATAAACAGTATTTGATAAATTTATCTATTTATCTTAGGCATAATTAGATATTTGACCTATAGAACATAACCAACATGAAAATAATGATTTAGAGATGATGTCTTGTCCAGGCCACTCCAGCAAATATCAGCAAAGGTGGAGAAGATCTGAGGTCCATTAGTCTATTTTGTCATCATGGAATTTAGCTGTTGGTTTTTACAGGTTACTAGTAATGTTAATGATTCTGCTCTCCCTTTCCCCTTTCATTTTGCATATGTATGTCAGACTCCATTTAGAACAATTTTAATTTTAGTGTATTCACCCTGCATAAGTAATCCTCATATGCTCACCTACTGTAGCTTATTGGTAGTGAACTATCTCTAGGCTTTTGCTCTCTTCAAGGCAAGGGCTCATTTAACGTGTTACCAGTGGCTGTAGGTACTTGAGTCAACTCAAGGTGAGGTGCATTTCTTCTCAAGTAGTTGAAGAGAGCTCATGCTGGAGACAGTGTTTTCACCCCAGAACTTTGAAACCCTTATACTGTTATAGGCAATTTAGAACATTCTTTAAAAAGTCACATTGCTGAGTTCTAATGAGGTTTTCTCTTGCCATGATCATCTTATTTGGTTGACACTAGGCAGTCTCTTCTCCAGCCGTAGACCCTTTTAGAAGACAGTAGGTATGGCTTGACATCATAAATAACCAGCTGCCTTGAATAAATCGTTTTCAGACTCATTCCCCATTACCTGGGAGGTGCCTTACTCCATACTAGAAGGATGCCTCTCTTATAATCTTGGCAATATCTGACTACCTTGTTCTACATCTCTCTCTCCTTTTCCCTCTTGCATTGTCTCTTTACTCATACCTATAACAACAATCATCTCTGGCTTATAAACATATAAGCATTCAAACAAGCATCTATTATAATAATAACAAGTAATTTAATGATGTTAGTAAGAAGTCACCATGGTAGTTATTTGGCTCATATATGCACACTGCTAGACTTTTTTTTTTAAAGGACACCCTAAAAATATAGAGCAGTAGTTAGGCCACATTGAGAGCTTTGGCTGTGAACTCACACTGCCTGACCCAAAATCCCAGTGCTGGCCCTTACTAGCTGTGTGGCTAACTTCACTGTGCCTCAGTTTATCCATAAATGGGTACAATAATAATAATAGTACTATATCATGAGATTGTTGTAAGAGTTCAATAAGGTAATTCAGTTACAATATTTAGCACAGTGACTAGCCTACAACAATAATAAGCATTTATTGAATGATAATTGATTGATATAAGAACATCACTGGACTACTATGATTTTGCCACTCTCCTATCTTAGTCTTGTTGTAGCCCATTTGAGCTAAAATCTTATTCACAGGATAAAATATCTGTCCTGCCTTTCTCACCAAGTTGATGTTATGATCCAATGAGGTAGCCTAAGTAAAAATGTTGTGGAAGCTATAGGGTACCATATAAAGGCATGTCATGATACAGTATGTAAGATTCAGAGCATTCAACAAAGAATCATTGAATCCCCACTGTGTGCCAGGTACAGGTGCCAGGGATATGGCCAGGAATCAACATCAAGTGTTTGCACTCATGGAGCTTCCATGCCAGCACTGAGGAACAAGCAGTTAAAGAAGTGTTACAGAAGAGTTACAGACAAGTGTTAACAGAAGAATTTGTGTTTCAAAGCACATCAGAAAAAGCACTGCATATTCCTTTCATGGCAGAAAATCCAACTCATAGAAAACAGTTACATACACTATCATAAATATATTTTTGACAGCATACAAATTCTTAACATTCTTTCCCAGTATAGTAGCTCCTCTTAGACTTATTCCAGCTCTTTATTATTAACCCCATACAATTTATCCTTAAGGTAAAATTGGGTAAGATATGTGGCTCCTAGTGGAAGCATCACAGCAGTGGAAGATGATATCAATAATGGAGAAGGAGGAAACAACTGAAGTTGAATTTTTTTCTTTTCTTGCACAACAATATTCAAATTTGTCATACTGTTATTACTATTCCATTGGATTTCTTTTATCAACATAATATAGCAATTATAATTCATTTTTTCACTTAAAACTTTTAATATATATGAGCACCATGAACACTGCAATTATTTCAGCAAAATACTATTTATATCAGATTTTCTCCTGTTCAGATTGATGGTATTATAACATGTAATCTAAAATGAAGAGGAAATACGTTATTACTATTGTGTCTGTGGCCAGTATCATATCCCCTGTAAGTATCTGTGGAAAGAATGAAGAAATAAAAGAATTAAATAAAGTATGCATAAAGTTTGCGACCTATTCTTGCTCTTAAAGCCCATCCAGTGTAGCATTGGAGAAGTCAACATCAGAAAGCAGGTAATAGATTCATCCTTCTATCAGGTTCGCCGAGGGGAAAACTCTACTCTGAGTGGACCTACAGTCTGCTACTGAAGGAATCAACAAACAGGAAGTAAAGATTTGGGTCTTTTCAGGAGTTATAAACCACTCCCACAATCTCCTTGCCTCCCTAGACATAGCTCAGCATCCCAAGTACTAACTCCATCTAGCAAGAGAAGAGATATTGGCAAGAGCGTATGCATCCCGGTCGTAACACCCAAATGTCATGCACTGTTGGAAACACAATTCTTTTTTCATTTCTAACTTGCTATCTTCCATTTTAATGCTCTAATATAGAAAATTTCAGGCCAAATATATCACAATGATTACTATTACGGAATGAAAAAAAATTCATGTGAATAAACTTATGTGGGCTTTTTTTTTTTTTCCCCCACTGTGGGGCCCACTCTTCTAGTTGAACCAAAACAAAACAAGACAACAAATTAGAGGGGATTTTTTAAATATAGACTATCTTGGGTTTAGCGATTATTTCATTAAATAATTAGAAACATCGTTAGGTTTATTTTTCTTGAATAATTTAACTGAAGATGTAAGCATTCACCAAAAACACCATAATAGAAAGAACACAAGCTCAGAGGCCTAAGCCAATGGCAGATGTGATATTTAAATTTTCAGTTCTTTAACTTCCATAGGGCCTTAAGAATGGAACAGCCATACTGCTGCTCTTGAAATAATTTGAGAAATCATAAATTTTATAAATATTATACTTGTTGACTGCGAGGGTCTTCTTGAGATTAAGAAACAATGGGAAGCATAACAAGGCAATGAAAACTGATGGTGTATGCTGGAATTCTCTATGTCAGTATGAGCATGATAAACGAATTCCTGGAAGGAAGAGCTCCTTCCTCTACTTCTCTCCTTTCCACAGTGGTCCTGGGAATCATCCTGGGAGTAGAGCTCTCAAACACATAAAATGAATTTTCATTTTTACAGTTACCCAGAATCAATCATATCCTTGATCCATAGCCCCTTTTTATAGAGAAACACACGTGCAAAAGGGTTTTTGGCTAACATTTCCTTTACTTTTCAATCTTTTGGAAGATATACACAATAGCCATTGAATACTTTCCTGCCTCATAAAGAAATTGAGAAAGAATCAGGTAACTTCAAATCTAGCAAGATACTTCCTAAAGGACTGGCCTGACATCATGAAAATAAGATTTAGTTTGAAGAGCTTATATCACTGAAAGCATCATGTCTCTCCACTCATAAAATAATAATACCATCTGAACAACAGTATAAGTCTAACATAGGACTAACATGAACTCTTTTTTTTAAAAAAAATTTATAAGACCTGTATTTCGGAGGTGAGCAGATCAAAATATTCTCTATAAGAAGTTAGGACTGACTGAAGCTCACATCATGTTATAAACTGGCTGAAAGGGAACGAGCCTCAAATCTAATTCACCAGGAAATGTCCCATTTGATACATTCAAAACATTTTTAAAAATTAGTCATTTGGAATATGCAGGACACTCTCCAGAAGACAGTGATTATTCCTCAGCACACCTATATTTATTTTTCTTTTCATAAACTTTGTTAAGAATGTGGTATCCAGCGAATTATTTTAAAAAGTGAAAACAGCAAGTTGGGTCTTTAAAGAACTAAGAGAAGGTAAGGTTATCTTCTGGTACTTGAAAACTTCACCAACAATTTTAGTAGCAGATAAAAGACATTCACAGTTACACAACTATTGTTTGCATATAAGGACTTTTGTGAAGTGCAGGAGTTCTGCAAAAGAGCTATGCTGAAGCGTGTGTTTTCATATATGTATTGCAGAACACCAACCAGATGAAAAACCTTGAAGTAATATTTCCTAACAATTTGGAGCACTGAATTTTGGACATGACTTGGGAACTTCTGGCCACGGAGTCTAATGAAGGTAGAAAACGTGCTGCTTCAGGAAGCAGAGGGATTGACACACAGCTTTCTCAGGAGGGATCTGATCATGGAGTGGTTGGGTCAGTCACTCTTTGGCATTTAGCATAGCTTCCTGGGCACTGACTCAGCTATCATGCCCTGAATAGCTAGGTTATCCTCTGTATTGATGTTACTCAGGCATGAAGAGCCTTTTGAATTTCTGATATCTGGAAAAATATCACAATGGAAAAGAGAGTTCTTTCAACATCTTTCATTATTTGACAACCTAAGACATGTGAGGAACTTCTGCTTCCAGTTACGATGTAGAAAGATGCCACAGAAAGATGCAAATTACCATTCCCATGGAAACAAGAAAAACCCAGACAAAATAATTACTAAACTTTTCTGGAGGAAGTAAGTAGATGCAAAGAAGCTCTGATGAATTCTAGAGAGAAACAAGTACTTTGTGTAGGAGCAAACAGTTGTGGCAACTTTGATACCAACTTCGATATAGGGCAAGTACCTGCTCTGAGAATGAGCCTGCCATAGATAGGATTTATAGGGATGAGAGAAATCAGTCAAACATTAAATGATGATGTAGGCTTACAAAACAGAACGGAATCTAGATGAACTCTAAACACAAAAACAAATTGCTTGGTCTGATATTTCTCCCCAAATCTTCAAATTTGCCAAATAAGAGGGAATAAAGAAGGAGCTCGTCAGTAAAGAGAAATCACATATTCCCACACATTCTTGTGTGCTTATATTTTAAGACGCCGTCAGAGTTGAGTCTAAAGGTGAACCCAAAAATATCTGCAACTGCAGATCAACCAACTCCAGCTCAAACATTGACAATATGTTTTGTTTGTTTGTTTGTTTGTTTGTTTGTAAGAAGAAGCATAAACACAGGTTGGGAGTGCACTAATCACGGATGAATCCAATCTTATTACAGCTTCAGCTCAGCACCAACTCAACTTTTGGGAGAATCGGCTCCTTCTATTATCTAAATACAAGACAGTGTCAAATGTTTTCGGAAAAAAACAAACCCAGGATGTTATATTTCAGATTCCCTTGTTCTTTTTTATACAGTGTGTGGAATACTATAAAATTGTGACATGCAAAAAAACAGGAAAAAAGAATAATCAAGAGACAATACAGTCTATATGAGTATCCCAATAGATCCTAGTCACTACAGTTAGCACA
This sequence comes from Homo sapiens, assembly GCF_000001405.40. Lineage (NCBI taxonomy): Eukaryota > Metazoa > Chordata > Mammalia > Primates > Hominidae > Homo > Homo sapiens. The sequence continues at coordinate 112,662,608 of NC_000010.11, read as the reverse complement.
TAAAGATTTTAGAACTATTATAATTGTGTTAAAGAATTTATAGGAAAAGGTAAACATAATCGGTGAAAATACGAGTTTATCAAGAAACAAATGGAAATTCTAAAAAGAAACCAAATAAAATTGTAGAATAAAAATATAACATTTGAAATTAATTCACTAGGTATACCACATAGAATATCCTTCGCTATAGAATAAAGGATCACTGAACATGAACATAGTTAATAGAAATTATCCAAACTGAAGGAGGAAAAAAAGTTAAAAAAATGAACATAGCATCAATAACTTGTGAGGTTATAACAAGTGGTCTTACATACATGTTATTAGACTCCCAGAAAAAGAGATTATTAGAGACAAAAAAACGGTATGAATAAATATCTGAAGAACTAACAGTCAAACTTTTCCAATCTGTATTTTTGTAAAAAGCCGATCCACAGATCAAAGAAGTTTAACAACCTCTGAGCAAGAGAAATAAATAAAAACCACACCTAGTCATGTCACAGTCCAATTTCTGAAAACTAAAGATAAATTTAAAATCTTGGCTGGGTGCAGTGGCTCATGCCTGTAATCCCAGCAGTTTGGGAGGCCAAGGCAGGTGGATCACCTGAGGTCAGGAGTTCAAGACCAGCCTGGTCAACATGGCGAAACACTGTATCTACTAAAAATGCAAAAATTAGCTGGGTGTGGTAGTGGGTGCTGTAGTCCCAGCTACTCTACTCAGGAGACTGAGGCAGGAGAATTACTTGAACCTGCGAGGTGGTGGTTGCAGTGAGTCGAGATTGTGCCACTGCACTCCAGCCTGGGTGACAGAGCTAGACTTCCTCTCAAAAAAAAAAAAAAAAAAAAACTTAACAGCAGAAAAAAAAGATACATTCAGGAGAACAATAATAAGAATGAAGCCTGAATTTTCATCAGAAACAATACAAACACACAATGGAACAACTTTCCAAGGTGCTAAAAGAAAAAATAAAAGGTCATTCTATTATTCCACGTCCAGCAATAATAGCCTTCAAAAATTAAGATGAAATAAAAATACTCTTTGATAACCAAAAAATATTACCCAGCAGAACTAAGCTGCAGGTAATGTTAAGGGAAATAATTCAGGCTGAAGGCAAATGACACTAGATGGAAACCTGAATGTACAAGAAAGAATGATGAACATCAGAAATGGTAAATCTGTGGATAAGTATAAAAGCAGGCCAGGTGCGTGGCTCATGCCTGTAATCTCAGCACTTTGGGAGGTTGAGGTGGGTGAATCACTTGAGGACAGGAGTTCTGGATCAGCCTGGCCAACATGGCAAAACCCTGTCTCTACTAAAAATACAAAAATTAGCCAGGTGATGGTATGTGCCTATAATCTCAGCACTTTAGGAGGCCGAGGAGGGCGGATCACTTGAGGTCAGAAGTTCGAGACCAACCTGGCCAACTTGGTGAAACCCCATCTCTAGCAAAAAGTACAAAAACTTAGCCGTGTGTGGTGGCACATGCCTGTAGTCCCAGCTACTTGGGAGGCTGAGGTGGGAGAATCACTTGAACCCAGGAGGCGGAGGTTGCAGTGAGGCAAGATCATGCCACTGCACTCCGGCCTGGGTGACAGACTGAGACCCTGTCTCAAAAATAAATAAATAAGTAAATAAAAATAAAAACATTTCTTTTTCTCTTATATTCTTTCAAAGTAACCGTTTAAAATAAAAATAGTGATAACATGCAGAAGTGAAATGTATGAAAACTAGCACAAAAGATGAAGAGGAGGTAAACAGAAGTATTCTGTTGACTGGCTCTTGAGTTTTATGTAAAGTAGCATATTTATTTAAGGTAGGCTGTAACAAATTAGGGATAAAAACCTTAATTTCTGAGTTTCTTTCTGCAATATTACACAGTACCCACTAGCCACATGGGGCTATTTAAATTTCAATTAATAAAATAAAATAAGACTTTAGTTCCTCAGTAGCACTATCCACATTTCAAGTGCTCAGTACCTACATGTGGTTAGCGGTCACTGTATTGGAGAATGCAGAAATACAACCAACTCTAAAATGATCTCCAAATTCCTTTGTCTTTAAGGCAAACTGAAAGAAATCAAGAAGTATTCACTTGGGGTTTAATTTAGGTAAAACATTCCCTTTCTCTGGGCCTCAGTTTCCTTAAATGTAAAATGAGACTCTTAGACTAGATGATCTTTAGTGCCACTTGGCTTTAAAATATTAGAACTTGGGCCGGGCATGGTGGCTCACGCCTGTAATCCCAGCACTTTGGGAGGCCGAGGAGGGCGGATCACAAGGTCAAGAGATCGAGATCATCCTGGCCAACAGGGTGAAACCCCTCTCTACTAGAAACACAAAAATTAGCTGGGCATGGTGGCGTGCGCCTGTAGTTCCAGCTACTCAGGAGGCTGAGGCAGGAGAATCGCTTGAACCTGGGAGGCAGAGGTTGCAGTGTGCCGAGATCATGCCACCGCACTCCAACCTGGGTGACAGAGCGAGACTCTGTCTCAAAAACAACAACAACAACAACAAATTAGAATTCAGTGACTCCAGAGAGCATATAAGAAAACTAGAGCACGGGGCCAAATAAGGCCCACAGATGTATTCCCATCCTGCCCCCAGAATAACGTTTTAAAAAACCCAAAACAATAGAAATTTAAATGCTTTTAAGCAGATCATATTGTTTCCATTTTGCCTAAGTCCCCAACATTAGACTGCTTCATACAGTAGCCTCCTTGGCCTCTGAGGACATTAGCATTTACTATGTACCATAAAATATTTACAGGCACTTGATGACATTATTTTAAAAAATTATACATTCATCTCAACTGAAGGTAAACTTAACATATTCTTAAAGAAATATAGCTAAAGACCATGCAGGGCCTATGCACGCGCGTGCGCGTGTGTGTGTGTGTGTCTGCGTGCGTGTATGTTTGTGTTTAAGCAATTATGTTTTAACACTACCTTCTCAGTAGCTGAGTATGTATTCTATTTTGCTTTAAGATGATCAAATCTATCATTAAGCAATTAAAAAAATCATCAGTGCTACTTTCATCAAAGTCATAGTAGCAGAACCTCCCCTTAGTTACCTGGTTTGCTGCAGATAATTAACAAACACTATTCCCAGAGCCCTCAGACATCAGTCAATGAAGCTGTGCTACCAGTAACGATGCTCTGGAATGAGCAGGTACTATGTAAATTGAGGTTGTTAAACAAAAGGAACCATGTTAATTACAGCTCCATTCAAAAATGAGAATGAATCCATTCTATCCTATAAAATGAGACTTGAGCAGCAGGAAGGACATCCCTTTTTCACAATTCAATAAAGCCTGTAAAAAGCCAGGAGATGAAGCAGCAGAAAACCTGAATGGGCAAAACTGTCAAAACACATTCCAAAGGCTCACTTGTGGAATTTACCAAACACGTATTTACTTAACAGACAAGGGAGACGTGTTCAGCGTCATCCAGCTCTCCAGGGTGAATGAATTACTCATTCTAAAAAAACAAAAAGTGCTTAAAGAATTGAGAGGTGATTAGAAAGTAATTAGAAAGGCTTCTTAGAAATCATTCTGAGCCGAGTTAATCACTATTTGTACTCTTTGTGAACTCTGCACACATTGCTATCACTAAATGTATAGCATTTTAATTACATGTTTGAGAAGTCACTATTGGGTGGACCACAGGACTTACGTGGCTAGCAAACATCTTTTGCTTTTATGAAAGACTATTCTAAGCATTTTTGAACCAGTTGGCAATCACAGGAAAAATTTGTTTAAACAGGAGGTTTCATATAAAATGATAAACTTCTAGTTTCTTTTGAAATTTGGAATATCTGGCAACAGTGAGTCCCCATTCCCACTTGGTAAACACAGGCTGGAACTGAGTTATAGCTTCTTTCTTTAGAACAGCCAGGTACTATCCAGTTTGCCACCTCCCCACTGGCCTGTTTCACTCATTTCTGTTCCCTGCTTGGCTGCCGTAGGATTAGATGTTTGTGACTCTTTGCTTATATATTCTTCTCTAATAGACTGTAAATGACTTTAAAGATGAGGCCATGTCTCATTCCTCTCAGTATATGCCGCATTTTAAGAGGCAGTACAGGACATATGCAGGTGCTCAGGAAATTTTTGTTCACTGGAACCATTCAACTTAAAAATATGGTCAAGTCCTTTATAAATTTGTAACAATAGAATCAAAGATTTTTAGAACAAATGTGGGCTGTAAAAGTAATGGCACAAATGAGCTGGGTGTGGTAGCTCATGCTTGTAATACCGGTGCTTTGGGAGGCTCAGCTGGGAGGATCACTTGAGGCCAGGAGTTTGAGACCATCCTGAGCAACATAGTGAGATCACCATCTCTTAAAAAAGTAAAAATTAGCTGGGCGTGGTGGGGCATGCCTGTGGTATCAGCTTCTTGGGAGGCTAAGGCGGGAAGATCACTTGAGGTTAGGAGATTGAGGCTGCAGTGAGCTATGACTGTGCCACTGCACTCCAGCCTGGGTGACAGAGTGAGACCCTGTCTCTGGGAAAAATAAATAAATAAAGTAATAGAACAAATGAGCAAACTAGAATGCAGGAAGTTGGGAGGTGGAGATCTCCAAGATCACCCAGATCATGTTGCTCATTACCCACAGAGCTGCAACCATGATCCTAAGTCTCCCAACTCCTAGGCCTTTGATCTTTGCATTAACAACAACAAAAACGAATTAAAAAGAAAACAAACATGCATTACAATGTGGAGGACAAGGCATCCTAATACTACACATCTTTTTGTTGTTCTGTTTTAAGGCATATATATACACACACAAACACACACACACACACAATATAGTGTTCTTTGATATATAAAAGTTTTTAACTTTCATAAAGTCTAATCTGTTTTCTTCTTCTGTTGCTTTGTGCTTTGGTGTCATACCTAAGTATCCATTGCCAACTTCATGCCAATGAAGATTTGTCCCTGTATTTTCTTCTAAGAGTTTTATAGTTTTAGTTCTTAGACTTGGGTCTTCGATCCATTTTGATTTAATTTTTGTATATTATATATGTGTGAGGTAGGGGATGGCAAGGAGTAATTTTTGATTCATACAAAATATTTAGAACTCATCTGGAAGAAGTTACTGCCTTCTTATACCTCTTATATTAAAAAAAATCTAATTTGTACCCCAACTCAAAGCCTGGACAAATGTTTACACTGACTCATAAATTTAAAATGTTATGTTTTATATAGTATTTTTATATATCTTGACTCTTCTGAGCACACAGAAAGAAAGAAGATACCTGGGTTAAAATAGGAGAAGAAAGTATAGATATACTGAATAAATGGAAAAAGTAAAGTTATTAAGCCTGAAAAATATAGGACAATGGATACAGGAAGAGAACAGGCCTTACACATACATGCTGCTATATTTGAGCTGAAAGAAACACAAAGTTTTTACCTAAAGGATTGTATTAGTTTGTTCTCACATTCCTATAAAGTAAACCCCTGAGACAGAAAAGGGGTTTAACTGTCTCACAGTTCTGCAGGCTGAACAGGAAGCATAGTGGCTTCTTCTTCCAGGGAGGCCTCAGGGAGCTTTCAGTCATGACGGAAAGCGAAGGGTGGGCGGGCATGGCTTACAGGGCAGGAGCAGGACCAAGAGAGTGAGGGGAAGGTGCTACCCACTTTTAAACAACCTGATGTCGCGATAACTAACTCCCTCGCTATCATGAGAATGGCATTGAGGGGATGGCACTAAACCATGAGAAACCACCTCCATCATCCAATCACCTCCCACCAGGGCCCACCTCCAACTCGGAGGATTAAAATTTGGACATAAGATTTTGTGGGGACAAAGATCCAAACCATATCAAGGATGATCAAGTTTTAAGAAATATCCCGCAGGAAATCATGAGAAGGGAAAATTGAGAAAGTGAGAAGACTGACATAAAGGTGGCTTAAAATTCAAGAAATAAAGTTTGTAGGCTGGGTGTGGTGGCTCATGCCTATAATCTCAGCACTTTGGGAGGCCGAGGCAGATCAAGGATCACTTGAGCCCAGGAGTTTGAGATGAGCCTGGGCAATGCAATGCAGGGAAACCCTGTCTCAAAAAAAAAAAAAAAAAAAAAAATTATCTGGGTGTGGTATGCTCCTGTATTCCCAGTTACTCAGAAGGCTGAGGCCAGAGGATTGCTTGAGCCCAAGGGTTCTAGGCCAGCCTGGGTGACAGAGAAAGACCCTGTTTAAAAAAAAAAAAAAAAAAAAGGTTTGGGAAGAAAAATTCAAAGAGATAAGTCAGTTTATTGAATTTTTCAACAAAATGTTATTTCTTCTATTCATTTATCTAACCCTGAGAATAAGGTCAACAAACACATGCCATACATGCCACAGCTCCTAAACACCAAACAGCTGGCAGGTATTGTCAATCAATCACAGTGCCCTGAACACACCTTGCAACAAACCCTCTCCTCGAAACACCCCAGGCAGTCAACTCGGGTTGGCACAGGGGATAAGACCCACTTGCTATCCTGGACCTATGGCACCGGGACCTTTTCTCAATTGACAACAGAAACTTGACAAATGGTAATTTTTTGAGTTCTTCACTTTTCAGCTTCCAGCTAGTGCTCTCATTCTCAGATTTTCTGCATGTATTTGCTTTAAAGGCCTGAGTGAGAGGACTGAAATTTGAAGGTCACAGACTCTGGCAAAGATTCTCATTTGCTAGTGTGCACTAGAATCATCTAGGAAGCTTTTAATAAACACTGTTGTGTAGCCCTTATTGTAGGCTGACTAATTGCCTAGATATGGGGCACAGATAGGCACACTTTAAAAAATGTCTGTCAGTCATGTCAAACTCCTTCTTATGGGCCACTGGCCTTCATTCTTCAACATTCTGTAGTCCAAAATACCTGGCCCTGGGACAGATCTTTACCCCTTTAGCTCTGGGCCTTTGGTACTCATAAGATTTACTTAAATTATGAAACAAGGAATACATCTATACAGTTGTAGTCAGGCTGATTTCAAGAATAGGATTCATCACGTTTCTTAGCTTGTCTTATTCAAAGACCACCAACACACTTCCTCCCCTTCCTAATAAAAAACACTTTTTTTTTTTTGACAGTACAAGGCAGAATTCATTTTGTACTAGTAATTGAGGCAAGCTATGCAATCCAACATGTTTGTTTGGTCTGAATCCTAGGAAGCCCTGGGTGAGTTTAATCCTTGATTGTTAAAGCATTTCTCTAGGTCTTCATGGAGCCCTGCTACCCCTGCCCCACCCCACCACATATACACACACCTTCTCTTTACTCCTTGGTTTCTATCCTTTGTTCTGGGTTAATTTTTTCTGCTCTTGATATACCTACTTGATCATCTATAGTAAGATACTTCAAATCTTTTCTGTGGAAGTGGATAATGAATAAATCAATTGATAAATGAAAGGGCCAGATTGTTAAAACACAGATTGCTGGGCCGTGAATCCACAATTTCTAATTCAGTACGGGTGTGTATGGGGGGTGGAGGGACAAGAAGTTGCATTTCTATCAAGTATCCAGATGCTGCTGGTGATGCTGGTTCCCTAAGACTATGTTTTGAGAACCACTGTTTTACTGTAAGGGTTGGCAATCTAGGGCAGTTTAGCCAAATCCAGCCTGTGGCCTGTTTTTGTAAATAAAGTTTTATTCACACACACGTGTAAGCCAGAGCAATCTACAGAGGAAGTGGGAGAATTTATGCTATATCATGAGGCAGACAAAAACTTTAATGTAGAAGACACTTGCATTTTTAGACAGTGACATTTTGAGAGGTGGAAACTAACAAAACTCAAGACAAGGGAACTAGTGAACAAATGGAGAAAAGTATAAAAAGAATGGGGCCGGGCGCGGTGGCTCACGCCTGTAATCCCAGTACTTTGGGAGGCCGAGGCAGGAGGATCACCAGGTCAGGAGATCGAGCCCACGGTGAAACCCCGTCTCTACTAAAAATACAAAAAAATTAGCCGGGTGTGGTGGTGGGTGCCTGTAGTCCCAGCTACTCGGGAGGCTGAGGCAGGAGAATGGCGTGAACCCAGGAGGTGGAGCTTGCAGTGAGTCGAGACTGTGCCAATGCACTCCAGCCTCGGTGACAGTTAGACTCGGTCTCAAAAAATAAATAAATAAATAAATAAAAAGAAAAAGAATGGATGACTGTGGGGCATATTCTGAAAGAGTTTTAAGGTGATACGATCTTAATATTATTTCTAAATTTGAGATGTATGCGTGGTAAAAGATCTAAACTGAGCTCAAATTATTGTCCTGTAAAAAAATAAAAGGAGATAAGGTTTCCTAATATTTATGCTATCCTTATGACATTAAAGAAAAGGCTAAGTAAATGTGGATTTTGATAATCTTGCTTATTAGATGGCAACTGCTGGTCAATGTCAGATGAAGCACACTAAAAAATTATTCATTTTATAAACTGAAGTATTAGCGTGACCCTAGAAGGAGAGTACATAACCAAATACGCACTTACAGACTTCTTTTAGTAAAACTCCTAACAACAAAAAAGTTTATTATTGTTTGCTTTTCTTAGCAAGCACTATGACATCGGGAGTTTCTAAAATACAGAATACAACAAAGCTACCATTGTTTCTAAGTACAATAGGGAATTTATTAGACTTCATCAGCCAGGCTGTATATTGAACTTATTAGCATAATTGTAAGAAGAATTTTTAATTATATCTGAATAGACTTTACTAGGGAACCACTAAAACTGAGTCTTTTACCAAACTTCCACCTAAGAGTATTAACAAGTTGGGATGGGACTTATTTTGGGGGGGAAACAAGCACGTAGGTTGAAACCCTGGGGGACAAAAAAATGACTGCATACATTCAGTATATATCCAACAAAAGTTTATTGCTTACAGGCTGTGTATAAAATACTGCAATGAATGCTCCCCTCCAGGGAAAGGTTTTTATTTTGGGCTACTATTTATTGACTGCTTCATTTTATACTAGCCACTGTGCTAAGCACTTAATGGATACCGTATTTAATCTTCACAACCACCACATGAAGTCGATTATTATTAATCCCATTTCAAGACAAGGAATCTGAGGCTCAGAGAAGTTAAGTAATTTGCCCAAGGTTGGCCAGTATTCAAGACCCAGGCCAGATTGATCCCTAAGCTGATTACATGGCCACTGTTGTGCACTGTGCCTTCCCCAGCACACAGGTGGCCGACGTCATGGGCATTCTGGTTGCGCAATTTGGACCTATACTTCGCACAAACACACACCAAAGAAGGAAGCTAGACATTATATGACTCTTTGGATGTCATCAATCAAATAAAAGGACAGGAATACAAAGCAAAATGAAAAAAATTCCCTCTTAATGAGGCAGGAGAATAGGGTCTGGAGGCAGGGAACATAAGGCTGATTCTCGCTGACTTCCTAGAACCAAATCAAATGGAAACACTTCAGCTAGGACAGAAAATATCCTCTCCATTTACATAGGGTGTACACTGAGTAAATGACTTCGTAACATGACTTCATCCTCTTCATTTACAGAGGGCGTACACCAAGTAACAAATGGAAACCTCTAGAGGGTATTTAAACCCCAGAAAATTCTGTAATGGGGCTCTTGAGCCCCTATGCTCAGGTCGCCCCCAACCTGTGGAGTGTACTTTCATTTTCAACAAATCTCTGCTTTTGTTGCCTAAATCTTTCCTTGTTTTGTGTATGCATTTTGTCCAATTCTTTGTTCAAGATGCCAAGAACCTGGACACCCTCCACCAGTAACACTACTTCAACGAAAGAAAAGCAAGGTGAGTCTTTTAGGGCCCAACAGACACATCATGGTCTGCCTCCTAGGCCCAGTGGGCCTATATTTCTCCTTACTTTCCTTCCTTTCCCTTCCTCCCTTCCTTCCTTCTTTCCATTTTTTTTTTTTTGAGACAAGGTCTCACTCTGTTGCCCAGGCTAGAGTGCACTGGCATGAACACGGCTCACTGCAGCCTTGACCTCTTGGGCCCAAGTGATCATCCCACCTCAGCCTCCTCAGTAGCTGGGACCACAAGTGAATGCCACCATGTCTGGCTACTTTTTTTAAAACAATGTTTTGTAGAGATGGGGTTTTGTCATGTTGCCCAGGCTGGTCTCAAACTCCTGGGCTCAAGCAACCTTTCTGCCTCGGCCTCCCAAAGGGCTGGGATTACAGGCGTGAGCCCCTGCAACTGGCTCTAACTCTTTGTTCTGCCCTCAGAGTCCTCAATTCCCTTTCCAGGATTTTGTGCATTTTGTTTTTTGTGAGACACACAGCAACTGCATACTCACTGAGACAGTCGGTGACAGCCAATGTGAAGGACACTCATTTCTGAGGACTGAAGTGTACCGCTCTAGTCTGTTTTCACCATCCATTTATCTGCGTCCCCTTGTGAAAATCTTCATGGTGTTATGGCAGTGGGAGGCTTTGATTTCACTCAGGGCTTGTCTACGCTAAAGTTTAGACATTGTTCTAACTAAGCACTGCTGCAACCATACTTCCATCCCTTTACATTGTCTTTGATTCAAAGAGTTGTTTTTTGTTTGCCTGTTTTTTTCTTTTTTCACCTGAAGGAAAGAAATCTCCATCACTATAGAATTCCAAATATTCTACCACACTCAACTCTAAACATCCTGTTAGGAGTCATGACAATTTCTAAGTGGTAAGAGATCAATCAGAGGACTGTGCTCCTTTCTATTTCTGGCTGAGGCTAACGTTCTGCGGAAGTTTGCAGAAATATACCAAGTAGTAGCCTTTTGGCTAAAACTTTTCCTTTGATAAAACAGACTTGGATGAAGTGGACTTTCCCATCTCTCTATTTCAACCTTTTATTTCCTGGAGGAACTATCCTTAGAAGTAAGAAGGTAACCTGGTATTCAAAGTCCATTCATTTCCTCCCTGACACACCGAAAGTGTATACTCACAGTTCTAAAAAATAATTATTATTACTATTATTGTTATTTTAATGTGGACATCAGTTTCAGCTAAAAAAGACTGGGATCATCAACTACTAGAAGGGCTATTCCAGGCCAGGCACGGTGGCTTACGCCTGTAATCCCAGCACTTTGGGAGGCTGAGGCAGGCGGATCACAAGGTCAAGAGATCGAGACCATCCTGGCCACCATGGTGAAACCCCGTCTCTACCAAAAATACAAAAATTAGCTGGGTGTGGTGGTGCATGCCTGTAATCCCAGCTATTCAGGAGGCTGAGGCAGGGAAATCACTTGAAACTGGGAGGTGGAGGTTGTGGTAAGCGGAGATCGCACCACTGCACTCCAGCCTGGGCAACAACAGTGAAACTCCATCTCAAAAAATAAAAGAGGGGCTATTCCACTAAGAGAGATGATGGCAATATTTTTCTACCAATTAAGACATTGAGATATTATAAACTATTTTGTCATATTTAAAATATCATGTAAAAACCATCTAATAGGTCACTTAAGCATGAAGGAAGTGCTGAAGACAGGAATGCTCCCCTTGCTGACTTTCTAGGGCCAAGAAGGACATCATCCCAACAGTAGCTGGATATAACAGATTAGGTGGCCTTAAATGTTGGTTAAGCCACACAGCATTACTTATAATTGCTCAACAGGAAGAGAAGAAACAATAACCTCTTCAAATCAAAGAAGTAATTTATAAAATAAAGACTGTGAAAAATAACTTATGTAACTTATCAAAGCAATCAGTCATATAAACAGATGAGAATAGTATGAATCATAGGTTAGAAAGTCAAGCTTAGCAGAAACATGAGAAAATATCTTCTATGTATTTAATGTATGTCAAACTGCAGGAAATAGTAACAGTACTTTTAATTTGAAAATTCTTCACTGAGAGGACATACAGTCATGCATTGCATAACAATGTTTTGGTCAACGAGGGACTACGTATAGGACAGTGGCCCCAAAAGATTATAATAGCGCTGAAAATTCCTATCCCTAGTGACATGGTAGCTGTCGAACATCGTAGCACAATGCATTACTCGTGTGTTTGTGGTGATGCTGGTGTAAACAAACTTACTGCACTGCGAGTCATACAAAAGTATAGCATATACAATTATGCACAGTACATAATGCTGGATAACAATAAACAACTATGTTATTGGTTTTTGAATTTACTATACTATAGCTTTTATCATTATTTTTGAGTGTACTCCTTCCACTTATTTAAAAAAAAATGTGAAGAGTAGAACAGCCTCAGGCAGGTCCTTCAGGAGGTATTCCAGAAGAAGGCATTGTTATCATAGGAGATGACAGCTCCATGCATGTTATTGGCCCTGCAGATCTTCCAGTGGGACAAGTTGTGCGGGTAGAAGACAGTGATACTGATGATCCTGACCATGTGTAGGCTTAGGTTAATGTATGTGTTTGTGTCTTAGTTTTTAACAAAAAAAGTTTAAAAAGAACAAAAGGAAAAAAAATTAAAAATAGAAGTTCATAGAATGAGGATATGAAGAAAGAAAATATTTTTGTACAGCTGTACAATGTGTTTTAAGCTAAGCGTTATTACGAAAGAATCAAACAATTAAAAATCTTATAAAGTAAAACAGTTACAGCAAGCAAAGGTTAACTGATTGTTGAAGAAAGAAAAACATTTTAAAAATAAATTTAGTGTAGTCAAAGTGTCCAGTGTTTATATAGTCTACAGTAGTGTACACTGATATCCTCGCCCTTTACAATCTCACTCATTGACTCACCCAGAGCAACTTCTGGTCCTTTAACCTCTATTCATATTCATGGTGAGTGTCCCGTCCAGGTGGATCATTTTTTATCTCTTATATCATATTTTTACTGTTTAAATATACAAGTCCTTACCATAGTATTACAATTGCCTATAGTATTCAGTACAGTAACATACTATACAGGTTTGCAGCCTAGGAGCAATAAGCTAGACCATTACATTAGGTGTGCTGGATCCTCTGCCATCTAGATTTGTGTAAGTACTCTCCATGGTATTTGCACAATGATGAAATGCCTAAGGATGCATTTCTCGGAATGCATCCCCATCATTAAGGAATGCATGACTATATTTAACAAAAAGGCAGATGGGTTTTCCTCTTGTAGCCATACTTGAATTTACAGAGACAATACTTGAAGAGAATCATAAGAAAGCATCAGAAAACTCTTCTAGCAGAAACTGTGCCTTATATATCTGATTCCTCCACACTGTGTCCAGCATGATGCATGAGCCCATAGTAGGCACTAGATTGATATTATTTGTGATGTAATATGATAAGCCACACTTCAAATTATTGGTACCAATTCAGTTTTTAAGACTGATACACCTTGAGAATCCAGATGATACCAAAACAAAATAAAAACTTCTTTTTTCACATAAACAGAAAGCTCAGGAAACTGGTGAACAGCTCAGCAACCTAGAAACTGGCTGTGCAGAGCACTCTTTGAATACGAATTAGCAGTGGGTAATGGCAGCATATTTATGAGGTCTCTTGCCGGGTCCTTCCCTCCTGTGAATGCTGTATAATTCATTGTGCGTGCCCTGACCCCAGTGCACTCCTGTTCTGACAAATCATACTTGATTAAGACAAATCTTTATTAGTTAGCTAGTCAACTTCCCCATTTATCACTGGCAAATCCCATTCTCCACTTCAGGTACAGGAAAAGTGACTGAAACCTTAAAAAAAATACCCCAAATATCTAAATAAAAATAAAATATTTGTTAATACACAGCAGGTAAAGCCAGAAACCTCTTAATAGATGAGTAAAGAAATTATTTAATAGATATATATTTTACCCACTGACAAACTCAAACCCACTACACATTTTACTCAAGCTGAGAAATTGTTGATCAGGTAATCTATTTAGGAATTTTTATCTCCTATGAAACTTCTGTCTGAAAGCAAAATGCTGTATTTTGAAAACTGTATTACAAAGTTAGAGGCTCAAAATACTGAAAGGGTAATAATAAAAATTTTAAAAAGACTGCTGAGTAGAAAGAATGTCTAAGCCTCCTACCAAAAGAATAACAACAACAAATCTTTACAGAGTAAGACAGAATAAGGCAGAATAAATTGAAAATTATTCTTGGTTCTCTAGTACCATAGGAAAAATGAACCTCTTTTTGAACTATGTATAATATTCTCATGAACTTCATTGTTGGTTAACCCTAAAGATGATTTAATTAATTTATCATGGTTGATGCTCATTTTAGAGTCTGGTGCACTGAGCTTGGTACCAGAACTGTTCTCAGAAATCTGACAATGATGCCATCAGTAACAAAGAAGCATGCTATGGGCTAGGATTGCCACTGAATATCACAAATAGCATCTTCTGACAAGTTTCAAACATTCTCTAGTTTCATGGAGGTAAACTTCAGCACAAACCATTAACTTTCCTTAGTGACAGCAAGAGAGAGAACAAAATGGAAGGAGAATGGATAGGTTTAAGCTGATTTCTGACTTCTTAAATTTTTACTCTTAAGCCCTGAGTCCAACAGAGGAGAAAAATCTTTTTAGCTTTTTCATAAAAAGCTACCAAATCAATCCAGATGTGTAACTGATGTGTAATTTCCACATAGATGATCTCAATGTTCTCTTTAAAAACAATGCAGGCTGGGTGCAATGGCTCACGCCTGTAATCCCAGCACTTTGGGAGGCTGAGGCGGGCGGATTGCTTGAGCTCAGCAGTTTGAGACCAGCCTGGGCAACATGGCAAAACTTGGTCTCTACCAAAAATAGAAAAATTAGCTGGGTGCGGTGGCATGTGCTTGTAGTCCCAGCTACTTAGGAGGCTAAGGCAGGAGAATCACCTGAGCCCGGGAGGCGAAGGTTGCAGCGAGCCAAGATTGCGCCACTGCACTCCAGCCTGGACAACAGGAGTGAAACTTTGTCTCAAAAAATAAAAATAAAATTAAAAATAAATTTAAAAAATGCAGAGACAAAGTATAATTATTTTACAAAAAATTTCTATGTGGAATCCTTTCTATACTGATAATAAACAAATCTATACATAAACTACGGAAAAACATACTTTTAGTCTTGACAACTTTAATGAAACACCAGTTAACACAATATAGTCCACACATATCATAGTTGACTTTATTGATGTCCTTATGTGTTAAACGGAAAGCAACATTCAAAAACATTTTGCATGTTGGGGCTGTCTTCTATTTGCCAAAATTTTCCATTTAGAAAATGTGGATACATCTTGAGAAATGAGGTCAGAACCTAGTATGAGAGACTTCAAAAGAACACCTAGTACAGTGGGAAATAGTGTGTTGATGATTTTATAAGCAGAGCCTGACTCTGATTATATCTATGGATTCAGAAGAGATTGCACCTGAACAATCTTCCCCACTCTACAGGTCTTTCATCACAATCTCAAAGCGCTAAACAGCTATTCCAAAAGTGAAAACCGTCATGGTCCCATTAGAAAATATTTATGTAATTTGGATAAGGACAGAGTGGGGTGGGCTAGAGAGTTAAGCCGTTTACACATGCCCATGGAAGTAAAGAAAAAGTTTTAAAGTAACTTTCATTTATCCCATGGGCTCTCCACTCATTTTTTTCTTGGAAATCCTGATGAAAATGAACTCTTCCAGAAAGGTTAAACAACTTGCCTGTGGGGGCAAATTTTAGGTCAGAGGTAGGATTATAATTCAAGCCAATAAATATTACGGAGAGTCAATTACATAACAGGCATGCAAAGAAATAAAAATAAAACATGGTCCCAACATCTAGCAGCTTACACTTAGATGGAGTAGAATGATATGAATGGAACCACCATCAGGATAAAGTACAGCACATTGCACAAGTGCTAAACTGAGGAATGTGCCAAAGGTGTTGTATCAACTAACAAAAGAACATGGTAGCCGGGCGCGGTGGCTCACACCTGTAATTCCAGCACTTTGGGAGGCTGAGGCGGGTGGATCACCTGAGGTCACGAGTTCGAGATCAGCCTGGCTAACATGGTGAAACCCCGTTTCTACTAAAAATACAAAAAAATTAGCTGGACGTGGTGGCACACTCCTGTAATCCCAGCTACTCGGGAGGCTGAGACAGGAATTGCTTGAACCTGGGAGGCAGAGGTTGCAGTCAGCCAAGATTGCAGCTTGGGCAAGAAGAGCAAAACTCCCATCTTAAAAAAAAAAAAAAGAACATGGTACTCTTCACAGATTTGCTCATCACCCTTGCAGGTCACCCACAATTCACATTTCCTGATGTCCACCCTGGGCTTCTTGCTCCTACACTCATACTCATCTGCCCCATAATGATGTGGATATCTTTGGATATAATAATCTGAGTGTTACTGACAACCTGTGTCTAATAATCTACTGGGTGCCTCACATTTCTTTTCAAATCTTAGAAGACAAAGGTAAGAACCTATGGAAACAATGCTTCCTAGTTTTATTTTATTTTTTTAACTTCCAAGTTTTTGTTTTGGTTTTTTTCAGAATGCACATAATATTGACCTGAAACTAATGGTATATGATAAATATTTAAAACAATAGGATAGGTAGTTGGATAACCTACAAGATAGGTTGTATTTCTAGCAAAATTTGTAGGTAAAAAATGTTGAAAGGCATCTAGTCCAGTTCCTTCTACTTATAAACATATATCTATCACCCTATGGCACATAAATAAAAATGGATGATAAGAAGATAGCATTCTATTCTGTCTACCCACTCCCCATCCCTGGCACTACATTGGCATCAGGTAACCAAAAAAAAAAAAAAAACACAGTATATTGGTGTTCTTTCTTTTCCATATAATGCCTGGCATACAATACATGCTTCTAGGATGGATGGATAGATGGATAAATAAATAAATGATCAAGTGAAATAAGTAGAAATGCACCAAAAAAAGTAAAAAGGGGAGAACATTAAAAGCAAGAAAGGCAAAGGGGTAAAGTTGGTAAAGAAACTATTATAGAGAGAACACTAGATATACACTTATCAGTAGAATTCTAGAATCAGGAGCGTTTTAGAAGTTATTTATTCCACTCAGGAGTTGGATTAGATCATCTGAGAGAAGTGATTTTTCTAAATGGCATATCAAGCAGAGCTTGGATTAGAACCTAGGCTTCTTCACTCCTCATTTCATATCTTACGTAACGCAAAATACACAAGCAGGAAGTTCAAGACCATGTAATTAGTGTGGACGCCTTCTTCAATGAATGGCCCTGGGGCATGGCTCCTTTATATAGCCCTAGCACTTCTGCAATCATGGGTGACATGCTAGGGAAGCTGCTCTCCCCCAAGAAGAATCCTGCACAGCACTGGTCTAACTCATCATTTTAGTGATGCTTCCTGAAACTAGTGAGAAATACCAAATATATACCCATTTACACCCCATAATGAGTAACTGGGTTAAGATAGGTGGCAAAGGGGAAGAGGAGTGTACTTTTCCTTACATTTCACTTATGATCTTATTGAATTCTGGGGGAAAATTTAAGCTGGGTACATATTGAGCTATCATAAATAGATTCCACATTAATTCCACAAACACACACTGAGTACTTGCTATGCGCTAGGCAGGGGAATACAAAACCAAATATGACATTGGATGACTATAGTGAGCTACAATGGCTCTTTGAAAAACGAATGTTAAAACCAGTTAACATTATAAAATCTACTTGATAGAAAACTTTGAGGTTACTTCCTTCCTCATCTATACGTTTTAATAGAACAGGTTCATATGAGTGCTTTCAACTTACAAACACATTCCTAGAAAGCACAATAAATATCAAATAATTGTACTATTTTGTTACTATGTCTAACTATGATTGAAACTAAACTATTCCTTACCATAATGTCATTTTGCCATTCTGCTTAAGGTTGGTAAATCAGTATAATCTGATATTCTCATACAAACGCTAGGTAGAGAAGCCCAATTCTGCTGTACATTTTCAGAATGTGTTAAAATTGATGTCAATGTCTCAGTAATTTCGCAGTTTAAAAAACAGTTAGAAATGTAATGACTACACTACACTTGATTAAAGCATTTACAGCTCTAATCAAAAACTGACAGCAAGATCAAAGATGTTAACTTAAATCTCTCCTCTAATTATGTTTAAAATGCCACACCTCAGGCCTGTCTCTCCTCTTCTTTTTCAAACCAAATTCTGCTTAAGAAAGATCTAACACTTCTTAACAGTTCATTATCCAATAAAACTATTCAAAGCTTAAAAGCAATCTACACAATTAGTCAGGACCTCAGGGAGTCCACCGGTAGTCTTTATTACAGGACTTCATATTAAAACACCTTAATTATATTTGTCAAATGGATTTCATTAAAACCCATCGTCACTTTAATTTTCATATTTTGACAGTGCTGGCATAGGCATTATTACCACCTGCCAGGCTAGGAACTACAACAAAATTGTCAAATTCCTTCAAATCCTAAGCAGTTTCTTTTGTACCTGATTGATAGTTTTCTCTGTGTGGGGAAACTATCACAATTAGAAGAATTAAAATACTCCTACTTAAATTCTACTCTAATATATATGTTTCTTGCAGATGCAATGAAAACAAACTACATCCGTGCTGGGTTGCCAGGTGCACTTTGCAGAGAGGGTGATGCACATACTTTGCAGTGCATCTGAATAGCAAAGCCGAGACATCAAACAGAATGCACTATGATTCAATCACATCACAACCATCAGGACTTGAAAGCCAGGACATTTTTTTTTTTTTACCTCCTATTCATTATGCTGCCATATTTCATAAAATATACGGTGTTTCTGGCCATTCACTTGAGATTCAATTGTATTTTCATTTGCCACTGAGACTCAGACTATTGAAATAGTAAACGAAAAAAATTACATATATGCCTTTCTTTCTAGCTATGCAATGTTCAATGTCAACAGTGATGCAATGTTTACAGCATTTTCCTAATTCGGCTAGTTATGCAACTTTAGGAAAATGGAGGTGTGTACATTAATAAGCAAAGAGTTTTTGTCTGTTTTCCTCTGGAATTTTGAAGTCTTTCGTAGCTTATGCAGTACAGAATGAGATTCTCTCGATGATTCTCCTTTTAGATTGAGGCACACAAAATTCTATTTTTCAAGTATTGAGAACAGAAATAGCAAAAAAAGGATAATTTTTTTTTTAACCTAACAGACTCATAAGATATAACAAAGGAGAAAGGTTTCTGGCCTATGTGTAACACACTTCAGGGCTTTGTACAATGGTCTCAAGAGTAATAATCACCTTGCTTTATGAATAATTTAAGTCATAGTAAATGGTCTTGGATTATTTTGAGTAAAGCTAAAATTTTAAAGATTTACTTATGAAATCACAGGACATTCAATAATCATAAATGATCACTGACTTATATGTCTCAAAATTTAATATAATTGAAATAGAAAACATGCTCAGAGAGGCCCGACACTGTGGCTCACACCTGTAATCCCAGCACTTTGGGAGGCTGAGACCAGCAGATCACTTCTTGAGGCCAGGAGTTCAAGACCACCCTGGCCACATGGTGAAACTCTGTCTCTACAAAAAAAAAAAAAGAAAAAAAAAAAATTAGCCAGGTGTGGTGGCGGGTGCCTGTAATCCCAGCTACCTGGGAGGCTGAGGCATGAGAATTGCTTGAACCTGGGAGGCAGAGGTTGCAGTGAGCCTAGATTGTGCTACAGCACTCCAGCCTGGGGTGACAAGAGTGAGACTCTGTCTTAAAAACAAAAAAAAAAAAAAAAAGAAAAGAAAAAAAAGAAAACATGCTCAGATAATTATGCACAGGGAACATGCATTTAAATACAGTTCTAGTGTCACCAATGTCCAAAAGTTTTTCATGATCAACTTAGCTGGCAACATTTTTCCCTCCTCTGGACTCAATTCATTATCTGTACCACTATTATGGCACAGACCCCAAGGCTTGGTGTTTTGGTCTTCTCCCTATGCTCGGCCTAGTTATTAAAGAATGACTAACTGGGGTCATGCCTGTCTCCCCATTAGACTGTAACAAACTTCCCCATAGCAGGGAATCAGTCTCATTCATTTCCCTCCATACAATGCCTCACAAATGGTAATCATTTAGCATGCACATACACACACACACACACACACTACCCTGTATACTATGAGTGTATACGTATATATGTGCTGATATACTGAATGCTATGAATACAACATTTTTTAAGCCCCCAAATTCATAAATCAAAAACAGAAGAATCAGCAACTGCTTTTAAATTTTTATTAAATGTTACTATAATTTTGAACCATGAATCCTTCACATCTGTCCCATCTTTCTCTTACTAACCCGTCAGCAACTGTGCTTGGGTTGGCTGATAACCCATAGAACTGATGGAGAGGGGGGGATCAGAGGAATACAACTCAGACATTTTGTGCGGAGTTCCTCAGCTGCTCGAAAGTGCATTCCATTGCAACCAGTCAATAATTTATTTGAAGCCATTATTATTAATAATCACAGAACACATGGATTTTTCTCATTAGGAAAAAAATTGGAACAATCTACTATTTTAGAAATGTTCCTAGAGGGACACTTCAAAAATGAACCAGATGCGGTCTACATTCTGGAATATTTGAAGTTTATTTGATGTAAATAGAGGCCTACAGAAACCCTGCTGACACAAAAGGCACAAGACACATATAAGTTTATGAATACTGCATTTATTACATTTTAAATGCAATACATGTTAACTTGGTGCTCAAAGAGTGGTCTGGGTTGAGAATCTTCCTGACTTAACACGGTGCGATCAGTTCAATTTCTGCTCAATGGTACCCTGTTTCCGGTCACTCACAAAGCCCAACAGTTCCTCTTTCTGCGGCCCATTTGTGTTCAAAGACAAGCGCAAGTGCAGGAGTTGGGCTGTGGACTGGAAACTTGATGTGGTCTACACAACGGATTGATATGGGGCCAAATGTGGTTTGTAAAAGCAAGCACTTTGGGCAGCATAAAAAAACATAACTGCAAGTTTGGCTAATCTCGTGCTCTCACTGAAAATGGATAATTAGGGAATGGGAAAGGAACATTTGGAAGGGACAGGATACTAAAGGTAATAGAGAAGAAGATCTTTTAAGGGTGACCTTCTACGAGTGGGGCTTTGGAATTGATGCTGGGACCCTTGCCAACTGCTGTTGGGAGTTTCTGCCTGAGATCATCTCCACACTATCAGAACTGCCACTTCTATTCCTTGCTAAGGTCACCTCCCCTCTTGAGCCCAAACTGTCATGCACATCATCACCTGGTCATTTGCTATAGCCTCTGTGAGTCCCTCCAAATCCCCCAGTTTCCTAGCCGCGGCGAGTGGGGAAAGGTCCTCAACCTTTCCACATTGTGCAAAGTAAGGAAAGTGGCTATTCTGTTTTTTCCTTTATCAACAGCAAGCTTAGCGTGTTTGAAGGATGGGGTAGCAGGGAGGTAATGTGGGACATGTGGGATCACTGGGGCCTGCAGGAGGACTGGAAGGAGAGTTGCAAAGGCTTTCGAACTGCATGATCAGAGAGAAAGCCTGAAGTGCCCAACTGACAGCTCAACAAGCCTGCTCAGATAGGGCTTTTTCCAACAGGAGAAAATCCGTGACTTTTGCTATCTGCCCCCCAACTACACCCCCTCTCAGAATGATCACCTTGAAAGAAAAAAAAAACTTTTGCTTTTTCTGTAATAGTCACAAGACAACAGGGCAATATTTAGTATTCTTTTGAAGTTATATGAAAACAGCCAATCTGAATATGCCTGATGGTCCATTGTTGGCTAGAAACTGAGATATAAATAGAGTAATTTGGATACTAAACCACAGCATCCATCAACGTCTTTCTGGAGCCCAGACAATGAATGACGCCAAGATCTGTTTCTGGACTGAGCCCTGTATTTTGCATTCGACTACCCTCAGGGCTACTCCTCTCTTATACACAAAAGAATACTGATTCACTTTAAATAAAACAACTGCCTAATTCAACAGCTGCCAAATGATAGGCCAATATTAAAATGCTTTAGCTGTATTTTTCTATTGGGAATCAACATTGGAACCCTTTTATATGGTACAAGTCTATATCATTTCAGCAGTTAATAAAGGCACATAAATTACTTACAAAGTACAACAACCTGATCCACATCAATATTTATCTATAGAAGCTAGTGGGGTTTTTTTTTGTTGTTGTTGTTGTTTGTTTTTTTTCCCAGATTGTTGAGATCCTCCTTACCCACCTCCAGGCTGTGGAATGCCTGATCCCCATGTGAGCTGGTCCACTCTTCCTCCATGAGAGGTGGGAGCAGGAGGAGTGGGAGAGGAGGCAAGCTATGGGCAAAATAAGATTTTAGTCAGATTCAAAAACTGACTGCGATTGTTTCTGATAAATTGGGTAGTTTCTGCATATTTTTTAAACACCCATGTTTTACTCTTAGAACAGTGGGACTTTATGCTTCATAGATAGATAATATTTTAATGGCATTGATAGATATTGCTATTAAAGATGTCCTAATATGACATCTTTAGCATCTGTGTTCTATTTTTGCAATATAAACACAAAGTAAATAGATTTAAAATGCTGAATTTTTAAATGGGCATTTAAAAATAAAAATGATTTAAGAGATATTCTCATATTCCATGAACTTAAGTCTTTGGGTAAAGAAAAATAATTTCATATTTCTATTTTAACTCCAAATGGCCCTTGAATCATTACTCTTCAAAGTCCCCAACAGAAGGTGGAAGACATGATTATTCCTAATTTACTGGTGAAGAAAAGCTGCACAAAGGAGTTAAATTACTTTTCTACTGTCACAAGGGAGGCACAGAATCATGAAATCATATTTTGTCTTCTGGTCTATTTTTTAGTCTTCAAAGCAGAAAACTGGCATAAGCCATATTGGGAATATGTGTAGTTTCTGGAACCAGCAGCTGAGAGTCAATGAAGATTTCAAACAAACTTTTCTTTTAAAAGCAAAAACAAACTATTAGACTAAGCTGGCTTTTGTTTTTTATAAAAATTTCCATATTCTGTATATACCTTTTCAATGTAAGTTAGTTTCTTGTATTCCAATATCAATTCATAGGTAAACACTTGGATGTTAGTGTTTTCAGCCTGTTCTAGAGCTCTTAAATGTTAAAACATCTAGTCACCCCATGTCAGTTCTTAAATATTTCAATGAATTAGGTAGTTCTTTGCATATGTATGATTGCTGAATTTCATTAGTGAGTCAGTCATGAAGCTTCTAGGTCTGAGTATGCCAAAATGATGATGTTAACATGAGGAGAGAAATACAAACATGTTCAAAGAGCTACCTGTTTTGAAAATTCCAAAATGTCACTGTTATAGAATAACTATCCAATTAGTAATTGTCTATGTGATTCATCAAAAGAATAAGCATCAGAAAGTCAGTCTCCTATACGTCTAAAAGCTCAGTATTTAAATGATATTTTGCTTTTTATAATCATGTCGACTCTCATTATGCATTTTTAATTGTCAATGAAATTTAGTAATAAAAAGAGAAAGCTTTAATTGAAATGTTTGTAAAATCCTCTTACTTGGAGAGTTTGTGTGAGTTGATTAATTAAGAGACTTTCACAGTTTTCATATTGATTGCCTTTGTGTTTCTGAACTTTCTGTCTGTTGCTCATGAGCAGAGCAAAAGTAAGAAATCCTGGATGTAACAAGATGTAGGATTTCTTGATACAGGCTTCCACTTTGATAAATTGAGTGTTTTTCCCTCCCTTTTTGGAGTATTTCTCTGTTCTCCCATTTTGTAGAAAGAAACAGGCTTTTAAATGCTGATACTTTTGCTTCAATGTCATAATTCCACCAAATGCCTTTAGGAAATAAAATCTCCTATTTCTAGTACAGTTTTTATTTATTTTATTAAATTGTTTAAAAACAGAAATGAAAAAAAAAAAAAGCCCAACCTGTTTTGCTAGGACTAAGCCAGAAGGAAATGGTAATATCTGTATTCTAGATCTCTGTAGTTAAAAAAAAAAAAAAAAATTAAAGAAATAGGAATTTTCTGCTTACATTTGGGTGAAATACATTTGTGCTACATTTAAACTATGAGAGCTGAATCTATTTGACAATAAAGTTAAATATTTCCCAATATTATCACTAAAAAGTGTCTCATGGAATTTTATGTAATAGGTTACATTTCAAAATAAATAAAAATAAAATTGATCTTTGGTACTTTTAATTAATCTTTCCTCTTGCCACCAAATACTTAGGGTGTTGTTATAAGATAAATAAATATTTAGGGGATTGCTATAAGTTAAAATAAGTAAATGTTTAGGGTGTAATAAGATCAGCTTACAAATTTTCTAGCTTGTTTGTTTAGGAATTTCCCCTCTATACCAAGACAAGATACTTCTCTCTTCTTTTGAACATTTCAGCATATTTGTCCAGCATTATTTTTTCATTCTCTTTTATCCCTGGGGCTCTCAATGTTTAAATAACTCCCTCCCATGTAAAGCTTTGCACCGATATCGATCAGCCTAGGCTGGAAGTTACTATGAGGCATTTTCAATAATCAGCCCAGCTGTTCAGAGAGCTTCTTGAATAAAACCCTTAGGTAAACAGCATAATACACTGAGAACTCTCTGCCAACAACCAGCCCTGCTCAGAAATCTCAAGGATTGCTACGAATGCTTCACTGAACAAAGAACTTAATTCTGATTTTAACAATGAAGGCTATAGAGTAATTCAAACAAATCCCATCTTTCATTCACATATGTAGAGACTATAAGGGGTTTCCCCAACAAACAACATGCTTGCATATGTGATTAATTCCAAAGCATTGTGTGTCAAGTAAACAGTTTTTACACATCTAAAAAGCAACTGTATACAAGACAATTTTTTCGTACTACCATTTTACTCCCTAATCCACACATTCTGATTTAAGTTTATTTATTTAGAACTTTTAGGTCAATCATATTGTCTATCTTTATGGGATGTACAGTACAGAAATAAAGGTGCAATTACTTATTTACAATTTTACTTTACTTTTTAATTTCTTCTTTACTTAAGAGTTAAATGCTAAAGAAAAAGAGAGTCTTTTATACAGCTGTTTTTTTTTTGAGATGGGAGTCTCACCCTGTCACCCAGGCTACAGTGCAGTAGCGCGATCTCGGCACACTGCAACCTCCACCTCCTGGGTTCAAGTGACTCTCCTGCCTCAGCCTCCTAAGTAGCTGGGACTACAGGCATGTGCCACCACGCCCAGCTAAGTTTTTGTATGTTTAGTAGAGATGGGGTTTCACCCTGTTAGCCAGGATCTCTTGACCTCGTGATCCGCCCACCTTGGCCTCCCAAAGTGCTGGGATTACAGGCGTGAGCCACCACACCCAGCCCTATATAGCAGTTCTAATCATGATTTTTTGCGGATATGCAACAAGGAAACATTAGAAGAGGCACCAAAAAAGCTGACACCATATATAAAGTATATTGTAAAAACAGCATTAGTTTGCCATGCAGTAAAACCCATAATGTTCACACCCTTCAATGAATAAACATCATAAAAGTAAACTGTTTCAAAATAGATGACACCTATAAAATCTCACGAGTCTCCAAATTGTTTTCCTTTTAAAAAAAGAAAACAAAACTAAATAAAAGTTAGGAATAAACAATTTCTAATGTTTCTATTGGAACCATTCAAAAAAGCCTTCATGTCATTATTTAAGTTAAATATATCTGTCTGGTTAAGGCTATTCTGAGATAGAATGAGTTGACAGAGGCCTCTAGGTTCTAGAAGAATAGACTGGCCTTCTGATACATAAGAAATGTGAAATGTTTCCTCTGATCTATCTATATCCATGACAATGAATCTTAATGACTGTTTTTTGTTGTTGGTTGTTTCATTTTGTTTTGCTATGGTTGTTTATTTTCTCTTTACTTTGGAAGAGAATAATTGATCTCTAGCATTTAATTTATACTGACTGCACCCTCTAGTAATACACCAAAGAACAAAAGATACTACCTCTACACTTGAAGTTTTTTTTTTTTTTTTTTGAGATCGAGTCTTGCTCTGGCACCCAGGCTGGAGTGCAGTGGTGCAATCTCAGCTCACTGCAACCTCCGCCTCCCAGGTTCAAGCAATTCTCGTGCCTCAGTCTCCCAAGTAGCTGGGACTACAGGTGCGCACCACCACATCCAGCTAATTTTTATATATTTTTTTTAGTAGAGACGGGGTTTCACCATGTTGGCCAGGATGGTCTCGATCTCTTGACCTTGTGATCCATCCACCTCGGCCTCCCAAAGTGCTGGTATTACTGGCATGAGCCACTGCACCCGGCTGGAGTTTATAATCTATTTGACAAAATGGGATACTCACCATACCCACCCATAACACACCATCCAATGGCAGGAGAAAATTAATGAGCTATTACAATAGGTAAAAATAACAAGTAATATTAATTGCAATTGTATACCTTTATATAAAGCCCTGGTATTGAATGTCAACTATGTGAGTTGATGAGCTCAAGATTATTGGTCTACAAAGTGCCCTTATATAAAGATTTATGGGATGGCAAAGTTTGTAGTGAAAGAGTCAGCCTTGACTTTGACAGGTATTCATCCACAAATGCATCTGTGCAGAGTGCCTACTGTGAGCAAAGCATTCAGAGCCCAACCCTCGGATCTCTCTCCCTTGCAGGTGCTGCCTCATCTCAACCCATAATTATTGGCAGTTCAAGTTCTTACTTTGTATTTCTTTCCTACATTCTCCAAACAGTCTCCTTTGAGATCCTCATTCACTTTCATGGTTTTTAAATATCATCTCTGTTTCTATGCTTAATCTGTTAAAAACTATTCCAAGTTTTACTCCCCATTTCCTATTACATGCTGGGTAGTTCACTCATCCCTTAAATTCAGTGGGCATGAATAAAAATCACAGCTTCTTGCTATGTGCCTCTTCCCATCAGCTAAATGTGGGCGAATCAAGTGGGTCTCTTGGGACTCACACATATCAACTCAGTTTGAATCTTCCTTTATTTTGCTTCCCATTTTGAACCAGTCATCGGGTTTTCTCAAATCTTTCTTTGAATTATCTCTCATACTTGTTTCTTTTCCATTCCTACTGTTGTAACCTCTCACAAAGACCAGTGCAAAAGCCTCTTAACTGGTTTCCCTGTCTTCATTGTCTACAACCATCAGTACGTCTCGATTGTTTGATCTTTCTAAAATCTTCCTAAAACACCACTCTGGCCATGCTCACCAAGAAAAATCCAAGGTTTAAGCCAGCATTTAGAACCTTTCAGAATTTAGGCCTAAATACTCTTTCAGGCTTCTCTCTCAATTCTCTCTGGCATATATTCTAGACTTGGCCACCTCTGAGCTTTGACCCTTGCGGTTCCCTGTCTGGAATGCCTCTACCAATCTCCAATCCGTACAATCCTGCTGACTGCTCACGGTTCTGCTAAAACACTACATCTGCCATGAATTCTGCATCTGCCTTTACCAAAGGGATCTTTCTCCTTAAATTCCTCAGCACGCTGTCTCATCTCCACAAGATTTACATGCCTGCATTATCCTCTTTACCAGAGTAAAAGCTGCTTGAAGGCAGGAAATGTGTTATCTTTTATTCCCCCCAAATAATGAGCACAGTGCCTGGCTCATATTATGAATAAAGGCACCTCCAGCCCCAGCTTTCTGAACTTTGCAGTTACAGGCAACAACAAGGCAGTGAAAACTCCGGCAAATGTCCGTAGGAGACTCCTAGAATTAGCTCCTCTAATGCTCCTCTGTCTGCCTATTTTAACAGTTAAGGAAGACACAGAAAAAATGTTGGCCACTCAGTCCAGGATTCAACCCCAGAGTTTATTTATTATGCATGTTTATGTATTCAGATTGTGAAGGAGGCAATGGGCATGGATTGTAAATTGATGGCAAACTTAATGAAAAGCAGACAAAACAGTGTAAGAAGGCTTAAATGCCTTTTAGAACATGGCAGATATATAAAAAAGTCATAAGAAAGTTTACAATAAAGAAAAGAATGTGGAAGAGTGAGAGTCAAAAAAGATAATTACGTAGAAGATTTTTAAACAGCTTGTCTAATGGAGATGCTGAGTGATTAAGACAAACAGCTTGCCAAACCACCTTGTCACAGGGACATAAATCTGAAAAAGCAGCAGACTCCTCAGAAAGGTCAGACAGATCACATTTAGTTTCAAAAGGAAGAAAACATGAAATTCGTGTGTGTGTGTGTGTGTGTGTGTGTGTGTGTGTATGTGTGTGTGTGTCTGTGTGTGTGTGTATAACCACCGAGAGGCAATGGTATGATATTGATAATCTTTGGAGAAAGAAACCTTCTGTATTGTCAAGTGACTTAAAACTCGAGGCACAATCCAAAACAAGAATTAAATAGCACAGCATAGTGTAGTCAACACCATATGAGAGGGTGCCTTCAGGGCAACACACACTGCTGCCAGAACACCAACCAAAAAATGGACAATCAGGATCTCAAAAGAGATGAGTCACCCAGAGGGTCTCTGTAGGAACAGTCTAGTTTCTTAGCCTTGAACCGAAGTGGTCTTGCCACAGGCAAGGAAAACATTGCACTGTTCCACAAAGTCAATTCTAAATGCATAAGCCATTGAAGCATATTTCTTATGGAATAAAGACTGAGGAGAAATAAAGGTTGAGTAATGAAAGTAAAGATGCAACAAAACTTTTAAAGTGGCCAATCTTGCTCATATAATGCTTGCAACCAAAAGGGAAGAAAGCTCTATTACTCTGGGAAAAAGGTGTTTGGATACACCACTAAAATAGGAAGCCTAAAAGAACCATTGTTTTATAATTCTGAGTTAACTGTGATCCTTTTTCCTTTTTTCCGTTTGTTAACTGATGGTATTTTCTGGAGTGAGTCATGACTTTTTTTTTTTTTTAGTCTAGAGCCAACTTGATAATGCTATTTAAATAAATTAACTAACTAAACTGCAAAGTATAAGCTCTTATGCCCATAAAATAAGAGAAGAACTGGGAAGTTCACCAACAAGGATGAAATAGGAGAGGCATTTAATAAAATTTGGTGACAGAGTCAGGGTAAGGTAACTCTCTCAGTGACACATTTATGTAATGCTAGTCTTCTCTGCATGGGAGACATTACTTTTTGGGGGCAATGCCCTTTTCCTCACCACTGCTTTTCTCCAATCTCTTCTTTGACTTCCTTTTGGGATCCCTGGGTATCCTGCTGTGTTGTTCCAGCCCCGGTGTTTTGCCTGCTATCTCTTTTCAATGTCTGAAGATCAATTATCCCTTCGTGCTAGCATAGGGAGGACAGAAATTCTGGGGACCACAACTTTTCCATTATACTTGAAGGAAAAAAGCAGCTCTCTCCTGTAAGATGGAGAATTCGGAGGTTTCCTCACAGGCTTCTGGTGATGCTTAAAGCAGAGAATCAACCTACAGGGTTTTAGCACAGTGCCTGGCACATGCGGAGTACTCAAAGGATGTGAGCTAATCTTCTTCTTACTATTATTATGTAAGTCCCGTAATTCTCTATGACCCACTATGTGTTCCAGATGATGCCGAAGACCTAGAAAAGTGGCTTTCATCACCATCAGACCTCTCCTCTCCTTCAGACCTCTCCTCTCAGGACTCACCATGTTGGTCAGGCTGCTCTCAAACTCCTGACCTCGTGATCTGCCCGCCTCAGCCTCCCAAAGTGCTGGGATTACTGGCATGAGCCACCACGCCCAGCCCAGACCACCTTTTTGTAACAAATATTTCACACAGGATTTTTAAAAAAGAAATCAATATAATGCCCTAGCTGTAATATAAATACAGGAAAATAACTTACAACAAAATAAGAAGTATTTCTATTTGTAAATACCCAGGCATTACTATACTAATAGATACAACTAAGTAAGTACATGCTTGTGCCTATACAACTGTCACATGCATGTACAATCAACATGCATGTGACACTACATATGCAAACCAATCCACAAGCACTGTAATGACAGCTCAAATACTACAAGTCGCATTACCATGAACACTGTACTCACCCAACTTTCCACCTGTTCCTCTTCCCTAACCCCCTTATGGTTAGGTAGGACTATATGACTATT
Organism: Homo sapiens; assembly: GCF_000001405.40. NCBI lineage: Eukaryota > Metazoa > Chordata > Mammalia > Primates > Hominidae > Homo > Homo sapiens. The sequence continues at coordinate 112,632,670 of NC_000010.11, read as the reverse complement.
TCTGGCCGGTACACTATAGTCAGAAGTGATGTACCTCAACTTTGGGTCAAAATATTGATGAGCTGGTATGTGAATCCCGTCTATCCCTGCCCGCAGTGGCTGGCAACGATCCCCATGGTGGAGTCTGGATGCTTGAGTAAGTGGGGCAGAGCCCTCTGTCAATGCTTGATCAACTTTTAGCATAAATAAAAAAGAAACCTTTGTTGTGTTAAACCACCAGAATTTCTAGGTTAATTTGTTACTGTAGCATAATCCTGTCTATCCTTCAATGGTAAAGAACTCTTTTAAAATAAACCCTGATTTTACACAATTATTGTATACTTGGAAAACTCCACATACGTTCAAGCCACACAAAAATACTTTGTGTTCATATGGAAAACTACGTTCAGATAATTATAAATAGGGTGTGCACCTTCACAAATGACCAGCAGGACATTTGAGAGTTTGTGCAGGATCAGGGAGTGTTGTAAAAGACTACGCAATACATTCCAGGATGTTTATTACCCTTGAGTTATCACTGAGATAACCAAAATGCCCCAACAAAGGTTCAAAATGTCCCCTAGGGAAGAATACTACCCCAACTGATGGACACTAACTTGGAGAAAAGATCAACATAACCATGGCTGGCCAAGTTGTATATTTTTACAATTACAATTACAATTATATTGTTATAATTACCATATTGTGGAATTTCATCAATAAGTGATTCATAGATTACAGTGTCTTAGAATCCTGGATTATGTTCTATAAGATGTAAACAAAAATAGGCGAAATAAAAGGGTTCTCTGGTCCCAGATTGAGCAATCCTGGGCTAAAGAGTGCAAATCTTTAGTACATGGAGCATTATGAGTCACGACAAACAAGACACAGTATGCACTGTTCCTCACACTTACTTGAACTGAAGACCTTTTGTTCCAGAGCTTCCTGCGGAACTCACATGCCATAGGCTACACAGCCCTCACCTTTACAGACGAGCAAAATAAGGCTCAGAGGTTTGCGTCAGGCTTTCAGGGAGTTAATAGCAGAGCTAGGCCTAGAACTTAAAATCAATATTCCCAACCATAAAAAGGAATGAAGTACTGACCTAGGCTGCAATGTAAATGGACCTCAAAAACATTATGCTGAGTGAACAAAACCAGACACAAAAGGTCACATGTTGTAGGATTCCATTTGTTTGGAATATCCAGAATAGATGAATCTATAGAGACAGGAAGAAGACTGGTGTTACTAGGGGTTAGGTGGAGCACAAAAGGGGAGCAACTGCCTAACGAGGATGGGGTTTCTTTCTGGGGTGACAAAAATGTTTTAGAACTAGATAGAGGTGGTGGTAGTACAACACTGTAAGAGTACTAAATGTCACTGATGTGTACATTTTAAAATGGTTAATTTTCTATTACGTGAATTGTACCTCATTAAAATAAATAAATAAGGTTTAAAAATTAATATTCTTTACTCTATACTACGCTCTTATCAGCTTGAGCTCCCCAGTGTAGTTGAGAGTAGCATAGCAGTGTCATGTTTTCATACTGCTTTTTTTTTTTGAGACAGAGTTTCGCTCTTGTTGCCCAGGCTGGAGTGCAATGGCGCGATCTCGGCTCACTGCAACCTCCACCTCCCGGCTCCCGGGTTCAAGCGATTCTCCTGTCTCAGCCTCCCAGGTAGCTGGGATTACAGGTGCATGCCACCATGCCTGGCTAATTTTTGTATTTTTAGTAGAGACGGGGTTTCATCATATTGGTCAGGCTGGTCTTGAACTCCTGACCTCAGGTGATCCGCCCCCCTCAGCCTCCCAAAGTGCTGGGATTACAGGCATGAGCCACCGCACTTGGCTGCCTTCTTATATTGTTACATATATTACCTTTTGTTTTCTGGTTATTGAGTAAGGAGGTGGATACCATAAACCAGTGAATAAAATTTTGTGAGGCTTGATTGCAGGCTGAAAAAGACATTTCAGCGATGTTGAATGGGGTATAGTGGTTTTCTCTCCATTAGCTCTACAAGCTACTATCTGTCTTGTGCAGAATAGAAATGTCAGGGCATTAGAATCAAGTGAATAGAGGTTCAAATCCTGACTCCACCACTTAATACTATACAGTTATAGCCAATTATTCAAATTTTCTGAGCTTCCATTTCTTTATGTGAAACATGGAGTACTAATACCTACAACACAGGGTCATTGGGGGAATTAATTGCAATGATATAGGTAAATATCTAGAACAAAACCTGATTCCATACTAGAAAATAAAACCAAGTTCTAGCACCCCCAAGTGTAATATTTTCCTGGAGAGCATACCTAAAATTTCCTCAGAGGGCTGGAGGGGTGACCCAACCCAGGCTAGGGATTTTCTTTCTGAAGCTGAGGACACATTTGGCTCCAGGAAAGAATTTCAGAGTGAGGATTTTCTTTGTTCTGTGACTCCATAGGATGCTCTGCTGTCCTGTGCAGATCAGAAAGTGGGAGTGTTGGGCAGAATATATTATGCATATGCATGTGTTTACAAAATAACAACTTCTCTAGAAAGGAACCCCTAATAATCAAGTCTGTCAGAAGAAAGAGTCTCTGGAACCTTCATCTTTTGATCAATTGGGAACGAAGTGGGCATTTCGAGAAAAAAACAAACACCTTTAGGCACAATTAATGTGTTTCTTTAACATACTAGAGTCCCTCTCAACTCTACTCTCAGTTTTAATACTATAAAACCATATTTTTTTTAAATACTGAAAAATCATCTTCGTTTAAAAAAATCCAGTAGTCACAAAGTTGTCCACTGTACTCCACAGAAAGACTTATGAATGGCATATGGCATGTTTAGGAGATTTGGCTCATATGAGGCTGGAAGCACAGTGGATTTATGTGCATCAAAACCCTCAAATTGACTGAGGAATTATCCAGTTAAAACAAACAAGCAAACTTACTAACTGCAGTCACTTGAAACTTAGCAAGCTTAGCTCAATACTGCTTAAGCCACTTTTGAGAACTGGAGAGCAAGTTAAAAATGTTTAATTACTAAACTGCTGCTGTATAGCCTCATTTTAAAATAACTTCTGCGTTAAATAAGCATTCATTCCTAAATCACAGCATGTTTCACACTCGTTCCTCAAAGGTCATGCAGGAGTCTGGAGACAAGAAGCCCCTTCCTAAGGGAAGCCTAACTGGAAAAAAGGTCCTGTTTTTAAAAGATTCTGTTTCTTCTTAATTCCAATGTGGGGGAAATCCCAGATAAGCCTCCAGTTAAAAGCCAACTATCCTCCTAACAGCTGTGCGGTGATGAAACAGGGAATGGGAAGAATGACGGCGATAGGAGGAATAGTGTAGGAGGAAAATCTCTTTTTCTGTGAAAATCCAAAGCAACCCCTTCAGGGCCTGGTCATAAGGAAGAGTAGGATAGAAGAACTTTCTGGTGCCCTGTCCCTAAGGAGGAATGTGATGCATGGGTTCAGATGCTCCAGAGTGCTATCCTGAGGCAGGCTCTGCCTGCAGCCATGATGACAGCGCTGGACAAGTGTCTGAGGCCTCTGAGTGTCCCAGTAACATCACCTGTTACCCCAGAAGCCATTCACTTGGCAAACAACCTGCAAGGCACCTGTCTATTCAACTGACAACATGGAGAGGGTCTGCTAGGTTGTTCATGATTAAGTGAGTAACCAGTAATAGAAAGATGATAAGAGAGGTAATGGGTCTATTTTAAGTGTGGGTTATGAGATGTCTGGTGTATCAAAGAGAGTCAATGAACCCAAAATTAAAAATTTCATCTAAAAAACTCATACTTTAAATGTAGACACACGTGTATGCATTAAAAAAACACTGCGAGGATATACACCAAAATACTAACAGTGGTTATCTCTGGGAGATAAGGTTTTCTGTATTTATAATTATAATATTTTAAAAGACTTTAAATAAGAAAATCTTACATTTAAAAGATAAAATATAGTTTAGATCAAATACTTTTGGATAAAGAAAACCGTAAAGCAGCAACACTGAAGATTAAATGGATGATCCAATACTAGGAGAACAGACATTATAAAAATAAACAAACTCAAACTGGATGCAATCCTGTAAATGAGAACCAGTGCCAGGGCAGTTGGTTGAACAACTATTAAACCATGGAAATCTGTAAAATATGGTCTTTTATGATAAAAACTTGATTTAGGATTCTTTGATGGCCCAATTTTAAAATTAAACATGATTAAATAAATCTTACCTCTATCTATACATAAAATGATTATTATACATGTTTGCATCCCAAGGTCCTGGTTCCTTTATTCTTGTATAGGTGACTCTGTTTTTCACTGATAGAATTCAAATACTTACAATAACCTCGTTTTGCAACAGAACAATAATATTAATCCTATAATACCTAAACACCTAAACATAAAGATTCCAGTCCATAAGATTTCATTGCAGCATTGTTTATAAATATAAAATATAAACAAAAAATGTCCAGCAACATGTGAATGATTACATTATGATACAGACACATTATGGAATACTAAGCAGTCACTAGGAAATAATTTAGATCTATCTATACAGACCTTGGAGGTGTGTACATAAATTAGAGTTGGCTAGAAAAATTAAGGTACAGGACAGTATATGTAATAGAATTTTATTTTTTAAAAAGAAAAACGTGTGGTTTTGCATACGTAGTCTAGAAGACCTTGGCGTCCACTTCTCCAACACACGCGCGGGGCTCATTTTCTCATGTGACTCTGTTCTCTGCCTAAATATCCCTCAGAGTCTTGCCCTGACCATCATAGGTCAAGTAGAACCCCCTGGAATTATCTATCCTTTTATCCTACTTTATTTTACTTTATATTATATATCATTACCACATTTTATATCACATTTTTATTGATATATTGCCTGTCTCACTATTATAATGTTGAGTTAATGAGAACAGGGATCTCATCAGTTTGGTCACTGTTGTTATCTCAGCACCAGGTCCTGTTACATAGTAGATGCTTCGATATTTGTTGAATAAATAATCTCATTATAAATGTAAATATGAATATATGCACATGTATGTGTGCATATATATTGACACATATAAACGTACTTAGATACAGACAAAACATACGAATACATAGGGGAGAAACCCTCAAAGCTTAAATACCTACTATGAATAGTGGTTATATTTGAGTAGTTAGAGTGGGAGAGATAGATGGGTAGGGGTAAAGGGGACGATCCTTTTATTTTTTTATATACTTCTATCTTATTTAAATAATTTGTAATAAAGATGAATTAAGGTATGATAAAACATTTTAAAAACTGTCATATAAGGACTAGGGTTTGCTGAACCTATATAACTACTTTAAAAATATGTCTGGTGATAACATTTAGGTATCTCTAGTTTTCAACTGGACTGATCAATGGAAGGTATTTTCATCAATGATAATTTCAATCTCCTTACTTTAGGTGGTCATTCTCAACTATGCATGCACCTGTCCAGTTTGTTAAAAATAGAATCCCAAGGTCTATCCCCAGAGATTCTGAATAGGGTTGGGTAGGAGGAATTTTTATTTTTTAAAAATCATCCAAGATTATTCAAAGCTCATCATTTAAGAGCTCATCTTGAGATAGAGCTGAGACAGGGAAGACTGAATCAACATATATTTAATGAGGATCAATTATCTGCCAGGCAACTGTGGATAATAAACATTAGATAAGTTTAATTAATTGGCTATTAGTGGACGAATATTTCAGCAAGCTGTGTTTGCAATTAATTTTTAAGTGGTTAAACACTATACCAGTCTGAACAGAACAAAATATCTTGGAAGTGAAAAGTTATGATGCAGGCTTTGTGGCTGCATTTGTGTGAATTTAAAAATAATATTACATTTAATAAAATTATTAGATTAAGCCTTTACCCATTTTAACTGGAAGATGGCAAATGCAGGCTATCTGAAAACAAAGTCATCCCCAATGTACCTGAAGAGCAGTGGACTACCAGCTGGAAAACCCTGGCTCTATCTCCTTTTGACCAACACATATGGTCCTTCACTAGGACTGAGTTTTCTCCTTTGTAAGCGGCTAGAGTTGGTTTTAAGATCACTTCTGGTCTGTATTTCTTTTTTCTTTCTTTCTTTTTTTTTTGCAAATACTTGTTAGGAGTTATTTTACTAAGCACTTTTAGGGACACAAAGAAGATTAAGATGTAGTCCTTGTCCTCAGCAACAGAAAAAGATTATAATTTCATTAGTACAGATTAATTCTATAAATCAATGGATAAATATACTGTAACTTTATGAATGTTGATTATATATCTCAAATTCAATTTGCCTAATAAACAGAAAAAAATCTTGTTTTCAAAGGCAGAAATGCTTGGATTTTTGAAGATGTAGATTAAAAAAAATAAAGATATAGCCACATGAAGAAGCTGAGCAGTTGCCCCAAAATTCATAATTGTTTTTGATTTCATGGTCTTAAAATCTCAGATTTCTACTGTTATGTGACCTCCGGAAGGGGGCTTTTACCTCTCTGTGCTTCAGCCACATCATCTGAAAAAGGAAGGTTTTGTGTGGAGCCAAGCTGTTGATTCAAACTGATTCTAGAACTGAATGATGCGTCCACATAACTACTGCGAAATCATTACAAAAAAAAAGGATGCAGTTTCCAAATGTACTTTGTTTCTTCTTCCTGACATTTTCTTGGGGAAAACGGAAAGATTAGAATAGACAAAACAGTAATAAAAATTTGTTGATCTACCACTTTGTGCAGCTACTGCTGAAGTGCTTTACGTGACTTATTAGAGATTTATTTTAGTACTGTCTTTGTTTTTTAATTTTTTATTTCTGTAGTGTTTGGTTACCTGAGTAAGTTCCTTAGTGGTGATTTGTGAGATTTTGGTGCACCCATCACCTGAGCAGTATATGCTGTACCCAATTTGTAGTCTTTTATCTCTCATCCCCTTCCCACCCTTTCCCCCTAAGTCCCCAAAGTCCATTGCGTCATTCTTATGCCTCTGCATCCTCACAGCCTAGCTCCTACTTATGAGTGAGAAGATATGATGTTTGGTTTTCCTTTTTTTTTTTTGAGACAGAGTTTCACTCTTGTTGCCCAGACTGGAGTGCAGTGGTGCGATCTCAGCTCACTGCAACCTCTGCCTCCCAGGTTCAAGCAATTCTCCTGCCTCAGCCTCCCAAGTAACTGGGATTACAGGCATGTGCCGCCATGCCCGGCTAATTTTTTGTATTTTTAGTAGAGATGGGGTTTCACCATGTTGGCCAGGCTGGTTTTTTACTCCTGACCTCAGGTGATCCACCTGCCTCGGCCTCCCAAAGTGCTGGGATTACAGGCGTGAAGCCGCCGCGCCCGGCCTGGTTTTCCATTCCTGAGTTACCTCACTTAGAATAATAGTCTCCAATCCCATCCAGGTCACTAGCTCTTCCTTTGCATATACCTGATGCTTCTGATAATCGTGCTTCCATATGTAATGGCTGCTGCTGTGCTTTCAGCAGTCTTTTACACTCAAACACATAAACACACAAACATAGGCGTAGCCACAAAGGTTACCCCCCAAGTTAAACATATGTATTCAGCGCTTACTTTATTACAAAATACTTTTTTTATTTTTTTGAGACAGTGCCACACTCTGGCACTCAGGCTGGAGTACAGTGGCATGATCATGGCTCACTGCAGTCTCAACCTTTTGGGCTCAAGTGATCCTCCTGCCTCAGCCTCTTGAGTAGCTAGGACTATAGGTGTGTGCCACTGTGCCTGGCTAATTTTTTAAATATTTTGTAGAGATGGGGTCTCACTATGTTGCTCAGGCTGGTCTCGAACTCCCAGCCTCAAGTGATTCTCCTGTCTTGACCTCCCAAAATGCTGACATCACAGGCCTGCGCTACCATGCCCGGCCCTTAATCTACCCATTACAATAAACAATTCCAATTATTCAAGTGAAGAATAATCTTGTGATTATTTGGCAGAAAACATATCGGAAACTGCCAAACTGCTGATTCACAGACTTAAAACAGCAATAACAACAACAGCAGCAAACTGCTGATAAAAGGTTATGAGGTTTGAGCCATTTTAAGTACCCTACGTGTCTTCGATTTTTATCTTTCTGTTATACTCGTATTTCACTTATAAGCATTTATCCTAATAAGAACTTTTTTTAAAAAAAACATAAAAATGAAAATGTATATTAAAAAACCTTCCCAGGTATCCTAGGAGTCTTATAATCATTTATCCTAATAAGAACCATTTTAAAAATAAGACATAAAAAATGAAAATGTATATTAAAAAGCCCTCCCAGGTATCCTAGAAGTCTCTAGGTAATAGGAACCACTAGCAAATACATCACTACCACAAAGATTTCAAAATAACATCTTGAGAACAAGGAGACACAATGGCTCATTTCATACTTTTTTTTCCCCCTTCACATTTCATTCTAGACTAATCATGGGGCTCAAACTGCCCTGCTGCCAGAATAATCCATATTCCATTTAGTATTGCTGATGATGGAAAGAAAGGAAATGAAAGAAATGGGATGCCTCTAGAGGACGACAAAGAAAAAGATCACAAGGACAGTGACTGCTAATTAGCAACATATTATAAATATGGGTAAATGCACTAGTCTTTCAACTCCTGAGCCCCTAAGTTCATATCTTAGACGGAAGTGAAAATGTGTTTGTCAGTCCCATGCTGGTCTCTTTTCTTGAAAGATGATGGACAACTGGGAGCCGAGGCTGAAGGCCCTTGCAAATAGATCTGCTGCTACAATAGGTTTCACAGCTTGGCAGCAGAGGCTGCTTCTGACCAGTGCAGTTCTCTCCTCCCTAAGTAACCTGTTTATAATCAGTTCTTAAAATCTTAAAACAATCTGTTCCTTTAGCAGAGGCAATTTTCCCCCTTTCCCTGCACAGTGCCGAGGTTGTTAATCAGAAGCTGGAAACCCTCGCAGTATTTTTTTCTAGCCCCTCCTGAAGCACTGAAGATTTTGTCCAAGTCAGAGGAATCCTATAGGAATGGATTATAAAACACCTCCAGGCTTGGGTAGTAAGTCCCAGTGCCTTTTGGGAAGCAGGATTCGATTATAGCCCCAATCTCTTGTTCTAAGACCTGTTGGGGAGAATGTGCCCCTGGCCACACAGTAGCCAACCCTGTAGCTGTTTCGGATCGTGACGGGATCCAAAGAGAGTTCTCAGCCAGCAGGCTGAGGATAATGGCTGAGATATCAAGTGGTCCAAAGGAAAGAAAAGATTCAGAGAGTTCTGGCAAAAAAAAAAAAAAAAGGTTATTTTAATACTGTTTAGAAGAAAGAAAAATATATCTACGTATATATACATACACACATGCCCTGACTTTTTGGGGCTACTCTAATAAAATGGGAACATGGTGTTTTCAGCCTTCTCTTAAAAGCCTCTAGCCTGTCTCTTTCCTGCTGGATTTACAATGTTAAAAAGCAAAATCCCAGAAACCTATTTCTGTTTACTTAAGAAGGATAAAGTGTTACCCCAAAACAGAGGGGCCTTTTATAGAGATTGGAAAACAAATGGTTTAAGAGCATTAAGATCTACATATCTCTCATGCCAGCACATTTAAAGTCATCAATCAAACATAATCCTGAACATACGAGGTGCAAAAGTGCTAAAAAGGCCCCATTAAAATCCGAGCCTTTTCAGGTGTACCACCCAATCCTGAGCATTATACACAAGGCAGAAACAGCTCTAGTTTATACACACAATACCATTAGGGACAATTTATCATGTCTTTAAAAGTGATATATAGCACATTGTGAAATTGCTTACTAACTCCAAAAATAACAAACCCAGCTTGTCTAAATGCACTGGAATACTCATAATTGGAATTTTGAAAACTTAAGTAACAGCCTATTCTTATTTACATAGCTTCAACTTTCTACCAATCTACTTCCTAACTTGTACTTCAGATTTTTAAATTCGCATTTTTAAACCAATACTGGAAAGTATAGCTATTTGGACAAAAAATTTTCAAGATGTTTGAAAGAAGTTTGCTACACCAAATGCTTAAAAGAATAAAGGAGATTATATGAACACACTGACTCTGGGTAAAAATCTAAATTATAGGAATTGATGATTTTTATCTTTCAAATCTTATTTTCTTTTGAAACATGGCCAGTCTGCACTTATTTCCTGGTTTTCCCTTAATCCATTATAAAGAAATACGTATGTGACTCTTTCTAGTCCTGGCTCTTCTACCCAATCCCATTACACCTCTTCTTTTTTTTTTTTTTTAGGTACTTTTTGTTTTATAAATATAAAATTTTATACATAAAAATAGCACTCTTGGTCTGCATTAAAATCTACCAAAGCCAAAGTTAAACATTTTAGCATCAGTAAAAGGCAGAGGAAGCTCAAAACCAGCGACAGACCTTGCTTCAGCTGGGTGTGTCTAGTGCCAATTAATGTTAAAACCTGCAAAAACAACTATATTCTGACACCCCTTTCAGGGGCACAGGGACCGGTTTGCAGTTTGGCTTTTAGGTATATCGACTGGCTTATGGCATGTTGTTGATACATTTCTGTGCTCACATTTTGATGGGATAACTCTATGTTTCTCTATCAGAGGATTACCTGCCTACATACAGAAAACAGAGCCTTAAGTGTTTCTTGGCAAGCTGACCCTGCAGCATGATTAGAACCAGAGTTAAAATAAGCACCCCAACTCTCTCTCTCTCTCTGTCTCCTTCTTCTCTCTCTCGACTCCCACAACTGAGGAATACTCTCATTTAGTAAAGAAGCACCCGGTGATACTACGGAGCCAAGGACGGTGGACAGATGCTGCAACTACTAAGAGTACCTTGCATATAAGGAGCGTATAGCGTGGAAAATGGAGACGAGTGTGCAAAAAAAGCATAATGTTCCCAGGGACTCTGGAGTAGTCAGTGCCACATGGAACAGCACATGTCATGAAAGGTGTTACACAGTGGACAATTAAGGATTTCGTGCTACATGCTATGACTGGAAAAGCCAAGGTAGAAGTACATTTATAAAGGACTTCTAGAGACAGGGTCCAGAGAAGGATGGGACACGCTGGTGCTCACTGAAATGATACACATGAATCTAAGAGGTAGTACAGTGTGGTGGAATGGTTCCCAGATTAGGAGAATTTAGGTACAAATTTTTGCTCTTTTCTTGGCTTGTGAACTTGGAAGAGTCACTTAACCTTAAGTTCTCATTTGAGTAATGGGGACAATAATGTGTACCTGATAAGGATGGTATGGGGACTATGAAAAACTTACATAAAGCATATATAAAAACTATGAAGTGTACCTAAGTCCAACATTTCCCCCCATCTTGTTTCGTGGGATGATAAGATGTACAGGGTCTGTGACCAAATACATTGAGAAACTCTTTGGTATAAAAAGTAAAAAAGGAATGTTACTTCTTAGAACCATTAATATGCTAATGTGTAATCTCTACAAGACAGGAGTGCAGTACGCAGCCTTGCACACAGACACTTGGCCATGAAGTCATCTTTTGGTGGAACGCCTCCTTCTGCAGCGAAACACACTTTAGGAAACAACGCTGTAAGTCCTTACATGTAGCTATCTGCTTAGAGTTTACAAGTTAATATTGGAACAGATGGCAATTATTGAAAACTACCAAAACAAGAAGATGGAAAAGAACAGGCAATTTTTCAACAGATTTCATATGGATGGAATTCTCCATCTATAGAACAGAGAAAATCCAAAATGCCCTATGTAAAATCAAGTCCTAGCCTATAATCAAAGGCTCTGCCAATAGTCCCGGTCTGGAATGCCGCATTGCTCACCTAACACCAATTCTAAGGCACTTCATGCCTCTGGACACTCACTTTTGCTAAGTATCTCTGAATTCTCCTATCTCTTGGCCATGGTTCAAAATTTCTTTTTTCTTTTCTTTTCTTTTTTTTTTTTTGAGATGGAGTTTCGGTCTTATTGCCCAGGCTGGAGTGCAATGGCATGATCTCAGTTCACTGCAACCTCTGCCTCCTGGGTTCAAGCGATTCTCCTGCCTCAGCCTCCCAAGTAGCTGAGATTACAGGCGCCCACCACCATGCCCAGCTTATTTTTGTATTTTAGTAGAGACGGGGTTTCACCTTGTTGGTCAGGCTGGTCTCGAACTCCTGACTTCAGGTCATCCACCCGCCTCGGCCTCCCAAAGTTTTGGGATTACAGACGTGAGCCACCGCGCCCAGCCAGTTCAAAATTTCTAGTTAAAAACTGGCCCCCGCCACAAGTCCTACCAGTTCTCCCCACTTGAATCTGTTTCTTCCTCTCTTATAGGCCTATAAGTAGTTTCCACCTCTGTTGTAGCTGTCAGACTCATAAGCAAGCCTTTCCCAGAGCCATTCTTTCCGCTAAACTGTGTACATCCCTCCAGAGCAGGCAGTGTGTCTTTCCTCTTCATAGATCCACAGTGCCTAGTACAATGTATTGCACATAAATAAAGAATAAATGCTTGTTGGATCAAATAGCTTCAATGATCAGTAACAATAATACCCCAAAGAGATTTACGGTCCAACAATAAGATGCAAATTCTACTAAAGTCCAATAATAATTAAGTGAAAGGAACAACACACACTGTTAATATTACACAAAGTTACTTACCAGGCTTAAAAACATAGTGTGCTTTTACCTGTCACCAGGATTTCCAGACTGTTGCCAGAAATACTTTAGAGGAGAGTTTTAAAAGCCCTGGGAGAACCAGATTGTTGCTGAACAATTTCAAAGTTAAAAATACAACCCAGGGGTCGAGACCTTCCCGAACCACATGGACAGCCATGTTCTCCATGCTGGACACCCTTTCAATTATGTCCTCCCCTAGGTGGTGTCTCCTTCCCTTCCACCTCTAACTTCCATCCTCCCTTCCTGATCCCACTACATATGTACTTGTTGGCAAGCAAATCAGTTCCACTGTCAAGGAAAAAGGCAAGAAAGATCCATGTACATTTTATCCCAAGCCTCACTCCAAGGAAGGAAGTTAATTAAAGTCTCATCTAGCAGACATTCCTCCCCCAGCTGTGTCTAGTCACGAGGAGAATGACGATTGTGTGCATCTGGGCAAAACATTAAAGAGGAAAGTTCTGCAAAAATTAGGTATGGTTTGGAAATAAGAAATAAACATAGTCTACATATTTTGCAGAAACAACATTAAAGAAGCCCCAGGCCAGCCCTGTCGCTTGGGGGCCTCCCAGGTGGAGGCAGCAAATAGTTCAAAGAGGAGCTGTTGGAGTATCAGTCTAGCTCCTAAAATGAGACTGTAAGATCCTTGAGCACAAGGGCCCACATTTTCTCCATCTCTGGGATGTGTTCCCCACCCAGACCTCCAGGTGAACGTGCTTACCCAGACCTCCAGATGAACGTGCTTACAGGTACCTGGGTTAGAGGAACTGTCTTCATTATCATGTCTGTCTTATTTCCACATTTTTATTCCCATTAAGCCCCCTTTCCACTGTTTCTCCCAAATAACTGTTTTCCAAATGCAATGGATTGGCTCGGACCACGCATATACTTATCCCTTCAATCATGAAGTCAGCTGGAAAAAAAAATACCTGCTAGTTTACTTCAACATGACATTACCAATATGACAATTTTCTGAACACACTGCACAACATATATTAGTTCCTTAAAAAAAAAAAAAAACTGTGTTTACTAATGTGCCAGGCACGATTCCAGAAGATGTATTTATTTTTTGTTGGAGATTCTCCCAGACATCATCTTGTTATCTGACAGCTAATTAATAATTGGTTGATTGTCATGATAGGCTGTGTGAACAAAACTCACTTCTGTAATTTCAATGTATTTCCTCTACCCTATCCTTCCAACCTCACCTCCTCTTAGCCAGTCAAGCTGAACTACCCCTTAATCAACCATTGTGTTTTTGCATCTCCCTGCTGTTCACCTTGGATGTCCTAATAATATTCAATAATTAGATATCTGCCTAATGGAGGCAGACGCCAAAATGTATATATAGCAACACTTTGGCCTAATGTCCTCCCTATCTATGGTATGCATGTTCTAACTATACCAATATTTTAAGGTCAGGCTCAAAAGTCATCTACCTCACAAAGTCTCTTCTGACAACCCTTCCTCCTTCCCCTAGGCCAAACATTATTGCTCCTTCTTAACAGCCCGTTGATATTACCTTTTGACATTTACTCTCTCTCTCTCTCTCTCTCTCTATATATATATATATATATATATATATATATATATAATATAATCATTTGTATATTTCATTATCCCAACCTATCAGGCTCTAAGATCTTGGAATGCTGGGGTCGTTACTTCTCTCATGCCTTTTAGCTTTGCACCTAAGGATGATGATGATGATGATGTTGATGAGGTAGGGGCTAATTTTTATTGAGAGTTTTACTGTGGACTTGGCACACTGTTAAATGCTACTTATCTCATTTCATTTTCACCATTCTATTAAGTACTACTATTATTGCCATATTGTAGATGAGAAACAGGCTCAGAGAAATTAACTGGCTCAAGTTCACAGCTGTTAAGTAGAAGAGTTCAGTCTTGTATTTTATTTATTTATTTTTTTGAGATGGAGTCTCACTCTGTTGCTCAAGCTGGAGTACAATGGCACCATCTCAGCTCACTGCAACCTCCGCCTCCCGGGTTCAAGTGATTCTCCTGCTTCAGCCTCCCAAGTAGCTGGGATTACAGGCAGGTGCCACCACACCGGGCTAATTTTTATATTTTTAGTAGAGACAGGGTTTCAGCATGTTGGCCAGGCTGGTCTCGAACCGCTGACCTCGGTAATCCAGCCACCTCGGCCTCCCAAAGTGCTGGGATTACAGGAGTGAGCCGCTGTGCCCGGCCACTTTGTATATCTTTTATTATATTCATTCCCAGGCATCTTCTACTTTGTAGTTGTAAATGGCACCTTTAATTTGTTTCCTTTTTTTGGCTTTTAAATAGAAATACAAGTGATTTTTGTAAAGTTTTTTGTTTTTAGTCTTATTTTTATTCTTTAAATAAGAATATTTGAAATTTTACCATGCATATGCAACAAAGTCCAAAGTTTATGAATATTTTTACACCTGTCCTGAAAATACAAGGCCCTTAGAATACTTGAACTCTGATCACTCACCTCCTAACTTCCAATAACAAAGCAAAATAGTCAGAAGGAGTTAGTTCTTTTATTTAAAATGAACTCTCCTTCCAAATTAGATATTGTTATTATTATTTTTAATCTAAATTTAAATGTAAATCTTATAATTTTTTTAGATTTAGTAATTTCTCATTCAGTTTTCATTTTTATATCTTCTATCTTCCTTCTGGAGTCATTTTCCTCCATTCTGAAGTACTTCTTTTAAAAAACCCCTTTAGTAAAAATCTACAGATGGCAATCTCCTAGTTTTTATTTATCTAAAAATGTTGTCTTGCTCTTGTTATTGAAAGACACAATGTTGAGAAGACAATTCTAGGGTGGCAGTTATTTTCCCTTAAAACTTGGAATACTATTTACTGTCTTGTGGCTTCAATTCTTGTTGAGATGCCTACTTTCAATCTAATTTGCCATCTGTTTATAGGTGATGTGTCTTTTATCTCTGACTGCTTTTATTTCTCATTGGCTTTGGTGTTCTGTAGTTTCACTATAACGTGTCTAGATGTGAAACTCTGTATTTATTTTGCTTGGTCTGTGTTGTGTCTCTGTGGATTTATGTCTTTTGGCAGACTTGGAAAATTCTCAGATATTATCTTTTCAAATTATTGCTCCTCTAACTTGTCATTCTGGAAGTCTAATTTGATGTCTTTTTGGTATGCTTTTTGTATCCTACATGTCTCAACACCTCTCTTGTGTGCTCCATTTTATTTTCTCTCTCTGTTGCATTCTGCAAAATTTCTTCAGATATATTTTCCAATTCACTAATTGTCTCTTCAGCTTTCTCAGATCTGCTTTTAAATCCATTCCTCCAGATTTTAATTTCAAAAAGTTCTGTATGGTTCCTTATGGCCATTTTAATAGTCTTATATTGCTTGATCATTTAAAAGTTCCACTTTAGTTTTCTGTATATATTATATACAATTCTTATTTTTATTCTACATTGATAATGACAGAATCTGAAAACCTTGTGAAGTAAAAATGTGTTATTTGCTGTTTGAGTTGACTCTCATTTATGGTCATTTTTTTTTCTTTGTATGTTTGGTAAATCTTTTTAATAAGCTCATATTTTGTTGAACTGAATGTATAGGAATCCAGAGAGCCTAATTTAGGGATGCTTTCCTCCAGAAGAAAATTTGTTTATTTTTTTCTGGAAGCCAGTAGGCATGATTTACCTAGGACTATTTTAACCCTCTTCAAGTGTACTGGCTAAATAGAAGAGTTTCGAATTTAGCTATCCCATTGTGTGTGAGTGTGTGCACATGTACATGTGTGTACAAATATATATGTGGGCATATATGCAAATGTGCATGTACTCCTGCATTTTAGATTCCTGATTGCAGTGCTGGTGGTTAAATTTGGTCCCTGAACATCTTGGGCTTTCTTGTACACTTATAAATCACTGCTCTCTATTCTCATTTCAACCCACTGCTTCTCTCTTTCTCTTTTTGGGGATTTTCCTTATTTTCTTAATAATCCTTCAATGCATTAAATAATATGTTTAAACTTTTATCTAATATCCAGTAATATCAGATCACTAATTTCCAACAGCCTCCTAGGTTGAGAACTTTGATGCTTAATCCTCTCATTTTGCAGGTGGAAAATGTCTGCCTCAGATACAGGCAAAATCCAAATATGGCCCATGAAGAGGCTAAATATGATTTAGCTCTCATCTCTGCCTCTAGGCACATTCCTAGCACACTCTACCTTACTCCCTGTGCACCTCACTGTCTCAGTGTGCCATACTCCTTCCTGTCCTAGGGCCTTTGCTTTGGCTCTTTCTTCTGCTTAGTGGGCTATTCCCATCTCCCACCCTTCCCCATGCCCTTTGCCTACTTAATTCTTACTTATCTTTCAGATCACATTTTAAATGTCATTTATTTAGGGAAGTTTCCCAGACTCCCTCAGACGAAGATCAAGATCCCCTATTACACACTTTAACAGCCCTTTGGACTTTCCATCAATCCAATTAATATGGCTTAAAATTTATATATTTTAATGTCTATTTCCATTATTAGGCTGTAAAGCCCATGAGGGCCAGGGAGGTCTATTTTGTTCACCACCAACTCACCTGTACCTAACAAGTGTCTGCCACGTAATAGGGCCTCAAAAATATGTGTTAAATAAACAACTTCATTGTTGTGACTCATCCAAACAAAAAGAGATGTGTTCTCTAGAAAAAGTTAAAGTGAAGACTCCCTTGACAATATCCATCAGGACCTGAGATGTAAAAGAACTATTCCTAAATACTAATTTATATCACTTTTCTGCTGCCATCTGTTTTCCAGATGGAAATCTCTCCATCTATAGTATCTCAGAAAAACCTTGCCCTTGCTAAACTACTGTGACAGTTTATTCTTGCAAATAATTTTTCCTTTAAGATGTTCAATAACTTCACATTTAATGCTAATATATATCTTCCAGAAAGTCAATATCATGGACTGCCACAGTCTTATTGGAAATCCTTAACCCATTGCCAATACAAATGTTAGATACTTATGGATTTTTAGGTTTTTTTTCAGCTAATAATTTCAACAATGATCCATTTGCCACATATTTGGGAAATCTGAATTCCATTATCTGTGTACTCCATCCCTTTCCTTGGATTGATCCATCAATATGATTCTATTTAAAAGCTACTTTCCTATGCTGGTGGTGTGCTTATGAAAAAAGAAAAAAAAATAACGGCACATTTTGTGTCCCTATTCTCATCTGTGAAACTGACCTTGCTTTCTGCTGAGAGCCTTGCTGTCACAGATCTCACAAGATTTTCAGTGTTGTAATTTCTTTCATAACTGTGCCTTGTGACCAGTATCTGACAATAGCCTCTTGGATTAACCTGATTTCACAAACTCACCAGGCCCATAAAATCTAACCTGACTTCACAACTGACCAGGCCCATAAAATCTCCACAAGTCCTTCAAGATGCCCAACTGTCTCAGTGTCTACCTGTCCATTAAAATATACAGGAGCTCTCTTGGATAATGTATAGTTATCTAGGTACAGAAAACAAACCCCCTTCAAAGCTTCTTCTTTTATTTTTTTGGAGAATCCCCTTTTAAAGATAATTTCTTATAAGAGACTAAGTTGGTGAGCCAACCACCAGGCATGATGAAGCCATGGGCGGTCTCTTTCTTTTTCCCATAAACTTATGGTAAGCCACAAAAGAGTGAACCAAATATTAACCGCTGCTGTCTACACTTTCTCCCCCTCAAGTGTAGTAAGGTCTCATTCTATTCTTAAAAAAATAAAAGCGCCACCTTAGGTGACAAGGGCATGAGTAAACAACACGTTGTGAAGAAGTACTTCAACATTTGATAATGCCAGATGCCTGATGCTCTTGTACCCTCACAAGGCCTAAAGAAAAATTGCTTCTTAAGACTCAAGACCACGCATGGCACAGGTACAAATGAGGGTTACCTGTAATTCCCTTCTTTAACTAACGAACTCAGGGGTTAACTGAGCACATTTCCATGAGTACAATCAACTTACTGGAACCTATGTGCATTACTTCCTCTAAAACCCACTTCTCTTTGTAAAAAATTGAAAAAAATATGAACATATTTTCACCATATGAAACATGGATTTCTAGAGACTGCTGAATGGGAAAAATGGACGAAAAAAAAGGAACAGCAAGAACAAAAAAATGGTTAACAGGAGGCTGATGTGTTTCCC
The DNA here is from genome assembly GCF_000001405.40 of Homo sapiens. Taxonomy (NCBI): domain Eukaryota; kingdom Metazoa; phylum Chordata; class Mammalia; order Primates; family Hominidae; genus Homo; species Homo sapiens. Next base: position 112,613,911 of record NC_000010.11, on the reverse strand, counting down.
AAGCACAGCAATATGAGCTTAATTGAGGCTGACGCATGACAGACTCGCATGTACAGTATCGCCCAAGCTCCGACTGAAGCTGCTGACAGAGGGTAAATGGTGCACGGCAGCAGGGCTTGCCCTGGCCTGGCATGGCAACGAAGTGCACTGAGCCTGTCAGGAGATAGCATGAGGGCTAATGAAGGGCAGCCCTTGTTTTTAAAATTCTTCTCACTTAGTTTTGGATCAGACTCTACACCATGAAGCCTTCTCAACCTTTTAGTGCTCAGTTAAGGATATGTGACACTTATTTAAAAATTAATGCATTCTAATCAATTTAAAGTTAGGCAGTGAAGAGTCTGCAAAAGAGGGGATACAAAAAGAGCAAAAGGCAGAAGGAGAAGAGAAAAAAAGAGGCCGAGAGAGAATGAGCTCTACAGAGAGGGGAGAAGGTGAAAGGCATAAGAAATACAGCATAGGAAGTACCTCAGTGTTTTTAGACATCTTTGTATAAATAATTTTGTAAAGATAGCCATACCAACATAAGAAGTGGGGGGAAACGAAACATATTCTTTACATATTCTTCCAATAGGATAAAAATTCTAGGAGCCAAAGTGTGAAAAGACAAACGCAGCAAAAGAAAAATGTTAACCTTCACGAAAGATGCACAATTGTAACTTTTTAAAAAGACCAACTTTTTTTTCAGCAACTAAAAGACTATTATTAAATAGTATATTGAATGGTATAAAATAGTATATCCCGTTATTAAAACGTCCTCTTCATCTCCCCATTCGGCAAAGTCTTCCAAAATGACTGGAAATGTGTACTGAATATATGCTTTATTAGAAAGAGTAATATTTATTCACTCTGTTGAATAAGTATTAACATTGAGAAAATTAGTATCATTTTTAAAAAAACAGCCATTATCTATAAACCAGAAAGAAGAAAATGGTCTGTTTCCTACCTCACAGCCACATTTGTAAAATATTCAGGTTATATGCAAAATAAATGGCAAACATTGAGAAGTGACTAGGTGTCCAAACAGGCAGGCGTAGATATCTATTATCTGTTTTATTTTTCTCTATTGTCAAGATAGGAAAATGCTTCATTATAACTTTTATTTACATGTTTTGGGTATGCAAAAAATCACAAGAAATTTATATTTTATAGGTTATTATCTACAAAGCCTTCTTTGAAAAGGTACTTGTGGGTTGGGCATGGTGGCTCATGCCTATAATCCCAGTGCTTTGGGAGGCTGAGGCAGGAGGATCACTTCAGGCTGGGAGTTCTAGACCAACCTGGGCAACACAATGAGACTCCTATCTCTACAAAAAATTCAAAAAATTGGCTGGATGTGGCAGCATGTACCTGTAGTTCCAGCTAATCAGGAGGCTGAGGTGGGAGGATCATCACTTGAGCCCAGGAGTTTAAAGTTACAGTGAGTTATGATCGTGCTATTGCACTCCAGCCGGGGTGACAGAGTGAGCAAGACCCTGTCTCTTAAAACAAAAACAAAACAAAACAAAAAGGTGCTTGTCTTTTTATTATAGTATGACTAGTAGGAAGCAAGAAAGAAATCACTCTAGGTTATCCAAATGTATGTATGACGACCAAAATTTAATTTAGACTGAAAACTATTGTTCTAGTTTCTACCAATCTTAATTAAAACCGTGTTTTCCTTTCTAGACCTCTCTAGGACAAATCACTATCTGACCAGATTGGGTACCCGATTGATAATAGAAAATGAGAGTAGACACTTTTTTAGTCACATGAAAATCCTGATACCTCAGTTTTCAAACTTACGATAAAATGGCTTTTTTATTTTTAAAAGAATTTGAGAATCCATAGGTTTGTATCCAAGAAAAAATAACTCTAATAATTACCTTTCTCAAGGCTGGGCACGGTGGTTCACGCCTGTAATCCCAGCACTTTCGGAGGCCGAGGCGGGCGGACCACGAGGTCAGGAGATCAAGACCATCCTGGCTAACATGGTGAAACCCTGTCTCTACTAAAAATACAAAACATTAGCTGGGCATGGTGGCAGGCGCCTGTAGTCCCAGCTACTCAGGAGGCTGAGGTAGGACAATGACGTGAACCCAGGAGATGGAGCTTGCAGTGAGCTGAGATAGCGCTACTGGACTCCAGCCTGGGCGACAGAGCGAGACTCCGTCACAAAAAAAAAAAAAAAAAAAAAATTACCTTTCTCACCAAATGGGCTTTACCAAAGGTGACTATTTTGTCAGATTTTGCAATTAGCAAAACTCACTTTTTCTTCTTCTTTTCTTTCTAGATTTGGTTTTTATATGCGAAAAACATCAATTTAGGTGCTGACATTAAAAATTAATTATTTTCTATGGCATAATCTTGATGACCTCTAAGGAACTCAACAAGCTTCCCACTGAACCTCACCCTCATTTTACCATGTAGTTTGAGAAAGGTCATCATACACAAGTACATTTTACACAAGTGATCAGAATAATATGTTGCCAAATTACCAGGGAGCTTTTAAGGAACTGCCGTATTGGAAGCATGGACAATCAATCAGAACTTCTAATCCTTCCAAAAGTCCTTCCAAGTTACTTGCTACATAGCATGATGATGAAAACAATGAAAAACAATGGCAATAAAAAGAGTAGAGAATCAAGCTCAACAGATAATACATTTTATTCTGTTCTACCTAGGTCCAATGAGACAAGAAATCTTATTCACAAGTCATCCCTAGAACCGCTGGACTTTGGCCACAGCAAGTAACATTACTCTATTGTCGTTTCTTCTAAAGATTATTAGGATTTGTCAATGTCACCATGCTGGGACAGCTCTCATTACAAATGGCTGAGATTAAAAGTAGCTCTAAGTTTCTTTACAGTGAACATAAGAAAATTTGGTATTAAGAAAGTAGCAAAAATCTGCCTGACAACAACTGATAGACATTTTCATTTCACGTGTTGGACAGTCCACACAGTCTAGATCCATCCTAAAGTTCAGAGGGAATGTAATACTTTTTTTTTTTTTTTGAGATGGAGTCTCGCTCTGTCGCCCAGGCTGGAGCGCAGTGGCGCGATCTCAGCTCACTGCAAGCTCCGCCTCCCGGGTTCACGTCATTCTCCTGCCTCAGCTTCCCGAGTTGCTGGGACTACAGGCGCCCGCCACCGCGCCTGGCTAGTTTTTTTGTGTATTTTTAGTAGAGACGGGGTTTCACCATGTTAGCCAGGATGGTCTCAATCTCCTGACCTCGTGATCCGCCCGCCTCGGCCTCCCAAAGTGCTGGGATTACAGGCATGAGCCACCGCGCCCGGCCGAATGTAATTCTTAAATAGGTATTTTGTCCTAAGTTCTGAGTAATAAGCTATCAAAGCAAAACAAAAGAAATGTACACAGATTTATTTTTTCTTTTGGCAAAATTATTTTATTCATTAGGTCATAATATTAGAGTCAACTGTCTAAAAGAAATTTGAGTAGGAGATAAAAATTGGACTGGATGATTTCAAAGATCCTTTCCAAATCAAAGATTCTTTGACTTTATGCCACATTTTGCTTGGTGTTTTGGTTTGGGAAATGCCTCTGAAAGGAAAATGAGATTACAAGGCTCAAGAGATTATTGATTTTGGGGGCTTTTACCTAGGGCAACAACAGCTCATCATTGGCTTCTTTGAAGCTCTTACAGACACTCCTGGGGCCACCCATGTTTTCCACAGGCTTTGCCACAGTGTGGTCCTAAATGGATCATCTTGAAAAAACTTGAGGAAAAAAAAAAAAAGACTGGAAAAGTATATAATTTTTATGATTCCCCCTGAACACTGAAGATGATTTTAACTGGAATAAGGCCAGTTAAATGCGCCTCATTTTTTTTTCTTTTCCTGTGTGTTTTGTTTACCACACTGTTTCTCTTTTCCTATGTGTTTACCACATTTTTTTTTCTGCAAATATTGTACTTGAAAGCCAGGGTGCAGTCTTTGAAAATGCCTAGGAATAAACTGCCATTATTTTGTGATAATAAGACTAAAACTTCCCTATCCTTTTAAAAGTGAGATTCAGAGTACCATTCTGGACGGAGCCATTTGCCTAAGGGCCATGGAGACTTCAGCAGCAAACCCCTTTCCACATGGATTTGGGACCGCTGCTCCATGAGGCACCACTGAATCTGGCAAACAAAACCCAGAACATTTAATTCACCAATGTGATTTCATTTTTTTAAAATTGAGGGCGTAATAATATGTCAGGGAGGGATGCATACTGGATAAATGCTTAAAATAATTTTATGATGACAAAGTATTCAGAAGAAAGACTTTAAAAAATAGAATGTTTCTAAAACAAGAAACATGGCTTCTATGCAGAAATAAGGTCATATAATTACATTATAAAAATCTACCATACCATTCATGTATCCATTCAACATTTATTGTCTTCTACTATACTCAAAAGTATTAGATTCAGGAAGAGGACTTTGAAAATTAACAAGATCTGATCCCTGTCGTCACAGAGTTTACACTCAAATTATTCCCCCATCCTCTTCATCATTACTACAAATGTAATTACTTTTAAAGTGATTTTTAACTACCCAAAAGAAGTTTTTCATATTTTTAATGATCTTGTTCCAAAGCTAAGACTACCTTCATTAATTTAACCATGTTAAATGTTTGTTCAATATTACTTGCTTCCTTTTCTTAGAATGAGTTCTTATTTTAATGAATTCTCCTTCAAAGAGCAAAAATACACCTCATCACTTAATCCTTTCCCAAAGCATATGCCCAGCTTTTTGGTAGGATTAAGCAGCACAGTATAAGAGGAACTTCTTAAAACGTACTGATATAGAAATAAAATAAGATTCACCAAATCTTTATCATAACCATATATCCCACCAAAAAACCATTTTCCAATGATAATTATTTCTATAGATTTCGATTTCCAACTTCATTTTTACTAGTATACATTTTGTTAAAATATTTTTAAAGTACAAATATTTGACTGAAGATATTGTCACTGCAAAAGCTGCTACATCTCATGATAGCTACAGGAACAGACACATGCTAATTAAGATACTAAAGAAGTGAAAAAGCATCCTGATCATTTAACATCAGTTTCAAGCAATATGGAAAGAGTAGAATAAGAAACAAGAGATGTTGAAGATGTTATTTTCCTGACCAAGAAAGGTCAGACATAGTGCATCAGAATGCTGCATCTTAAGAAAATCATTATTTTAACTGCTGAAATTCCAGTGAATAGAATTGTTTTCAAATATTAAAATCTCTGTGGTAGGCTCTGACCTCAGAATAACAAGAAAATGACAGGTGCTTATCTTTCCGAATATAAAAATGACCCTTATTGTAAGGTCATCATATAAAAGGCCTATTTCCCCTTCATGAAATAAATAATTATACCAGTGATTAGATATATTTGCCCACATGTCTACATGTGGTTTAAGTGGTCATTTCAATGACTTAAATATAGAAAAGAACTAACACCTACAAACTTTAAAAACTATAGTCCAAGTGGCCCATAGGCTTTGTGTATCATTTTTCCTTGGCAAATTATTTATACAGCTTCCTCAAAAACCCCATAAATGTTCTTTTTAAACAAATCGCACTTTATTTATCACATCAGGCATACACTGTTTTAAATAGCTGGTTTTCTATATATATATGCATATGTATGTATGCATGCATGTATGTAACAGCACTGTAAATGATGTGGAAGTCTTGTCTAATTCTACTGGAAGGGTATCTTCTTTAAGAAATTCTAAAAGGCTTAAAGTAAAATTTTTCAAAGGAGGAAGCTGTAACGTGAGTGTCTGTGTCACAGAAAGGGTTTACAGTAGAGTTCTGTGGTAGCCAGCCCCAAGATGGCCCCCAATACCTTTTGGGAGCAGACACCCTTATGTAGTCCCTCCCACGTTGTATCAGGGTTGGTCTATGTGATCAAAAGAATACTGCGGAAGTGATGAGGTGTCAATTCCAAGGTTAGGTTATAAAAGATGCTAAGGCTTTTGTCTTGGCTATTCTCACCTACACTCTCTCTTAGAGACGTCAGCTGCCATGTTGTGAGAACACTCACTTATGGAGAGGCCCATGTGGATACTTGCCTATGAAGAAGCCCAAGGGATGGAATAAAAGCACAAGGCTTCCAGACAGCAGCAATTTGAGTGAGCTTAAAAACAGATTTTCCAGCCCCAGTCAAGTGTGCTGATGACTACAGCCCCAGCCTACAGTTAATTATAACCTCATGAGTCCGAGAGACCGAGTCAGAACCATCTGGCTATGCCACTCAAGAATCCATGACCCAAAGACACAGTGTCAAAATGAATGCTTATTATCTCAGTTTTGGAGTAATTTCTTTCATAACAAAGGACAAGTAATAGAAGTGGGGCAGTAGGATACTTTTCCATTCAGAAAATCTTTCCTACCTTCCCATTTTAGGCCAGGCACTGTGCTAGGCACTGAGGATACTGTGATGAATAAGACAAAGTCAGTCTCTGCTCCTGGAGTTGTTGGTGTAGAGTGGGTACAGTGCAGTGAACAATTACAATGATGTCTTAAGTGCTGTAACAGGGGAAGTATAACTGCTCTGCTATCTTGGCTCACCTCCTGCCTATATGGTCTTGGACAGCCACTCAATCTCTCTGTGACTTAGCTTTCTTTTTTTTTTTTTTGAGATGGAGTCTTGCTCTATCACCCAGGTTGGAGTGCAGTGGTGTGATCTTGGCTCACTGCAACCTCTGCCTCCCGGGTTCAAGTGATTCTCCTGCCTCAGCCTCCCAAGTAGTTGGGATTACAGGTGCCCACCACCATGCCCAGCTAATTTTTGTATTTTTAGTAGAGACAGGGTTTCACCATGTTGGCCAGGCTGGTCTCGAACTCCTGACCTCAGGTCATCCACCCACGTCAGCCTCCCAAAGTGCCTGGATTACAGGAATGAGCCATCATGCCCAGCCAACTTAGCTCTCTTATCTTTAAAATGTGAATAATAACACTTACCTCTTGGGTTGCTGCGAGGATGAGAAATAACATATGTAAAGCACTTGACATAAAGTTGGTGTTTAATACTACGTGGTAGCTGTTGCCACTAGGACTAGGTTCTTTAAAAATAGGAAGCTAATTTGATTGTGAAAACTAGTATTTCATTTTAATAGCATAAAGGACAAAATTTAACAAGGAAACAGAAAAGTGAGTCTTCCCTCTAGTTCTTTTCCCATTCTCATCTTAGCCATCAGTCACTAATAAAACAAATGTAAGTGTCTGTTCAAGTGTCATTAACTAGTGGGCAGCTGAGCTATGGTCCTAGACATGTAATATGAAGAAAGTACTAGGAGTAACTGAAAAAAAGAACAACAAATCTATAGGTATTTACTTGGGCCCAGCTGTGCACAAGGCAATGAGAAAGTTGTGATGGGGAAATGCAGACATTAGTTCTTGTCCTCACACAGCTCATAACTGTCTTATGGTGACTTGCCCCACTTCCTGGAAATAATGAGGAAAAGCACCAGTAAGTGACAAATGAGTGGTAAAGGATGCTGGTTATGGAATTCGGGGGAGGAGCAGCACACCACGGGTGGTGAGGGCATGAAGACTTGATGCTCAAGCTGGTAAGAGTTATATCAGAATAGCACGCAATGGCCGGGCGCGGTGGCTCACGTCTGTAATCCCAGCACTTTGGGAGGCCGAAGTCGGTGGATCACCTGAGGTCAGGAGTTCGAGGCCAGCCTGACCAACATGGAGAAACCCCATCTCTACTAAAAATACAAAATTAGCCAGGGGTGGTGGCGTGCACCTGTAATCCCAGCTACTCGGGAAGGCTGAGGCAGGAGAATTGCTTGAACCCAGGAGGAGGAGGTTGTGGTGAGCCGAGATCACGCCATTGCACTCCAGCCTGGGCAACAAAAGCAAAACTCTGTCTCAAAAAAAAAAAAGAAAAAAAGAAAAAAAGAAAACTAGCACACAATGGCCTAAAGACTACATGTGGTCTTGTTTTGTTTGAAGAGTTTTGTTTGACTCACACAGTGCTTTAAAAATTGGATACTTTAAAGAGAACATACTATTTTCTAGCTTTGTGTGAAAAGTTGGATGGTCCAATAACTTAAGATGCACTCTCCACCACAGCTGTCCTTTCTAGGGACAGGGTGTGTGCCAATTCCCATACCCCTGTGTTCCACCTCTGGCCTATTTTACTCACATCCTTTCCCTGTAAGGCCCTTCTAAGCCATCATAATTGTGGAGGTAAGAATGACATGGAGCTGCAAGCACAGGCGGCTGGATGTGGGTAGGTAGATAGTGGCCTTAGTTGCAAGGAAAATGCCTACTGTCTTTCACTCCATCTGTCTTACACAAGGCATTTCTTGCTTGTCTCCAGATATCTGAGTTACAGACTCCTGGTGTGGAGAGAGGGAGCGGTGATCCTCCAGTGTGCACAGAGCTGTCTCTGGAGTTAGGCGAATCCATGGAATTGAAAGCAGCACACGCTCAGAAGCAGCTAAGGTTGTAGTGGAGAAACAGTAAAGCTATGAGCCTGTCCTTTTATTTACTCCCTCCCTGGAAAAGTAGAAGGAACCAATTTTCCTTTCTTCCTCTACCTCTTAGGTGACTTGTTGGTTCTTCTGTAAATTTCTTTCCCTCTCAACACTGTTCTTACAGTACAGTGTGGTTCAACTTCCCCAGATAAATACGTCAGGGGTGAAAGGAAGGCAAGGGGACACTACACATATCGTTCTTCCTCTTTCTGCCCCAGGAGCCAGGCCTGGGTTTGTCACACTCCTGGACAAGGTCGCCTGGAAGGGGCAAAACCTGTGGAGATTGAGCCGAGTGTGGGGGAAGATCAGGATGGAAAGTCTGGTTTGGCTACGTTGTCAGGGTCAGGGACATAACAGAAACTAAAAATAACCTCTCTGTGGGGAAAAAGGTTATAATGTATACCGAAAGGAATTCTATGTTGACTTTTTAATTTTTCCTGCACAAATTTTCAAAAGAGGCCTATATAAGAGAGGTAGAATATCCAGAGATAGATGTACAGAATTATATATTTAAACACAATGTTCACTATGACACATTTGATTACCCTATTCTAAATGAGAGTAATACTTCATTTACCTAAGTGAGTAAAACTGTACTCAGTGATCACCGCTGTACACCAAGAAATGTGCCTTTAATTAGACAAGGTCACCAGATCATAAAATAAACATGAAGAATCAGAAATGTAATGTTTTATATCTCTTCTGGCTTTTAACTTACACATAGTATTTTCTCCTCATTTATTCCTTTGTTTTCTAGTAATAGACTCGTATACAGGAATATGCCCAAACAGTTCCATGAGAAAGAGGTGATGTGTAGAACCAGAGATACATCTGGTTGTGTGGAAGCAAAATCATTAGCAGTTTATGAGTGTATAAGAGTTTCAAGTTATATGAAAGCCCCAAAGAACACTGATTTTCTCATATACTTATTTTAATCCTAGTGTATCTTAGATTCTTTATAGAAACAAGAGAAAGCAAAAATGGAGAGAAAGGTGGAGAGCGAGTTAGAGAGGGGGAAGAAAGAGAAGAATAGGATAGAGAAACAAGGACATAATCATAATTGATTGTGCACTGACTTTGTGTTAGGTGTTGTAACTCTTTACACGTATGAACTTTAACTGTTTACATGTATCTTCCTAATAACCCATGAAGTTGTTACAAGCCCCATTTTGTAAGTCAGGAAAATGGAGCATAAAGAGGTTGGATAACATACCCAAACTAACACAGCTAGTTGATGGAGGCAGCTGAAATGTAAAACCAGGCAGTGTGGCTCCAGAGCACCCACTATGCAAAATTAACAAAACAGATCATAGGGCTCGGTCTCCACTGTCTACTGGGTCACTCGTATCCCCACCCTGTGTTAACCCTCAAACCAAAAGAAAAAAAATGAGTTTATTTCTTAAGCATGTGAATCTGGCACTGACAGCCTCACATCCTAAAAGACAGCACACTGGACACAGGAAAATGCTCAGGGGGAAACAGTGAGCCAGGTGGGCTTAACTAAATTGCTTTCTAAGGGGGATGAGCTCATGAAGGTTTTGTTATTGTTACTGGGTGTTGTCATCTACCAAGAGTAACTGCTCTTCTCCTTTACAGGTAACCAGGCACACAGCCAGGCCTTGTACGCTTGGGTGGGGTGGGGGATGGGGAAGGCATTGGGAGGGAGTGGGTTGCTAAGGTGGATGATGGAAAGCTATTCTTTCTTGTCATTCATTGAGCTGGTCTTGGGATGTAATGCCCCTTTTGACTATCTAAGAAATCTGTGAGCATACCATACAAGGGGAAGAAATTTTGGAAATTCCTAGGATATATTTTGAGATCCAAAGTGTGAAGCACTCAGTTTGAAGTAAAACAGTATTTAGTTCCTATGAGGGAAAAAAACCTACTGGGAAAAATCATGACAACTAAGGAAATCACTATTACTATTACTACTGAAATGGTTAAAAACCAAACAAACAAAACATAAAACAAAATTAAATTAAATAATGACTTTTCTACTCAGGAAAAAAAAGGCAATGAATGTTATTGAAAAACTAAACAAAACCCTTCCTACCTCTGCTATATATCAATGGTCAAGGGCAGCCCCACACCCTCAGGATCAAAAGACTTCTATGGGACAAGTCTTTCTTGAAGGGAACAGGCTCTTATCTCAACACATTGTCAACAAGCTCCCAGTTAGCAATGTCCAACTTCATTTGGGTTTAGCTTGTTATACTCATGCTTGCAATTTCAATGCCACATGGCCCAAACCAGCTTCAACAAGTCAGTTCCCCCGATATGGCTCAGTTATACAGCCAGCATGGTAATACAATTTAGGCAAACGATACAATGAATTACTAGAAGCCTGAAAAGAACCCACTCCATGAATCTCCACAAATCATTTATGAATTCAAAATAAAGTATTATTAACAACAAACACTTCTGACCACAGATAACTAGGTGACACAGAAAATGTTTCAATCATGCACTGGGTTTAAAAAAAATTAAGCAGCACATCTGCTTTAGCAGGCTATTTGGACAATAGTTTCAAGTAGTTCTATGTGACCAAATGCTTTTAAAAAATTGATCTATAAAGGTGTTTCTCTAAAGCTTAGGCTTTCATAAAAAAAATCACCCAAATAAGTGTTTACAAAATTAAAATAAATATTGATGTGAACCAGCTTGAACTCTGCTGTTTTACTGTTTGACATTTTGACCACAATTTCCCAGTGTATGCATCCTTTATAAACATGTTAGTAGCTGCTTCCTAAAGGCTGCCTGATAGTAAAGACTTACAATTCTAAGTCCATCACAATGTCTTATAAATCCATTAGCACCAATATTTGTATATTAAAAACATAATCAATTGTGGCTTCACATTAATTGAGGCATTTCAGAATTTGCTATCAAAAGGCATCAAAACTATTTTAGAGTTTAAGAGGTTTAGATAAACATTTCAAAACATTTAAGGATCAGTCTGAAAGAAAGCTTTGATAAGTCTCTATCTTAATTTTCTGAGCTAGTATTATTTAAGCCCTGGACTGCTTCAGCTGAATTTTGTCTAACTCTTGCATATCAATTGCTCATTTTCAGCAATATCCCGGGTATGCCCCCTGCCATTTGTGGACCTGCCTAAGCAAAAGATTTGATAAAAAAAATTTTTTCATTCGCTCAATAAACAGTAAGTCCCAGGCACTGAGCAAGCAAGGTTGAGGTCAAAGGGTGAATAAAATCTAGCCCCTGCTGTAATTATTCTTAATTAGGAAAGGAATATGTTAGAATTAATGATTTAATTTTCACTTTTGACATTTCTATTGCTCATGTTAACTTTAGAAATGCTCACATTAAAAAGTGCATTCTATAAATGGTGATTTAGAGCAACTGTCATGTGAGGAACTAATGCCTGCATGTTTCAGTTCTTCTCATTTTTAATGGCCATCAACCCCAGCACTCAGAAAAATATGGCTCATACTCCAGCCACATGTTTTCTTCAGAATTTATGGAAATGTATTGTCTTTATCTGTATTTGAATAACCCCAGGCTACTAAGGGACCCTAGTTGTAATCATTCTGCTCTATCAAAATCTAAATCCAATTTCAGATGTGTTTATTTAATTTCCCAATGCCCTTCAGAAAAATTACTCCTAAGAAGGATAAAATGTGGACCATTCTCATTAACTAATAGTGATACCTCAGAGCACATGGCATCCCCCATCCCCTTGTCTTACTAATAAATAGTAATATCTGATACAGAGAATCTTTGTTTCATGATGGAATGAGATGAATTCGTATTACCCATTAATTTAAAGGTCAAGGGTTTTACTGGCCAGTCATGCTTATGAAAGCAAACAGGACAAACCTACTTCCTAGGATGAGGCACGGAACAACTAAGAAAAGTGACTGCATACCACAGTAAATAAAGAGAGTCGACAAGGCATTGGTGCCTGGTTGGCACCAAATTAATTAGACCAGACACATTTACAAAAGATTCCCCATAGAAATAGTCATTTAAATTAAAAAAAAAAAAAGTAAATAATTGATGAGTCAGAATTTTAGCCGAGAACCTTCTTAATATTAGCAAAATTGTTTAGGCATAGCAGATATGCCAACCAGTTTTTATTGAACTTCAATATTTACTGTCATTGGGGTAATATTGACTCTGGTTTCTCTGTGGTCAATATCTTTCTTTAGAAAAGCATCTTGGACTTTTCTGCCTCTGTACCTTTGTTTAAGCAGTTCCTTTCACCCAGAATGCTTTTCCCTTAAGTCCCACATATCAAAATGCTACACATTGTCCAAAATGCGGCCAAAGATGACCTCTCCCACTCCCCACAATGAAGGTTTCCCTAATGCTAGCAACTGGATACAGTGCTCCCTTCTCTGAATCCCCATAAAACTATCCTTGCAACATGATTACAGATGTCAGAGTCTACTACAACTTACACCTGTCAGTCCAACACCGATTGAAATTTGTCTTCTTTACTAGATTGTAAATGCCTTGAGGGCAAGCAAGGGATTGCACTTTCTTCATATTTGCATATTTTAAAGCCTTAGCACTAGGAAGTGCCCATAGCAGATGGAATATTGCAAATGCATATCCATGCTTTAAATGAATGTCTGCAACTAACTGTCTTAATGTAATTCACATCAAACATTAAACATTTGTAAAAATTCATTCATTCGTGATTTTTTGAACATTCACCTTTTGTCAGTCACTGTTTTAGGAGCTAGAGACACAGCAGAGACAAAACAGACCAGACATCACGGACTTTTCATTCTCGTGGGAAGAAAAGACAATAAACCCATAAATATAGACTATAAGGTCAGTTAGTGATAAGTGAAGGGTAAGGTGAAAATGAAAGATGCTATTTTAGACTGGTGGTCAGGAAAGCGCTTTCTGCAGAGGCCACACATGAACGAAGCCAGTGAGCCATGTGCGTATCTGGGAGAAGAAAACAGCAAGTACACAGACCCTGGGGCAAGGGTGTGCTGGGTATTTTAGAGGAGCAAGTAAAGAAGAGTGGTAGAAATTACGGTTGGAGGATAAGTGGTCAGATAATGAAAGGCCTTGTGGACCACGTTAAAGACGAGATTTTATGCTAAATATGATGGGAAGTCATTGGACAGTTTTGATCAGAAGATCCTTGATCTGAGTTATGTTTTCAAAGCATCACATTGGCTGCTAATAAGGATAAAAATGACTATAGTAGGGGCACTCTGGAAGATGGGAGAGGAATTAGGTTGTGGTCACACATCTTTGAGGGAGGGGTGCATTATTCTATGTACCACACATGGTTTTCAAACATTCCGTTTTTCAGATTGTTTTGTGATGTGGTGGTAAATAACTAGGGTCAGATAGCCCTGGATTTAAAACTTGCTTCATCACACACCAGCTGTGAGCCTGCAGATATGGTTCTGAATTTCTCCAAACCTTAGTTTCCAATTCTGTAAAATGAGAATAATAAGTATCTATCTATAACCTAATGAACACATAGCATAATTTATTAAAAAAAATTTACTGAGTTGCCCGGAGTTGGAACGTTATTATTCGTTTTGAGCATAGAAAGTCTCCAGTGGGCTGGGCACTGTGGCTCACGCCTGTAGTCCCAGCACTTTGGGAAGCCGAGGCAAGATCATCCTTGAGCCCAGGGGTTTGAAACCAACCTGGGCAACATACTGAGACCCTGTCTTGACAAAAAATTTAAAAATTAGCTGGACGGAATGGTATGTGCCTGTAGTCCTGGCTACTCAGAAATTTGAGGCAGGAGGATCACTTGAACCTAGGAGTTTGAGGTTGCAGTGAGCCATGATCATGCCACTGCACTCCTGCCTGGAAGACAGGTGAGACTCTGTTTAAAAAAAAGAAAGAAAAAAAGCAAAGCAAATCAAGCAAGGAAAGAAAGTCTCTGGCATTGAAGGCTTTCCATGAAGGCCTTCTCCTTCAGCGCTTATTGGCGGTCCAGTCGTTTGGCATCCACCATGGACTGTTTTGTCCTAATATTTAACTTCTCACATGCATACGCCCTAGCTATGCTCGAAGATCCAAGAGGGCAGTATCTTCCTTAAGCCCTGGTTCCATTTTAAAATCAATAAAAGCAGGTCTGTCCAATTGGCCTGCACCATATCTACCCAACACCACATCCTGGCTGCCTGTGTTTTCTTGCCTACTATGCTCTTAATGCAATCATGGCCCTCCTTGTGGGTTGCTTCCTACCTCACTCTGGCCTTGCAGATCCCCCAATCCTACTCTGCAAGCTGCTTCTTGTTTCGGGCCTTTTGAGGGTTTCAAACATTGGCTTTCCACAGTGGCCCTGGACCTCTGTCTCTCATTTTTCTTTATCAGAGAAGTTTCTGGAAGGTTGACTCTTCCTGTTCTGGGTCCAGACCCTCAAAATACAGTCAAAGACGGACTGGTATGTTTTGGAGAAATGGTGAACGGAGGATTGACTGAATGAAGGAAGGAATAGAGCAGACTCTTACTGCAACTTGGTTTCTTGTTATTATTGAGTCAGATATAACGCAGATTGACTCTCTCCTCTCAAAAATAAACTTGCTGTACAAAAGCAAAGTCGTAGGAAACCGGATAAGCCCAATTCACATATGAATGCATAGCAGGTCTTTCTTTACACACCAGCATTACCAAGGGGGTCTACCACACGTAGAAAATCAATCATGAGTCCAGCTTATTTAAAAGAAAGGGATCTTTTCCATCTGACACCTAATGGCAGCAGCAATAATGCAAAATCAGCTTTAAAAAAATTGGTCCCCATTGTTCTCCATTATTTGGGTCTTTGATGTATCCTACATTATGAACTATCAAAGCAAGGCAATGCATCCAAGGTAGGGAACGCCACTAATGAAGGAAACATTAAAAGGTTATGCTTTCCCCCCATTACTTTTGTCTTCTTTGCAAATGGTTTTAAAGGTCATTTTAAAAATAGCCTGCAAGGCTACAAAGGCCTCTAAATATTTAAATAACACAATGCAGTTTATTTTTACGTAGTGTTCTAAATGCACATCACAAAATGCTTCACAGAAATGTCAGTCAAAGGCTAAAGAGGAGAGAAAGGTACATTTGGAGACTGAACAGAAGGAAAACAATGGTTCAGAAGGAAAGGAAGAGGTCTTTCAATAAATGGTACATAAACTACCTGCATAAGTGAAAACACAACCATACGCTTTAGATAATTAGAGACTTACAAGTGAAAGGGGTTAAGCTGAAGACAGCCAAAAATCAAGGTGCCCAAGAGTTTACTGCAAGAAAACTGACTCAGAATGGTCTTGGATCTTCAAGTGCTAGTCTCATGTTACTCTGAAGAACGAAGCTAGATAAAACTGCTTTTATTTTTTTTGAGCATTTACTATGCACCAGGCCTCATGCTCAGTACTTTCTATGACACCAGGTATCCCTCATAGGTTGTTTCATTCTGTTTTGTTTCTTAAGAGACAAGGTCTCTTGGCCGGGCGCGGTGGCTCATGCCTGTAATCCCAGCACTTTGGGAGGCAGAGGCGGGCGGATCATGAGGTCAGGAGATCGAGACCATCCTGGCTAACGCGGTGAAACCCCGCCTCTACTAAAAATACAAAAAATTAGCCGGGCGTGGTGGCGGGCGCCTGTGGTCCCGGCTACTCGGGAGGCTGAGGCAGGAGAATGGCGTGAACCCGGGAGGCGGAGCTTGCAGTGAGCCGAGGTCGCGCCACTGCACTCCAGCCTGGGCGACAGAGCGAGACTCCGTCTCAAAAAAAAAAAAAAAAAAAAAAGAGACAAGGTCTCACTATGTTGCCCAGGCTGGAGTGCAATGGCTATTCACAGGTGCAATCATAGCTCACTGCAGCCTCAAACTCTTGGGCTCGGCCATAGCTAGGACTATAGGCATGTACCACTGTACCTGGCTTGGTTGAAATTTACTTTGAATGGACAAAGAAAACACAGCCCAGGCCAGGTGTGGTGGCTCACGCCAGTAATCCCAGCTCTTTGGGAGGCTGAGGCAGGCAGATCACCTGCGGTCGGGAGTTCGAGACCAGCCTGACCAACATGGAGAAACCCTGTCTCTACTAAAAATACAAAATTAGCCAGGGGGTGGTGACGCACGCCTGTAATCCCAGTTACTCAGGAGGCTGAGGCAAGAGAATCGCTTGAACCCAGGAGGCGGAGGTGGCGATGAGCCGAGACCGCATCATTGCACTCCAGCCTGGGCAAAAAGAGTGAAATTCTGTCTCAAAAAAACAAACAAACAAAAAACAAACCACAGCCCAAAGAGGTTCCAAAAATTCCCAAAGGTTAGCGTAAGTGGAAATGTCAGGACTCTCTCCCCAGATCTGTTTGATTCTCAAACCTCCAGTTCAAGTTTGCTTCAAAGAATGAGAAGCAGATACCAACCTAATAAGTAAAACACAGAACCATCTGGCATTAGAAGAAAAAATAAGCTTCTTCTGATCTTATGGTATGGAAGGCTTTCCTGAGCATACATTCAAACGAAAAACTAATTTAAAAAGAAAGATTTGACTGTATCAAATTCACATGTCAATACTTCAAGAACAGAAGAAAAAGCTTACCAACAAATTTGAAAAAAGTATACCACAAACTTGACACAAAAGGGTTTAGAAGAGTTCTTATGTAAATAAGGAAGAGAAACATAAACACATCAGCAAAAAATTAACTTTTAATGAAAAAATAAGCAAAAGAATTACAGTTAAGCAATGTAAGAGAAATTATCAGCCTTACTCGTGACAAAGAAATGTAATAAAAAGTACAAGCATACCTTCTGCTCAATGTGAGAGAAGGTTTAGGGAAAGGAAAATTAAACTATGGTAGTGTTTTGGAGGAAAATTTGGTATAATACATTAAAAATCTTGAAAATATTATGTTTTTCAGCCCAGCAATTTTGTTTTTAAAAATTTATCACTAAGAAATAGCCAGAATTTGATGTAAAGAACTATGAATAACTATCCCTACTGCAATATTAGTTAAATAGTTTTAAAAACCCCAAAATGTCCAATAATAGGGGCCTGATCAAATAAGTTTATGGTATACTCATGGGATAAAGCAGTAGACAGCCGTTAATGTTTTTCAAAGCAGAATATTTGGTAAAATAAAAAAGTCTTCATACTATATTAAATTCTAAAAGCAGGCTTTTTTATTATTATATTTTAAGTTTTAGGGTACATGTGCACAATATGCAGGTTAGTTACATATGTATACATGTGCCATGCTGGTGTGCGGCACCCAGTAACCCATCATTTAGCATTAGGTATATCTCCTAATGCTATCCCTCCCCCCTCACTCCACCCCACAACAGTCCCCAGAGTGTGATGTTCCCCTTCCTGTGTCCATGTGTTCTCATTGTTCAATTCCCACCTATGAGTGAGAAAATGCAGTGTTTGGTTTTTTGTCCTTGCGATAGTTTACTGAGAATGATGATTTCCAATTTCATCCATGTCCCTACAAAGGACATGAACCCATCATTTTTTATGGCTGCATAGTATTCCATGGTGTATATCTGCCACATTTTCTTAATCCAGTCTGTCATTGTTGGACATTTGGGTTGGTTCCAAGTCTTTCCTATTGTGAATAGTGCCACAATAAACATACGGGTGCATGTGTCTTTATAGCAGCATGATTTATAGTCCTTTGGGTATATACCCAGTAATGGGATGGCTGGGTCAAATGGTATTTCTAGTTCTAGATCCCTGAGGAATCGCCACACTGACTTCCACAATGGTTGAACTAGTTTACAGTCCTACTAACAGTGTAAAAGTGTTCCTATTTCTCCACATCCTCTCCAGCACCTGTTGTTTCCTGACTTTTTAATGATTGCCATTCTAACTGGTGTGAGATGGTATCTCATTGTGGTTTTGATTTGCATTTCTCTGATGGCCAGTGATAATGAGCATTTTTTCATGTGTCTTTTGGCTGCATAAATATCTTCTTTTGAGAAGTGTCGTTCATGTCCTTTGCCCACTTTTTGATGGGGTTGTTTGTTTTTTTTCTTGTAAATTTGTTTGAGTGCATTGTAGATTCTGGATATTAGCCCTTTGTCAGATGAGTAGGTTGCGAAAATTTTCTCCCATTTTGTAGGTTGCCTGTTCACTCTGATGGTAGTTTCTTTTGCTGTGCAGAAGCTCTTTAATTTAATTAGATCCCATTTGTCAATTTTGGCTTTTGTTGCCATTGCTTTTGGTGTTTTAGACATGAAGTCCTTGCCCATGCCTATGTCCTGAATGGTAATGCCTAGGTTTTCTTCTAGGGTTTTTATGGTTTTAGGTCTAATGTTTAAGTCTTTAATCCATCTTGAATTGATTTTTGTATAAGGTGTAAGGAAGGGACCCAGTTTCAGCTTTCTACATATGGCTAGCCAGTTTTCCCAGCACCATTTATTAAATAGGGAATCCTTTCCCCATTGCTTGTTTTTCTCAGGTTTGTCAAAGATCAGATAGTTGTAGATATGTGGCGTTATTTCTGAGGGCTCTGTTCTGTTCCATTGATCTATATCTCTGTTTTGGTACCAGTACCATGCTGGTTTGGTTACTGTAGCCTTGTAGTATAGTTTGAAGTCAGGTAGGGTGATGCCTCCAGCTTTGTTCTTTTGGCTTAGGATTGACTTGGCGATGCGGGTTCTTTTTTGGTTCCATATGAACTTTAAAGTAGTTTTTTCCAATTCTGTGAAGAAAGTCATTGGTAGCTTGATGGGGATGGCATTGAATCTATAAATTACCTTGGGCAGTATGGCCATTTTCACGATGTTGATTCTTCCTACCCA
Organism: Homo sapiens; assembly: GCF_000001405.40. Lineage (NCBI taxonomy): Eukaryota > Metazoa > Chordata > Mammalia > Primates > Hominidae > Homo > Homo sapiens. The sequence goes on along the minus strand of NC_000010.11, from coordinate 112,594,694 downwards.
TGAGCATGGAATGTTCTTCCATTTCTTTGTATCCTCTTTTATTTCATTGAGCAGTGGTTTGTAGTTCTCCTTGAAGAGGTCCTTCACGTCCCTTGTAAGTTGGATTCCTAGGTATTTTATTCTCTTTGAAGCAATTGTGAATGGGAGTTCACTCATGATTTGGCTCTGTTTGTCTGTTATTGGTGTATAAGAATGCTTGTGATTTTTGTACATTGATTTTGTATCCTGAGACTTTGCTGAAGTTGCTTATCAGCTTAAGGAGATTTTGGGCTGAGACAATGGGGTTTTCTAGATATACAATCATGTCGTCTGTGAACAGTGACAATTTGACTTCCTCTTTTCCTAATTGAATACCCTTTATTTCCTTCTCCTAAAGCAGGCTTTTAAAAAAGGATCCATATTAAAACTTCCGGGGTTATGAGCTCAAATGTTTAGAGGATGATAACAAGTGCACGGTGTGAAGTGACCAAGTTTAAAAGATGGAGACCGGCCGGGCGCAGTGGCTCACGCCTGTAATCCCAGCACTTTGGGAGGCCGAGGCGGATCACAAGGTCAGGCAATCGAGACCATCCTGGCTAACACAGTGAAACCCCGACTCTACTAAAAATACAAAAAAAATTAGCCGGGCATGGTGGCAGGCTCCTGTAGTCCCAGCTGCTCGGGAGGCTGAGGAAGGAGAATGGCGGGAACCCGGGAGACAGAGCTTGCAGTGAGCTGAGATAGCGCCACTGCACTCCAGCCTGGGTGACAGAGCGAGACTCCGTCTCAAAATAATAATAATAAAAAAAAAATTAGCCGGGCGTGGTGGCGGGCACCTGTAGTCCTAGCTACTCAGGAGACTGAGGCAGGAGAATGGCGTGAGCCCGGGAGGCGAAGCTTGCAGTGAGCCGAGATTGTGGCGCTGCACTCCAGCCTGAGTGACAGAGCAAGACTCCGTCTCAAAAAAAATAAAAAAAATAAAAAAAAGATGGAGACCACATATCCTGAATAAACGAGTTCACACATACACAGCCTGCTAGCCTATGACGCCTGGTATTTACCAAAAAATGTTTAGACTGGTTGGTGGTTGATGGGATTATGAGTAATTTTTGATTTTTTTCTGTGTGCTTTTCTATTTTCCCTAAACTTTCCATATGAAAAAGAACCCCTTATTTTTATAATCAGAAAAATTCCAATGAATGTTATGAGATGGGAAAAAAGAGGCAATCACCTCGAGCTGGCTTTTCGTCAGAACTACTGACACCCACATGCTCTGAAGAGGTTTTTTCTGTGCTATTTGCAGAGCCCTCCCTGAGGAAGGGGATTTCACTGCCTTCACTTCATAATCCTATCTTTTCACCACGAACTCAGAAAATACACCAAAAACACAAAGCAGTTGTTCACAGTCTTCAGAAATAGCTGGGAAGCTTTAAAAAATATTGATGCCTACACCCGACCATTGGAGATTCTGACTCAATCGGCCTGGCATGGGGCCCCTGCACCAGTCATTTTTAAAAGTTCCTAAGCTCATTCTAATGTTGAGCGAGGGTTGAAAACTACTGGTCTAACCTAAACTTTTCAGAATGCAGTTTAATTTCACTTCTCACTGCTTTCTTTAGGAAGATGGGAGAGGAGATCATCCTCGCTTTTGGTATAAGATGACTGCATCTAGTTTTAGTATCTATTTGAAAGTATTACTCTGCATTCTCTCCTTTAAACTGAATAATCTCAATTGTTCCTTTCCTTCTTCAGACACCACACAGTCCTGCATTCAATAAACGCTCCTGATTATAGTCTTCACAGCACCATATCACTTTCCTTCATGGAACGTAACACAAGTCTAATTGTAGGTTTATCCACAGGATTCACTCGGTTAACACCTTCCTTTCTTCCTGTGGACTGAAAGATCCATTCAACTAAGAGTAACATCCAGTTTTATTTGCCATATATCCTCATAATTTGCTGATTGTGTAAATGTATATGGGCACCTTGTCTAACCATTTTTTTAGGTTCTCTGAGGATGACATATATTCCAAATGCAACATTTATAGAATTGGGCACCTACTGTGTGCAAAGTACTATGTCAAATAATATGTGGATGTAAATCAAAGCACGGATAGATCAAGTGCTGTGATTTGGTCAGGGAGAGATGAATGCAAATAGGTAAACTGATATGGAGTCTAATGAAGATGCACCATTGCGGAGGCAGAAACTCAATGGCATCAACAGATGCAGGAGTGATTTTTCTGATTGGGGCTTTCCCAGAAGCCTTTATGGAGGAGAGGTCCTTTGAGGTAAGCCTTGGAGGATGAACAGATGATGACTGTTAGCAATGGTGGGGGAAGGGCATTTTGGATCCATGTCTTCATTTCTTGTTGTTGCTGTAACAGATGACCAAAAGCTCGGTGGCTTAAAACAGTACATATTTATGATCTCACAGTTCTTTAGGTGAGAAGTCTGGTGGGCACTGCTGCTTCCTCTGCTCTGGGTCTCACAAGGCCAAGATCAAGGTGTTGCCCAGGCTGTGTTCATTTCCAGTGGTTGTGGGGATGTATCCATTTCCAAACTCCTTCTGGTTACTGGCTGAACTTGTTCCTTGTGATTGTAGGACTGGGGTCTTGGTTTCCCTGCTGCTTGTCAGCCAGCGAACTCTCTTGGCCCCTTACACTGTCTACCTTCCACGTCACATTGTCCCTTTACTTTTAGACCAGAGACGACATATTTGGTCCTTCTCACGTTCAAATCTCTGCATCTACCCTTTCTGCTGAATCTCTTCTGCCTCCAACACAGAAAGTTTTCTGCTTTAAAGGGCTAACATGATTGGATTAGGCCCACTGGTTAATTGAGGAAATCTCCTAACTTCAGGTCTGTTACTTTAATTACATCTGCAAACTTCCTTTTGGCATGTAATGTAAAGTATTCACAGATTACAGGGATTAAGGCATGGACATATTTGGAAGGGGACCCTTCTGCCCACCAAGTCAGGTAATCTGCAGGATGATCAGTATAATACAGTTGGGAATATAGCGAAGGAGCTTAAGGGCCTTGAACACCAGCCTGAGATGTCCAGATTTTACCTTGCCATAAGGAAAGGGTAAAGACCTTGAGAAGTTAAATTTCAGTATAAAACAATTAAACAGTACACAATTGTTTAAGTAAAGTATCTCTTCTTCGTTTTGTGTGTGTGTGTGTGTGTGAGACGGAGTCTCACTCTGTCACCCAGGCTGGAGTGCAGTGGTGCGATCTCTGCTCACTGCAAGCTCCGCCTCCTGGGTTAATGCCATTCTCCTGCTTCAGCCTTCCGAGTAGCTGGGACTACAGGCACCTGCCACCACACCCGGCTAATTTTTTGTATTGTTAGTAGAGACAGGGTTTCACCGTGTTAGCCAAGATGGTCTTGATCTCCTGACCTCATGATCCGCCTGCCTCGGCCTCTCAAAGTGCTGGGATTACAGGCGTGAGCCACCACGCCCGGTCAACAGTATCTCTTCTAACATAAACCTGAGTACCCAACAGAGAGGCTGAATTCCTGAGCTTTGCTTGCTCAGCTCCTGCCAATGCTGCCCAGAATGGAAATATCGTAGCTGAAGCTATTTCTTTCTTTCTCTTTTTTTTGAGACAGAGTCTCGCTCTGTTGACCAGGCTGGAGTGCAGTGATGCAATCTCGGCTCACTGCAACCTCTGCCTCCTGCGTTCAAGCGATTCTCTTGCCTAAGCCTCCGGAGTAGCTGGGGTTATAGGCATGTGCCATCATGCCCAGCTAATTTTTGTATGTTTTGTACAGACAGGATTTTGCCATGTTTGCCAGGCTGGTCTCAAACTCCTGGCCTCAAGTAATCTGCCCGCCTTGGCCTTCCAAAGTGCTGGGATTACAGATGTGAGCCACCATGCCTGGCCATATTTCTTTCTTGAGTTGTGGTTATCTCACTATACATTAATTATTATCTTGGGCATATACCTTCTGTTCTCGTTTCCAATCTCTGGGCTAATGAAATAAATAAATTTATTTTATTTTTATTAATATTATTATTGTTTAGACAGGGTCTCGCTCTGTCACCCATGCTGGAGTGCAGTGGCGTGACCACAGCTCACTGTAGCCTCGACCTCCTAGGCTCAAACAATCCTCCCACCTCAGCCTCCTGAGTAGCTGGGATTATAGGCATGCATGCCACCATGTCTGGAAAATTTTAAGAAGGGGTCTCACCATGTTGGCTAGGCTAATCTTGAACTCCTGGGCTCAAGGGATCCTCCCACCTCAGCCTCCCAAATTGCTGGGATTGCAAGTGTAAGTCACTGTGCCCAGCCTGCAATAAATAAATTTATACATCTCTTTCCCACATACACAAACATATATAGAGAGGATATTCTATCTGCCCATCTGTCTGTCTGTCTGTCTATCTATCTATCTATACATTCATCCATACAACCAATACTCCACTTTCTTCTTTATAACATTCTCTGATTCACTAAGTATACATTTTCATTATCATCTCTGAGTAATAAAATTTTCTTAATATCAACTAAACTTTTGAGTAGCTACCAACTTCCACCTCTAGGTCCTAGCTAGGACTCAAAATATCCCTAATAGAGATCAGGGTAAAAACATCTGGGTAGAAGAGTAAACCATGTTCAGTTACTGAGTTCATCTTCTGAGTACAAAAATATTGTGTCATGAAAACGAGAAATCTGCACTTAAATAGCACCCTAACATTAAGGTTTGGCCCTTCAAACCCTATACAAATTAAATCTATAAAAAGGAAGAAAACTATAAATCATCAACTTTAAGGAAATGCACATTGCAATTCCCATGAAATAAATTCAGGCTTTCTTAACATAAAATATTCTCTCTTCTGACTTAATTCTTGTGCATGCAGTAATAATTTCCTCATCAAGAACTCAGATTCTGATGTCAGACTGCTGGTTTAAATCCCTGTTCTACCATTTTCTAGTAGCATTACTTCAGCAAACAACTAAGCTCTCTGTGGTCTCTTCACTATAAATGGGGACAATAAAAATACCTACCCCAGAGGGTTGCAGAGAAGACTTAATACATGTAGAGCACTTGCAACCGTGTCACACACAGTGCATGCTCAACAATTAGCTATTATCATTACTATTATTTTTTAGCTATGTCAGATGTTATTCTTTAGAATTCATATCCCCTCCTTTTTTCCCCTGTATTAGTTCGTTTTCACGTGGCTGATAAAGACATACCCAAGACTGGGCAATTTACAAAAGAAAGAGCTTTACTGGACTTACAGTTCCATGTGGCTGGGTGGAACTTACAGTTCCACGATCATGGTGGAAGGTGAAAGGCACGTCTCACATAGCAGTGGCAAGAGAGAGAATGAGAGCCAAGTGAAACGGGTTTCCCTTAATCCAATCATCAGATCTCATGCGACTTAATTCACTACCATGAGAACAGTATGAGGGAAACTGACCCCATGATTCAATTATCTCCCATTCGGGTCCCTCCCACAACACGTGGGAATAATGGGAGTGCAATTCAAGATGAGATTTGGGTGGGGAACACAGAGCCAAATCATATCACCCCCCATGTATTAAGGGGAAAGAGGTTTTAATTTTATGAAGGCAAACCAGTTCCCTGACACAGAAAGACAAAATAGTTCTTTTACCAGCTAACATCTTCGACATTTGTACATTCACTGTAAGTTAAAAAAAAAAAAAAAAAAAAAAGACAAGGAGTCAAAGTGTTGAAATATGTAGGGAATGTGGTGATAGAAAATGACACCGATGCTTTTGACTGAAATAAATACCTCTATCCCTTCCAGGAACTGTGTTCTGCAAGTGAGTGAAGGTGTCAGGAGAGGTAAGAAAGCTAGACAAAGCCTGAAGTAAAGGAGCAATGTGATTAAATAAAGCCATGACACAGTGATGACGTGCATGGAAGTTAATGCTGCCAGGAAAGAGAAAGTGTTGAACACATTTACTATAATACATTAAAGTCCCACACAATGATGGCCTATGTGAGGAATACGGGCTTGCAAGGCCAATAAAAATGACCTTTCATGCATTACTGTTCCCTACTACTTGCTACTTGCAGTTTTAAGACTCAGGAAAGAGCCTGCCTTTAAACCATTTGGAGTGAAACATAGCCTCGTCCTTCTTTTTGCTCTCACTTTGTAAGACGGGGTTATTATTCATTTCAAAAGAAGATGTACAGTAGCTCTGAACTGAATAGAGAAACCTAATTTTCAAACATGTTACAACATAATATTTTCAGTCTTTCACTGAATGACTTCAAATATTCAACAAGTAGTACTTCCTACAAATATACTACTGTGAAGTGATACTCTGAAATTTATTATATTGACTACTTTTGTTACTGCCTTGCTTTAAAAATTAGGCATTTTAAGTTTTTATTTATTTATTGTTTCAAGAGAAAAAAAAACTTCATAATGGTATGGCCCAATTACAATTATTTTAGATTAGCTGGAAAAACAAACTATAGTTTATTGCTTTTTGCTCTAGGCCACTTAGATTTTCATTTATATATTTCTGTTGCCTGTCTACCTTTTTCTTTTCATAAAACTTAAGCTCAATGTAGAGAAGCTGAACACACAATTGAAGCTAAGTTCAAGTTAGAAGATACTGCACAAGCTCCTTTAAAAGCCCCATCAGGTTTTCTTTACACATTTTGCCATCTTAATCCACTTCATTTTTCCTTTATGACATCAGAGTAGCAGTGGTTTTTAATTTCATTTCAATGGGAAAGAAGTGGCATTTAAACCTTAATTTACTAAAACCAACAAAGCATAAGTTAAGGGTAAAAAAAAAAAACCACTTCTCTTGAATAAAGTACTGCATTAAGAATGTAAGAAGGCAGCAGAAGCACTTCAAACAGTCCAGGAATTTGGAGGGAGGGAGGAGAAGAAGGAAGTCTAAAAGTCATTTTCTCCCCTAATACTGAGGGGAAAAAACCTTTATGAAAATCTTACTAATTTTTTGTAATCTATTTTTATAATTCCAGTCTAATTCTTAGTTCTAATTGTATCTGTACATTTGCTAATTAATATTCAAATTATGGGAACAGGCATAGGTAATGTCATTACATTTAGTTGTCCAAGAAGTGCAACTTAAATAGTAGTAAATATTCAACATTTTCTGCAGAGGTACCTTTTGATATCAAATTTTAGAAATTCTGTTTAACATAGCCATTTGGTCTTCATCAAAGTTTATTATCTTTCTCTCCTTTTTGCTTCATTAATGTAAAGGAGTCCTTTTAATTTAATATTCTTTCCAATTACTTTCTCTTAGTCACAGTTTGACTTATTTTTTTATGCCAGCTTTTAATTTGGTATTGTTTAACTTTCCTTCTCCTATGTTATAAGCTCTTTGGGGCAAGAACATACAATATACACTTCTGAAGTTTTCCACAGTGACTAACTACTGCAACAGTAGGTACATGGCAAGTATTAAATTTGTGAAATGAATCTTTGGAAAACAATGTTTACTCAGAACATTTATAGAGCTACGAAACCTTGGGCATGTTTTTGGAAGTAGCACAAGCAGAAAAGTCATAATTTCCCACAAATTTTATTTAATTAAAACATTATTGCAGCAACAGATGTTGATCCCTGTAAAAGAAATATATATTCCATACATAGTGTCAGGGCCCAACTGAAACATACAAAACCCTACTCAGATCCTAAATGCAATGCCTAGGAAAGTCAAAGACAAACAAATGAAAATGTGAACTTACATATATAAATGAATAGTGCTAGAACAAGCTAAGTTTATGGATGTGGAATTTCTGAGTTTAAATTTCAAGGTCCATGAAAGAATGAAACATGTTTGCTGCTCAAAACCACTGGCCATTTTTAGACGACTAAATCACCAGTGGTTACCCTAAAACTAAGTGCTATAATAATAGGATGTGCAAAATGGAGATGTTGGAAATGAGAAATTCTGAATTTGTTTACTTTGGTCTTTTTTACCATGGCTATGAGAGTAACTGTTTTGACTTCCGACTTTGTTAACCACAATTGTTTCTAAGGAGATCGGCTAGAGGAGGCAGCGGGGTACACAGAGAGGCAGCAGGAACAAAGAAAGAAGAGGAAAGGATGAAGAGAGGACAAAAAGAGATAAGGAAGACTGAGAAAGTATTACTTGCTTTTGAGATTACAGGTCACATGCAATGTCAAAATTATCCTTTATTTTATCCAGTTGAAAAACTAGTGGGTCTCTGTTGAAAATAGGCTTTATACAGAGGATTGCAGGAAAACTAAGGAAAAAGGTTCTCTTTTGCACCTGTAATGTTCACTTATTCCTTCTCAGTTTTAACGAATCATTTAAAAACGCCCACTTCGCACCATAATTAGCTATTTTATTGGCACTATTAGCAGTGCTGAAAAACAACCCAAAGAAGGTTAGTTCTTATTTTAAAATGAAATGAGTTTACACGGATAATACAAAAGGTCCAGAATAAATAGCAACCAAGGAGGAGTACAGAGCTTCCTTGAATGCTTTTTTGGCTGCGAAAAAGAATGTTGCCACAAAAATCTGTTTTGCATCATCTCAATGCTTGAAACAAGAACACATAATTTAGAAGGAAAAAAAAAAAGCCACTCTTTATGCCACTTAGCCATAAAGAGCAAAGTCGTGTTAGAAATAGCTTCCCTGTGATATTTTGGTACATTTCTGGGTTTTTTCAGCAATCGACGTAATTATGTGGTTTGAGAGGGCAGTGTTTACCCATATTACCATTTATACACTGTATACAAACAGAGGACTTGACTCCAACAGTCTGATGAGCACATGGGTTTGCAGGCACATCCTTGACCTCTGAGGAAGCCCAAGTGGTTTTATCAGAAGTAACTGCAATCTTTAAGGCTAGATAATGTTGATTTCTGATTCAGCTTCTGTCTGTCCGAAACACCCAACACTTTTTATGCTAGAATGCTATATTACAGTTTTGGAATACTGTTTATGTACTCTATGTCAATATGCTAATTCTTTCCAAAGTTACCGACATGGTGCAAAGAGGCGGCGAGGGTGTATGTGACACAACCAAAAAAAAAAAAAAAAAAAAGAAATCCACAATCTTTTGTTGTTTCTCTGTACCACTTGATGCCAGAAATAAACTCCCATATCTTTCCCTGTGCCTTCTCTGCAAACTTTGGAATGATTTCTGGGAAGTAGAAAAGGAAACTTATGCCTATAAGAATATTCAAGCTTGGCAAATCATTGCATATGTTAGGATGACTCTAAATGCTAACTTTATTGTACAGAAAGTTCTTTCATGAAAATGACATTCTTTTTCAGTTAAGAATGTTCAGATGTCAAAACTGGTGCAAAAAAAAAGTAACAAGCTGTAATAGCTGTTCTGAGCAGCAAAAAGTACAAAATCATGTTTTAAATATCACACAACTGAATCTATTCAGTTGGCATCCTAAGTGGCATGCCTGTTTCATCAGGCTGATGGCCAAAGCCCTGCTGGAGTGATTCATAACAGTGGTGCACCTCGCCCATTCATGTCTCGTACTGTCTGCGACACTGTTTACACAAGTTAGGAGATGTGAATCGACATTTTGTAGCATACATTTTCTTCTGTGTGGCCCTTTATTAAAACTGGGATGGTTCCCAGTAGCATTATATATTCTACATAAGTTGATCCACCCTCAATTAAAGAAGCTAGTTTGTGTAATCCTTGTTATTAAAATGACTTCTGCAACAAAATGCAGATACTACTCCATGTTAAGATTCCAGAGTCTTCTGACTAATTTTCACAATTCTGTTTTCAAAAGCCTGTCAAATAACATTCTAAATACATCATGGTTATTTTACTTCAAAAGACTACAGATTTAAATGTACTATTTTGGTACCTGCCCCTCACTATCTCTCTCCATAGAGAGAATGTGAATATGCTATCCCAACTCACTGCATGTAAGGAGGCTATGGAACCTCCTGCGCCTACATTTCCTTCTCTGTTGAATGGGGACAATAATTCTATCTATACTCCACGGGTTGGTGCAAAGATTAAAGGAGGAAATGCTTATCAAGAGTCTAGTACAGTAGCTGGTCCATAAGACGCAGTCAATGTCTGATCTGAGAAGCTTAGTTTGTTGTCGGTCACAATTTGAATTGGGTCAGAAAACTAAGGCAAGCAAGTCAGCTGTGGAGGAAGCTGCTGCTTCCAATGGCGCATGCCTGTATGTTGGAAGCATACCTGACAGGCGAGCGATGCCCAGTAGTCAGCTCATCTTCTCTCCAGAAGTGAACCCACAATATATTACTTTGTGATACAAAAGTCATCTTGGCATGCTTGATCCTTTTCGTTGTGCTCTTACTCATTCCTCCTCTGAAGTATTTCTCAGTAGTGCCCTGAAAAATGGCTTGACTTCCAGAGTTCACAAGAAGGCAAGGAGAAAATATGTACCATAAATTCTGACTGTTAATTTCTGTTATCTATTCTGATGTCAAAGTTCTGCCTTAATTACAATGACTTGCAGGATGCTAGAATGTCCAGACTAGTAGCAAAACCACCCAAAATACTACCATAATAATACTACGGAGAGGAGGGGAATTAATGAAAAAGGATACATAAATCTATATCCCTTCTGAATCTGTTTACTTATGTGCTCTTTAAATACTATTGTAGATGCTAAACAAATGGTTTTCTTGAATACAGTGCATTTGCCCCTATGCCAATTAGATCTGAACTTTGACACAATGTGTTTTACATACAGGAGAAGAAAAGAGAACATTATATGTGACTGCCATATGACAAGGCAACTTTGGGTATTCTGGGAGAAAAAAGCTGTTTTGGCAGTAAGAGAAAGTGCTGGCAATGTGCACCAACGTAACTCGTCTGTCACTTTAAGAGCTGAAATAGGAAAACCTGTACCATTTTTGTACTTTTGTTCATTCTTTTCAACTCATTCTAAGTTGCCCCCTGGGAGTTAGCCTTCCACCAAAAGTCTCTTTCAGTACACAACTAGCTCTCTCTATTAAGCGTACCCACCCCTGCTCTGCTATAACACTGCTTCCTTTGTACTTGCCTGGTGAACTGACCAGCCATACAGTACAATGGCCACAATTACTAAATTACACTGCCTGTCACTGCCTTTTGTATCACACCTCTAACAGGTGCCATTACCATGATAGGCAAATTGTAATAATCCATTCACAGCACCCACAGCCTTAATAATGTATTTTTTTATTTTACATAATCTGTGTGTGAATACCACAAGGCATTTGAATAGTTAGTAAATACATAGGACTGAAAGACGGAACTGCATGGAATGCAGCCACAAACAAAGGCGCTTAGGACAACAGACCTGAATGCAACCGCATTCCTGATAAAGCGGATATACACACAAACATATCCAACAGAGAAATGGCCTTCAGATTTGAGGGTTTTCTAAAATCAAACTTAGGGACCTGAGAAAATGAAAAAGAAGACATTACCAAACCGAAGTTGTTATCCGGGCTTAAAACTACATATGGTGTCTAGGTGAGTAAAGCCATACAAATCCTCTGCTGTTATTATCAGCACCCAGGGCCAGAAGGCACAAGAGAATCATGAAAGTACGAGTTGAGCTCCAAGAACTCTGCTCTTGATCATCGCTTATCCTTTTATCGCTCCCCTTTCCTTTCTTTATCTCTATAAGATGCCCACATGCATATAAGACATGAAACATGAAACCACTTAAACGATTTGGGAAGAGTTTACAGAACTGCTCTAGTATTGAATACATGTATCAGCAAACGTGCCTCCCTTCCTGGGCATCATGGTCAGTGGTAAAGCTGGGCAGGTCACTGATGGAGATTTAGAGGGTCTTATTTTCTTGGAGGTTTTTTACAGCCAAGAGATACTTACTGGTGTTCTTCAAAGCTGGTGCACAGTGGTGGTCTCCAGGTGGCTGACCTCACAGAGGAGTTATATTTACAATATAATAATATTTATACGTTAAAAAAGTGACTAAAAACACGTTTAAGTTAAAAGGCACTAATCAAGTATAAGATGGCATCACTATTATAGATTAATAATTTAGAACACTTCAAGTTTAAGTATTGCCTTGTTAGGTCATAACAAATTTAACAAGGTAAGCGTTTTGGAGTTTCCTCTCTACCAAAGTCATTCTTGGACCACAAGTCTTTAAAATCACTACTTTTCTACCACCTAAAAGGCACAGCCATGCCCTCAAAGGTTTCCACTAGCTATGTCACCATGAGATCTGGAGAAGGGCTCACAAGCAAGATGACCAGAGATGGTTCCACAATTTCCATACTTAACAGCGACCTTGGGGGCTGCTGGGGTGGAAGGAATGTACTTGGCATGTGAGGAGAACATATATTTGGGGGAACAAGAGGTGAATTCTATGGATTGAATGTCTTTGCCCACTAAAATTCATAGATTGAAACCCTAATCCCCAATGTAATATATCTGGAGAATGCACACTGGGGAGGTCATGAGGTCATGGGATCGAGGTCTGCATGATGGATTAGTGCCCGCATAAGAAGAGACAGGAGAGAGTGTCCTTCTCTCTCTTTCTAACTCCACGACAGAGCAAGAAGACAGCCATCTGCAAGCCAGGAAGAGAGTCCTCACCAGAATTCCACCATGCTGGCACCCTGATCTCAGACTTCCAGCCTCTAGAACTGGAGAAATAAATTTCTGTTGTTTAAGCCACCCAGCCTGTGGTATTCTGTTATGGTAGCCTGAGCTGACTAAGACAGAAATTAGCATCAAGACAGAAAGGTGTGTCAAGGAGGTAAGTCAGAGATATTGCCGTGAAGTTGCATTTGCACATCAAACATGTTATTTTTACTTAGATGTTATAGTAAAGATATTCCAATTGTAGTTTAGAGCATTTTGCCTATTAAGTTTCTTCTTTCCACATATTAGGTTGTGATACTATCAACCTAAAGTGCCTTTCAGGGGAGGTGCTAATAGAGATTATGGAGGTGGCTAGTGTCCTCCCTCTTCAATTTGCCCCTTAAATTCTGCCATTGATGAAGACGCATCAGGAAGTGCTATTTGCTAACAGGAATGCTGTCGCTGATCTATAGATCTCTATAAACATAAATGGAAATTCCAGTGTCTATATCTGCATCATCATCATCATAATCAATCATCATCATCATAATTTATCAAGAGCTTACTATTAATATATACCTTGCATTGTATAAGGATTTCACATTATCACATCTAATTTGTCTACCAAACCCACAAGGTAGGTACTTCTGTTATCTCAATCTTGCAGATTAGAAAAGTGAGGCTGAAAGCCTAAGTAACTTACACAAGGTGATTTTTATGAGTCCCAATAAAAATCAGACCACATACTCAAATTGGTAATTTAAGCAGACCTTGTAACAGAGATAATTTAAAAGGCGTGGGAAACCACAAGGCCTGGCACACTAACCTGGGGCAAGTAACAGTGGACAAGTTATCACCCCTAGGCTTGAATATGGGAAGGGAGGGAGGAGTTATCAGGACTCTGAAAGAAAGGGCTATGCAGAGAGAATGATGCAGCCAGCCCACTGCAATCCCAGAGGAAGAGAACCAAGTGAATTCATACCTGGACTACACTCTCCTCCCTGTGTTCCATCTTCTGCCAGAGCTCCCACGGGGTGACCTAACTGGAACCCAGAAGGCATGCGGAGCCCACTGGTGTGATCCATAGAGTTGATCTTCCTAGGAACTATGCAGGGTGCATGTGGGAAATGCAAACTTATATTTAGCATGATCATATGGTGTATAAATGCTAGTAGGTCTTGGGTTCAGATCCAAATCTATTGCTATGGACTATCAGGCTATATACACTGCCCTCTAAGAAGACATGTACATTCGTAATTCCAGTACGTAGTTATTCCTAAATATTCTATATTCAAAATCTTGAAATTCTCAAAATCTCCATTTAGTCAACCAGACTCCCACATTCCTTCTTTCCCTTCTTGGTTCTCTATGCACACTGTGAAATGTCAATCACCTGATGCCCCCCTTTTCCTCCTATCTGTCACCCTGATTTGGCCTTTCACTGCCTCCCCATCTGGCCTGCCTCCCACAGTTAGCCATTTCAACTTTGCACTCCCTACTACCCTACAGTCACTCCCTCTTTGTTCTCCTGTCACTCCTAGTCTGCTAGTTCTCAAAAGGCATCAACTTTCCACTGTTCACTTTCTTGGCTTCCATTCTTGGTCTGCCAAGCAATCCTGGGGAGAACTGTGAAACCATGTTATTGAGCCCAATACACATTAATGCTTCCTAACCTCAGCTGGGCCTTTGCGATGGTTCAGCAATTTCCAATCCCGCTCCTGCTGAGTCACCTTGACATTCCCCACCACAACTGTTCTCAGCCTTTCCCATCTTCTTTCTAAGTTCTTGACCTTGCCTTTCACCTTCAGGGAGTAACTTGGCTTCCTATTTGGAATCATGGTGATTCTCCAGAAGTTCTCTCTTCTATATTTATACATTATTCAAAATCTATCTTCTGCTTCTTTCACCCCTGCTTCAGAGGAAGTGTTTCTCCTTTCTGAGGTTACATCTTCAACTTCTGCTGTTGATTCCATCCCTTTGTACATCTTCCAGGTCCTGAAATGATCAATGAGGTTCCTTCATGCTGGCATCACTACCCCTTTACCAGTTTCCACCTCTAGGCCCCAACACATGATCAGGGATCTCTAGCCTGAACGTAAGAAAAAAAATAATAATTCTAATCCTCATCAAAACCACCTTTTTTTCTTCCCCAGTCACTTTTTCTTAAAAAGAAAATTCTAGGATCAACTTTTCCACTACTCAAACTTTTCTGTTCCTAAAAGCCACCACTTCCTACCTGTTTGAATACTCTCTGGGTCTTCTATAGTATTTAATTATTCTAAGTTACTTCTCTTTCTTGAAAAATCTCTTTCTTTAGCTTCCATGATGCTGCACTTCCCAGAGTTATCTGCAAATTCTCTTCACTTACTTTCTCCCACTTTCTCTTTTCTCCTGTGAAATGCACTTTCCTTAGGGTTCTAAGGCTCTTTTCTTCTCTATTAGTATTCTCTGGGTGATCTTATTTATTCCCGTATTTTAAATGTGTTTCTGAAAAGTAGCATTTATGAGATGACTTTAAGTGGAACATGAACTGACACTTTTTTATTTGGAAACTTTGTTCAATCTAACCTTAGTCAGCATCTATTGTAAGATATACCTTTTTTTAGTTTTTATTTTAAAAGACAATGTCTCACTATGTTGCCCAGACTGGTCTCAAATTCCTGGCCTCAAGCCATCCTCCCACCTCGGCCTCCTAAAGTGCTGCGATTACAGGTGTGAGCCACAGTGCCCAGCCAGATGCACCATTTTTTATACACTACTCAGAAAACAGCTGTCAACTAAATTATGACACTATATTTTCTTATCATTTAAAATTTTTATTTTATGCTTATTCAATGAGCTCTTTTTGACTCAGAGATCTTACATACATCTCTCTTGTGCATACACAAAATGGAAATATAAGCAAAATGAATGGGTTAAGGTTTTCCTAGAATTTTTCCACACATAAGTGTCCACCTCTTCTGATTCACTTTTCAACTTACAGTCATCAATGTCCTCTGCACCTGATGCTGCATCAAGGGTACTGGGATACGGCATCTCTTAAGTGTGTCTCTGGGATTATCTTCCATGTTGCTGATACTATTCTGTAAGTTTCCATGTACCAGAAAGTAAGGTTTTTCAGATGACAATTAAACTCATATTCTTTTCTATAAAGATCCTTAAATGGTTTGTTGATAGAAACTTACACTTTTCTGCTGATGTCACCAGGAATAGCAAGCAAGTTGGCTCATGTGCTGACAATGACAAGTATATCACCACTGTTGCTGGCCTGCAGAGTTTGTAAGATGCCATTAATTGTAAAACACTCTAATTACAGAAATGTTAAATTGTAAAAAGATACACATCTTACAATCATGCAATATGGTAATTATACATCTAATGGGTATCTTAAAAACTATATCCATCACATCAAATTCAAGATATTATTGTTTAGAATGGGGCTACGCTTTCAAAAAGTGAGCTAACTTAAAATAGATTTGAAAATATTAAGTAAAAGTATCATGCAAATATGACAAAAAGCTTACAAGTTGCACTCATATGGATAAAGTTTGAAATATATAGATTTAAATGACTATCAGTTCAAGAATGATTTATGTCTACATGTCTAACTATAACTTCATTCCTAAGCTTCAATCCCAGAGGTTTGACTGGCTACTCAATGAAAACACTTGGGCACTTTGTTAATATCTTAAATTCAGTATTTTCTGCCCTCCAAACCTATTCTTCCTCCTGATTTTCCTTTACTGTTTACTCAATCAATATATACCTTTTACTCAACCAGAAACCGTGGATTTCTGATAGGGTTTCTCCTAACTCTCCCTTCATCCCTGCCCCCCACCTCCTATCCTCAGAGCCAAATTGCTGCGTCTGTTGATTCTTCCTCAGTGATGTCTCTGGCATCCATCCTCTCTTCTTCATTCCTGCTCTCACAGCCCTAATTCGAGCCTCAGTTATTTCTTCTATGACCTGCTGCCATACTGTCTGAAATGCTTTCCTTAGGGTTTCTTCTCCTCTGAGCTGTCCTATATGCCACTGGCCAGATTCGTCTCCTAAAGCATCGTTATCACCAGGTCACTTCTTGGGCTCAAAAAGGTTCAAACAAAACAATAAGAAAGTTACTTCACATTTACATAGTATTTCCGGACTTTTTTCATTTGATTTTCTCAGCAAGTCTATGAGGTCGGATAAGCGTTATTAACCCCATTCAAAAGAAGAAATGAGAATAGAAAATGGGTAAATGATTTGCTGAAACTTAAACAGCGAACGGATTTGGTGGTCTGATGGTCTTTTCCCTGCATCATGCCCTCTTGCAATTCTTCACTGCCTGGAAGGCTGCTTGGCTGATTTAACCACGTACATATGATTCTATGTCTAATTTTAAAATACAATTTTTGATTAAATTATATTTCCAGCTTGTCCATCTCCCAGTTCCTTTCCCACACTACTACCAGGATAATGTTCCTTAAGTATAGGCCTCATCATATCACCCTGTCATTCATATGCCTTTAATAAGAACATATTAGAAGCTATTGAACACAACTTTTTACTTGGCATGTTATTTGTTCACAATGTTATCCCCACAGGGGATGGCTTTCTTTGTAACTGCTCCCAATCTTCAAGGCCCCATTCCAAATGTTATCTTCTTCTTCAACCTGGACTTAGTTTCCCAAAACCCTCTCACTTTTAACTGTTTACCAAAGAGTGCCTGGTCTACTCTTGGTGGTATATACTTCAATCATTATACAATTATATATTTAGATATTAGGGAAAGCTTGACTGGTATGTCTAACTCATGCGGATAAGGATATGTAATAAAAAATTTCAGTTGCTTTAAAGTTGGTTGATAGAAAAATATTGTTATAGAGTGAATGTCTCTGTCCCCCAAAATTCACACGTTGAAGCCCTAACCCCTAGATGTGATAGTACAGGTAATCAGGTTTAGATGAGGTCATGAGGTCTCCATGATGGGATTAGTGTCCTTATAAAAAGAGGAAGAAAGATCAGAGCTCTCTCCCCACCACGTGAGGACTCAGTGAGTTCTTTGTAGGCATGTTTTATGTTCCCTCTTGGAATATACAAGCTCTAAGTTAGAGCTAAAACTTATTTATCTATGCATCCCTAACATAAACTGTGGATTGTGACCTTATAGACGGATTATAAAATCAATTTAGAAATCAAGACTGCCATTTCTTTTTTTAAAACAACAAGAGTAGAAAATATTGGCATATACTATCTGTAGTTAGCAAGGCTAAGTATTGTTTCATAAAATATTTATTTCAGTTTTGTGTGTGTGGGTGTGTGTAATATAAATTGTGACGTGAAATGTATTTCTTACTATAGGTCATGATAACAAAATTTGAAAAATACTGCTGTGACATATATAGCCTAAAGCCCTGTACATATTTGGCACTCAAATATAGAATGAAGGAATGCTTCTTGAAATATCAGAAAACATCTTATTTTTAATCTTCGTCTGATTAGGAAAGTAATGCATCATTAAAATATTACCATTATAGATGATGGGAGGTAGTACCTTGTAATCACCATTCCACCATCCCACCCCAAGATACTCTTGAGAGTTTAATATTTATTCCAAGAATATATTTAAAATGTAATTTCAACTTCCACTTGGAAATTTTTTTATTATCTTCAGATTCCAAAGTTTCTATTTTGAGAATGGTACAGTTCTAAGGCTATTAAATTGGGTGTTTCCTGAATGTTAGCACAGTGCCTGGCTCCTAGGAGGTACTTAGAAACGATCTAATGATTAAATGCATGCTAAAACAGCAAATATTTTGAACATGTTAGGTCTGGCCCTTTTAGAAGAGGCAGGGGGCCGGGCGCGGTGGCTCACGCCTGTAATCCCAGCACTTTGGGAGGCCGAGCGGGGCGGATCACGAGGTCAGGAGATCGAGACCATCTTAGCTAACACGGTGAAACCCCGTCTCTACTAAAAACACAAAAAATTAGCCGGGCGCGGTGGCTGTTGCCCGTAGTCCCAGCTACTCAGGAGGCTGAGGCAGGAGAACGGCGTGAACCCGGGAGGCGGAGCTTGCAGTGAGCCGAGATAGCGCCACTGCAGTCCGGCCTGGGCGAAAGAGCGAGACTCCCTCTCAAAAAAAAAAAAAAAAAAAGAAAAGAAAAGAAAAGGCAGGGGGCAGGGTGGGAATGGGCAAAAGATACACAGAATGAACAAACAAAGAAAAATTCACGAGAGGTTTAAACTTTTCTACACAATAAATTGCTAATTGGAAGCTATTCTCTTCAACAAGATATCATCTAAAATAATGGAATAGTATTAATTTAACAGAACAATTTGAATGCTAAAAATATGAAGTCTATCAGGCAAAATCGTTTCAATGGCTCCAATGCTGCTGAGAAAATTAAAAAGACAATGAAATGATTTTATGAATGTTCCTTCATAACAAGAATAACATAGTGCCATCCTTCAAGTTAAATATTAAACAATTAATTTCATAAGGTAAAAGGTAATTTTGTTTTGTAATTAGTTAATAAATTGCTAATTTAAATGAGGGCAGTATTAATTCCACTGGACTGTAAACAGAGCCAGCATGTTTCCCTATAGAGCACTCTCAGCAGGGATGAAGATGAACGTTAACATTCTTGAAAACACACAATGGACGCGAACAAACGCTTACTG
This sequence comes from Homo sapiens, assembly GCF_000001405.40. Taxonomy (NCBI): domain Eukaryota; kingdom Metazoa; phylum Chordata; class Mammalia; order Primates; family Hominidae; genus Homo; species Homo sapiens. The sequence continues at coordinate 112,575,492 of NC_000010.11, read as the reverse complement.
AAGGAAGCAGAAAACTGCTGTACCATTGGCCATTATCAATATCCACTCTTGCAAAGAGAGGATAAATATCAGTGATATTTAAACACACATGAAGAAAACCTTGACTTGTACATTTATGAAAACAGCTACAAAGATTATAATGAAAAGATCCATAAATTAGATCTGCATGTCAGAAACTGAAAACGAACTACAGGAACACAACCTAACTTTCATCAGTTTTCAGTGCCAGGGAAGAGACATCATTAGATGAGAGAAAGCAAAAAGATTTTTAGGCTGTGAAATCTCAAAAGAGAAATCAATCATTCATTTCATAGCTATTTATTTAGTGCCTACTATTAGCACCAAAGAGAGATATAGAGGTGAGCAAACCATACAAGGTCCTTGTGGTCATGGAAATTGCATGCTAGTGAAGCAAACTACAACAGTGATCTGGAATCTCAGTCCTTCCTTCACCACTACCTGGCTGTGTAAACATGGGCAAGCTACTTAACACATCAGGGCCTTATTTTATCTGGTAAAATGAAATGGTTGAGTTCAATCATTTTGAGGAGAAAATGCAAATATCAGGGTTCAATATTAGGACCAGTATTCAAAAAGTGAATTCAAACAATTCAACAATAGTCTAGTACCAGCCAAGTCAAATTCACGCAACATTTCCTTTGTACATTGGGTAAACACATAATTAGACCAGGACATTGAAGGCTTCTCTGACCCAATGCATCCACCTACACTGTACTCACTCATTTACTTCTGTCATGTCCATTCGATTTTATGTTGCTCCTAGTGCCTAATACAGTATGTATCACTTGATAGGTTCCATCCATCACTTAACGTGTGGTAGATTTAAACAATAAGCACTTTAGCAAGGTCTTATTAAGCTACTATTGTAGATAAGAAAAAAAGAAGCTCAGAAAGGTTAACTGACTAACCCAAAGTTACACAGCTCATAGCAAAGAAAGCTGGGATTTAAATCCAGGTCTATTTGATTCCCAAACCCAGCCTCTGCTGGGTATTTAACAAATGTTCGTTGATTTAGCAATGAACGAATAAGACTGCTATGGCTTTAGAGTAGTGGCTCCCAAACTATGGTCCATAGACTGGTGCTGGTTCAAATTTAAAAATAAGAACAGTGGAACAAGTTTTTCCTAAGACTAAATATATTTGCATTAAAGGACAATCACTTGTTCTGAGCTACAAATGCCCAATTTGTGGCATTCAAATATTATTTCCTTTATACAGAATTAGTAGACGTCAGTTCTCCCTGTCCCCTTTATAGACATACTTGAAGTAATAAACAGCTTCCAATCATGTGCCACTCCTCAAACTTATTTGATTTTATTTTTAAAACTTTGCTTGTTTTTGCAATCCAAATATCTAGAAGGCAATGATTTTGAGTATACAATGAGTACTGTACTTTAAGTAATTTAGAAAAAAATGGAATTTAAACAATATGATTCACTACAAACATGTAGAGATCTATGAGAATGAACAATTATATTCAGATAAAGAACCTAACCTTTTAACAATGTACTTTATCATATTCTGAAGCTTCTGGGGGAAGACAAAGTACAAAACATTCCTCACAGAAGCCAATGGTATTAGTCTTAATATATTTTCAAATTACAGGAACCCATCTCAAATTACCTTAGGCAAAAAAGGGGTTTTTAAATTGTAATAAACATTACAAACTTTTTCAGGCAATAAGACAGCTTTGCTGTTCTGAACGGCTTTCACAACTAGATCTTGGGTCTACCTCAACTAACATGCATTTTTGATGCATTACTGAGCTTGCTAGAAAATACGGAGGTGTCCAGAAGAAATAGGAGGAAGTGTGAGACAAATAATTTTCCTAAAGCCATAGACAGTGAATGGTGGAATTGGCAATAAAATTTGAATCTCTTTGATTCCGTGGTCTTTTCACTATATTACACTGCCTCCCAGGTAAGTAGGATAGGTTGTACCTCAGTCAATTTCTTTTTGATCTATTAAGGGATTGTATATTTTCACCAAACATGCAAATACCATTGTCATTTTATGTCTAATAATAAAATTATTTCATGAATACCATTAGGGTTTTTTTTTCCTAATAAACATACCCTCTATTATCAGCAAGAGTTGCAGAACATTTAAGTGCAGGGTACTAGACAGGAAAACGGGACAATAAAGAGATCTAGGGCTTAGTCTTGATTTCCAAGTTGCTTAGTTTATTTCGGATAATAGAGCAGATAGCATACAAGGACAGGTACATAGGCAGTGAGCATTAAGGACCATGAATACAATTCATTCCAGGGACCATAAACCTTGGGCTGAATACTGCTCCAATCACATCTGCTAGGCCAGCACAATTCTTCCTTAAGCTCAGCAACAATTCTCAAAATTTGCTACATTATGAGTATAAACCTCAACCCATTTGGGTCTGTCACCCCTGAATAAACCTAAAGCACTACAGGAGTTGGGTAACAACTTATTTATCTAGTATTGTGGTGAGATGGGATGCTTCAGGAAAAAGAACTTTCCAGACAAAGCTGATTTAACTTCAAGCAGCAATAATTTATTTGATTAATTAGTGAGAAACTTCTAAAATACACCATTAAAATACAGTTCATGGTTTCCTGAAGAAGAGAGAACATTTCTTTTTTTTTTTTTTTTTGGTTGAGACGGAGTCTCGCTCTGTCGCCCAGTCTGGAGTGTAGTGGCGCGATCTCGGCTCACTGCAAGCTCCGCCTCCCGGGTTCACGCCGTTCTCCTGCCTTCAGCCTCCCGAGTAGCTGGGACTACAGGCGCCCGCCACCGCGCCCGGCTAATTTTTTGTATTTTTAGTAGAGACGGGGTTTCACCGTGTTAGCCAAGATGGTCTCGATCTCCTGACCTCGTGATCCGCCCGCCTCAGCCTCCCAAAGTGCTGGGATTACAGGCGTGAGCCACCATGCCTGACCGAACATTTCAATTTTTTTATTGACAAAGTTATTATGACAAACAGCCATTTTTGATTGTTTAATGATAGTTTCATGACTTTCCTTAATGGTCATTCTCTTATTTCATGTTATCTATCCTCTTTAACTCTTCTGGTGAGGGCTGAGAGATAAAATAAGAAAACTACCAAAGAACTGTAAAAGCAAACCTTTTTAAGAATTTAAATGTAGGAATAATATCAACAACACCTACCACCACTCATACCTTTCATTGAAAGCTTATTAGGTGCACAACCATGCTATCATTGTCTTCATTTTATTTGATGATGAAGGGATAGAGAGATTAATTATTTTCCCAAAGTCACACAGCTAGCAAAGTGGCAGAGCAGGATTTACACAGAAACAGAATTCTACAATCAACCACTATCTTTCTTTTTCATCTTTTTAAATTTTAGAATCGGGGGTCAATGAGCAAGTTTGTTACATTAGTATATGGTGTGATGCCAAGGTTTGAGGTGCAATGATCCTGTCATTCAAGTTGTGAGCATAGTACCCAACAATAATTTTTCAGCCTTTGTGCCCCTCCTCTCTCCCCCTTCTAGTTGTCTCCAGTGTCTGCTGTTCCCATCTTTATGCCAATGAGTAGCCAATGTTTGGCTCCTGCTTTTAAGTGAGAATATGTGGCATTTAGTTTTGTTTCTGTGTTCATTTAGGATAATGACCTCCAGCTTCATCCACGTTCCTGCAAAGGACATGATTGTGTTCTTTTTTATGGCTATGTAATATTCCACAGTGTACGTATACACCATCTTTTCTTTATCCAATTTATTGTTGGTGGGCACCTGGGTTGATTTCATGTTTTTGCTATTGTGAAGGGCACTGCAATGAACATACAGGTGCATTCTACCTTTTGGTAGAATGATTTTCCTTTGGATATATACATATCCAGTAATGGGATTGCCAGGTGGAATGGTAGTTCAACTCTTAGTTCTTTGAGAAATCTCCAAACTGCTCCCCACAGTGGCTAGACTAATTTACATTCCCACCAACGGTGTATAAGTGTCCCTTTTCTCCATAGCATCGCCAATATCTGTTATTTTTTGACTTTTTAACAAAAGTCATCCTGACTGGCATGAGATGGCATCTCATTGTGTCAACTGCTATCTTATAATGCATGTTTTGTTGTGAGTTTTTTCTTTTAAGGCATCCCAAGATGGCTTTCCAAGGCTAGTGTTGTCTCCTATAGAGGAACGAGTTTCCTTAAGATGAATCACTGGATACATGAGATATTACTAGTCTTTTCTTTGGAGTATAAACTTGGAAGGAATAGACAAGATGGGAAGATATTTTAAATCATCTTAGGACAAAGTAAAATGGGGAACTAAGAAGTCTGGAATCTCTAATATCTAGCAGTATGGCATTTTGAATAAGTCATTTAATCACTCAGTTTCAATTTCTTCACATGTAAAATAAAGATAAATACCCATAAACCATAAAATGGAATGTTTTGAAGATAAAGATAACACAGGGAACAGCACAGTACAGTATGCAACACATAGAAGATGCTCAATAAATATTAGCTGAAATGGTTGCTGATTTCCTCATTTGTAAAGTGGGGATGATAGGACTTACATGGTTATTAAATGAAATAATCTATGTAAACTCTTTAACATGGTGCCAGGCACACAGTAACCACTCAATAAATGTTTGTTATTATGGTTATTATTAGTCTAGTTATTTGTTAACTCTCTTATCTCTGCTTTCAGCAATGAATCAGAAGGAGGAACGTGGGAAAATGCTGAGAGGGATACCTTCTATGAGATATTATGTGCTGAATTCCTCTACTGGCTCCAGAAGCTGGTGAGAAAATTAGCACAAAAATACATCTGGCATTTTAGCCTCTTCCGAGATGTATGCACAGAGGTATTCTGGCTATTACGTGAGCAACACTCTACTTTGAAGTCTAAACACTTTATTTAAATATTATATTTTCCTTCATTAAAATAGCTATCTTTTAATTGTTTTTTGTTTATATCTCAAAATATGGGTCAGCATTCACTGAACTTTTCATCTAAAATACATTTGATACTAATTTTTCCAACTGGAAATTAGGATATTCCAATATCCAAAGTATTACAAAATCCAGGCTCAATCTTTACCATTATTTTACTACTAGAATGCCAATATTAGGTTTTCTTTTCTTTCTTTCAATTTTTTTTTCCCCATAAGAAGTGCTGCTTTGCTTTGCCACAGGGGGAAAATGAAGGAAGCAGGGAAAATGACTTTAAATATGCAACCTTCAGGCAGCTATCAGTTTCCAAACTTAAAAAAAAAAATTTTGTACACAGCCAGTTTAGAGTTTGTTGGATTCCCAGATGTATGCCCTGACTCCATTTTTCACAAAAGGTAATTTTATATTTTAATATGATGGTGTTCCTGGCAACACTGCATGTTATATTTGAAAAAAGACCAACAAAAAGCAAGGGCCATATAATTGTATGAGATGCCACACAGTAGGCTTTTAAAGAAGAAATCCCCTTAATTATGTCTTTGAGGGTCTGAGCACCAAAATGCAGGGAATTGGTGGTACTGAATGCACACTTTGCATAGAAAAGACATTTCTCTAGAGAAAAACAGACTTTGCAGATAGGCATGTAAAGTTTCAAAGCACAGGTTCTTCTAGGTTCCTATTAGCTTCATACATGAAAGCAATAACCCTCAGAAGTTAATATGCTTCTCAAGTACCTGAAGTTACTTCTTAGGAAGGAAGTTGCCTGGGCCATACCTCCAGAGATTCTGATCTGGTCGATTATCATTGGCACCCAGGAAGCTGTGTTTTTTTTAGTAGGCACCCAGGCACTACTGATGCAAGTTTTTACCCACTTTCAGAGGCATGCTCTTCACAGCACCATATCACCACCTTCCAAAGTTTTCCCAGGATACCCTCTTCGCTTGTCAGTCCTCACTAATGTACAGTTATCTGCCAACATCATTACAGATGGCACTGCTTTGGCAGTTGGCTCCATGTTGAGGGCAAAAGCCAACCTCTGTCTTCAGAGTATAAACTTAAGAGATGTTCCAATTCAACTTTCAGTTCTGTTTTCTAGACTAGAAGTCAATTGGCATAATTAAACACTTTATCTTTAGCATGTGATAATGAAAAAAAGTAAAGGATTTGACTTTATACTGCCCTTCAATTGGACTGATTCCTTAACCTCTCTGGACCTCAGTATACTTATTTGCAAAATGGGAAAAACAGTACTTACCCCGTAAGATAATTATGAAGATCAAATGAAGTGTATGCCTGGATCACAGAAGGCAACAAACAGTTGTCCGCCTTCTCAGCAAATTTATCATTAGGGTTTCTAGAAGGCACACAATTAACCTACTTGAGTTTCACCTTTTTTCCCATAGCTTTTTTTTTTTTGAGATGGAATCTTGCTCTGTGCCCACGCTGCAGGGCAGTGGCACGATCTCAGCCCACTGCAACCTCCGCCTCCTGGGTTCAAATGATTCTCCTGGCTCAGCCTCCCAAGTAGCTGGGACCATAGGTGCAAACCACCACACCCGGATGATTTTTGTATTTTTAGCAGAGACAGGGTTTCACCTTGTTGGCCAGGCTGGTCTCAAACTCCCGACCTCAGGTGATCCGCCCACATATGCCCCCCAAAGTGTTGGGATCATAGGCATTAGCCACCGCGCCCAGCTGAGTTTCACCTTTTAAGTGGGCCTACTGCATGGCGGAGGAACACAAGGGTAGAAAGGTGGTCAAAGGAGAGTTACAGAAAGTGGGGGGAAAAACATGAAGACTTGATCATCTCAAACTGAATAAACAATACAAGTAGGTAAAAGATGACCAGTTAAGGCGAGAACATAAAATCAAACCTGATCATGCTTAGCTGGCTGGGTGATTGTTATAGGATAAGACGGGGATCTTATTTAGAGTTCTCTAACCTTTCCAAGAACCATTTGCTATCATTTACAGAACACTTCTCTTGGCTCCACCTCCTGAGCATGGCTATGTACAGCTGCTAATATGAAAAGCAGCTCCATCACAATTTTTTTTTTTTGAGATGGAGACTCACTCACTTTTTTGCCCAGGCTGTAGTGCAGTGGCGCGATCTCAGCTCACTGCAACCTCCGCCTCCCGGGCTCAAGAGATTCTCCTGCCTCAGCCTCTCGAGTAACTGGGATTACAGGCGTCTACCATCATGCCCAGCTAATTTTTGTATTTTTAGTAGAGACGGGGTTTCATCATGTTGGCCAGGCTTGTCTCGAACTCCTGACCTCAGATGATCTGCCCACCTCGGCCTCTCAAAGTGCTGGGATTACAGGCGTGAGCCAACCATCACATTTTAAGGTGCATAATTCCTCCTAGGACTTGTAATTTGGTGCTTCTGAGACCACAAACTTATTTTTTTTTCTCTGTCCAGAATATCATACGGTGCACAGCATATTTTTTCTTTATATCTGAGTTTTGGTTGCTGTGAAACAGCTATGAAATATCACAGTGGGCTCCAAAATGAAATCTGGGTACATTACATAGTCTTGTTTTAAGTGAGATGATCACAAGCTTAACTGCCAAGTACCGAAAATCGATTTAGTCACTTTAAGATTCAAAAACATATAAAGAGAAATCTGGTTTTGCCTATACGGATGTGTGCCCTATTTAAGCACTAATTCTCAGCACTCATCTTCATTTAAAATGGTCCTCCTTTCCACAGAGATCCAAATAATCTAAGGTCATTACCAGAGAGACATGATCTACCATGCCCTTGGAAATAACTGTGATATAAATCAGTGGTGACTCTCGAATTTGAACAGGTCACCAATATAGCACTTGCTAAGCACTCCAAATCATACCACGCAGTTATTCTACAAATAACAGACTAATAATGTCAATTATCCAACATGGTAGATTCCTAAGCCATAGTTTTAGCTAAAAAAGAATCATCTGCCCCCAATCATACCTCTGATGCTTTGACATTATTTACTATGAGAAAAAGGCTTAATTACATAAAATATACTAAGAAAAAAACATGTTAGCCTAATGTTATAACTTGAAAATCAACCTATTATTTCTGATAGGATTGTGTGATATCACAGACATCACAACAGAATTGAGATATAGATAATATAAATGTGAGCAATAATAAATTTTCACATTATCATAAAAAAAGAACTGTCATTCACTTTATGTGAATTCATAAAATGGTAAACCTCTAACAAACCACATTTTATAAAGTAAATTATGGCCGGCGCAGTGGTTCACACCTGTAATCCCAGCACTTTGGGAGGCTTAGGCAGGTGGATCACTTCAGCCCAGGAGTTCGAGACAGCCTGGGCAACATGGCGAGAACTGGTCTCTACACAAAATAGAAAAATTAGCCGGGCATGGTGGGCTGTGCTTGTAGTTCCAGCTACTTGGGAGGCTGAACTAGGTGGGTTACCTGAGCCAGGGAGGTCGAGGCTGCAGTGAGCTGTGATTACACCACTGCATTCCAGCCTGGGCAACAAAATGATACTCTGTCTAAATAAATTACATTATAGCATCTGAAGTGAATTTTATGAGATACAAAAAAGGTGTCTTACAAAAAATATGTTGCACTAGGTCCAAATATGATTTTCTTTTTAATGAAAATCTCAGATACTATGTCCAAATTATCAGTAGGACAAGTTAGCAACAATATAAACATTGGGAAAGACCCCCATGCCCCACACATAACTGGCTGACAAATATACTTTCTATAAACCCTTCCCTAAAGATTCACATATAGAGTGATGGAATATTCATGAAGCAGCATTTATGACCCGGAGCATGCAAGTTCTTACATGCTGGAAATCCAAGCAGAGTCCCATTCGCCAACAATACTAAAATACTTTCATAACGTTTGCTAAGGGGTAAATAGTCAATATCACTGCTTAAATTTTCAATCACAAGTTTCTCTACTATTATTATAGTAGAGAGAAATATCTCACTTTTCCCAATAAATCACTCTAATTATTAAACAGCAAAACAATAATTTACACAGAGTATTTTCGCAAAGAAATAGTCCCAGAGCAGTTTCTAGAATCTGCCGATCTGCAAGATGCAAGATCAAAGAAGGACGTTTAAATGTACAAGTCAAATTTTTTCATGTATTTGACAAAAGTATTTGATTATTCTTAAAATTTATTTTCCAACGTATAAAAGTTAAGAAGTGCTTATGTTTAAATGCAATGCAGTTGATGTTATTTTAAATCTATTATTTTAACATTTTATTGAATTAAAAGGTAAAAATGCAATAGAAATATCACTGTAAGTTTTTTATATGTTAGCTAGTCTCAATATGAATGGAAATAAAACATTAAAATGCAGTGTGTAATAATAATAACAAATCAGTTCTTACTTAGATTCATTGAAGTTTCATATCTTTCATTAGAAAAAAACATACTAATTTTGACTTCACAAATTTCTAATGCAGAATGCTAAATAGCTAGATTTTAATGTAAAGTTTCCAAGCACATATTTGTTAATTATATTTCACACTTTAAAGTTGTTTTAATGTTTATCTTTTAAATTATAATAAATTTTAAATAATCTTCAAAATATACCAAAATGACTTCACATGCTTAAGTTACAAATTATATTTTTCTATTAATACATTTAAATTTCTATTATACATTTACTAACATCTATGGGAAATAGTAAATAAAAACTTTTAAAAATGAGGTTTTGAAAGTATTACATTGAAAATTATTAGAAAATATCTTAAAAGATTTAAAAAGTGACGTATATCAAAATATGTTCTTTTTTGTTATATTAATTATAGTAACACACATTTTAAAAACTGATAGCCCGTCCTCTTGATTTCCATGTCCTCCACATTTCCATTTCCATGTACTACTGGCAGCACAAGAAACATTTCTTTAACTAGTGGCTCAATGGCGCAGCCTATGTGTAGAAAAGTATAATACAGCATGAGGAGCAAACTACAGCCAGTCGTGTAAGTTGTAAATAAGGGTTTAAAAATATAATATGGCTTTGAAAAATGATCAGAGGTATACAGGAAAGAATTTAGCTTCTATTGCATCATGACTTTCCCTGCTATTTGCAAAATGATTTAAAATAAACTGAAAGTAAATATAAATAAAATGTATAAATAAGTCTTTTAAAATTAATTTTAAATTGCCTTTGAATACAGAAAAAAATTTTCTGTTTCCTTCACTTTCATAAACCTAAAGAAGCATGGTGTTTTGTGGCCAACTATTTAATATTTTCAATATTTGTTACTGTCAGGTTAACATATGACATTGTGGTTGGTAATCTCTTTAAAATAGTTTTTCCCTGAAAAACAACAAATAAATACACTACAAATTTTAAATCAGAAAAATTATTCCAATTTAACAACTGTATTAGGCCAACTAAACAGAGGCCCACTGTTTTATGGTACAAGTGATAGGAAGGCTAAATAAAGCCTGTTCTGCTGCCTCATATATGAACTTGATAAATACATTCACTTCCATAAATCTCCTTCAATACTATGGGTCTCTGGTCAAATATAAGAGGGGGAGCTGTTTCATTTTACGGCAGCATAGGTGATCAGCTCCCACCACTTTTTTTAACATTAGCATTCAATGAGGTAAATATACATGTAAGTATATGTATATTTGAAATTTTAAGCTAGCCCATCTCCTAAAAAAGGAAAGAAAACAAAAATTATTGGCAAACACTCATTGCTACTACTAAAGTTTGAGCAAAAGTCAGTAAAACCATTTTTTTTAAGATCTGCAATGAAAGCCAGCATTCCATTGTACACAGTCAACTTTATTGTTATTTTTGTATCTCCTTTAAAAAGCCAGGAGCCATCATACAGGGAAATCTTTTTTATATACTCTCAACTTTTCTCTCCTCATGCAGAGTTGGCTGCTAATTCTAACAGAGAAAAGAACCATATTCAAAATTTGCACCCATTCCATTTCTCCATTATTTAAAAAAAGGGGGGTAACCCTGTAAATTTACTTAAGCTGTTTAAACAAGGAAGAAGTGCAAAAACTCAGGCTCTGTTGCAAAGCGAAATGTAATCAGAAAAACTGTTTCAGTGACACTACAACTTAACTGTTTTAACTTCACAATATGAGTGTTTTTTTTTTTTTAAAGAAGTACTTCAATCACACAGTAGAAGTCTGATCAATTTGACATTGACTATAGAAAACTAAACTCACAGTGAAGACAAGCACAATACACGGAAAATTATTTCTGTTTGGTTCACTATTACTTCATCTTTTCTTTCTATTGCTTTTGTTATAAAGAAATCAACAACGCGCTGAACAAAATTAAAACAAAAGCCACTCCGATGTTTATTTTTCAGTCACTGCCAAATGATTTAATTCCAAAAGCTTTTTTCATTCCATGCAAGTTGTGGTTGCATTTATTTTTTCTCTCCCTCAAGGTCAGATTTGTCAATTAAAAAAAAAAAAAAACTATTTTCAGGGTGAAATTGAAATTTTTCCACTCATACTTCATTAACTACTGAGATTTTACAATTTTCAACATTTTAGTAGATATTTTAATCACCTTAGGTTTTTAAAATAAACTTTATGATGTCTAATGTTTAAAAACCATATTTAAATGCACTGTCAATTTACAAAGCTAAAATATTAAATTTGAGAACTGAAGTAATATGCTATACCTTGCCATGAAAAGAAATGTTTTTGTCCAAAAACTACTCACAGATATTCTCATGTAGAATAGCCAGTCCACATCAAGGAATCATTCTGCTTTAAAACAGAGATATGTATACCTTAAGAATAACCCCATGGAACAAATTAAAATTAAATTTGCCAGTAGTTTCTACTTCAGTACTTTCTCAACTTAATTGTGTAAAAATATATTGGTGCTAATTTGACGTTAATAAATTAAGACCATTAGAGACAGTCTTTCATTGTTGGCCTTCAACAATTGTCAATGACACTATTTTCTGTTTGCATTTCCTCAAGCGTGTTAATGTCTCTTTGTTTAGGCTCGCAAGTCGAATGGTCAATGTAAACACAGTCAATGAAACATCAGGACTGGAAAACAAGTCTACTGAGAGGACCTATGGGAAGAACATTTGGTCTATTGCCAAGTATGCGATAAGGTTACAGCACTGAAAGGCTACTTAAAAATTTTTTTTATATGATGAATGAATGACTCTAAAAAAATTCACAAAATTCTTTGTTTTGCATACAAAGTCCATCAAGGATGAAGGTGGTCTGCAAGTTGAACTTAGTACTATGTGGGTTATAGTCTTTGTTTGCAGTCTTAACTGGGGATTGTACCTTAGCTACCGTAGTTCAAGCGTAAAAATACTTTGTCTGTAATACTATATACTGTTGCCAGTGACCCTCTAAATCCTTGAAGCAACTGTGTCTTCTGGTGTCACAGAAGATAATGCCAATTTATTGCAATGTGTGGCTTTTTTAACTGATTAAAATTAAGCCGTAAACACGTGACAATGGAATTAGCACATTTAGAGAGTCTGTTTTCCCACATCCCATTTTGTGCTAGTACGGCTGGTCCCTGCAACTCTACGCGGGTGCAATTTTAATGACTTTGCTGGGTTTTGATGTTCTTATGAAAAAAGCACTGCTTGGTGTTTGTGGAGAAGGTAGATATGGGGGCTGAAGAGCTGTGATTGGGAACATGGTGACATCGTTTCTGTTTTCCGATAGGATCGGTGTCATTTTCCTCTCAGCGATAAGACACCTCCACTGACAGTGCCCGATTAGGGAAAATTTTATTATAAAATTCACTTTTATCGAATGAGGATAGAGTGATAAACAGTTCAGCCTCAGGGAAGGAATAGGAACAGATTTTCCCCCCTTTTCAAATTCCACCTTTTCCCTCTTCTCTCTCTTTCTCTCCTTTAGGAAGATGATTGTGTTTTAGTTATTATTAATGGTACAAAAGAACTCCCCACAACATGCGATTGCCATGATAAAACTATCTAAATCAAGAGACACTCAGATGTTGTTATAAAAGAAAATCTATTTTATATAGTTATATATGTGTGTGTATATACACACACACACACACAAACATAATATTACTTTCTAAATCCTTCCATTTCTGGAAGTTACCTGGTATTTATTACTTAGGAAAATATAGCACTCTAAAAGCAAAGCAAACTGGAGTAATATTGACTTAATTATCCTAAATATACTGACATTTCATACTTACTTTCAGAAATAAACATTTGCCAAGCAGAACTGCAAGGTAAACACAGAGAAAACAGAAGAGTGTGGCCCTTTAATTCTCGAACAAACATTAAGGCTTAAAGGAAGAATATGAAAAAATATAGACTGTTTCTAAATAATAAAACATCATTGTTTCTGGACGATGATACTTTAAACCTGCAGTGTCGTAAGTTATGTCTGCCTGTTTGCTCCTGATAAACCAGCTGTAACTCAGGAATATATGACAAGTACTGGAAAGGGCATTTGAGAAGCAGAAAAATAGGCATTTGCCATTATTTTATTTTATTTTTTCTGAAGGAAAGTTCATCAAATGACTCAGAACACTCCTTTGGCTTTTATGAAATAAAAAAAAGTTGTATCTCAGGGGCTAAGAACTTCAGGTGGAATTGGTAAATTCTGGTAAAAGAGTTCGATGATAGATTTTTTAATTTTGGGGGAGTGAAATGTTGATGATAAAAGCAACTCAGAAAAGTATTTCTTTATTTATAAAAAACTATTTCTGAGAGGGAAAGAGAATACAACAGCCTTTAGTTTGCAATATTCTTCCATATATTTCTAGAGTCTCCCTAAAGTCTCTTTAAAGACTTTTTTCCAGAATGTTTTTTTCAAGTGCTGACTGTAAGCATGATCTATTTTGTTGTATGAGTTCCTATATTATTCTAGAATTTTTCAGTTATCAGTGATCAGAAAACCATGTTAAAATATCTTTTTCCATTTGAGTTAAACTTCCAAATTTAAATAAAAAGTAACCAGTTTTCAGAAATCATTGTTATGAACTGATGATGCTTACAGCTTCATGTTGATGAATTTAAGTATTTGTTATATCCTTGTAGGCAACCAAAGAGATTTTACTTATCATATAATAAAATGGAAAACTGAGATTTACACAAAGACACTACAAGTAAATGTCCCTAGTCCAACCATTTCTGCCTACTTCTTGTTACAAAATTTCAGCGAAACAAACATTATATTCCAATGATTGATAAAGCAACATGATCACACTGCAACCTAATTTTCACTATTAATTTTGTAGCCTAAAAACAATTACCAAAGTAAACTTATGAAATTGGAATGGGTAAACAGTGGAAAAGAAACAAAGCTCAATAACTAAAGCATGCAGCAAATGAAAAAGGGAACCTAGATTCATTATTGGCTTAAAATCTTTACCACCAAATGCTTATTAATGAGTATACACTAGTTTGCAGGGTAAACTGACTTGAGTAGAGTATACTTTTCTTAATTATAACTTTGCCAAATGAAACACAATATTCTTTTTTTAAAAAAATATTTTTTTTGAGAGAACCACTTGAATGTATTAAGAATTTCAATACAATAAGAGACAAAGATTAATTCTAAAATGTCATAAAACCACACGAAATCTTCTTAAAAGTGGTCTGGGATGGGAAATGGCTATAATTATTATAATGCTAAAGGTTAGTGAGAAACTTTTTGAAATAAGCACTTCTGGCCAGGCGCGGTGGCTCACGCCTGTAATCCCAGCACTCTGGGAGGCCGAGGTGGGTGGATCACTTGAGGTCAAGAGATAGAGACCATCCTGGCCAACATGGTGAAACCTCGTCTCTACTAAAAATACAAAAATTAGCTGGGCGTGATGGTGCGCGCCTGTAGTCCCAGCTACTCGGGAGGCTGAGGCAGGAGAATCACTTGAACCCGGGAGGCAGAAGTTGCAGTGAGCCGAGATCATGCCACTGCACTCCAGACTGGCGACAGAGTGAGACTCCATCGCAAAAAAAAAAAAAAAAAAGCACTTCTATTTGCAGTAAAGGAATATAGCTGCCCATTTCCTTCAATCATTCAACAAAATGCCTCTCAGGAAGCTTACATTCTTGTGGAGAAGGCAAACAAAAAATGAGTAATGGATTACTCCTTACAATTAATGTTATGAGGAAGGGGCTTGGTAAGATTCAGGGGAAGCCTGCTTTAGAAAGAGTGGTCAGGGTAGTCTTCTTTGAAGACATAACATTAAACTAGAAACCTAAACCATGAGAAGGAGCTTAGCCAAGTTCCTTTCACATGCGAATGCATCAACACTTTTAAAAAAAGGTATTTCTGGAAAGTTGCATACTACATTTTTTCTTATTTAAAAAAACCCTAGTAAGTACTCTAAAGACCTATCACTATTAAGATAATCCAGTAATAAAAACTCTCAAAGCAGAGAATCCTGAATAGAAAATCTTTATATGTTAAAGTACACCCATTACTAAACATCGCTCACCCTAATCTTTCTAGAGTCAGAAGGCCTTTCAAGATCATACACTCAATGGACCAGAGTCAGCACTGCAATTACTCCTGTCTGGGTCAGTTAGAACTACAAGTGACAAACTAGCTTTTACTATCTCAGATGCCTTAAAAGCAGGATGCATGTTTTTAGGTAACCATGGGTACATCCCCACACACGTGTGTGGCCACTCTGGCTGGTCAGCACTATAAAGAATAGAATACCTTTTCCATTTCAGTAACTACTACCCATCATAACTTTATTTCCCCCAATTTTTTCTCATAAGACACCCAATACAGGTATTCTCCATGTCTGGGGTACATGAATGCTTTTCTGTTACAAGCAACATCTAGAATGGCTGTGTGGCTCTGTGTGTACAGAATTAACATTTTATTGAAGTAAGCACCAGTCTTTCCTAAGAGGGCTGCCTGATTGGTTAGTGGAAAATGGATGGAGTGAAGGGAAGAATAGCTGATAAAGAGATAATCCACTGTGGAAACGTGGCTGTGCGGGATGGCAGCACTGGGGGGTGCATGTAGGGTGAGGGAAGAAGAGGAAGGCCTCCTTTCTGTTGTTGCATTTGAAGTGGGAAGGAGGCCTGCAGTGAGCAAACTTCAGATGTAAAGAACAAAAGGCCAGGTTTTCCCCCTACACCATCGCTCTACCTTTTTCTCAATACTGACGAGATGATGAGGTCTCAAGCTGAAGCCCTACAGAATTATACTTTGACAGCCTATATTTATTAGTCAGGTTTATTTTCCAGATATACAAAGTAAAGCATTCATTATTATGTATGAAACAATTAAATGGAGCAATGTTGCCAATCTGTACTTGGGCAAAATTTAGAAGTATCTCTGCTCTTTACAACGGAATCAGTGCACATCAGTATAACCAACATGTGTTATATGTTCATCCAAAATCTGAAATCACTTAAAGAAAGAAAAACTTGCAGTCAATCATCATTAATATTGCTTAGGTCAATTTACACATTTTTTTCCTATTCCTTTAAATGAATTATTTGGAGAGGATGGTAGTTCCTAAGCTGATGGTGGATCTGAGGTTGCCAGTTACGGGAGCACTTAAGCGCCCATTGGCACAGCAAGATTCAAAGCCCTGGTAGGCTTCAAAGAAACACTTTTTTTTTCTTCTTCTAGAACTCTTTGCTTTCTAGTAAAGCTGCAACCACAATGTTCTCTCTCTTAATGCCACCATAAAAAATCAAAACACTTTAAAACAAATTGATGTACTCTTTAATACAGTCACCACATCATCACAGGACCCTTGCACCCTGCATGGTGACAACCGTAGGGATGCATACCACACATCTCTTTCTTTGTTGCCTGCTTCAATGCTTAAAGAAAAATCGAGAGAGAGTGTGTGTCTCTCAATTGAGATATGGGCACCTTTGATTGACAGGACCTAATCAGCTTATCTCCACACTAATAAAGTTGGGGCCTGTGGAGCTGGTATATGCCCAGCACCAAGTGAACTTTTACTAGCCAAAGCTGCACAGGCCAGGTCTCAGGCTCTGCTTCTCTAAACTGGTTCAGATCAATTCTTAATGGGCTATTTTCATCTTGATAAACCTCTATAGTCTTCATTCATGATAGCATTAGAGGCTATTTAGCTGGATGAATTGCCTAAAGTAATGGCTACACAGTAAGTCTATGATAAGTATTTATGCACACTGAATCAATAAGCTGTCTTTTCCCAGCTCCCTGTAAAGAAATAAAAAGTAACTTCTAAAATCAGAGGTTTTTCCCTTTTACATGATTATTTATTAAAGGGCATGACTTTTTTTTAAAAAAATTAAAGGACGACAGGATCCTCTGCCCATTAGGAAACAGATTCTTTTAATAATTTCTACTGTAAATACTACTGGATTTTCACTTCCTTGGGATGAAGCCCAGTCCTGACACTGCCATACACTGTGATTTCTCTGTCTCCACCATTCTGGTACTTAGAGACACTGACTTGCTCAGACTAGACATTCACTAAATGTGCCTTGATTTTGGGGGAATGAAGAATGCAAGTCCAGGAAACACACATGAACAGGAGTTGAGGGGTGGGTGGCTACAGACACACGTGCATGCGTATTTTCTTCTTCAATTTTACTTGTAGGAAGCCCTTTCAAACCACGCCTTTTCTACCTCATTCAAGAACAATATCTTTGTTCTTATCTGTTTCTAATTGCTATGTAAAGGTTAAATTCAAGAGTTGAGGTGTAAATAAAGTTATTAAAACACCAGGTGCTTCTTCATCTACATGGTGGAGCCCTGGAGAAGAAGTCCTCCTTTACACATGCCAGGGTGAGAGTAAAATACACAGTGGGCATTTTGATCCCACCTTTCATATGCAGTTATCTAAAGAGAAAGATGGGCTCACTGGAGAAAGCAAGCTTTACAGAAAAATCTCCAGTAGTGGAGAAATGTTTTGAAATGATAACAATTGTCCAAGTGTGAATATATATATATAATTTGTTCCTCCCACCATATATAAATGGTCCTTAAAATTATTCAGTAATGCTGTTTTCAAACTGCAATATACCTTAAGTATTATAATCACCTGCATAAAATGAGGCAATTTTAAACACATTCCAAAATGACATTTCTACAGACTATAGGAAATCTTCAGCAATATTTTTCATTCAGATTGTGGTCTTCATGCTATAATTGCTTTATACAAAATCCACTCCAGCCTTATCACTCAATACTATCTTTACTGCTGAACATCGGAAGATAATTTTGCAATAAAATTTAATTTACAGAGCTTATTTTCCACTAATCTCCTAGCAGAGGAAAAATTAAACATGCCAAGGTACACACTCCAAGTTATGATCCTAATGGCATTTTTAAAAATTTCTGGAATAGCACGCCACTAAACATATCAATTTTATCATATTGAAATGTTGACAAATTTTAATTATCAAAACTTTATATCCTAGAAGAGAAAGTAAAAGAGGCTATTAAGAATATGTATGAAAATAAGATTCTTCAAGCAATAAAGTTCCCCTGTGGAAAGCTTTTCTTCCATAAGAAAAAAAATACTTAATATAAAAATATGGGACTAGTAAAGTTATTTTATTCAAACCATTAATATATCAGTAACGGTCAACAATATTGAGATTTTCAAATAAAAAATTCAAAGCCAGTAACAATAAATAGGGACTAGACATCAAGACTCAGTTTTCTGTATAAAATGACAAAGTCAGGTTTCTTATCTCCAAGGCTTATGCCAGCTGTAAAACTTTTAATTTTAAATATTTAGATGCCATGCAAAATTTGGAAGAGTAAATTAATAGTAGAAGGTTTATTTCTACAGGCCTTTTGGTCTCTATATATCATTTATGTCCTAGAAGGCATTCATCGCTTGAAAAACAAAAAAAATTTTCTTTTACAAAAAGTATTGAGCCCTCTAAAACAATTAATGCCACAAATTAGGATAAGATATAAGCCAATCCTGTTGCTCACAAAGAAATAGCTTCATTTTTACAATGGTGAAATATACTTAAAGAGTCCTCATGAAAACTTAAATTCTTTGCCAAAATGGTAACATAATAAAAAAATTAATGAGCATTAATGGGTTGAGAGATTTGTGTTTGATGTCTACACTGAATGAGACCACCATTTTCTAGAACAGATTTAAATCACTCTGCCTCTTTTAAAAGTTATATCATAACAAGGCCAAACTGATACTGAATCATTTATGAGGTTTTTAGAGTTGAAATATCAGAGTCATATATTTGCAGAAGCATTGTTCTGACATTTGAATTTCAGCAATAGGCAATTCTGAGACATTTCAAGTTATGCAAAACTTGACATTTCCATGTTAATATACAAAACAACGATGATGTGAAAAGCGACTTCTCTACCAATACTTAAACACTTAATAAAACTTTAGAATCATAGGCTTCTACGATTCAGACTCACATAAGAAGTCCTTACCTAAAAGCTTTAAATGTTTATCCACATGAAAAGTGTATGCGAAACCTCAATCTACACAGATTATTTCCATTTATACACAGAAAAGCAAAACATTATTAATCTCTTTTCAGACCACTTGTTTCCAATTTAACTTCCTTTTCATTTCTCATATATACATGTCAGAATATTCTTGCCATGAGCTATAGATTACTTAAAATTGTTTCTCAAACATTAATAACAACAGTAAATCAAGTACAATTAAATATATTTCACTTTTCTGTATAGTATGAATCTCAGACAGTTGCAATTTTATAAGAAACTAAAATGGAGCACTGATAAATGACCACCATGTCCAATGATTATCTCCTTAAACACCAAAACTAAAATGTTGATCTAGACATGATGATCTCTAGCGGAAACAGTAGAGACATTTTTTTAAAAGGCTGAAATAAGTAGGGTAATAATGAAGAACAAAATGTATAACATTTCTAAGCTGCAAATTAACAAGCAGATATTGACTTTTCTTTGAGGTCAATAACAGCTCTTTATTGATCTAAAAAGTTAACACCTACTAAGGTCAATATAAGATCTCAAGGGTCAACAAATCTGGATTCTAATTTCCACTTTCTTTCACATATAAATATTGCTGAAATGGGTACAACTGTGTTTAGAGAAACCAGGAAATCACCATTATGAAGCCAGAATAATCCAAAGGAATAGGCCAAGGAAGTTAAAAGCATACATAGAAAGAGTTTTTAAAGTCTGTTACTGTAGAATTTCCAGAGATATTGAACCTTAGACATAAATCCTACTACTACATAATTCAGGCAGTTAAATAAGGAGAAACAAACGTAAGTAAAAATTATGTTTTACCAGCATTTGGCTTCTTCATGATATTGACATATGGAATCTCTCCCCACTCGCACTCTGTATCTCTGTGTATGTTGTGTGTGTATGCATATATATTTGAAAAACTATGATGTGAAATAATTTTTCAAGAATAGATTTTAGGCACTTTAAATATAGAGAAAATTCTTTTTTAATTGTAAAATTAAATAGTAACATGTTAGAAAATTCAGAATAGGGAAAAAATCTATAATCTCATTATTCTTATGTTACCATTTCTATTATTATCATAATACACTCTTGTTTTTCTAGATTGAAAAAGAAAAAAATATTAACTCTCATTCTTCTAATAAGTAAAATGGTCTATTCATTCTTATGCATCTTGAAGATGGGCATGTGGGGATAGACCACATGAACGTTGGGACCATGTCCCCATATACATCGAATACTTCCTGGACTCATCAAATTAAATGATTGATTAGCCTGACCCTTTCAACAGTGAAGTAAAAGTTCATATTGTTGTTTTTGTAATTACTAGAAGCACTTAGGGAGAGGTAGAGAGTGGGAGGAAAGAAAGAAGAGGCAAATATTCTTAGAGCATTTACTAGTACCCAAACCTGGCCAAGGTGCTTTTAAATAGACATGAGGCCTCATAGTTACTGGAAAGGACAAATTATCTATAATTTTAATAAAAAATTAAAAAAGAGAAGTCAGGTTTGCAACAATGATGATATTACATGATGGGTACTCAATAAATATGAAGACTACTGTGATTGCAATGTCCTTTTGTTGAAATAAACTTTTAATTTCAGAATAGCTTTAGATTTACAAAAAAATTATGCTCATGGCACAGAGTTTCCATTTACTCTACATCCAGTTTCCCCCATTATCACTTACATTATTATGGTACATGTGTCACAATTAACAAACCAATATTGATACATTATTATTAACTAAAATCAATAACTTTATTCATATGTCCTTGGTTTTTGCACAATGTCCTTTTTCTGTTCCAGGATTCCATCCAGAACTTGCATTATGTTAAGTTTCCTTAAGTTCCTCTGGGCTGTGACAGTCTGCAGTGTAAGTGTACTTTTAGCATATGCTTTAGAAATGACATATATACATTTGCAGACTTACAACTATTGTCACCACTTAGATAAAAACACACACAGCAGAATTATTTTTTGTTACAGACCTAAGGAATATAAATTTGAAAAGTGAATAAAGATAAATGTCTAGTAGAAAAGAAAGCAGATGATATCGGACTCCTTAATGTATCTATTAATATGGAAAAGAGAGAAATAAAGTCTCATTTGCCACAAAAACTAGAAGATCACAACCACTGACCTGGCCTGTAAGTCATCTATCCTTTCACTTCTGCCCATTGTACTGTTAATAGCTAGGGTCTTAACTGATGATGTATGAGGCAGTGAAGTAGGCAAGAAATAAATACTTTGCAGAGATAGATAAACTGCCCTCCAACCCACCTATATTGTTCTCCCTCTTTCTTAGTATAAAGTTGTATTAGAAAGTGGTCATTCAGTTGGAACTGTACTTCCCAGTCCCCCTGCATCTAAGTAGCACCATTCAACTGTTCTTGACAGTGGAACACAGGTAGAATTAATGCGGAGCTTCAAAAGTGGGTATACCTTCTCCACTTTCTTTGCCTAGCTGCTGGCTAAAGGTAAAGGACACCAAAGCCCCAGGGCAGGGCAGAGCCAAAAGACAGCTGAAGCCTAGATTTCTGAATAACTACCTGAAAGGGCTGTCTGCCCACTTGGACACTTGCATTACACAGTTTCAAGAGTGAGAAATAAACGTCACTGAATCAAGCCACTGGGGCGACTGGGGTTTATTTGTTACAGCAGCTAGCGTTACTATGCAAATTAGTACAAATGGAAACTAACATTTATGGATCACCACTGTGTTGGATGTTTTATATAGTTTATCACATTTATCTCTCAGGACAACCTCCATATAGAAGATCTGCAAGGATTTTTATACATTTGAAAACTAAGACTCAGAAAGGCTAAGGAACTTGTCTAAGGTCTTACAGTTATTAAGTGGCAGGACCAAGATTTGAACCTGAGTCTGTCTCGTAGCAAAGCTCCAGGCACATTCCATTTTGCTTCACTGCAGGTGAAAGAGAGGTGACCTGACTTGGCACTTGGATGAAAAAATAATTTCTGTGCATTTTATATGAGTAACTTTTTTTAAATCCTCAAAGGAGAACAGAAATTGCACGTGTGTTCTCCCTACTTTTTATGTAGAAGACACAAAGTCCCAATTTACAAGGGGTGGATGTGAGACGATTAGTTCATTTGAATTTGTTAGCATTTTTCAGATCAAGACAACCTTATACAAAAATGCAGAAGAGAGAGATACACTACACCTTTGTAACCTGCTGATAATCTTACAGTGTTTAATTTGAGCAGAGGCCAGCAACTTACAGAGGGCACGAAAGAACTGTTGCTCCACAAGGTTTACAGTTAACAAAAGAGAGAAGAGAAAGACGTACTTGTTCTCACAACAGTATGAATTTAAAGAACTATATGGGGTGTGCATTCTACAGGAAGCCCAAGTAGGAAGAAAAATGAAACACTGTACCTTGCACACAGCAATAAAAATGAGGGGATTCATTGTAGTAAGAAAATTCACAGCTGGCAGGCAGTATCAGTGAGGCAATAAGATACTTGGTCCATCTTCATGCTTACCTTTTAGAGTCAATGGTTTTTTTTTTTTTAAAAGGTCTCTTTTTACAGTAACAAAGTCACTCCAGTCAATCCCTTTGACTCACCTACATGAAAAATTTGGATGTCTGTAAAAGTCTTATGCTAACACTAGTGAGAAAAACTCGTGCATCTCTTAAATTTGTGTAGCCTTCTTAGGACAGATTTTGTTTGTTGGTTGGTTGGTTTGTTGGTTTCAAATGAACAGGTCCTAATCATCAACAGATCTGCACAGAGTATTGAACATTACATAGATAATTCAAAGATATGCTAATGAGAAAGAGGGAAACTAAAAGTACTTATTTCTTCATGAAACCAAATAAAACTTAATACATATTCTGGATGGTGAAAGTAGATGGCATTTGGGGAAATATTCAGGGGATCAGTGTTACTCAGCTTGAACAAATTTCCATTTCAGATAAGGTAATTTATTGATTGATACGATGAGTTAACAGATGTAAAAGTAGTCTGAAAATTTTAAAGCAGAATATACAATGTTATCGCCTGTGTTACCATTGTTATTTTTAGCACATAATACATTAACAATTACCAACATTTATGATTTAAAGCATTAAAAACCTCCATAATATATTAAATAATTACATATCTGTCTATTAATGAATGGGTTAATTGGGATGGTTACTCTGAAATAATAAAAAGTTTGATGGAAAATGTTTTAAAAATAAGTGTTATCACTTTCAAGTAAAAATTACTGAATGATGAATGTTAAAAGATGAATGTTAGCTATGCCATAGGACACCCCCCAGGAATTCTCATAAGCCATGTATTTGCCCCAAAGCCTGGCTTTGCTCACAGTTTACTTACTTCTCCTTCCTCCTCTCCTTATGTATTCCATAAGGCCCATCTTTCTCAAGTCTTTCCCCGACATAATGAAATAGACTTAATTACCTCCTCTACCCTCCTTAAAAACACTAATTGTATTTATTATTAGAATCTATAGCTATTTATTTTCCCATAGGCATTTTGCCAAGATATTCCAGCTTATTAAAGGAAATTTATATTTATATAACAGCCAAGGACAGTGCCAGGATTTGTTCCTTCCTAAATGATATGAAATCTATTTTCCCTTTCAGGTGGCTTGAATTTCTCCTCCACCTTAATTCCAAACGCAAAATTTGCCAATAATAATAATGTAAGGCAGTATTTTTCTTGCTATAGCAGAGATCAATAGAAGTCCAGTCCACATCCAATAAATCCAATCCTAATTTCTTAGAGCCTAATAATTGTTTGCTGAACAAAATGTTAAGGTTCCACTGAGCTCTATTTAAGTGTTATATATTGCAAACAACTTTGAAAATGGAAATTTAAAAAAAAATAGCTCCATTGTGAAGGTTTTTTTTTTTTTTTTTTTTTTTTTTGAGATGGAGTATCGCTGTGCCGCCCAGGCTGGAGTGCAGTGGCGCGATCTCTGCTCACGGCAAGCTCCGCTCGCCGGGTTCACACCATTCTCCTGCCTCAGCCTCCGGAGTAGCTGGGACTACAGGCGCCCACTATCACGCCCGGCTAATTTTTTTGTATTTTTAGTAGAGACGGGGTTTCACAGTGTTCGCCAGGATGGTCTCCATCTCCCGACCTCGTGATCCGCCCGCCTTGGCCTCCCAAAGTGCTGGGATTACAGGCGTGAGCCACCGCGCCCGGCCGTGAAGGTACTTTATATAAACACAAATATCAACCTTTTCATGTAGACCAGGACCTTAGACACTTGATTACAATGAAATTAGCAACGTGGAGGGTAATGGTAGGACTACTACTCAACAATGTGCCTTCTTTATCCTCCAAAAGGAACAGTTTCCAAAAAGCCTTTTTCCTTTTTCTGGCTTTAGGATGGTTTCTTCCTCTCTCTAAATAAATAGATATTTATTTAACTACGACTTCACGCTTATATCTTAAGATACAGAAGGGCAACACAGTGCCATATGTGAATGATGACCCACCATGACAGTCTCTTTGATAAGGACTTTACTTGGAAAAACATATTCTTCAATAAAAAATTATTTTTTAATGTTTACTTTGTTCTCTTGTGGCAACGCTGGAAAACACTGTAGCCCAAGAGGAAATACAGACGAAAGCTTCAAATGTAGAGCACACACAAAAAAGCCATTTTTAAAGCTCATGCCCATCAAGTTTTCCACTTGATATAAGTTGTACACAAAGTCTTAGTCCAATGCAAACCCATGCTGTGAAAATTCTGTAGCATCCATCTCAAAAAAATTCTGTTAAATACATAAACACTGTTAAAAAAAAAAAAAAAACCTTCTGGCACTAGAAGTCAGACTCAAAGGGAAAATAAACTTGATTAAAAATTCCCAAAGAAAGTTATATAAGTACAGTGCAACAAGGTCATAAGCTTCACTGTAATATTTGAAATTAAACTGTCATTTTCACAATCTGCTGTAGTCTTCATTCTTTTTCTAAACTCACAGAGATGCAAGAGAGTAAGAATGGCTCCACGTGTATCTTACAAACCAACTGGAAAAGTGATAGGCATTATGGGGAAGTCACCTTTAAAAATGAGTATAACACTTTTTAACAGATTAAAAATGAACCCTATGAATTCACTTGGACTACCTAAGGAGAAGGTTCTCCAAACAGGATTTAAATGACATTCTTTTCTTACCACCATGGAGCTCACCAATACCTCAGAGGACCTCACAAAGTATATATAAGCACAACTTGAAAATACTCTTTAAGAGCTTTGCCCAAATGATAACCTCCTCAATTCTTTTCAGAAAAGAATCACAGCTTTTTGAGATATCAGACTTTAATAGGCTTGTAACTGTAAGGTAAATGGTAACTACACATTAAAAATGATGATCCTGCAACTGAACTGGACAGACTTTTAAAAATTCATAGGATCTGGTCAAGTAATTCTTCTCAGCATTAAAAAAATACCTATTCAAGCAGAGATATCCTTCCACTGTCCAAAATAATGAATAGAAAAACTTTTTCTAGAGAAAGAACTTTCTCTGTCAAAAAGTTTAATATTTCTATAGACAATTTTTTCTCTAAAATATTTATGGTTGGAAAAAAGATAGTTAATATCAACCCAACTGTAGAATCCTATCTTCTGTCCCTATATGGGAGAATAACATAAAGTGTTAATTTGTTATTTTCGCAACAATTTGGACACCATAGTGCCTTTCTAAATTCCAACCTGTACTTAAACAAAATTACTTCAGCTAATAATCTGAATCAGTGTTTATGGACACATAACATTCTCTACTCAGATAACCCAGACCAGGACTGTGTTATCTTACTGGCCCTAGCTCTGCACCTCTGCAGCACCTGACACTCAGTAGGGCTCAACGAAACCTGTTGAATAAGTGAAATATAACATTTACTTTCTTCCATATAATCTTATACCACTTTCACCAATAGGACAGAATCAGAAATTTATTCTTCTACCTTAATTGATAACAGCTCTGAGGGAAAGGAACACGTAGTGAATACTTTTTGGGTCTATTTTCTCAGGAGTCTTAAAAATGACTCATCAGTAAATGGGAGGCGGGGTGGTAGGGGGCGGCAGATGTAAGCGCTGGTATCTGCTGCAGGAGATGTTACATTGTACCTGGCACAGTGAACACTCAAAATATTTCTTGAAGAGAAGGCAGGAGGGCAGGG
Organism: Homo sapiens; assembly: GCF_000001405.40. NCBI lineage: Eukaryota > Metazoa > Chordata > Mammalia > Primates > Hominidae > Homo > Homo sapiens. The sequence continues at coordinate 112,548,980 of NC_000010.11, read as the reverse complement.
AAGGAGAAGAAGAGAAGAAAGAAAGATATAATTATGAGGAGGAGGTAGAAGTAGAAGAAAATGTCAGTGGATGTGAAGAAACTTCTAAAATGATTTTTTAAAAAGTGATTGATCACCGTTCCGGTAAAAAGCTGGAAGATGGCCCTAAATTCTTAAAGTCTGGTGATGCTGCCATTGTTGGTATGGTTCCTGGCAAGCCCATGTGTGTCGAGAGCTTCTCAGACTATCCATCTCTGGGTCCCTTCGTGATATGAGATAGACAGTTGCTGTGGGTGTCATCAAAGCAGTGGACAAGAAGGCTGCTGGAGCTGGCAAAGTCACCAAGTCTTCCCAGAAAGCTCAGAAGGCTAAATGAATATTATCTTATTCATTATTCAATGAATAATACCTGCCACCCTGGTCTTAATCAGTGGTGGAAGAATGGTCTCAGAACTGTTTGTTTCAATTGGCCATTTAAGTTTAGTAGTAAAAGACTGGTTAATGAATCATAACAATGCATCGTAAAACCTTCAGAAGGAAAGGAGAATGTTGTGGACCACTTTGGTTTTCTTTTTTGCGTGTGGCAGTTTTAAGTTATTAGTTTTAAAAATCAGTACTTTTTAATGGAAACAACTTGACCAAAAATCTGTCACAGAATTTTGAGACCCATTAAAAAAATTTAATGAGAAAAAAAAAGTGACTGGCTTTGAATTTGATAAAAACTGCCTCAACAGATATTTCTACTCAAATTTCTGAATGAATTCTATACTGAGTTGATTAAAATAATAAGGTGAGTTGAAAGACAGTGTCAAGAACCAAAAGACAGAAGGCGATAAAGTTGCAGTACTGTGCTTTTATACCACAAAATCTCCATATAATGAGACGACTTAGGAAAACTCTATTAGTAGTTCAGTCAAGACTTGGAAACAAACAAATACATTAAAAAGGCACCTCAAAATTTAAATGCATTTGTTCAGCTTCTTTAAAAAGTTCTAAACATGAAGCACATTTTAGCTGATTTTTAAAAAGAGTAAGCTTGGGTAAGCATATTAAAAAAGAGAAAAAAGAAAAAAAGTAAGCTTATACTACTGTTGATTGATTGCTTTTCTTCAAAAATTCTTTAAAAAGAACTAGATAAAGAAAGAAACAAACAAACAAAAACAAACAAAGTGGTGTACACGAATTATCTAATTCTCATTAAAACGCTATAATCTAAAAATAATTTATTTTCTAAAAGAAAAAATACTCCATATCTTTCTCTGGCTAACTCTATTAGGTCAAATGAATTCAAATTTTGATCAAATAAGCATAAAGGGCATACATAAACTGAACATATCATGTAAAACAGGTCAGTGGAAGTATATTCCTATAATGGGGAATGACTGCAGCTTAAAATTATTATTATTATGATTATGATTATTATTGAGACAGAGTCTCCCTCTGTTGCCCAGGCTGGAGTGCAGTGGCACAATCTTGGCTCACTGCAACCTCTGCCTCCTGGGTTCAAGTGATTCTCCTGCCTCAGCCTCCCAAGCAGCTGGGATTACATGCATGTAACCACCACGCCCAACTAATTTTTGTATTTTTAATAGAGACGGGGTTTCACCATGTTGGTCAGGCTGGTCTCAAACTCCTGACCTCAAGTGATCCGCCCACCTCGGCCTCCCAAAGTGCTGGGATTACAGGCATGAGCCACCACGCCTGGACTATTATTTTTTGAGACAAGGGCTCACCCTGTTACTTGGGCTGGAGTACAATGGCACAATCACCGCTTGCTTACTGCAGCCTCGACCTCCTGGGCTCAAGTCATCCTCCCACCTCAGCCTCCCAAGTAGCTGGGACTACAGGCACATGCCATTATGAACAGCTAATTTTTGTATTTTTTGTGGACATGGGGTTTCACCATGTTGCCCAGGCTGGTATCCAACTCCTGGGTTCAAGTGATCTGCCTGCTTGGCCTCTTGAAGTGCTGGGATTATAAGCGTAAGCCACTGCTGCCAGCCTGCAGTTTAAAATTAGATAACAATAACATAGCATGGAAATACTGAAATTGAAGAGAAATCCGTATTTTTATTTTTTAAAAAGAGATAGCCTTCATAGAAAAGAAACAGGACTCCCAAGGAAACCCTCAAACAGAAATGGAAAGAATCCACTCTATCAATTCTACAACAAATAAGGTTTGGGTGGAAAATATTTTCTTTTATGCAAGGAACTTGAAAACACACGGCATTGGTATTATTCTTACTCAGAGAGTCTATTTTTGCATTTCCCTAATGAAACAAGATATGCAGGAAATTGTGATGAATATGCCTCTTTTTTTAAAAAAAAAGGATGTGAGTAGTGTTAAATATAGAGATAAAATGTGTTTTGACAAAAATAAAGGTGTATAATTAGTCCCTTTTTGGGTTACTGGATGCTTTACTAGCTATTCTAGCGGACAAGTAATGCCTACTCACATGTTCCTGAGGTAAGACAGATAATTATTACAGCTCCTGAAAAGACCATCCCAGTGCCACCAATAATTAAATTAACAGACATAGCCATATTAATTATTTCATAGGGAGTATACATTTGTAAAATTTAATTGATTAATTTTTTATAGAGAGGGCATCTCACTATGTTGCCAAGGCTGGTCTCTAATTCCTGACTTCAAGCAGTCTTCCCACCTCAGCTTCTCAAAGTGCTTTGGATTACAGGTGTGAGCCACCATGCCTGGCCAGGAGTATACATATTAACTATAGCTAGCTACCTGGCCAAATTTTTGTATATATATATGTGTGTGTGTGTGTGTGTGTGTATGCATATATATGTGTGTGCGTATGTGTGTGTGTGTATATATATACACACATATATACGCACACACATATATATGCAAAATACACACACACGTGTATACACGTATATACACACATACGCGTATACACGTATATACACACACATACGCGTATACACGTATATACACACACATACGCGTATACACGTATATACACACACATACGCGTATACACGTATATACACACACATACGTGTATACACGTATATACACACACACATATACATGCAAAATACACAAACACATGCACACACACACACCCTGGTCAAATTTTTGCATATATACACATATATATGCAAAATACACACACACAGCCACAAACACACGCGCACGCGTGCGCACACACACACGAGATTCAATGAAATGACATTTATCCAGTTTGAATAAACACAGACTAAATACTAGCACTGGAAAGTAAGCATTTAACTCAACTTTAATGTGCATACAAATCATAGCTGATCTTGTTAAAATGCAAATTCTGATCCAGTAGATCCGACATGGGACCCAAGACCCTGCATTTTTAACAAGCTCCCAGGGGATGTCAACGTTGCTGGTTCTGGACCCCACTTTGGGTAGCAAGAAACTAACTCATTTCCTCTTTAGATTGATGCAAAATTGACCAAAATGACAACGTATGTTTAAACTCGGAACTTACCTGAAAATGATTAGACAGAAAAAAGAAATACCATAGTTTTGTGAGATAATTAACAAATATATTTATTATTTTATTGTGCCTTTCATGAACTCTAGGAAATAAGTATCATTATCATCATTCTTCATGTAAAATATTATCATAAACTTGGCTTTCAGCCCAGATTTATAATCACAAATGTCCATTACTGCCAGCCTGATGGGACTGGCCACTGTCCATTTGTCCCTACAAGGCACAAAGATTAATAAGTCTCCATTTGTTTTGGGGATAGCCTTACAAAAGAATCTTTGGAAACACACGCCAATTGTTAAAGAATTAATGATAAATTTCAAGCTCTTTGTTCCAAAATGCCTTTTAAGCCAGCTTATAATTTTTCCTGTATCTTCACGACCAAATTCCTCTGTTGGCAATTTCAGTTGGTAAAAGGACCAAATCTTGGATTACTATAATAAACTTCCTAACATGTCTTCTCATTTCCAACTCTGCTCTGCCACCACTCCAATCCCTGTTCTCCACACTTCAGATCAGGTCGCTTGCCTGATGAAAGTCCTCCATGACTGTCACACCCTACTCAGAATAAAATCCAGACCCCTTCCATGTCCCATGGCCCCACACAACTTGCCCCACTTGACTGCCCTAATCATGCCCCGTGCTCCCTGGCTCACTTCATCCCAGCTGTACTGGTTTTCTTTCTGTTGCCTGAACATCCTGAGCACATTCTCATTCCAGAGCCTTTGTGCTTGCTCTTCCCTCTTCTCAGAATCATCTGTCCCAGCTTACTGATGGCATCTTGGTACCATTCAAGGCTCAGTTTACAGGGTTCTTCCCTGGGAGATCCTTCCTGACTAGCCAATGTAAGGTAGCCTTTATCAGTTATCCTTTTTTTTTTTTCTGGAGGCGGGGGACAGGGTCTTGCTATGTTGTGCAGGCTGGTGCCGTTACTCTTGAATACCTCGCGTCGTTTACTGCTATCCAAAATGGTCTTGTCCATTATTAACTTAAGAAATGTCTGTCTCAGCCGGGCGTGGTGGATCACACCTGTAATCCCAGCACTTTGGGAGGCCAAGGTGGGTGGATAACTTAACATGGTGAAACCCTGTCTCTACTAAAAATACAAAAATTAGCTGGGCATGGTGGTGGATGCCTGTAATCCCAGCTACTCGGGAGGCTGAGGTAGGAGAATCACTTGAACCAGGAGGTGGACATTGCAGTGAGCCAAGATTGCATCATGGCACTCCAGCCTGGGCAACAAAGCAAGACTCCATCTCAAATGCCATCCCCATCAAGCTACCAATGACTTTGTTCACAGAATTGGAAAAAACTACTTTAAAGTTCATATGGAACCAAAAAAGAGCCCGCATTGCCAAGACAATCCTAAGCAAAAAGAACAAAGCACGAGGTGTCACACTACCTGACTTCAAACTATACTACAAGGCTACAGTAACCAAAACAGCATGGTACTGGTACCAAAACAGAGATATAGACCAATGGAACAGAACAGAGCCCTCAGAAATAATACCACACATCTACAATCAACTAATCTTTGAGAAACCTGACAAAAACAAGAAATGGGTAAAGGATTCCCTATTTAATAAATGGTGCTGGGAAAACTGGCTAGCCATATCTGGAAAGTTGAAACTGGATCCCTTCCTTACACCTTATACAAAAATTAATTCAAGATGGATTAAAGACTTAAATGTAGACCTAAATCCATAAAAACTCTAGAAGAAAACCTAGGCAATACCATTCAGGACATAGGCGTGGGCAAGAACTTCATTACTAAAACACCAAAAGCAATGGCAACAAAAGCCAAAATTGACAAACGGGATCTAATTAAGCTAAAGAGCTTCTGCACAGCAAAAGAAACTATCATCAGAGTGAACAGGCAACCTACAGAATGGGAGAAAATTTTTGCAATCTACCCATCTGACAAAGGGCTAATATCCAGAATCTACAAAGAACTTAAACAAATTTAGAAGAAAAAAATCAAACAACCCCATCAAAAAGTGGGCAAAGGATATGAACAGACACTTCTCAAAAGAAGACATTTATACAGCCAACAGACATATGAAAAAATGCTCATCATCACTGGCCATCAGAGAAATGCAAATCAAAACCACAATGAGATACCATCTCACACCAGTTAGAATGGCGATCATTAAAAAGTCAGGAAACAACAGGTGCTGGAGAGGATGTGGAGAAATAGGAACACTTTTACACTGTTGGTGGGACTGTAAACTAGTTCAACCATTGTGGAAGACAGTGTGGCGATTCCTCAAGGATCTAGAACTAGAAATACCATTTGACTCAGCGATCCCATTACTGGGTATATACCCAAAGGATTATAAACCATGCTACTATAAAGACACATGCACACGTATGTTCATTGCAGCACTATTCACAATAGCAAAGACTTGGAACGAACCCAAATGTTCATCAATGATAGACTGGATTAAGAAAATGTGGCAGATATACACCATGGAATACTATGCAGCCATAAAAAAGGAGGAGTTCATGTCCTTTGTAGGCACATGGATGAAGCTTGAAACCATCATTCTCAGCAAACTATCGCAAGGACACAAAACCAAACACTGCATGTTCTCACTCATAGGTGGGAATTGAACAATGAGAACACTTGGACACAGGGTGGGGAACATCACACACCGGGGCCTGTTGTGGGGTGGGGAGAGTGGGGAGGGATAGCATTAGGAGAATCCTAGGTTTGTAAGTGTGGACATAATTACTTAATCTCTCTCTAACTTGTTTTCTCATCTTTAAAATGAGGAAAGGATAATCACTACATAGGTTTGTGGTGAGGATTAAAGAGAGAATGAATATAAAGTATGGAAAACAGTGTGTGGCCCATATTAAATGTTCAATAAACATTGTGTTATTTCTACATATGTTCAGTCATCAGGACACGCAGGGCCCTGGGTGAAGGCTCGAGCACCTCTTCTTCGTGGCAGGAAGGCTCACAGAATGTTAGCTCCCTGTCGTGGAGAGATCAGTGGCCACCTGGGAAGTCAGGGCGAGGTGGCCTGCAGTGACTACTGAGAGAAGGGGTGACAACTTGTAAGGCTTGCTGGTGAGGGATGGGGGAGCAAGGTCATCAAGTGGTACAGATCGTGATTCAAGGATGTGAGGCTGCTGAGTGTAGACAAACTCTCACAGTTCCAGAGATGCACTGCCAGGTGCACGGGGGCCCATCTACAGTACCGGTGGGACAGTTGGGAGGGTCTTAAGCTACCTGTTTACGTATTAAAAGCAGAGAGTGAGCCTTGCATTTCTGCCCTTGTACAATTTCTCTTTCAGCCTGTTTCTTTGTTAATAATACAGCTCCCATTAGTTTTGTGCCTATTGTAATTCTGGGATATTTACTTCAGAGAAAAGAAGAATCATCATTTCAGAATAAAGGGCAGATGACCCAGAATTTTGAGTATTAAGTCCCTGACCTCAAACAAAATGGATATGTCCATAGCTAAAAGTCATATCTGACTATTAATAGTAACAACAACAAAAAAAAAGAGCTGCTTTTTATTCACAGATTCTAGGACAAGAACTTAAAAGCAATGCCACACTGGATCAAGCCAATGGTTCATGCAACCAGTGTAGTGTTCTGTCAATTAACTTGTAGCTTCATCAATATTCTCAAATAAGAAAGGATCCATCAAAGAAACCTGACTGGTATTAAACTCCGTGCATATCAGGGTGTGAACAGCACTTAGGAATAATCATGTGCCTTTTCTCAAACCAAGCACATTATGGACATGTGTCCCTCTGCTGAGTTCCAGAAGAGACAATGACTGCCTATATGACAAAATAAGATGTCAAAAATGATTCAAGAATTTTAGAAGATGGATTTCATTATTTATTAAGAAGACCCTATAATGTGCATTCTATTCTACTCTACTCCATTCTATTTTCTACATTAACTTTCTTTTATAGTATTTGCCAATTACATTCATCAAGTTAATGAATAGAAAAGTTTACAGATTTTTGTTGAAATCTTTGCCAATGATTCTCAAAGTTAACCACTTTTGCTGATGGTAGTTTATAAAAATGATGATTTTAACAGAGCTCTCTTTAGTTTCTAAGCCCTTAAATATATATGACCTTATTTTACTTCATAAAAACCTTAAGGGATACATAGAATCTGGTTGACAGTTTCCATTTTGCAAATATAAGAACACATGCAGAGAGGTTAAATGATTTCTCAAAGTCACACAGCTGATTAATGACATGGACAGATGATGTGGTTTTTCTCTCTCTCCAATTCAGTATATCAGGCTATAGTTCCTAATTTTGTGGTCAAGTAAAATTTGAAAAAAAATTTGAAGGGCCTAAAATAGGGATGCCAATTTTGTTATTCTTCTAAGTAAAGAAAAAAAAATAACTTCTACCTACTATTTCAATCACATTACAACTTTCCTTTACACCCCCAAATAGGAAAAACATCATCTTAGAAATAACTGTAGCCTTGTGAATTAATAAAATATGTTTTATGAGAAAGTCACTATGTTCTACTTCTCTTCTCATTTTGCAGTGCACTGGTGAAAACTGTTGTGGTCTAGAACTGGCTCTCAGACCAATACCTGGAAGCCATTTCCCTGTTTTGTGCTGTTTCAAAAGTTATACTAGTTCTTCCACCTCTCTTCCTCCTTGCATTCCATAGTCTTTAAAAAGAAGACATCAATAAGTGCTGAAAGTTTTTCCTTTCCAAAGATGCTGTTCTGATACTTTAACAAATGGTAAGTATCCTAAATTTACATCACAGTCAAAACACAGAGCTATGGATTGACAAGCCATGACTAGGCTGAGGACCAGTAGGGAAGCAGGAAATACGAAGCAATATGGTGCCCACCCCAGTGTATTCCTTCCACATTACTTCAGTAAGTAGCAAGAGCAGGAAAAATGCTTTGTCCCTGCCTTCTCATTTCCCACTCCACTTTCAAATTCATCCACAAAAGTAAATTAGCAATGATGACTCCCGTCCATGTACAGGCTGAGCCACATCTGTCTTTACTTCCACAAAGCCCATTCTTATCCATCCTCCCAGACTTGGTCTTGTATTCTGCAAGAAGTTCCCAAGCCTTATGTGACAAGTCAACATCTAATTTTATAACACTTCATACTCAATACCATAATATTTTACTAAAAAGTCCAAAGGGACTGAGGTAGGCTGACAGGACACTCTTAAGTTGACATTTCCATGTTGGTTATGTTGATAGTTTGATGTGGATGTTATGTTTTAGCACACACCAAAAATAATAACTATCAAATCCCATTCAAGCAAATAACCTTGATCAAAACACAGTCTTTTGGTATCTGCGATCTTCTTTCAGCTTTGGGAGGGAGCTATATGAATAGTTTAGTGAAAGAAAAAAAAGACACACAAGTATGTAGCCCAATCAACCAAAGCAAGCCTTGTGATCAGTGTCACGACGAGAAGACCCCCTGAGTCTGAACCAGCCCCATGTGGAAAGAGGCTGACCAATGGATGTTTTGTCAAGGAAGGTCCCTGTGATTATGGTCATATTCCATAGACACAGTGCTATGTTCCCCAAGGATTGTCAAAGTAACACATTTTGTTTTCTATTCCTTTACTATTTATAAATTTCAATCATAATAAAAGTTATCTTCTAGGAGATAAAGATAAATGCCTGTAGATCGTCAATGACCACACAATAATAATAATATTTATATTTGTATATGTGTTTTTTGGTATATAAAACATTTTTACATGTACCATTTTTTCTTAAGAATGTTTGGAGATAGGCAATATTATTTCCATGTTATTGAAGAAGAAACTGAGGCTCAGCGAGGTTACGTGATCTCCTCAAGGTCACACAAACAAGAGCTAGAACCCAAGCCTGGTCCTCTGACTTCATGTTCAAGGCTCTTTCCATTATTCACATTCTTCCCAAGAACAGTCACCTCTAAAGATGAGCTCCCAAACAAAAAGAACACACAAAAGCTGGCTTTTATTCCAATCCGGGCAGAAAGCCAATCTATCAATTACCTCAGGATGAAGGGCTGTCCATAACTATTAAATCTGGGAAGGTTTGTGGTTTTCTTTAGTTTTTTCACTATTAATATAATGCCAAAGTTGTTTGTATTCTTCCTGTTTGGTTGCCTAGAATTCATCACATTAACCAACCAATATAGGGCAGCCATGAACACAGGACAAGAAAAACACTGGCCATTCATAAAAGAAATTATTTGGAATCATTTTCATCATACCTGTTCTTACAAAATAAACATTTCTATGACTCTAAATCTTTAAAAATTGATAAAAACATTGTTGATTACATATTTTTGTGGTTTACACATTGGGCAAGAGCTATCCAAAATACACAAAATAGATTATTTACAATCTATGCTTGACAAAACAAAATAAAAAGCGTAGAGTAACAGTAAGAAACTGATGACTACTAAGGTGTTAATGGATATTTATTTACTCTGGAGACAAACAGTCATTGCATGAAACATTTATAACAAAAAAGCATGTTCATTTTAAGTAGACTGATTTTAGAAGTCATACTAAGATTATGTTTTCTGAAATTAATAACTGGTATTAATTCAAACCAAAAGTTTGAAGAGCATTAACTAATGCTAATAAGATTATCATGAACATTAGCCTTACTCCTTGCTATGACTTTTTCATAATTTTCGTATCTGATTATAGGCTCTATTCATGATTTTTTTTTTTAAACAGGATTATTAGGAATCATTTCCAACACCAGGACAAATATGCAAAGTAAAGTGGGTATTGTTATTTCTTTGTCCCTAGTTCACATGATTTAGATTGATTAAAATGTTAATTTTTACATATGTGAATAAAACGTAAAGGAGCAAACTGGAGATTGCGCCATGTGCTAGCAATCATTGCGGGTGGGTAAACTGACAACATGTAACTGCATATTAAGACAAATGTAGAATTTAGACAAAGTATTCCATCTCTTTTCAGATGTATACTTTTAAACCTCAGGAACTGTTTTCAGTAGATGTCATGCCTTTTAACTTGAAAAAAGATAAGCGCAAATAAGCTCCCAATTGTCTCCCCAATATGTAAACCACATCTCGGGCTGCTGTCTCTGCTACTCCTTTGAAGTTTCCCTGAAATGTCATGTGTTGTGAAGACTGCTGTGCATAAGCAAGACAATTTGCTCACTCTCAGAATTCTTACCGGTTTCCACTGCTATTTGGTATCCAGCCTCTAGTCTCCGAGATGACCTTTCCAGCCTCTCTGTGTTATCGAGCAGATGTGCCCTCTGAAAAAGAAAAAGGGGGAAAAAAAAATCAGACGGCCGTCTACAATGTTCTTTTTTTTGCCTTAAAAAAAAAATGCCTTCGTATGCCCTAACATGGGGTGGGGGGGTTCGCAACCCATTACAGTTAATTTTTAGCAAATTTTCCATTATAGGAACCACTACCATAGACAGATTTCCAGCAATCACGTATGGACCATCCACTTCGTGTTTTTAAAAGGAGACTCGTGTTGTATGTGGCCACAATGAATCTTACTTCAAAATACTGAGAAAAGTACGAAGACCATACCCAACTGGATCTTTGCTGTTTCAGCAGAGATGGATATATGAGATACTTGCATAGATCTACGTTCCCTATTTGTATTTATTTTTTATAAAATGCAATCATTTCAAAGATCCATTTGCTCCTTTGATTCTTGCAGATAGAAATTTTAAAACAGGAACTTTATTTGTAAGAAAATGATCCATAATTTTGGATGTGCAGCAAGATGCTATATAGAACAGCATATGCTACTAAGACAGAATACTAAACAGCACTTCTACTTTTCAGACAACTGGAGGCAACACTAAGAAACAAGAGACACATGTTTCTCCATTTACATAGATGTACAATATTGTGCATTTGTTCCTAAATATATGGCACTATGTAGATTGATGTTGATATTTTAACACACAGTGCTTTAGACTGTGAACTAAATTTACAGTAATTATATATACCTCTTTTATATTTATCTGATGGGGAAATTAGAGGATTTTCTTCAAATCCTCAGCTTCTAAACTTTCTTTCCTCCATTGAGATGGTTGTTGTTGATTTTTTTTGTAACCATAATGATCATACATTAGATCTATTCAGGTTGCCAAACAGATTTATAATCTAATCATGGCTATGAATGGATAAAAACTGATACAGATATATATATATATATATATATATATACCTAGATACTTAGAAATATATAAATGTATGTATCTGTGTGTGTGTGCGTGTGTGTGTACATGCATACATGTATCTGCATACGTTAATATCTTCCCTTCTCAAATCAGTTTTGGTATCTGGTCAAAAAGAAAGAAAAAACACAACCACAACTCCTACAACTTTGTGTTGTTGACAGATGTCATTTAAAATTGGAGAAATGCTTTCTAATAATAATAAAAAAGGAGGTGCCACACATATTATCTGAGTGGCTGTCGAGCGAAACGATCTACCTTGCTCTAATGAGCCCCCATGGATCTTGGAGATGCAAGCTGTATTGACATGCACACTTAAGCTAATACACCTAGACCAGTGCCTCCAAGCTCTAGCAGCCAGGGATGCTGACAGAATATCTCGCTTCCATCTTCAAAGAAAGGAAGTGATTAGTATGTTATCATTACCATTCACAACGTGATTTCCTTATTCCCTCCCGGCATAGGTGACACATCTGAGATGCGGCCAGACGTTGGAGGCAGCTAAAGCCACATCAAAGCTTTCCTTGAAATTTTTTTGGGGGGAAGGGTGGGGGGGTGAGAATCATTAAAACAATGCATTTAGAACAGAGAGATAGGACCTGATGTGAAGGTCAGGAAGCTGCAACAACAGTCTATCATAATTAATAGAGTCGTCCAATGTACAGCAGAGATATTAAGAGAAAAATTGTCCCCTCCCTCTGCAAAAAAAAAATATAAATATAAATAAATAAAACAGAGAGGAAAGCTTCTTGTATCATTAAAAAGCAAAATCACTGAAGGCTGTAATTAAGAAAAAGAAGAGAAAGGGGAGCTCTGTGTGTCTGGCATTGATGACTATTTTTAAATAAAATTAAACACTTTACTAAGGCTTGTCAAAAATAGCTTTCTTATTCCTAAGTTTCCCTATGTGCAGGTTCTGGGAGTAAGGATTGCTCTTCCCTTCCTTGAAAATTGTTTTCTACCTTAACAAAGGACTTAACTGCAAACTGGTGATTCTCTAAAAAGATATCAATCAGATCTGTGAAATCAAAAGTAAATCTGAATTTTAATCCAGAATAAGACAACAAATATCTTTGGTTCATTTTCATATTGGATGAAATCCCAAAATTAAAAGAAAACATTTAGTTATTAGAGATTTACAAAAAAACAAAGATCAATACTGGAAATGGACTTCCACTTTTATAATAATATTTAATGTAGGAAATAAAGCATTTAAATGTAAAATAACTAGGGGGATTTCATGGTTATAATAGCAAAATTTCTGAAAGACCTTTAAAAATATGTATATTACTGAATAATAGAAGTAACTCTTCTTCAGAACAGTTCAATTTTATCAGAGTAAATCTGCACACAAGAGGACTATCAGTTTATCAGCAGCTTTACAGCAGGATTTCACTTTCTATTTTGGAACCTCTTCACTTAAGTCAAACTAAAATCAAGTTCTTGAAACAGCTGCACTATTTACATTGTTCCCTTAGTTGTACATTGCCCTGGTCTCTGTAAATGAAAGGAAATACACTACAGTAGCAGCTGATGCTTTCAACTTGCCCCCACACTCCATCCCAAACTCATTCTCTCACCCTCTTCTCAGCCCTTTTCAAAGCAGGTAAGTGAAGCTGTGCAGGAGCTTCAGACAGAGCTCAACTTGTGTGAGGAGCTGCGCAATGTGGAGAGCTGGAGATGTAGGATTCAAACGGAGCTCGGCAGAGCCAACACCAGATCAGCTCCCTATGCACTACAACCCTGCCTCCAAGCATGCTCCCTTTCCAAAACTGAGCCCAGAAAGAGCAACACAAGGAAGAGAAGGGGCATATTTTTGTTTCCAAGCGAAACAAAACACATTTTGGAGCAGCTGAGTGCTTGTCTTCTTAGCACAGTTGCAAGTTAAGAAACATGGGGGTAACATTCTCTCTATGATTACTATTAGAATCCCAACTGAGAAATAATCACTCCTCAGCAAGCCATATACCAATGCAGCATCATCACTGTAATCTAGTCTATAAATATCAATGCTAGATCTATATCAAAGACTGTTAAAAGAATATTTCAGAGTATATTATTCTGTTAGTTGATTAATCTAATTTTTCCAATTATAATTCAATTACATGTTACAGTTTCAGAAACATGAATTCCAGAATCATAACTGATGAAACTGCTGCTACAGGCATAAGAAAAGAAATAAGCCATCAAACAAAAATAAAAAATATTTTAAAAGAAATGCAGACGTGATGCTTTAAGTTTTTGGAATTAAGACTTCTAATTTGACACAATTAGGCTTAACAAAAATAAATCTTCTGTCAAAAATGTTGATTGCAATAAGCCACAATTTAATACATAAACAATACTCATTGCTTAAATTCAGGGGCAAGGGCTTCACGTAGTTTCTTCGTATAGAGGTTTTCAAGTCAATTGTTAGTTCCATTAACATTTGAAAATTCAGATTCTTCACCTAAACATGAATATATGCAAATACAACAAGCACATACTCTATCTTGCAGAAAAATAATATTTATGTTATCCCTCACCTCAAGAATAATCTTATACATCAAAACTGCAACTGATTATATTCATTTAGTGTATATATACAACTGCTCCCCTGTAGGGAAGATAAAAAACACAAAAAGGTTGGAGGGCGAGGGTTTTTGTATATTTTTCCCCTTCATTTTATATATCATTATTACTTTTTCTGAGGGAGGACATCAGTAATGCATCTTAAATTCAAAGAGTTGTTGAAAAACACTATCTAGAAGCTTCTAAATTAACATCTGTATCACCTAGAGAATGATGACATACCAATAAAAAAAATTCTAGAGAATTCTCAATCAATGCAGTCAAATTAAACTCAAAAGTAATTCATACTACTCTATACTATAAGCAATTAGACAATTTTTAAATTGCAATATAGGCCATTATGTCTTAATAGAAAAATAAAACCCAATCTTACTAAATAAAAAATATGACTATCTCTAAAAAAGAGTACCAAAGCATGTTTGATATGTTTGACTTAATTTTTTAAAAATAGAATTATTCAGCATCCCTCATTAATACAAGGATACAATTATAAACATTGCAGTAAATATTTGCTGAGCCACACACAAAAAAATCTGGAGTTGCATTATGAAACAGTCCAGCAAACTCAGAAAAATGAGAACTCACTTGGGTGCTGCATGCTACAAAAAGCAAAGTGTTTAACAATGACGAAAGCTTTGGCTATTCTTAGGTATCTATGTACACAGAGTAGCAGGGCATTTATAACATATGTGTGTTTCCCCAAAAGGATAATACATCCATGGTGTCTTATGTTAAACCCAATAATTTTGGGTGGGGGAAAGGAGTTTATTTAAGAACAGTTTACAGTAAAGTAAATCAGAATGTTAGAAAAAAAAAATCATACTAGCTTCTTTGAGAAACTACATAAATAAACTTGAAGTTACAGCCTACAATAAAACTACACTCAGGTAGAGTTTTAAGATATTCCTTTATTATTCCTCCTTTTTTTTGGCCTTTAAAGTATTAACTTTGTCCCAGTTCCAACAAAGAACAATGATCCCTGAGATAAGCATGATTAGGATATAGTTGTGTTTTAAAAGATGGTGAGCAGAAAAGATTTCTGAACAATATAAATGATACTTTTTGCTATGTATAGATTTACCTGGAAAAACAAATCCAAAGATCCACTTCAGATTTAAAAACTCAATTTTATAGGGAAAAGCAGAATTAAAAAAAAAAAAGAAGCTAGGAAGTACTCACCTCTTCACGTAATTTTATCAACTGCAACATGAATGCACAAAAAAAAGATAAAAAGGAAAGAAATGGCAGGAAAGAAAGATCAGTTGTCTGACAGGATACAGAATTAACATTGACAATTTATCTGTTTACATGTTTAGCATTTAAAAATCACAGACAAACACATTAAAAGAACCTAAACATAGACTACATGCAGAGTTTTTTGAACGAATAAAGATCACTTTCTCACACTGTCACATTAAACAAAGAGAATAGTGTGAAATTCTCTTTTAAAGTACATCTAAGACACCATCATGAAATAAAGGGGAACGACTTCATAGAAGTCTATATTATAAAGAAAGAAAACAAGTTTACTGTTCCTCTCTTCTAAGAATGTACCATTGAAGAGGTTTTGTATATACAAGTTTTCAGGATGTTTCCCTATTTGGAATCTTGACAACTGATTTCAGATTTTACCTACAAATGAAAATGATTAATAGCTCATGCTTTGGTTCCAGTAAGTATTTAAAACAACAAACTATTATGTTAGTTAATGTTATACTTGTACCCACTCTAGTAATAAGACTGCATTTGGAAGTAATGTTATTTTAATAGAAAATAAAGTATGCCAGGAGAGATAATACTTATTTAGATCATAGTATCAAAAATTCACGATCATATGAACTTCTGTGTATGTAAGAGTCAATTTCTACATTTTTATTTTGCTTAAGAGGCTACCACAATCATGTGGCATGTTTTCATTTTAATTTTTGAATGATTTCTTCAGTTTTCAATTTTCTTCATATTGTAAACTGGCAATGAGCTCTTACTTCATTTATATTGCAGTTTTGTTTTCACTAAAGTCAAATAAAAAATCACTCCTTACTTCTTAGTAAATTATCCTATGATAACATTTTAATTCTCTTATTTAGAACATTTTTCTATTTACCTTAAATATAACAGATAAAACAAGCTGTTTAACTCTTTAGGAACTAAAATATATAACCATATATCTGGCTCATTGTGTGTACGTGTGGGTGTGTGTGTGTTTGACATTATTCTAAACTACAAATATCACTGTATAAGTGAGATGACGACCACAGTTTCTGCAATGACTAGAAACTGAAACCTATGTTGTAACAGACTAAACCACATTCTAGGTCTGAAATTTGCATCCTCAGCAATTCAGGTCTACGACTGATAATTTTTAAACATCCAAATATCTGTAACATCTGTTATAACACTTGACATATGCAGGTCAATAAATTAAACTATTGCTTTGGGAGAAATGTGCCTGAATTGTTCACTATAAGTCTCTGTAAGTATCATGTTTACTATAGCCCGGATATCTCAATGCTTAACGCTGTTTTTGTCCCGAATTCAAGGAAGGCAGTATGCATTCCAGCTTATTCTGTTATTTCATTTGTTATATGAAAAGTATTTTGAGTACCAAAGAATAAGATTTTAAAAACTGTTAAGAATCTTTATAAAAAGGGTACATAAGTTATCATGTAATGTCTCACAGTACATTCAGTGAAAATGAAACCTTTATTATCATCGTTTCAAAATAAGAAGCTTTCTTTATTTTTAATTAACACACTCAGCAACCATCCAGTTACATACAAGTAAATCATCTTTTCATTTCACATGAAAAGTTATAATTCTTCCCCAGAAGAAGCAAAATTTTAAGCTAAAATACCTGGCCTATCATATATCGGAATCTTTCTCTTTGCTATCCCAACATCATGGGAGAAAAAGGCAAACATTAATTCTCAGAAAGAGACGATCTGGGAATTGATCGGCCAGCGATCTTTTCTTTCTGGGGGCACTATTCTTTGGTTGACTATGATACTTAAAGGGCCAAAGTTTAAAACTACTCTTCAGCAATAGAGACCATTTGGGGCATGCCACCCTGCCATAATCAATGAGTGTTTAAAAATGCTACCCATTTGTTTTTTCAATAGGTTCCAAACAAAAAACGTTCTATCTTGTTTGTGCTGCATGGCTGCATTCAAGCTCTACATCGGATTTGTAGCCAAGCTAGGTAATGGGAGGGTTTTTCATCTTTATCTTTTTTCTTTTTTTTTTTTTTCTTTGCTTAGGCCGGGAGTTATTCATTCAAGTAAACAAAAGATGGCCTATTTCTGAAAATTAACAATGCGTAGACTGGACTGTAAGTCGTGATTTCGTATTTTCTCGAGTTACTAGCTCCATCATAGGCAACATGAGAGTGTGCAATGCCACCATGTTGAGTTATGATAATCAACATCTTTTCTGAAACAAAGATTTTTTTTCCCCCAATGCAGAATTTGATACAAGAGGTAATCTGTTCCTTTGTGGGCTGAAAAAATCTGGTTTACGCTGGTTTGAACCAGTGGAATCTCTTGTGGTTAAGCCTTCTGCTGTGACTAAAATCAAAACTGCACTGCAGAGCATGTGAGGGTTCATGCGCGCGCGCGCACGTGCGCACGTGTGTGTGTGTGTGTGTGTGTGTGTGTGTGTGTGTGTGTGAGGTGTGTCACGTGACCCCAGAACTACCGAATTTTTTTTAAAGCTGATAACGCGACTGCTGTCTCTGTTCGCATACAGATAACGAATAAATGCTGAACTCTATTAAACGCCCTTTACACATTATCGTGGGTCGAACACACAATTTTCTGAACTTATGATGACAGTCTATTTATTTTGCTATAAACCCTCAGCACGTAACGAACAGATTTGTGCCTGGTAATGATCTGCTCTGCCAGGGCTATATGAAATGATACCGACCTTCTTTAGATCTTGGGGAATTAAATTGACCGACTTCACCCCCTGGTCTGTAGCTGAAGTTTGACACACTTTATGCACAGCAAGCCCAAATCAGAACTTAAGAGAACCTTGTATTAAGAAATTAAGCAATCATTATCTGCTAAATATTGCTTTGCCACAAAACTTTCCCCACATTTGGAAATAGTCTACTCTTTATATTTTGAATCTTCTATTTAGGATTTATTAAAAGTCACTGATCAATATAATTCTGCATATAGAAACTGAGAGAGTATTAGGGTTCAAAATCAAAGCTTGGAACAGTTTATTTGCCCCATTATCACACTTCACTATGAAAGGCTTTATGATTTTATTCTATAAGTTGTGTTTTTCCTTTTATGAGAATGGTTCTCATGAAATGCAATCAAGTTATGAACTATTAATGTTTCCACTCTAAATACAACATCACTACATTCAAGAACTCAACTCTTTCAAAGAAATAAAATGTTGCCACATGGAATGGTAAATACGGTATTTTCAAAGAATAGAATGATAATGCTTAAGACAGTAATCCTTGGAAAGCTGATAGCCCAAAAGTACTCAAATGTACAAAGTAGGTAATTTTCTTGCCCCTTCTTTGTAAATCAGCATTAGCTATATTTGATTGAATGAAATGAATATGAATCAGAAATGAATGTATACAAAGCATTTAATTTGGAATTAAATGCAAAGGGTATTGTATGAGGGACATTAAAAATGCTTTTGAAAAATTCTTAATTTCTGAATTTTTAACATTTCTAATCATGGCAGAAATGTTTATGTACCTAAGAGTAAATTAACATACTTTATAGTTAATTGGCAGACTATAATTATATGTATTACAGTCAGGTTTCAGATGCCTAAAAAAACTGCATCATAAATTATCAGAATGAGAAATAATAGCTATTGTATTCATATTATCGAATCTTCACAAAGAAGCAACTATAAGGAGGATGTGTATGTTACATTGAAAATACCTAGCCAGTATTTTACCTATATAATCATTGCTATTAATTCCTTATTTTCCTATTTTGATCTATATTTTTAAACTGACAGGTATATCCCAATTGCAATTAAATGAATATTGCTATTTTTATCTCATTTTGTTTATCTCCAAGTTTTATCCATTTATATAGTTAGTATTCCATGGATAAGAAGTTCTGAAAATCAATTTATTAGCAAATAACTTAGAAGTAAACTTATTTGTAGGCAGAAGACCTTTTCTTATATAAATTATAAGCAGCCCTACCTAGAAAAAAACTCTTCCTAGCTACTGAGCTACAAAGATTAGTATAGAGCCAAATTAAAATATTTTCTTTCTTTACAGAAAGAGCTTCCGTTTTGACTCCATATTCTGAATGAATGCTGATGCGGAATAAAAAAGTTATTCTCAAGTGACCATACCTAGTTAAGGATGTGTTTTAGTTTGAGGGATTTTAATTCCTATATTATGACAAAGAGCCTTAAAACAAAATGCAATGACTTCATATGAAATGGAAACTTTGCTACATTTGGTAACGAAATATCCAAAACGTTCAGTGTGGTCTCTTTGAACTTTTACACCTCAATCAAATTTTAGATGGAAAACTTCACACAAGTAATAATCTAACAGTACATATTCTCATGACTATAATTTATCATACTCTATTTATTGAAGTGACAGTTCCTTACATGTAAACTTCAGGTTCTCCAAGCACTTTCAGAATTTGTAAGTTTGATTTATACAAGTCCAGGGGAAATCTCTGCATAATCACTTTAAGGTGACAGGAATATAATTTGAAAAATTCAGAAAATATGAACTCAATCTATTTTTGTGGAACAGTTTTCTTTAGGCATAAAAATCATACTTATATGTACGCAAGGCAAATGTTTTAGGCATATAAAATGTCCATTAAGAGAAGTGAACACGTTTGAAAAAAAAGGGATCCCTATCATAGAACTACAACATCCATTACGATAAAGGAGTCTGAGTTAGACAGGCACACCCCCTTCCTTTCTATTTCCTCTGCATTAGGCAGTAGTTTCAAATGAGGGAAAGATCTATAGCTGTTTAAAGAACTGACATGGGAACTACGCATTCACTTTTTTGCAAAAAAGATAGTGTTTTTTGCAGTAGATAGGAAATAAAATTATGATTCACTCATTTTCAAGAGGTATGAGCAATCTAAATCTCACTTTAAAAACAGAAGAAAATATTTTTTCTCTCATCCTCACATTATTTAATCTATTATGAGTAAAGCCCCTTTATCACATCACCCTTTTATGTTTGATGTGCTATTTTTTTTTTCCTTTAGCTATTCTCACATTTCAATCAGGGAAGCTGAAATCCCAAGTCAAATCTGAACGTGTTCACATGTCTGAACTCAAGCTGATAACATCCAAATAGTGGAGGAGGTGACATCTTTCCAAAAACAAACATAATCAGCTCAGTCATTCTTCTCTCTTTTTTGGGGGTGGGTGAGTAGAGTCCTTAATCACACAAACAACATCCCTGTTACAGATTATAGTATAATAGATAGCAAATACTATTAGCATATATGGACCTATAATATCATCTATTTGAGATGGTAAATACAATTATGCAATTTTTATAATATGTATCAATATATTAGGTTTCACTATCCTATTAAAATTTTGGTTTACTCAGTGACTGATTTATGTTCATTTTCATTTAGGCAGAGTAGAGACTTTTATACTACTTGCCAAAGTGGCATTAGTAACCATGTTCAGGTCTTGTTTCTGAAGGTCCCTATCATGTATTTTCTTTAAAAGTGTCAAAGAAAATCAGTCATTAGGGCTTTTTTGAGGCATTTTTAAAGTCATTTCTACAATGAGGTTCTTAAAACTTTTTTTAAAGTTGTATATAGTATCTACATGAATTAATGAAGTCTGTAGTATTAATTCAAAGAAAGAGGCGGGACATTAATTAGACTCATGACACTACGGTATGATCCAATGAGAACCGACAGCCAAGTTGTAAAGCTCTTTTAAGAAGAAACTGTATCTTATTTTTTGGCCTACGCAGATCTTAAACTGCAAAAAGACTTATCCTATTATTATTATTATTATTATTATTATTATTATGACTATTATTTGACAGAAGCAGTTCCTCTGTATGGGTATCCAAGTTCCACACTGGTGCTTCCAATTTGCATTTTGGTGAATGTATTTTTAAGAAGCCACACAATAGGAGATTGGGCTGCCCTGTTGAATTTTGAAAGCTTACTTTCATTTGTTTTGCTGCAAGTGTTGATTTAATTATACTGCATTATTATCAAAGCTGTATTATGTACTTTTTTATTCCTTTTACATGTGTTTGAGGTGAAGACCTTGGCTTTGTCTGCAAACGGTGTGTTTCAAGTTATTCCTTAAGTACTAAATAATAAAGAAAAGAGAAGAAAAGATTTTTTTAAAAGATAGCAGACAGTGATCACAAGGTAAAGGGTTAAATGTAAGATCTCCAAGAAACATTTTGAAGTTGATTAAGACTCCAGCTTTGCATTAAACAGTATCGCTTCCACATGAGTTGCTGCTAATACCGTTAAGGAGCAGCTTGAGAGCCCAGTGCGCCAGTGACCTCCTTCACCCTCCAGCCACCCACCGGGCCTTCCTGATTAGCATTCTACCTGGTTCTCTGAGGAATTCCCATCATCCCCCAGGAGCTCATTCCGTACTTCGTCACTGTAGGCGATCCGTGACCTTTTCTATAAAACAAAACAAAAAGGGAGAGAGTGAGAGGAACGTTAGAAAGTAAAAGCTTCCAAGCTTTATTGGTATCAAGGCTGATCTCAAACCTCGAGAGCCCCCTAATGGAAACCTATTGGCTACAATCTGCACACCAAAGTTGTGTAAAGTTCCTGAACTTCATAAGTTTCATGTAAATTAGAAGTTTATAAGATGCCAATAATGAAAGGAAACTCTGCATTGTGTATTCTATTCATAAACGCATCTGAACTTGTATATAGTTCCATACATCGCCATTCAAATAAGACCACTAAGCTGAAAGAAATACAGCTATATAACTGCATGTCTGTAAAACTCACTAGATTGTACTTAAGACAGGAGTATATGTTTTTTTTTTTCAATATTGTGGCAGGAAATGGACATTACAAAGCTTTCAATTTAGCACTTTAAAAGTCTCTAATACTAGGATAATAATTATATCTCCAACTATACTCTGCAATGCCTAGAATAGCACGTCTATATTTCTTTCATTATTGTGATGCTACTAACCAGAAAGAGAGAGAATTTAAAGCCCCTCCCCTGTACAAACAATAATTTAAATGTCTCCCAGCTCTCTATAAATAATGGCCTAAGGAAAAGTAATGAAAGTGTGTGTGTGCATGTGTGCATGCATGCGTACATGTGTGTGTCTGGTAAAAGAAACTAAATTTCTCAGTCACAGTAAATAAAGGCAAGTAGGCTATGAGTCAACTTTTCACAGTCCCAGTAAATAAAGACAAGTGGGCTATGAGTCAATGTTTCACACCCTGAAAATGTGTTTTACAAGAAATATACCCCTCTCTATAAAGTCAGAGGGACATGTCTGCAAGCAATTCATGAATTATCTAAATGTATACACATTTGGAAAAGCCAAAAGACTGAAAATTCGTTGGGAAGCTAAAGTGTGGGCCTCAGATCCCACTTCAGCGTCACTATTTCAGACCTAAATTCAGATTTGCAAGTTACTTTGTTGTCTTTCCTGCTTCAGAATTCACTAAGAAAACTACTCCATTAAAAAATGGCAGCTGGAAAACAGTAATCTCTTCCTCACTTGGGGGTCTAGAGTTTGGGACTTAAAATTTCTTACTTGTTCAACTGTGATCTGAAAAAGTATTGTAGTTTAAAAGGACTATCAATAATTCCAGAGCAGATGTCAACAATATGATTTTTAAATTAGATTTTAAACTAGTGAATAAGCGACACTGCTTGACCACATAGAGATCATAATACCTTAAACATCAAACGTATTACATTTGAATGGAAAAGAACCTTAGACAAGAACAACCAATAGACTTTAAATCATTCTGAAGTTACAACTTTTCCCAATTATCTTAACCACAAAACACAGAAAATTATTTCAGTAACTATGTTTATCAATTCTCCCAAGGATGGTACATAAGAAAAAAATTTAGTTCATTACATATATTTGAAGACAAGTCTTAAGTCTCTGGCAGAACCCAGTTGAAAAGGCTGAATAGAAATAAAAATAAATAAACCTAGACATTCCTTTGCTTTTTAGGGAAAAAAGTAAGTTTCATGGAATTCTAAAGGTAGCTCTGGTTAAACTGACACTGGAACACTGGGGTCCTGACTCACAGCTCAGTGCTCATTCTACCACACAAAAGTTCCTCTTCATTCTATTACCTTTAGAGTGACTCAGGAAAAAGGCACAAGAATTGCAAAATGTTTTGATATTAAGGAGACAGTGGCATCCACTCCCCGCCCTGAGTCTCCACCCTAAACCCCATTTCGCTGCACAAATGCATATCTTATACCTTGACTTCTGCAGTAAGTCTCTAAGTAGATAAATAAAATCAACAACGTTGCAGAGAGGAGGACAGAGTAAAGAAGTCAAGTCCTCAGCATGAAGTCAGTAAAGATATCTACATCAGATCGCTCGACAATTCAGTAGTGACCCAACTCAGTCATTTGTGAACATGCCAGACTTTTGACCATCGCACACAGCATATATTAAGCCTGGTTCTCTTATTGTATTTACTGAAGCCATTATTAATTAGCTATTTCTATTGACTTCATACAGAATTGCACTTAAAAATGCTAAATTATCAGGGCAGTCCACTTCATGGCCTTAATACAATATTTAGATCAAGCCAAAGCTTGCCTTTGCTCATTTGGAGTTCCTACTACAGTAGTTTCAAACTAGCTAAGCAAAAGTATTTTACTGCATTAAAGGAAATGAGAACCTTTAAACAGGCTGTGGTATCAGAGCTGCCTTTTTAATTATTCATCTCATCACTATGGGGGACTAAAACATTCCACAGTATGCAAGAGGATCATATGGAGATTGCTTTTGTTTTTCCCTTTTTTCACCAAAATACCAACAAATTGGCATAGATTGTTCAATTACATTATACTCTTATTTTGATTTACTATACTTCAAAAGGAGAAAATTATAAATGTGTATCCCTAAATATCGAATCTTGTTTTGGTTAGAATCCACCGCTTTTAAAAACCAGCAATTAAGAGTGTACATGCTCAGCAACAGAGGAGAACTAAGGCTTTATCCACAGTTGAAGGGTGGTCCCTATAAATGTCATTCTTCACCATTGGGATGGTAAAAACTGGTTGTTTGGATGGCTTTCTGGATATAATTAAGTAAATGATATGCTGAGTGTAACCAAGTGTTCTCTGACAGGACTGACTTTTCCTAAAGAATGAAAAGACGACTCATTTCAAATATCAGAAACAGTTCCTCATGAGCACGACACAACAATGCTGAAAACTGAACTCTTTATATGTGAGTTTCATTTTCCAAACAAAACAAATCAAGACTATTAAAAAAAACTAATTATATTTAGATGCCCAACATTGGTATTTTCTCATAATTTTTCACGACTTAAAATTTTCAGTAAGCTGATTGTACCCAACCATAACTTAGCCTGCAAGATCATCATTAAACTAACTGAATACCAAAAAAGGGGGAAAATCCTTTGAATGACAAACTGCTTATTTTATGGATAATTTTCCTCTAAAACATCAATAAGTTATGTTACCTTTTATGGAATTAAAAAAAAACCCATGCTACATTAATAAGTACCTACACAATAATTTAATTTGGAAGATTCAAAGTTAATAAAACTGAAGCATTTACTGTATCTTGATAAACTTCACTAAAATATTTTTTCTTTATTATCAACGGTATAAAATTCGTACTTTAGCCAAATGCAAACATGAGAATTTGAGCTGGAAATGTCACACATTCAGCTACAGTTTGAAGGAACCCAATTCATAATGCATTTTATAAATAGTTAATGACTTCTATACATAAGCTAACCAGGCAAATCAAGAAATTGTCAACATTTTTAGTCTTAGTTGTCAGTTACCACTGTCTACTGGTGCTTTATATGTGGCTTCTGGAGAAGACAGAAGCTCTATGCAGTTTGTAATCTACTGCAATTTCTGGTCTGTACCATAAGAGTAGAAAAGCTTCAGCTGACAATACTTGCCTCCCCCCGCCACCCACACACACACAACATACACAGAGTTAAATACAAGAGTACTCCTCACTTTTAATTGTGTGTTTGTGTAAAGTTTACTTCTTCTAACTTACATACTTTGGTAGACTACATGGTTAGAAAGAAAATCTACAGATCGTATATGAACTATAGAAAAAAATATGACAAATAAACAACTGATTGTTACCTCTAAGAAGTTAGATGCACAAGTTTCAATGGCTATTTTAAACTGATGACACAAGTGAGTTATGAATGCGAGAATTTCGGATTCAAGGCGATTTTCGATTTTTACTTGGTATATGAACAGGTCCTTTGCATACTGATTGGCTGATTTTCTTAAAGCCAAGTTCAAACAGATACACTTGCTTAGTTCTGTCTGGAAATTTGGCTTGAAACAATCTTTCTACTTGACCCAAGCCTTGACATTTCCCAACTGAACTGAATGTGTTCCTGGACAGGCACTGCTAAATTAGAAACAAAACGAATTAACTTAGCTTAAACTAATTAAAAACTGTGATCTGTGGTACCGCCTCCTGTATGATTCTACATGTGAAATAGAGTATACGTAACCAGAATGAGGATTCTACAGCCCAGAACTAGCAAAAGCATAACAATGAAGTTGGTTTATTACTAAAGCGTATATGAGAATTTAATTTCCATGGCGTGCACATGGCAAAGCAATTGCTTAAATTGCCTCACCTGGGAATTTAATACAATGTTATCATCAGACCAGCCACATTGTAAATAGATTTATAATGCTTTCCATGTGCTGTATTCTGTTGCATATGAATTAAGTAATGATCTGGTATTACAATAAAATCAGCTAGTTCCCACACCTGGCAGACAGGATATTTCACTAAATTAATACCCACACAGCTACATCACAAGGCATAGGAGAGGAAACCATCTCAAAAGGCATTCGACTTGAGTTTTACATGGGATGCAAATATTCGATGGCTACGTAGAATGTCAGTACATTGAATGGGGCTGCTGAAGACAATCTGTTTCTAACATCTGTATCACAGAATTAAGACGTTCTCATTCCCATTCGATTTTGGCCTAATTTTCTTCATTCAGCACTTTAATTACTAATCAGCAATCCGCAACATTCACAAACACTAAGCAAGCCCTTTATTCTAATCTATGTGCTGCAGACAGCCAAATAATTGATACAGAGTGCAGTATGGTTTTGGTAAGTAATGAAAGAACAGCTTGTCCTACTTCCTAATCAAATGGGTCTATAGAAGAATTGGTTAATAGATTTCTCCATAGGTCTAAAACAAATTACCCAGTCTGGCCAGACTTTTCCATTGCTTCTACATGTCTTTCAGTCTCCATATATTTAATAATGCCCAAGGTTACCAGGTGATACATCTATTAAAAATTGCATGCTTTCATAGCCAAAGAATTTAACTGCTCCAAAGAATTTAACTGCTCCTGTTATAATTAACACTTTGGGATATCTACAGAAAACCATGAAATTATATTGATTAGTTAGTCATATAATTGCTGGCACTCATTTCTTAACTAATTTTATCTGGTTCTAATTAAATAATATCATACTTCTGTAATGCCCAGATGGCATTTTCTAAAATGCATCTATCTTTGGCACCAAGTGTTCCATTTTTAGCCTCACTTCTATTTCTCATGGACAATTTCAGCTTTTCAGCCACACACCACCCCTGCACCAGGACTCAAAAAGGCTCATCAATCCAGGACAGAAAGCTTACACAGTCCAGAAAAAAAATAAATGGAACTTATGAATTTTTGTTTATCACAGTGTTCTCCATGTTGTATTAATTTCTAGCAAAAAGCAATTTAAGGTTAAAACATGTATCATACTACATGGCTTAGGTAAAGGTAAAGAAAACTGTTAGATATATGTTTGATCCCTGGAACATTGTTAGGATGGATGGAAAAGCACAGGGTACTAAATGAAAAGAACAGAGAGAGCATTTCAGTATGTGATCTTGGTCAAATTAAGTTTTCTGAGCATCAGTTTCTTCATCTCTAAAATAATGGTATAGTATTTATTTCCTAGGGCTGTTGTGAAGATTTAAATGTTATAAACAAATGCAAACCTACCCTAACACCTTGTATATGATGACCTCCAGAGCATGTTCAACTAAATTGTAGTTGATAATACTGGAAAGGATGCAATAAAACTAGTAGGCATACATGGCTGAAAGTATAAATTATGCATCCTTCTTAAAAAATCATTTGCTAATACATACCAAAAATGGCTTTAAAAATCTGTATTATTTAGATCCTGTAATTCCACCATACTGTTTTGCCCAATTCCTTATTTTATGGTGGTGTAATTTTTGGATGGCTTCCAATAGTAAAAAATTTTACTGCATTTCTTTAATGCTATCAGAGAAAGTAAGTTCCAATCTGTTTCTTCTATGTAGTCATTCCTCTAAGTATGGCTTGCTCTTGCTCAAGGGACTGTTTAGAGTTAAAGGTCAAGCTCATTCGCTGGAAGGTGCACATGCCACATGTCACCAATACTGTAGCATTAATAAAGGGAAAGCACACTTTGTGTCTATCATAAACTCATGGGCAATGGACCATATGCAAGCCACCAGAGAAAAAATACTAACATACCCTGCTGCAAGGCTACCAACAGAGCTGGAAAGTAGGTTACCATGAGACTGCCAAAATAATCCATTGTTCTTTAGTATGCAACACCAGAAAAAAAATTAAAAATTAGTTTTAAAAAATTTTGTCTTTTTATTGTAATCACTCTCATTTATTATTTTTGCTTATACTTTCAAACACATTTTCCATGTTCAGAATGGATATTTATGTTTTGGCTATAAACAATAAGATAAATTATACCACATTTCCCCTAAATTACTTTTTAAAATTTAGCTATAATATCATATGTGAATATTTATATGCATATCATGAGGTTTTATATATATATATATATATATATATACACACACACACACACACACACACACATATAGAGACTAAAAAACCCATTTGCAATCCATATGGAATAATAACTATGTTTACAATGCTACAACAGACTTTTATTTATATTAGGAACTCTGCCCATATTGCTGCTGTATCATTTAATGATTTGCAAAACAGAGATCCCAGAAATTATGTAACTGCAGTTCTTCATTTCCTCTTCCAGCATTTCTAAACTTTAGCCTGTAATTTAAATTTAGCATGAATGTTTCAAAAGGCAACATAAGTTAGTATCATGGCCCCACTTGCTTGCATATGCTTGCAGTTTATGACTTTTGACACTGCTATTGAATACGGTGTGGCTGTGTCTTAAATCATGTTAGCTTGTCAATCAACAATTAAATTACTTCATTCAGAAAATCAGCTCATGATAGAATGCCCAGATGTTGTTGTCAGCATCTGGAATAGTGTAAGTATGCAGTGGAGGAAATCTCATCCTTTAAAGTCTTTTGATACGTAAAATAAAATAACTCCATAGACTCTACTTGAAATAATCAAAATATCAAAATGTTTATTATTTTCTTTGTTAATGATTTATAAATACACTATACACCCCACTGGAAAATGTTACTCTGATAAATAAATGTTTTGCAATAGATGCTTCATTTGTATTTTAAAATAAACTACTGCAACAAAGTATATAAGTGTATACAATTAATTCCTATAATGCTAGTTTCTCTATATCATCTGCCTAGCATTGGGAAGGAAAAGGGGTCATTCATTGAAAATCTGTCCATAGTCACAGTTTCAAGTGATCTAAACATCCAAGAACAAGTTATCCTGAGGATTCTCCGTAACTGACCCTAAGTTATCGCATGAGGTTTCATCTAGATCAGGCTGCAAATTTAAAAACAAGGGGTTCTAAGCCAGATGAATGATCTATCCAAGGCCACGGAGCTAGGAAAGATGAGGCAGAACAAGGACAGAACCCCATTCCTCAATGCCAGTGTTCTTTTCACTTTATTACACCGCCACAACAGGCTGGAGTCCCCCTACCTTCATTCTCCAAAGCCATGGTTGGATGAACGATTCACCTAGTTCTATCAACTTATCATCAGCTAATTAGTCTAAAGGTTTTGTTTCTGGTCACCCTTCTCTAAAAACAAACAAACAAACCTTTATTCTTTGCTATCAATAGCTAGAATATTGGACACCAATCAAGATCGAGGGTGATAAATGCTTAAGGTAAACTGTTTTATTTGATAGAATAAAGCATCTGATCTCAGAGGGTGAGTCATAACCACACCTATGGGTGTTATTTAGACAAGTTTCAAGATTAATCTTCAAAGGCTGTACCATAAAGCAACAATAGCCTACCTATGGCTCAGAGAGGAGCCGCACCAGCTATTAAGATGTGTTCAGAACTGCTTGCTTACTCAGAAAATCTGGTAACTCCTGGTTACTTCAAAATTCTAGATTGGAATCAGCCATCTCATAGGCAAACAATTTTTATAACCTATTTTCCTGGTACTTACTTTTGGACCCATGTTGCGACAGTTTCTTTATTATAGACTATGCTGTGTTATAGTGAGGTTATAGGGTTCATAATTCAGAGATATACAATGTCTTTTAATGTTTTATGGATATAGCCAATAAAACTATGATGTTTAGGCAATATAAGAAAATTAATTTAGTCCAAATTTTCTATGAAAACATTTTGACGGTTACTTCTATACTAGGGTGACCCAAAACAAAATATAATGAATATGAAACTTCATACCTCATTCATAAATAACATATTCTTCCTGAAAGATTCTCCATTTTCAGTTGAATAAAATAAAATCTTGCCTACTCAGATGTTTCGCTTCATCAATTAAATGTTTTCTTGAGTATCTTCAATGTTTCACCCTCTACTGGTTCTTTCCTTTATGGTAGGTATATCAACACTTTTAAGTGTATCCCAGCTTTACACATTTTAAAAAGTTATGTGTGTGTGTGTGTATATATATATATATATACACGTATATACACATATATATACACATACACACACACACATATATATATATATATATATATAGAGAGAGAGAGAGAGAGAGAGAGAGAGAGAGAGAGAGAGAGAAAGAGATATGAGGTCTCACCATGCTGCCCAGGCTGGCCTTGAACTCCTTGGGCTTAAGCAATCCTCCTATCTCTGCCTCCCAAAGTGCTGGGGTTACAGGTATAAGCCACAGCACCTGGCAGTTATTTCATTCTACATTACTCTCCCCCAGCAAATGCCATCCTCTCTTTATGCTTCCCTTCCTAGCCAAGCTTCTTAACCCATTTATGTCCAGTGTTCCATTATTGGAACGCTAAGCTTGTGGGAGTTATTTATATCCTACCGCTCAAGGTCATCACAAAGGTCTGATTGTTCACGAAAAAAGTTTGCAACCTCCAGCATAAATGGGTTAATAGACTATTTTACATGCAATAACTCCATTTATTCATGTCTCAGTCATTTCTCAGCTTATTATAAACTGGATTTCTTCCTACCACTCTGCAGGTCTTCCAAAGATCACCAATGACTTCCTAGTTGTCAAAATTATTGGCCATGTTTTATAAATGAAATTTTTATTTTATGATTGTTTAAGATTTATAAAAAGTTTACAACAACAGTGCAGAGAGTTCCCATATAACCCACACCCAGTTTGTCACAATTAATAAATTATTCATTATTATTAATTAAAGTCATCCTTTTTTTCAGATTTCCTTAGCTTTTACCTAACGTTCATTTTGTATTCCAGGATCCCATCCAAGACTCCACATTATATTTAGTAGTCATGACTTCTTAGGCTGTAGTAGTTTCTCAGACTTATTTGTTTTTGATGACCTTGACAGTTCTGAGGAGTGGTGCTCAGGTATTTTGTAAAATGTGCCTCAATTAGGATTTGCCTGATATTTTTCTCATGACTAGATTGGAGTCATATATTTTCCGGAGGGAGATCACAGAAGTAAAGTGCCACTTTGATCAGATCATATCGAAGCTACATACGATCAGCATGACTCATCACTGTTGATGCTGACCTTGATTACTTGGCTGAGGTAGTGTTTATCAAGTTTATTCACTGTAACGTTACCCTTTTCCTCTTTTCATGTTGTACTCACTATGCATTAGCTCACAGGTAAGGAGTTGGGAATTAGGCTCCACCCCCTTGAGGGCGGAGTATCTACATAAATTATTTGGCATTCTATTGCATAGGAGATTTGTCTATTCAATCATTACTCAATCATCTATTTATATCAGTCTGGCATCATGGCTATTTATTATATTCTGGGTTATCGTCCAATACTACTTCATTTCTTTTGTTGCTCAGATTGTGCCAATTTTAGCTGCAATGGCCACTTTTGAGTCCTTTTTCAGGTCTGACCTCTTGATAGTACCTGACACTGTTGCCCACTTTCTCCTTAACAGATTCAGCACCACACTCCCTTTGAATTCCTCCTATCCTTGGAGGAATTGTGCTTCTCTTTCTCAGTCTCTCCTTCTTAGTCTCCTTCATTGTAACTTCTCTCACGATCTGCCCATGAATGCTGGTGTTCCCCTAGGTCTCCGTCCTTAGCCCACTTCTCACTCATCTGAGTGATCTCATTCATACCTATTGTTCAAACTATCACCTAGGAGCTGGCAAAGATGTTTTCTGCATATTCCACTACAAATCCAATTCCTATTGAGTACCTTAAATAATATAAAGGCATCTCAGGCTTAACACAGACAAAGTAGAATATTATCTTTCTCCTACCGCATGCTCCACCTCCTGTTTTCCCTAATGATGGATAGTATAACCATGCACATGGTATTCTTAGATAAAAACCTAAAAATTATCCCACTCTCTCCTTCATTACACAAATCCAATCAATCAGCAGGCCCTATGAATTAAACCCTTATTTTTCAGAATATCTACAACTGGGGCCCTTGGCTCTATTTCCAGTATGTTTGTTATCTTATGCATTAGTCCCCATTCTTTCTTTATAACTGTTATTAACATATATTTCTCATCCTTCTTTTTATATATGAATTATATTTGGGAGATATTTGGATGGAAAGACTGACATGTTTTTGGCAGAGGTAAGCCAATAGGTCCAAAGTCTCAGCTCCTCATTTTGGGCAGAAAAGGAGATACCTTTTCTAACAGAATATCAAAGCTATAAATGAATAATTGTCTAAAAATATAACTTATTTCAGGATAGAAATATTAAAATAGAAAGCAAATATATTCAACAAAAGCCAATATACTATGGGAAAATGGTAAGCAACAGACCACTCTCCAACTTTATAAGTCAATACCACATTTTTCTTTAATTTCAAATATAGGCATATCTCATATCTGTTGTTTTATTGTTCTCATGAGTTAGATATTGCCATTTTTTATTATGTAGAAACTAAAAGACCACCATTTCAAATGAGATGATGTGCATGCATATTTCTTCTTTGTTTGTCTGATTTGTGGACCTGAGGAATATGGATTACCTCTGTTATCTGCACAAGAAGCTCCGCTACAAGCCTGGCATTCAGTTTGCTTTTATCTCTGAGACCCCAAATTGTACTGTTAGGCAACAGAGGGCACTTATCTAGATTGAACTGTCATACAAATAGATTTTTGTCAGCCACTCAATTTGTATTGGGGAACATGCCAACAAAAACAAAACACAGCAATTTAAAACAACAATCCTATCCTCTAGTGACAGGAACAAATTGCTGCATTTCAAATGAATAAGAATTACTATAGATCGCACATCTTGTATGTGGGTGCTATAGGAAGAAAAATGTTCTTGGAACTAATTCTGTATAGTTTTTCTGGCTGTAGTCTAATATAAACCAAGCACATAGTATGCCTAATACTAATAAACATACCAAAAAAAAGCCACAAACAAAAAGGAATTAATTGTTATCTGAGGAGAATGAGGCTGCCTAATGAAGTTCCAAGTCAAAATTCAGTGGCTAGATGAAGGTGACATTATGTTGCATTTTGAATCTGTTCTCTGATCTATGGTCCCTCCAGGAATGCAGGTAGTGCCTCTGCCCACAAAACAGTCAATTTGAGGAGTGAGACCATAATTCTCCTTAGGCCTAAATTGATTCTGGCTCTATGTCTTCAATATCCATAAAGAACAAGCAAAAACTAGTAAATTGACCTCACCACAGTTACACTATATCTCAGGCTATCTGGAAGAATATTCAGAGTTGATCTATTCAAAGTTGATGTTAACATCAAACACTAAAGATATTGATAATTGATAATTAAATCAATAAAAAATAATATAATTTTCACAATTGAAAATAATATGTCTACTCATCAATATCTAAAAAAATTAATTTCCTCCATTATGTTTATTTGAGTTGAATCCTGTTCCCTTTCTATAAGCCATATCTTCATTCTGATCTTTTATAGCTAATCCTTCAGTGAAAACCAGTCTTGGACTTGTGGAATCATAAACTACTTTAAGAGAAACAAACAAATATGTAAATTTGGCCCTATGACTCTGCATCAAGCTGAAACAGAAAATAAGTAAGGGTCAAAAACTTCACTTGAACCCATGTAATTTTCTAAACAAATCTAATTAATTCAATTTTTCAAATGTAAATATTTACATTTTTTAAATGTTTTCTTATATTAAAATTAGATAAGAATTTAGTGCTTGCAAAATTCTGTAATATGTCACTTGGTAAACCTGTAGCATTACACGTTACAGCAACAGGGACTTATGTCAAGACTCAAGACTTTACCAAAGAACAACTGCAAAAAACGATATACTCCATATACAGGCATGAAAAGGACCTCATTATTGGTAGTTAAAATAGGTAACAGGACAAAGGCAAGGTGAAATATAATGCTTCAAGTTACCGCTACATTTTGTTAAATAGTAGAGCTATCTGACAGTAAAACATTTTTACTTCAAAGGAAGTTATAAAATTATATTACTTTAAAAACAAGAAACAACATACCAATACTTATGGGATGCAGCAAAAGCAGTCCTAAGAGGGGAGTTTATAGCAATGAATGTCTATATCAAAAAAGAAAATAACAGATAAACCATCTACTGTTACAGTTCAAGAAACTAGAAGAACAAAAATAAACTAAGCGCAAAGTTAGCAGAAGAATGAAATAACAAAGATCAAGGCATAAATAAATAAAAAAGAGACTAGAAAAACAATAGAAAAAAATCAATGATACCAAGAGTTGATATTATGAAAAGATAAACAAAATAAACAACCCTAGCTAAAGACTAGCTAGAAAAAAAGGAGAGACTACTCAGGTAAATAAAATTAGAATGAAAGAGGAGACATTACAACTGAAATACAAAGGATCATAAGAAACTACTATGAACAATTATATGCCAACAAATTGGATAATAGAAGAAATGGATAAATTCCTAGGCACATATAGCCTACCAAGACTGAAGTAGGAAGGAATAGAAAATCCAAACAGAAAAATAACAAGTAAGAAGATTGAATAAGTAATAAAAAGTCTCCCAACAAAGAAAATTCCAGGACCGACAGCTTTCACTGCTGAATTCTACCAAACATTTAAAGAAGAACTGATGCCAATTCTTCTCGAACTCTTCCAAAAATGTGGAGTAGAGAGAATATTTCCAAATGTATTTTATGAGCCTAGCATTATCCTGATATTAAAGCCAGACAAGGACACTACAGGGAAAAAATATATACATCAATATCTCTAATAAAAATATAAGCAAACTGAATTCCAGAATACATTAAAGGAATCATTCACCATGATCAAGTGAGATTTATTCCAGAGATACAAGGATGGTTCAATATATGCAAATCAATAAATGTGATACAACATATTAACAAAATGAATAAAAATAATATGATCATCTCAATGAATGCACAGAAAACATCTGACAAAATTCAACACCTTTTCATAATAAAAAAACCTCAACAGATTAGGTATACAGGGAATATACCTAAACACAATAAAGTCTATAAATATAAAACCCATAGCTAAAATAATTCTCCATGGTGAAATGTTAAATGCTCTTCCTTTAAGATCCGGGATAAGACAAAGATGCCCACTCTCACCCCTTCTTTTCAACATAGTACTTAAGTCCTAGCCACAGCAATTAGGCAAGAGACAACAATTAAAGGAATCCTAACAGAAAAGGAAGAAGTAAACTTATCTCTATTTACTGATGACATAACCTTATATATAGAAAACCCTAAAGATGCCACCAAAAAACTGTTAAAACTGATAAATAAATTCAGTAAAGTTGCAGTATATAAAATCAACATACAAAAATCAATAGTGTTTCTATATACTAATAACAAGCTAATACAAAAAGGAAATTCGTAAAACAATTCCATTTGCAATAGCAACAAAAAATTAAACACTTGGGTATAAATGTAACCAAGGAAGTAAAAAACTTGTATACTGAAAACTATAAAATACTGATGAAAGAATTTGAAGAAAACACAAATACATGAAAAGATATCCTGTGTTCACGGACTAGAAGAATTAATACTGTGAAAATGTCCACACTGCCCAAAGCAATCTACAGATTCAATGCAATCTCTATCAAAATACCATCAATCAGTCTTCACAGAATTTAAAAAAAAATCTTAAAATTATATGGAACCAAAAATGAATCCAAATCTCCAAAGCAATCCTGAGCAAAATGAACAGAGCTAGAGGCATTACATTATCTGACTTTAAAATATCTTACAAGGCTATAGTAATCAAAACAACATGATATTGGTATAAAACTGGACACATGGACCAATGGAACAAGAGAACTGAGAAATAAAGACATATTCACAGCCAACTGATCTTCAACAAAGCCCACAAGAACTTACACTGGAGAAAGGACTTGCTCTTCAATAAATGGTGCTGGGAACATCAGCTATCCATATGTAGAAGAATGAAACTGTACCCCTATCTCTCACCATATACAAAACGAATTCAAAGTGGATTAAGGACCTAAACACAAGACTCCAAACTATGAAAATACTAGAAGAAAACCTATGGAAAATTATTGGGGACATCGGTTTAGACAAAGAATGTATGACAAGATCTCAAAAGCATAGGTAATAAACCAAAAATAGACAAATGGGACTTAATTAAGCTAAAAAGCTTCTGCACAGCAAAAGAAATAATCAACAGAGTGAAGAGAAAACCTGTTGAATGAGAGAAAACACAAACTATTCATCCAACAGGTGACTAATATTCAGAATATATAAGGAACTCAAACAATTCTACAGGAAAAAACAAATAGCCCCATTTGAAAGTGGGCAAAGTATATGAATAGATATTCTCAAAAGAAGATACACAAATAGCCAACAGGTATATGAAAAAATGCTCGATATAACAAATTATCAAAGAAATGCAAATCAAAACCACAATGAAATATTCTCTTACCCTAGTCAGAATGGCTATTATGAATGAAAGGTAACAGATGTTGGTGAGGATGCTGAGAAAAGTGAACAGTGTTGGTGGGAATGTAAACCAGTACAGCCACTGTGAAAAACAGTATGGAGATTTCTCAACAAACTAAAAATAGAAGTAC
Source organism: Homo sapiens (assembly GCF_000001405.40). Lineage (NCBI taxonomy): Eukaryota > Metazoa > Chordata > Mammalia > Primates > Hominidae > Homo > Homo sapiens. Next base: position 112,512,104 of record NC_000010.11, on the reverse strand, counting down.
CATTCGATCCAGCAATCCCACTACGGAGTATCTACCCAAAGGAAAAGAAATCAATATATCAAAGAGATACCTGCACTAGCATGTTTATTGTAGCACTACTCACAAGCAAAGATATGGCATCAACCTAAGTGTTCATCAACAAATGAATGGATAAAGAAAATGTGGTACATATACAGAATGAAATCCTATCCAGGCATAAAACAATTGAAAATATGTCATCTGCAGCAACAGGATGGAACTGGAGGTGGTTCTCTAAAGCAAAGTAAGCCAGGCACAAAAAGACAAATATTACATGTTCTCACTTATATGTGGGAACTAAAAAATTTGATCACATGGAGGTAGACGGTGGAAATATAGGTAACAGGGTCTGGGAAAGTTGAATTAGGAGGAGGAGGAGGGAGGATGAAGAGAAGCAGGTTAAAGGGTGCAAACATTCAGTAAGATGGAACAAATTCAACATCTGACAGCAGAGTAGAGTGAATATACTTAACTTGGGTGGTAGCACCGTAAATAACCTGAATTGAACACTATGCATTATACAAATATGTAAAAAATCTCACATGAGCCAGGCACGGTGGCTCATGCCTGTAATCCCAGCACTTTGGGAGGCCGAGGTGGGCAGATCATGAGGTTGGAGATCTAGACCATCCTTGGCCAACATGGTGAAACCCTGTTTCTACTAAAATACAAAAAATCAGCTGGGCGTGGTGGTACACGCCTGTAGTCCCAGCTACTTGGGAGGCTGAGGCAGGGGAATCACTTGAACCCAGGAGGCGGAGGTTGCAGTGAGCCGAGATCATGCCACTGCACTCCAGCCTGGTGACAGAGCAAGACTCTGAAAAAGAAAAAAAAAAAAAAACCTCACATGTATCCCATACATTTGTACAGATTAAATAAATAAATAAGCAAATGGAGCAAAACGCTAACAAAAGGTAAACCCCGGTAGAGAGTGTATGTTCTTCTTTGTACTACTTTGTACTTTTCAGCAAGTTTGAGATTATTTTCAAATACAAAGCTTAAAATGATCTAAAAATGAAAAGATTAGCAAAAAAGGGGGCAAAGGTCCCTGGTAAGCTAATTTTCAACAAGTAACTAATGTCTGAGATTAGTGAATATCAAATAAATCCTTGAAGAAATGATAGCTAATGTTAAACAAAAACATAAGACCATGATTCCTTTCAAATTCAGGCAATTTAAACTTTTATCCCATATGATGGTGTTTTCCTTTTTTAGCAATAAAATATGAGACTTTATTTTACAGTTTTAAATTAGCAACATACTTTTATTTTTTATTTCACCAATTAGTATGGATTCCAAATCATCCATGGTCAGAGAAGTTCAAAGTTATCAGTTCAAAATAAAAGAGTATTCCATAGCATTTAAAACTATTTGGCAATGAAGTATGAATTCTTTTTCTCTTTCGTTTAACTATAATTGTTTTTGTGGTGGTGGTGGTGGTGGTGGTTTTTTTGAGTCAAAGCCTCACTGTCGTCCATGCTGGAGACCAGTGGCACAGTCATAGCTCACCGAAGCCACAACCTTCCAGTCTCAACCAATCCTTCCACCTCAGCCTCCTGAGTAGCTGGTACTACAGGTGCATGCTGCTACAATCTGCTAACTTTTTAATTATTTTTTTAGAGATGGGGTCTTGCTATGTTGCCCAGGCTGGTTTTGAACTCCTGGCCTCAAGCAATCCCCCATCTCAGCCTCCCGAAATGCTGGGATTACTTCCATAAGCCACCACACCAGGTCCACTTTATTCTAAATAAAAAGTTTTTGGGACAACAATTCTAAATTAGATTGCTTAACAGATAAGAATAAATGCCAGATTGATGTTTATACAAAAATGCCTAGAGGAACTTAATGCAAATCTCACTGGAATGCTTCAGCACTAACCAAAGATCTTTTACCGTGCTCTTAGGTCATTGTCAAATGTTCTTGAAGAGAATACACACTTTCAGGTAGACATGTGCCCAGTAAACTTTAACTCGATTTGGCAACTAAGATATTGCTGATCTGTCTAATTTTGACTGTGATAGCACTGGACAGGGATTGAATGTAATTCTAGTCCTTGCAAAGAACACAGAAGATTTTGGCGTTCTATAAATATGCAATAATAATGGGACCTTAGGGCTAGAAGGGACCTTGAGAGGTCCTTTAGGGTGCCTTGCTCCCTCACAGCATCTTACACTGAATGTATCTTAAAAAGACCTCAGGAAGGAGGTCCCTTACCTTTCACAAAGAAGCTTACCAACCATCACTGGTTACTGGCAGGAATGATTTTTCCAAATTAAACTTAAACCTATGTTCTGCAGTTGCACATGCAGTAGAGATCAATAAACAGCTGCTGACCATATTTGGCATAATAGCTCTTCACAGACGTGAGGACTCTTAACAACTCTACAACTCTCCAACCAGGGAAAATGATCCCAGGACTTTTCTTCATCCATCTAATTTTCCAACTCCTCTGACAGGCACTCCCCAGAATTTTCTCTGAATTATCTTTGGGCATGGTAGCCCCAGTTAGACCCAGAGATGAACATTAGTAAACTCTTCCAGAGTCTCACATGAACCACAGGGCATTCAATCTTAACGCCTGATATGTAAACTGGAAGAGGTCATTCTTTTTTCTTTTTCTTATTTTTGCTCTAATTATATTTCACATTGTAAATGCACCTTAATTTTTAATTGAGTTTTGGGGCTACTTTCTACCACTCCTTTAAATTTGTTTTCTTGGCTGGTATTTTCTTGCCTTTAGAAGAAACAATATTATAAAGTAGAAAGGCCTCGGATTTGGGCAACTGATGAGCCTGGGTTCAAATTCCAGCTTTGTCTTTTAAGCGGTGATTAAGAACTCATATGGACTTCAGGTCTAGCTAAGATAAAGTTAATAAAACAGCAATTATAGTGCTTAGCACATACTAGGAATTAAAAACAACTACTCTGATTATAACAATTATTATTGAGAATGCCAGCAAGTTTATCCTCTAGCATACAAAACTGTGTTTGCCTCTGAGCTCTTTATTTTAATGTGGCCTCAAATACTCATGTCCAACACAGTCACTTTAGACCCAATCCCAGTTATGACCCAACCTCTCCTGACTAAAAAGACCAGATGGCTACTCTATTCCAGTTCTTCTTGGCTCTTGTGACTCACGTTTGTCTCCCAATTTTGGTCTTTTTGCTTTTGACATTATTTGCTTGCATCTGAGCTTGATTTTCTCTGCTTTGAGCCATCAGTGTTTTCTGAGGATTTACGTTCCCATTCACCCTTTGGCTCTGTCCCTACAGGAGAAAGTACTTGTATATTTTATCCCGAACTCTGAAGAATTCAGACAGTAAAAAACATAAAAACTTCAAAGATAACGCACTTCATTATCAGCACATGATTTAGTAGTATGAATTAAACAATAATTCAAATTCCAGTTTTGCTATTTATTACCTGCGTGGGTGCAGAAAGGGTGTCTAACCATTCTTAGACCCAGTCTACACATCTGCTTAGAGGAAATAAAAATGCATACTTGGTTGTCATATTAAGTGGGACTCACAATATGAACACAGCTTCATAAGTTAACAGGTTCCCTTGAAGTCATCACTTTTGTCTCTCCTACCCCCTTGAATAGAATAGATGGATGAAAAACAAGAACAAATATACCCTGAATTCTCTATTTCTGGCAAAACTATAAAATAGATATTATTCACAGACTCCAAAATATGTGGAGAGGTATCCAAAAGCCAATGAGATCATGCACAAGCCACTTGGTGAAGGTGACAAAGAGCATGAAAAATAAAGAGTGCTCAGCAATAGATAAGCTTGAGAAGCACCAGCCAAAATACACTTCGTAAAGATGAGGGACTTATTCAGAAGCACAAAATCTATTTCCTTTGTTTGAAACAACAAACGTGAGAACAGGTTTAAGCTGGTTGCTGGCAGAAGCGCCTCCTAGAAACGGTTTGTTCAGAGAAGCAGAAGAGGCAGGGCTATGTAAAGAATAACACAGGACTTCTGCTTCCCAAAGGATATAGAAAATCACAATAGACTTATTGTTTGCACCTTAACAAATACAAGCTGGAGAAGCCACAAAATCATAGTTTTGAAAACCTATCAGAAAGCTGATGACACAAAGACACCTAAAGAAACTACATTCCAGAACATCATGAACCTTTTTCTTAAAGAGAAGAGAGCCACAGCTGTTCTCATTCGTGGTGGAGTGGGGGAAACCTCCACAGATCTAAGTAAGAAGAAACCAGCCAAACTTCTGGCAAACTTTTAAGGGCTGCATTAGACCTGGCACAATAGATTAGGATCTCAAGGAGCCTGAGCCAGAGTGAGGTAATAGGGTCAACCAGCCAATGCTTTTTCCTATAGTTCATCATTGAGTGCTCAGAGCATGGTAAAAGAGCTAAGAGAGATGCCCCCTGGGTCATGTGAGACCTTTCCCAATTTTAAGCCAGCTCTCTTAAGGAGGGTTGCAAGGCAGCAGAACTAAAGGAAGTCCGTGCTAAGTGCTCTGAGATCTTGGGTATAGTATAGGTTTGAGGGTGGAGGTCGGGGGCAGAAAAGCTGATGGAAACCTATCTGAGGCATTCTGGCATTTCAGCCACCAAAAGTTAGAGTGGAAGAGAGGCACAGAAGGGCTGAGAGAAAATATTCTGACGCATTCAGAATCTTCAAAGGGTGTAAGGCAACTACATTTGTAAGGTTTAGTCTATGCAGCAGGGCAGAGAGAACTCTCTCAAGGTTCAGAAAGCCAGGAGCATGACTGGAGAATATACGGAACTTGCCAGAGACCCAAAAAGCAGTGGTGCTATAAAGCACAGGAAAACCTCCCTGTGGCTCAGCTGAAAAGCAGAAAGAGATCTCTGGAAACGCGCCAGCATTTGGAGCTTAAGTGATGCTGAAAGGAGAATCCTAACTCCAGCCTAAAGACATCTGAATTAAACTGAAGCTTAAAAAGCCGTACACAGTCCAACTGAAGATCAGATTGACTTAACCCTTCCATTCTGGACACCTGAAACAAAAGTAAAACTTTATTCAAAACCAAAAAAGCCAAAACAACTGCTCCCCTACTTCATTCTCTACAGTACTTTTACATCAAATACTTGACACAATCAAAAATTCCAAGATGCATGAAGAAGCAAAAAAAAAAACACCCATAAAAACCAAAAAAATACAGCTTTAAATACAGAAAGAAGACAAAGAAATTGTCAAACTAAAATTCAATATCCAGTGAATATATCATTCAAACATGATGGTGAAATAAATAAATGTTTCAGACAGATAAAAGCTGCAAGAATTTACCTCCTACAGAACTACCCAGAGGTACTAGAAATGCTGAAACCAGTTCTTTAACTGAAGAGGAATGACACTCAATGGAAATGAGATTTGCAAGAAGGAAAAAAGAACTCCAATAAGAGTAAATACTTGGGTAAATATAAAAGACTTTTTCTGAGCATATGTCACGAATCTCATAGCATATGTAGAAGTAAAATAGAAGACAACAAGAGCAAAATGGTGAGAGACAGGTGAATGGAATTCCAGTGTGTAACGTCTACATTATCCAGGAAGTAATATGATATTGTTTGAAAGTAGACTGCAAAAACCCAAAGACTCACATTGTACTCTCCACAGGAACCACTAAAAAATAACACAAAATGGCATAGTAGCCCGTCTCATCTGTGGGGGATGTATTCCAAGACCTCCCTGTGGATGTCTGAAATCTCAGATAACACCAAACCCTATATATACTATAGTTTTCCCTACAGTCATGTGTTGCTTAATGCTTTGGTCAATGATGAACCACATATACGAAGGCAGTCTCATAAGATTATAGTACCACATTTTTAGGGTACCTTTTCTATATTTAGATATGTTTAGATACACAAATACGTATCATTGTGTTACAATTGCCTACAGTCTCCAGTACAGTAATATGCCGTACAGACTTGTAACCTAGGAACAATAGGCTAGACCATCTAGGTTTGTTTAAGTATATTCTAGGACGTTCACACAATGAAATGGCAACGACACATATTTCTCAGAACATTCTCCTGTCGTTAAGCAACACATGACTGTATATACATACCTATTATTAATTTTATTTTATAAATTAGGCACAGTAAGAGACTAACAATAATACAATATCTTATTATACTATACTATGGATAGCTGAAACCACAGAAAGTAGGTAACGGGGGACTACTATATAACTAAAATTTTAATAAATAAGATAGAACAGAATATTAAAAACTATGTGATTTAAATTAGCCAGGTGTGGTGGCACACACCTGTAGTCCCAGCTACTCAGGAGGCAGAAGTGGGAGGATTGCTTGAGCCTGGGAGGTTAAGACTAGAGTGAGCCGTGGTTACACCACTGCATTCCAGCCTGGGTGACAGAACAAGACCCCATCTCAAAAAAAAAAAAAATTATGTGATTTACCCACAGAAGGCAAGAAGTAAGCACCACAGGAATAAAAAACAAGCATATAACATAGTTTACGCACAGCCACATATATGTCAAGTATATCTCAATAAAGCTGTTTTAAAAAAAGACAATAAAGTGACCACTAACACTACTATTATTTAACATTTTACTAGAAATACTAGCAAACATAATTAGATTAGTAAAAGAAGTTAGAAGCATAAAATTGGAAGGGAAGAGGTAAAACCATCATTACTTACAGATGATATAATTGTATATCTCAAAAATTCAAGAGAATAAACTGAATTGCAAACAATAAGTGAATTTAATACGGTAGCATGCTACAAAATTAAAATATAGAAATCAAGTCATACAAACAACCAGTGAGAATATACAGTGGAAGAAAAGTCCTCATTTAAGGTAAAACCATTAAAGACAAGACAAACAGGATTAAACTTAATTTTTTATAATCCTGAGGTGCAAAAACCCTTTGCAACTATGACTCTAAAAGCATAACTATATAAGAGTAATAATTTCAACTATATAAAAAACAAAAATGTTCGGCAACATATAGAACAAACATAGGATAAATTTAGTGTTTGACTAAACAAAATAATAGACATAATAAACTGGAAAAGTACATGCAGATTTCATCTTTGATAAGGAACAATCTTCAAAGCATTAAAAAAAATAATAGAACTTAACAAAAGAAATCAACAACGAATCCCCACACACCCCCCCACCAAAAAAACTAGCAAAGCATAAGAACGGTTTCTGAAAACATATAAAAAGACATTCCATCTTGCTCATAAAAGCTAATAAACACTACAGTGACCTCCCCTTTACTCCTATTAGTTAACCAATATTCAGAAGTTTGATACTTCATTTTATAACTGATAATTCAATTTGCAAGTAACCAATATCTCCATGCAATGCCGGGGTCATGTAAATTAATACATCCCCCATAGAGGACAACTATGAAAGAATGATCAGTATTGCAAATCCATATATTCTTTGAATAAGTAATTCTACTTCTTATGAAAAATGTCCATATGAAAAATGACATAGTTCAGAGTTATTCATTTCAGCAGCATGTGCAATAGCAAAAGCTAATTCACATGGATTGGTTAAATAAATTTGGTACATCCATACAATGGGACCATTAAGCTATAAAAAAAAAAGAATAAAAAAGCTCTTTACATATTGATATGGAAAGTTCTCCAACATCGACTGTAAAAGCAGGATGTAAAATAGTGTGTATAGCATATGCTGTCTTTCGTGTGATGTGCCATTTTGTTGTTGTTTAAAGCAGGGTTGGGGGAGAATATACGCTTGTATTTGCTTGTGTATATTTAAAGAGAATCTGTAAAGATACACAAACAATTCGTAACAGTAGTTACCTGGGTTGGAGATTTGGGAGGAGGTTGGAATGGCAAAATGGGATAGGGAATAGAAGTGGAAGGGAGAGTTTTCCTTATACATCTTTATAATCATCATAACTGTAATCATTTTCATCATACTGGCAGAACCACCTCTAGCATCTTCTAGGTAAGTTTTCCAACAGTGCAACAAGAACTTCAGGTTGTATTTTTAGAACAACTTTTCAGCAGTATAGTTTAAATGACGGGGAAATTTCAGGCATGAGTTTAAGAAAAGTTCCAAAACAGTGAGATCTTTTGGACCATGGAGCAGTTTCTCAAGGGAAAAAGAAGGAATCCCCATTTTTGACTCATTTCGTAAAGTGGCAGAATGCTGAAACCTGTGCCATGGAGAACAATCACACTTTGGCCCATTTAAGAAGGAATAAGGAATCCAGTGAATCTTATCTATCCTGTTTCTGCAGATCTATGACATCATACATATATGCATTGGGTGAAATAAGAAATGGTAACTAATGCCCAAGAGATTACAACAGAAATGCACTATTTCACGTAGATAGCAACAAGCAATAAAACTTTCAAAACTGACCAATCAGTGATACCAGATGATTTCTATCATATACTCCACAAGAATTAAACATTAATATAATGGTTGTCCTCTTAAAATTTCTACCAAAGCCACCATCTGTTAGTTGAAGAAAACTTAGAAAATTTATTTAACGAAGACATTTGCTCAAAATCAAAATTTTAATTTTAGATTTCACTAATTACAAAATTAGTAACTTACCAAAGGAGCATCTTCTGTCTTCTTAGGATAAACAATATGCAGCAAGAAAATTTGTTTGCTTTCTTTCAGAAGTGAGAGAAAGCCTAAGCAATTGAAATAAAAAGTACATTCTATATGATGTTAAGTGAAATAAGTCAAGCACACGAAGGCAAATATCACATGTTCTCATTCATATGTGGGAACTAAAAAGGCGGATCTCATGAAGATGGAGAACAGATTGGTGGTTACCACAGGCGTAGAAGGATGGGGGAGAGGAGGATGAAGAGGGGTTAATTAATGGGTACAAATATACAGTAAGACAGAAAAAATAAGACCTGGTGTTCCATAGACCAGTAGAATGACTAGAGTTAACATTAATCTACTGTACATTTCAATACCACAAGAGAATAATTAGAATGTTCCTAGCATAAAGAAAAATATTTAAGGTGATGGACATCCCAAGTCCCCTGATTTGATTATATAAATATATAAAATTATCACATGTACCCTGAAAATATGTACATCTATTATGTATCAATAAAAATAAATAAACAAACACACTCCAAACTTCTATAAAACCCTTTGTTTGTTCCTAAAGAATCACTATGTAAAAACATGGAATTCAGTTACTTGAAGGATACTAACACTAGAAACAGAATAATGAAAAAGAAGTCAAAGTTAATTATGATAAAAGAAAGAAGTTTAATCCTAAATTACCATTTTTAAAAAAGCACACAGGGTTATATAGGGTTAGAGTTTACACTTTCTTGAAAAGGTCACGATCTCTCAATCCTTGAGGAAGCTGGGGACATTTTATTCCAGTGGCTAGAGCCAACACTAAAGATATGCTCATGCTTCTGGTCATAAGCACGAGTTGGGAAGAAAATGAAGAGAGATGCAAATAAAACCAGTTCACTTTTAGCAAAATAATTCAGAATGCATGACCTGATGACAGTGGGTCCACAGTCATGTTCATGTAAGAAATTCAACACATAAACATCTGCAGACGTCCTTCTAATATACTGTATTTATCACATTTGTTAACCATTCAATTCTATTTGATTTAATGTCTTTCTTTTTTTGTAGGGGTTGTTGACTGGAAGGTCACAGGTATAACTGCAACACAGATAACAACAAGCAAATATGAATATCTAATTTACCTAGAATAAGTTAAAAAATTATAGTAGATTTAAAATGAGTAAGAAGCTGGGCGTAGTAGTTCACGCCTGTAATCTCAACACTTTGGGAGGACAAAGTGGGAGGATTTGCCTGGGCTTAGGAGTTGGAGACCAGCCCAGGCAACATGGTAAAACCCCGTCTCTACAAAAAATTAGAAAAAAAAATTAGCTGGGTGTGGTGGCATGCACCTGTGGTCCCAGCTACTCAAAATGCCGAGGTGGGAGGATTGCTTGAGTCCAGGAGGTCGAGGCTGCAGTGAGCCGTGACCATGCCACTGCACTAGAGCCTGGGTAATAGAACAAGACCCTGTCTCCAAAAAAAAAAAAAAAAAAAAGTAAGGATTCTAGGGAACATGGGCAGAGAGATATTTTGCTACTTAACTTTAAGGCTAACTAACCACTTTATGTTTATTGGTAAAACAGCACGGAGGATATAATATTGTGGAAACTCGAGGGCCTGAGATCATAGAAATTGAAGTAAATGTCAACTTTAAAAGTTCCCACATACAAACTGTGCTGTTATAAACTCATGCATTATCCCTTTTAAGAAAGAGCTACATTTTAATTTCAGGCATTATTTTAGAAAATAAGTTGCTCAATTATCCCCAACAAACAAAAACAATCTGACTATTCAATTTAAAAGCAAACATGAAAATTTTAGTGTAAAAGTTTTAGATTTCTGAGGGCGGGAGGTGGGGGTGGGGGGTTGGGGAGGGAGTAGCAAAAAGGTTTTTACTTCCAATTAGTAGCTAAATTACACAGAGTCCTTTTAAAGTATGACTATTAATATAGCATTCTTAAAAATCAAAGTAGGTAAAATGTTGATCAGAAGTGGAATTTTAGAATATCTACTTTCTTACTTCTTTCATTTCTTTCTTTTTGTTCATTTTTTTGTAAATATCTTTTAAGAATTTTAACAAAGAATTTACCTTAAGAGAGAACAGAAAGATTTAAATTTACTAAAATAGCTTACCATGAAAGACCAGAAATATTGGAATTTCACTTATAAAACTGAAAATGTTATGATGACATAAAATAAGGATTACCACTAGTTTTGGGGAGAAAATTTTATTATTTAATAAAGCCATGAAGTTTTATTGACCATCTTGTACTCAAACCAAAAAAGATAACAAATCTAAATAAGACTACAGATATAGGGTTCTATATTCATCCATCTGTTTCTTCATTTAACAACAATGTATTGAGCAGCTGTGTATGCCAGACATTGTGTTAGTAATGAAACAGGTTCCTGAACTGTGAGCTCCTCGATGATACCAGGAAAGGCAGGCATGAAGACAAATAATTGCAGTAAGTGTAAACTTGACATACTAGAAAATGGAGGTTTATTTTGATACAGTCAAATAAAGGAAGGAACTAACTTGGTTGAATCAGGTCAAGAACAGCTTTACAAAGAAGAAGCCTGACCTGGGGCTTACATGCTAAGTAGTTTGTCAAGCAGACAAGGAAAGGAGAAACATTCCAGGATAAGGACATAGCATGTATAAAATAACTGAGGCCTAAAATGTGAGGCACAACTCTAAACGGTGGAGCTTTAGCATGTATGGGCAAAGGGTGAAAGGAAAAGAATTGTAAGAGAAAACGGTAGGTAGAAAGGAAAGGTCCATCATAGGAGGCCTTAAAAGGTATAATCAAGAGTCCAACATTGATCTAGGAGAAGCAAACTCAGATGCCTACAGGAGGGAGGCCAATAATAAAAGTGGGTGAAATGGCAGGTGACAGTGGGGACCCAGACAAAATATGTTCCTCCCAGTGGAAAGCCACTTAGCTTTAGCTATTTCCAAATTTTCCAGATCTCTCAGAATTTCTGTAGAAACCTGAAATTTGAATGCATGTGATATCTCTCAATATTTTAATGTTGGCAACAATTTTCTTTTTTTTTTCTTTTCTTTTCTTTTTTTTCTTTTTTTGAGATGGAGTCTGTCGCCAGGCTGGAGTGAGTGCCGTGGTGCGATCTCGGCTGACTGCAACCTCTGCCTCCTGGGTTCAAGCAATTCTCCTGCCTCAGCCTCCCGACTTGCTGTGACTTCAGGCGCGAGCCTCCACACCCAGCTAATTTTTGTATTTGTAGTAGAGACGGGATCTCACCATGTTGGCTAGGATGGTCTTGATCTCTTGACCTCATGATCCGCCCACCTTGGCCTCCCAAAGTGCTGGGATTACAGGCATGAGTCACCACACCCGGCCTTGGCAACCAATTTCAATGTATGAAAAACACTGAAAAGGCCAAGGATATCATGTCTTTTAGCTAGATTTAACTGGTAGACTGAGGCTTTATGAACTCCTATAGGTACTGTAAAGTCATGAAAACAATAATTTGATATAGTCAGCTTTACGTTTTTCAGGAGTTTCCTCTCAACTCAAAGTGGAAAACAGACAGGAGGACTTGACTGAAGACAGAAGTCTCAGGCTGGTTCCTAAACGTCAAGAGAACAAGAGAGTGACATGTCAAGAGAGTGACCATGTGGCCCTCATTTAGAGAGCAACAGTGAAGATGGAGGGAGAGATATTCTAGAGGTGGAATCCATGAGACGTAGTGGGGGTGAGGGTAAGGCAAAGAAACAAGTATGAAATGTCTTCAAGGTTTCTCATATGGGTAACTGTGTAGATGGCACATTAATTAGAATAACCAACATATGCGTTAACCAGCATAATAAATGCGGGAAGAAGAAATGCAGGAAGAAGAACAGGTTTTGGAGAAAAGATAATAAGTTTAATGAATTCAAGTTGGAAGACTGTAGTTTAATGTCTGTAGGACTGGGACATGTGAAATGGACAATTGAAAAAATGGTGGAGAATGCAATGTGAAAGTCTAGGCTAGAGATATAATTTTGAAGTCGTTAATCTATAGACATTGGTGAAAGCCATGGGCATACATAAAATTAACCAGAGAAAATAAAGAGATGACAAGTCAAAACAACAATGACATGAAAATGCAAACATTAAGATGAAAGCAGAAAAAGAGAATCCAATGGAGATTCAGAACAGAGACCCAGGGAGAGACCAAGAGAGTATGGAATCAAGGAAGCTAGTTTCAAGAAGGAGGGAGGGAATCAAGTTCTACATAGATGACAAGTAAGATAAAAGCTGGAGAAAGACCTCAGAAACAGGGGTCACGTGTGACTTTAGCAAAAAAGTTTCAGAGGTATGATATCTATCATAGTATTGCAAGCAATACAATGTAAAAAGAAGTTAAATACTCTAATTTTTCCTTATATATACTTATTAAATGCCATATCTCCCCTTACCTAATGTTGAAATATTTGTACAGGATACAGACTAGATAAGGCAACTTTTCCCAAAGCCTGGTTATTTCTTCATTTAAGCCTTTGCTGACATCTAGCAGATGAATGATTGATGGTACCAACCCTCCCGCCCCCTTTCTGTTTAGATAAAACTCTACTGGAAAACATTTCAGTCCCAGTGGTGAAAATAGAATAATTTAGGTAGAGACACTTAGGAGGGAAGACATTTATTAAAGTGACAGGCTACCTGAATAGAGCACCTACCACTTGAAGCAACAGCATTTCTAAGAAAATTGTTCATCTAAATATGATAACCCTTGGAAGTCACATAAACAAACAAACAAAAAAAAAATGGTGGTCAAAACTCTAACTGCGTCCACTCAATCTTTATTTCATTTGAGCCCCATATGAGTAAACTCAAAAATAGCAAATCAATAGTTACAATGAATGTATCCCACAATCTTTATTTTTTTCTTTTCTGTCTAGTTTAAATATATTTGCAAATTATGGTCATTTTGTTCCTCTAAATAGTCACAGCACATTTTATAAATTTTTTTTTTAAGAAAGAAGATTTTACAGAAGTATCTAGGAACTCTAAGAAGTAAGGAAATCCCATTGAGCTCATTTGGTGGTGGTGGCGGCGATGAGGAGATTAGTTTACCATGTGTTTGGAATCTGTGGATAAATCAAGTAAGAGGAAAAGTATCCAACTTCAAACAAAATAAACCAACTTTAATGCTGTCACAGAATAAAGTATAAATATATATTAACATTTTATAAATCATAGAATAATAGCACTTCAGAATTATGAGACTCTTTAAGAATAACTTAACCTTATCCCCTTATGGATGAGGAAAATGCAGATTATGGTCTAATAAAATAGAAAGACCAATTCTTCAGTCAGTATAAACCTGGCTGGCTGCTGACAGAGACTTGTTTTAAATAAGAACTCAAGTGCATTCTGAATGCTTGGAGAGAAAGCATTTATATGTAGGACATAATCCAGTGGAGAAAGGTCATACCAAAGAACATCAAATATTCTGAATCATAATGAAAATTATTTAGGGGTAATCTATTATAATATTTCATGCCATTTAATATAAACAGTGGGGAGTCAGCTGAAAATAACAGCATGATTTCTTATTTTAAGAACTATAACTTTTAGAAGAAGTTAATCAAATATCTTTCATTCTTTCCCGTAAGTAAAACTGGCACTAGTTTATGTGAGACTGTACATGAGAGATAAACTTTAACCTATTTACATATTCATCCAGGTCTGTTTTCTAGAGCTGGAAAATATAATACAATAACGGTAAAGTAAGGTGAATCAGTAATTAAATGGTGTCACTCAATACACTGAGTAACCAAGTGTGGTTTGTGGGTTTACAACTGAGGAAAGTCTCAAGCCAAAGGAACCATCTCTCTTGGAAAGTTTGGCCTAATTTAGATTATATTTTACTCTGAAATTCAGCAAGTTAGTTAAAAACAAACCTAATTTGTGTCAGACAAAAATAATAGCTAATATATCTTTTGAGCTTACTATGGATCAGGCATTATTCTAAGAGCTGTGAGTACGTGTGTGTGTATGTTAATTTACTCTTCACAATAATCCTTTGAGGCAGACATTATTTCCATTTTACAGATAGGAAAACTGAAGCACAGACATTAAATAATTTGCCCAAGTTCAGAAAGAAAATAAGTATCAGAGCAAGAACTTAAAACCAGGCAAAGCTTCTAAAGTTGTATCACTTTATTTATTATTATTATTTTTTTTTTTTTGAGACGGAGTCTAGCTCTGTCACCCAGGCTGGAGTGCAGTAGCACGATCTCAGCTCACTGCAACCTCCACCTCCTGGGTTCAAGTGATTCGCCTGCCTCAGCCTCCCGAGTACCTGGGATTACAGGTGCTTGCCACCACGCCCAGCTAACTTTTGTAATTTTATTAAACATGAGGTTTCACCATTTTGGCCGAGCTGGTCTTGAACTCCTAGCCTCAGGTGATCCGCCTGCCTCGGCCTCCCAAAGTGCTGAGATTACAGGCATAAGCCACCGCACCCAGCTCTAAATCACTTTATAATAATCAATCTAGTCACATGTCCTCATATGTTTCCCTTCTTTTATCATCATTACCTCTACCCCCTATTGCCAAAGAAAGAATAGCTAGCTTGTTTATTTTTTATTTTTAAGGCAACTTACTTTAAACATTGGTACAACTGGCAGTTGTATTGGTTAGAAAGAAAAGAGGTATAAAAAAAACTCTGCTGAAAAATACTTTTAAGTGGTTGTGATCACATATACATTCAGAGTAAACTTGTGTTCTTAGCTGAAACAGTCCTTTGTCAGCAGCATATCAGGTTCACACTGACTGAAAAATTGCAGTGCCCATTGTCACCATCTACATTATCAAGAGTATTTGAATGAGTTACTGATAAATATCTGCTTAAGTGAAATGAACCTAAAACTGAATTTGTTTAATAAAGCAATAATTTTGCCTTAAATAATCTTCATGTATAATTTTTTTTTTTTGAGATGGAGTCTTGCTCTGTTGCCCAGGCAGGAGTGCAGTGGCCCGATCTCGGTTCACTGCAACCTCTGCCTCCCAGGTTCAAGCGATTCTCCTGTCTCAGCCTCCCGAGAAGCTGGGACTACAGGTGCGCATCACCACGCCTGGCTAATTTTTCATATTTTTAGTAGAGATAGAGTTTCACCATGTTGGCCAGGCTGGTCTTGAACTCCTGACCTCAAGTGATCTGCCTGCCTCAGCCTCCCAAAGTGCTGGGATTACAGGCATGAGCCACTGCACCTGGCCCAACCTTCATATGTAAATACTTCAACAACTATGGTTAGAAATGATCATGTCAGGCTTTACTTATTTTTATTTTGTTTAGAGACGGCGGGGGGGGGGGGGGGGTCTCCCCATTTGCCTATGCTGGTCTTGAATTCTTGGCTCAAGTGATCCTCCCACTTAGGCCTGGCCTCCCAAAGTGCTGGGATTACAGGCGTGAGCCATCGCACCTGGCCAAGTCAGGCTTTAAAGGGATTTGCTGAATCTTAGGTCCTACCACTCAACCTACAGGTTCTTGTCAAGGTTAACGGTGACCATCATGCTGACAATCTAATAGATACTTTTTTATGTCTTCATTTCACTCAGCTTCTCAATAGCATTCAACTTGGTTAAAATGCCCTCTTTTTTGAAATAGTCTCTTCTGTAGAAATGATCTTCCTGATTAGAAGCTTTTTTCATAATTCAATTCAAGTCATTGAATTGAACTCTAAATACAATTCTAAATACAATTCTAAATTCTACTTGAACTCTAAATACAATTCCTGCGAGCTTGGTCGAGAACTCTCTTCTCTCCCTAAGTATCCTCATTTATTTCTGAAACTTTAAATAATATCTATATGCTGACGTCAAAATTGGTTTAACTCAGTTTCTCCTCTGAAATCAAACTTGATATTTAACTCTCTTCTGAACTCAAACTGGCTATTTAATTTCTCCACTGGGATGTATCTGAAGTATCTCAAATTTAAAACACGTAAAGTGAATTACTGATTCTACAACAACTATTCCCCTACCAAAATAAAACCAACTTGCCCCACCCCTAGTCTCTCCCAACTTAATTAGGTAGTGCCATCTCTTGAAACACCTAGTCATTCAAGATAGAAACTTGGGACTTTATCCTTAATTCCTTCTTGAGAAACATTCACAGATTGAATTAAAGAATCCCTCTCCTAGAGAGAAAGCAAACGAGGAAAAAGCATTAGCAGTTATTGAATTTAGGTACAGGTACCTGGGCAATTGTACACTTCTTCTCACTTTTCTATATGCTTGAAAGCTTTCAAATAAAAATTTATGGAGAAAATTTTTTTTTAACTAAAAAAAAAAAAAAAAAAAAAAAAGACCATTACTGAATTCTTCCCATCAATGAAACGGACCATTGGCATGTGATTCCTATTATTGACCTAATTTTTCTAAAGTAAAAATACTGTGGTAAAACATTCAGGCCTCTTCAATGAATCAAAAAAGACACATTTCCATCAGTTTTTGCATTCATATACCTTAAACAATTACTGAGACCTTAAAAGCATTTGAGTTACTACTGAAAAAAAGCTCCGATTCTTAGCTTCCCAAGCCTGTTTTCAAATTTTATTATAGCCCAATATTAACATTAATCTGGGTAATAATATAGAAAATGTCCACAGGTTTAAATTTTAAAAGCAGCTAGCTGGTAGGGGAAAATTTAGAGCTTTAAACACTTGTCTTAAGAAAGAAAGAAAGATCTGGCTGGGTGCGGTGGCTCATGCCTGTAATCCCAGCACCTTGGGAGGCTGAGGCAGGTGTATCACTTGAGTTCAGGAGTTCAAGACCATCCTGTCCTGGCCAACATGGTGAAACACTGTCTCTATTAAAAATACAAAAATTAGCTGGGTGTTGTGGCATGCACCTGTAATCCCAGCTACTCGGGAGGCTGAGGCAGGAGAATCACTTGAACCTGGGAGGCGGAGGTTGCAGTGAGCTGAGATGGCGCCACTGCATTCCAGCCTTGGCAACGGAGCGAGGAAAGGAGGAGGAAAGAAGGAGGAAAGGAAGAGGAAAGGAGGGCAGGGGAAGGGAAGTCTAAAATCAATCTCACTTCTAGAAAAGAAGCTAGAAAAAGAAGAGCAAATGAAACCTGGAGTAGGTAGAAAAAGGAAATAAAAATCAGAGTCAAAATCAACAAAACAGAAAACAGATAAATAATAAAATAAAAGAAACCAAAAGTTGTTTTTAAGACACAAAAATTACAAAACCATGAACAGAAGAGGAGACATTTGTTACAGACACTACAGAAATAAAAAAGATTATAAACAAATATTATGAAGAATTTATTGTCAATAAATCAGAGAACTTAGATGAAGGGCACAAATTGCTAGAAATCTATAAATTATAAAAATAGACTCAAAAGATAATAGAATATAAGAAGTAACAAAATTAAATTAGTAAAACAATCTTTTCACACAGAAAGCTCAGACTCAAGTGGCTTCACTGATGAATTTTCTATCAAACATTTAAGGAAGAAATAAACAACCCTACACAAAATCATCATTTAGAAAACAGAGGAAGAAACACTTCCTAACTTGTTCTATGAGACTAGCATTACCGTGATGCAAATGTCAGATAAAGATACGACAGGAAAACTCCAGACCAGTATCCCTGGTAAACAGAGATGTAAAAATCCTTAACACAATATAAGTAAACCAAACAGCAACATATAAGGAGGGTTATACACTATTACAAAGTAAAATTTATCCTACGAATACGAGGCTGGTTTTACATCTAAAAATCAATTAATGCAATATATATTAACACAATAAAGGGCAAAAACAACATGACCATCTCAACAGAATGAAATAGAATTTGATGAAATCCAACACCTATTTATAATATAGACTCAAAACAAACTCAGAATAAAAGGGAAATTCCTCAACCAGATAAAGGGCATTTACAAAATACCTGTAGCTAACATCATTCTAATAGTGAAAATCAGAATACTTCCCCCTAAAATTGGATGAAAGCAAAGAAATCCATTCTTAGCATTCTTATTCAGTATTATATCAGTGTGTAGCCAGTGGAAAAAGGGAAAAATAAAAAATAAAGAAAATTTTAAAATTAAAGGTATACACATTGGAAAGAAGTAAAATTGTCTTTATTCACAGATGACATGATATTTTATGTAGAAAATCCAGAAGAATCAACAAAGAAAACTACTTGAAATATTAAAAGGGTTCAGCAAGGTTGCAGGATACAAGATGAATATACAAAAATCAATTGTATTTCCATGTACTAACAATGAAAAAATGAAAAAGGAAAGAAAAAACATAATTCACGACACAATTAAAGAGAAAATATTTAGAAATAAATTTCACAAAAGAGGTACAAGACCTGTATACTGAAAACTACAAAACATTGCTA
Organism: Homo sapiens; assembly: GCF_000001405.40. NCBI lineage: Eukaryota > Metazoa > Chordata > Mammalia > Primates > Hominidae > Homo > Homo sapiens. Next base: position 112,493,143 of record NC_000010.11, on the reverse strand, counting down.
AAAGAAATTAAAGAAAATCTAACTAAATGGATTGGAAGATGTAGTATTTTTAAGATAGCAATTTCTCCCATATTGATTTATCCAGATTCTATTCAACAAATTAATATAAAATTTCTAGAAAAGGCAAAACTATGGAAAGAGGAAGCAGGAAAGCAGGTCAGTGGTCACATGGAATGGGAGTACGAATGAGGACGGACTGCACATGATCGTGAGGGAGCCTCTAAGAAGTGTCATAAAACTCGATTACGGTTATGTTTGAACAACTGTATAAATATCCTAAAAAAATCACTGAATTGTATATTTATAATGGAAAATGTTATGCTATGTGAATTATAACTCAATCAATTTTTTTTTTGCTTTTTTTTTTTTTGAGACTGTTGCCAGGCTGGAGTGCAGTGGCGTGGTCTTGGCTCACTACAACCTTTGCCTCCCAGGTTCAAGCGATTCTCCTAGCTCAGCCTCCCAAGTAACTGGGATTACAGGCATTCTCCACCATGCCCAGCTAATTTTTGTATTTTTTTGTAGAGACAGGGTCTCACCATGTTGGCCAGGATGGTCTCAATCTCTTGACCTCATGATCTGCCTGCCTGGGTCTCCCAAAGTTGGGATTACAGGCATGAGTCACTGTGCCTGGCCAATTTGTTTTTTTATAAGAAGTAGCTGGTCTATAGGAGAAATAGCTTTTATCTAACAAATAAATCTGTTATAATATCAAAACAGTACTACTGACTGCGGCAATTGCAATGATATACCGCGCAGAATTTCTGAGTGTAAAAGACCCTTAGGGCTAATATCAAAGGCTCCCCTTGTACCTTATATGATGTTTCTTGTTGTTATTTTTCTGAAAACACTTCAGAGTGTCCACAAATATCTATTAGTCCCTCAGTTTATGGTTTACTGAGTGACAACATTTTGGGACTGATCTAAAGATTCTATATACCCCTTATTGACAAGAAAGTGGGGTGGAAAAGGGGAGATTGGAGACGACAGAATCTTCGTTAGCAATGGGAAGTCTGTGGAATAAGACACAGCTGCCTTTTAAGAACATTATGTCTAGGGAGGCAGTGCCCAACCTTGATCGAACATTGGAATCACCTGGGGAGCTTTTTAAAACAATCCCTGGGTCCTGGCTACACCTAGACCAACTAAACTAAAATCTCTGGCAGGGGATCCAGGCATCAGTAGTTTCTAAAGCTCTGCAGGTGATTCTAATGTGCTGCCAAAATTGAGAACCACTGGCTGAGGGAAGAGGCGGAGGCTTAGGAACCTTTATTTTTATGCCCAACAGGCTCCTGGAAAAGTGGTTTGGCATAGTTGCATTGTAGCACCTAGAGCTGCTGTATAATGTGGTGCAGTAGTTACCATCCACATGTGATGACTGAGCCCTTGAAATATGGATAGTCAGAACTGAAATCTACTGTAGGTGTAAAACATATATTGGACTCTGAAGACAAGAAAAAAAGAATGTAAAATATCTCATTAAAATTTTTAATATTTATTACATTTTGAAACGGTAATATTTTGTTTGGAGCTATTAGATTAAAGAAAATATATTACTAAAATCAATTTCGCCTCTTTTGTTCTGCATTTTTTGATGTGGTTACTAGAAAACTTAAAGTTACATATGTGGCTGCCATAACACTTCTATTGAACAGTGCTGATCTTCAGTCTTAAAAAGAATCACATCTCAGAGCTGAAAATGACCTTTAGAACCACTTGATACAATCTCTTCATCTTACAGATAAGGAAACTGAGGTCCAGAGAGAGAAAGTAACTGGCCTTACATGACTCAGCTAGAAAGTAACTTCACTGAGATTAGTCAGGTCCCCTGACTCCTGCTGTCTATGCTTATTTCCATTACACTTTTCCAAGGATTGTTAAAACAAAAATGCTCTATCATCTCCTCTCAAAATAGAATGTTTAATTTAATCAACTGGTACTGAAATATGTCCTTTTTTTAGAGTACATTTTTTCCCTCTAGGATTTTGATGTAAGTCTCCTGCCTACAACTTCTCCTGAGTTTGGTGCCATACATCGAATGTTCTACTCTTGTCATGAAATAAACCAAGGAAAATATAAAAAGATCAGATCTCACATTCCACTTTATACTGGGGAAAGGTGGTATGTCAAAGAGCACTTGCAGAAACACCACAGAAATAAACTTAAGGGAAAGAAATTGGTAGGGGAGGGTGGGCAGGGGGGTTGAAACACAATGAAAATAATACTTTGTGTTCCTATTTTAAGTGCCTTTCTCAATGCTATATGCATAGCAGCTAGAGGCAAGCTGGAAAGCAGCCAGGTCCCGGCTGCCAGCAAAAATTTTGTCACCTCCTTTGAACATCTGAAGTATGTTTACCCAATAGATTTCATTAAATTACACTTCCATTAGGAAGCATACAATGTTGATACTCATCTCAAAGATCAAAGGGATCGCTAAGAGGCATGTCATCCTGCTCCCCAGCTGATTGCTATTTCTGGGCCAATCAAGGAAAGGAGCCAGAACAATACTTAGTTTAAAAAAAAAAAAAAAAATTGTAGCATCTCCCCAAGGACTATAGACTAAGAATCTGCAGCCCCATTATCAAAATGAGCATATCATTAATGACAATACACATATAGTGAGTTATTTTAATACAACTCCTACACAACAAACAAGCTGGATTTGGGTCATTAGCTGAATCTGTAAAACAGTATTTATGAGGGCTGAAAAACTCTTTAGTAAAAATACAAAGTTTAGAAGATTGAGAAAGAGTTTTATTACAAATGCAAGAGAAAAATGTCGTATTTATTAATTTCACTGTGACTTTCAATAAACCAACCGGTGAGCCAAACTGGAGATGGCTATTTAATCACCGACAGGTTGTAAGACTTTTTTCTCATTTCACTATTTTGTTGTTGTTGTTGGATGATTTAAAAAGAAACAGCAGAAATACATTTATTTTAAAAAGGCAAAAATGATTCCATCTTGAGATCCAATAATTTACCATGAAAGCACTTAATTTCCAGGAACAAGTGGCATTGATTTAAAAAGAAATAAGGTCTAACCACTGAAAATTAATAAATAAAAACAAGTCATTTCAACTGGGTAAAAATATATCAGGTAAGTTTAATAGAGAGTTAAAAAGAACAAGGTAATGACAATGGCCCAAATCTTTTATTTGACGTTAGAATGGTGGCTCAGCAACAGCTCAATTTTCTAATCCAGATTTCAGGTAGTGGGAACTCTTCCAATATTTTTTATTGTGAGGAATTTGATCAAAATGGGATTAAAAAGGCAAAGTTCAGGCAAATGTTCATTCTACAAGCTCTTGTAGTAAAGGTAAATTACCTATATATAGCCACAACCCACAATCTAGATTTCAGCTGCTCCCTTTCAACATGTAAGTCAACCTCTTGGTTATCCATATTTGACACAGCATATGAACTCTAATTATCTATCTTTTGCAATTAATCATCTGACAATGACATTTCCTGCACTTATAAGCATCCAGCTGGGAACTGAGTTTTACTCTGAGAGAGAAAAAAAGAGAATTCAGGTTCCTAACAAATTACTTCTAATTAACCAGAACCTTTTTTAGTCATCCCAATGTAAAGATGCCTACAGCTAATCAAAGAATTTATTGTTTGCATTCTTAATGATACTTTAAAATTTCATTTAAATTTCCCCAAAGAGCAGTTCTGGAAATGTATTTCACTAATATTACTTAAACAAACATTCTGTTTGGCAGTACACAAAGAATGGGGGGTTGGGGGAAGGAAATAATTTCTAAGGGAAAGCAACTTAGAGTAGGATGAGAAACAGCACCAAACAAAATTAAATAAAGCAGAGATTCAGGGAGTACCTTGTATCTTCCAATAAGTCCAGGAAATTGACAGAGCTGAGTTATAAAAATTTTAGAGCTGGAAGAGATCTCAGGGATCATCCACTCGAGTAGTTCTCAACGTATGGTCCTGTGACACCAGCTTCAGCCTCAATATGAAACTCTTCAGAAATGTCAATCCCCAGGCCCTGTCTCGGCCCCACCTGGGCCTTCAGAATCAGAAACTCCAGGGTAGACCCAGCAACCTGTGTATTAACAAGCACTCCCAGTGATTCTGATGTTGCTTGAGTTTAAGAACTACTGGTCTAGTCTAAGCACTTCATTGTACAGATGAGGAAACTGCGAGCTAAGAGGCCAAAGTTCCAAAACACGAGAATAAAATAAAAGGATGACATCAAAGAGTTTACTATCATCTTTTTTTCCTTTAATTAAAAAAAACTTTGTTAATACATAAGATATAATACTGTAGTTTCTAGGACTACTGAGGCTTGCATTCCCCAACAGTGCTTCCTTTCATGGTATACTTAGCTCTTGGGACCCAAAATACATAGACATTCCTAGAGTATTGGTTACCCATTCCTCCAAACATAATATTCCACAAATATTGAACCAAAAAGAAATGAAGACCAGAGAAATTAGAGGAAGCCAGAGTCCTGCATGACTTTTAAAAAGTCAGACCACTACAAGAAGTGCAAATTATAGAAGACAAAGTGGTACACTGGAAGTAACGCTGAATACAGAATCAAATAATATAGGTTTCTAATTCTTGCTCAAGCCACTGATCAGCTCAATAATATTATTAAATAATACCTTTGGGTCTGGTTCTGGCTGATATGGATAGCAAAATCCTCTATCTTAACCAAGAATAACAGAGGCATTTTAGTCAGACTTAGGAAAGCTCTGCATTATAATGATAGTTCGACTTGGTACTCTTCACTTAATACAGAGAATAGCTAGTTGGACAATTATTTCAATTTTTCTAGAATATTAGATTTGATAACCTTATTCATCTATTCATTCAGAAATATTTACTTAGAATTTATATGCTCTTACATAGCATGCTATATCACAGTTCCTGCTCTAAAATAGCATATAATGTAGTTGGAGCAACAACACTAATTAAACAAAGTAAACTAAAAGGCAATATAAGGTTTAGTACCTGATAGTACAAACATTGGAGAATGCAGGATGAAGCAATAAGGAACATGTTTAAATTAAATTGGAAGTATGTATTCTGACACTACCACAGTACTCTTTTAATTTATTTATAACATGATGAAATGTGACCCAATAAGCCAAAATCACTACCCAAACAGTTATTTGAACATTTCTTTGCATAATTATCACTGTTTTCTTAAACAATCTACACAGGCAGAAAATGTACCTATTAATTACTACCAAATGTACCAAACTACCAAATTACTACCAATATACCTATTAACTACTACCAAAATATTTGTATAAATTTAAGTTAAATTCTGAGATGACAGCCAATTTTTAAGTTAAACTATTTGGACAAAAGTGTTTTCTTCCTTTCAGGTAAATATATTATAAAAGATATATAAAGTAGAGGGGATGGCATCAGCCAGAAAGACTAAGTTGGAGTAATGATTTTTGAGTTATATACAGAAGGCCATAGGTTACAAGCAGGAGGAGAGAATTCCAGACAGAATAGCTTGTATAAAAAGACAACTAGGTGAGAGTAAGTGAAGCAACTGTACATAACAAGGTCCGATTAATTTGATTACAGCAAGCAAATAAAGACAATTTATGCTTGTAAAATGATGAGGCTTGGGGGTCAGGAAGAACTGGGAGCAAAATGAATGCTACAATGCCAAATTTGGATTTGATCCAATTGCCAATGATAAACCTTGCATGCCTCTCAAAAATGCAAGATTAGGCCAGGCACGGTGGCTCACACCTGTAAGCCCAGCACTTTGGGAGGCTGAGGCAGGTGGATCATTTGAGGTCAGGAGTTTGAGACCAGCCTGCCCAATGGGGTGAAACCCTGTCTCTACTAAAAATACAAAAATGAGCCAGGTGTGCTGGCACACAACCATAGTCCCAGCTACTTGGGAGGCTGAGGCAGGAGAATCACTCGAACCGGGGAGATGGAGGCTGCAGTGAGGCAAGATCATGCCACCTCACTTCAGCCTGGGGGACACAGTGTGACTCTGTCTCAAAAAAAAAGCATTTAAGTTTGTTCAGTTTTATCATAGTATTTCTCAACCCGGATGCAGAGTATTTATAAGATATATATGCCTACACAAGCCTCCTTAATCTGAGGTCACTTCTCCCTTTAAATAGTGATAGTATCTCTATTAAATAGTGATAGTATCTCTATCTGAAATATTACTGTTTTAACAGAACCATACACAATGCACTGCGGTAAAGAGAGATTAAATGTGGCAAAATCAAAAATCACTATAAATAGAAGAATGTGGATGTGGAAATGCAGAAATTACTGTGGCCTAGGGATTGGCCATAAAGTCAAGGAAAAAAAAAAGATTTATGTATAAGTACAAAACTTAGGGTACCAGTGGTCTTTGAGTGTGTTATTGTAGGCAACATTATTGGTTATTTGCACTTTTTGTTACATTGTATATTCTTTAGAATATACAGTTGTATATTCTAAATATAAGTTGTATATTCTTAAGAATATACAACTGTATATTCTGTGATATTATTTCTAATGATTATTGTGTACAGTGACTAAAAAATCTTAATATCTTGGATTTAACAGTGTCGAAAACTCAGATTTCCAAGGCTAGTTTTAGATTTAAGCAGAAAAGTAGTCTATTAGAAACAGAGCAAGTAAACAAGAAAACATCAAGGATGTACCACATAAGGGCACTGTAATAAGGATTTCCAAATGTGTCTTTTCCATGTATTTTCCAAAATACATTTTCAGGGCATTTTCATGATGTATTATTTCATGATTAACCCATTGTGAGGTAGGTGAAACAAGTATCATTATTTCCATTTTACAAATGAAAAAGGGAGGCCCCAAAGTGTAGTTAACCTGCAAAAATTCTCAAAGGTAGTTGGTGGCCAAGGCAGGATTTAAATCCAGGCCTTCTAACTAGAAGTTCAGTGCTCTTTCCAGTCCACCCCATTGCTGTCACATATAAGCCTCCATAAACCAAAATTTTCTGCAGTGCTACATGGCATTCTAAACTGTTTGATCTTAGCACAGACATACGCGTGGTAAAGTGTTATAAGAAGTGTTTTAACATAAAATATGTGTGGGACAGAAAGGGAGATTCATAATATTTCCCTTAGGCTCACTTATTAACCCAAAGTACTTTGTATAGATAAATAAAAGGATGCTACAAAAAGATCCGAGAGGCAGGAAATGAGCATGGGAAAAAAACATTTAAAAATCAGAAAAATATATACATCTCTGCAGTTGCAATCATTTAAATGGGAGCACCACAGAAAAAAGTTCTCAAGTACAAATCTTATTCCAACAGCTGCTTTTAGTGATACATGAAACAGTAATGGTAACAGGCTAAAAAATAATAAAAACTTTGAAATAAAGTTAAAAGATACAGGCAACTTAAAACTAACATCTTTTCTCTACACAGAAAGGTTAAATTGTGAGGTTGACATTTGCATTTGTTACATTGTCAAGGCTTTCTATCAGCATGTGTACAAACAATATCTAAAGATGTCATCTGCATATTTATACCAAAAGAGCTTATGAACCGGACCTGTCAGTATATTTTAACATCCTTCCAAAACGTCAGCTTTCATCAGATATAAACACAACATGTTTAATTTATTAGTTTGGTCTTAATATAAAAAGTTGACAATCATATGTCACTATAACTACTGATAAGGTAAATAAGGACTACGGGGAAAATGTCAAAAAGTTATTGAAATGTTTGCTAAAATACAACATCAAATCATATATATCAGCTCTTCTCTGGCAATGAACATGTCATATTTTCCTATACATGGCTATTTCCCAAAAGATATGCTCAATGGACCATTTCAGAAACTTCATTCTTTTCTTTTTTCTTTTTTTCTTTTTTTTTTAGACAGAGTTTCGCTCTTGTCGCCCAGGCTGGAGTGCAGTGGCGCAATCTCGGCTCACTGCAACCTCCACCTCCCGGGTTCATGCAATTCTCCTGCCTCTGCCTTCCGAAGTAGCTGGGATTAGATGCCTGCCACCACGCCCAGCTAATTTTTTTGTATTTTTAGTAGAGACGGGGTTTCACCATGGTGGCCAGGCTGGTCTTGAACTCCTGACCTCAGGTGATCCACCCACCTCGGCCTCCCAAAGTGCTGGGATTACAGGCGTGAGCCACCGCACCCAGCCAGAAACTTCATTCTTAAAGCATCTTAATTCCTAGGTAAGAGAAATTTAAAAGAAGTCAGAACAAAGAAAACACTTACTGTAACACATGGCATTATTATTTTGTTCTATTTAAGTTAAATAAAAATTGCATTTAAAGAATAATTCATACTAGATGCAACTTTTTCATTGGAATACTTATGTTTTGTGTGCCTATCATTTATTATAGATGTTTCTCCTAAAAAGTTTGCTTTAAAATCATAAATCTTGGGTCTTAAAATTAATCAACAGGCACTTATTGAACAGCTACTATGTACAGCATCTGTTAAATACTTCAAAACTACAAAAAATAGATGACCCACTCTCCTCTCTTGAAGATCTCATAACTGGTTGAAGTAATAAAACTTAATTAAGTAAGTGAAAATCGATAAATCATTTCAGCTCTGACAAGGAAACAGTGTGTAAGTTGATACAGGTTACAAATATAAGTGTCAAGGTGAATGGAAAGTAAAGAAAATCTATCATGAAGTCCTAGAAAAGACTTCACAAAGGAGGTGAATAATGGTTATGAAATCGTAGACATGGAAGACATATCATTATGAGCCTAACAGATTAAGTTGAGCCCAATATTCCAAAGCATACTGATTGTCCTAAACTAGATATAGAATAGATTTAAAGCAATGTGAAAAGTTTCACAAGCCTTAAAATGCCAAGTATTCAAATTTTCAGCATCATTAAACAACAATGCTTACTGACCTTAGAAAGCATGGAGGTTGACCTCTGCATCTTAGAGTCGAAGAAGCTGAGACACAATGACTTGCCCAATGGCACTCAGCTAGTTAGTATTAGAGCTGACACCCAAAGTCAGAACTCTTGACCTTTAATCTAGTGTACCTGCTGCTGCATCACACTGCCTCTCTTGGTTTATAGCCTATTTGAAATAAGTGTAGGTTGGTTATGAACCAAATCATCTTTAAACTCTACACATTAGATGAGCAGAGAATTTAGTGACTCTTTAAATATAAATGCTATAACGGAGCATGATTTAGTAGCTTGAAAGTCTGACAGACTTGATTTCTAGTCCTGGATCCAAATTAGGAGAGCTTGGGAAAGTGTGTTAGCTTTCATCACCTCCTGTGTCTGAATTATAAACTGGCTGTGAAGAATAAATGATATACAACATGATATCCAGCCTATTAGATGCCTTTAATTGTTATTGTTAATATTCTCTCTCTCTCTCTCTCTGAAATCCCCATCAACGTCATTCTAGACTGAGTGGCTCTCAACCAGGGATAATTTTGCCCCCAACGGGATATTTGGAATATCTGGAGCCATCTTTTGATTGCCATGACTGGGGTTGGGGTGGCAGTCTGCTAGCATTTAGTGGGTAGAGGCCAGAGATGTTGCTAAACTTCCTAGAAGACACAGGACCACCCCTCACAAGAATTATTCAGGCCCAAATTTCAATAGTGCTGAGGTTGAGGAATCCTGTTCTAGACCAAAGAGAAAGACTTACCATTACCACTAGTGTTCAGTCAAAAGAAAAATCATATCTTTGCTGCCCTAAAAGGCAGCATCCTGACTTTATCAAAGTATCAATATCAAGGTAGAAATGCATCAGACACTCGAGTTTATGCCATGGACTACAAAAATAAAATTGGGTTAATATTCATTGTCGTGCAATCTTCCTCACTATTTGCATGCAGTGACAACCCTGCAGCTGAGCAGCTCTTTATGGATTTTTTTTTTAATTGGAGAACTGGCAGAATTCTTTAGGCAAATTTAAATGTAATGATAACATCAGTCTGTACTTTGAGACATTTCTTAGTACTTTCTAGATTCCAAAAAAGACATTAAAAGCATCTGGATATAGCAGGAGTAGGCAGATCGTTGCTTGAGCACCAACAAACTGGCACCCGAGACAGTTGCTTCCAGCATCCTTACCCTCCTGGAAGATACTGGGTATTTTTCCTCCCCATCTCTTAGGCTTTTATTTTCTCCTACGCCTACTTCTTTTCTCTCTTTTTATTTCCCCTGCTGTCTGTGCCTCTTGTCACTTGCCAGTGACAGTTGTTTAGCCCCAGTCACGACAGAATTCAAAAGACAGAATACCTTGAGTTAGTGGCAAGGTTTCAGCGATGCTTTCTTGGAGGTAAGAATGAGAAGCATGGGCATATGCATAATTTAATTTTCACTTTCTATGTGTCATCCCTATGTAAAAAGATTTTGTAGAAATAGTATTAAAAGAGACCCAGCTTTGAAATACATTACCAAGGGCACAAGAAATACAACTGCTCATAATCTATTATAAAATATTGCTTGCTAATATTTTAAAAATACAGTTCGCATTTTGAATTTTACTGGGTTAAAAAGAATGCCTTTTCAGAGTGAAAAGCAAATTCTTAATGCAAAGAGACTATTTTAAATAAATTTGGTCTTGGAAATTTTTCTCACAAAATGCCAAAATATGGTATATTTTAAATATTAGTGTGAGCCACAGTGCCATCTACGGCCATTTTTCATTCGAATTAGAAAGCACAATTTTACTACTCTGGCAGTTCTCTAAACAGAGTAGGGAGAAAGCCCTCTCAGATATAAAATGCACTGACAAAAACTTCACCCTAGATCTCTACTTCTAGACACATAGAAAGATTATATCCTCAGAATCCACCTGAGGGTACAACAATTTGCTTAAAAGAAGTAAATTTATATGATGAAAACATTTTGAAATTACACACTTTCATAAGGACAACCTCTCTGATTACAAAGTCCATAGCAAAATAATATACTTATGAACCAAAACTCTTTCATCAATATATTATGTTAAAAAACTGAGAAAATAACAATTATTTTGCTTTAAGAAATATAACAGGTTTTAAAATAGCAATTGTTTAAGACACAGGATAGTATTTTTTTCTAAGTCTTCCTGACTACTATTCAGAAATAGTTTTTAAAAGTAATTTCCTAATTAAAAATTCTATCCCTTGATATGATGATCATTCAAACTGATATCATAAGTTACGGGTTATGTTAAGCTAGAAATTTTCCAATCTAGCCACAAAAGGAACTTCAATTTTCCCCCTAAACAAGATACAAGAAATCCTCTAGTAATTGTACTATCAAGTTGTACGTTATTTTCCCCACACCAATGCACAGCTATCATCATTTGGAACCAAGCAGATTTTCTCTCTCTTTCTTTCTGTTCCAAATTCACTCGGCTCACTGCCAAGAGAAAATACAGACACTGGGGAGGCAAAGAGCAATTCTGCTAAGATCAATGAAGATGCTGGCCATAACAGAATCCTATTTATCCATCACATCCTTACTTCTTTTTCTCTGATTACAGATTACTAGCAATTTCTTGACAATTCTTGTACAAAATTAAGTTAAAATCAGCCTTACAAGACTTCACAGGGTGAAGAAAAAAAATGGACATATATAGTGTCTCCTACTAAATGCAGAAACAACATACATATACAAGACTTTTATAACCATATTTCCCTTCTTACCAGGGAGTTAATATACCTATTTCCAAAGCAGTTAGACTGCAAATTTGAAAACAAAACTTCATATGAAGACATTCCATTGGCATTGGCTTAAGGTAGGCCAAAGAGACAGTCCGTATGCTATCAAAGACTGAGGATTTGTTTTCTTGTTAAGCTTAATTGAAAATTTAAAGTACTCATTTTGCCACCTAAGCAGAAACATTATTCAGTCGCGGCTTCTCTGTTTTCCCCAACTAACACCTAACTTTACACTGAAAGGAAATTAACTTTTAAAATAGTTTGATACAGAATAAATGTAAAATACTGGATTTTGCCAACTTTAAATTTTTTATTTAAAACAATAACATTAAAGATTCAAGGAGAAAAATAAAAATAAAATAAAATGGCACTGCAACCCATATGGAAGAAAAAGCTTCATTGTTTCAGGTGCTTCATTAAATATAAAGCCACCATATTACCCAGCACAAGTAACCTTTCAATAGCGTCTAATCCTAAATGAGATAAAGGCTGAGCTGCTCAACTTAACCAATAAGGCTTTCTCAAGCTCTCTGGCTCAGTTCTCCATACTCTGGCTCAGTATTTCCTAAACTCTGCTGCATAGAGGATCACCTGAGATTTAGAAAAACCTTCTGATGCCCAAGTTGCACCCCATGCCAATTAAATCACAACATCTGGGAGTGGGAGCTGGGCATCAGAACCTTTTTAAGATCCTCAGATTCTAATGTATAGCAAAGTATAAGAATCAAGTCTCTAGCCCTATATTTTACACCTGGAGCAATTTCAAACACTCCAGTCCTCCCCTTCCTCCCTTCCACTATCCCTCCCCAAAATTCTTTGTTCATGTTGTTCAACCTGACTACACCCTGCTTCTCTCAAATTCCTCCTTATCCTCCAAGTCTCAGTTTGGATATCACCTCCCAGAGGGTGCCTTCCTCAAAACCCTCACTTCCTACACACGCATGCATGCCTACACGCACATGCACATGCACATGCACACACACACATATGGGTTGAATGACCCTCCCTGTTTCCACGTACGATCCCATCTGTACCTCTGTAATTGTGCTTACCACAGTATTGTAATTATTAAGGCAACAAGCTCCCTGAAAAATTTGTCTTATTCATCTTTTGGCCACTTGCACTATGTAAGTTGTTTATAGTAATCTATATCAAAACAATAACAAAAAATTGTTAAGAACCACCAAAATTAAAACTGACTTTATTGAAGTGACTAAAACACCATCAGCTCGAAAGTTCTTAGCTTCAGCTTCCTCATTTGTTCTTTAGTTTGACATTTGTTTAATATTATTTGTTTTACTAATGAGAGCCTGATTTAAGTCATTTTCGTTTCTACCATATTATTTCTAGCTGTGTATTACACTGCCTTCTATGTGTGTGTATACTCTAGGCCAAGTTCTCAGTATGTAACAATACTTGGAACTTTTAAATTATAGGGCTATTTTCTTGCTGTCTTTAGGTATGTACGCTAAAGTCAATACTTTATCAATATGAATGACAATATTTAACAGATACTTTTAGAAAAGTTTAAATTTATGCTCTGAAGATTCAATAATTGAGTCATCCCACTGAAATAAACTGACAATAGACAGATTAACTGGATAAAAGGCATACAAATGTATTAATGTGTACATGAGATAGAATATGAGATTCAAAGAAGGTCCAGATAGCTGAGGTTTAAAATGCACCCTCTTCCTAGGGGAGAGGTCGAAGACAGAGGGGAGTGGACAATTTTGAAAGGTAGTGAATAATATTTAGGGGAATTTAATGAGCCCAAAGATCAGACAATAGTTTGTAAATGATTATTTTCAGAAGTTGAATGGGATGAGTTACGGGAAGGTGGGGGGTGAAACTGCACTGTTAATGGTAGTCTTATGCCAAAACAGTCTCTTAAGTAATCTCTTGGTGCAGCTCTCAGAAGAATAAATGAAAATCTGTCTGGGCATGGTGAGGACTTTGAGTCTCTTCTCAAGTGGTTGATTTTTCCTGGTTATTTGATGAGATTCAGAGAGAAAGGGAATCTTAAGACAAGTGCATTTCCTTTGGAAGAAGTTTTCATCAGATAAGGGAACTTCCAGAGAGAACCCCTCCCTGTGCTGCGGCAGAAGCAGGGGTTGGGGGTAAGGTGGGAGAGAGAAACAAGAGAAAGTTAGAAAGTCCTTGGTTCTGAGGTAGTGTCTAAGTCCTTCCAATTTCCTTTCATTCAAAAGTAGTAGCATGCCTAAAGCCCCGTACTACAGAGTCTTCCTCCTCTCCCTCTCAATATAGTATATATTAGGCCAGTGTCCGGCCTAGTAAAGAAAGTGGCTTTTTGTTTGTTTGTTTTTGTTTTTGAGACAGAGTCTTGCTCTGTTGCCAGGCTGGAGTGCAGTGGCGCAATCTTGGCTCACTGCAAACTCTGCCTCCCAGGTTCAAGCGATTCTCCTGCCTCAGCCTCCCTAGTAGCTGGGATTACAGGCGCGTGCCACCACGCCTGGCTAATTTTTGTATTTTTAGTACAGACAGGGTTTCACCATGTTGGCCAGGATGGTCTCGATCTCTTGACCTTGTGATCCGCCCGTCTCGGCCTCCCAAAGTGCTGGGATTACAGGCGTGAACCACCGCGCCCGGCCAATAGTGACTTCTAAATGTTGCCGGGTGTGTCAGTTATTAGAAGCTAGGGAAGAAATGGGAAGGAAATCCAAAGTAATCCAATGTGTATTATGAACTCTAGATAAAAACTCAGTGCAAATATAACTCTAAATAGTAATATAATACAATAATAAAATGATATAAAATAATATGTAATATCATATTTCTTCTTCCTTTAATTCTGACTCTACTATCATAGAGTGATTAATTTCTAAGATGTTTTCTACAAAACAAAATGTGCTAGAATACAAAAGCTATCCAATTCAGAAGGTCATATTCAAGAATGAGATGGAAGATTTCATATTTTAATCCTTTGTGTACGCTCCCACAGTTAGCGCTCTGAAGCAACGCAGAAGAGGGTTTACATTTTCAGGATATTTAAGAAATTTTCTGACCTTGAGATACGTTAGCCTCTAACCTCTTTAATTATAGCATTACCACTTGTTCACAGGAAAGTCACTGACTAAAAAGCAGTGCAGTTCTCCAAGTGTTTTAACATTATCTATTTGACCCTCGCATTTTCCCATTAGGTGGGCAGAGTTGGTATTAGAATCCAGATTTGCAGATAAGGAAACTGAAGCACAGAATGAATATGCCACATGTCCAAGGCCTCCAATCTACACTGCCTGGGCTTTTCTGACTATTTCACTTTCTCTTTTGGTAGTATGGTCAAATTTCGCTTGCACACAATATTAGAAAAGTATAGGATTCACTACTTCTAGCAATCTAATAATATATACATAATATTTTTGAAGTATAAATAGAACATTCAACTAGGAGCCCAGGATCATACAAAGATGAAATGGTTAGCACTGAACCACATTCATTCAAAAAAGTAAAAAATTTTAAACTTCACTGAAACTAAAATGAATATAAATCTGCAAGATGCTAGCTATGAGGATAGTAATTTTCTCCTAAGCTTTACTTTAAAAATTACATTTCCATAAGTAAGACAACTCTAGCCTTACTTCAGATGAATTTTTTGTAGACTAGGTTTGTAGAAAAAGGTCAAAATAAGAAAACAATGAAACAAAAAAGTCAGTCATTCAATATGCAAAGATGCAATACTCCATTATGAAAATCAAAAGGTATCAGATAAAAAATTCAGAAGAGATTAACAAAGGGCATCCTTGTTTTAAAGTACAAAATACAGTTTTAAGGAACTCATTTGATTTCTATAATCAGACATTTCACACCAAGGCCAATGCCATGCAATGTGACTTTCCAAAGCATAAAATCTAACACTCTTTCTCCATTTTAATAATGCAATTGCAGGTCAAATTCTTCATGACTAATAAAAGAAGTCTTCATTTCACAGTACATTTCCAAGTCCAAGACAGTGGTAACTTGTTTAAATAATACTTAACAGAACCAAATGGAGAATGAGAAAATTTGGACATTTCCTTAGAATCTTCTTTGATGGAGCTTGACCTGTAATAGCTTTGGTGTATTTGCAAAGATGAGGAGCCTCAAGAACTAATAAAATGCACTGAGGATGGAGTCACGTTTCTAGAGGTTTCCCAATATGATCGCACTTAAGCATTTCAGAGGCATTTCTAGCAAAGGCTTTTTAATCCATGATCTGATGAACTTCTTAAAAGAAAAGCCAAAAGCACAATTTGACTGCACAGTTGTTATTTGTTTTTACTCCTAAAACATAGTTCATCCAGTTTTGGGAACTAAAGGACACAAAGTCAAACAAAACAATATAAGCAAAAAATGAGACTATTTGTACACATGGTCCATTCTCTGCTAGGTTTATGAGGACTTGAAATCATCAGAAAAGTCTCTGGCAAAATCTATTCTAGTCCCAATTTAACTTCTTGTATAAGAAAGCTTAAAATAGTTGACATAGCAAAACTCAACCACTATTACACAGTTTAAAAATCTTCACCCTAGAGATCAGATCTGGCTCAGTCTTTACCACCACCAGCTAAACTCACCTAAAAGCTATATGCTAAGTCAAAAGTGCCTAACCCATTTTAAATTTTGTTCCACATCTCACAAATGTGGAACTGGGTAAAGCCAATAAGAATGGTATGAAAGCAACTGAAGACTTATGAAAAAAGAAATGAGACACTGGAATCATGATGTGTCATTTCAAATTGCTACCTTACTTCAGTTTGGCAAAGCACAAAATTGACACACTTTATTCAAATACTTTTGTAACCCTAGGGCCAAAGTATGAAATCTTCTAGTTCAGTTTGTGGTATTAAATTGTGAGTTTCAAGAATTCTAGAACGTAAGTAAGCCTTAAGAGGACAATGAACATGTGGACATCACTACCATACTGAGCCATCACCTTAAGGCCTCTGTTCCCTTCAGCAACATCACTACCACAGCATCACTGTTTCTTCTTTAATGTTTGATATTCTACCAGGAGAGTGACTAGCAAGTACGTTCATAAAAGGCATTTCATTTAAAAATCAATTAGCTACTTTTCTTTCCAAGTAATAGTATACCATACATGAAAAATGAGAGTGACTCAAAGGGAAAGCCAAGGAAAAGGTTTGTCTTTTAAACTATGCAGTACTTTTCCCAGGGAAATTAAACGGAGATTCCACTAGTCTTGATAACACAGTTTCTGGCCATATATTTGCAGAATATTGGACTACTGTTGACCATGGGACAGTCTGTAAGCAACCACTAAAAAGTTTACTATTTATGAGCAAACAATTTAACATTAAAACAGAGCTGGCTTTTTGACGATGGCAATTAGCTTCTTCATGTTCCAAACACCAAATAACATTTTTCCATTAATTTTTAAACCGATGTGGCTTTAACTTAAAATAAACTGTACATCAAAAGAATGGAAAATAAACAGCCAGAAATACAATTTGACGAATTGGATTTATTTAGCTTATTTATCTAAACAGGGACCATTGGATCTCTTTAATAGGCTGACAGTTGCACTGGGCTGGTTAATAAAACATTCAACACAGTGTCTTCAGCCAATATAGAAATGCAAATCCCATCAGAAATATTTTATTCATGAGGCAGTAATTTCAGTTACTACCATAGTTTCTTTTTTAAAAAATGGCACTCTGCAAACAAACAGTGCCATCTAGTGCCATCTAACAAAGCCAAATTTGTCATCAGTTTATAATTAATCTCTCAAAATCTTATCTGGTTTTATCTTTGCTCTTTATTTCCTAGGTAAGATCAAAGTCACTGGGCAAAACAAGCAAACAAAGTTGATAATAATTTAAGTCATTTAAGAAGGATTATAAACAGAAACAACTGTATTAAAACCAATAAACTATATACATATATAAAGCATGTTAGCACTGTTTCTGGAAAATATATACTTCATCTACTTGGAAAACTCAAACAACTAGAAATGCCATAAAGTCATAGCAAAAATTTGCTCCTTCTGCCATAAAATGGTAACATAGCTATAATTCCAGTGATGAAAAATCATTGTTAAGTAAGGTAGGAAAAAAACTGCAATTAAATTGCAGAATTCAATCAGGAATCTGACATAAACTTAAAAAGAATTTACATGCACATGACTGTGTGGGTGCATATGCACACACATATCTGTATCAGGACATGCTTCAACTTTGACAATGACTACAGTGAACATGGAAGTTATTTTACAGGTTATAAAATTCTACAGAAGCTAAAGGCAAACAGTTTCAAGCCCAAAGTTGTCATCATAAAAATAGTCACATTGGAAGAAAGTGCCAGAGTTTCCAAAGTGAAGAAAATCTATTAAGACCAATCTCAAATTCAGCACATAGGACTAACAATAAAATCTTTAACACATAATATTATTCTAATCAAGTGTACATGATGAGAAGGGTCAAGAACACGAACCTTTTATAGGCTCTTGGATAAGGAGAGCAGGGTGATACACAAGCACACATCAGCTCCCAGAAGGCACTGACAACAGGTGAGGATAGATTTTTGGCAAATTCTCTACCTGATGGGTCCCTTTCCTGTGTTGGCCTTTGAAATTAATGGGAGCTCTGTGAGAAGACTGACCAAGGTCAAGGCCAGGAATAAGAATCCTATAAACAATGAAGGGCAACTGCATGATGATTTTCTAACAATTTCACCTAGCAGAGCCTTAGTAATGGAGAACCAACTTTTTAAGAAACTGAATGCAGGCCAGGCATGGTGGCTCATGCCTGTAATCCCAGCACTTTGGGAGGCTGAGACTGGAGGATCACTTGAGTCCAGGAGTCAGAGACCAGCCTGGGTGACATAGGGAGACCCTGTCTCTACAAAGAGATTTTAAAAATAGCCAGCTGTGGTGGCTTGCACCAATAGTCCCACCTACTCTGGAGGATAAGGTGAGAAGATCACTTGAGCCTAGGAGGTCAAGGCTACTGTGATCTGTGATTGCACCACTGTACACTAGCCTGGGTGACAGAGCAAGGCCCTGTCTTAAAAAAAAAAAAAAAGGAAAGAATGAAGAAAAGAAAATGAATGCAAACAAGGAAAATAATGGGCATGCACATGCACATAATATATAAATAGAGTAGTACTTTCTCTCTTAAAGGTCATAGTTGCCGGGCGTGGTGGCTCACGCCTGTAATCCCAGCACTTTGGGAGGCCAAGGAGGGCAGATCACAAGGTCAGGAGATCGAGACCACAGTGAAACCTCGTCTCTACTAAAAATACAAAAAAAAAATTAGCCAGGTGTGGTGGCGGGCACCTGTGGTCCCAGCTACTCGGGAGGCTGAGGCAGGAGAATGGCATGAGCCCGGGAGGCGGAGCTTGCAGTGAGCTGAGATCACACCACTGCACTCCACCCTAGGCGACAGAGCGAGACTCCATCTCAAAAAAAAAAAAGTCATAGTCATATCCAAATAACTAAAAGAAATATTCTTCAGCTTCTGATTAAGAAATGTTAAGTATGTAAAGTGGATTTAGGGTAAGGCCAGATTCTCAGAACCATGCAAATTTGCTAGCATTACTAACATTAAATGTATCTTCCATGGAAGAGTATCTTAGAAAAAGGAATCTCAGTTGTATTTAATTCTAGAGTCTATAAAATCCCCAAAATCATAAACAACAGTATATTTCTTATATAATTGTTTGTGGATTAAATGAGTAATGCATGTAAAGTACTTAGTCCTGGTCTACCTAAGATTTTTATTTTTAAAGTCACATTCTAACACAGAGAAAATATGGAGAAAGAACACAAGTGATTTGATGAGCCGCAGTAAAAATGTAGTTCCAGGCATATTTTATTAAGAGCCATAAAACTGTTGATACCCTTTCACTTGGTCATCTGCCTTCTGAGAGACGATCCTAATCAAATAATCCTGTTCAAATATGTTCACTGCAGCACAATAAATGATAGAGGAGGTAAATGGAAATATATTAGGATTCAACAAAAGGTTAGCTAACATCACTCAAGGAAATATTATGCACACATTAAAATGATCAAGAATATATAGAAATGGAAAATACTAATGTTACAATCTTTTATTTAAAAAAAAATGTGGGACGGGCGCAGTGGCTCACACCTGTAATCCTAGCACTTTGGGAGGCCAAGGTGGGTGGATCACGAGGTCAAGAGATCAAGACCATCCTGGCCAACCACATGGTGAAACCCCGTCTCTACTAAAAATACAAAAATTAGCTGGACATGGTGGCGCGCTCCGGTAGTCCTAGCTACTCGGGAGGCTGAGGCAGGAGAATCTCTTAAAACCAGGAGGTGGAGGTTGCAATGAGCTGAGATCATGCCACTGCACTCCAGCCTGGCAACAGAGCAAGACTCTGTCTCAAAAAGAAAAAAAAAAAAAAAAAAGTGGATCAAATGACCTCATTGTTATGTAAAATGAAACAATAAATTATGCAAGGGAGAAGGGGAGAGAAGATTGGAAAAAACAAACCAAAATCAAAAATAGGGCTACTGGTGATTTTTTTTTTCTTTTTTACTCTTCTTCATTTTCAGAATATTCTATAACGACCAGGTATTATATTTACACAGAATCAAACAACAAATGTAATTTTTTAAAGTAGCAGGCATATTCATTAAGTGTACACAGTAAAGAAAATTTTCTTTTCTGAGGTGGCTCTGTCTAGCCTTTCTCATTTCTTTTTAGAATGCACTTATGGTCCTGTAAGAAGGATTAGCTGATGCTACAGTTACCACATATTACCACTGAGACTATCCAAACCTCTAAAACATGTTTTCATGGTTTCCCATAGCTTCCACAGAAATAGAAGTAAAATATCCCAGGAAGCTGTAAGTACAGAAAAGATAAAATGTAAACAGAAGCATACGTTCTTGACCTTTCAACAAAAATCAAAATTTAAATTCACCTTTCTCATTTGAACTTCTTTAGTCTATCTCGAGTTAAAAAAAAAAAAAAAAGAATATGGGTACTGGCTTTACTCATAAACTCAGATACTCAAGTTGTCCATTCACCTATGAAAAGAGAGAGTACAGGTAGTATCAGTAAAAGCTTCAAGCTGTTCCACAACATCCTTTGAACCCTGACCTAAGGGACCAACTCCGATAGTCTGCAGGTAGTTGGATTTCTAGGACCATTCAGCCTCACTGCTGAGACTGTCAATAGAAGTGCCATTCTCTGATGTAGACAGCTCTGCACTAGGAGCTGGTCTAACAATCACATCACATAGCCTGCCAAACAGGAAAAGGCAGCATTCGGGCACCACTGACCTGGGATAGAAGTGAACTTGAGACTGGGGCTAGAAAGCTCTCTTTTTAACATTCATTACGATCTAATCATTCACCCCAAATCCTTCTGTGTATGTCTTAAAGGAAGTTCAGCTTTGTTACAAGAAAAAAGAAATATGCAACTATATAAATCAACCACAAGATGGTGCTAGCATCATAGCACAATATCAGAGACGTGAAAAAGCATTCAACACACCATGTCCTCATAACCTTTAGAACCTTATACCAGCACACCACTTACTTGTTTCTTTCTTTTTCTATTTACTGAGACTTGGTCAAACATTTTATACAATTTTGGAGGGTTTTTTGTTTGTATAAATTTAGGGTTTTAAAATTTGCTTTAATTTTCTTAAGAAGCAAACTAATCTTAAACTTGAAAAATTCCTTAACTACATTTTTTTTTTTCCTCTTGGCTGGTTCATTTTCCTGGAACATTCTGACATGAGAAGGCCCTAGCTAACCTCATATCAATGTTGAAGGAAGAAATTACAAGAACAGCTTACAGGAATTCTAATTTTTTTTTTAAAAGTTGTTTTCAAATACCTAAACAGACTATTAAATACATTTTTATGGAAACTCAAAGGCGGGCAGGTTGCAAAGGATTGTGAAGAGAACATTAAAACGGGTGCTTAGTTACTCGATTCTGATTCTGGCTCCAGAAAGCAGTGTGACTTTAAGTCATTTGGTCTCCTCAGTCCTCCATTTCTTCATCTAAAACATAAGGTGATTAGATTTGACCTCTTCTGAACCTAATATTCCTAACTTCCTTTGAGGCTACACAAGAAGCCAAAAATGAACAATTATAGGCTGTAAGAAGCAAAAAAAAAAAAAAAAAAAAATCAATAAGAATGAAATTAGGTAAGTGAACAGAATAATCAGGAATGGTAACAGTATAAATGGGCACGTAAGTATGACCCCTAACTTTCCTTAACACCCTCCCACACACACGATGCTGACTGCAAATTACCGCATGAATTTTAAAATCCTTTAAACAGGTATTTAGTCAGCTACAAATTATATTCTATGATAAGCCACCGTAATGAAGAAAACCAAAATATGCCACCCCAAAATATACTTCTTTGGTGTATTTTTGAGATAGCTATTCAGAAGGGCTACAAACACAAAAATGGCTCTGAAAAGCTGGAGATTTGCATTTGTAGAGGAAATCAATATTAGTTAAGTAAACAGCAAATGCAAAACAGGCTTTCTCTGAGCGCCCCCACCCTGACCCGTATTGGCTTTACCCAGATCTTGGAAAGATGAACTCACAGGAAAGGGAGACTGAAAGTCTGATGCTTTTTTATTTTATTTTATTTTTTGACACTGAGTCTCTCGCTCTGTTGCCCAGGCTGGAGTTTAGTGGTGCGATCTCAGCTCACTGCAACTTCGGCCTCCTGGGTTCAAGGGAGGCCTCGGCCTCCCAAGTAGCTGGGATTACAAGTGTGCGCCACCATGCCCGGCTAATTTTTGCAATTTTAGTAGAGATGGGGTTTCACCATGTTGGCCAGGCTGGTATGTGAACATTGGTATGTGAACTCCTGACTTCAAGTGATCCGCCTGCCTCGGCCTCCCAAAGTGCTGGGATTACAGGCATGAACCACCGCACCCAGCACTTTTAAAGGTAACAGAGGAAGCTTTTCCACAGGCTCCCATCCATTCTTCCAGGGGGCTGCTGCCTGCCAGGCTCCAACAGCAGAGCCAAGACAACCTTTGCTTGCCTTCCTCCGTTCTTGCTCTGAAAACCTGTTCCCACACTCCAAATCTCTATGCTTTTCTGCACTACAGTATAAAAGCTTCAGTTATGTGGCCCTACTTTGAGTCTCTTACTTTGCGTGTGGCCCCTGTACTTACGCACACAATACATTTTGTTTGGTTTTTCCCATTAATCTGTCCAGTGTCAATTCATTTTAGCATACTTCGACTCAACCCTTGAGAGGGAAAGTTTCAACAGTAAACAGCAGACTATTATTTTTCATTCTCTGATATATAAAATTATCTGTTAAGGAATTAAGAAACATTAAATCTACACTGAACTTTCACTTCCTGCCATGGTGGGGTAATTGGTACAAGACAAACCCTCCTGTTCTACACAACTGTGAACACGGACAAAATGGATGAATCAATTATTTTCCAAAGTTGGACAACAAGCAGTGGAGGAGCGTAATTCCTTAAAGAAGAAAAACATGTGAAATGAGCCCCGCATGGCTCTCAGCCTGGAGGCACTTTCCCAATTGCAGCACACGGAGGGGGAGCCCACAGGGAGTGCAGCAAGTCACTGAACTTAGGAGGCAGACACTGGAGTTAGGACTGCTGGGATGCATCATCAAACATAGCAGGGTAATGGTGAGAAGCAGCCACAAAGAGAAGGAGCTCCAGAAATCGAGAAAGTGGTCCCCTAAGTCTTTGGCTGAAAATGAACTTGCATATGTAGAGGATGGGACCCCACGAGGTCTCACAGAGAACAGCTACTGGGGAGTAATGGATTGAATGGATATTTTAGAGGTTGCCCAGGGCAGAGAGATGGAATTCCAAACAAACATAGGCGAGAGAGCACTTATTAAACACTACAGTCATTCAAAAGGAACCCAAGAAAGGCCAAATCATAAAAGTAGGGCTACTCAAAATGTGTTCTAAAAAGTCTAACAATAAACTCTGAAAGGACCAATCTGATTTGCCAGTAAATTATCTAACTGTCTGAATAAAGCCTCTCATGGTCTAAAGCATGCATTGTCAACAGGAGCAATATCATGTCCACAGAGGCAAAAATTAGTTCTTGGGAGTATGATGAATCTTAAGATATTACAAAGATGTGTGGCCCTCCAAGGAGCCATAGTACATGAACAGATGTACAGATACAGAATATCAGTGGTATTAAAATTTAATAGGGGAAGGAGTGGGACGATTAGGAAAAACATGTCTAAAAAGTATCCTTGGAGAAGTGATAATGAAAAAAAAGGTTGAGCTGTGCTGTTCTAAAAAATAACAATAAAATCTAGGCTTTATAACAACATAGAGGCCATAACAGCAAGTATACTATAATAAAATTATTAGACACGTGAAGAAGCAATGGAACAAGATAGAATACCTAGAAATTGACCTGGATTTTATTCAGCAGGCAATGAGGACTCTGGGATTTTGTGTAATGGCATGACATATACAGATCAGTGTATTCAAAAGCTAATTATGGAATGGTGTACAGGGTTTTGAATGACAGAAGAACAGAATCAGGAAATAGTACTACAATTATCCAGATAGAGAAACCATGAAGGCTTTCAGTAGTAGAGATATTTAGGTGGTAGATCTGCTAATTCTCAGTGACCCAGTGGATGTACAAGGTTGAAAAATTAACGATAACTCTGAAGTAACCAGTACTTGTTGAATCTGAGTGTGTTTAAAAGACTCTGGGATAAATAGTAAGAAATATAAACCCAGAACTACCAAGAGGTCTGGGCTACAAATACCAGTCAGTATAGACGCAGCCATGGAAGGAACAGGAAAGATGATAACACACAGAGGAGGTTATGGGAGTAAGTACTGAGGAAGCCTGAAGGATCCAGGCATCCAAAGGGTAGGCAGAGGAGAAGGAACGGCTGGGGAAAGAAAGCAAGTGGACAAACGAGTCAAAGAAAACAGTATTGAGTTGTCCTCTGCCCCTCCCCATGGGCATAAATGCTCCCCTGAAGTCTTGCTATTACAAGTGGAACAGAAGAACGGCTTCAACTGCAATAAACACAGAGCTGAAGAACCATCTCTGCTAGCCTTTCTTGAAATTCAGTATTTCTAGGTATGGCATGTCAGCATACGAAAGTTATCAAATATCTTTAAATATTCTCCATTCATTTAAAAAAAAGATTAGATCTATAAAAGAAATAATGATTAAAACAAGGGAGTTATGTCAATATTTTCTACACTCTATTCAAATATACCATGTGAGATGGTGTGGTAAAATGAACAAAGCTGTAAAACAGGAGTCGAAGGACCGTTCACTTCTCAAAGTCCTCCGGTGGCCTTTCTGCAACCCAGAGTAAAAGCCAAGGTCTTTACCACGGCCTACAATGCCCTCACAGATCTTTCCTCTGCTTTCTCTGCAAGCACACACACGTTTCTTCCTCTCTCTTCAACTGTAGAGAACACCCAAGCACAAATGGCCACAATCACCCTGCTGGTCACTCTCTATTCATTTATTCACTTTACATAATGTATCTCTACCTGAAATTATAATGTGTATGTATTTGTTTGTTGTCTTTCCCACTAGATTTTTTCCCCCACTATAATTTAAACTATATGACAAGTAGAACTTTATCTTGTTCACCACTGCTGCATTCTAGCACCTCGGACAGTGCCTGACACACCATAGTACTCAAGAAACTCTTGTTGAATGAAATCTATAATTAATCTAAGCCTCTTTGTTCTATCATGTGTAAATGAGGATAGTAATCCATACCTGCTCTGTCTATTCTTCACACAATGAAATGAAATAATGTATGTTAAAGTAATTTACAAACTGTAAATCCCTATTCAATAGAAGTAGTGGTGGTGAAAGATGTTTCCTAACATGGTAGAAGAAAGCTGTGGTAGCAAATATACATATAAATACATGAATTGTTAATGATAGCCTATATCAAGCTAGTCCAACCCATGGCCAGCAGGCTGCAGGCAGCCCAGGATGGCTTTTTGCAGCCCAACACAAATTAATAAACTTTCCTAAAATATTATGAGGTTTTTTGCTATTTTTTTTTTTAGCTCATCAGCTATCATCAGTGTTAGGATATTTTATGTGTAGCCCAAGACAATTCTTCTTCCAATGTGGCCCAGGTAAGCTAAAAAATTGGACATCCCTGGCCTAGAGAATAAATTTTTAGTTTCATAGTTGTTGGTTCCATTTTTCTTTATAATAGAAAATATAGCCCAGAAAGGAACACTTATCCAAGTATACAATTTCCAAATACCTAAAGGACTTTGCCCAGTATTGTACTCTTTGAGAAACAAAAAAGACTAAAGGTTGGGTTAGCTGACTTATAAGCCACAGAAATAATTTAATTTCTGAAAAAAAAATTAAGAATAAAAGATTAAAACTGACCTAAACATTATGAACTGAATTGTGTCTCTTCTAAATTCATATGCTGAAGTCTTGATTCCCATACTGAGAATGTGACTGTCCAGAGATAGGGTCTTCAAAGAGGTGATTACATTACAATGATGTCATTCGTGTGGGCCTTAATTCAATACGACTGATGTCTTATATGAGGAAATAGGGACATGGAAACGTGAAGAGGGAAGACATATGAAGACATGGGGAGAAGCCATCTAAAGATCAAGGAGAGAGGCCTCAAAAGGAACCACACCTGCCAACACCTTGAACTCCAACTTCAGTTTCCAGAATTGTGAGAAAACAAATTTCTGTTGTTTAAGCCACCCAGTCTGTGGTACTTTGTTGTCACAGCCCTAGCAAATTCATACCCTTTGTTTTTCTAGAACCCATAAGAAAAATCTTCAGAAAAGAGTTCCATTAAAAATGAGGTAAGCAAGCTAAAACAATCTTTATAAACATGTTATTTTGCTTTCATCATTTATATTGAAACTTTAACTTCAGGTAGAATTTTCTCAGTATAAATTTGAGTTGTCAAGTTCTTAATCCAATTTTCTCACTATATTTCATATTTTTACTGAGAAAAACTAGCCTTTCACAAAGCAGTTGGAGAAAATGTTACCCTAGTACAGGGCACATACTTAGGCATATATATTTATTTTATCAATTTGGGCCCATAATGAGTTTTAATTTTTTTTAATTAATAGGAGCCCAGTCTAAAAGGCATCAGAGTTATTGATGTGATCCACCTCAACTTATCAAGATAGTAGCCATTCACATACAAAACAAGCATGCATAACTGCAAATCACCCTATTTTCAGACTCTAGGAGGGATTTCTACCAGGTCCATTGATGTTGGTCTTACAGTGGAAAGGTATACGGTAGCCTAGAAGCTGTACCCTCCAAAAGCAAAACACCTAAGGCAAGAACTGAGGCGGAAAGATCCTTAAACATTCTTGACTTTCCTTGTGAATTTGGGCCCCAGATTCAGAAATACAGCTGATTTATCACCCAACACATGACTTCTGTTGCTCATAGGTAAGGCTCAGATCTTTCCTCGCCTGTATCTTTTTATTTTTTAAAGTGAGTCATATGAAATTTCATTAATTTGCTGAAAACCTAATTTCCTGTGCCAGCCTATAAGAACAGTTAGTTGTTATTGTGTTAACTTCTTTGTTCTTTTATCATTAGCAGGGTTTTTAAAATACTTTTTATCTGTATCTTTTTATTTTTAATTGCGGTAAAATCACATAATATAAAATTTACCATTTTAACCATTTTTAAGTGTATGGTTCAGTGGTGTTAAATATATTCACATTGTTGAGTAACCAATCTCCAGAAATTTTTGTAAGTTTCAGTCTGGCAAAACTGAAACTCTTTGCCCATGAAACAACTCTCCATTTCTCCCTCCCCTCAAGTCCCCGGTAACTACCATTCTACTTTCTGTTTCTATGAATCTGACTACTCTAGATACCTCATATCAGTGGAATTATGTAGTATTTGTCTTTGTGAGTGACTTATTTCACATAGCATAATGTCTTCGAGGTTCATTCAAGTTGTTGCATGTGACAGAATTTCCTTTCTTTTTTAAGGCTGAATAATATTCCATTGTGTGGATATACCACATTTTGTGTATCCATTTATTTAACAATGGATGCTTAGGTTGATTCCACCTCTCTGCTATTGTGAAAATGCTGCTATGAATATGGATGTGCAGATCTCTCTCTGAGACTCTGCTTTCAATTTGTTTTTGGACATATACTCAGGAGTGGAATTACTCAGCTGTATCTTTTCTACTCCTATTAATTTCTAATTACTAACAACTTTAACATTATGTCTTTACATTTATATTCTTAAATTTGCTATAAAGCAGATACGGTTGAAAGCCAGATATATAGGAAGAGACAGCTACATATTCTCATGGGCAATTAATAAAAAGGATCACATATAAACTGTCAATTGAAAGTGGTTTCTTTTATCTTTTGGGGGAAGGGTATGATACATCCTATTAAGAATCTAATAAAGTCTATGGAGTTTATCCCAGGGAAAAATACACATGGAAACATGCATCCAAAAATACAGATATGCTTTCAGGAGACTATGAGCCCCTGAAGTCCAGAAGCTGCAAATGTACAGGCTGCCTCTTAAAGGCTCCAAACCCTGAAAGGCCAGAAACTGAGTTTCAAAATTTTAATAAATGTTAAGTATCAGTAAATACCATTCAGACTCAAAGGGCCGCATGATTTGGATCTATTTGTGAATCATTAATCCAACATACCTTAAATTCCACCATTAGCTATCTCTATAACCATTTTTTAGATCCCTAACTCATAAAGAATGAAAGCTGTTACTTGTCTTCTACATGAGCCCAAAAGACTGTGCATTTAATGCTGACTGAGGCATGAGGAGGAAACATTTTTAAAAAAAAGTAAATATGACAAAGGGTCGAATTTGACTCACAAAATCTGTTTCGAGTTTTCCCATTTCTTGTTTGTAGCTTCTCATTCTGTTGCTGTACATCCCTCGACTTTGGGGTGGTATCTCTCGGACTTCCAAATCCATCTGTTCAAGCTAGAAGAGGGAAAGAAAAATGTGATTTAAAACACACTGTTATTCTTATTTGAACAAATGTTTACGGCTGAAAGGATCTAATTCCAGTTCCTCATTTTGTAGTTGAGGCACCAGGTTCAGGGTGCTGAATGATCAAATAACACTGAAACTACTTTTACACTTAATTTTTCTTTAGTTCAACAATTCTGAGTACTTGCCAAGTGACACACACTGTGCTCAAGTACATGCTTTGTTAAAACATATACATTTGGCCAGGCGCCGTGGCTCACGCCCATCATCCCAACACTTTGGGAGGCCAAGGTGGGTGGATCACTTGAGGTCAGGAGTTTGAGAACAGCTTGGGCAACATGGCGAAACCCCATCTCTACCAAAAATACCAAATTAGCTGGGCGTGGTGGTGGGCACCTGTAATCCCAGCTACTCAGAAGGCTGAGGCAGGAGAATAGCTTGAACCTGGGAGGCAGAGGTTGCAGTGAGCTGAGATTGCACCACTGCACTCCTTCCAGTCTAGGTGAGAGAGCAAGACTCCATCTCAAAAATAAAATAAAACAAAATAAAAGATACACATTAACCCAAACGTTATTAATAATTTGATTTCAATATACTTGGAATAGCCCATCATTCAATCCAACCGGGTCTTGTCTTCTGACCATTAACCTCCACAACTATGGGAAGATAAAGTAAGCTATTATTTCCCATGGGTAATCCATGAAACATCAGCCAAGCCTTATTTGGTGATATTTATTCTGGCAGGTGTTTTGTAATTAGGAAAATCACATACCAACCAACATGTGATCTTTACCTTCATCCTAACTCCCGATACTTTATAACCACATTTATATGGCATTAAATGGATACAGTAATATGCTAAATTACATATAGCTTAATGAAATCACAGCAAGGCGCTTTTTTTTTTTTTAACAACCTGCTATCAGATAACACTTTGGATACAACACAGAAGAGTTTAATCAGCAGCAATGCAGAAATACTATAATGGTTTAGGCATAGGCTTTGAAGCCAGACTCTTACGTTGACATCATAGGCTCTACTACTTATTAGTCCTGGAATCTGGAACAGGTTTCTTAATGTCTCTGTGCCTTAGTTTTCTCACTTACAAAATAGTGTCTTTTTCACAGAGCAGCTGTGAAAACTAAATGAGGCAATTCTTATAATGTACTTAGAACAGTGTCTCTTACTTGATAATTGCTAGATTAAAATTAACTCTAGTAACGATGATTGCAAGTGATGAAGAAGATACAGCAAGCACTATACAAGATAGCAGAAGTGGCTTACTTGTAGTTGCCATTAAAAAATAAAAACCAGGCCAGGCGCAGTGGCTCACCCCTGTAATCCCAGCACTTCGGGAGGCCGAGGCAGGTAGATCACCTGAGGTCAGGAGTTTGAGACTAGCCTGACCAACAAGGTGAAATCCCGTCTCTACTAAAAATACAAACATTAGCTGGGTGTGGTGGCGGGTGCCTGTAGTCCCAGCTACTCGGGAGGCTGAGACAGGAGAATTGCTTGAACTGGGGAGGTAGAGGTTGCAGTGAGCCGAGATCGTGCCACTGCACTCCAGCCTGGGCGATGGAGCGAGACTCCGTCTCAATAAATAAATAAATAAATAAATAAATAAATAAATAAATAAATAAAAACCAGTAACAACAACAAATTGGCCCAGGCCATGTCTGCTAAAATCACATGCAAAAATGCTGCCATGTAGTTTACCTTTTAAAGCTTTCTAATAAGTTCCTTCCGGAACCCTACCAGCTTATCACTAATAAAACCTGTATTCAGTGTTAGCGACTGAATAACTACAGTAGCATACAGATAAACCACACAATCACCTTTCAATTAATAGGCTTCAATTTATTATAAAGAAAAAAGATAATTTTAATTAGCCTTGATTTAAACAGTGATAGTTTAAATGATTATGTCTCAACATAAATGAGAAGCACCAATAAATAAAATCATTACTTAGCAAGAAAATTATTTAAAATAACTCTCTGAGATCATCAATTATTTAGTTCTAACAAGGTAAACAGGATCATCTGGAAAAATAACAGCAAAAATACTTGCAAGCCAAAATCTGAGCCTTAAGTATATTTTTGTTGAAGATATTTTATATGGATATTTAAAACTAAATTAAAAGTAGGTAAGACAGAAAAAGGAAACACACAACAAGCACTTAAAATGAAACCAAGAATGAGGCTAATGTGCACTTGTTCCATGTTGTCACAACATTTATGTGGCCAGTGCAGAGTGGGAGAAAAGATCATTGCAAGATGTGTAGTGTCCAAGAGACTAATACAAATCAGATGGTCAGCAGAAACACAATTAATCCCAATAGTCAAATCAAAAGAGTTTTTCTCCCAAGGTCCTCATCAAAAGGGCAGTATCGGCTGCGCACAGTGGCTCAGGCCTGTAATCCCAGCACTTTGGGAGGCCAAGGTGGGTGGATCACCTGCGGTCAGGAGTTCAAGACCAGCCTGACTAACATGGTGAAACCCTGTCTCTACTGAAAATACAAAATTAGCCAGGCATGGTGGTGCATGCCTGTAATCCCAGCACTCTGGGAGGCCAAGGCGGGCAGATCACTTGAGGGCACGAGTTCAAGACCAGCCTGGCTAACATGACAAAACCCCCTCTCTACAAACAAACAAACAAAGTAGCCAAGTGTGGTATTGCTCTGTAATCCCAGCTACTTGGAGCACTGAGGCATGAGAATCGCTTGAGCCCAAGAGGCAGAGGTTGCAGTGAGCCGAGATTGTGCCACTGTACTCCAGTCTGGGTGACAGAGTGAGACTTTATATCAAAAATAAAATAAAATAGAAAAGCAACACACTCATAGGGCCACAATGCATAGTAACAAGTTGAGTCATGCTTGTAGTAGTTAGCTTTTAAAACCCCAAATTAAGACACAATACTTTTAGTCCTTTTTTGCTCCATGTTTTACTGATGTATTTATATAAAAAAGTAGTAGATGAACCAGAGCTCTGAGTTTAGCAAACTAGGAACAAATATTTACTCTATCACTTAACAGGATTTGGGACCTCCAACAAGTTACTTCATCTTTCTAAGTCTCAGTCTCCCCATCCACAAAATGGGAGTGGTAACAGTGTTGAGAATCACTTGGCCAAGGTTCTCTCATGCTGCTACATGTCTTGCCTGGTCTGCCAAGAATACAAGGTCCTGAGGACTCTGTCTGAGCCATTTTTCAGGATTGGGTTTGCGGGGAGCTCAGGGAGAGGAAATAATGTGTCCCCCTGGGACAAACAACAGCCTTGCTTATAGGCTGCTAGAAAGTGGCACATTTTCTAGGCTCTCGTTCTATTCCTCTAAGGTATTCTAATGCTGTTGTAAGCATACATCTAGGCCTGCCTGCATCACCACTGTGGGAATTCAGACTCAGGAACTGATGCAACCAGCCTGAAACACAGGCAACTGCTATTGTTGTGGGTAATAAAAATCTTTTGTCTCTGACCTAGGAGTCTCATGTCTTAGAGAAGACATGAGACATAGTCATCTATGAAACTGTAGCAAGCAAGTGAGTCACTTGAGAGTTTGCAAATAGCAGAAAATATCAGACCCTTTATCATTTTTGACAAATAATATTGTCTCACATGGTTATTGAGAAAATTAAATATTATAAAGCAAGTAGTATTTTTAATCCAGTGTCTGGTACCCAGTATGCCTTTATCCAGCATTAGCTATTTACAGCTGTTATGAAACGTATTATGATGGAATAAAAATTAGAGATAGATATTTAATGAATCACCTTTGCTAAGAAGAATAAAATCCCAAGAAGCTACTAAAATCTCTTCAATTTAAAAATTGACAAATTCTGAATTATAAAATGCTAATCAGCAATGCTTCACATTTCCACAATGTATAAAACAGGCTAGAGGAAGACATTAGCTTAAACGGCTCTGGCTGTGTGTTAAAATACATTACTGTCTGTACATACCAGTTCTTTCGCTTCTTCAAGCTGTTTCTCCACATTTGCAACCATCTGTTTCTTTTCATCTGAAACAAACAATAATACCAAGAAATTGCTAAAGATACAAATAAATTTAATATTTTAAAACTTCAATTTTTATATGCCTTTTTCCTTTCTGGTCAATCAGATTACAGAACATAAGGCAAAAGAGCATATCATTCTTTGGTGGGTTTGAAACCACTTTAAGCCATTGATTCCAGGCTATCTAGAAACATATAATCTGATAGAATACCTAATTATTAAGAGACACCATTTTTAAGAGAGACCTATTTTTAAGAGAGACTAAAAATTATGTTGCCCTTTAGGAGAGACTAAGTCAACAAGAGCAGATTTGTGCTGGCCTAAGGAATCTGTGAAGTCATAACTTTAATAAATTGGGAATAACTGATTTGTTAATACAATTTAAAAGTTATATACAAAAACACTTCCTAAAACTGGGCAAAAACAATCCTTTAAAAAATTGTACTTTCAGTAGCATGGAGAATCAGGTGTAATGGAATAAATATTTGAAGTTAGGACTACTGATTCCAAACCGAAAGCTACTATCTCACTCAATGGTTATGGGATCCTGGGCAAGAAATTTTTCTCTTTTTTTCTGAGACTCACTCTGTACTCTCTAAAATGGAAATAAAAAATATCTACGGGATTACTTTTAGCTCCAATAAGCTTGATGCAAGTGAAATTACTTTAATATTATAAAGTGCTAAGTCTCTGTATGTGGTTTATTTTTCTAATACAATCAAGTTATAACCCAACTGTAATTCCCTTCTCTAGGAGAGACATGTCCTGGCAGACAATTTCAGAAAGCTTTCCCATACCCTCATTCCAGCCAGTCAGCCTATTTGTTCACATACCCTAGTTAAGTTTTGTGCAAACCAGATGTATTGAACATCTCTAGTTTTTGTCTGCCTAGCATGCTTCTCTTCTCAGGCAACAGCCCCTACTCTCTTCAAAGGCCTTCTTCCTCACCAAGCAGGACAATGAAAATGCTATCTCCATAAAGACTCTGCTTCTTCAGTCACAGTGACTTGGCAAATGACCGGCATCTAATCCTAGCTGGACTAATCTCAGTAACTCAATCCTCTGGCCACATTCATCTGGGAGTTGGGCGGTGGGATAGGCATATATGAACCAGAGAGAACAAAGTTCTAGAGCAAGGGGAAAGCCTTTTCCTTTCTCCTGGTAACGAAAAAATGAGCCTAGAAGCGCTGCTAGCATCCATTGGTCTAGCTCCAAGAAGAAAGCAAGCGTGCAATGGCTGAAAATAAAACCTGCATTTAAAAAGAAACACAACTGAGAGACAGAGAGAGAGAGATATAGTTAGTTCCTGGCTTGAAATAACTGAAATGGCTTGACTTTATAAAAGCTTGACTTTACCATAGTTTGGTTTCTTGAGCCAACAACTTTCTTGTTCTTTATTTAAAACTGGGTTTATGTCACATGGGAGCCTAATGAGACTGACTAACACAACAGACTAGAAAAGTCATGAAGCTTGAAATGGGTACAACACCTACCAGCTGACCAGCCTTCAGAAGGACAGCCAATCCTAAGTGGGGAAGCTTTAATAGAAATTATTATTTCACTGGCCGGGCGCGGTGGCTCACGCCTGTAACCTCAGCACTTTGGGAGGCCTAGATGGGTGGATCACAGGGTCAGAAGTTTGAGACCACCCTGGCAAACATAGTGAAACCCCGTCTCTACTAAAAATACAAAAAATTAGCTGGGTGTGGTGGTGGGCGCCTGTAATCCCAACTACTTGGGAGGCTGAGGCAGGAGAATTGCTTGAACCCGGGAGGTAGAGGTTGCAGTGAGCCGAGATCGCACCATTGCGTTCCAGCCTGGGCAACAGTGCGGGACTCTGTCTCAAAAAAAATAAAAATAAAAATAAAAATAAAAATAAAAATATATATATAATTATTTCACTAAAACAATGATTAGATTATTAGTAGATTCTACTAATCTTAACCCTTTCCCTTTGTTATCCCCAAACTACAGAGGGGGAACAGTTGTCACATAAGGTGTTTTATGTGTACTCACAATATTTCTCCCTAAGAAAAATAAGCCTTTGGGATTACAATTCAACTTGATTTTCCCTCCTTGAAAAGTTAAATCTACATATGGCCAGATTAAATATTTAATAGATGATCCCAAATGTATTTGCTTCTGGGACATTTCAACCCTTTTAGTATCTTCACACAGTTACAGTTAGAATAGACTACATTTTTGTGATAGAGAAAAATACAAAATAAGACAGGCTTATCTTGGATCAAAACTGAGATGGTGTATTTACGTATCAGGAGGAACATCCTGTTCTCTTTAAGGTATTCAGTTGATAGGAAAGTCCATGCCGTGGACCTCCAGGACTAATAAGCATCAGTTTTTCTCATTAGCAAAATAAAACAAAGAAAGAAGCCTCCCTTGACCTGTATTCCCCTTTGCTAATATTCCTCTCCTTTCATCACCAGTCAATTTTCTTGAAAGCAAGGGTACAGACTCTGTTTCCCTTCCTCATCTTCCCATCCACTCCCTGTAAACTAACTCCTGCCCCCACCATTCCACTGAAATTACTCTCACTAGATTAATAACCCTTCCTTTGCCCAAACTAATAGACATTCTTAGGTCCTGTTTTTATTTAATCTTGTGGTTTCTTACACTTTGCTCCTCCCGTCCTGTAACTTTCTCCTCTACTGGCTCCCATGGCACCCTGATCTGGTCATTCTCCTGAAGGCTCACTCCTGTCTCACGGTCCTCTGTTAGGCATTGTATTTTTCAGGCCATCTTTCAACTGCTGATGTTCCTTGGAGTTCAGTCCTTGCCTTTCTTATGACTATCGTCTATGTCCCTGGGCAATTTCATCCATTTTAAAACTATCATATTATGTATTTATGATCCTAAATCTTTATCTCTAACGCTGATATATTTCCAGGCCTTCAATCCTTTAATCCCAATGCCCATCTCCACCAGGCCCACCTGGCAAACCTCTATTCAAAACTCTCTTCAGAAATCATCACTTCTTTGAAGGCTTTCCTAACCCAACATAAGAGTTAATCACCCCCTTGTACATAAAATATCTATAACTCTTATGTAATCCTAATGATTTATCCCTCACATGAACAACCTTTCAACTTAGAGGCTCTGGGAAGACAAGAACCATGTCTCAGTCATCTTTATAGTCCTACACTATACTGAGCTTGGCATACACAATCAGTTTTCAAAAAATGAAAGTAAGTTAAATACATAATGCAGGACACAGCAAGAATTTGCAAAAGAAGCTATGCTACTAACCACCTTGGTCTCCCTGCCCCCTCTCCCATTTAATCTTCCTAAAATTTGGCTTTGGTGGGTCAGTTGAGCTTAGCAGTTAAGGTCCTCGACATTTCAGAGCCGAGCATCCTTTCCAACTTTATTTCCAACTACAAGGTTTCTAGTATGCAGTCTACAGACAGACTGTTCATTGCTACCCAAACAAATCTTGTTTTTTTCTTCTCTAAATCTTTGTTAAGCTACCATTTAGGGTTCTTTGGCTGAATGCGACAGAAGTGATTCTGGCTAAACTAATTCAAAAAAGATAATTTGTTAGAATAATGTGGGGTGGCTCATAGGATCAATGGACAAAAATGAGCCACCCAGCTTGGGAAAGACAAGTATGAGGAGTAGCTCAGGATACCAAGGAAATAGGAACTTACAGTCTCTGCTAAAGCAAAGTCTTGAGCGGCTCTAACTATTCTCTTTCCTTGGTTCATTCTGATCAAATTCCTGGCAAAAATTCTATAAATGTCCTTGCTTAGGTAATATGTTCACCTCTTGACCTACAGAGGGCAGGGCAGCCTGTCAGTTCTATCAAGACTGGAATAAGGGGGTTTAAGTAGTTCCTCAATAGGAAATTGAGTAGATAGAATGAAAGCTGCTGGGTGCAACAGATGCCCACTGCATCCATTTATTGCAACCTCTTATAATATAGTCTTTGCTTGTTTCTGTCTGTCCAAACCCCACCTATCCTTCTAGGCGAGGTCCTGAGACATACCTCATTTCCTTTGAATTCCTAGAGTTCTATGCTCGGCTCTAGGGGGTACAACGGTCATTAAAAATTAGGTTCTACAGTTTCCTCTTTTTTTTTTTTTTTTTTTTGAGATGGACTCTCACTTTGTCACCCAGCCTGGAGTGCAGTGGTGCAATCTTGGCTCACGGCAACCTCCACCTCCCAGGTTCAAGTGGTTCTCCTGCTGCAGCCTCCCGAGTAGCTAGGACTACAGGCATGCGCCACCACACACAGCTAATTTTTGTATTATATTAGTAGAATGAGGTTTCACCATGTTGGTCAGGGTCATCTCAAACTCCTGACCTCAAGTGATCCACCTGCCTCGGCCTCCCAAAGTGCTGGGATTACAGGTGTGAGCCACTGCACCTGGCCTGCAGTTTCCTCTTCAGGCTCATTGCCGGCTCCTTGAAGGCAGAGACTACTCTTGACAAATCGTGTCCAAACTCTGTATTTAGCATAGAGAGCTGTACATGGTAGGGGCCACTAAGTGCTTACAGAATAAATGAGTCAGTCTTAGCACGCAGCAACATACTTATTACTCACAGAGAAACTGAGGGGGAAAAACAGCTCATTTTAGTGAGGACTGGGGCAAATCTTCCCATTTGAAATGACAAATTTCCCTTCACGAAAAAAATAATTAAATTGGAATAGAGGTGGAGTTAACACAATTAGATCATTTTCTTTTCATAAAATTCATTTTGTGATGGTGCTGTCAGAAATAATGATGGAACTGAGACATTCTTTGATTGGTCCTTATAGTGTTCCTCATGTTTTTAAGAAGGCAAATCTCAAAAGTGATGATTTAGGGGTAAAGTATGAGGAAGGAAGGAAGGAAGGAAGGAAGGGAGGAAGGGAGGGAGGGGAGAAGGAGGGAAGGAACAAAGGAAGGAGGGAAAGAACAAAGCAAGGTGAGAAGGAGGGCGGGAGGAAGGGAGGGAGCAGAGAAGGAAGGAAGGAAGGAAAGGGAAGTGAAGGGAAGGAACAAAGGAAGGAAAGGAACAAAGGAAGGAGAGAAGGAGGGAGGGAGGGAGGAAGGAAGGAGGGAAGGAGGGAAGGAGGGAAGGAGGGAAGGAGGGAAGAAGGGAAGGGGGAAGGGGGGAAGGGGGAAAGGGGGGAAGGAGGGAAGGAGGGAAGAAGGGAAGAAGGGAAGGGGGAAGGGGGAAGGGGGAAGGGGGGAAGGAGGGAAGGAGGAGCGGAGGGGAGTGGAGGAGGGGAGGGGAGGGGGAGGGGAGGGGAGGAGGGGAGGGGAGGGGAGGGGAGGGGAGGGGAGGAGGGGAGGGGAGGTGAGGGGAGGGGGGAGGGGAGGGGAGGGGGGAGGTGAGGGGAGGAGGGGAGGGGAGGAGGGGAGGAGGGAAGGGGAGGGAACTGAACTAGATGACCTTGGAAATACCTACCAACACGAAGTTTTGGTAACCTGGCAACATTTACATGTAATTCCCAAAAGAGATTCATTCTGCCCACCCCAAATGACATCCCCTTTCAAACAACATGTACCTAGGATTCAGACCTTTGTAACTAAGGGCTATCATTAATGTACATGGTGCTCTGTGTTTAACATTGTTATAGTCAATCCTTAAAACAACCTTTTTGAGGTATTATTACTATCCCTTTCTCAAGCCATTAAATAAGATCAGAGATACTAAATTATTTCCTGAAAGTTCAACAACTAATAAATAGCAGAGTTGGAACTCTAATGGGGTGGGTCTGTTGTCCTGAACTGAGCTCGTAACTGCTATATGTATTATATAAAATATACTATTTAATATATAAACAGTCTCCCACTTTTTTTTTTTTTTTTGGTCTATAAGCTTGATAAGTGCTGATGTACATACACATAAGTCTTAGCATAGTATGTATGATCTTTTCTTTCCTACTCAATACATTTTTAATTAGTTTTCTTTTTCATTTAGAGACAAGATCTCGCTCTGTCACCCAGGCTAGAGTGCAGTGGCATGATCATAGCTCACTGTAACCTCAAACTCCTGGGTTCAAGGTGTCCTCCCATCTCAGCCTCCTGAGTAGCTGGGATGACAGGTGCGTGCCACTATGCCCAGCTAGTTTTAAATTCAATTTTATTTTGTAGAGATGGGGCTTCACTATGTTGCCCAGGCTGATCTTGAGCTCCTGGGCTCAAGTGATCCTCCCATCTTGGCCTCTCATTTCCTACTCAATAGAAGTTCTTAGTGCTGACGTACAAACAAGTCTTTGCATAGTATAATTCTTGATATTTACAGAAGTGCTTAATCAGCACAGAACACCCTCATTAAAGTGTCAAGGCTCACTTGAATTCAGTTACTTGTACCTGTCTTTGTGCAATGTAGATATGTTAAAATAAAACTAGCAGCAGAAATTATGTATGTACTTAGAAATGTAGGGTCAAACCACTAAGAGAGGAACAGATAATTTTTAAATGGGTATATTACTGATGCTACCCTGTGTAACATGGTATAGAATGGTCAGTGTTGAAATAAAGCAATTACAGAATGATCCATCTGATAATGGATTAGAGCTGGAGATACTAGTATGAACTTGTGTTTAACATACTATATATACAAATGATTACATATGCAAATGCTTGTAGATATGTTCATATACATGGCTTAGTATATACATGTGAATTTCCTTGCTTTGTCAGCTGAGAGGTTCCAGAGGCAACAACACCCCGGGAGTAATGTGCACACCTACTGTCCAGATCTTGGTTTCTAATACCCTTCTTTAATTAAAGGAAACAGGATTCCTCAGAGAAAGGGCTGATTCTAGCACTGAAACAGGAAATAGAGAAGATGATCCTGGAGTATCTTATACTATCAGAAAGCAATATAGTCCTTAAAAAAAAGAAAAGAAAAAAGCCAAAATGATGGGGGTATACCAAAAGGACACAGAAGCCAAATTAAAAAAAAGGCTCCCAATGGTCAACGCTAAAACAATTTGAGCAACATGAAAATAAAGTAGTATTGGAATATAACACAAAGGATAAAATAGGTATCTATGAGTCCATACTGATGTAAATGACTGAATAAGTAAATAAATGAATAGATAAATCTCTCTTACATAAAAGAATTACAAATAATTCACGTAATTACTTGGCTTCAAGGAGGTAGAGTGTAACTCTCCACTCCTTAAGTATAGGCTATGCATATATGATTTTCTTCCAAATAGTATGGAAAAGGGAGGGAAACAGTAACTTTACAGTGGAGAAACCTGGCAAACACTACCT
This sequence comes from Homo sapiens, assembly GCF_000001405.40. Classification (NCBI taxonomy): domain Eukaryota; kingdom Metazoa; phylum Chordata; class Mammalia; order Primates; family Hominidae; genus Homo; species Homo sapiens. The sequence goes on along the minus strand of NC_000010.11, from coordinate 112,453,293 downwards.
CAGCCACGTGATAAAGGTTAACATCAGTAGTGATAAGTCATGTTGACAGTATGTATTCTTGGTATGTGGTGAAAATGATGCTTTACTTCTGTGGTCCTCCTCCCCAAAACCCAGAACTCCAATCTAATCATGAGAAAAACATTGAGCAAATCCCAGTTGAGGGAACCTTCTAGAAAATATCTGACCAGTACTCTTCTAAACTGTAAAGTCATCAGAAACAAGGACAGTTTGAGAAACTGTCATAGCCATGAGGGGCCTAAAAATCCATGAGTACTAAATGTTTTACAGTGTCCCAGATTGGATCCTGGAATAGTTAAAGGACATTAGGTAAAAAGAACAAACAGAACAAAACGAAATCTGAATAAAGTATGACCTTTAGTTAATAATAATGTATCAATATGGGCTCACTAGCTGTAACAAATGTACCATATTAACATGATGTTAATCACAGAGAAAACTGGGCATGGGGTATATGGGATTCTCCGTACTATCTTTGTGATTTTTCTGTAAATTTCAGACTGTTCTAAAATAAAAAGTTTATTTAAAAAAAAAAAACAAAAACAAAAGACTGAAGCCATTACTTAGGTTGACTAAATTGACCAATATATAGACAACATACAGATATATAGATCTATAGATGCATACACACACACAATTGTTTATATGAATGTATATTATTCAAAGATGAATACAACCCCATAAAAGCTTAATTTTTTTTTTTTTTTTTGAGACAGAGTCTCACTGTGTCACTAGGCTGGAGTGCAGTGGCGCAATCTTGGCTCACTGCAACCTCTGACTCCCTGGTTCAAGTAATTCTCCTGCCTCAGCCTCCTGAGTAGCTAGGATTAGAGGCACGTGCCACTACACCCAGCTAATTTTTGTATTTCTAGTAGAGACGGGGTTTCTCCATGTTGGCCAGGATGGTCTCGATTTCCTGAGCTCGTGATCTGCCCGCCTTGGCCTCCCAAAGTGCTGAGATTACAGTGTGAGCCACCGCGCCCGGCCCTAAATGCTTAAATTTTTTATGAGACATAACTGGGCCATCAGTAACTGCTAAAGACTATCTTCCCTGTATGCTCAATTGAAAAAGCTGGACCTTGCCCAGCAGCTCATGAAGCAGATTTTGAGGTAGCCTGAATCCTAACAAGGAACAAACTATTGTAGCAGTGAGTTCCTGAATCAGGACTGGAACCATCCCTTCAACTGTAACCCTCTAGAGCAACAGAAATATAATGCAAGTCACACATGCAATTTTAAATTTTCTTGTAGCAGTATTTTTTAAAGTTTTCAAAAATAAAAAACTTTTAAGAGAAACAAGTGAAATTAGTTTTAATAATGTTTTTAATTTCAATAATACGTAATTGCATATATCTAAAATATTATCATTTCACAATGTAGCAACAGCCACATTTCAGGTGCTCAATAGCTACACGTAGATATTACAGCTCTAAAGCCAAATATATTTTAAGCAAACCACAATATTCATGAACAAAAGCCAACTTTTCTGAATTATCTCACTGCAACCACCTTGCAAAGGCAAGAGAGAATCACAGAAGTATGTTTATGCCTTCATCTACACGTGGCTAAGTCTAGATGGTCTAGACAATCCTCCAGGGCTTGGCATAACCAATCCACTAGACTCAGGCATTTCCTTCCAGAAAGGACACCTGCCTTGTCCGACACCACTTTCACTTCTCTCCTCCGACTGCCCCCCTTGGGATCCTGAGTTCAAAGCCCAGTTCCAAATTCATATCCAAAAGGCCCTAATCACTTACCTCCTTTCAAATGTGTTCATCAAGAGAAATTTACCTAATTCTAGTCTAGGAACAGAAAGGAAGCAAGAATTGAAGTGTAAGATTTAAGAGTTCAATTAACATGACAAAGTCTGAAGAGCGGGGTCCTAGCTAATCTTACCAACTGTTGTCTTCAGCAGCAGCAGTAATATCATTAATGGCTAGTATATCACGTGTTTTCTCTGTGTAAGAAGGGTGCTAGTGTGTTACATGTTTTATTTCACTGATTTTTACATTATAAGGTTGAAATTATTACTCTCTCACCCCCATTCTACCGATGGAGGAGACAGGCCTAGAAAGGCCAAGCAATTGTCCATGACTGCACATCTAGTAAGTAGCAGAACTAGGGTTCTAAACAGATCTGATGTCATGTCTGAATCTGAATCATTTTGCTGTAATACTTTCTTGGTACAATTCTGAGGACAGCCATAAAGTGACAGGATTCACAACAGATCATTCCCTCTCTGTGAATGGTAAAGTAAGCAACTAATTGCAAAAAGACTACTTTAAAATTCTTCAGGAAGCCTATTTCGTGTAACAGAATCTTTGCACCAGAGGAAAACATTCCCCACTTAAGAATTCACTCCCATCACTAGAGGAAAAGGAACTTCACAATAAAGTACTAACTGTATAGTTTCTGCTCATCCCTTTTCCTTACTTTCCCACAGAACCATAATAATTAAAAAAACAATGTTCAAATATAGTGCCATAGGGTATTAAGAAAGAACTCACCCATCTCAGTTCAATTACTAAAATTAGTTAAGATTCAAACACTTTAAGAGCAAAATCTCTTTATTGTTTAAAAAATATCACAGAGTAATCAGATTTCTTTCTTAAAATAAAATTTTTAAATGTTCACTCTTCTGTTCTCTTTGGAAGCAATACTTTAATACATTGTAACATGCACAGCAGAGTAAAGTTCATTTCAATAGATCTACCCACTCTACTTGAATTTAAGTAAGTTACTATGTTGGGGGAATTAACTGCTTTGGCTGGAAAGTTTGCTCCAATTTTTATCCTTCTTAACTCAAGTAAATTATAGTTCACCTCCTCTGGGTCACTTTTAGCTCAACACTGCACTCGCCAATGATGGCCAGAGAGAGAGATTATAATTACTTGTCATCAAACTATTTTTGCCATGGTTATATATATTAATGTCTGTTCATCTACAGACATACATCTGAAATTCATAACTACATGGATATATTTTTCATCTTTTTCTATACATCAATTGGAAATAGATTTAAAAAGGGGCAAGCACAAGTCATTATTAAGAGGGCAACTACTGCGTTTTTAAGAATTATGATCAGGCCAGGTGCGGTGGCTCACGCCTGTAATCCCAGCACTTTGGGAGGCCCAAGTGGGTGGATTGCGTGAGCCCAGGAGTTTGAGACAAGCCTGGGCAACATGGCAAAACCCCATCTCTACAAAAAAAAAAAATCAGCCGGGCACAGTGGCTTGAGTAGTCCCAGCTACTCGGGAGGCTGAGGTGGGAGTAGACTTGAGCCGTGAGGGAGAGGTTGCAATGAGCTGAGATTGCGCCATTACACTCCAACGTGGGCGATACAGCAAGACCCCATCTCATAAAGAAAAAAGAATTATGATTATTCAATAATACAAGTCAGTAAGCATTCTTCCAGAGCCAGCAATGCAGTCTCCTTTCAATTGTAATGAAGCTCCTGTGTTTGGGCCTTATATAATACTACAGCTAAGGAAAGACATAGTTTTTTTTTAATTTATTTATTTATTGAGACAGTTTCGCTCTTGTCGCCCAGGCTGGAGTGCAATGGCGCAATCTCAGCTCATCGCAACCTCCACCTCCCAGGTTCAAGCGATTCTCCTGCCTCAGCCTCCTGAGCAGCTGGAGTTACAGGCATGTGCCACCACGCCCAGCTAGTTTTGTATTTTTAGTAGAGACAGGGTTTCTCCATGTTGGCCAGGCTGGTCTCAAACTCCCGACCTCAGGTGATCCGTCTGCCTCGGCCTCCCAAAGTTTTGGGATTATAGGCATGAGCCACCGGGCTCTGCCCAGTTTTATTTTTAAGGTACTGAATTCAAAAAGTTTCCTTCTATGTGTTAAGAATTGTCACATTAAAATATAAAGGCAAGAAAAAAATTGTAACACGATCTGTTTTCTTGGAAATTTACAACTTTGCATCCAAGGATGATTTTGTTACCTTGTAAAACAGCTTCCCAATACAAAAACTAATAACCCAAAGAAATGTTTCTACTGCTAAAACAATTACAATTAAAAATGAGTAAAACTCTAACTGGAACCACAAGTCCTGATACTCTGAGGCTCTGGGACTCAATTCAAAGGAAGTAGTCTCCAACAATAACAAAAATCAAGACGATCTCCGGCAGTGGAGAAAAGCAGAACTGAAGAGAAGAGGCGAGGTGATGTATCATGAAGAGATGAGGCCATCAGCCACTTTCGACACAAAAATCTCTGAGGCAGCAGAGCTTGGTGGTATATACTACCTTGGTTCTCTCCTCTTGTTCCCTTACTTGGACTCATAAACCTCTTTAAGACATCATCCATCTCCTCCAGAACTAACTGGGGACTTCAGGAGATGAGTGGGGTATAAGTTCAGAGATCCTGGCTTCAAGCAAATATCCCTATTAACAGAAAATAGGTGAGGGGAAGAAAAACAAAGAAATAAGGGAAGAAAATTACTTATAAACACATAAGTTTTGGGGGAAGTAGGGAAAGGGAAAGAGGAATGACAACTTAGGTCCGGGAGAAATTATTGCTAGTACCAGGACAAGTGGGCAAGTGAAGTGCCCACCAATCCGCAGATTAATGAGCACATCCACCTTTCTACACTTTATATCCTGGAGCTAGGGTAGGGACAAGTCTAGCAGCCAGATGATGGTTCAATTTCCCTAACAAAACTAAACAAAAATGTAAAACCCTTTTCTGTAACTAACTACTCTAATCTGTAGAGAAAGATAGTCCCCGAATCAACATTGTACAAACCATAGTTACAAAAGATCATATTTATATTCACCTGCTCATTCACTTATTTTCCTGAGCCCCTAATAAGTAAACGCCAAGGAAATCAGACACAGCTCCCACCTTCACATAGTTGACAGTCTAGCATAGAAAATAAGATGTGCTAAAACACAAAAGGAAACACAAAAACAAAAACATTTCCAGATGGGAGATGTGAAATTTTTAAGTGTGAAAAATTATCTTGTACCAAGTTTTACATGAAACTGGGTTATACAATAAATCCCCAAGAAGGATGAGAAACAAGAAATGGGGGTGGGGGGTATGAAAAATACTAATGCTAATACAGCAACTAACAACACCAAAAGTGACTTTAAATATGTTATATAAATTTAATCTACCTAACAACCCCATGAGAGAAGTACAATTTTCCCCCATTTACTAAGAAGGAAAGTTGAAAGAGACTAAGAAGTCTGTTTAAGAGGCACAACTTTTATTTTATTTATTTATTTGAGACGGAGTTTCACTCTTGTTGCCTAGGCTGGAGTGCAATGGCGAGATCTTGGCTCACTGCAACCTCCGCCTCCCGGGTTAAGAGGCACAACTTCTAAGTGACAGAGGTAGGATTTGAATCTAGGCACCCTGATTCTTACCTCTATTTTGCCGCATATAATTATAACAATATTATTACTAACACAACAACGCCGCTGTAGATTGTAGATCCATAGGCTACATACTTTCATTCATTTTCTTTGAATACTCACATGTCTATAATTTACAAATGAAAACATTAAGACTCTTAAGACGTTAAGAAACGTTTCCAGGTTATGCAAGTTACAAGAAGGTAGAGCCGGGATTCGAACTCAGATGGCTCAGATTCCGAAGGCTCTTTTCACGGCACCCCACACCCGAACTTGACTCCTTACCCTCAACCAAGCCAAGCCGTATCCCTCCTGGGAACAGCCGGCACCACCCACTCCAGCCTCGCGCCTCATAGACACACTTACTCGGGCGGCGTTCCACCGCCCGCACCCTCCCAGCTCTCCCCAGCACCCTCGTCCAGCCGGGCAAGGCTCTCACCAGGCGGGAGTCGTGGGACCCTCGCAATCTTGCTGGTGATCTCTGCAGTGAGCACCGCGAAGTCCTGCTCGTAACCTTCGAAGTCGGACGACATGGCGGCTCCGGAACGAGTAGCCCAGGCCAAAGCCTAGGTCAGGGAAAGGGCCTCGAGGGGCAGCGAGGGGCCCCGCGGCTTAGGAACCCCGGAAGGTGCCCCCGAGAGCAGAACGGAGAACCGGGGACAGCTCTCAACCCAGCCGCTTCCTGGTTGTTCGTCGCAATCTCGGTTCTCCGGAAATTGGGTTGCGTGCGTGCTTTATTTTCCGCTCCGACTTTAAGATAAGTAAGTTCGCAAAGGAAAAGCGCCCCAATTAGTGCCTCCCCCCAGAAAAGCGTATGAAAATATGCAAGTTCTGAGGGATCATTAGAAGCGTTTTTTCCCCCCTTCGTGTTCTGGGAATCGGCTCCGGATCCACACGCTACAAGGCACAGCAGCTTGCTTCCGGAGGGAGGTTTGAGGCGGCGAACCTCCGGAAGTGACAGTAACAGAGACTGCGCAGGGGGCCTGAGCGGGAGAGTCCTGGCGAGGGCGCTGGCCGAGAGGTGCTCGGCTTGTAGCAGGTCCCGCACTCCAGCCTCTCGCTGCCAGGGTTTGCTCTCTGCTTGTCCTGGGCTGAGGTGTCCATGACGGAGTCATCCAAGGAGGAAAAAATCTGTTCCGGGTGAGCCCAGGCCGCCCCGGATATGCGATGGCTGAGGAGCAGACACCAGGGACCACACTGAGGTGGGAGTCAAGGCAGGGAATATAAGCACGATTTTGGTGGTCTTTGTCCCACCAGAGTGGGAGCAGGCTCTCCTGAATGTTGAGACCAACCTGGCTTACCAGGATATTTCTTCCTTGGGTGAGGATTTATTTCTAAGCCCTCTGCTCCATGACTCGGGCGGGAAACTGAGGCACAAGTCAACAGCGTCTGCTGCGTGGTAGTCTGTATTATCCATGTAGCTCAGATCCTCTTCCAGATCTTCAGATCCAGTCCAGGCAGAGATGCCCTTCCACAAATCTCTCCGGAGCTCGCCGCCCTGCCTTCCATTTCCCTCGCTCCTGGAGGCACTTCCTCTTCTTTCTTCCCTCGAATCTTCTAATTCAGGTTCTTCTCATATACTCTTCTGGTCATAATTTCACACACACCACACACACTCTCGCTCTATCTCCTCCCTTCCTTTCCTTGCATGCTCTCTTTGCTTTCACTGTCGCTCCTTTACTTTTGGGCCAAATTGACTGTTCTCTTGATGTTTGGGTGGCGGGGTGGAGGAGACTGCAGGCAAATGGCATAGACCATGTCTGACTCATACTTGGCTTAATTCAAGACTTCATAAGAGGCAGCTTAGAATTTCATAAAGGGAGGTCGTTGACTTGCCTTCTATTCTGGTTCACCTGTTACTTGTGACCTTGGTCTAATCACTCAGCCTCTCTAAGACAATTTCTGTTCTATGAAGAAGGAAACTGAATTAGATCAACTCTAAGGTCCTAAAATTCTTTGTCTTCTCAAACTATTCACTAAGCGTTGGATGGTGACAGTCCCCTGACAAGCGGAGAAGGAATAAAAAAAACTATTTTGGAATCGTGTATCCAGTTTGCATGCCATTCAAACTTGTACCATATTTTGGATAAGTCAAAAGTAGTTCTTTTTGACATTTGACAAGATATGCATCCCAAAGTGTAGTGCACTTGTGAGATGCTGTTGTGTAGGTGTTTATTGTAGTTAACAAGTATGGTATGCAATAAAGGTTTTGTTTTGTTTTGTTTTAACTGAACTTTCCCATTTTGTTTTCTTTAGGTTGGGTTTCAGACCAAGACACTGGATTCTCCTAGTTAAGATAAAGAGCTTTGGGTGCCTGACAGTGAAAATGGTGTAATCTGCGTTAACAGTTCACAGCTTGAAGGCATGACAATTAAAGAACACACATGGACTTGTGGCACATGGAAATGTGCGCACAGAAAAAGGAAATCTATAATTCTTTTAAAGTAGGAAGGCATTCTTCCTTGCCAAAATGGGTACATTCTGTTCGGTTATCAAGTTTGAAAATCTACAAGAATTAAAGAGACTGTGTCACTGGGGTCCCATCATAGCCCTTGGTGTTATAGCAATATGTTCTACCATGGCCATGATTGACTCTGTGTTGTGGTATTGGCCCTTACATACAACTGGAGGAAGTGTGAATTTCATCATGTTGATAAATTGGACTGTCATGATTCTTTATAATTACTTCAATGCCATGTTTGTCGGTCCGGGCTTTGTCCCTCTGGGGTGGAAACCGGTAAGAAAGATTCTGTAAGACAATGAACTTTAATGATAATCGTATATTTGGTTTTTGCCTTATCTACTAACCAATAATACCAAACACAGCCTACTGTTTGTCCTCACAGAGACTAAGTATATTACTCTAATCACTGATCATTTAGGCTCGGAGACTTTATTTCATATCTGTTTGAACACATTGATCCAAAATAGCATTTTCCAAAGCAATTTTATTGAATATTTGCTCTGCATTAAAAAAAAGATGGAGGTGGGGTGGAGGTGGGATAGGTTCATGGTCAAAAGTTTAGGAAACATCACATGTCATACACAGTGAGGTTTGGCTGTAGTACCTTTTTTCATGTAATACATTAACATCCCTTAGAACTGAGAAAAACGCTTTAGAAACTGCTGGTTTAAATCATAAAGTTTTAAAATCATTGCACTGAAAATATAACATTGGGAAGTATAGTCCAAATCCATTTATAGCTTAAAAACTACTGGGAAATTTATGCTTATGAATGTCCATGTTTCCTGCTAAGGGACCACACCTGATGGCTTGTCAGAAAGGCAGAATCTTGGGCTCCACTTCAGACATACTGAAGCAGAATCTTTATTTTAATAAAGTGCCCAGGTGATGCTTAGGTATATTAAAGTTCGGGAAGCACTGGTGTATATCATGTGCTATGTACTATTCAAAATGCGTACAGAGGAGGGTAAGATGTAATTTGAACTCTGAAAGAGCTTATAACCTAAGCAAGAAACAAACGCACTTGTGCAAATCACTAAACTATAAAGTAGAACGTGATGGGTGCTGTTAAAGTTAGAAGAATTGAGCATTGTTAGTTGGGGACCTGAGGGAGGAGTGGGAATTTCCAAAGGAGATGGGGAAGAGGGCATTTCAGGTTGAAAGAATGGTGGGACCACGTATTCAGAAACAGTAGACAGCCCTGTGTGACTGGGGAAAAGATCATGTAGGGCAGAGACAGCTGAAACAAAGGCAGATTGTGACAGTCTTAAATACATGAGAAATTGTAGACCATAGAAAGTTGTAGGGGTTTTCAGGCAGAGTCTGACACAGTCAGAGGTGTATTATAGGAATATTATTTTGACAATACACGGTTTGTGCTGAAGAAAAACTACAGTAAAGGAAACTAGTTAGGAAGTGATTAAAATGGCCCAAGAAAGGGGTGGTGACGGGTAATGTCAAGGAGGGAGCAGATTTCAGTAGGACTATCAACTCACGATTAACTCCTCACTCTAAAATACCTGCTAAGTTGTCAGCTACCTTTTTCTGAACTCCTGAATCCACTAAGATTTGGGGTAAGTAGAACCAACTAGTGACACTGAATTTAGGTGGAGCACAAGGAAGAAAAATTTAAAAGGACTTCTGGGTAATTGGGAAAGTGATGCTGCTCTTACCAGAAAACTTATTTAAAAATATTTTAGCTCAAATAAGAGGACTGGAAATGCAAGTTAAGATTCTCTCCTTCCCCTATCGCCCATAAAAGAAAATCATACCGTAGGAATCATACTTATATTCAAGTATCCGATGATGCATTTTTGTTTCTGTTTTGCTGCCAAGGAAATTTCTCAGGATACCATGTATCTCCAGTATTGTAAAGTCTGCCAAGCATACAAGGCACCACGTTCACATCACTGCAGAAAGTGTAACAGGTACCTGTCTTTCTTGCTGTTCAGCGAGGACTGATCAACTAATTACTGATGTTTTCATTGTTGCTTATACTACATTAGTGCTACTTCTATTCACTGCAAGGTTACCATATTATAAACAATATTGTCAGAATACTTGTGTCCATAATCGCCATTTTATACTTAAATTATCTAGATAATAAATAGATTTAATTCTTCCTTGTTACAAGTGAAAAGATTTTCCAGAAAAATACAGATTTACTTTGCCTCTTGTCCTACAAGAACAAGGGAAAAAGGTATAAACCTTAAGTTTGTTTCCATATATCAAGATTAATTGTGTTAGTCAGCTGCCATCTGGACTAACTTTAGAATTGTTCTGAGTCTAAATTATAAGGGAGATCTGCTTTTCCCATTACTTATTGACAAACATTTACACTTTATACACATCTAATAATCCAGGTGCCTATTATCACAAATGTTTTAATATCAAAAACTTAGAAGAAAACTGACTATTAAAAATATGAAATAACCTGTGACCTTTTTTAATGAACAGCTATAATCACTGATTAGTAAGAAATTTAGAGAACCGTTGAAAGCAAATAAAGTTTTGTTTCAGGCCAAAACATTGTCTTCTATCAACAGTACACGGCAAGACTTTGTTTATTATACCATATCTTATATTCTGGAGTTAGCTTGCTTAGCTCAGAGATCCATTAACTAAAGGATACTATGAGAACAGGAAGGAAGTTACATGTGTCTATTTGAGCCCATTAACCCCACTGGAGGTCTATAAGGGATTTGTTGAGTCTCTATTGTAGGTCACTTGGGTCACTGCACTTACAAACTAGAAGAAAACCAGGAACCATGCTCATTTCTTTATAATGAGCATTATAAAGAGACCCTCTTTCAGTGGGTCTCCTGACTTCTTTAAACAAATACTTGTAGCTGACATCTTTTCCTCAGAAGCTGTTAGAAAGCCTGCCCTTTCCTGTGCTGTTTAGAATTTAAAAGGAGTCACTTAATTGTTTAAAAGCTCATAAAGATTTTTCTTTCTGTTCCATGAAGTATAATTCTCTCGTAGCTCATGGACATGCTGGATTCCTATTTGCTTGATCTTTTGAAGACCAAAGTTATTTAAAGTAGACAGGATTTTCTGCCTCATGTTTTATGTAAATTTTTCTTGTTAGATGTGTGATGAAGATGGACCATCACTGTCCTTGGATCAACAACTGTTGTGGTTACCAAAATCATGCTTCGTTCACACTGTTTCTCCTTTTAGCACCACTGGGTTGTATCCATGCTGCTTTCATTTTTGTGATGACTATGTACACACAGCTTTATCATCGGGTAAGTGAAAATGAAAATGTTTTGTTATAAAATCATCCATGCAAGATTAAATGGTAGTTATCAACATTTAAGAGGTTCCTTTTGGAAATATGCTTTCTGTGATTTAGTTGGGGAAATAGAACTTTGTTTTACTGGTATATGGGTTCCTTTTTAGAAAGCATTAAAACTTAAATTTTAAGATGAGGAAAGAGTATTTGTTCTGAAAACTTACATGCTGTAGTTGAAGGTGATAAATATTTTAGTACTGTATATGTAATTTGTTAGACTTCAAACTTAATAGTTATGGAAAGAATAGAAGAAAAAAAGACAACACTAGTGCTTCCTACTTTCATCCCATTCATGTGGCAAGTTGTAGTTCTTTGTTCATTTCTGATTCTAGTGCCCTGGAAGGTGGCTCATGGAGCAGATGCATACCATAAAATATAAACAGATTAAACCAGCAAGAGATCAAGTTGATTTATGGGCAAGTAGTCATGAGATAAAGTTCAAGGGACACAAACCTCCCTAAACAGGCCTTGAAAGTAAACGAGAGACACACCTGATGGGACTGCCAAACTGGAGAGTCTGTCCTTTGGGGAGGGGACAGCCCATATTTGATCTGCTAGCTTGTGGTGTTTGGAAATTCTAGCCCAGAAAAATCTGAAAATCTGGATTTTTATGTGAAATCTCTTGATTTTTAAATGTTGGCACCTAATTCTGAATGTTGAAACATTATGCAGGCCAGGCAGCACACATCTGTGGCCATATTTGGCCTGCATTTTATCAGTTCTTCATCACCATTTGTAAAACATGAGGGAAGAAACAACTGAATCCTAGGCAGCACTTGTCACTGTGGAAGAATACTGCGATGTAGAATAGCAAGAGAAGAGAAAAGACATAGTTCTGGTTTAGATTAGTGTCTAGTGTTGTTTATGTATGTTAATGTTGGTAAGGTCTCCTTGACACTTTCTGAGGAAACAACAACAACAAAAAGTAACATTTGAGAAAACTAAGAATGATATCCTGCACATCGGTCCGAGCTCATTACTATATTAATTAAAAATAGCTGGCCCAGCTCAGTGGCTCACGCCTGTAATCCTAGCACTTTGGGAGGCTGAGGCGGTGTGGGTCACAAGGTCAGGAGTTCAAGACCAGCCTGGCCAATCTGGTGACACCTGTCTCTACTAAAAATATAAAAAATAAGCCGGGTGTGATGGCACATGCCTGTAGTCCCAGCTACTCGGGAGGCTGAGGCAGGAGAATTGCTTGAACCTGGGAGGTGGAGGTTGCAGTGAGTCGAGATCGTGCCACTGCACTCCAGCCTGGGCGACAGAGTGAGACTCCGTCTCAAATAAATAAATAATAAATAAATAAAATAAAATAAAAATAGCTGTGTTTGCGTTGGCCACAGGGCCACGTTGTTATCTCTTTGATCAAGTTGTTTTACGTGTCACAGTAGAGTCTGACCAGTTACCATAACCAAACATTTTGTGCGTGTGCTATTGTTGCTGCGATAGCTCTCCTTTGGGTGGAACACAGTGAAGATCGACATGAGTGCAGCCCGGAGAGATCCTCTTCCAATTGTTCCATTTGGATTAGCTGCATTTGCTACCACCTTGTTTGCCTTGGGATTAGCTTTAGGAACAACCATAGCTGTTGGGATGTTGTTTTTTATCCAGGTAAGCATCTCAATTACCTCAAGTCAAAAGTGTCAAGTTGTTGGGACTGATTGCACAAGAAAGAGACAAAGCCTGTATTTAAGTGTCCAGTATGAAATGGAAATTATTTTTGCTTATTTCATTTAGGTAACTAATCTCCTTTGTATTCGTCAGATAATTTTGATTTAATTTTGCCAGAATTTCTAGGTATTGATTTAGTTTTTAAAATGCTAACTTCAAGTTAGGTAAGTTCTGGAGCACTTCAGAATTGAGAGAGCTCTTCTCACCTGTACAGTCTCTCTTGCTCTTCACATCCACCCCAATAGAGGAGTCTTACTGTTTTCCCTTCCCAACACGTGATTAATTCATTGATTCTCAAAAAGGTTAAGTGACTTACCCAATGTCACCCATTCATGTACTTGGTAAACATTTTCCCTTCCCGACAGATGATTAATTCATTGATTCTCAAAAAGGTTAAGTGACTTACCCAATGTCACCCATTCATGTACTTGGTAAACACTAATGTTATTTTATAATAGTATATATTTAATAATAGTAATCATAATATAGCTAACATTTATTGAGCACTTATTATGTGTAAGGCACTGTTTTAGGCACTTTACATGTATTAGCTCATTTAATCTCCATAACAGCCCTATGATAAAGATGCTATTTAAAGCCTACTCTGATGAATCACTTTGCTAATTTCTAAGGCTGCATAAATGATAATGAAGAGGTAGCTGCCCTTAGGAACTGACAGTTAATATTAAACAGTTAACTAATACAGGGCCATATGTACATCATAGATTTATGTGCACAGTGCTATGAGAACACAGAGGAGGAGGACCTGGCTCTGAAGGGACCAAAAACCATTCTTTTTCATTCTTTTTTTTTTTTTTTTTTTTTTTTTTTTTTTTTTTTTTTTTAGACGGAGTCTCACTCTGTCACCCAGGCTAGAGAACAATGGCGTGAACTCAGCTCACTGCAACCTCCGCCTTCCGGGTTTAAGCAGTTCTCTGCCTCAGCCTGCCAAGTAGCTGGGATTACAGGTACCTGCCACCACACCCGGTTAATTTTTGTGTTTTTAGTGGAGACGGGGTTTCACCATCTTGGCCAGGCTGGTCTTGAACTCCTGACCTTGTGATCCACCCACCTCAGCCTCCCAAAGTGCTGGGATTACAGGTGTGAGCCACTGTGCCCGGCCCAAAAACCATTCTTATGACTTATTGCATTCACGTAATTCATTCATTCATTCATTGAAGGCCTACTGTGGGCCAGGTATTATGCTAGGCCCTTGGAATATGATGAGGACTCCTGGGCCAAGGCTGTTTATTTTTTTATTGTTGTTTGTTTGTTTGTTTGTTTGTGACAGAGCCTGGCTCTGTTGGCCCAGGCTGGAGTGCAATGGCACGATCTCGGCTTATTGCAGCCTCCACCAAGGCTGTTTCTAACATACTACACTGTCTCTCTGAAGGCACAGCCAGACTTTAAGGGAACTCTTGGTTTTAAAATAATCTGGTTTTGTTTATACTTTATTATCGTCTACTAGCCTGGGACCAAATTCTTTGAAAAATTTTCCCCAATGCCTCTAATTTAGAATCATATTAGAAATAAACTAAGATCCTATAATATAAAAGCCTATATATGTGGAATCAGTCATATCTAGGAAAATCAAATAATAGAATAAAGACTGAATACATTCATTATTTTTAAGGCAAGTGAAATATTGAGGTTGACTGAAATGAGTCACTGTTACTTCTCATAAATAGATTAATCGTAAATTTAAAGTTAGTTAAAAATAGTGATAAAAGATTTTAATAGCAAATTATAAGTAAGCACTGATTAAATGGATTATATCAATGTTTTATTAAACCTTGCTCTGAAAATAGTACTTATGACATAAAGTTTGATTAACATACTAGATTCAGATTTGATTATGGATGGGTGTAATCATTGTTACGGAGAGGTACCGTGGTGCAGTAGTTAAGAACAAGGACTTTGGAGTCAGACGGATGACATGGTAATTGTGGTACTTAACCTCTGTTATCCTTGGTATCTTTGTCTATGGAATGGAGTAATAAAAGCTATCTCAGAGAATTATGAATATGATAATCTTAAAGGAACCAAGGTCGCATTATTAAATTTTACTATCATTTAATTTCCAGATGAAAATAATTCTCAGAAACAAAACTTCTATTGAGTCATGGATTGAAGAGAAGGTAAATTTTAATAATTGTTTCTTCAATATTAAAAAAGTATATTAATAAAGGACTGGTAAAGTCCTGAATATTAATAAAGTCTGTTATTAGACCGGATTAACGAAAAGTGCCTAAAAGTGAAAACATGGCTGCCAAATGGCTACCGTAAGTCATTTGCATGCCACATAAAAGGTGAATATAGGAAACATTTTTGTTCATTCTGTAACTCCCACAGAAAGGTGCTTCTCATACACCCTGAGTGGTCGCAGAGGCCTAAGCCACACGTCAAACCATCTGTTTGTTGTCTCTTAGACTAGAGGAGAAAGCAGCCCATTTGGAAAGGAGCTTCCACCCTACCAAACTGCCATCAGGTTTTTCTCAGTGTTTTAGACATTCAATGAAGCTCCTAACATTTTGCTTGTCACAGACCTCACAATGTCCAATACTTCATACTGTCCATTGTGATTCTAGCATGAAACACAAATCTGACTACCCTGCTCTGTGTTTAAAACTTCTCAGAGCCTCACCATTCCTGTGGCAGGGGTTGAAACCCAAATACCTGCAGGGTCTGGGCAGATAACGTCCATGAAGGGGAGCAAGCCTGTATACCAAAGAATTGCCTGGCAGACCAAGCTGATTGTTGCCACAGGGGAATATTCACAATTTCCAAATTACAAAATAGGGAGAAGAATAGCATCGTTTTATATCTTTACAAATCTCTTTAGTATCTTTGACTTAAGAGAAGATGGTTGGATTCTCACTTCTGCATTCAGTCTGTTGAGATATGTTGCTTCGATTGAAGTATGTGAAGATCTAGCCTCACACAGATAAGTAGGTAGAAAAGGATAGAATATTTTAATAGGCCTTTTACATGATAATAGTGGATGTTCTTCCGTATTACATTGAAAACTTGACAAGTGATATTTCTTATCAATAAGATTTTTATACCTTTTTATTTTAAAACTCATCAGTCTATCTTGCTCTTTGAATTAATCTTTTACCAGTATGTGGTTTTATGTAACATCAGGCATCGGTCATTTGGCAAATACTAGTTTACTGTGTTATGTAGATTTTGCAAACGTTAAACACCTTTCATTATACAATATCCCAAAATTGCATTCACGTATATCAATATATCATTTTTATGAGAAAAAATCCTTAAGTATTGGAAAGCTGTCAGGCTCACAGTGGTAGATACAAGGTTTTTTTTTTTGTAATTCTAGTATACATTTGAAAGCCTTAATTTTTTACTATTAACCCATACTGTCAGTCATTTCCCTTGAAGTGACTGCCTGACTGTTCGTTTTTGAGAAAATGTTCACCAAGTCCTGAAGTCTGAATAACCTTAGTTTGCTATATTACTCATTCTTTCAAATAAGAATAGTGTTACATTAAAAAAGCTGGCTCTACAGCTTTTGTTAGCTTACAGCTTAACAACTATTTTCCTTGAGATGATCATTCTACTTGGGCACGCTTTATGTATACTTCTCATTTTGTCACACAGACTGTTAAAAATAAAGGACATCTCCTTGAGAGTTGAGATTTAATATTTAAAAACAATTTTTACTGCTTCATCAAGGACATTCTTACATGGAATTGCTCATAATGACTACCAACACAGTTTGGTGCCACTGCCTTGGTTTTTGCTAAGATGCCAACAGTTTTATTCACCATTGCAAATGTCAATGCAACAAAAAGACAAATAACATTTCAGTATTATTATGAAAATAGCTTGGCCTTGCTGACCAGCAAGAAAAAGTCCTGAATACTCAAAGTGATCTATAAAGCATGCTTTGAGAACCACTGATGTACAGGTTGAAGTCTGAGCTTCTTAGCTTCTACATAAGTAAGACCTTTTATGACTTCTTTTTTTGTTTTCTGGCGACGGAGTCTCGCTCTGTTGCCCAGGCTGGAGTGCAGTGGCACAATCTTGGCTCGCTGCAACCTCCACTTCCTGGGTTCAAGTGATTCTCCTGCCTTAGCCTCCCAAGTAGCTGGGATTACAAGGTGTATGCCACCATGCCCAGCTAAGTTTTGTATTTTTAGTAGAGACAGGCTTTCACCATGTTGGCCAGGCTGGTCTCAAACTCCTCACCTCAAGTAATCCACCCGCCTTGGCCTCCCAAAGTGCTGGGATTACAGGCGTGAGCCACTGCACCTGGCGGACTTCTTTTTATCTACTTCTCCAGCCTAATTTCCTACCCTTCTCTACCCTGTCTCACACTTGATACTAAATTACTCATAGTTTGTACATCTTATGCTTCTGTATCCTTGCACATGTTGTTCCCTCTGCCTAGAATGCTCTTCCCTCTCTTTTTGCCTGATTTCTTGCTTCTCAAGACTTAGTTAAGGTATTGTTTCTCCCAAGGACCCTTCCTGGATACTCCCTAGACTTGGCTAAGTACTTTTTGTTTCCTTTGTTCCCTTTTCCCATAGCATCTACCACACCCCTTCATCACCTTTTAACACACAATATTGATAGAATCCTAACTTCATTGAGTGTTTCTGTTAGGCAAAGACATGTCTTAGTCATTTTATAAATTCTCTTATATTTACCAGTTTTTCTTTGTAAATAGCCTAGAACTCTTTTCTTTGAAATTCAGTCCATTTTGAAGACTCTGAAGCTGTGTTTATAAAAAAGAAAATGAAATTATTCTTTACTTTCTGGGGAGGATGGATTTATATAACTTAATAGATTCATATGCATTATAGCTTAATAATTATTTTAGTAAATAGTTAACTTTAATATCACTCAACAAATAATTGCAACATTTTCCATAAAACATTGTCCCCTGATAATCAAATATTTCAAAGTATCATTTCTAATAAGCATAATAAATATATTGACATTAGATTAACATTTTTTTGTTTGTTTTTGTGGATGACCAAGGCTGCTTATAAACCGCCATGCTACATTTAGAAATTACCTCAGATGAGATTGAGTATGCTGAATGGTATGGCCATAGACTAGAAATTATTTCAGAACGGGCACTTTATTGCTGAGTAAAAAATTCAAACAAATGACCATATTAAATTTATAGGAAATGTATAGAAATTACCAGACACTATATACAACAAATTTGAAGGGATTTGTATACTTATTGTTAAAATAAATAATGTATCTTTGTACCACTAGGTGTCAGTGGAACTTAAGAAATCCAAAGCCAATTTATTTCCTCAAGTTAAAGCTAACAGTTTAAATGCCTGGAATATATGCAAGCTGAATAGTTATGTACATGCATAACATGTACATATAAATGCATATATAAATGAGTTATGTGTACATGTGTGATAGTATAAAAAAAGAAAGAAGATCTCCTGTATATATCTGCTAGCTTTAAAAAATGTTTTTCATAAAACAGCTCTCCTGTTACACCTTTCCTGGTCATTCCCATGGGCATCACTGCCACCCAGGATATAACTGTTACCCTCTGATACAACTGTTACATTCTGGTGCACCCCACAAAACAGTTCTATCTTGAATAAAACGGTTCCATCCTGAATAAACCTTTACCTTTCTCCTGAATCTGTTTATCTGCATCCCTTCTATATACCTGAATTGTTTTGTATTGCTGAACAACTAGGAGCATTGAGGACTTTTTATGTATGAGATAAAGTTAGCTAACTTTTAATAAGCCTTTATGAGTGCTTATTCCTAAAGAAACCCTGTCAGATATTTCCTAGGTAATCACATACAAGGCTGGTGTTCTATATCAAGTTCTTCCTATATTGTGATGAAGTTGTCTATTGCTTCCATGTACACTAATATTACAGCAAGGAGGAAGTATTTTTATGAATGTTAGAAACTTGAGAAATAAGTGTTCTCAATAACATATTACTGCAGGCCACTTAGACAGAGGCACCTGCCATCTTATATCTTTGTTACCCACAGGCTAAAGATCGAATTCAGTATTATCAACTAGATGAAGTCTTTGTTTTTCCATATGATATGGGAAGTAGATGGAGGAACTTTAAACAGGTATTTACGTGGTCAGGGGTCCCTGAAGGAGATGGACTTGAGTGGCCAGTAAGAGAAGGCTGTCACCAATACAGCTTAACAGTGAGTATTTTTGTTCAAATAGCCCTTCCTTTTTGCCTCGCCTTCTTTCCCTTAACTCCCCCTCAACTCAAGTGACATTTTGTAGTAAAATAAGTAATATGAATGTTTTCACTATGTCAAAATGAATCTAATAATTCTAAAGCACTCCTTGTATCATGTATCTCCCTTTATTTCAATATCTCCTTAATTCTCTATACCTGTGAGATAAAGTCCTGATCCCTTAACATAGTTTTATGAAATCTGGCCAAAAATTACCTTCCAACTTACAGTAGCATATGAATTCCTTATACATTCCTGTCACCCAACTTTGCCCACAATTTTTTCCATCTTATATGACCTCCACTCTATCTAAAATTATTAAGACTCGTTCCAGTCTTACCTCTTCCATAAAGTCTAACCTACCCCCATAGACTCATCTGAATGTGACATTTAATCACATACTACTCTATGGTAGCTCATGAAGTCTCATATTTTTATTTAATTCTGCTATCTTATATCTGTAACTTCATAAGATTCTAGGACAGAGATCATGAGTTATCTTTATTTCTCCTATTATATCTAATATAGTGCTATTTAATAGTAGCTATGTCAAATTAAGTTATGATGACTTTTATTCATTCAACTTCATTATTAAATGTTCTTCATTATTCATTTGTAGTTTGTCTGCCATGTCTCTACAGAATCAGTGAATCTCAGTGTTTTCACCTGAGAAGCTTCATGAGGGCGGAGAATATACTCCCTGATCCCTGGGCCACAGTAAGCACTCTAGGAATATACACAGATGAGGACATTAGAGAGTGAATAGCGAGAAGAAAACCTCACTCTCAGCCTCTGGTTCTTAGCATAGGGCCTTTTTTTCCATGCTAAAACAACCTGTGGCCTTTAAATTATCAGCAACTTGAAATGCTGGAAAATTGGGGTTTTGCCATATCACTCTGACAGTTGATGAGGAAAGGCGATTTTTCAACATTGAGACAAGAGACTTCATTTTTTTCTTTTTATTTCTTCCAAACAGATAGAACAGTTGAAACAAAAAGCAGATAAGAGAGTCAGAAGTGTAAGTACTTCTTTTGCAGTGGTAATTTTTTTTTCTTTTGTTAGGCTCTGTACTTCCATACAGTTTTTTTAATTGACTGACTAGAAACCAATTGTTGGCCTTTATTAAATAGTATTCCTTAATACATTTGTTGAAATTTGATGCAGTTAACTTTTGTTTTTATTTAAATAATTGGGACTAGAGGTTGGGAGGAATTTAGTCCATTTATATTGCCAACATAGGAAAATAATTATCCTCAATACAGCTCCTTAATGTGAAACCTATCCTTACAACTATGTTGTTGGATATGATGGCCACCAGCCACATGTGGCTGTTTTATTTAAATTTGTTAAAATTAAATCAATTTAAAAATTCAGTTTCTTGTTTGCATTCACTACATTGTAAGTGCTCACTCAGTAGCTACATGTGTCAAGTGCTGCTGCATTGGATACTACACATACAGAACATTTCCATCATGGCAGAATGTTCTTAGCCCTGCTCTAACTCTAATTCTTAGCTATGGGCTTGAAAAGAGGAGTAAGAAAAGCCTTGAGAACTAGAAACATTAGTTGCCTCCCAGGGAACTAGGTGGATGGGGAACTGGGAGGTTCCCCTAGAAGGGGAACTAGAAGGCTTGTCACTGGATATTTTGGATCTTGCTTTAAAATTTGAAATTCAGACTTAAAACTCAGATATCATGGGTGAATATTTAAAGGTTTCTTCTGATCACTGACGACAGGTTCGCTATAAAGTAATAGAAGATTATAGTGGTGCCTGCTGCCCTCTGAATAAAGGAATCAAAACCTTCTTCACAAGTCCCTGCACCGAAGAGCCTCGAATACAGCTGCAAAAAGGGGAATTCATTTTAGCCACAAGAGGTTTACGGTAAGTAATAGGAAGTACTGCATTTCTTCTTCAAGGACAAAATTAATATCTAGCCTAAAAAATTAATTTTCATCTTTTAAATATTTCAGATACTGGTTATATGGAGACAAAATTCTTGATGATTCCTTTATAGAAGGTATGGAAATGGAAGGGCATGTTTAAAGGACAAGACTATTAGCAATAATTCCAAATTTTACAAGAATAACTTTTATAAACCAATCATGCCTAATGCATTAGGGGAACTGCATAGAAGGGTATATCACTAAGCAACAAAAGGAACTTCCTTATATATTTCTCTATAGCTCTTGTATTTTTCAGGTCTTTTTAATGATAGCTAACATTTGAGCTCATAACTATGCGAAAAGTACTTGTATAAGTGCTACCCTTAAGGTGTAGAAGTCCCCAAAATACTTCGGAGGTAGGCACTATTATTTATATTTGATTGAGGGAACTGAAGCACAGAGAGGCAACTTGCCCATAGCTATGCACTGAAAACAGATGGAGCTAGGGCTTAACCCCAAGCAGTCTGACTCCAGATTCTATGCACCAAACCCCTGTACTATTTGCTGCCCCCACTTTGAGCATTTCTCTTAAGTTGTTATAAAAACCAGTAGATTGAAACTTTGTGTTTTTTTTTTTCTTAAGTTTTATAATTGTTTCTTTTTAAAGTAAAGATTAGCTCGGGATGTTCTTTAAAAAATAGTTGGGGTTAATCATAAATTAACCTCTTATGACGGCCGTGATATAGAAATGTATATGTTAGGCCAGGTGTGGTGACTCATGCCTGTAATCCCAGGACTTTGGGAGACCAAGGCAGATGGATCACCTGAGGTCAGGAGTTCAAGATCAGCCTGGCCAACATGGTGAAACCCTATCTCTACTAAAAATACAAAAATTAGCCGGGCATGGTGGTGTGTGCCTGTAATCCCAGCTGCTCCAGAGGCTGAGGCAGGAGAATTGCTTGAACCCGGGAGGCAGAGGTTGCAGTAATCTGAGATCGTGCCACTGCACTACAGCCTAGGTGACAGAGCAAGACTCCATCTCAAAAAAAAAAAAGAAAGAAATATATATGTTAGAAAAAGTCTAAAAAGGAAATTTACAAAGACTACAAGAAGATAGTTCCCTGGAAAAGACAGTGTGATGGTGTGCCAAAAACACCTTTCCTGATCATACACATATAAGTAAACACCCATACCGAGTTCCCCCTGACTCTAGTTAGGAGCTGTCTTTAACCACATTAGTCCCTATTCGGGATCATCAAATTTGGGAAATACCTGTTCCTAGCTTGTTATGAACATTTAAAAATCTTATTTTTTTCCCCTTCAAACTGTGCTTATAATAGATAGCAAAGTGGGGAATAAAAGTCTAACTACAAGCTTATTAATTTGAAGTAATAGGACTTACTGCTTTCAGTAATGTCACTGTCATCCATCAGACTATTTCACCTCAATTTCATTTTCTCCCTCAGGTGTTTCAAGAATAAGGGGTTGGTTCCCTAGAAAATGTGTGGAAAAGTGTCCCTGTGATGCTGAAACAGATCAAGCCCCAGAGGGGGAGAAGAAAAATAGATAGCTGCTGTTAAAACAAAATTATCCTTTAAGTCTGCTTAATTACTTGAAAATTGTACATATTACTAAAGAATTATGCAATGAGCCTACTCTGGTTAAGATGTTCTTTTCCTCAAAGGTGCCCTAGTGCCATGATTTAAATATTTTTATTACCATTTTGAAATGGAGAAGCCATTCTGCATATGCCTTTGAATTCCTGCCCCTCTTTACCACCTCTTCCTCCCCCTCAAAGGAAAAACATTTCATCCAAGTAAGTTAACGGCATTTTCTGTAGGATTTTCTTATGCACTGCACACTCTGGACCTCACCTGCAGATACAGTTCCCCCCTTGCCAGGAGCATCTGCATGTGGTACTTCTCTTTTCCCTCAGTTGATATTTCTTATATGATATTCTAGATACTATAGAACTCAATTTGTCAGATTCAGTATAACCTCAGATTTTGTTACCTGTCTTTTAAAAATGCAGATTTTGTCAAATCAAATAAAGATCAATGGATGTTGGGTATAATCAGTTTTTACTTAAAGCATTTTTCTTTTTGCTGACTAAAAAGGTTCATCTTAGTTCCTTATGGAAAAACTGCTCTGCTGCCCTGTGGACAACTGGCATCTTAAAACGTGGCTTAAGACATGACACACTTGCTTCAAGATATTAACCCTATTAATGGGATATTGCGGTCATAGTGATGGCAGCGGATGGCAGTGGTGGCCTGAGGGGTGTTGAGGGGGAGCCGTGATAGGCAGGAGCCAAGCGTAGCTACAGCTGTCCAGCCGTGGCTGCGGACCCGGGCATCCTTGTGCTCTAGGGGGCCGAGGGGAAATACCCCCCCCACACCCCCCCCCCAACAACTGCTTGGCCTCTTCCTGCTCCTGGCACTCGCTCTGGAGCAAAGGTGAGGCCAAGCCCGGGTGCTGTGAGGACCTGGCCAGGTGTACGTGAGCTCTGAGTGGTGCTGACACCAGCGCCCTGCCGCCTAGGCCCCCTCTGGACTTTGGGCTGCCAGCCACAGAGGATTCCAGCTGGGGAAGCAACACCCCAAGGATCCCGTGGCAGTAGTGTTCTAGACTTTAAACATAGTGATATCAAACTACTCATGTACCCTTGAGTAAAAAGCTGAAGCTTGTGTGAGTGGTAGGATCCAAGCTGGTGGGCTTGGATGCTTAAATTGGGCTTGTCTAAACATAACAGTGGAATCACAGAAGGAAAGAGAAAGCCTATTTCTCTGGACTTCAGAAACCTTTCCAAGGCAGGGAATGTGAAGCTTTGGGGGCCAGGCCTGTAATAGTTGAGGATAAGGGAAGAGCACTTGGGAATTCAGCAGTGAACAGACAGGTAAAATATATGTAAGATGGAGTCATGTTATTGTGAAGCAAGAAGGTAGGACAGTCTTGAGTTGGCATTTGAAGCAGATGAGGGGACAAGTCATGTGCTTTGGGATATTTGCATTTTAGAGACAGCAGCAAGAACAAAAACAGGCTGGACCTGTGTCTGACACGTTTGAGAAACAGGAAGGTAACTAGTGAGGTTCAGCTGTAATGCGTGAGGGGAGAATAGGAAAGGAAGTGAAGGCGAGAAAGTTAAAGTGATAATGGGAGCTAGACTTTAAAAGTTAATTCCTGCCTACCCTTTTGTTTCAGATCCTTAAGAATAGATATTTCTTTGGCTTTTCTGGGCTCAAAATCTAGAAAGACCATCCAAGAACATTCTCTTTAACTCCAGTTGGAGGCCAGAAAAGAATACTATTAATATTCAAGATTATAATTAGAGTACAACAAAGATGGTAAAAGAATGGATATGACTTGTGCTCAGTTGGAGTTTTGGCTCAGCTGGTATTTGTTTTATTCTTTACAGCTATGGGATAAGAAGGTTTGGTCTTCAGAACTTACTTTTCTTCACTAACCTGTTCGCAGACTAGAATCATCTGTGGGTCTTCTTAACAATCTCAGTGCCCAGGCTGTATCCGGCCATTTAAGCCAGAATCCCTGGAGTGGCAACCAGGCATTAGTGGTTTTTTTGTTTTGTTTTTGTTTTTTTTTTTTGAGACAGAGTCTCACACTTTCACCCAGGCTGGAATGCAGTGGTGCGATCTCGGCTCGCTGCAAGCTCCGCCTCTCGGGTTCATGCCATTCTCCTGCCTCAATCTTCTGAGTAGCTGGGACTACAGGTGCCCGCCACCACGCCCAGCTAGTTTTTTGTATTTTTAGTAGAGATGGGGTTTCACCATAGTAGCCAGGATGTTCTCGGTCTCCTGACCTCATGATCCGTCCGCCTCGGCCTCCCAAAGTGCTGGGCATTAGTGTCTTTTTAAACTTCCTAGATAATTCTATTGTGTACCCAAGTTTAAGAACAGATACTGTACTTGATTTTTAAGGGGTCCTTGTTTAAGACTGATTTTCATCATGGTCCATGAGGAAAGAAACACCACAACGTAAGTATCTGTAATAGTTTATTTTAAAGACTTTACATTTACAAGTAGAAACAACATGTGTTATCTGTGGGTAAGGTAGAGCAGGAACTCTAATCCAAGGGTGGGGGAGATCAGTTGGTTCCTTCACAGAAAATAAGCCTGTTGTGTGGGCATCTTGCTTGCCTGTAGATCTTTGTTCCCAGTTCAGGAGGTTTTTATTCAGTGCTTGCTTCATTTACTGGAAAAGTTCACTGGGCCCACCTGTCAACTCCTTCCCCCACAGCTTCCAGCTCAGCAGCAAACTGTAGGGAACAGATTTACTCCCCAGTTCCTACTGTAAATAATGCTTTAAGAACAGCATTCCTTTTGGACAATATGTCATAGACCCAATTTTTAATACTCCCAAGTCAGATATCTAACTAGAGAGTTTAGGAAATGTTTGGTATGATCAAACTTTTCCCTTCAGTACACAATTTAATTTACGCAGAAGAGCATCGGAGACATTTGTCTCATAGATATGATTGACATGAGTGATAGGCTAAAACTAAAATTTTAGTGGTTTGTGGAGTGGCTAGAAAACATGAATTGTAAGCAGTTTTTCAGAATTTAAAAATCTCTTAGTTTGAACAGTAGAAGATGTAAATAAGCATAGAGACTGTTGGCAAGTTATGTTTATCACAAAACAAAGAAGAAGGCACAGAGGGTCCCTTTGACCCTTGAACTTGTGGTTACTAATAGTATTAAGGTTGGAAATCATGAGGAAGGACACAGAACATAAACTGGGATCTTGAAGACAGGCATGTTGATAAAAGTAGCCCTGAAGCCTTAATATTAGCAACATCGAAGATGGGAAAGACAGGATTGATTTATTTGGGAACTAAGTTTACACATTATATGTCTCAATATAAAACAAAAGCTATGGCTTTAGAGTTTAACAGGTTAAAAAAAAATAGGAGGAAAGGCAAAACAAATGTAAGAATAGTTTTTAATCCATTTTCTCACAAGCAGTGCACAGTGGGCCGGCAGGTACTTAAGTACCTTATCCTAATCCTGGATGTGCTCATACAGGCTGTCAATTTGGGTCCGAAAGTATTTGGAAAGCTCTCCTCGCTTTGCTTTCAATGTTGGTGTCAAGAGCCCATTTTCAATGGAAAATGGCTCTGGATGAAGAAAAATGGCTTTGACCTGGAAGATGAACACACACACATCCATGCTCATTAGTGATTTGGACTTCTCTGCAGAGCCCCCTGAGTGCTCTGTGAAGAAAGTGAGGTTGATGCAGTGAAAGGGTAAAGGTAACAGTAACACATGCCCATTCCCACAAACATAATTTAAGAAAGTAATGAGTAGGGAGAAGGGAGAATGGACAATAAACAGCAAAAAAAGGGCGCTGTACAAGTAACTACAAAAGGTCATTTTGTAGTTAATGGCACAAAATCTAAAATCAATTCCTTAGAAATTATACATTTAAACCTCATTAGATGGAAACTTTAAACAAAACTTTCTGACAAGAGGCCAGTATAACATCAGTGGTAGCACACACCTGTTCAAAAGTTTTAAGGCCACTTTCTTTCCCAATTTTCTGCAAGTCTTCTAAAATGGCTTCCCTTACAACCTAAGAATACAAAACATCACTTAAAGCATGGCTGTTTCAAAAAGCCTGAAGGGCTAAGCATGAACCAACTCAAAGTGCCTGTCAAAGCCATGCAGTATGAAAGCAGGAATATAAAACTATGCACAAGCACATTATATGCCCAATATTGAAAGAAAAACTGAGAAGAAAAGGCACATCTAAGTGTTAACAGTTTTCTCTGAATAGCATTTTTACTCTTCTTTCCCAATCTTTTCCCACAATGAACATATTATTTTAAATAGAAAAGAGAGTTTTATTTTTTAAACTCTCCATCCTATCCCCGAGTCCCATAAAACTATTCAGTCTGTTTGGGCTGCAGCCACTTGTGACAGATGCAGGAACTGGTGAGGCATCCTCTCCTCCACGATGGGCCCATGGGTGTGCATAAAGCTTTCCTAGGCAAGACTTACTTGGTTTTGGCACAGTTCCTCAAAGGAGCCCTTCACCCCAAGCTTGGCTGCAAATGAGGGAAGTACATCTGTGTCAGGAACCACCACTCCTACTAAGGATGACTATGGAAAGGAAATAAAAGGTGCAAGGGCATGAGAGAAGTTATGTAGGGATGTCCCCCAGTAGTTAAATAAAGCAGAATTATGTCATTGTAATAGTTATTTCCCCAAAACCTTAAATCCAGTACTAGTGTTCTTTTCTCACCATATATTTTCAACACCATGGAACTGTAATCCCATTTTCCCACTCAATATCTCATTACAAAGATGTTCCATTCAAATCTGATCCTTCAACATTAAGCTTAAAGCGCCTCTGGCTTGTCCATGTCAACTCTCCCCTTGTCCCCTAAAAGCTACATTTAAGCACAGTGTGTATAAAACAGTTCGTTGTTTTGGGATAAGGAGTTCCTTAAAGCTACGTTTAAGCATAGTATGTATAAAACAACAGTTTGTTGATCAAACTTTTGTTTGTTGCTTTATATATATTGCAACAGTTTGTTGTTTTATACATACTGCTCTTAAACATAGCTTTAAGGAACTCCTTAAGGAATGGGAACTAAGTGCAATGTGGAGCTCATTTTTTACTGAATCATTACCTTTTAGTATAGCCATTCTAAACAATTCTACTGACTTGTGTACAACGTCCATCATAGTTTTGAAATTTTTTAAATTGAAATTGCCTTATTTGAGGTTTGGAATGTAACTTCATTTTTTTTTTTTTTTTTAGTTTTATAAGCTTGGATCTTCTCATTCTGAACCCAACTATACAAATTTCCTGTAGCTACAAGAACCAGCATGGTTTGTGACTGAAATGGGCTATTGTTAAAATGATATATTACCCGTAAGCTCTCCCCGTGTACAAAAATTTGTAACACTGGTTGACTCCTGTTGTAGATATTTTCTATCTTCTCTGGTGCAATGTATTCTCCTTGGGCCAGCTTGAAAATGTTCTTTTTACGGTCGATGATCTTCAGAGTTCCATTCTACATGAGACAGATAAAAGTATCAGTATTTTTGAGCCACAGAGATGATATCAGTGGGGAGAGTGGTGAAGTCACAGTCATCTTTCTTCTCTAAAGCTGATTTCTCCAGAGACTTTTGAGCTGTCTTTCATTTCTCTTTCTTGGCTTTGGTGAAAGGGGAGGGAAGCATCGTGCAGCAAGAACCTGTCTTTACTGTATATCTATGTGGAGAGTCAATGCGCAGCCTTAGAGAAAGTCTCCTGGATCTACTGGAGTTATGCAAATTGATGCCTCATCCAAGGAAGAAATTGCACAGCTCTCAATTTCCAATCACTAATTTCCAATTAGTTCATTTTCAGAACTCTCAGAAATAGAGGTGTTGTCTTTTGTTTAGACTTTTGATTTGATTTGAATAGTTCTCCCACCACTTGACTCCCTGTTATGTTTTCCTCCTTGTTAGATCCGGGAGCAGGCTCAAACAGCTCCACTGTGCTAATCAAGCAACTCAATTACTGGGCTTGTTAGGACAGCAACAGGGCTGAGAGGACTCTGACCAGCCACCAAAGGTCATTTGCAGCTTCATTTCTCTGAACTAATTGGTCTGAGGAGCTTAGGTCTTTAGGGATTTGAATTGTAGAATTGGGACAAATGGCAAATAAAATCCACATGCTAACACCCTAAGTAGGGCGACTAACTAAACCAACACTGGAACTATCACAAGGCCGACTTGATAAATTAGCCATCAATTCAGCCTAACGTTCATTATCTGAAAGTGATTAATAAGGTGCAGCCTTCTATAACCCTGGTGTGGGGACATATCTGTTGCTTACATCCTAGGCTTATTAGAGTGTTATTTAATTCTGTTACTAGACAGAAACAAATATATTAGCAAGATACTACCAAACCCAAATCAATAAAATGCATCGTTAGGACCAGTGTTCTTAAAAGTTACATTGTCAAGCATTCCTTAAATCTCACTTAAATCTTAAATATTGATTGAGCAAGAAAGGAGTTTTAAGTTCTAGTGACATTCCCACTTCCCCAGCACATAGTTAAGACAAAACTTTTGAGAGGGAAGATCTTTTGGGAAATCCCATCACTGCCCTTGCAATAATTTCCTTTCTTCTTAGGAAAACTAATAGCAACTACTGCTAATTATCAAGCTATGCTAAAAATATGTCTCTGTATCTTCCACAGAAAGGGGCTGTGAAGGTCAATGAGAGACAAACACTAGCCTCTGCAAACACTTGATTTAGAAATCCTTCTTCCTTGTTTTGATATGCCTGTGAATTAATAGGGAGGATATTTATCCCAAGAAACTCATAAGAGGCAAAAGCTGTGGACCAACGGCATTATCAAACCAAAGTTTTTTGGGTTTTTGTTTTGTTTTGTTTTGGTAGACACAGAGTCTTGCTATGTTGCTCAGGCTGGTCTCAAACTCCTGGCCTCAAACAATTCTCCCTCCTCAGTCTCCTAAAGTGTTAGGATTATAGGCGTGAGCTGCCACACTTGGCTTCAAACCACAACTTCTGCCTCAAGAAAAGTTAAGGGGGAAAAAAAAAGGACAGAGTAGTACATCTCCCTTCCCCTTTCCTAGAGAAGTCACCTAATTTTTCCCTGGCTGGTAGCAAATTTATTCCATTGCAGGGGACCCATGCCAACTCTGATGTGCAGGTCTACCTGACCTGTTAAAGAATCCCACCTTCAGTTTGGGTCTAAAAACAGTGCTAGGATCACTGACTTACTGCTTGCTGGTTGTATATTCGATAAGGAATAAGGCAAGAAGAAAACACTTCAACTGGTCTACATCTTGGTGTCTTCTGTAACAGTGTGATCAAAATACCAAAAGTACTCTGGCAGTACTTCTGGTGTGGTAGCTTATACCAGCAATCCCAGAACTTTGGGAGGTCAAGGCAAGAGGATTGCTTGAGGCCAGGAGTTTGAGTCTATCCTGGTCAACTCAGCGAGACCCCATCTCTATAAAAATTTTTTTTTAAGAAAGACTTTCTAGCTTTGGCAGCTCCTATTCACACGTTAAATTACTTTCTCAGAATTTTATATTGTTGATCCATGGAAGAGCTGCAACCAGAACACAAATCTCATGACTTCCAGCCTATATATATATATATATATATATTTTTTTTTTTTTTTTTTTTTTTTTTTTTTTTTTTGAGACAGAGACTCGCTCTGTCCCCCAGGCTGGAGTGCAGTGGTGTGATCTTGGCTCACTGCAAGCTCCGCCTCCTGGGTTCAAGCCATTCTCCTGCCTCAGCCTCCCGAGTAGCTGGAACTACAGGCGCCCACCACCACGCCCAGCTAATTTTTTGTATTTTTAGTAGAGACGGGGTTTCACCGTGTTAGCCAGGATGGTCTCGATCTCCTGACCTTGTGATCCGCCCGCCTCGGCCTCCCAAAGTGCTGGGATTACAGGTGTGAGCCACCATGCCCAGCCTTTTTTTAACTTAACCTAGATTCTTTCAATTGTATGTTCTTTTTTTTTTTTTTTTGAGACAGAGTCTCTGTCACCCAGGCTGGAGTGCAGTGGCACAATCTTGGCTCACTGCAACCTCTATCTCCTGGGTTCAAGCGATTCTCCTGCCTCAGCCTCCCAAGTAGGTGGGATTACAGGTGCCCGTTACCATGCCCAGCTAATTTTTGTATTTTTAGTAGAGACGGAGTTTCACCATGTTGGCCAGGCTGGTCTTGAACTCCTGACCTCAGGTGATCCACCACCTCAGTCTGTATGTTCTTCTCTGGATAGTATGAGGAAGTCATAAGCCAGGTAGGGTACAAACCTAATCCCCTCCAGCTGCCTCAGCTGATTAACCTACTTGCATTTCTGCACCTCTTGCTATAAGCAGATTGTTCTTCTCAGTCCATTAGCATAGACTTCCAGGAGTTCTGATGATATACCTACCGGGAGCCAGCGACCAATGTCTCCTGTGTGAAGCCAGCCATCACTGTCCAGGGCTTCCTGTGTCTTCTCAGGGTCCTTCAGGTATCCTTTGAACACGTTTGTACCCTTGATGCAGACCTGCACAGCAGACATACAAGGCGGTGACAATAGCAAAGGCTGCTCCTCCCAGCGTGGGCAGTTTATGAAACACCTGCTCCCCTTAAATCATTTGATGGCTTCCACTACACTGTGAAGAGCACCAGATCTAAGTCTCCACTATAGGGGATAGGAAAGTGAAGTTCAGAATGCTTAATTCTTTGCTAACAATCTCAAAGGGGCCAAATCCAAGTTTGCTTACAATTATTTGCTCTTTCTGATATAAACCTCCCCACCATGACTGTCTGACCACAGGGCATGACCTACCCACCTCTCCTTCATTATTCACTGTAAAGTAGTTCATGTCAGCCACATCTTCCAGCTTCACGTAATTGCAAGCCAGGGGCACCCCAACGTGACCTAGAACATACCGTGCTGAATTAGCTGAGAAACTCTTGCATGGTGATAATTCCAGGCACATTTCTAAGATATTTATGAATTGACTCTAGAAGAGGAAGACTGAAAAATCACCTGGCACCAATGCAGACTAGCCAAGATAGGCAGGCCTGGACCCAAAACTTGAATTTTGCATTTGCCACATTAGTCCAGAGAACTGAAGTTATCTAAACTCCAAAGTCCTAGTTCAGTTAGAACCTTTCTCCCAACCATGGCACCTCCTGCCCAGCAGATGGAGGACTTACCTGATGTCCAGTCCCCAGGTAATGTAAATGTACAGCCACCTGTGCATTCTGTTTGACCATAAGCTTCATACACCTGGGAAACCAAAGAAGAGCTTTTAGACTTACTCAAGATAAAGTGTGAGCTGGCCACGTGCTATGGTCAAGACACGAGGAAAGCAAGGTCTCTAAGGGTTCGAGACCACTTAGTGTCTTAAAACCTTGAACTTGGAGGGGGCGGTGGCTCATGCCTGTAATCCCAGCACTTTGGGAGGCCGAGGCGGGAGGATCACCTGAGATCAGGAGTTTGAGACCAGCCTGGCCAACATGGTGAAACCCCATCTCTACAAAAACACAAAAAAAATTAGCTGGGCATGATGGCAGGTGTCTGTAATCCCAGCTACTTGAGAGGCTGAGGTGGGAGAATCTCTTGAACCTGGGAGGCAGAGGTTGCAGTGAGCTGAAATCACGCCATTGTACTCCAGCCTGGGTGACAGAGCGAGACTCCGTCTCAAAAAACAAACAAACAAACAAACGAACAAACAAAAAACCTTGAACTCATACCCAAGCTGCAAAGTATTTACTACCAAGCCTTCTGGCCATTCAGAAACCAAAAGGGTCTGGAAATAGACCAAAGCATAGAACTTTATATGAAAATGCAGCATTTTGGCCAGGCATGGTGGCTCATGCTTGTAATCCCAGCACTTTGGGAAGCCAAGGCGGGAGGATCACCTGAGGTCATGAGTTCGAGACCAGCCTGACCAACATGGTGAAACCCCATCTCTACTAAAAATACAAAAATTAGCCGGGCCTGGTGGCACATGCCTGTAATTCCAGCCACTCAGGAGGCTAAGGCAGGAGAATTGCTTGAACCCAGGAGGCGGAGGTTGCAGTAAGCCGAGATTGTGCCATTGCACTCCAGCCTGGGTGACACAGTGAGCGAGACTACATCTCAAAAGAAAAAAAAAAGAAAAAAAAGAAAAGAAAATGCAGCATTTCAAGTAGGTGGGAACATGTAAGTTATTCACTAAGTGGTGTGCAACCCAATAGCAATTGAACTTGACCCTGAGCAATGGAGCATCACTGAAGGAACTGAAGAAGGGGAGTAGTATTTTTTAAGGGAAATAGCCCCCACTATGATATAAAACAAGGGTGGGCAAACTTTATCTGTACAGGCCAAGATAGTAAATATTTTCCACTTTGTGAGCCATCTGGTATCTGACTCAAAACTTGACTCTGCCAAAATAGCACAAAAGCAGCCACAGTCCATATATAAATGGATGGACATAGCTGTATTTGAATAATATTTTTAAAATAAAAACCAGCTGCAGACTAGTTTTAGCCAGTGCTACAATTTGCCAATCCTTGGTATAGAAGATAATCTTGACTGGAGAGAGGCTGGGGGCAGGAAACAAGTTCAAGGGCTGCTGCAATGGGGGGTGTGGCCTGTGATAGGCAGAGTTGGGAGAGAGAGGAAGGCTTAGAGAAGACATTTCGGGAAGGAGTTAGCAACAGGACCTGCTGATCTATTGGTTTTAGGGGCTTAAGGAAAGGACAGTATTAAAAATGGCTAAGAGGATGCTAATTTGAAGGACCTCAGGCCTTGGCATCATTCTGGAGTCTCTTTTGATTGTGGTTATACAGATAGGGGACTCATGAGGAAAAGTCTATGCCTGTTTTGTTCATGCTCTGCATGGTTGGTTGAATGAATGAACTAATTATCCATCTGGGTGAAAATTGAGACAATATGCATGGCCAAGCACTTGGACAAATTTCAGGTGGAACTGAGACTTAAAAGGAAAAAATGGAAAATGGTAAGTTTGCCAGAAAATAAGGGTGAAACAGTCTTATGAAATATTGGGGGTTAGGAAGTCCTGTCTAAGCAGTTTAAAACCTACAAATAGAAAAGATTATTTAGTTTGACTATAAAAACATTGGAAATTTTTATATGGCAATACACAGGGCAAAAATGATGAGACCAGGAAAAATGTTTCCAACATGACAAAAGTTAATATTACAGGTTGACTATTCTAATCCAAATGTTTGAAATCCAAAATGTTCCAAAATCCAAAACTTTTTGAGTGCCAACATGATGTTCCAAGGAAATGCTTTTTGGAGCATTTCAGATTTTGGATTTTCAGATTCAGAATGCTCAACTGTTTTATAATGCAAACATTACAAAATTGGAAAAAAATGCAAAATTCAAAACACTTTTAGTCCCAAGCATTTCAAATAGGGAGATACTCAACCTGTATTACTCTGTGAAGAACTCTTAGAAATATAAAAAAGGACCAAATTATCTTTTGCCTGTTTTTCTATAAGGAAGTAATAGAATAATTCATGGATAAAATATACATGTCAATAAGCAATAGAAAGATGTTTGGTGTAAATAAAAGAAACAAAACTGTAATAAGATTTTTCATTTATCTGATTAGCTAATATCTGAATGACTGATAAAGTCTGTCACTGGCAAGAGCATGGGCAAATAAGGCCTTGTATACTTGCAGAAATGTGCAAAAAAGATCTTTCTGGAAGAAAGTTTGATAATATACATTATTACACACACACACACACACACACACACACAGATACATTGTGTGTATTACTTTGACCCAATAATCCCTTCTTGCGTGGATTTATTCTAGATTATTAATTGATTATAACAATGAAAAATATCATAAGCAACTCAAGTGTCCATTAATAGGAGATTAGTTATTTGGGTACGGTTGACCCTTGCACAACACAAGTTTGTATGGCACAGCTCCACTGATAGGTGGATTTTCTTCTGTCTGTGCTGCCCCTGAGATAGCAAAACCAACCCCTCCTCTTCTTCCTCCTCAGCCTACTCAACATGAAGACAGTGAGGATGAAGACCTTTATGATGATCCATTTCCACTTAATGAATAGTAAATATGTTTTCTCTTCCTTATGATTTCTTAAATAACATTTTCTTTTTTCTAGCTTACTTTATTGTAAGAATACAGTATATAATACATATACAAAATATGTGTTGATTAATTACATTATTGGTAAGGCTTCTAGTCAATAGTAGTCTACTAGTAGTTAAGTTTTTGGGGAGTCAAGTATTTTTTTTATTTTTATTTTTTTGAGATGGAGTCTTGCTCTGTTGCCCAGGCTGGAGTGCAGTGGCGCAATCTCAGCTCACTGCAAGCTCCACCTGCCGGGTTCACGCCATTCTCCCGCCTCAGCCTCCCGAGTAGCTGGGACTACAGGCGCCCACCACCACGCCCAGCTAATTTTTTTGTATTTTTAGTAGAGACAGGGTTTCACCTTGTTAGCCAGGATGGTCTCTATCTCCTGACCTCGTGATCCGCCCGTCTCAGCCTCCCAAAGTGCTGGGATTACAGGCATGAGCCACCATGCCCGGCTAGGGAGTCAAGTATTATACATGAATTTTTGACTGCCATGGGGGTAGGCAATCCTAACTCTTGCATTGTTCAAGGGTCAACTACATTCAGTAAACTACTGTGAAATCATTAAAATGATGCTGAGCTTTATTTGACAAGGAGCAACATTAACAAGTGTTTTAGAGCACTGGTTTTATTTATGTGAAGGTTTCTACACACAGATGCCTGAAGAGATGGTTAGAAGGATATTTTCTTTGGATTTTGAGAATTTAGGTGACTTTCATTTTGGTACCTTTTAGTTGTTTTCATTTTTATTTAAACAGTGAGCCTGTTTGTGCAAAAGTAAAATAGCCTATTCTCAAAGAAGGTGCTTGGCTTACCTGACATCCCATTGCTGCCCGGAAGAATGTCATGACTGAAGTGGACATGGGGGCAGCTCCAGTGACAATTACACGAACCCTTCCGCCCAGGCTGTCCTGTTCAGTGGAAACAAAAGACATACTAAAACCTATTCTCTTGGCTTCAATTTCCTCCACTGTAGAGTGGGTATAATAGCCTGTGCAGCGTTGTTATGAGAATTAAACTGACATCAATTCTCACGTTAATTTACAAAGCACTTAGAATACAGTCTGGATTGTAGAAAAGCACTTAAAATGTTAGCTATTATTGTCATCACTATCCATAGCTGGGACCAGAAGCCATATATTTCTCAAATAATTTGTATTCTTCAGCCCCTCAAATTGCTTATAATCTCAACAGACCACCAAAGAAAATAAGAGAGAGTGCTAGAACCTAAATAAAACTTTTTTTTTTTTTTTTGAGATAGAGTCTGGCCCTACTGCCCAGGCTGGAGTGCAGTGGTGCTATCTCAGTTCACTGCAACCTCCACCTCCTGGGTTCAAGCGATTATCCTGCCTCAGCCTCCCATGTAGCTGGGATTACAGGCACCCACCACCACGCCCGGCTAATTTTTGTATTTTTAGTAGAGACTGGGTTTCACCATGTTGGTCAGGCTGGTCTTGAATGCCTGACCTCAGGTGATCTACCCACCTAGGCCTCCCAAAGTGCTGGGATTACAGGTGTGAGCCACCACACTCAGCCTGCTTTTTTTTTTTTTTTTAAACCTACTCCCTTTAGTAGTAAAGTGGTACAAGAAAGATCTCAAAAGGCAGTGGACACAAAGTCTGAAAGGATCTCTAGTTAAAGTGACGCTCAAGCAGCAGAGGAAAAGCAAGGTCTAAGGAGTCAGAAGGCAGCCCAGGTATTTGCCTGCTTCAGTCCAGGACCTGCCCAACCTACCTGGATCTTTGCAAAGATGAGCTTGTCCCAGAAACTATCATGCCTGATGATACCCTTTTGAAGCTCTTTGAATTTACTGGAAACAGCCAGCTTCAACAAGAACTTCTTCAAGGGTGTCTTGGCCTCATTTTGTACCTGCAGAGTGATAGCTCCTTTTAGTTGGAAACCTATTGGAGATACTCATCAAAGCCATTAGTGAGCAAGAAACAGTGTGTTCTAGCTTTATAAGGAAGTGGTCTCACAGTCTCACAGTCATGAATTGGATTGCTGAATAATGATGAGCCCAGAGAATTATGGCCATGCTCAGAAAGAAGTGAACTTAATGCAGAGCTCCAGTCCTCCCACTTCCTGCCCCAATTTTTAGTCCTTGGGAAACAACTTGACAACTGAGATAAAGAGGGACTGCCTAAAAAGTCACCTGGGGGGTACTAGATTTAAAACAAACAAACAAACAAAAAACACAGCTCAATGGGCACCACTTCTAGGGCTTTTGATTTAGTAGGTCAAAGGGCAGCCTACGAATCTGATTTTTTTTTTTTTTTTTTTTTTTTTGAGACAGAGTCTCGCTCTGTCGCCCAGGCTGGAGTGCAGTGGCGCCATCTCGGCTCACTGCAAGCTCCACCTCCCAGGTTCACGCCATTCTCCTGCCTCAGCCTCCTGAGTAGCTGGGACTACAGGCACCCGCCACCACGCCCAGCTAGCTTTTTGTATTTTTAGTAGAGACAGGGTTTCACCATGTTAGCCAGGATGGTCTCAATCTCCTGACCTCGTGATCTGCCCGCCTTGGCCTCCCAAAGTGCTGGGATTACAGGCGTGAGCCACCACGCCCGGCCCAGGAATCTGATTTTTTAAAACAAGTATCATGTCTTCCTCCCTCTCCCTCTGTAATGCTTATATAACTGAACTTGGAGAATTCCCACCCTTCCCTATAAACAAGGTGTCTTTAGCCACACCATACAAACCCCAACAGAGTTTCCTACCTTCCTACTAAAATGATTTCTTCCCTTTGGGCTTAATTCTGACACCATTTTTCCAGCTCGCATGATTTCCCTGGTCTCCCTGACTCTGACCTCACTGTGACCCTACATTCCATCAACCACACTCCTGCCAAAGGAGAGCTTCCCCAAGTACAGCTCAAAGTGACCCCTTATTTCCAAAATTTAGTCCTGAACTCTTATCTGGCTTTCAAGATTCCACCCTACTGGAAGTCAGATTCAAGGCAATTGAAGTCTTTTTTCTTGTTCAAAATTTGAAGAATCCCTCTCCATCCATCTTCCATGTTTATAACCCCATTTTTGGGCCTCCAGCCAAGCAGGGGTGATAATTTTCATCTTCTAATGTAAATTGTGCTCTAGGACATAAGCATCTTCTTATGCCTATAACATTATCATTGTACCAGTATGTCATAATCTGTCTCCAAGATCCATGCTCAAATGCTTCCTGCATCATGCCATTCTTAGAATCTCCCTCAACTAAAAGAGATTTATCTTTCTTCAACATTCACAAGACTCACCCTCCCTCAACAAGTCACTGACAAAGAGCTAGTATTAGAGACGTGTGCTAATAAAGTCCTTCATTTTAAAAATACATTCCAGGGAGATCGAGACCATCCTGGCTAACACGGTGAAAACCCGTCTCTACTAAAAATACAAAAAATTAGCCGGTCGTGGTGGTGGGCACCTGTAGTCCCAGCTACTCAGGAGGCTGAGGCAGGAGAATGGCACGAACCCGGGAGGTGGAGCTTGCAGTGAGCCGAGATCGTGCCACTGCACTCCAGCCTGGGCGACAGAGCGAGACTCCGTCTCAAAAACAAAAACAAAACAAAAAAAAAATACATTCCAGAAGTGAACTGTGTATTAGGTATTATATTATACAATAACTATCTCTGAAAAATAAAAAATGTACAACAACAACAACATATGAACAAAAACCATAACAACCACCAAATCTACTAATTGCGTAGCATGGTAAGAAACTGCTGGAATTGTTATCAGTTCTGCTAGAACACTGCCTGCCCTGTCACCAGAGCCCATTTAGCATCTGCTGAGAGTCCTAAGAGTGAAAGGAAGAGTTAAAATCTTGGAGGTGGTTGGGGAGGTGGGGGAGGGTTCCAAAGCATGTGAAGAATGGCCATGCATTACTTCCTCACGGATCCCAGCCCGAGGAATCATCACATACTATATTGCCTGGGTTCAAATAGCTTCAACGGCTCCCTGAAGCAATCAGACACTCTAAGAATTGGGTGAGAAATATACAAGATGAGGTTGAGACATCTTGTGCCAGAAACCAAGGAAGCTATCAGAGGCTACAGGGGTATTGTCAAAAGGACACATGAGCAACTTGATGAGGTTTCCCAACTGCCACGATGGGGCAGTTAGAAGATCAAGAAGAAAGACTAACAATTTGGGAGGCTGAGGTAGGGTGATCACTTGAGGTCAGGAGTTCGAGACCAGCCTGGCCAATATGGTGAAACCCCATCTCTACTAAAAAATATTAAAAAATTAGCTGGGTGTGGTAGTGCACGCCTATAATCCCAGCTCTCAGGAGGCTGAGGCAAGAGAATCACTTGAACCCAGGAGGCGGAGGTTGCAGTGAGCTGAGATCGTGCCATTGCACTCCAGCCTGGGTGACAGAGTGGGACTCTGTCTCAAAAAAAAAAAAAAAAAAAAAGAATCACTGAAATTAAAAAAAAATCTGAAAATTATGAATTCCTAAAAATACAAAGAGAAAATCTCATTGGCTACTTTTGAAGATTGCTGAGGCACAAATCCATTCTTCTGAAGATTGATAAATAAAAAGAATCAAATATTCACCAGGTTTTATGGAAGAATCTCAGCTAATGAATGCAAGAGGAAGACAGAATTACAGAAATCACCATTCTGTAATTTCTAATGAAAAATAGAGCAGTGCTAGTCATCAACATGACTAGCCGACATGACTACTGAAACATGACTACTGAAAGCTTAATTCTGCCCTACCCCTTATTAGATGTGACTCTGGGCAGGTTATTTAACCTCTGAGGCTCATTTTCCTCATCATAAGTTAGAAATAATAGGTGTAAGTATGATTTACTATGATTTTGTGAGGATTCAATGAGAGGATGCATCTGAAATGTATATCATGGGGCCTGGCACTTCAGAAAGGGAACAACTTCCCAAGATGTCTGCTGAACCCTGAGGGGCCCCCCAAGTCTCTTAGTCAAGCTTTCTTCAGATCAGGTCCAAGTCATCTTATCCAAGGAAAAGGGGATTGCACTTATTTATTTTTCATTTTTTAATTTTATTTTTATTTATTTTTTGAGATGGAGTCTTGCTCTGTTGCCCAGGCTGGAGTGCAGTGGTGTGATCTTGGCTCACTGCAACCTCCGCCTCCCGGGTTCAAGCAATTCTCCTGCCTCAGTCTCCCAAGTAGCTGAGATCCCAGGTGCTCCCCACCAGTCCAGCTAATTTTTGTATTTTTAGTAGATACAGGGTTTCACCATGTTGGCCAGGTTGGTCTCGAACTCCTGACCTCAGGCAATCTGCCTGCCTTGGCCTCCCAAAGTGCTGAGATCACAGAAGTGAGCCACCACACCTGGCGGGGATTGTATTTACACACGGCTTTACGTAGATACTTGTAGAGGGTGGAGGTAGAGGTGGAGTAAATCTCATAGTAGTACAGAGTTCCTTCGTGCAGGCCCAAGTCACAGACAGTCCCTTCAGCTGAAAGTTAGTACCTTATCGTAGATCCTGTTAAGGAGTCGAGGCACCGCGGGAAACAATGTGGGCTTCAAAGTCTTCATGTCGTCAGCCAGCAACCGAATATC
Organism: Homo sapiens; assembly: GCF_000001405.40. NCBI lineage: Eukaryota > Metazoa > Chordata > Mammalia > Primates > Hominidae > Homo > Homo sapiens. Next base: position 112,413,217 of record NC_000010.11, on the reverse strand, counting down.
CCCTTGGAAGAATCCAACTCTGGCTCCACAGCTGTACACAACAGCCTGAAAACAAAACCAAATTATAGAGCTTAGAGGCAAACAACCCCTTTAGTGGGGACCTGTCTTGGAAGGAATTCAGGAGGTGGGCTGAGGCAAACAACCCCTTCAGTGGGGACCTGTCTTGGAAGGAATTTGGGAAGTGGGCTGAGGCACACAGACACTTTTCTTGCACAGCACCTCCCTCCCAATTCAGGACTCTGAGAACCTTCCCCCAAGAAAGGATGGACATTTATTTCTGTTGTGGTGGCATGACAGATAAGACAGATATTGAGACTGTGTGGTCCCCCAGACTCCACCACAGGTCTGTGTGACAGTCTAAGATAATCATCCTTTGTAAGACGCAATTCATTATGTGGCACTAAGAAAGCACTGCCAATTAAAGCAGAACCTGCCTTCAATCGTAAGACCATCACAATTTCATAAATTATGTTAAAATATTTTTTAAGATTTCTTAGAATCAATTTTTTTATGAATCAGATATCATTACTTTAGCCCAAAGAACTGAATCTTGCATTTTGGCATTTTAGGCATCAACCATGAGCTTGTTGAAGAGGCATTTGGGGGTAGCGAGGAGCAGAGAGAGAACTTTCCAACCACACTACCTGCGTTTTTGAAAGGCTGACATGGCTCTTGGTTCTCAAATCAGCCTCAAAATAGCCTGAAAAGCCTGGAGTCCACTCACAGAAGAGCAGACCTCCTCCGGTATGCACCATGCTGACAGCACCACCTTACACACTCAGGTGTGCAAAAACCGGCGCGGGGGACATCTCACACCTTATGTAGATCAAATGCTCCTTCCCTGATCCTCTGTAGGGAACTTCCTTTTCTCTAATCCTAGATCTTTTCAAAAATTCTAACCAAAATAAAATTTAAAAAGAAGACAATGTCTTGTGTCAGCTCAGAATTAAGGGCAGATAGATAGTAAGCTCCTAGCTGTGATGTCACTAGACTCACACACCCCCATGAAGGCAGGAGCAAGTACTATCCTCCCTGGACACATGCAGACTTAGCAGAGGAAGACTCTGCAGGAAATGAGGGGCCATGCCATGATTAGGGCTCCCATGAGCCAACTCCTTGCCTGCACCTCTCACACCGGAGAAAGAACAGTAAATACTGTGTAGCTGCCTTTGGAATAAACATGTGATAGCAAGTCAGGACCCCCTTGCCACATACTGCTAGGAACACAGAACACTCACCTGTACAATCCTCTCAAACATATGAGCCAGAGGGAGGTAGGATATGGCCACATCATCAGGAGTGGGCTCATAAGCATGCTATGTAGGCCAGGGAAGTAAGAGGAGGCAACATGAGATTAATGCCAACTTTCAATTCCAATGGAGATTTTAAAACTACCTCCTCCCAGGACTACCACAGACAGCTGTATAGGCGGTACACTGTGTAGATCTGAGATGCCTTGAACTGCATATAGTGTAGAAATTTGCAGTGATCCTAAAAGACCAACGCTTGAAAATGTACAGTCCTCTAAACAAAGAACACGCTGGTGTTTGTCCACACTCCAGCCTTTAACGTGTGTGTGTGTGTGTGTGTATGTGTGTGTGTGTGTCTGCCTGCTCTAACCTCAAAAATAAAAATCTTATGACAGATTCACATTTTAATGAGAGCCTCTTTTTCAACTGACCACTGACCTCCACACATTTGAGAAAGGCAGCAGCATTTGAAACAATATTTTGATGGGTTATCATGGCTCCTTTGGGGTCACCTGTAGGAAATAAGAGGTGGAGAGAAAGATACTTTATGTAGCTAATAGGTAGCCTTTGGCCTTGAAAGAAACTAGATTCAATTGGTTTTATTCCAGAAGGCCAAGAGCATTTCCTGTCACTGTGTCTTTTTGTGGATGGTATATGCCTCTGTTTAGGAATAATTAATGCCCCCGGAGATTCTACTGCTGAATGCATCGTTGGCCTTCTACTACTATGCAGAGCACAGCCATGATTTCAGATAGAAGCACAGCTGCAAAGAAAAATTCAAGTTAACCCTCCTTGTCCCTCTGCCCCACATCTCATGCTGTTTATATGTTTGGAATTCCAGATCTACCAATATTATATAGTGATATGGTTATAAACCTTATAAACTGGGCATACTAGAAAGAATATAACTGTAGACCATGATGGACCACATTAAAAACTATTAAGCATTCTAACAGATGGGTGGATGTAGGGTGGGGTTGAAGCCCTTTATGGAGAACTATCACTGAGTTATCTTGATTGAATGAAACCATTCCAGCGGTGTCAAATCAAGAGAGTGGTGGGTTGGTGGGGGCGGGGGAAAGGACTTTCTGACATCATCTTTAAGACCCCTGAAATCTATTGAATATAAACACCTCCCAATATATTAAATAAAGTGTATTTACTTATGTTTATGTTTTTCCATTTGGGAATTCACACTTAGAAGCCTTAGGCTGTGAGCCCCTAAGTATAGGGCTCTTTAGAGGGAGTATTTACCAGCCTACCAGTGGCCAAGAATTGAAGCCATGTTCTTGGCTGACCAGGGGTCTAAGGTTCAGTTTCATGGGCACAGACCTGTGGTCCCACTGGTGAAGCAGATGACGCTCAGGTCTTCTGGGCTAGGAGGCTGGAGGAGGAAGCACAAGGGCTTATTCCACCATGAACTTTGAGAGTTGACTATGGCAAGGCTCAAATTCAGGCAGAAGAAAACTTACCACAGGTTTTCTGAAGTGCTCTTTGCCTAGGTTCTATGTGAATGGAAAACCAAGAAAGAAAGACATTAGTTGAGATGGACAGACTGTGATAAATGTGGCCCTCTCCCTCCCTTTCCCGTGAGAACATCTCTATGGGAATATAAGCAAAATTCCAACCTGGATCAGGACCAGAAGCCAACATTCAGGAACAATGGAAGCCCCAGGGAAGAGCATAAGATTTCTCTAGAAAATCATCTACCTATAGAGGGTAGATTGCATGTTCAAACTTCCCATTGTACTCTTAAGTTTCAGTCATCTAGGGCCCTAACTAAATCTTTTTTGAAAGAAATGAATAGCTAACATTTTCAGAGCTTATTACATATCCATCACTGTCCTGAGAAATCTACATATATGAATTAAGCTAACTCTTTACAAGACCTCTGTGAGGTAGTGATTATTTTTATCACCATTTTACGGACCGAGAGAAGGGAGATGAGATTGCCCAAGGTTGCCTAACAGATGTGGAGCTGGCATGCGAACCCAAGCAGCCTGGCTCCAGGAGCCACATCCTTTAACTATTACTAAACCCCTATTTATATATTATCCACTTAGAAGTCCATACAGCTGGCCACAGAACTTTGTCCTCTCCTGGCATGAGTTTCAAAGTTGTCTTGTGGAAATTATTCTCAGAGCTTCACAGCATGAGTCTAATCTACTCCTCACGTGCCACCCCTGGAGAACAAGAACACTGTCCTCTTGGGAAGGTATCTTGCAAGTTGCCCAAGGTGTTGGACAAGCATTGGAGCTGCAAGCTAAATTTCAGATCCATACCTCAGCATCATATAGGGATAAGATCTCAATTCCACTCTTCTCCCCTCTTTGCTTCAGGTCATCATCAAAGGGGTCCATAAGGATGATCACCTTCAGGCTCGGGGTGAAGCCTTTCTCTACATTCCCTATCAGCACCAATGCCTTTTGGGGTGTGTCACAGATCACCATGGCGATATCAGCTGGAAGCCAAAATAGAACCAGAGGTCATTCCCTCTCTCTGCTAAGTACCTGATTGCCTTGCAAGAAGGAAGAGGTTTTAAAAGTTTTCAAAGCTAACAGGTGTCCAAAGGAGATTACACCTGCAAATCAGATTTATAATGTACAACCTGAAACATTCCATTGATGATAAATGAACTTAACTGAAACAGAAGCACATGTTCTTGAACTGTGCCAGCAGATTTTACAGTTTCTAGAGGAACCACAGAATTCCTTCTGCTTAAGAAGTCATTCAGATAACCTAAACAGGTTACTGAGGTGTGGTTCTATCACTGTTTTATTTGAGGAGGATAGTAGGGAATAGAAGAAAAAGAAGGGGGCAAATAGGATTTTTAGCTGACAAGTATTTTACAATTCTAAATTTTAGCATTTGCTTTGATGCATGTTTAAAGTTTCAAATGATGTTTACTGTGCAAATGGACTTACTCACTTAATCTACTAGTCCCATGACAGAAGGTAACATGTTGGATATGTGAAAGGGCTGTTACTTGCCCATCAAATTTGGACTTGTTTCTCTAACAACGACAATTATTTTCTGCAGACTCACCATGGACATTGGTACATGCTGGTTAACTGTATTGACTTGGATTTACAAAGGTAGGAAATTAAATCTGTAGCTTTACTGTGATTAAGTCAATTAAGCTCACTCTCTGGGCTTTTATCTAGTGTGTTCAGAGTGAGTAGTCTTGTCTCTATATCATCATACCATGTCACCCTGACGCATGTCATTGAAACTTCTTTCTGTGTGTATCTCTGCTTCATGGGCTTTTTGTAGCTTTCCTGAAAATTATATCCTAAGTACTACAAAACTAGAAAGACTTGAACATTTTCCGACCACAGCATTTCAAGTTTGCTTAAACAAACAAACAAATAAACAAAAAAGCAGAAATTGAAGAAATACTCAGCATTGAGAAAGAATCAAGTTGTAATGTAACAGCAAAATTTTACCCTTGTTGACAATATGTACGATGGCTTCTGGTCCCAAGGTGTCATACAGAGGTACAGCTACCATAGAGTACGTGTAACAAGCCAATTCGGAGATGATCCACTGTACAGAGAGAAGTTCAAGTAAGGACTGGAGGGCACACTGAAGAGTACCAGTTCAGTCATTCAGCCAACAAATGCTGTCTGGTTTTTTGTCTTGTTTTGTTTTGCTTTTTTTTTTTTTTTTGAGACAGTGCCTCACTCTGCTGCCCAGGCTGGAGTGCAGTGGTGTGATCATAGCTCACTGCAGCCTCAACCTTCCAGGATCAAGCAATCCTCCCACCTCAGCCTCCTGAGTAGCTGGAACTACAGGCACACATCACTATGTCAAGCTAATTTTTGTATTTTTTGTAGAGACGGGATTTCACCATGTTTCCCATTCTGGCATAAAACTCCTAGGCTCAACCTATCTGCCTACCTGGGCCTCCCAAAGTGCTGGGATTACTTATTTGTTGACTTTTATGTAAAAAAAAAAATCACTGTGGGGCCATAGGGACAGTTGTAAATACTGCTATAAAGTACAATTAAATAAGGGAGATAAGAAAGGCACAGGGACAACTGCAATACAAAGGTAGACCAGAATACAAAGGCAGAGTGTGATAAGTTCCATCCGTAAGAGGTATGGAAGGCATTAGGAGCCTTAGGGTGTCAGAGATCACTTTCAAGGGTGAGGAAAGCTATTTGGGACTGCTTGTGGGAAACTGATGAAAACTGGGCAGGGCTTTAGAGGACTAGTAGGATTTGGTTATGGAGGTAGAGGTAGATTAAAAGAAGGAAGTGAATGAACAAAGAATAGTGATATGGTTTGGCTGTGTCCCCATCCAGATCTCATCTTGAATTGTAGTTCCCATAATCCCCATGTGTCGTGGGAGGAACCCAGTGGGAGGTAATTGAATCATGGGGGTGGTTACCCTCATACTGTTTGACGTGGTTTAGCTGCGTACCCATTCAAATCTCAACTTGAGGCCGGGTGCAGTGGTTCATGCCTGTAATCCCAGCACTTTGGGAGGCTGAGATGGGAAGATCACGAGGTCAAGAGATTGAGACCATCCTGGCCAACATGGTGAAATCCTGTCTCTACTAAAAATACAAAAATTAGCTGGGCGTGGTGGCATGTGCCTGTAATCCCAGCTACTCGGGAGGCTGAGGCAGAAGAATTGCTTGAACCCGGGAGGTGGAGGTTGCAGTGAGCTGAGATGGCACCACTGTACTCCAGCCTGGCAACAGAGTGAAACTCCGTCTCACAAAAAATAAATAAATAAATAAATAAAATAAAATCTCAACTTGAATTGTATCTCCCAGAATTCCCATGTGTTGTGGGAGGGACCCAGGGGGAGGTAATTCAATCATGGGTGCTGGTCTTTCCTGTGCTATTCTCATGATAGTAAATAAGTCCCATGAGATCTGATGGGTTTACCAGGGGTTTCCACTTTTTGCTTCTTCCTCATTTTCTCTTGCTGCCACGATGTAAGAAGTGCCTTTTGCCTCCTACCATGATTCTGAGGCCTCACCAGCCATGTGGAACTGTAAGTCCAATTAAACCTCCTCTTCTTCCAGGTCTTAGGTATGTCTTTATCAGCAGCATAAAAACAGACTAATACATTGTTCTCGTGACAGTGAGTGAGTTCTCATGTGATCTGATTTCATAAGGGGCTTTCCACCCCCTTTGCTCTCATTCTTTTCTTTCCTGCCACCATGTGAAGAAGGACATGTTTGCTTTCCCTTCCGCCATGATTGTAAGTTTCTTGAGGCCTCCCCAGCACTGCAGAACTGTGAGTCAATTAAACCTCTTTCCTTTATAAATTACCCAGTCTCAGGTATTTCTTCGTAACAGTGTGATAACGAACTAATACAGACAGCATAACATCATTGTGTGGATACACATTAGCAAGCTTGAAGACTACAGGAAATAAAACTGGAAAGGTAGGTAGGAATCTGCTAGTGATGGGCCTTAAATATCAATGTAGATGTTATGGACTGAATCCTGTCTCCCTGTCACCCCTCCTCCGGCCCAACCCAAATTCATGTTGAAACCCTAATCCCCAATGTGACAGTATATGAGATAGGGCTTTTAAATAAGTAATTAAGGTTAAATGAAGTTTTAAGTGTGGGGTCCTAATCCCTTCCTTCTATGAAGAAGAACGGTCATGAGGGATACATGTGCACAGAGAAAAGGCCGTGTGAAGACAAAATGAAAAAGTGGCTGTCTACAAGTCAAGGAGAGAGGCCTCGGGAGAAGCTAAACCTGCTGACACTCTGACCTTGGATTCCTAGACTCCAGAACTGTGAGAAAATAAATTTCTGTTGTTTAAGCCACATGGTCTGTGTATTAGATTATGGCAGTTCTAGCAGACTAATATACAGTTGCTCCTTGAACACATGGGTTTGAACTGTAAGGGTCTGCTTGTGGATTTTTTTTTTCAATAAAAGTTACATTGAGGGTGCCTATATTTCCTGCCTCTCTTTCCATCTCCTCTACCTCTTCCACCTCTGCCAGGTCTGAGACAGCAAGACCAACCTCTCTTCTCCCTCCTCCTCAACCCACTCAAGGTAAAGATGACTCAGATGAAGACCTTTATAATGATCCACTTCCACCTAATGAATAGTATATACATTTTCTCTTCCTTATCATTTTCTTAATGACATTTTTGTTTCTCTAGCTTACTATATTGTAAGAAAGCAGTATACAATACATATAACATACAAAATATGTGTTAATCAACTACCTATATTATCATAAAGGAAGGCTATTAGTAGTTAAGTTTTGGGGGGGTTATCTGTGGATTTTTTTACTGAATAGGCAGTGGTCCTAACCCCCATGTTGTTCAAGGATTAACTGTATCAGATTAGGTGTTAAGTTCCTAAACTAGAGTCAAGGGAACCTTTTTCTATTGAGGCTGACTGTGACAAGAATGGAGTATGCAGATTCACCTAAAAATGTTGGTGAATATTTTTATATTTGTATTAGCATTAGAAATGGGACTTACAGTTTGTGAACTTTCAACAAGATCCACATAGAACTTAACTCCCCCAAAACTTAACTACTAATGGCTTCTGTCGACTGGAAGCCTTGCTGATAACACAGACAGTTAACACAGATTTTGTATGTTATATGTATCATATGCTGCATTTCTAGGGAGCGTTTGAAGCATAAAAAGACTTCCTCTGGGGATAATGTGCCTAATGACTTAACCAAAACTTGGAGATAAGCTTGATTCTGTCATCTTACTGTCTAAAATCTGCTTCCAACTCACTGTGGAAAGATAGCTATGGCCAGACTCAGTAGCAATGAATGGCTGAATTTACTAGTTCAATTACAAATTGCAAGTTTCAGTTCTAATACTAATACATACTTTCCACAATATCTTCAAGATCTTATTTGGCGGTCCCTCCTAGCTTCCTTATTTTCCTCATGTAACAATCAGACTGACTTCAAAAAACACATGATAGGCTGAGAAAAAAGAGAAGTCCAAACACCTAGGTGAGAGTGCCAGACACTTAACCAGAAATTAAATAGGTTCTGAGTGGTAACTCTTTCAAGTAGAATAAGCATTAGAAAATTTTAACAATAGCTTTGGTAAGGCATTAACAAGTGTTGGAATGCTGGACGGGGAATAGCATTTGAAGTTTTTAAACTTAACCCTGACTCATTTCCTTTAGTTAACTTCAACATAGTTACCTCTGGCCTATTCTGAGCAAAGATGCCGACAAACTGGTCTGGTGATGATTTATAACCTTTATGCAAGAGACAGGAACCCAGGTACTCTGCTCTATCAGACACCTACAAAAAAGAGAGATGGGGTGAGAGAGAGAGAGAAGAGGTCAAGACCAAAAACTGACCAATATCGTATCCTGTAGTTCAGAATACTATGTTAGAAAGAATCTGTCTAAAAACATGGACTCAACTTACCTGTTTGTAAGATAGCCATCTGTAGGGCTGGTTTGGTTTTCTATATCCCAAGCAGGGCCCATTGTCTAAAAACATAATATTAAAAGAAAATCAACTCCAGTTGCAAATTCTCTGGACCAAGGAAGCTAAAAGGAGATTAAGAAGGGGCAAGACACAAAGGGTAAGTCCAACAAGGATTTGAGCTTCTATTATATGTCCAGGAAATTCAAAGTCAGAAAGCACTGAGTCCTCAAAAATGAAGAGTCCTATAAACTATAGTTGAAACATTTAGGAAATGCTACACAAAACAGGAGTGGTTCAGTGTTGAATATGTAACCTCCATGATAATGTAGACATTCAGAGAAAGCCATCCATATGGGGTTAGCCCACAAAACATGACCAAGTGAAAGCCTACAAGTAAACACAAACAGCCTGTATTGAACAATCTTGGATTGAACTTCCCTACAATAAAAACTATGCTCATAAAGATATAAAAAAGTTAAAATATGAATCATCAATCTCATCACCCAAATACCATTATTAACACTGATATATTATCCCATGGCCCTTTTGCATAGTTTGACAGTTATGTTCATTCCCCATGTATAGAATGAATATAATACTTTGATACCTTGCTTCCTCTCCCAATCTGACCTAAGTATTTTCATGTCATTATCTCTTCTCTGTAGTGGTTTCAATGGCCAGTCGATGAAGGGTTCTATTATAGTTGACTTTATTTCATCGTGGGTATTTAGATTGTTTTCAAGCTTGACACTTTAAATTACGCTAAATATTTTCAAATTGATCCTTTTAAATTTAGACCATTTCCTTAGAATAGAGCCCCTAAAATATAATAAGGGAAGGGAATAGGGGCTCAGAACAGTCAGGCTTTTGATACCTAGACCACACTGCTTACTGGAGCAGATGTGACAATTCACTTTTCTCCTATCATATCAAGTTTTAACACACTCTCCTAGACTGCTAAATAGTGTCTTTAAAAACTTTCTTCAAGGCTGGGCGCAGTGGCTCATGCCTGTAATCCCAGCACTTTGGGAGGCCAAGGCGGGCAGATCACCTGAGGTTGGGAGTTCAAGACCAGCCTGCCCAACATGGAGAAACCCCGTCTCTACTAAAAATACAAAATTAGCTGGGTGCAGCAGCACATGCCTGTAATTCCAGCTACTGGGGAGGCTGAGGCAGGAGAATTGCTTCACCCGGGAGGTGGAAGTTGCGATGAGTTGAGATCGTGCCATTGCACTCCAGCCTGGGCAACAAGAGCAAAACTCAGTCTCAAAACAAAACAAAACGAAAATATTTTCAGGTTTGATAGGTTTGAAAAGTTATTACTATAGTCTAAGTTTCTTTAACAGCTAGTAAAGTGGGACCTTTTTCCTTGTTAGGTTTTATTTACTTTCATGACTTGTTTGTTCATGTACTTTGCCCATTTGTATGAGAGTATCTTCTAAGATATCAAGGCTTGTAAAAAAACACGGAAACACACACAGAGGTGTGCACACACTCATGCATTTGTCTTCAGTATTTTTCCAATTTACATCTTGCATTTGACAATAAAAGAATTAAACTTCTGAATATCTAAACTACTCAGCCTTACTTAAAATAAGTTTGGGAACATCCATTTACAAGAATAAATGGCATCTCAGCTTTTAAAGCTAAGTCAAGGAAGTAGTGGTATTAGGCTGAAGAACACACTAAGTGGCTTAGAAGCCCTCACGTCTAAGCCAGAAGGAGGTTGTTATAAGTAGACAAGTAGAAGGGCAGGAAAATGTATAGAGAGGATCTAGTCAAACTGCTAAGAGGAATTCAGGTCTTGCCAAAAGGAATTATTCAGAAAGAGAGTTACTAGGAATTCGGAGGCAAGTAAGTGGACTTCTAGACTAAGAGATGGGAAAAAAAGGAAGGAAAGCAGGGAAGAGATACCCACTCTGATTAAAGAGATATAAAAATGAATGAGGAGGCTGTGTACAGAAAACATTAGTACTTTTGCTTCCAATTGAAACAGCTGCATGAAAGCCTTAGAAGTAACGTCTCAGACTAACTTTCCCTGAAGCATGGCTTTGTCAGAGTGGAAGCCACTTGCTCCCCCAGGGTGTGTGTCTTGGGTGGTCTAACATTGAGATCATTTGTACTAACATTAATCACTAATGATAGCTACCATTTATTAAATGCTTACTCCATGCCAGGCACATTAACTCATCTTCCCAGCTATTATCATTTGTATTGTACTAAGAATTATGAAGGACTGAGACAGCTTGGTTAAGCTCACTCAGCAAGTGGTAGAGCTGATGAATGTCTAAGAAAGTATACTGGGGGCTGGGCACAGTGGCTCATGCCTGTAATCCCAGCAGTTTGGGAGGCAGAGGTTGGCAGATCACTTGAGCTCAAGAGTTCAAGACCAGCCTGGGCAACATGGCAAAACTCCATCTCTATAAAAAATATAAAAAAATTAGCTATGGGTGGTGGCATGAGCCTGTAGTCCCAGCTATTTGGGAGACTGAGGTGGAAGAATGGCTTGAGCCCAGGAGGTGGAGGTTGCAGTGAGCTTAGATCGTGCCACTGCACTCCAGCCTGGGCAACAGAGCCAGACCCTGAAGAAAGAAAGACAGAAGGAGAGAGAGAGAGAGAGAGAGAAAGAAAGAGAAGGTGGGAGGAAGGAAAGAAGGAAAGAAAGAAAGAAAAGGAAAGAAAGAAAGAAGGAAAGAAAGAAAAAGAAAGAAAGAAAGGAAGGAAGGAAGGAAGAAAGAAAGAAAGAAAGAAAGAAAGAAAGAAAGAAAGAAAGAAAGAAAGAAAGAGAAAGAAAGAAAAAGAAAGAAAGAAAGGAGAGAGAGAGTTCCAGGAAGGAATTATACTGCATCTTATCACCTCTTGATTGATAAAAATGCTAGCAGAGGCTGGTGTCTAAGGAATAAGTCAAATAATTAGCCCAAAGGGGCAACAACTCAGGTCTCATTAAACTCTGTGACTTGATCAGCTTCAGCCTACTAGCCAAATGCCTGACCAGGCAACAGCCTAGCCTTTCATTAACTTAGTCAACTCAGACCTGTTCTGTTCTAAGCTGTGGCCATCTACAAAGAGCCCATCCATTAACAAATTCTTGGCAAAGTTGTCCCTCTAAACTAAGTAGAATTCCAACTCTGGTATACAGAATCCCCTGGAAGTGTTGCTAAAAATACAAAGCTTCCTGAGGATTTTTAGGTTTCATTATCTGGAAATTTAATTCAGTGAACCTAAGGTGTAACCAGAAGATATATATTTTAAACAGTAGCCCCAAGTGAGTCTCAAGATAAACAAACTACTAGCTAAGGCTAATGTATGCAACCCCAGATAGGACCAGAAGTGTCATTTTTCTTTTTTTATTTTTTTGAGATGGAGTGTCCCTCTGTTACCCAGGCTGAAGTGCAGTGGCGCGATCTCGGCTCACTGCAACCTCCACTTCCCAGGTTCAAGCGATTCTCCTGCCTCAGCCTCCCAAGTGGCTGGGATTACAGGCACCACCACCATGCCTGGCTATCATTTTTCTATGTAAGTAGCCACACCAGATTTCTCACGCCTGCTTCCATGAGAAGCTATTTCAACGGTATTGGTTTAGGATTTAGTATTTAAAAAAAAATCCTAAATTATATCTCTCATGTGCCACATATCACTTGCTAAATGGCTTGTTTTAGTCACAATAACAACACATCCTCAATAAAGAAAACTTCTAAAAACAGAAAATCACTAGAGCTGAGCATAGTGGCCCACTCCTGTAATCCCAGTACTTTGGGAGGCTGGAGTCGGGGAGGGGGTTATCTCTTGAAGTCAGTTTGAGACTAGCTTGGACAACATAGTGAGACCTTGTCTCTACAAAAAATTAAAAAAATTAACCAGGTGTAGGCCGGGCATGGTGGCTCACACCTGTAATCCCAGCACTTTGGGAGGTCAAGGTGGGTGGATCACCAGGTCAGGAGTTTAGGACCAGCCTGGCCAAGATGGTGAAACCCCATCTCTACTAAAAATACAAAAATCAGCCAAGCATGGTGGCAGGTGCCTGTAATCCCAGCTACTCGGGAGGCTGAGGCAGAGAATTGCTTGAACCTGGGAGGCAGAGGTTGCCGTGAGCCAAGATTGCACCACTGCACTCCAGCCTGGGCAACAGAGCGAGACTCCATCTCAAAAAAAAAAAAAAAAAAAAAGAAAAGAAAAAAAGGAAAAAAAAATTAGCCAGGTGTGGCAGCACATGCCTGTAGTCCTAGCTACTTGGGAAGCTGAGGTGAGAGGATTGCTTGAGTCCAAGAATTTAAAGTTGTAGTGAGCTATATTCTATCACACCACTGCACTCTAGCCTGGGTGACAGAGCAAGATCCCGTCTCTGAAAAAAAAGGAAAAAACCCCAAAGGAAATTATACTGTATTAGACATATACTATCTTAAATTGCCAGAGAAGTAAAGAAACTGATGTTTGGTTTGTTTTTATTTGTTATTTGCATGAAGTCTATAAGTAAATGCTGATTTGGAGCCAGATATACTAAGTACAGGCCCCATCGGACTCTTCAGATAGATGTTTTCTTGACAATAAATCTTTCATTGTCTGGAGGAGTGACTACTTTTATAAAACACTTACGAGCTAACCTAAAATAGAACAACCAAGTCAAACAGACACACTTAGATTTTCCTATCAGCTCTGACATTTTCTAGTTCTATGACCTTGGTAATGGTCTTGAAGCTGTGAGTCTGGGTCCTCATCTTTAAAAATGGCAGTGATAGTAACCACTCTCTATGGTTTAGGGAAGATGAAGTAATATATGTGCAGTAGCTATTGTATAGTTAACACTTGACAGGAGTTGGCTATGAATATGCTCTTAGTCTTAGTTAACATGCAGAAGTCAAGGGACGGATAAAAGTTACACGGCCAGAATGTCACCCAAAAGACCAAAGGCACAGAAAGAGCTATAAGCCAGCAGCTTTTAAAAGTAAACGTGTGTGTGCCAGGCATTATGTTCAATGATATAAGATATAAATATTAAGGCTTGATGTATTCCAAATGAACGTGTCAAAGCCCATTTGGTAGTCTCTAAAAAAGTCCAAAGAAGTGCTAACTTTGGTCAGTAGGATGGTATCAGAGTTAAGGACAAGGTAAGACATCAGGAATCCTGGACTGCTAGTCCTGGCTCAGATTGTCTATCTGTAAATGCAGGGAATTACATTAATGAAAGGCATGTTTCTAAACAAATATGAGGTACTAGTGAGTTAAAGATACTGTCCTATATTATTATCTCCTTGACCCTTTAACAACAGTTTTGGCAGGGACGTTCTTCTTGTGTTGAGAAACAGATTCAGAGAAGCAAAGTGGTCTGCACAAGGTTATGAAGCTGGAAATGGAAGAACCAGGTTTCAAACCTAAGTCCGTCTGACACTGGTTCCAACGCCCATCCTAATACTATGTTCTAATGTTGCCTCTATTTTGCATGTTGCGATTCTACTTGGATCACTGCATCTAAATAGCTGGGGTTTTAGAAGTGAGACAGAGAAAGAGAGATGGGCCACAGACCTCACCTTGTCTTCTTCAGGCAAGGACAGACCACCAGGCTTACCAGACACAGCGAGTCCTCTTTGGAAAACCTCATACATAGTCTTGGCATCTGAGAAGCAGCAACTTGTTAGGTCATTGTTCTTCTGGGAAACCCCCTTCCGTGCTCCTCCCTAAGACACAAGACCAAGTTTAGGCCAAGTTCAAGTCTCCCCTCACTCTTTCCAAAACCTTTATGAATTGAATTAAAGAGACCATAAATGCCGATTTTGAGGTCACGGGAATGTTCTCTTCGCTAGTCAATTGATTTTTAAAAATCCCCAAATCATAGTATGTTTACATCGTAGACATTTTAGAAAATAGGAAAGTGGCTGGGCTCGGTGGCTCACGCCTGTAATCCCAGCACTTTGGGAGGCTGAGGCGGGTGGATCACCTGAGGTCAGGAGTTCGAGACCAGCCTGACCAACAGGATGAAACCCCGTCTCTACTAAAAATACAAAAATTAGCCAGGCATGGCGGCAGATGCCTGTAGTCCCAGCTACTTGGGAGGTTGAGACAGGAGAATGGCTTGAACCGGGGAGGCAGAGGTTGCAGTGAGGCAAGATCGCGCCACTGCACTCCAGCCTGGGCAACGGAGTGAGACTCCGTCTCAGAAAAAAAAAAAAGAAAATACAAAAGTGTAATAAAGGCTTAAGAAAAGTGGATCTGTGGCCGGGCGCGGTGGCTCACGCCTGTAATCCCAGCACTTTGGGAGGCCGAGGCGGGCGGATCACGAGGTCAGGAGATCGAGACCATCCCGGCTAAAACGGTGAAACCCCGTCTCTACTAAAAATACAAAAAATTAGCCGGGCGTAGTGGCGGGCGCCTGTAGTCCCAGCTACTTGGGAGGCTGAGGCAGGAGAATGGCGTGAACCCGGGAGGCGGAGCTTGCAGTGAGCCGAGATTGCGCCACTGCACTCCAGCCTGGGCGACAGAGCGAGACTCCGTCTCAAAAAAAAAAAAAAAAAAAAAAAAAAAAAAAAAAAAAAAAAAGAAAAGTGGATCTGTAATCCCACCCAGAGATTGCCACTGTTATGTTTTTGGTAACCCTCCTGGCATCCATGTGTGTATATATATGGAGGAGAGATGATATGTATAGTTTTATATCTTTTTTATCTTATCGAGTTTAAACTTCTACTGAATGCATACTATGTGTTCTAGGTACTCTGTACATACTGTAGATGTGAGTTAAGACAAAATAGCTGCCCTTAAGCACCTCACACACTACGGTTGTTGGAGTATGGGTAGGTCATAAGGAAAAAATGCAAATATAATACTATGATGTACATGCTATAATGAATTTGGAGGAAATGGATTAGTGGTGGGGATGAAGCAACCAGTTCTGTATTAAGCAGAAAGATTACAGAGAAGAAATGGTATTTCAATACAGACTTTGAAGACAAGTAGGCATTTGGCAAAAGATATGATTTGGGTAGGGTAAAGGAGAAAAAAGAAAATTCCAGAGTGGAGGAACAGCCTGAGCAAAGGCATGGAGGTAAGAAAACGCAGCGCAGAGTTGGGTGGGCAGCTAGAGGACGGCGTATTCAAGAAAAAGGGGGTTAGCTGGCTGGGCGCTGTGGCTCACGCCTGTAATTTCAGCACTTTGAGAGGCCAAGGCAGGTGGATCATCTGAGGTCAGGAGTTCGAGACCAACCTGGCCAACATGGTGAAACCCTCTCTCTATTAAAAATACAAAAATTAGCTGGGTGTGGTGGCAGGCACCTGTAATCCCAGCTACTCGAGAGGCTGAGGCAGGAGAATCGCTTGAACCTGGGAAGCGGAGGTTGCAGTGAGCCAAGATCACACCATTTGCACTCCAACCTGGGGGACAAGAGCGAGACTTCCTCTAAAAAAAAAAAAAAAAAGAAAAAGGGAGTAGCTAGGAATCTATCTGAAATGTCAGCTGGATCTACAGGATCAGGGCCCTGGGATGGACCCTGGAGCTACAACAGGTGCTGCGGGTGTGGTCCAGTGGTCCAACTCTCATGAAGTTTCGTGTAGAGAAGAACAGGCAACAATTAAATAAGCATTCAACAATGTAAATTAGTATCCAAAGTGAGAGCTATAAAAGTACAGGAAAACACACGAGGATGTAACAAGAGATCTGACTTAGTCTAGGACATCAGGGAAAATTTACATGGGCCATCACGTTAAGACAGAAAATAGCAAAAATAAAGTTCCTTGTCTAGTGAAGGAAGACAGGGTCTTGCTGTCTGTTTAAGTGCCTAGTCAAGGAAGAAGGAAGAATCCAAGATGTTTCAGACTATTAACTTTGGCAACTGGGTAAGAAGAGATACATTTAACTGAAATAGAATAGGAAAGGAGGGGTGTGTGTGTGTGTGTGTGTGAAGGGAGAAAACATGCATGAAAAGACATGGAGAGCTTAAGTTACTTAAGCATCACTGAGGTCAGAATAGAAAATCAGATTTCAGTGTCACAGACTTAGGCACATTTTCAAGTCATAAAAGAGGAGGTATTTTCTTAGCTGTGAGAATTTAGATGAGGGTTTGGTAGACTATAATCTGCAGGCTGAATCTGGCCTACCACCTGCCTTTGTAAGTAAACTTTTATCGGAACACAGTCATGCTCATTTGTTTACATGTTGTCTGGTACTGTACTCTTATTCTACAACAGCAGCATTGAGTCGTTGCAAAAGAGCCCATGTGGTCTGCAAATTCTATGCCATTTACTGCCTGGCCTTTACAGCATATGTTTGCCAACCCCTGCTGCAGAGGAATCAAGAGATGCTGAGAATAAAACCCTATTATGAAGAGAGGAAAGAACAAAGAAAGATTGTTTTGAAATTAGGAAGAAATCTCATGGAATGATATTATAAAAGGCGAAAGGAGGAGTTTCAAGAAAGAAGTCTCAAGTCAATTGAGAGGAAAGCTGAAAGAGAAGTCACTGAATTTAGAAGTTAGGTTATGAGTGATTCAGAGCACTTTGGAGGAGATGGTAGTGGTAAAAGGTCAGATCTCAGTGGGTTGAAGTTCAGAAGAGGAAATCGATAAGCAAACTACTCTCAAAGAACTCTGGTGGGAAAGGAAAGGCATGAGAGGTGGTGGTGGAATGCAGCAGGACGGGAAGATGTCAGTGAAGACATTGAACATGCAGATGTACCCACAGGTGGGAGAGGAGCTGGAGAGTAGAGGTAGCTTGGAGTAAGATTCCTTCTATCCTGGAAAGAGAAGACTGTAAAAACAACAGAAGAAATTAGCCTTGTGAAGGAACAGGAATGCTTTTTTCTCTGAAGAGGGTAGAAGATGAAAACAGATGAAGATATTCATGGGCGCAGAAGGAAGGATAAACGAAGAGAACATTCTTGGAACTTTCAATTTGCTCATAGATACAGGAAGCTGGGGAATTTGCTGAAAGTCGGGGGAGTGAGCCTAATTCAATTTTTATAGTGTTAAGAAAAATAAATTTAACTCAAACTAGAATTTAACTGGAGGAAATGGCTTAATTGTTCTCAGACACTGGGTATCTCAATGAAAATGTCATCCTGTCCCCAAAGTTCTGACACTATTATTTAGATCATGGGTTGTCAAACTACTTCTGCAAAGGGCTAGACAGCAAACACTTTAGGCTTTGTGGGACATGCCTCATCTTTCCCATTTTTGTTTTTAACTCATCCCTTAAAAAAGGTAAAAACTATTCTTTACTTGCCAGATGCACAAAAAAAGATGGATTTTGTTCATGGCTATGTTTGCCAACTCCAATCTAGATTACTGACATCATACAACTGTCCTTATTACAAAAGAAAATGTGCCAGTAATAGAAGTTTAAATTTGTATATTGCCTGTTGATTGGTAACATGAAAGCTTTACTTTCCCATGCTGCACCCAATCCCCTTCATGAGCTATCCCTAGGTTTGGAGTTACAGTTTGAGTTTGAGGAAGGTTGACAAACTAAAAGGATGACTGGTAAATTACCTCAATTCCCACAGACTGATTGTTCAGGTCAAGAAGAGGTAAGACGGGTTGAGGTCTGGTGATCAGCCACAAGAAGATGGCAGCTCCAAATGTCAGGATGCAGATCAACGCCGGGGTCGGAAGTGGGGAAAACAAAAAGTTAAAGATAAAAAGCATCTTTGTGAACAGCAGCAGGAAATTCAGACCTTAAAAAAAAAACAGGGGAAAGAAAATTTAGAGGAAATGGCCATATTTTTGTACTCAATAGCTCTATGTTTTCAGAAGGACACACACACACACATACACACACACACGCGCGCACGCCTTCAAACCCTCAAACACAGTTGTACCTCTCTAGTGGCAGAATTTCCCCCAGTGTTTACTTAGCACTGTTGAAAATAATAGAACACATTCTCCACCTCTGCTACTTGACTGTCCTCACACAGAGCAGGGAGGATCAAAGGAAACAAGTTAATCATTTCCCAAACAATTTTGAGAAATGACTGCCTTTTTAATGTTGGTGCACAAAGCCTGGAAGAAGGCAGCCTGCTAGACCCAACATAATCTGATGGTCAGAGGACAGTACCTCCTCTGCCCAGGCAGACCAAGGGTCAGGAAGGACTCTTCCAGTTGGATTCCCCCGTATAAACCAAACAGAAGAGATCTGTCAAGGTGATGCCACAGGTTTTAGAAATTAACCATTTTGTATGAAGGATATTTCCTGCTGGCTAGACATGTCTTGCTCATTGCTTTATTTTTTGGAGCATCGGAAGGATTTCTGAGATCAACAGCATTACAACTTGCTATGCCCAACATCCTTTCACCTAGGGAGCCCAGAGGAATCATTTTACTGTGAGGCAAACTGTCAGTCAGGTACACAGAAACAGTGCTGGAGAATGGATGACACGTGGTGAGCATTGAAGAGTTAGGTCAAGAAGAGATCTCAAGAAACTAAAAGTAACAAAGGCTTCCCCTAAACCAGCCTTTCTTATAGTTTTCAGCCAAGTTCAGCTTCAAACTACTCTAATAGGAGAGACTAACTTTAGGGTAGGTCCTAGGAACATACCCTTGGCTGAAGCCATCTTTTCCTGGAAAGTTGCTGCCTCACAGCTTTCAAACTGGATTAGGAGAATATAATAGCAGCAAACACATGAGCACTCACTGTATGCCAGGCACAGGGCTGGGCTTTTTGCATGGTTTGTTTAATTTAGGCCAAACAACACTATAAAGTAGTATTTCACAGAAGAGTAAATGGACGCTTTGGGATAAAGTGACTTGTCCAAATTCACCCATCATTCCCTATTGCTACTTCTCTATGAAAACCTACAAAACGACAATTCATTTTTTCTTATAGGTTCTAGTCACAGAATTCAAGGGGATTGAATTTGTCTAGCACCTTCCAGGTGACAGCAAATGAAGTTCAGAATTTGCATTCTTCAAAGTTTACTGCAATGCCTGATGAAACAATAGCTCAGAGATGAGGCCACACATGCCCACTGAAAATCAAAAGAACAAAGCAAGCTCAATTAAAAGTTGGATCAGATCAAGATCACAGTTGCCCTTAGAGCTTTGGACAGCTGCCATTAGCTGCCACCTGGAACCATCTTTAACAATGGAAACACACTTCACTCTAGTCTAAGAAAGGCCACAAGGTGCAGGAATTTTGTGTGGGGGCAGGAACAGTCACAAGAAACCCTGGGCCACTCTTACTATCTTTCTGCCTCTCGATTAGTTATTACCTGATTTTGGAGAGTCCCTTTCCATTTTAGAGGAGAAAACTGAACTTCCAGAAACTGGGATAATAGTCCTCAACTCCTTGGTTCTTTCCATATTGCATTTAGGGGGAGAAAAATAAGTAAAAACAAAAATAAAAGCCAGGTCCCATGGGTGCTAGGTTACATAAAAACAAGGGTGCTATTGTGACCACCTGGCAGGATTCTGAGAGTTGGGATTTTTGGAATTCAGCCTTACTTGGACTTGTATGATGAGGTACTCCAGGAGGCAAAAGCATTCAAAAACTAGCCATAAAGCCCAGGCAGAGAAGGGAGGACTGCCTCAGGGAAGACTGTGAAATTGAAAAAGCAGGTGGCAGTACCAAAGGGGAGGAGAAGCCCGTGCCTGTTTTGTGCTCTCCCATCCAGTCTGCCACCAGCCACTCCCTTCAGGCTGGGATATTGTGACAAGACTGGATATATATATATATATATTTGAGACACGGTCTTACTCTGTTGCCCAGGCTGGAGTGCAGTGGCACAACTCTGGCTCACTGCAGCCTCAACCTCGTGGGCTCAAGTGAACCTCCCACCTCAGGCTCCTGAATAACTGGGACTACAGGTGTGTGCCACCACACCCAGTTAATTCTTTAATTTTTTTTTTTTTTTTTGAGACAGAATCTCGCTCTGTCACCCAGGCTGGAGTGCAGTGGTACAATCTCGACTCACTGCAAGCTCCACCTCCCGGGTTCACGCCATTCTCCTGCCTCAGCCTCCCAAGTAGCTGGGACTACAGGTGCCTGCCACCATGCCGGCCTACTTTTTTGTATTTTTAGTAGAGACGGGGTTTCACTATGTTGGCCAGGATGGTCTCGATCTCCTGACCTCGTGATCCGCCTGCCTTGGCCTCCCAAAATGCTGGGATTACAGGTGTGAGCCACCGTACCTGGCCAATTCTTTAATTTTTTGTAAAGACACAGCCTCACCATGCTGCCCAGGCTGGTTTCAAACTCCTGGGCTCAAGCGGTCCTCCCACCTTGGCCTCCCAAAGTGCTGGGATTACAGGTGTGAGCCACCGTACCTGGCCAATTCTTTAATTTTTTGTAAAGACACAGCCTCACCATGCTGCCCAGGCTGGTTTCAAACTCCTGGGCTCAAGTGGTCCTCCCACCTTGGCCTCCCGAAGTGCTGGGATTACAGGTGTGAGCCACCACGACCACCCCAAGCTGGTGATATTTTATCTGGGCTTTTTCCCTCTGCCTCAATCCCACCCACAAATTAAGAGATCCTTACCAACACCCTCCTGTTCGACTATGGAAAAAAATGGTTGCACTAAGGATTTCTGCCCTCTTCTTCCAGATGGCACATTTATATTTTAATAGGAGACTTTGCAAACAATGTCTTTGAATCAGAGTCTAAAAGTTGAATTTCTGTTCAGTTGTGGTGATATGGGGGTGGGGTCAGGAAGAAGAGTGAATAACCTGACTGGTAATACATATGGGAGAAAAGGGACAGAGAATCTATGGCGTCTCAAGGGGGCACCTGCTGTCAATCTCAGGTGATTGTTACCATATAGTAACAATACTATGGGTCACAGATTGTCAGAATTCTGCCCCCTCCCTAGATAATCCAGAAGACTGCATTTTTTGAAACCTCAATTTTAACTAACAACCGTTTTTAAGAGTCTGGCATGGGATAAACAAGAACACATTTCATAGTTTAATTTGGATCACGGTCTGTTAATGTTTGACTACTCCTTTGAGACAGACTTCAATCATATTGCCCACAAACAGAACGAGACTGACCACTTCATTACAAACAAGGGAGATATTTACACATTTCAAAGCCACAGTTTCATGAGAATGAAAATACCTTGCCTATATTGGCAAGGGATTTTATTTGAGGAAGACAATGAAGGAAGGATTTATTTGTATTTGTCAATGGAAATAGCTTGCTTAGTTTGCTACCACTGACCAGGTATCCAACTCAAGTAGGAGGTGCACAGAATTTCACATGGTTCCTTCCTCAATTTTTTTTTTTTTTGAGGCACAGTCTGGCTCTGCTGCCCAGCTGGAGTGCAGTGGTATGATCTCGGCTGATTGCAACCTCTGCCTCCCAGGTTCAGGCGATTCTCCTGTCTCAGCCTCCTGAGTAGCAGGTGCCTGCCACCATGCGCAACTAACTTTGCATTTTTAGTAGAGACGAGGGTTTCACCATGTTGGCCAGGCTGGTCTCAAACTCCTGACCTCAGGTGATCCGCCCGCCTTGGCCTCCCAAAGTGCTGGGATTACAGGCATGAGCCATTGCACCTGGCCCTTCCTCAATTTTTAAAAAAATTGAGATACAATTTACATAATGTAGAATTAACCACTTTAAAATGTACAATCGGGCAGTATTTAGTACATTCACAATGTTGTGCAACCATTACATCTATTTAGTTCCAAAACATTTTCATCACCATAAAATACGAAACCCTGAACCCATTAACAAACCCTTCAATGCCCAGCCTCTAGAGAAAGGATTAGGCTGCTTTCTGTTGCTATGGATTTATCTATTCTAAATATTTCATATAAATGAAACCATATATGTGACTTTTTGTGTCTGACTTCTTTTACATAGTATAATTTTTAAGATTCATTGATGGGGTAGTATGTCTGTACTTCGTTTCTTTTTATGGCTCAATGTTATCCCATTGTATGGATAGACTACACTCTATCTATCTATCTATCTATCTATCTATCTATCTATCTATCTATTTATCTATCTACCAGTTGATGAATATCTGGGTTGTTTCTACTTTTGATATTGTGAACAAAGCTATTACGAGCATTTCTATACAGTTTTTGTTTGAATATCTTTTTCCAGTTCTTTAGGGTGTAGACCTAGGAGAGAAATTGCTGAGTCAATGCGAATTTTATATTTAACTTTTTGCGGAACCACCAAAGTGTTTTCCACAGTAGCTGCACCATTTTATATCCAACCAGCAATGTAAGAGGGTTCCAATTTCTTTCCCTTCTCCCTAACACTGCTACTTTCTCTTTGTCTGTTTAAATAGCCATTCTAGTAGGTGTGAAATGGTACCTCATTGTGGGTTTGATTTGCATTTCTCTAATGACTAAGGATGTTGAGCATTTTTTTATGTGCTTCTTGGCCATTTGTATTTCTTTTTTGAAGAAATGTCTACTCAAGTCTTTTGCCCATTTAAAAATTAGGTCATATATATATATACACACAACACTTATCAGAGATATGATTTGCAATATTTTCTTCCATTCTGTAGGTTGTCTTTTTACTATCTTGATAATCTCTTTTTTATTTTTATTTTTTTACAATTAACAATTTTATTTTAGATATGGTGTCTCACTATGTTGCCCAGGCTGGTTCTGAACTGCTGGGCTCAAGTGATCTTCCTACCTCAGCCTCCCAAAGTGCTGGGATTACAGGCGTGAGCCACTGTGCCTGGTGTATAGTCTCCTTTTTAATGCCCAATACACTCAAACATTTTTAACCTTACAAGATTAGCGCTGAGAGGATTTGCAACCATATCATGTAACTCTCTCACTGTTTAAGTGGAAGAAACTAAGGGCCTGAGAGAAGGTGAGACTCCTGGGTCAAACCACGACAGGAGTAGGAAGCTCTGTTTACCATTCTAACCATTAGAATCTGTTAACACTTCCAAGTAAGTTCAAAGAAACAAGGGGGAAAAAAGTCACCCTCCTTTTGTCACACGTCCTGTGTGACTCAAACTACAGCTCTGGTTTAGTCACTCCACAGAATCCCCTGTAAGCAGTGGGCGTGACTGGCATTTCCTCTTCCTTTTAACATCACTCCTGGTTACGGTAGGGAAAAGCACAATAGTGGTAAAGAAAAGAGGAAAGAGGGCTCTGTCATGCTGTGTCTGGGATTTCCTGTTTCACGTAATATACAAATAGCTGAACAAGCCCCAGTACACACCAGGATGTCCCATGTCAAAAGGCTTACTCCACTTTTTGACGTGGTGATGGTGACATGCCTTGGCCTCAGACCCCAGGATGCCCATTTGTCCACCATCCTTGTCCTTGATCCACTCCAGGGCCTTCCCCTCTCCTGTGGATGGATGACTGGAGCCACAGTCACTCATCTCCTGGCTCCTAACATGTTTTATTCCCAAGTTAGCTGAAGGACGCCTTCTGCCTTCACACCTCTGTGCATGCTTCCTGGACCATTCTTGGTGTCTAGGTTATGATCACCCCATATTCAGCTTCGGATTTTTTTCCTTTTGTGGACTTGGGGCAGCATGTCTTCATTTAGTCTCCTTTTCTTTGGATAAATGTCCTAAATGGCTCCTTCTACTCTAATATTTAAATTTTTGGTCAACTATGTTTATTGCTATGAATCTTTCATACTATCCCTATTGGCTAAAAATCATTTTCTTTTGATAGTCTCTATCTTTTAAAAGATTGTATTTTTCCTATGTATATATCCCACTCAAACCCTATTCGAAGTCTGTTCCCATCTGGAAGCCTCTGTATTTGCTCTTCTCTTTGCCTGGAACATTTCCCCAGATCTGAAATGGTTGTGTATTGCTGATAGGTCAGGCCTCACCTCAAATGTCACTTCCTCGGAGGCTCACTGTTTCTGATCACCTTATTGAATATTGTCTTTACCTTTCCAGTCAGTGTCATGGACTTTGTTCTCTTCTCCATGACACTGTTCACTGGGAAATAGTCCTAGCTCCTTATCACTCATTGTGCCAACTGAGCTGATGTTCTCTTTGGAACAGAGATTTTAATTTTGTTTACTGCTGTGTCTCTGATGCCCCCACCATGCCTGGCACATAAAAAACTTTCAACAAGTGGTTGTTGAGCAAATGAACAGTTTTCCAGGTCACAATTGTTTATTCCATATACTCTCAGTTAACTCATTTTCCCTGCAGTACAAAGACCCCACCCTTAAACCCCCAAATCTTAGATCATAAGAAGTCATTCAGGCCAATCTGGAGAGGATTGCTCCCTAATCAATACTTTGGTAAGGTATTGGATAGGGATGGTGGCTGGTGACAGGGGTGTATTTCTGACACACATTAAGGACTATTCAAGATCCTTCTACTCCTCCAGGCTTAGAAGAGTTGGAATGAAGTTATCTACATGGGATAAGTAGGTAGAAAGTCCAGCCAAGAAATAAATCATACTGGACTAGGAGCGGTGACTCACGCCTGTAATCCCAGCACGTTGGGAGGCCAAGGAGGGCAGATCACTTGAGGCCAGGAGTTCGAGACCAGCCTGGCCAACATGGCGAAACCCCATCTCTACCAAAAATACAAAAAGTTAGCTGGGCTTGGTGGCGCATGCCTGTAATCCCAGCTACTCGGGAGGCTCTGGCACAAGAATTCCTTGAACCTGGGAGGCGGAAGTTGCAGTGAGCTGAGATCACACCACTGCACTCCAGCCTGGGTGACAGAGCAAGACTCTGTCTCCAAAAAAAAAAAAAAAAAAAGGAACAAATAAATCATTCTGTTACCTTTGCTTTTAGGCCTGGAGAACTATTATTTTTTTGTGCAATAATAAGACATAAATTGCAATTATAAGCTTTAAAAAAATCTGCCTTCATTAATTTGTATTTAATTGATTTCTGTGTTCTTTTGCATGTATGGGCTCATCCTATGGTGATAGAAAGCTAATTAAAAAGGAGACCAGCATCCTCAAGTTCTTACACCCAATTAGTTAACACATTCTTCCATACTAGGAATTACCTACTCTCTCCTAGAGACTATGTCAAAAGTCTTTACAACTTATAATGACTCCAAAGGGAACTGTGTGTTATTTACGAGGCTGTATATGAAAGTTTTGCTTTTTGAGCTGGGATTTCCATTTCTAACCCAGCTTCTAAAATCATTTTTCCTACATTCCTGCCACCCTCAACCTAGGAAACCTCTCTCTCAGTCCTTGACTACAGAGTCAGTATTTCTAGACAAACCCAAAAGTAATGACAAAAGGCCAGTATGAAATTACAAACCATTAGCATCATGAGCATACCTGGAAAGAGCTGATAACCTTTTCCTTTATATGCTATGAACGTGAACCAGGTGTGTGTTCTGTTGCAAGATCCTTCACCCAATTTCCTCAGAGCCCTGGGATGAAGGGCTTTTAAAAAATCATTTCTTAAACTAGTTTGCTTTTCTGTATCATAAGTAGTTTTCTTCTACTAGGGATATGACAGATGAGGTGATTTGAGACAATGATCTTGCTTCACAAAACTCAGTCAAAGAAAAGCATCATATGGAAAAAGCCCAGTAGATTGTCCCCCAAGGGAAGCTATTCTCAGCTACCCAAGCTATTTAAAATGATTCAAAATCCAAGGGGTCAACATTCAGATCTGACATAAAAATCTGTGGTCATATCTCCCAATTAAAAAACAAAACAAAATTTAAAAAAAGAGCTGAGAGGAGAAATTCTAAAAACCCTCTAAGGAAATAAGAGGTAACTAGTATGTTTCAGTTTTATAATTACTGAGATAATTTGGAGGTGGCCAGTTACTAAAATTGGTATGCAGAGAGTTAATAGCTTTCCTATATTTTATACAAATAACTGATTTAGAAGTCATGAAAAAGATGCTATTCACAATAGTGTATATAAGAATAAATGCGTAAAACCTATATTTTAAAAGTTTAGATCTGAAGTACCTAAGAAGGCTAGAAAAATGGAAAGACATACCTGAAATATTCAAGGTTCCTGTCACCTTAAAGGTATCTATACATTTAATGCAACCCTAATGAAGGCTTTCTTAGGAACTAAAATGCTAATTCTAAAGTACATCCAGAAAAAAATAAAACTTAACAAAGAGTGAAACAATTTTGAAAAATAGCAGGAATTGGGTAGGTGGCAGACCAGCAATCATTACCAAATTTAAATACTTACTATAGAGCTATAGGAGTTTTCTGGCCAGACACAGTGGCTTATGCCTGTAATCCCAGCACTTTGGAAGGCCGAGGCGGGCGGGTCACTTGAGGTCAGGAGTTCAAGACCAGCCTGGCCAACATGGTGAAACCCTGTCTCTACTCAAAATACAAAAATTAGCTTGGCATGGTGGCGTGCGCTTATAATCCCAGCTACTAGGGAGGCTGAGGCAGGAGAATTGCTTGAACCCAGGAGGTGGAGATCGCAGTGAGCCGAGATTGCACCACTGCACTCCAGCATGGGCAACAGAGCCAGACTCTGCCTCAAAAAAAAAAAAAAAAAAAAAAAAAAAAAAGAGCTATAGGAGTTTTCTATTGGTCATGAATAGACAAACCTATTTAATAAAATCATCCTGAAACATGCCCAGTAGATGCTATTATCATGTACTAAATTGCATTTCAAATCAAAATAGGTATTTTTTCACTTAAAATAAACGTACTGAGACAACTGGCTAGCCATTCAGAGAGAATACATTAAGCTGTCTACTCTCTTACTCCTACAACAAAAATAAGCTGAAGATAGGTCAAAGACTTAAGTATAAAACAATGAAAACAATAAGAATGGTTGGGGTGAAAAAGTATGGAGAGATTTTCTCTTATAATTTGGCATGGGGAAGACTCAAGACAGACATAACACCTAAAATCTATAAACAGAAATGTTGGCAAGTTTGATTATATAAAAATAAAAATTTTCCCGCAGAAAAGATACCAGAGACAAAGACACGTTGAGGAAAAAGTATCAACCCCCTCAGATAGGCTAAGAGTTAATTTCTTTAATAAGAAACTCAGACAACAATGAAAAACAAAATATAACCCAATAAAGCAAGGGCAGAGCTTGCTGAAAGTTCACAGCAAAACAAGCAAGTTATTTACAATTAGGGAAAGACATTCAACTTTGCTTATAGTTCTTAAGAATGCAGATTTAAATGACATGCCTTTTCCTCGTGCATCAGATTCCAGTGATGAAACGGTGAGAAATGCAACGTGAATTGTGGAAATGTACATTTGACGCTGTCTCTTAAAGAAGTCCCTATTGCCCTCTACACATCATAAAATGTATGCCCTTTCACCTAGTAATTCTACCATCAGCTTATCTCATAGAAAGACATCAGATCAATAAACTACATCACAAATGACATGTAAAGTACAGGTTAAGAATGTTGGCTCAGACTAGTTGGGCTCAAGCTCTTCTTGGTCATTTTCTTTGTGACCTGGGGCAGATAACTTAATTCTCTGTGGTTTCTCATCTATAAAATGGCAGTAATGGCATCTCCTTTCTAAGGCTGTCACCATGATTAAAAGAGTTAATGGATATATAAAGTGCTTAGAACCATGGCTGGCACGCAGGTTCATGTATTAACTATTATATTTATCACCTTTAAAGCTGTAGAATTGTTTCTAATCCAAAAGCCTAGGAAAGCCTTCCTTGATAGGAGAAGAATGAAACAAATTACAGTACTTCCACACAATGGAATTCTGGGCAGGTATTTTAAAAAAGAAAGTCGATCTGTAGGTAATGATATGAAAAGAGCTCATGATGTACTGCCAGGGAGAAAGAAAAAAATATTTGGACAGTGTGTACATTATCTTCTCAATTACAATGAATTATATACGCATTTGTGTTTCTGAAAAGACAATCCTCATAGAAAAAGAGAGATGGAGGTCGGGTGCAGTGTCTCACACCTATAATCCCAGTACTTTGGAAGGCTGAGGTGGATATATTGCTTGAGCCCAGGAGTTTGAGACCAGGAGTTTGAGTCTGGGGAACACGGTGAGGACCTGTCTCTACAAAAAATACAAAAATTAGCCTCGCTTGGCGGTGCATGCCGGTAGTCCCCACTACCTGGGAGCCTGAGGTGGGAGGATCGCTTGAGCCAGGGAGGTCAAGGCTGCAGTGAGCTGTAATTGTGCTACTGCGCTCCAGCCAGGGCAACAGAGCAAGACTCTGTCTCAAAAACAAAACAACAAAACAAAACAAAACAAAAAAACAAGAAAAAGACAGATGGAAGAGGAGAAATCATGACTGGATTTCTTGAAAGTCTTGTCTACTCCATCATTCAGCCAAAAGCTATTGAAGGGCTTGGCTGTATATGTTGCATTGTTCCAGGTGCTGGGGATATAGCAGGGAAAACCCTGCCCTCGTGAGATTGCATTATATTGGGGAGTTTGACAACAAGCCTGAGCAATAACTAGGTTACTTAGGACTACGGAACAACAAAAACAACAAGAGTAGGGAAAGAGAACTGGGGGTACAGCAGGGGGATGAGATTTTTGTTTTTTGTTTTTTTTTCTGAGACAGAGTCTTGCTCTGTTGCCCAGGCTGGAATGCAGTGGTGTGATCTCGGCTCACTGCAACCTCTGCCTCCTGGGTTCAAGCGATTCTCATGCCTCAGCCTCCCAAGTAGCTGGGATTACAGGTGTGTGCCTGGCTAATTTTTGTATTTTTAGTAGAGACAGGATTTCGCCATGTTGTCCAGGCTGGTCTTGAGCTCCTGGTCTCAAGTGATCCACCTGCCTCAAGCCTCCCAAAGTGCTGGGATTACAGGCATGAACCACCGCGCCTGGTGGATGAGTTTTAATTAGGGAGGCGTAGCGTAGTCTCAGTGGGAAGGTAACACTTGATGTGTACTGTTTAATCTGAAATATGCACACTTACAAAAAAAAAGAATAAAATGAACAGCTCCATATAATCCCACCTCCAACACAGGCAGCTAATTTAGAAAGTTCTACCACCTTGGTTGGTGGCATTTCATGTGAATGCACCTAAGTGTACACCTCAGCTTTGTTTCTACAAGTGTGGCTCTCCCGCTACCAAAACTACATTTGACACACAGCCTCTTCCAAGCCCTCATGTTGTGTAAAATGCTTCTCAGCCACTGAGTAATCCAGCTGGACAGCAGCTCTGTGGGTGGAAACCTTTTTCATCCATTTCTCTAACCGATAAGAAACCAGAGCAAAGGTGAAGGCTGAGTCACAGGGCCGAGGGGCCCTGAAACTGTGTCTTTCAATATTCATTCCAAGTAGCTAAGAAGGAAGGATGGCCTGAGATCCTGACCTACAGCCTGCTGATAACTTCCCAGCCATTCACCAGTTGCTCAAGCCATTGTCTTATAATAGCCATGGCCCCAGGCAGATGGGAAGGGCCTTATTTTATTTATTTATATATTTATTTTGGGACAGAGTCTCGCTTTGTTGCTCAGGCTGGAATGCAGTGGCGCTATCGCAGCCCCATCCTAACATGCTCAGCTCACTGCAGTGTTAACTTCCCAGGCTTAAGTGATCCTCCCACCTCAGCCTTACAAGTATCTGAGACTACAGGTGTGCACAACCACACTCGGCTTTTGTTTTTTGTTTTTTGTTTTTAAGTTTTTTGTAGAGATGGGGTCTCCCTAAGTTGCCCAGCCTGGGCTTGAACTCCTGGGCTGAAGCGATCCACCTGCCTCAGCCTCCTAAAGTTCTGGGATTACAGGCATGAGCCATGGCACCCAGTGGGGAAGGTCCTTCTTATCATCTCCGCCGAGAGGTGGTGGACAGAGCAGGGAGACAGCATTACCAAAGGGAGCCCTGTTAAAACACCAGGTGGTAGCTAAGTAGTAGTTTCCACACCATGGAAAGATTCAATTCGATTGCTTACGTAATTTTTTAAAAGATAAGTGATAATAACCTCTCATATCTCTCTTCCAAGCCCAATTGCTAGACAGCATCTAACAGTCCCAATGTGTAAGACAGCTGGCAGAGAAAGGGTTAAGAGTCTAGGCTTCAGACAGGTGTCCTGGGCCACAGGCAAGCATACCATAAATAAATCATTAGGGCGTTCGATGCAGCTCCACTGGTAAAATCTTTGCTGCTGAATTGCACAGGAAAAGCTACAGGAGCCAGAGCTCAGAAGAGATAGAAGAGGTGGAGC
Source organism: Homo sapiens (assembly GCF_000001405.40). NCBI lineage: Eukaryota > Metazoa > Chordata > Mammalia > Primates > Hominidae > Homo > Homo sapiens. Next base: position 112,382,570 of record NC_000010.11, on the reverse strand, counting down.
AGAATAAGCCCTTTCCTCGGGTTTGGGTCCCAGTGAGGCTTCCTGGGACTCATGGATCTGTGTGTCAATAGGCCTCCCAGTGCTGTGAGCACTCATGCACATAGTGACCATCCTCACCTGTGGATTCCACTGCACCTAGCATGGCACCTGAGACACAGTGGGAAGCTGCTGTTACCAAGCCACCTTCACCTTTTACTCACCATTGGCACAATTTGAGAGAAAGGCAACTAGCGAGGAGAGTCTGCTGAAGGAAAGTTTGCAGTGTTCAATCCCACAAGGAACAGAACATGCTTCTATGCACACAGCAGGACAGGGTCGGCGGAGTCTTCCTCAGGAATGCCACAGCCAGGGGCTTCATGCCATGAGAAGGGCAACGCTAAGCAGTCCGACCTAAGTGAGGGCGGGTTCCCTCATAATGTATCCATTTGGGTATTCAAGCACCTACTGTGTGCCAGGCAGTGTGTTTAGCACAGGAAAGCATGCTCAGAACTTCTGGTCCAGTAGAAGATAAAGCCAATTCCCCAGGCAGCCATGATGCTTTTGAGACCAGTGCTCTATGGGATGCACCTCAGCTTTGGCAGCACCTGGTGGGCTGGAGAAGTGTCTGTGTGGCAAGGGATACATTTACTCTCTGCACTTTTAACTTATTTACACATTTACTTTTTATTTTTTTTGAGACGGAGTCAAGCGATTCTTTTGTCTCAGCCTCCTGAGTAGCTGGGACTACAGGCACGTGCCACCACGCCCAGCTAATTTTTGTATTTTTGGTAGAGACTAGGTTTCACCATATTGGCCAGTCTGGTCTCAAACTCCTGACCTCGTGATCCACCCACCTCGACCTCCCAAAGTGCTGGGATTACAGGTGTGAGCCACCGCACCCGGCCTCTTTTTTTTTTTTTTTTTTTGAGACAGTCTCACTCTGTCACCCAGGCTGGAGTGCAGTGGTACGATCTTGGCTCACTGCAACCTCCGCCTCCAGGGCTCAAGCGATTCTCCTGCCTCAGCCTCCCGAGTAGCTGGGATTACAACAAGCATGCATCATCACATCCGGCTAATTTTTGTATTTTTAGTAGAGGGGGTTTCACCATGTTGGCCAGGCTGGTCTCGAACTCTGACTTCAAGTGATCTACCTGCCTTGGCCTCCCAAAGTGCTGGGATTACAAGTGTGAGCCACTGTACCCAGCCTATACGTTTATTTTCAGTAAAGTAAACAAAAACTGTGGACCTGTGTGTTCAGCACTGTGCCATGTGCTGAGGGATGAACACTTGGCCGATATAGTTCCTGCCATCTGGGTACTTATGGGTCTATCTAGTCCTAGAAACTCTTACAGAATGCTTCAGTGTGTGCAGTGAGCTCATGGTTTTGAAGGAGGAAGAGGTCAGTGCAGACTGGAGCACATTAAGACGGCTGTATGGAACACTAGAACCTCAAAGATGTGTGATCCTTGACCCCCTGGCTTTATTGCCAATTGTCTCTTTCCAGGGGCAAGGATGATGATCTGGCCAGACATGATGGCCCATCCCTGTAATCTCTGCACTTTGGGAGGCTGAGGCTGGAGGATCGTTTGAGGCCAGGAGTTTGAGACCAGCCTGAGCAACATAGTGGGACCCCATCTTTACAAAAATAAAAAATTTAGTTGGGCATGCCTGTAGTCCCAGGTACTCAGGAGAATGAGGTAGGAGGATTGTTGAGCCTGGGAGGTTGAGGTTGTAGTGATCCATGATCCCGCCACTGCACTCCAGCCTGGGAGCCTGGATGTGCAGAGTGACAAGAGTGTGACCCTGTCTTAAGAAACAAAACAAAAAAGGATGACAATTCTACCAATCAAGCTGATGTCTAGTAAGATCTCAACTATGATTCCAACCAGTGGGCCTGCCACCAAACCATCTTTCTCAACTGTTGTCTGTGTCTCTCTATCTACTTTCTTCACGGAGAGACCAATCATCTCATTAGGTTGGATGGAGCCAAATGGAAGTGGAGAAGGGGAATGGCCAGATGTGCTAGAGGCACTAAAGTGGGACAAGTGGGACATTTAGGGGAGGGAAATGGTGAAGAGGTATTTCTGCTGGAGGTGGAGGGTCCATCTTTAGTTAAAAGGTTGGGGGGCGGGGGGTGGCAGGGGGAAGAAAAAGTCTCCAAGGATGAATGAGATGGTGTGTGGGGCCCAGTGTAGACACTGCACCTCTGGAGCCATTGCCTTCACATACTCCAGAGAGCCTGGGTGGGGCCAGACATTGGCCAGTTGAGCTGAGTAGCATTTATCAGGAGATCTCATGTTAAGTCAAATACCAAGAGCCTCTTAAGTCAGTCCATTAAGATAGCATAGGATAGTTGAGTCACCCACAGGATGTGACCCCAGAAGTGACAAATCCCACAGGAGCTCAGGTCGATAGAGTCAACCTTGATCCACCACTGGGCTTCAAGTGAGTCACAGTCCAAATCCCGACCCCGGGACAACTTGTGTCAGTAACACCCCCAAAGGGCATCCCAGGCCTGCTGCTGACCAAGTATATTATGACAGAACTGGGGTAAGAAGAAGCAGTGTCAGAAGTCCACTGGATCTGATAAGGGGGTCTGTAAAAAGATAGGCCGGACAAAGTGCTAGGACCCTGTCACCTGTGCCAGGGTGAGGCAAGAGGTTGGGAAAGCAGACTTCTTGCCTTAGTTTTCTGCAGAATCAGCCCTTGCACTGCCTGTCCCAACCAGTGGTCAAGGGTCAACAGTTTCAAAGTGCAGGCAACAAGCTTTCTTGTCAACGGTGTCATTGCCAGGGGCAAACTTTCAAGGTCGTGCCCTTCCAGGTACCAGAGCAACAGCTCCTCACTTACTACATGTGTAGCCCTGGGGACAGTTACTTAGAGTCACTGAGCATCAGTTCCCCGCCACTGTACACAGAAGGAGCAGGTGAAAATCGCTACTTAAAGGAGATGCTGTGTGTAGAACAGTTGGTATGCTGTCAGGCACATGGGAAGTCCTCAATCAAATCTAGCTCCCCTTTCCTTCCCTTTTCCTCAGTTTTCACATCCTTGCCAATATCAGATGTTCTATTACGAGATGTCCCAAAAGAAAAGAGATGACCACGGTCTTGAACGATTACTGCCCCTCCACTTCTGTGCAAAGGTTTTAACAAGCCCTCATCTCTTTTTTTTTTTTTTCTTTTTTTTGAGATGGAGTTTCACTCTTGTCACCCAGGCTGGAGTGCAGTGGCGAGATCTCAGCTCACTGCAACCTCCGCCTCCTGGGTTCAAGCGATTCTCCTGCCTCAGCCTCCCGAGTAGCTGGGATTACAGGCAGCTGCCACCACGCCCAGCTAGCTTTTGTATTTTTAGCAGAGATGGGGTTTCACCATGTTGGCCAGGCTGGTCTCAAACTCCTGATTTCAAGTGATCTGCCTGCCTCGGCCTCCCAAAGTGTTGGGATTACTGGCATGAGCCACTGCGCCCGGCCAACAAGCCCTCATTTCTATTTAAACAGAGCACTTCTAGTTGTAGGGAACCATGGCCTGTCTCTGACCTAGCTTTACCCCAGACCTCAAATCCTCAACTTGAGCCACTCGCAACCTCACAACTCTTAGAATAGAATGGCCCATGAAGACTGGGAGATCCACCAGCTTCCCCAAAGAAGGCTAATAGTGTGGCCTGACCACAGCATTGCACGGGCTGTCTGACCTTCCAAACTCCAGATCTCATGTATTTATTCAAACAATGAGTTGAGAACCTAGGAAGTGTCAGGCCCTGCGCCAGGGAGGACAAGTTGGTGAGAGAGTCCCTTTCCGACCTCAGGATGTACAGACATAGAGGGGAGAAATAGACCCAGATGCATTTCCAGCAGAATGTGATAAGCAGTGATGGCTGGACTCATGGCTGCTGGGGTTACGTCACCCTTGCTTGATGCTGCCAGGCACAAGAGTCACCTCTGACTGCACTCCAGCTGAGGGTCTGCTCATCTGCTGAGGAGGCATATGAGAGACAGACAGGAGCAGACACTGTATTCCTGGTTTCTAAGAAGCTGGCAAATCCTATAGGCCAGGTGCAGTGGCTCACACCTGTAATCCCAGCACTTTGGGAGGCCTAGGCAGGCAGATAACTTGAGGTCAGGAGTTTGAGACCAGCCTGGCCAATATGGTGAAACCCTGTCTCTACTAAAAGTACAAAAATTATTTGGGCATGGTGGTGCATGCCTGTAATCCCAGCTACTCAGGAGGCTGAGGCAGGAGAATTGCTTGAACTGGGGAGGCAGAGGTTGCAGTGAGCCAAGATGTTGCCACTGCACTCAAGCCTGGGAGTCTAGGTGACAGAGTGAGGCTCCTCCAAAAAAAAAAAAAAAAAAAAAAAAAAAAAAACAAGAAGAAGAAGATTGTCTTGATTAAATATAAGAGTACCTACTGTGTACTGGTACTTCCCTGGCTTCATCTTCCCTCTCTCCATTCATTTCTCTCTCCTTCCTCCATCTCCAGCCTCCATGTAGTATCTGTGGTCTCACTATAGGTGGATGGTTAGGTATGCAATGACACGCTGATGTTGTTGTTGGTGTCTTTGCCCTCAAAAAATTACAATATAGCCTGGGAGAGACTATTTTAGGTCAGGCTAGGCTGAAATATTCTGTTTGGTCTGGATTAAAAAGTGTTTTCTCTTTTTTAATAATTAAATTTGAATGCATTTATCTGGGGTATGCCTGCTCTGAATTTTGCTAAAGTTTCCACCATTAGCATCTTATTACACACCATCTACTTTACTTCTCTATATTACTTGCCTGTCCTATAAGCATTTGCACTTACACTTCTTGTTTTATTTAGGTTTTTGTTCCTTTTATTATGCCAAATACACAAAAGATGGCTATAAAATTTTACACCATGCCTCTTTCAAGACATGTTCTGTGTTTAACCTTGAATACTGATCAATCGGAGGGGACTACCACAGAGTGACTCCATATCAGAATATGAAGGGAGAAATAAACAAAACCAATTACTCCTTTTTTAAAAGAAAACTAAGTCAGTTTTCAATGTTTTTTTATTTGTTTGTTTGTGTGTTGTTTTTGAGCCAGAGTCTTGCTCTGTCATCCAAACTGGAGTGCAGTGGTGCCATCTCGGCTCACTGCAACCTCCGCCTCCTAGGTTCAAGCAATTGTCCTGCCTCCTGAGTTGCTGGGATTACAGGCGTACGCCACCACGCCAAGCTAATTTTTGTATTTTCAGTAGAGATGGGGTTTCGCCATGTTGGCCAGGCTGGTTTCTAACTCCTGACTTCAGGTGATCCACCCACCTCAGACTCCCAGAGTTCTGGGATTACAGGTGTGAGTCACTGCGCCCGGCCTTAACTTTATTTTTTAAGACTCTGCCTCTGATATAGAATACTAATCACCTACACATTGGAGCTATAGATTCAATTCTACCTTTCAGACCACCAAAAAAAGGCTGATATCTCAGAAGGTACCAAGCCCCGGTGGTAGAGTCCCTTTCCAGTGCTTATTCCCTGAGGGTCTCCGGTGGTAGAGTCCCTTTCCAGTGCTTATTCCCTGAGGGTCTCCGGTGGTAGAGTCCCTTTCCAGTGCTTATTCCCTGAGGGTCTCCAGTGGTAGAGTCCCTTTCCAGTGCTTACTCCCTGAGGGTCTTTGAGATTCACCTTAGGACCCTCAGGGAGTGGGCATTGGGAAGGAAGTACTTAGGAATTAAGCAGCACCTGAGACTTAACCTGTGGCCTTACTTCCTAAAATACACTCAGCTCCATTCATCTGTCTCTCCCACCCCATTGGTCTCATTCATCAGTCTTACCCAACATAAAATTGAGGGCAAACCCCCAGCCCACCTCAGGGGAGCTATGCTGGATGCTCAGACCCACAAAAAGAGGTCTCTGTTTTGGTTCACCTTCCCCAAGAGAGTCGAGAGAAGGAAAGTGAGCCCCATGCATGCCCCACATCCTTCCTTCCCGTTGCTCCTCCTGACACAGGGTCTGAAGGCATGACCGAGACCAGGAGGGAGACAGCATGATGTGCCCGTGGAACTCAGCCGGCCCTTGATTCTAAGTCGCTTAAAGAAAGTCGGGGGTCAGGATGCCCCCTTGGCCTCTGTCACACCCTCACAAGACCCCCTTGCTGAATAACACCCCCTCGATGGTCCCCTTACCCTGCGAGGGGGCCGCATCTCTCAGTGCTTCTAGTGAATGGGGGCTTCCCGGCTCTGAGTTCTTCCTGCCACACGAGTCCCTGTCCTTCTTCCCTCGCTCGTGGTTCCTCCAGAGACAGGGTGGCTTCAGAGCGTCCATGCAGGCAGAAGGCCGGCCCAGAGTGTCCCCAGTTCTGCCCTGCTCTGAGCTGTCCCGAGTCAGGCCATGTCAGGCTTTCTAACGTGCTCGGGGACTTCACTTCCTGGTTTTAATTTTTTTTTTCACAACTGAAAGTGGAAGTGTTCTGACCAGGAGGGGAGAAGCTGCCAAAGCTACCCTGGCTCCGTGTCAAAGCCTTTCACCTCAGCCCCTAAGGGCCGACACAAAAGCCAGCTTGCCTCAACACAGTTGACCCTGCCCTCCTGTGGCCTATCATCTTTCAACTAAGATGAAAACAAACAAACTAAAATGACTTGAGGTGCCCCCTCAGATCAGAAGCCTCACAGAGGCAGAGGTGACGCTGTTCCCTGCTGGATTCGGAGGACAGGAAAGTCTGGCTAGAGGGTACCTCAGCCCTCAGACCCACACAAACACCTTCTACCCCGCCTCTCTCCAGTCGCCAGAGCTGCCTGCCTTGGTCTCTGAAGAAGTTCTGGCAAAGCCAAGAAAATAAGCAAGTCAGGAACGACAGGGCTGTGAGTCGTTCAATTGGCATGGTTTCTTTCCCTCTGATACAGTCACACCTCAAAACTTAACTTAAAAATCGATTCTTTCGCCTTGGTCACCCCCAGTATTACCAGGACCTGTATTAGTCTCATTTTTGATCCGCCTAAGGCTGTGGCTACAGGGGGGCCCTGGAGCTACCATTCTCAGATTAGGAAGCCGAAATGACAAATTTTCCTGCCCCTTCCCCACCTCACAGATACCTCAGAATGAAGCAGCACTTTCTCCAGCCTCGATCCCCCACGAAGGCTCACAGGAAGTTCAGCATGATCCTGGCTCTTTGCTGGAGCTAGATTAGGGTTTGTTCTTTCTACAGAGCAGTTCTTAAAAGCTTCCTACTAAGGAAGCCAGGGTGAGCTGTGCCACAGTCTCAGAGAACACAAGAGCTGAGCCCTTGGCCTCTGGGGAGCCGCCTTTGGACATGGAAGAAAGATGAAGGGCTGGGAGACGAAGTGGGGCCTGTGGCATTCCATCCTCTGGCTCATCTCACGGCTGGAGGAGCACTTGTCATTTGCTTAGTTTCAGGAACTCAGCTCCCCAAGAGGCAACTTCCTCTAGAGGAGAGCAGAGGATGGCAGAGTGGGTGTCGAATCTCAGCCACACTAATACCTCTGAGCCCTTCACCGGGTGCTGTCTTCCTTCACCAAAGGGCTCAGGGCCAGGGGAAGATGAGGTTTTATTTCTTTTTTTTTTATTGACCTCCTCCAGTAAAAATGCTCAAGTTCAGGAAGGTTGAGTCATTCTAAAGGCCCATCAGAGTTGTATTCCTATCAATCCTCTGTGCACATGAGTGACACCCTCAGGATTTCAGGGGGTAACTGAAAGCTTTGGCAACCCACAACAATTCTGCATTATTGGGCAGGCTGTGGAAACTGACCAATCAAGTCTCAAATTCTAGCCACACCACCTTGGAGCTATGTAGCTTAGGCCATGCTGTTTAACAGCCTGGAGACGCACTATGCCTCTGTGAAATGGGAAGGATACCACCTGCTTTATAGGATGAGATACACCAATGAAGTAACATACATAATCTACCCAGAACAGTCCCCAGCACCTAATCGAATATCTGCTGATTCCCTTCCTCTCTGTCTGCCAAATGGGACTCTCTGCCCTCAGCAGCTGACGCACGATCCTTCTAACTACACTGAGACAGAAATTTCTTAATGGAAGATGAAGGAGACCCACATTCTGGCTTGGTGTGCTTTAGTACACTTACCAAAATCAGTGTTCCCTTCCAATTCCATCCCCTGCTAGCATTTGGATAGCTCATATATCTCCACCCCTTTTCCAACTGATTTTTTTCTTTGCCTCCCACACAAGTCAGCTGAGATTACTATTCAACTAAATGTAATTTCATGTTATTAAAGAGCCTTAGGTTGAGCATAACAAATCCCACTTTCTTTCCCCACACCAATCCCCTCCCTACTATCTCACAGATATATTCAATATAGTGCAGGTAGTATCATTGCAGCTTACCTTGGAAGAAGACTCTCCCTTCCTGGGTCCAGGAAGTGCTCCCCTCACAGCTGGCTGTATTGATTCAGCACCACATTCAGGCACTTCTACTCTTTCCACAGCTCCTAGGACTGACTGGGACACACCCGAAGCTACTGTGTACTGTCCTGAGAGTGGCCAACACACTCCCCTGGAACCTTTGAATCTGTCACAACAGAAGTTCAAAGGTAGAAGTTACCTGTTCAAACACTTGTAGTAACCTCTGACAGTAAGAAAAGCAGTGTTGGGCAAAAGATTAAAACAAGAGATTGTTATGCAATGGGCTTAAGCGGGAAAAAAAAAAAAGACGGCCCTTAGTTCAGAAAGCTAACGTTTACCAAGAGAAACCTTCGATAAAGCTCTACCTCAGGGGAAGGAGAAGGGGTAGACAGGGCTTTGCATCTGCTTTGGGGGCACAATCCTTGAGACTGTGATAGGAAGAGGAAGGTCTAGATTACTAGAAGAAAAAGGGCTCCTTGAGATCAGAGTGAGAGAAAAATGAGAAGCCACTTTAATTGGCTCAAGCTATAACTTTAGGATTCAGACTAAGCAGAGGTGTGCATTTGCAGACCAGCTATCTTCTAGAAGGGACCACTGCCCCCTTCAGAATTAGAACGTCTCCAAGACAACCAAATGAGCCAAATCAGTCTAGAGTCTAGGCTGAGAGACAAGCCTAGGACGGTTGTTTTTAGGATTCGGAATCACGAACACAGTCTGCAGCACACATAGTTTAGCAAGGCGCTAGAATAGGAAGCATTGCTTCCTGGCTAACACGGTGAAACCCCGTCTCTACTGAATACACAAAAAATTAGCCGGGCGTGGTGGTGGGCCCCTGTAGTCCCAGCTACTTGGGAGGCTGAGGCAGGAGAATGGTGTGAACCCGGGAGGTGGAGCTTGCAGTGAGCCAAGATCGCGCCACTGCACTCCAGCCTGGGCGACACAGCGAGACTCTGTCTCAAAAAAAAAAAAAAAAAAAGAAGCATTGCTACTGCGTCATGGCTCAGCCATCCTACTCTCTCCTTTTTTTTTTTTTTTTTTTTTTTTGAGACGGAGTCTCACCGCAACCTCCACTTCCTGAGTTCAAGCAATTCTCCTGCCTCAGCCTCTGGAGTGGCTGGGATTACAGGCATGCACCACAATGCCTGGCTAATTTTTTTTTTTTTTTTTGTATTTTTAGCAGAGACAGGGTTTCACCATGTTGGCCAGGCTGGTCTCGAACTCCTGACTTCAAGTGATCTGCCTGCCTCGGCCTCCCGAAGTGCTGGGATTATAGGCATGAGCCACCATGCCCAGCCTCTCTTTCCACTTTGAAGTTCTCTAGTCACCATTCTTGATTCCAAGATCATTAGGACTGCAAGGCATCATTACTAAACAAAAACAGTGGGTAGAAATGAAAGAAACCCTGGAGATGATGTGCAAACTTACTGTATAGGTGAGGCCAGTGAGGCCTTTTCAGGTGAAAGAAGGCTTCTGGAATCACACAACCAGTCGGTCAAGACAGCACCTGACTCAGAGTCATGAGAACCCCTGCAGTGCCTTGGCCCCTATGCTGCCCCATTGATCTGTGTATGTTTAGCTACCAGAATGAAGCCGCGGACCCTCGCAGTGAGTGTTACAGTTCTTAAAGGCGGTGTGTCTAGAGTTTGTTCCTTCTGATGTTCAGATGTGTTCAGAGTTTCTTCCTTCTGGTGGGTTTGTGGTCTTGCTGGCTCAGGAGTAAAGCTACAGACCTTTGCAGTGAGCATTACAGCTCATAAAAGCAGCGTAGACCCAAAGAGTGAGCAGTAGCAAGATTTATTGCAAAGAGCTAAAGAACAAACCTTCCACAGTGTGAAAAGAACCCCAGGTGGTTGCCACTCCGGGCTCGGACAGCCTGCTTTTATTCTTTTATCTGGCCCCACCCACATCCTACTGATTGGTCCATTTTACAGAGAGCCGATTGGTCTGTTTTACAGAGAGCTGATTGGTCCGTTTTGACAGGGTGCTGATTGGTGTGTTTACAATCCCTGAGCTAGACACAAAAGTTCGCCATGTCCCCACTAGATTAGCTAGATACAGAGTGTTGACACAAAAGTTTTCCATGTCCCCACTAGATTAGCTAGATCCAGAGTGTCGATTGGTGCATTCACAAACCCTGAGCTAGACCAGGGTGCTGAATGGTTTACAAACCTTGAGCTAGACACAGAGTGCCAATTGGTGTATTTACAATCCCTTAGCTAGACATAAAGGTTACCCAAGTCCCTACCAGAGTAGCTAGATACAGAGTGTCAATTGGTGCATTCACAAACCCTGAGCTAGACACGGGGGGCTGATTGGTGTGTTTACAAACCTTGAGCTAGATACAGAGTGCCCATTGGTGTATTTACAATCCCTTAGCTAGACATAAAGGTTCTCCAAGTCCCCACCAGAGTAGCTAGATACAGAGTGTCCATTGGTGCATTCACAAACCCTGAGCTAGACACAGGGTGCTGATTGGTGTGTTTCCAAACCTTGAGCCAAATACTGAGTGCCGATTGGTGTATTTATAATCCCTTAGCTAGACATAAAGGTTCTCCAAGTCCCCACCAGACTCAGGAGGCCAGCTGGCTTCACCCAGTCGATCCCGCACCGTGGCCACAGGTGGAGCTGGCTGCCAGTCCCACACCGTGTGCCCACACTCCTCAGCCTTTGTGTGTCTGGAATTGGTGGGTTCTTGGTCTCACTGACTTCAAGAATGAAGCTGCACACCCTGGCGGTGAGTGTTACAGTTCTTAAAGGCAGCGTGTCCGGAGTTTGTTCCTTCTGATGTTCGGATGTGTTTGGAGTTTCTTCCTTCTGGTGGGTTCGTGATCTCACTGGCTCAGGAGTGAAGCTGTGGACCTTCGCGGTGAGTGTTACAGCCCTTAAGGTGGGGCGTCTGGAGTTGTTTGTTCCTCCCGGTGGGTTCGTGGTCTTGTTGGCTTCAGGAGTGAAGCTGCAGACCTTCGTGGTGAGTGTTACAGCTCATAAAGGCAGTGTAGACCCAAAGAGTGAGCAGTAGCAAGATTTATTGCAAAGAGCGAAAGAACAAAGCTTCCACAGCATGGAAGGGAACCCCAGCAGGTTGCCACTGCTGGCTGGGGCAGCCTGCTTTTATTTCCTTATCTGGCCCCACCCACATCCTGCTGATTGGTCCATTTTACAGAGAGCTGAGTGGTCTGTTTTAACAGGGTGCTGATTGGTGTGTTTACAATCCCTGAGCTAGACACAAAGGTTCTCCACGTCCCCACTAGATTAGCTAGATACAGAGTGTGGACACAAAGGTTCTCCAAGTACCCACTAGAGTAGCTAGATACAGAGTGTCCATTGGTGCATTCACAAACCCTGAGCTAGACACAGGGTGCTGATTGGCGTGTTTACAAACCTTGAGCTAGATACACCGTGCCGATTGGTGTATTTACAATCCCTTAGCTAGACATAAAGGTTCTCCAAGTCCCCAGCAGTCAGGAGCCCAGCTGGCTTCACCCAGTGGATCCAGCACTGGGTCACAGGTGAAGCTGCCTGCCAGTCCCGCGCCATGAGCCGGCACTCCTCAGCCCTTGGGGTGGTTGATGGGACTGGGCGCAGTGGAGCAGGGGCCGGTGCTTGTCGGGGAGGCTCCGGCCACACAGGAGCCCACGGAGGGTGGGGGAGGTTCAGGCATGGCGGGCTGCAGGTCCTGAGCCCTGCCCCGCCGGGAGGCAGCTAAGGCCTGGCAAAAAATCCAGCACAGCACTGGTGGGCCGGCACTGGTGGGCCGGCACTGCTGGGGGACCCAGCACACCCTCTGCAGCCGCTGGCCGGGGTGCTAAGCCCCTCATTGCCTGGGGCCGGCAGGGCCAGCCGGCCGCTCTGAGTGCAGGGCCCGCGGAGCCCACACCCACCCGGAACTCGGGCTGGCCCGCAAGCACCATGCGCAGCCCCGGTTCCGCCCACGCCTCTCCCTCCACACCTCCCCACAAGCTGAGGGAGCGGGCTCAGGCCTCAGCCAGCCCAGGAAGGGGTTCCCACAGTGCAGCAGTGGGCTGAAGGGCCCCTCAAGTGCTGCCAAAGTGGGAGCCCAGGCAGAGGAGGTGCCCAGAGCGAGCGAGGGCTGTGAGGGCTGCCAGCATGCTGTCACCTCTCACTTGGAAGGTCGATGGGAAGGGGCAACGTGGAGCAGGGGGCGGTGCTCGTCGGGGAGGCTCTGGCTGTGCAGGAGCCCATGGCTGGTGGGGTTGGGTGGGGGAAGGCTCAAGCATGGCAGGCTGCAGGTCCCGAACCCTGCCCCACAGGGAGGCAGCAGCTAAGGCCCAGCGAGAAGTCAAGCACAGCAGCTGCTGGCCCAGGTGCTAAGCCTCTCACTGCCGGGGGCCAGCGGGGCAGGCCTGCTGGTCTGAGTGCGGGGCCTGCCGAGCCCACGCCCACCCGGAACTCTCGCTGGCCCACAAGCCCCGCGTACAGCCCCGGTTCCTGCCCGCGCCTCTCCCTCCACACCTCCCCGCAAGCTGAGGGAGCCGGCTCCAGCCTCAGCCAGCCCAGGCAGGGGCTCCCACAGTGCAGCACGGGCTGAAGGGCTCCTCAAGTGCCGCCAAAGTGGGAGCCAAGGCAGAGGAGGCGCCAAGAGCAAGCAAGGGCTGTGAGGGCTGCCAGCACGCTGTCACCTCTCACTTACTGTATTTGGTCAGGTGACCAATACCAAAATCAGAAGCTAATACCACTTCCTGTTGACTCTTGTGTGGAGGAGAGACTAGCATATTAACATAGAAGTCTTCTTAGGTCAGATTCTCATGTGCATTAACTTTTTTTTTTTTTTTTTTTGAGACGGAGTCTCACTCTGTTGCCCAGGCTGGAGTGCAGCAGGTCTGTCTTGGCTCACTGCAACCTCTGCCTCCTGGGGTTCAAGACATTCTCTTGCCTCAATCTCCGGAGTAGCCAGGACTACAGATGTGTGCCACCACACCTGGTTGATTTTTGTATTTTAGTAGAGATGGGGTTTCACCATGTTGGCCAGGCTAGTCTTGAACTCCTTACCTCAAGTGATCTGCCTGCCTCGGCCTTCCAAAGTGCCAGGATTACAGGTGTGAGCCACTGTGCCTGGCCGTTTTTTTTTTTTTTTTTTTTTTTTAAGACAGGGTCTCACTCCTGTCACTCAGGCAGTAGCAACATCATGGCTCACTGCAGCCTTGACTTCTTGGGCTCAGGTAATCCTCCCACCTTAGGCTCCTGAGCACTGGGACTACAGGTCAGTGCCACCACACCATTTAGGTAACGGTCCGTCCTCTCTCCAGCCACCTACGTTTGCTGAGCCACAGAGGCCTGGATTCTTCAAAACACAGGATTTTTCTTTTTTTGACATAGGGTCTTCCTCTGTCACCCAGGCTAAGTGCAGTGGTGCAATCTCGGCTCACTGCAACTTCCACCTTCTGGGCTCAGGTTATCCTCCCACCTCAGCCTCCAGAGTAGCTGGGACTACAGGCATGTACCGCCATACCTAATTTAAAAATGTTTACTAGAGATGGGTTTTGCCATATTGCCCAGGCTAGCCTCTTACTCTTGGGCTGAAGTCATCCACCCACTGCAGCCTCCCAAAATGCTAGGATTATAGGCATGAGCCTCTGCACCCAACCTGGTTCACTAACTATTTTTTTTTTTTAAGAGATGGAGTTTTGCTCTGTCACGCAGGCCAGAGTGCAGTGGTGTGATCTCAGCTCACTGCAACCTCCGCCCTGTGGGTTCAAGTGATTCTCCTGCCTCAGCCTCCCAAGTAGCTGGGACTACAGGCGTGCACCACCATGCTTGACTAAGTTTTGCATTTTTTAAGTAGAGATGGAGTTTCACTATATGTTCACAAGGCTGGTCTCAAACTCCTGACCTCAGGTGATTTGCCCGCCTCGGCCTCCCAAGGTGCTGGGATTACAGGGATGAGCCACTGCACCCAGTCTGTTCATTAACTCTTGAAGGTCACGTTTTTGCTAGAGTCTTAGTCCTTCCTTAGTATGTGAAAGAAAAGGGCTTCTAAGAAGTGGCTAAAGAAGACACAGTTCAATGGGGACTAGGGGTGTGACAACTACTTGACTGGACTAGAGTCCAGTTGTGTTAAGTAGCAACCCACTGAACTCCTTTGATACCACACTTACTGGAGAGTAAGATACTCCAAGCCAGTGGTTCCCAAACTTCAGCATCACAATCCCCATGGAGGGCTTGTTAGTTACAACATAGATTTCTGGCTAGAATTTCTAACTCCGTAGGTCTGATCTGGGGCCCAAGAATCTGCATTTCTAACAATTCCAGGTGATACGGATGCTGCTGCTCTGGGGACCACCCTTGGACCACATTTAGGATCATCTCTGCTTCAAGCAGCTATCCTGTCTTCAAAGGGCCCGGCTACTGAAATGTCACAAGGGATTGCATTTGGGGTAGTCTTGGCTATGGTGAGCCTGCAGGTGGGGGGAAAACTTGACACAGAATGGAACTCCTCAGATGCTCCAGGAGAGAGGTGGTCTTCAAAAGCAGCCAGCAGGCCAAGTCTCAGAGAAGTGCTTTGGCCACAGCAGGAGGTATCGGCAGTCACGGTCGCACCTCTTTAGGGAAATATAAAACAAAACTCACAGCATCACCACTAGACAGCCCAGGTGGGTATGAGAGTGGGTGTGTGGGGGACATCAGCTGATCCAACAACAGTCATTTTACTTGTGAGGGTACCTAAAATGCCAAAAAGTGAGGCAGCTGGCTCAGGTGATGTATTAACTAATGAGAGAGATAAGCCCAGGACCCAGGTCTCCAGTGCCCGAGCAGGCTACACCATCTCGATAAACCACTGCTTCCTACAGCCTCTCTCTTCAAAAACGTGTTAGATAAGCTTCTTTGCAACACGCTCTGTCACTCCCTCCCCTCCTACAGCCATATCCATTTAGAATCCAATACGAAAATTAATAACCTTTAGGCTTGGGCATCCTGCAGCCCCTAAAAAGTACAAACTTTCACTTTTAAGGTCATTCATAGGTGAGGTCTGGAGGAGTGAGGAGTCTGCCCCACAGCTACAACGCTGACATACTCACAACCATGCTGCTGGGATCTGTTTGTATACAATCCCGCTACAATGCTGACATACTCACAACCACACTGCTGGGAACTGTTTGTATACACTCCCACCCTCTTCCTAGGGCCAAAGAAACCACACATGTACTACACAATGTTGTTCTAGAATACTAGAGTCTAACATTCTAGAGTTTTGTAACACAGCCTGGAAATAGTCATTTTATCTTTAATGGCAGAGGCTGGCAACTCTTCAGAAACAGAAACCAGGCTTTCCCCTCGTTTTATTTTATTTTATTTTACTTTTGAGATGAAGTCTCACTCTGTTGCCCAGGCTAGAGTGCAGTGGCACAATCTTGGCTCACTGCAACCTCTGCCTCCTGGGTTTAAGCCATTCTCCTACTTCAGCCTTTCGAGTAGCTGGGATTACAAGCACCTGCCACCATGCCTGGCTAAATTATTATTATTTTTGTGTATTTTTAGTAGAGATGGAGTTTTACCGTGTTGGCCAGGCTGGTCTTGAACTCCTGACCTCAAGTGATCTGCCTGACTTGGCTTCCCAAAGTGTTGGGATTACAGGTGTGAGCCACCGCACCCAGCCCCCCATGTTTTAGAAAGCAGAGAAAGACAGACAATATAAGCAGACTAACTTTACATAGTGCCATCATGCATTCACATAGCTCCTCCCGGTTTATAAAATGCTTCTAGTTTGCCTCTTAGCAAACCTGTGAGGTCTGAGTGGGAACAATACTTTCAACATCCAAACTTCCAGTGGCTGCTGGGAGCCAGGTCCTGTGACAAACACTTCATTTGACCCTCACAATACACTTGGAAGGTAGTTATGATTTGTACAGACAAGAAAAATAGAAGCTCAGAGAAATGACATCCCTTCCCAAGATCCTATAGCTTGGTAACAGAGTGATGACGGTGGTGGGGCCAAGTGTTATTTTTTAATAATTTCAGGCGATTTTGCAAAGCCAAGTGATTTGCAGCTTGTCTCTGAAAATCTGCCTTTCTTTAGGAAGCACAGCTGGTTGCAAAGCAGATTTCACAGCAGGTTGAGACGAGTCAGGCAGAGCAACCAAATGTTACTTAAAGGTCTTAGTGAATATGTCCAGATTCCAGAGACCACTGAACCTAATGAAGTCCTTTTTTTTGAGACAGGGTCTCGCTCTGTTGCCCAGGCTGGCGTACAGTGGCACAATCTTGGCTCACTGCAACCTCTGCTTCCTGGGTTCAAGCAATTCTCCTGCCTCAGCCTCTCGAGTAGCTGGGATTACAGGCACCTGCCATCACACCCAGCTAATTTTGTTTTGTTGTTGTATTTTTAGTAGAGACAGGGTTTCACCACGTTGGCCAGGCTGGTCTTGAACTCCTGACCTCAAGTGATCCACACGCCTCGGCCTCCCAAAGTGCTGGGATTACAGATGTGAGCCACCATGCCCGGCCCCAGATTTCTCCTTTTAATATAACCTCTGACCTCAGAATCTAGAAGATTCATCTTAAACCTCTAGATCTTTTGTTTTAGAATATTTCACTGGATTAAGATGATGGAACAGTCACAAAATAATGCTTACCATAAGCATTTTTGGTGAGGGCAAAGAAGAAATGTGAGGACCAGAGAGAAAAGGGAAAGCTCATGATGTCTGCAGTAGCTGGGACATGTGAAGCACGCGAAACACTTATTTAGGAAGGATCTTAGGCTGTTTTGACCTCTACGTCAAGCCTTTTCAAGTCAAACAACATGACTCAACAGGCAAGAGAAGCAAAGACCTAGAGCTATGGGCTGGATCTATTCTTGTTAACTTCACAATGATGGATCACAAAGAAAGAGGGGAGATGTCCCTTCCTGGAGTTAGCTGAATAGCAGGGCAGAGGTTGTGATGGCATGCAGTGGGCAAAAACAGAGCTGTGTTGCACTGACCTTTAGCTTCCCACATGGCAGAGTTGACTCTGAAGTTTATCTGTGTACTGAGATATGAGAAGGAAGGAGCGAAGTCCCTTAACTCATAACCAGGGTGTCATAATCAGCCACAGAAATTCATGTTCGCCCTTTCCCTGGTTATCTGATATTTCAAAAGGCTAATGACACTCAAAGTACAACTTACAGGGCAGTGATTCAAGTTTTTCATGCCAGATCCTCTCTGAAGGCCTTCATGATGGCGAACATCACTGAGCTCCTACCGCGTGGTGGCAACACTACATTTAAGTACTATCGCATTTAATCACACAGCAGCCCTATGGAAGTTTTTATTGCTATTTAGAAGGAGAGGAAAATCTAAGAGAGGCCAAGTAACACAGTTAAGAGAAAGAGTTGCTGCCATCGCTGAGCTGTGGGGTCAGCTTCTTCCTCATGCCCCATGAAGTTCCCATGGTGCAGGGTTCACTACAGGGCCCGGAATGGAGCTGTGAGCCCTTGCTGCATAGCAGACGGCTAAGAAGAAAGAGCTAGGGGGTAGCCTAATTAAACCTCCAAGGTACACAGCTAACAGTTGGCTGAGTCTCAGAGTCAGATTTTGAGCTTAGGTGGTCTTGAGTCTAGAGCCCAAGCACATATCTGTGACTGCGTACCATCCGTTCCAAGACCCCCTAGCAAACTGGTGTGTTTATATATGCGTTTCTTTTCAGAATTTTTACTGGTCTCTCAAAGAAAACTAAGACCCATTGCCCTACAGGAAGCCAGACCCAATACCAGACATGTGGACCGGATGCCAAGGGTCCGGCCCCCTCGAGAAGGGGTCCCTAGCAGCCTGGACATCCTGCCTGCTGCAGAGCCCATTACCAACTCAGAGCCTTGCTTCACTTCACTGGAGGGGCCAATGCTCCACGGGTCCCAGCTGTGCGACCCCCTAGCTCTTTCTTCTTAGCCGTCTGCTATGCGGCAAGGGCTCACAGCTCCATTCTGGGCCCTGTAGTGAACCCTGCACCATGGGAACATCACAGGGTATGAGGAAGAAGCTGACCCCACAGCTCAGCGATGGCAGCAACTCTTTCTCTTAACTGTAGCTGCTGATATCAATTGCTTGGGCATGCATGCTCTTGAGAACACGTGCTTACTCTTCGTGGGAAGAAAGTGTTACCCAAGTGTGAGCACTTGGCTGACAAGAATGTTGTTTGCCCAGATTACAATAAAAAGCTCCCCCAACCCCAGGCACCCCTCCCCTTTCTTGAACCACACACCCAAAGCAAATTGCCTTTCAGCCTTAGATTTGAGCTTTCCAATGGGTGGGGCATGACACATGACACATGGAAGGGCCAGTAGACACTGATCACCCTCAACCCTCGGGATGTGCTCGTGAACAGCCCCATCTCAGCCTTTTTTTTTTTTTTATCCCCCTGAGGTGGAGCCTCGCCCTGTTGCCCAGGCAGGAGTACAGTGGTGTGATCTCAGCTCACCGCAACTTCCGCCTTCCAGGTCCAAGCGATTCTCCCACCTGAGCCTCCCAAGTAGCTGGGATTACAGGTACCTGCCACCACACCGGGCTAATTTTTGTATTTTTAGTAGGGAAGGGGTTTCGCCATGTTGGCCCGGCCAGTCTCAAACTCCTGACCAGGTGATCTGCCCGCCTCGGCCCCTCAAAGTGCTGGGATTATGGGCGTGAGACACCGTGCCCGGCCCCATCTCAGGCTTTAAGTATGCTGAATAAATATTATTCTCAGTGTCATGATGTAGGCAGCTTGTTCCTTTATCAGCAAGAGCTTCCAAAGAGCATTAAAGAATCAGATAGACAGAACTGAGGCCACTGAGAGAGGTGTCAAGTTGAAATTCCCAGAACCTTCAACACCCCATAGGAAACATCGCTATCTCCCAGGGGATTAAAAGGGTGGCTCAGAGTGAAAATTTACTGTTCAATACTATAACCACTAACTACACGTGGCTACTGAGCAGTTGAAATGAGGCAAGTCTAAATTGAGAGGTGTTTAAGTATAAAACACACACCAAATTTTCCAGATGTGGTATAAAGAAAATAACATAAAATCTCAATGTTTAAAATACTGATTATGTGTTGAAATTATAATATTTAGGATACTCTTGATAAGTAATCTTAACTGCTATTTTTACTTTTTTAAATGTGTGTGCTAGAAAATTTTAAATAATATATGTTACTCGTGTTATTTTTTTGGACAGTGCTGATTTAGAAACTAAAGGCCCTGGCCAGGCGTGGTGACTCACGCCAGTAATCACGGCATTTTAGGAGGCCAAGGTTGGCGGGTCACTTGAGGTCGGGAGTTTGAGACCAGCCTGGCCTGAGGCATGAGAATAGCTTGAACCTGGAAGGCAGAGGTTGCAGTGAGCCAAGATCACGCCACTGCACGCCAGCCTGGGTGACAGAGTGAGACTCAGTCTAAAAAAAATAAAAAAGACAAAGAAACCAAAGGCCCTTTGACTTAATGCCTACAGAATATAAGCAAAAGGTAGTGTTGCCCAGTGGCAGCAA
This sequence comes from Homo sapiens, assembly GCF_000001405.40. NCBI lineage: Eukaryota > Metazoa > Chordata > Mammalia > Primates > Hominidae > Homo > Homo sapiens. The sequence continues at coordinate 112,362,798 of NC_000010.11, read as the reverse complement.
TGAACATGTTGTAATTGTTCTGGGAGAACTTTTTTCCCCCTAAAAACCAGCCAGAGCTTCATCATCCCATGTAATGCTTGAAAACTATGTATATGCCTGTATATATTAGCAATTATAAATCCAGGCATCTTCAGAAACCTGTCCCAGCAACATCTTTTACCTGTTCCTCTGGTTTCTGCAGCAGCAGCAATTTGTTCCTTAGGGTCAACACAGAATCCATCCAACAGACTTTATGATCTTTTGCCTGGAGCAATAAACCTTTATTATAAAACTGCTACCACTTACTGGCTATTGTTACATGCCAGGCACTATGCTGTGTATTTTACATTTACTACTTCATTTAATCCTTGCAAAAGGTTGTCAGAGTAATTACGAATGAGGAAATTGGGTTCAGATAATACATAACTTGTCCATGCCAGCTTTTCTCATTCCAAAACCTGTGCTTACAGCCATTCTGCGACACTGCCTTCTACAGGAAGGTAGTGGGAGAAGCCGGGGTTCCTGTGCCATAGATAGGAATACCAGTATTCTGGGGGGATGTCAGCACCTCCCTCCTTTTCAAGCCTTTAAGGATATTATCCTCTGCCTTGCAAGCTTTCTTTCCCTGGGCTCACAGCCTGGGGACAGACACACCACGTGCTTGGCTCAAGAGCCTTTACCAGGAGCAGAGAGGAAATGCCAGGAAGTGGGAGGGCTCCTGGTTTCTCCAGACAAGAAACTGGAGAGGGCGGAGGAGTCAGGGACATCCTGTCTCACTTTAGATGTATGGCTATCCACCAGAAAGAAGCTGCCAGATGCCAAGCCCAGTGCCACAAAGGTCGCCAATTTACACAGATGGAGAAACATTCTGTGGGTCAAGAGTGTGTCATCACCAGAGAAAGATGGATTAGTACATATTTTTTCTTTTTTTTTTTTTTTTGAGGAGTCTTGCTCTGTTGCCCAGGCTGGAGTGCATTGGCATGATCTCTGCTCACTGCAACCTCTGCTTCCCGGTTTCAAGTGATTCTCCTGCCTCAGCCTCCTGAGTAGCTGGGATTACAGGCATCTGCCACTATGCCTGGCTAATTTTTGTGTTTTTAGTAGAGATGTGGTTTCACCATGTTGACCAAGCTGGATTCAAACTCCTGACCTCAGGTGATCTGCCTGCGTCAGCTTCCCAAAGTGCTGGGATTACAGGCGTGAGCCACCGCTCCCGGCCAGGACACATTCTTTATTTGCTCAGTGTTTGGGACACTATGACAGCAAAAGTGTCTTGGCAAACCTAAAATTTTATGGAAAGTGGCTTTGGAATTAATGGCATCACTGTTAGTCATTCCGTATCTTTGAATACTGAGTACCTGGAGCAGGTGGTTGCTTCTCCTCCTCACAACCTCTGAAAGTTTTTGCTCTTCATGCCAAGGCATAATGGGGGCAGGAGGAGGAGCAGAGACTACGAAATAGTAGGAACAGAGACTGTGAAATAAATATTCAGAAATCTGGCATTTAGGCCAGACTAGCCTGCTACCCCGGAGATTATAGTGATATCTGGGAGAACACTTCGTTGTTTAAAGTATTGCTTAAAGCCTCAAATTTGTTCAGGTGTCAAAGACTCATTCCTTTAGGACAAAGGTATGAGAAAGTCTGTTTCAGCCACACAGGATAAATAGCAGATGACTGAAGCACAGAGGAGACAGGCAGGGCTTCCAGGAGGGAGGAATTTTCTTCTCTTGGCACAAACGTTTTCAGAAACAAGACCAGAGCGTTCTTGTCAGTCAGCCAAGGCCACACCTCATCCTCAGCTTTGTAGGAGTCGTGGGTGCCTGTGTGCATCATTACTGACAGGATTTGCATCCTGGGGATTTTGTTTTGTTGCAGCCCTAAGAGCCATGATCTTCCAGTTTGATCTTAACTCTGCTTTCCTCTGGCTCCTCAAACTTTTGCTTAGTAGAAGCTGCATCTTCAGAACCGGCACCATAGCTGTTTGTAAGAGCTGAGAACACAAGGGGAAGTTTGCAGTTCACACCCTGATAGGTCACAGCCATGTTTACTTGCTCTTATTTCTAGAATAGTGAGTACGCGGTGTGCTCTACCTTTAGGAATGTCCCCGTTAGGAACCTGTAAGCCCGAACTGAAGAGAACCTTGCTGTCATCACCCAGCAGGGCCCCCAGGAATACTGTCTTCCATTTGTTAGGAATCCACCAGAGGCCTAGTATCTTAGGGCAGGAGGCTGGTAAGGTCAGAGCTCTCTGCCCTCTGCCTTTTTCCCATTTCACAGATAAGGAAACTGACGCTCAGGTAGTCTTACGGACTTGCTGAAGCCTTTTCCAGGAATGCACCGGTAGGTGCTCCCTTTGCCTCTCCCCCAGTGTGATCACAGGCTCATCGCATTGCATTCCACTTAGGTCAAGCACCTTTTTCTGCCTCTCACCTTTTCCCTGGGGGAGAAGTAGAGCCCAAACATGCCAAACCTTTACTTTTCACCTAAACTTGATCAGGCCACTGATTTAGAAATTGAAGGGAGGCAGGCAGAAAGAGGGAGCTGGAGGAAGGAGAGCTAGAAAGTTGCTAGAGGTTTTACTAAAACCCACCATCCTGGATACAGCTCATCTTATCTGACCTAGGACGCCGAACAGCTGGCCTTGCATCTAGTTTATAGACTAGGCTGGTCACTATTGAGGAAGCCACAAATCAGGCAGAAAGAACCCTCCCTCGGTAATAGTCTCTTCAGGAAGCAGAGATGGGACAAAGTAGCAAGGAATTAAAGAGTTACCCCAGGCAGAGGGGGCTGCACTTTGAACCTCTGCTGGCCACGCACAGACAACTTCTGTTCCAAAGCACCATCCGATGAAATAGCATGGCCTCTCCTAATCATAAGGGTAACTTCTAGGCCTAAGAATCCCCTAGAAGGAAGGAGGGCTGGGGAGCAAAATAGAGGACAGTGTGCCCCCTCCAGCAGCCACAGTCCTTACAACACCCACCGCCCCCCAACCTGGTTTTAACCTCAGGCTTTCCATTCCAGCCAATCAAAGGCATCACACAAATTGGGCTAGTAACAATGGCAATGCTTTTCCAGCTCATAATGGCCATTACCTGAACCGCTGCATCTCTGTCTCTGAGGGCAATGGAGAAATGGAAGGGGCTGAGCTCAGCAGAGAATAATTAGGGCCTACGGAGGTAAGCCAGGTGTCTGTAAGTGTGGGGTGCTCCTGAACTGAGCGATTAAGGCAGTATGAATTTAGCCTTCTGTGTTGATCCTTCAGAAGTACAATTCTGTAGGGTTTATTTTTAATTAAAATATTCACTTTTCTTTCTTATTGCAAAGAGATTAAGACAAAAAATGAAAATTAATATAAACAAAGCAAGGACAAACCACCCCTAATTCCTATGACACAGAGCGAGCCACTTTTAGTGGTTTGTTGTATGTAATCTTTCCTTTTGAAAAAAAAAACAAAATGGAATACTAATATATATTATTGTATGATGTGCTTCATCAGTTAGCAATACACTGCGGCTATCTTTCTAAGAGAATATATATATATTTATATATAGATATATAGATAGATATCTATTTATATATAGATATATATGTATAGAGATATATATAGATACATATTTATATAGATAAATAGATACATATTTATCTATGTTTGCGGTTCACACCCTGACAGGTCACAGACACGTTTACTTGCTCTTATTTCTGGAATAGTGAGTACACGGTGTGCTCTACCTTCAGGAATGTTCCCATTAGGAACCTGTAAGCCCGAACTGAAGAGAAATTTGCTGTCATCACTCAGCAGGGCCCCCAGGAATATATATATATATAGAAATATATATATAATAATATATAGAAATATATATATAATATATATAGAAATATACATAATATATCTATATGTATTTCTACATATATAAAATATTATTTTTAGTGATTGCATGCCACTCAGTCATATGAATTCACTACATGTTATTTATCCTGGTCTCTCTGTTGGACAATGAAGCTTGTGTCTAAATTTTGACTGTTAGAAATAACACTGTGTTTAAATCTGATCATATGATTTTATTTATTTGTAATAAATCCCCCAAATTAGAGTTTTGAGTCCAATATGCACACATTCTTAAAGTTTGGTGCATATTGAAGAACTGCTGTTAATGAACATTCCTACCAGCCAGTGTATGTCTGTTTCTTAAACTCCCAACAACACTGAACATCATCAGTATTTTCTTCTGGTTTTGACCATGCTCACTTGTAAGCATTTAAGAATACAAAATACTTATACTTGTTATGATTAATATTAATTTGCTTGTCTAGAGGCCTAATACTGTGCTGAATATTAGGATCCAAAAAAGACACACACAGTCACCTGGCTCAAAGATTCTCAGGACAAAGACAATCTGTAAACACAAAGAATCAGAAATGACCCAGTGTGGGAATACAAATCAAAGAAAGTATACATATGGAAGGTGGGGGAGGGAACAAAAAGTGCATAGATAACATATTGTTTCCAGTGTTCTAGTTTTGAGACCATGACATGTGCAATGACACATCTATTAACAGAATTCCTTTACTGATTCCTAATAATTGTGAGGCACCATTCTAAGTAATCATGCAATCTCACAGTATCTTTATAGCATCCTTCCAGGAGGGGTGTTACTCTGCTCATTTTGACTTTCAGGAAACTGAGGCACAGATTTAACTGACTTGTCCAACATCATGTAAGCATCTGAGCCAAAAATGATTCATGGGATTTTGCTTATGGTTCCAGTGAGTTTTTGGACTCAGATGATTTTGCAAATTGACTCCAAGCCGTCCTAGCAGAGGAGACAGAGAAACTGCAGGTCAGTGAAGAAGCAGTTATGATGAATTTGGTTTGGAGAAAAGCAACTCCCCTAATCCATGGGTTTAGAAATGGCCCTCTGAGATAGCCAAAGCTAAGTCTCCTTAATTCCATCCTGGGGGCTTGCTCCTCAAGGAAGATAAGTAGAGAATAGCTATTGGCTATTCTTTCCCTCTTCTCACTTCAGTCTGCCAGGGGTTCTCATACTTTAGTGTACTTAGGGATATATGAGGACCTGTTAAACATGGATTCCCAGAGCAACCTCAAAACATTCTGGTTCAGAGGGTCTGGAGTGAAGCCCTGGAATCTTCATTTCTAACCATCAGGAGAGACTGAGGTAGGTGGTCCTTAGATCAAGACTTGAGACTCATAGCGAGTCGACTGTGCTCACATAATACTGAGATGAACGTGAGATGCCAGCCCCTTCCCTGCCAGAGTAATCAGAAAGCAAGCCCACAGTAGGTGGGAATTCAACCCTTTATATTCATGTGGATTTTCCTGGCTGATAGCTGGGCCATCTTACTTGGCAGTAGCAATGGCTTCTCAAGGGTCCTGTCATCCCTGTGATATTTCAGACAATTGAGAGCTGCCCCCAGCTCCTTGCCCTGACCTGTGTAGAGGGAGGGTTAGTATTTCATGCATCAATAACCAATCTCAAGCGCCCTAAAGGCCTGGGTGAGGGATACAGACTGTGTCAACCTTTCAGTAAACCTTATAGCCATAAGCTTACTTATTTCATAAAAATTTCCTAGAAGATGGAATCAGGAAGTGATAATTATTATCACTATTACTGGGATCATCATCATCATCAACACCATTGTCAAATCTAATACTGATGGACTGGCTCTCTTTGCCCAGGTATTTTGCCAAGGGCTAGTCTTGTATGATCTCTTTTAATCTTTACCATATCACTTCACGGAAGACCTTATTACAGTTTTATCCCTGTTTTACAGAGCAGGAGATTAAGGCATAGAAAGGGGAAGTAATATGTTCTAGGTCACTCAACTAATGTGTGATGGAGTCAGAATTCCAGCCCGGGCCATCTGACTCCATTTGAGTCATTTCTGTGGTTCTTATTTTACCGGTGGAGAGGGACAGAGGGGTCATGTGACTTGCCCAGGAATGTGAAGTTTGTCAGGGATGTCACTGGATCAATCACCAGGACCCTGCTGACTAGCTGCCTTGGCCTCCTTCTGCAAGGCTGCTGCTTCTAGATGGTATTAAGACAGACTCAGAAAAGGGAGAGTTTCGGTTAATTAATGGCACTGAATAGAAAGCAAGCTGTGATCCTCGGGGAACTCTACACTGTCATGTAAGTTCCTGGCGTGAGTAATCAGGAGGCTGAGCCTCTCACAGTTCTGCAGTGACACAGGTGTTACATGCCATCCATGGCTCTCAAACCATGTCTTGAGGCCCCAATTGAGTCTGGGCTCTGTTCAGGGATTGAATGTCATGCTGAGCACCCAACACTAGTTCTGATGCTCTTTGCCAGTGTGCTGGTGACTTGCCTTGAGGCTGCTAAACTCACCGTAGGCTTCCAGACCCCCTGGAACATCTCCCATCCATTCAGCATGCAAAGGCTGGGTGCAGGCCTCCAGATTGCCATGGACAAGGTCAACTCAGAGCTAGTGGACCTTGGAAATTTCACCACTTACACCAACTCAGCCTGCAGCACCAAGGAGTCTCTTGCTATTTTCAACAACCAGGTCCAGAACGAACAGATTTCTGCCCTGTTTGGACCAGCATGCCCAGAAGCAGCTGAGGTAGAGTATATATAGCCTCTGGAAACTTTAAGTTTCCATTGGAAGGGGTGGCCTTCAAGATGATGGTACAGATTTGAGTAATCTCCTGACAAGGATCACATTATTATAACAATAACCGTGTAGATCTTGAATATCATTTTTGAGATGCAATTAGTCTATGTAATTAGAAGAGTTAACATTCTCTTTAAAGAAAGCCTTTCTTTCTTTCTTTTTTTTTTTAATGCTCTGTTGTCCAGGCTGGAGTGCAGTGGCATGATCTTGGCTCACTGCAGCCTCTGCCTCCCAAGTTTAAGCGATTCTTCCATCTCAGCCTCCCGAGTAGCTGGGATTACAGGAGTGCCCCACCATGCTCAGCTAATTTTTGTATTTTTAATAGAGACAGGGTTTCATCATGTTGTCCGGGCTGCTCTCAAACTCCTGACCTCAGGTGATCCACTGGTCTCGGCCTCCTAAAGTGCTGGGATTACAGGCGTGAGCCACCACATATGGCCAGAAAGCCTTTCAAATCAATAATTGTTTATTCACCTACCCTCTTCCTCCTCTTGTTGACTGTCTGAAGTTGATGCTATTGTGTATAGACTCTTATAGTTCACTCTCATGTTCCTAAGCTACAAAGCTTAGGAAAATTAAGAAGAAAAAAATGCAGCCAGGCGCAGTGGCTCACGCCTGTAATCCCAGCACTTTGGGAGGCCAAGGAGGGTGGATCACGAGGTCAGGAAATGGAGACCATTCTGGCTAACACAGTGAAACCCCGTCTCTACTAAAAAAAAATACAAAAAAATTAGCCGGGCATGGTGGCGCATGCCTGTAGTCCCAGCTCCTCGGGAGGCTAAGGCAGGAGAATGGCGTGAACCCGGAGGCAGAGCTTGCAGTGAGCCGAGATTGTGCCACTGCACTCCAGCCTGGGTGACACAGCAAGACTCCGTCTCAAAAAATAAATAAATAAATAAATAAATAAATAAATAAAAGAAGAAGAAGAAGAAACAAATGCTTGGTTTTAAATAGAAAACTATCAATTGTTTGAGTAGGCTTTTCTTTGGCGTATATAATAAATTAATCAGTGATAATGCAAGTCAATGAGAAAGAATCAAGTATGGCAGCCTACCTTACCTACAGCAAGAAAATGAGGGAAATGAATGACTTGTATTTGTTTGGTTGTTGGGATGAACTTTGTTGGTGTCCTTCAGTATCATGTCGCCTGAAAAGTGTTGATGCAAAAGGTGAACAGGAAGGAGCAGCACAGGTCTTACTCTCAACAATGTTGCAGAACTATCATTAGCTGGAGCTGCAGAATTAAGTTTACATTTAAATTGGACCCATTCTCTCCTGGAATTCCCCATCTGACACATTTCTATCTGTTCAAGGGTTACTTGTCTAAGAGTTAATATCAAATGTCATGGAGCCTTTCTTTATCCCTTCACCTCTGCCCTCCTTATCCCTAATTCCCCAATCGAAAGTAATTGTTTACTTCTCTAAATGCCTATAAATCTATTATCTATGCATCTTAAAGAATATATTTAATCTTAAAGCTATTTTTTATATACCTTGGTTCTTGTAATAAACCATGAGCTCCTTCAAGAGCAAGGTCTCCAAAGATTTTTATATGTGATAGGCCCCTAATTAAAATGAATGAAAAATGAATAAAGGAGAAATTAAGAAAGAGAGAATGAGTAGTTATGACTGTGGGCCATGGAACCATATTACCTAATTTCCAACCCTGCTCCACTATTTGCTAGCTATGTAACTTACATCTCTGTGTCTTCCTGTTTTATCTTAAAGAGGGGGTAATAATACCTAGAAATGTTGTGAAAGTTGAAATGACACATGTAAGCTCCTAGAGTGCTCGGCACAGAGTAAGTGCTCAATTGATGCTCGCTTTCGTTATCTTTGTTCTATGAGGCTGACGTTGTCATCAACATTACAAAAGCGAGGGCCCAGTATGACCCACAGACTCACAGAATCTGACGTTTATGCAGATGTCTCACACTGGGGTTTGCGTGTACATAAACTCAATTATACAAAGACATCCTTTGGGTTATTTTCAAGGTTATCGGCTTGCTGGCCTCTGAGTGGAACACCCCATGTTTGACTTTGTTGGACAAACCACAAAACTGTCTGACACCTGTGTGAAACTTGTGTCACCCAAGCAGGACATTGGTGATGTGCTCCAGGAAAGTCTCCAGTACCTGGGCTGGAAACACATTGGGATGTTTGGAGGCTACTCTGGGGCTTCCTCCTGGGATGGAGTGGATGAACTGTGGAGGGTTGTAGAGAATGAACTCAAATCCCATTTTATCATCACTGCCAGCATGAGATACACCAACAATAGTCTAGTCCTTCTTCAAGAGCATCTTTGGAGGATATCATCAATTGCCAGGGGTAAGTAGAAAAGTCTTCTGTTGCTTTTATTTGGAGAGAAAAATGGGACAAGCAGATTTGAAAAAAAAAAAAACAACCCAAAAAACTCTTCACTTTTCTATGAGTGTAAAAGCAGATGGAAACAAGGTACAAAATTAATAATATATAAAAGCAACTTCCTTTATTGCTTGACATCACTAACAAAAAATTGTGGGTTTTTTTTTTTGGTCTAAAGTAAAACCCCACATGCTACAGTGTTATGATACACAGCGCAAGTTCTAGAAGCATCTTACAGGTGGGCTGGGTCCTGGACTTCACTATTTGTTTACAGCATGGGCTCTGCAGATTGACAGACCTAGGTTTGAATCCAGTCTCTGACATTTTAGCTGTGTCCTCCTTGGGTAAGTACCTTAATCTCTCTGTATCTCAAATATCTTTTCTATAAAATGGAGACAACCATCCTACCTATGTCACAGAAAGGGGAGGATTAAATAAGGTTATGCCTGTAAAGTGCTTAGCACCATGTCTGGACAAGTAGTTGGTCAACATATGACAGCAATTATTTTTGTGGTGATGCCTATAAGGCTCAACTTTCTAGCATGAATTAGTAACTGACTCCTTTCTGTTCCTCAAATAAACTGAACTCTCTCCAGCCCTGAGACTTTAGGGTTTTCTACTCCCTTGGCCTAGGGTGTCACCTGCACCCACTCCAACCAGTGATGCTAATGTGGGACTCTAAGGCACAAGTGGCTCTCACTTGTTTTTCTTCCACAGCTACCTCCCTGTGTCCCTGTTGAATCTCTAATAAAGGGCTTGAAAGACCAACACTGATCCAATGAGGCAATTGTTATGTGGTCTCAGTCACATTCCACCCTACCCAGCACCTTCTTAAGGGTAGCGTCCTCTCATCCTTGCATCCTTGCCGACTGGGTCCAGAGCCCACCTCCTCAGGAAGGCCTTCTCTAACCACTTGATGTGAAGCTGTTTCCCCTCCCCACCCATTAGCATCACAGCATCCGTTTCCAACCTCACTAATTAGAATCTTCAATGATCTCTTTAATCTGTCCACTTGTATGCTGTCTGCTGGCTCGTTCACTGCTATGTCTGTGCCCAGCAAAGTGCCTGACACATAATTGGAGCTCAGATAAATAGACTATAAATTACTTCATTTAAAAAACTAGCTGGGTGCGTTGGCGCACGCCTGTAATCCCAGCACTTTGGGAGGCTGAGGTGGGCAGATCATTCAAGGCCAGGAGTTGGAGACCAGCCTAGTCAACATGGTGAAATGCTGTCCCTACTAAAAATACAAAAATTAGCCAGGTGTGATGGTGCATGCCTGTAATCCCAGCTGTCCTGGAGGCTGAGACATAAGAATTGCTTGAACCCAGGAGGCGGAGGTTGCAGTGAGCCGAGATTGTACCATTGTACTCCATGCAGCCTGGTCAATACAGCAGACTCTGTCTCAAAAATAAATAAATAAAAAATAAAACCCACTACTTCATTTGTGTATTCTGAAAATGAACGGTGATGGGATTAAACGGCAGAAAAGTACCATGGCCTACTCCTCCCTCCGGCCAGCCCAACTCAGAAAGTCCAAATGCCCTTGAAAGTCCACATGTCCAAAGGTCCTCTGTGAACTCCTCTTAGCTGAAGTGTGGCTGACAAGTCACAAGCCAGGTCTGCTGTTCTGATTTTTGAGCCAAAAAGAAAAAAAAAACCTAGAGCACAGAGGTGATCCCAAACTTTTTTCACTTGTACATTGTGGGGAGGCTGCAGCAAAGACTTCAGTGCTATAACTGCTAGTTTGTACACTTCAGGTTTGGTTAAAGAATGTAAAAACTCAGGGACTAGTTTAGGCATTCCTGTTTCTTAAGGCATGCCCAAGGAAAGAAAAAGTTCACGTCTCATTTACAGTGACTTTAGGCCAGACTTAGAGTGAGAGCATGCGTGAGAAAGCACACATACACAAGCATGTGCAACTGGCGGACTCTGGTTTTCATTCTTATAGTTATCATCTTAACGTGCAGCTCAGAGGATGCAAAAATTATTCTTCTGGCTGCAGCAAACCTGGGACTCAGCACTGGAGAATTTGTTTTCATCATTTTGCAGCAGTTGGAGGTGGGTACCGTTGACCACTCAATGGCTCTGGTAGTAAGAGGTAGCAAGTATGGAGCACTCGTTATGACCCACATGTATTAGCTCACTGAGCACTCACTACAACCCTGTGAGGTAGGCACTCTCGCGTCCTCTTCTTAAAATTAGGACACTAAGACAGAGCTGGAAGAACTTGCCCAGAGTTCTTCTCCACAGCTAGTGAAAGGCTGAACCAGGCCATGAACTAGGTCAGCTGGCTTGAAGGCCTAGCCCGCTGTATTCCGTATCAGACAACAACAGTTGAGGAACTACTGTCATTTCTACCGGGCAGCTGAGACCTTCCCAAGGGACCCTCAGACACAAGCGGCTCTCACTTCTTTTTCTTCCACAGCTACCGCCGTGTCCCTGCTGAAGCTTTAACAAAGGGCTGGAAAGACCAACATACAGATGCAACGAAGCAATTCTTAGGCAGTCTGATTCTTTTGGTAATGAGAATGGCTAAAAACACAACTGCTTACTATGAGGACTGAGTTACACATTTTACACACGATTGCACTTAATATTCTCAATGGCTTTGCAAGGCAGTTCCTAAATGCATTATTTATGTGCCTGTACATTTTGTATTTGGTATTTCGAACAGCCTTGGAAGGTAGATATTATTGTTATTCCAATGTACAGGTAAAAAAACCCAAGGCTTAATTAAGGTACCTTATCTAAGATTTCAGCACTCCCAAGTGGCATACCTAGTCTTCCAGACTGGGCCTTTCAGTCTGAGCTCACCCCACACAACTCTGCCTTCTGGAGAGCTTATGGAGTACTGGGCCTCACTGTGAGTGCTTAATACATTAACGCTTATTGCAGCCCACCACCACACCATGGGGTATTTTGGATCTGGAAATTGGTGGGTTCTTGGTCTCACTGACTTCAAGAACGAAGCTGCGAACCCTCGAGGTGAGTGTTACACCTCTTAAAGATGGTGTGTCCGGAGTTTGTTCCTTCACATGTTCAGATGTGTCTGGAGTTTCTTCCTTTTGGTGGGTTTGTGGTCTCGCTGACTTAAGGAGTGAAGTTGCAGACCTTCACGGTAAATGTTACAGCTCTTAAACGCAGCGTGGCTGGAATTGTTCATTCCTTCACGTGGGTTTGTGGTCTCGCTGGCCTCAGGAGTGAAATTACAGACCTTCACAGTGAGTGCTACAGCTGTTACAGGTGGCGCATCCGGAATCGTTCATCACTCCCAGTGGGTTCACGGTCTCGGCAGCTTCAGGAGTAAAGCTGCAGACTTTCGCACCATGTTATAGCTCACAAAGGTAACATAGAGCTAGAGCAAGCAGCAGCAAAACTTTAGCCCAAAAAGCAAGACAACAAACTTTCCAAAAAGAACCCAAAAGGGTTATCGCTGTTAGCCCACGCAGCTTTTTATTCCCTTATCTGACCCCACCCACATCCTGCTGATTGGTCCACTTAACAGAGAGCTGATTGGTCCATTTTGACAGGGTGCTGATTGGTGCGTTTACACACCTTGAGCTAGACAGAGTGCTGATTGGTGTGTTTACAATCCTTTAGCTAGACATAAAAGTTTTCCAAGTGCCGACCCAACTCAGGAACCCTGCTGCCTTCGCCTAGTGGATGCCGCCTGCGGAGCTGCCTGCCAGTCCCAAGCCACGCACCCACCCTTCTCAGCCCTTGGGCGGTCGATGGGCGGGGCCCTTTGGGGACGCTGGGGCTGCGCGGAAGCCCACTGGTGGCGGGGGGGGCGGAGGGGAGGCATGGCAGCTGCAGGTCCTAAGCCCTGCCGCGTGGGGAGGCAGCTGAGGCGCGGTGAGAATTCGAGTGTGGCGCGGACGGGCCGGCAGTGCTGTGGCACCCGGTGAACCCTCCGCAGCCGCTGGCCCAGGTGCTGAGCCCCTCACTGCCCGGGGCTGGCGGCGCTGGCCGGAGCTCCGAGTGCGGAGCCCACCCCCACCCGGAACTCACGCTGTCCAGCGAGCGGCACCCAGCCCCGGTTCCCGCCCGCGATTCTCCCTCCACACCTCCCTGCAAGCAGAGGGAGCTGGTTCCGGCCTCGGGCAACCCAGAAAGGGGCTCCCACAGTGCAGCGGCGGGCTGAAGGGCTCCTGAAGCACCGCCAGAGTGGACGCCGAGGCCAAGGAGGCGCCAAGAGCGAGCGAGGGCTGCTAGCACGTTGTCACCTCACTTTTATCATCCTCGTTTTACAGAAGAGGAAACTGAGGTTCAGAGAGGTGCCAAAACTTGCCCAAGGCCATCCAACTAGTATGAGGGAGAGCTAGCATTCAAACCCAGGTGGCCTGGGCTCCTTTTCTACCTCTCATCAAGTGCACTGATGCATGGAAATAATGCACGTAGTATCTGCCTCACAGGGGGCTATTGTGTCTGTGCTTGTAAGCATCTTACACAACAGGCATCTACAAAAGCTACTTGCCTTTTCCTATGGACACGGTGCATTATTTTTCTAGCAGTTTTATCTTTCTAAAATAAGCTTTTTAAAAAAATCACAAGAAGCTGAAATAGGACAGAAGAAAATAAAGGGAGATATATAGTAATGTCCCAGATTTTTCTTTCTTTATCATGAAGTCTTTCAGATCCACAAAAGCATCTCAGATTTCTTTGGGTAGGGAGCTGGAATCCTAAAGGCATGCCAGACTTTCCAGAACACTCTCTTACCCTAGATATCCATTGTGACCGCCTCCCTTTCTCTTCACTTTTCCTCTCATCTCTGCCTTCAGGCACATTGTTTTGGCAGGGAAACTTTTCAACTCCCCTGTTGCTTTCTCCCACACATTGATGATCCATTCCAACTGGTGTGTAATGGCAGAAAGAAGGTAGAACTAAGAATACACCAATGTCTATGCAATTGAATTCATGCTGCTTCATGAAAGAATAGCATAAATCTATTTTATGAAACTATTCCCAGTATAGGTTTAGGTGGAAAAAAATCAAGCTGCATTATGGTATGATATCATCATATATATATATATATGTGTGAGTGTGATGTCATATATATGTATATATACATACATATATGTATAATGAGTGGGTATATACTGTTCATAATAGTAACGTAGATTATAATGATAATGCCACAAGCAAAAAAAATTTAAAAAAAGCAAGAATCTATAGTCTTAAGCTTTTTAAGTTTTTGCAATCATTGTTAGTAGGTAAGCTTTCTGCATCTTAGCAGCTGTATGCACCAGGAACATTTTTTCTTTTTATTTGTGGCTTTCCTTCCACTGCTTATATGCCAGCTAGAGAATGTGGACCTTGTATTGCAGGCCTTCTGGAATCACTGTGTTTCCAGGAATTAGAATGTAGTGGTTCAAATTAAACATTGTGTTACACGCAGTGCCCTTGCCAAGGCATTTCCTACCGAATAACAACATTTATTTTATTACTTTTTAGGACCGTTTTTGGAAGGAAGTACTGACAAATCAGAAAATGATGCACCTCCAAAAGGTGTATGGGTCACTGCTTCTCATTGCCCTCAGCTCCTACAGAAAAGGCCGTGGAGACGAAGGCTTTTGGAAACAAGTCTACCAAACACCGAGGAGGTCGCCCTTCCGCAGCACCATCTCCTGGGAGGAGCAGGTGTGATGCCGGGTCTTCCAGCTCAGGCTCCCTCCTCCCCTTCTTTGATCATATTTGTGTTTGCCTTTGCATTTCTCCCTCTTATTTCTCCTCATCTCTCCCTACCCCCCTTACACACATGCAGGTGCACACACACATGCACTTCCCCATCTTCCACGCCCAAAATAAACAGCAGTTTGATGCTCTCTTGTGAATTTATACCTCAGAGGTTACTGGGTGAAAGGCCTTTGGAGCAGAGGCCTATGCCCCCATCCTACTGCTGCTGTTTGCTAACTGTAGGACCTTGTAGTGAATTGCTTAACCTCCCTACACCTCGGTCTCTTCTTCTGTGAAATGGGACTGATAATGGCATCTACCTCCCAGGCTGTGGTGGTGTGTATTTAGTAACATTGTCCATGGAAGAAGCAAAGTATATATCTTCTTCTTTTGAGGGAAGGTCTCGCTGTGTCACCCAGGCTAGAGTGCAGTGGTGCAGTCATGCTCACTACATCCTCGACTTCCTGGGCCCAAGCAACCCTCCCACTTCAGCCTCCTAAGTAGCTGGAAATATAGACACATGCCATCATGTCTTGATAATTAAAAAAAAATTTTTTTTGTAGAGACGCGATTTCCCTATGTTGCCAAGGCAGCTCTTGAACTCCTGGGCTCAAGCAATCCTTCTGACTTGGCCTCCCAAAGTGCTAGAATTACAGGCGTGAGCCACTGTGCCTGGCCCAGAACAGATATTAATGGGTACCCAGACCATGACAATTTCCTTCCCCAGGAGGATGCCAGGACCTAGACCCAGGATGGAGTGGTCAGAGATGTGGAGCTAGGACAGGTCAGGGCCAGCAGGTGGGCTGGAAAAGGGAGGAGATGATCAGGAGAGAGAGGGTCCGCCTGTGGTAATCCCAGTATGTGTGTGATGAGGAGGCAGTATCTGGCTTTCACAGAGAAGTTTTTGAAGAGAGACCTTTGTCCAGAGCTGGAGCTACTTCCAGTGTGGGGCCAAGCTGAAGCCTAAGGTGACCACAGGCCACTGATGACAAGGAGTTTGATTAGAAATGAGGGGGCCGATTGTGGATCCCAACATATAAGACAAGATAACCAATTAAAGAATATTTGAGTAACAGTCTACTAAGTGTCAGCTTTGTATCTGGTACTGTTGGGAGAACAGTGCCTGGCACTTAGTAGGCACTTGTATTTTCCTTGACTGCCCAATAGAAGACATCACGTCCTGAAGACCTACTAAGGGTCAGGGACTGCAATGGATAGTTTACCTATTATGCCTCATTTAACTATTGTCACATTCAACCCAACAGCAGTTTTATCCCCCTCCTTTTTTTTTTTTTGAGATGGAGTCTCGCTCTGTCACCTAGGCTGGAGTGCAGTGGCGCAATCTCGGCTCACAGTAACCTCTGCCTCCTGGGTTCAAGTGATTTTCCTGCCTCAGCCTCCTGA
This sequence comes from Homo sapiens, assembly GCF_000001405.40. Lineage (NCBI taxonomy): Eukaryota > Metazoa > Chordata > Mammalia > Primates > Hominidae > Homo > Homo sapiens. The sequence continues at coordinate 112,346,722 of NC_000010.11, read as the reverse complement.
GTAGCTGGGATTACAGGCACCTGCCACCACGCTGGGCTAATTTTTGTATTTTTAGTAAAGATGGGGTTTCACTATGTTGGCCAGGCTGGTCTCCAACTCCTGACCTCGTGATCCGCCCGCCTTGGCCTCCCAAAGTGCTGGGATTACAGGCGTGAGCCAACGCGCCCAGCCTATCCCCATTTTATAAACGAGTGAGCTGAGATTCAGAGAGGCTGTGGAACTTACCTCGGGACTCATAGCCAGTAGGGAGCTGAGCTGGTCTAGTTCCAGCATGTACCCTCTTTCCCTGAAACCATGCTCCCTCCCACCTGTGGCCTGAAGAGCGTCCCTGAAGGATCAGAAGATCTAAGTGGGAAACGCAGCATTCAGAAGGAAAATGAAGACTGCGACGTCTGGGTTTCATAGTGCAGGCGCAGGTGTATGCTGGACCCTCTGCTCTGTGGGATGGGGGAAGAAAGTGCTGTGTGCCACTGCCGGGCGGACGGAACAGAGATTCCTCCTAATTTAGTGCTGGACGGTGACCCAAGAGGCCAAGAACCTCTTGAGACCCTGCTTTGCTTGTCTTATTGAAGGTGAGCCCTTACTCTGCCTACCTTCACGACGCCGTCCTGCTCTATGCTGAGACCGTGAAGCAGGTGGTAAAGGCTGGAGGCGACTTCCAGGATGGGTGGCAGCTGGTCAGCGCTCTGAAGGGTTCCAGTCAGACCACAGTGCAGGGTAGGTGGCTTACTGCTGGAGGGTGTTCTAAACTCAGACCTGCGGCTCCAGTCGGTGGGGGCTTTGAGATCTTGGGCATGTAATTAAAGGCCTCTTTCAGGGCCTGCCTCACACTGAACTCCAGAATTCATCTTTCTTATGGGGATTCCTGTCTTCCTTCTGTAAGTGTAGTTGAGGTTAAGACCTCCCAGCTCCCACAGTTCGCTCATCCTTCTGGCCAGAGCCTGCCCAGACCAGGAGAGGAGGCTGCTGGGCACCTTATCCCCTTTCCCCTGGGAATTCTCCCCCGCAGTTCCATTCAAACTGAGTCCATCAAGAATAAAATTCAGAAATGTGAGACCTGTCTCCCGGGGTCACTTCCCATCTGCAGCCTCTGTGATGGGGGCCCTGGCACCACAGACTTCTGAAGATGGGTTGTAGTCTCATTCTTGCTTTCCTGGTGGGGATGAGTATAGGTTGGGGAGTGAACCGCTTTCAAATCACATTCAGCTGACCAACTGCTTTGATCTTTCTTGTTCTCGTTTTCTCAGTTGTAAGATAGGGATAACACCTGTTACCACATGCAGAAATAATAACCAGCATTTAGGGAGGGCTTACCTTACACTAGGCCAAGTGCTAAGAGCTTCCGAGTATTACCTAATTGAATCCTCACACAGCCCATGAGGCAGGTACTATTTCTATCTGTATTATTCAGGTGAGTAAACTGAGGTTACAGAGGTTATGTACCTTGTCTAAGGTCACAAAGTTATTAGATGGTGGAGCCAGGATTCAAAATCAAGTCTGCCTTCTCCAGGGCTCATGTTCTTTGCTATCCTGTAACATAGGAGTAATGAGAATATGACATGCACCTGGCACATAGTATGTGCTCATTAAATAGTAGGTTCTTTTTTTTTTTCTTTTGAGATAGGGTCTTGCTCTGTCACCCAGGTTGGTCTCATACTCTTGGGCTCAAGAGATCCTCCCGCCTTGGTGTCTCAAAGTGCTGGGATCATAGGTGTGAGCCACTGTGCCTAGCCAAATGGTCACTATTTTTATCCTTGCTTTGGCTTATCTTTTTGGCTTTTGGCTTATAAATTATTACCTAAAATTTGTCTGAAAATTTAAAGACAGCAGCCAAGGCCTGCTCTTTGAAGTTTTCATAGAAGCAGGTCGCGTTTACCCTATTAATGCCTTTTGCAAGTGGAAATATTCACCAACTTCTCTCCTTTCCTTTCAGACCCTAAGGCATTTGCTTAAAAAGGGGAGAGGTCACAAGGGGGGATCCTTCTTTCTGCTCTCAGTTTAATCCCCTCTGCCAGATCAATTAATTCCTCTTTCCTGTGGTTTTAGAAATTCTTCATGCTGGAATGAGGGGAGGTTGTGAAGAGCAGTGAGGCCCTTTAAGAGCCTGAGTCATCCCACTTTGGTTCTGGGACCCGTGGGCCCCTTTCAGGGACTCATGACCAAAGGGCCCTCCTCACCCCTTCCAAACTGGCTTCTGTTCCCTTATGGGCTACAGGACTAGCCTTGGCAGAACTGGAGTATTTGTCTCTGCTTCCTGTGTTCATTTCTGCCACATGGTGGCAACCACTCCATCGGCCAGTGCCGAAGGGCTTTTGCACCATTCCAGAAGGAAAGCCTCTTCTAGGAGGTCGAGTTAGGGAGCAGAATCCCCCAACCCCACTGGCTTTGGCTCAGTGAACGCAATGCACACTGAAAGAAGTGGCCCTGGTTGTCGCAGGAGCTCTGGCCTTTCCCCTGCAAACCTCAGGCTCAATACCCACATTCAGGATGCCCACGGATGTGTATGCAGAAAGGCAGTGTGGCATGCTGGAAAGAACATGGCACTTGGGGCCTGATAGGCCTGGGTTTGTGTACCAGCTGTGCCTCTTCGTGGCCCTGGCAGGAAGACCCGAGGAGTTCATGCCTCCAAGCTTTGCTTGTTGGGAGCAGATGATGGTGCCCCTTCTGAAGGGTTAATTAGGATTAGACATGGGAAGTCAACACCACCTGCAGTGCCCAGCACTTATTAGGTGCTTTATCAGTGGTAATTTTGTGTTCTGTCCCCTGTGGGACAAAATCAGCAATAAGTCCTTTGTCAGAACCTACGTACTAGTTTGGGGTGTGAAGGAGCTGTGCTTCCAAGATGCGTTCCTTCAGTAGTGGAGTTAATCACGTTCTAAGAAATAGCAAACAGCACATCAGGCCCTGTAAAGCCTCTGCACCAAGCCTCTGCAAAGGGCCTGCAAGGCCTCTGCACCCAGACCAGGAGGGAAGGGGCTGCCATGAGAACAGAGATTGCAAACTTGTGCCCCAGGGCCTGGCAGCATGGAGGCGTGGGGTGGGTGGGGTCAGGGGAGGAAGATGGGAGGAACTGGAGGAAGCAGCTGTCCCTCGGCCCCAGACGACTGCTGACATGTTGTCACATCTGATTGTTCGAGGGAAGCATAAATCTCAGGTTTTAAGTGAAATTAACTGGAAACAAACTTTTTTTTTTATTTTTAAGTGCTGGATGAGCTTCCCCAGTGTGGGCCTGAGAAAATACATCTGCCTGCCCAGTGTGGCCCTTTAACCCTAACAGGATGCTATCTCTGAACTGTCTTCTTCCCTTTGCTGGTCCCCATTGACCCTGTCTCAGATTCACTGAAATGACAGAAACCCTGTGTCTGGTTTTTAATGGCTGTTGGGGAAGGGGGTTCTGTTGATTTGAGTTGGGGCAGGCTGGCATTTTGAGCCACATGTTGCTGTCCCTCTCCTGACCTTGTGCAATCTCCTGTCTTTCTAGGAATCACAGGCCCTGTGTTTGTGGATGCCCAGGGAGAAAGGCACATGGATTACTCTGTCTATGCCCTGCAGAAGTCTGAAAATGGGCCCCTTTTACTTTCTTTTCTTCATTATGACAGTTATCAAAGTAATCAGATACTGGCCGGACATTTCTGCAAGTGTAGATTGTGCTACAGAAAGAGACATAGGAAGAGGAGGGCCCTGGGAAGGCCAGTTTGGGATCCAGTCCCTAGAATCCCCCAAGTAGCCTGGTGCTCTTAGAACTCATGAAGATAGACTTTGGGCCTTTAAGGTGATTTTATTCCCTTGACTGAGGTTATGGCTTGACCGTTTCAGATTTCAGTGTAGGACAGAGTACCCACGAACTGCACCTCCACCAGGGCCCTGTTCTCCTCTCGTGTTCCAACCAGTGGTCCCATTGGCCATGGTCTAGGGGAGAGGCCCTGGGCCCAGAGCGGGTGGTGGAGCACAGCGTCCCCGAAGGGATGGGTTTACAGGCCCCGAAATGGCTCACCTAGACAGCCTGACTCCCAGACACATTTGGACACCAGCAACCAGAACCCAGGAATCCTGGGGAAAAAACAAAACAAAACTTTGTTTTTGTTCTTTCAGCTACAAATCAATGAGAAAACTAAAAGGAAACCTAAGATGTAATTCAATTTCCACTCACCCCCACTGCCACTACTTCCAATCCAGATTCAACTTGAGGCTTTTTAAATTTTTAGACAGTCTTGCTCTGTTGCCCAGGCTGGAGTACAGTGGCACAATCTGGGCTCACTGCAACCACTGCCTCCCAAGTTCAAGTGATTCTCTTGCCTCAGCCTCCTGAGTAGCTGGTATTACAGGTGCATGCCACTGCACCCAGCTAATTTTTGTATTTTTAGTAGAGACGGGGTTTCACCATGTTGGCCAGGCTTATCTTGAACTCCTCACCTCAGGTGATCCACCCACCTCAGCCTCCCAAAGTGCTGGGATTACAGGTGTAAGCCACCACACCCAGGCAACTTGAGGCTTTTTTCTCCCCTTCTCTTATGGAATTTTAATGGACCAAAATGGGCCAGAAAACAAAGTAACCATGGCAAACTAGGTCTTTAGTATTGTCAGAACAGGCACACTCCACATAGGAGGAGATGTTTTGTTCTGTGAAATGTCAAGCTGCTATATAACAAGATTTGTCTACGTCAAACACAGATGAAAGTCCCAGCAACATTGACTTGGCATGTCATCTTTTAAATCAAAAGAGACATGGTTTAAGTCAAAAGATTGAGGAAGCTATTTCAACAGCAAAAAGATACTGCCTTCCTTGAATGAGATTACCTGAAGGCTGGATTTGAAGAGCCTAGGAGAGTTGGGCAAACTGGACAGAAGTTTGAATTGAGAGACCAAGGCTTGAGTTTTGCAAATAACATGCATTTTTCCGTTGTCTCTGCTGTACATGAGGTAGAGTCAAATAGAACAAACTGAGCTGACGCTGACCTTTATTTTTTTTTTTAAAGACCCACAGGGAATTTCTCCAATATGACCTGGCCGCATGGCTCCCTTCCTGAAGACAGACCTGGCTGTGGATTTTATAATGAGCTCTGTGAAACTCAGTCTGCTTTTACGGGTAAGTATGGCTGTTTGGAGAACGTAGCAGGGAAAGACTTTCTATAGTAGGGTCTCTGTATGGCAGGCAGCACTATTGACATTTTGGGCCAGGTAATTTTTGTGTATGGGGAGGCTGGCATTTCAAGCCATGCATCCCTGTATATTATAAGATGTTTAGCGGCACCCCTGGCCTCTACCCACAGATGCCTATAGCAGCCCTCTAGTCGGAATGAGAAATGTCTCCAGACATGGCCAAATATCCCCTAGGAGGCAACATCACCTTTTTCCCCTGTGGAGAATCACTGCTCTAAGGGAAACTGGCTCCTGAGATTTGAGTCTCAGGAACTTCACCTCTAGGGAGGTTGAAAGAGTCTGGGGAGGGGAGTGTGCCCCAGTGGTTAGGAGCCCAGCCCTGGAATTAGATGGATCATGCCTGGAGAACCACCCTAAGGAGAACACACAGTAAATGTTTTGTAAACACTGCTGGTGGAGTTAGAAGTCATCATTATTATTTCTCTGCAGTGGAACTTTCTATACAAAGCGGGAGGTGAATGCAGTTCCAGTGGGAACTAGGGTGGTAGTCAGGGAAGAATTCCTGGAAGAGACAAGTCAGCGTAGACTTTGTGTGTCCTACCCCAGACCTTCCAGAGGACAGCCTTTGAGGAACCTGCTCGGCTGGGCCCAGCTGGGCAGGGATGTACTTGCTACTGCTCTTGGGCAAGGCCTGGGTAATATGCCTCTACCCTCCAGGCGTGACTGCTGTGCTTCTGACATTGATGATCCTCATTCCTGTCTTGGGAGCTGCCATCATAGGTCTGATTTTAAGGATGCAGAGGCAAAACAAAGACATCTGGTGGCAAATCAATTTTGATGATATCACCATTCTTCCCCAGAACAAGGTGAGGCCATATGTGACCCAGATGTCCCATTTCCTGGTCACTGCTGGAGATGTGTGGAAGGGACCTCATCTAGGAGCTTATAAGAGCAAGAGGCTAATTTATTCAGTGAGCACTTCATGAAGAGTCTGCAGGCCTGAGTTCTGGTTCTAGGCCTCCCACTTGCTTGCTGAATCTGAGAATGTCATTTTACCTCCCCAAGACTCAGTTTCTAAATACTTACAAATGATTGACAGTCTCTAAAGTTCCCTTTGCTCTGTTACTCTGTGGGTGAGAACTGTAGATGGTGTTCAGATATTAAAGCTGTCTCCTGGGGAGGATTTAGTTATTTTATTTTTTGTTTTGTAATTTTTTTGAGATGGAATTTCGCTCTTGTTGCCCAGGCTGGAGTGCAATGGCACGATCTCGGCTCACTCCAATCTCTGCCTCCCGAGTTCAAGTGATTCTCCTGCCTCAGCCTCCCCAGTAGCTGGTATTACAGGTGCCTGCCACCATGCCCAGCTAAGTTTTTCTATTTTTTTTTTAGTAGAGATGGGGTTTCACCATATTGGTCAGGCTGGTCTCGAACTCCTGACCTCAGGTGATCCACTCGCCTCAGCCTCCCAAAGTGCTGGGATTACAGGCATGAGCCATCGCTCCTGGCCGGATTTAGTTATTTTCAAAACCACATTAACTCCTTTAATCAATTGATGACTAATACAATAATGTTCATTTGCTTGACAGGGACTTGACCATTAACTACAGGCCAAGCATCATACAAGGTATGGGGATATCCCACAAATGAGATGCCTCCAGAGGGAGGCAAGTGTCAGAGAGGTGTTTCCACGGTGAGATGGAAGCCTTGCAGATGGAGGGACTGAAGGTCTCAGCATCTGGAAGGCTTTGGAGAGGAGGTGACATTTGAGAAGAGTGAGTTTGCAAGTGATGAAAAAGAGTGAAGTACACAGGATATAATGAGATGTGGGATGGTCAGGGCTGGGAAGCTTAGCTGGTACCAAGTCAGGGAGGCTTCAACATGCTAAGAGCAGGTGACTGTGATTCATTAGTAACTCATCTCCAAACGTCCCCGGGGATTCAGACACTTACTCTTCCATCTTCCACCAAAGCAGCTCTGCTTCGATCTACCTCATTTCTACATTAGGGTTCCAGATAAGATTCTCCTTGAAAACAAGATTCCTATGCTTTGAAGGTGTTTTCTAGGTGTTGGGAGGCACTGAGAGTGTTAAACAGAGACAACTTGGTTAGATGTTCTTTAAGAAAATGGCTCTAACCCCAGGCCACACATCTAATTAAGTGCCACAGCCAGAACTTGAGTCTGGGCAGTCTGACCTCAGAGCCTTCCCTCTTAACCTACACCTCCATGGTGGTACAGATGCCATAGAAGGCATGGATGATTGGATGATGCTGTCCTAGAGTGATGCATGTAACAGGTCAGAAAGATCAGGGTTCAAATCCTGGCTCTCTTATTATTAACTGTCTGACCTTGGCACTCAGCTTCCTCATCTATAAAATGCATTCCCTTTTGTACTTGGCCTTGCTGCTGAGAGTGACCAAATTACTTCCTGTTTTACAGCCATCCCAGAGAGCCACACCTGTGTCAAAAGGCATCAACAGTAACTCATCTAGTGTGATGATTTCTGTGGACCTCAGCTCTTTTGTCAAGAGCCAGCAGTGGGAAGAGCTCTTCTATGCCGCAGTAGGGCTTTATCAGGTATTTCTGAGGCCAGGTGGCTGCCCGTAGATCTTAGTGTATCTCTGTTCTGTTCTCTGCATCGTTTCTGCCAGGCAGGGCATTCTGAATAGAAGAACATTCTGCTAGCAAAAGCCAAGGTGGTCTTGTGACTCCATACTAGTGCTTCCCAAACCTTAATGTGCAGATGGATCACCTGGGACTCTTATTAAAATGCAGATTCTGGGTCAGTAGGTCTGGTGTGGCACCTGAGATTCTGCATTTTAAATAATCTCCTGGCCGGGCATGGTGGCTCACGCCTGTAATCCCAGAACTTCGGGAGGCCAAGGCGGGCGGATCACGAGGTCAGGAGATCGAGACCATCCTGGCTAACACGGTGAAACCCCGTCTCTACTAAAAATACAAAAAATTAGCTGGGCTTGGTGGTGGGTGCCTGTAGTCCCAGCTACTTAGGAGGCTGAGGCAGGAGAATGGTGTGAACCCGGGAGGCAGAGCTTGCAGTGAGCCGAGATCACGCCACTACACTCCAGTCTGGGCGACAGAGCGAGGCTCCATATAAAAAAAAAAATCTTCTAGGTGATTCCCAAGCTGGCTTCTAGATTATACTTAGCTTTGTCCAAAATAACCTTCTGTGATGATGGAAATGTCGCGGATCTGCACTGTCCAATATGGTGGCCACTAGCCTCCTGTGACTACTGAACATTAGTGTGCCTGGGCAACTGAATTTTAAATTTTATTTAATTTTAATTAATTTAAATTTAAATAGCCTTATGTGACTGGTGGCTCCCTTAAAGGACAGTGGAGTCCTAGAGTGTGGATTATTTCATCCTTGCTACTTTGGCATGGATGAATCAGTTGTGGGGCCTGGTGCTTCTGCAGTGTAGACAGTGACTGCTGCTGCAGCTTAGAACGTAATTTCCACTTGTCCTTTCTCACCTTCCCTCCCACACCCAGACCATGATCGCTGTCTGCATTTAGCAATCCTTCCAAAATTCAAGTCCCCTTGGGGTAAGAGTATATACAAAATTGTATTTATTCTTTAAAATGGGGGTCCCAGAGAGTAAAGACAGAAAGCTCCGAGCAAGGGAAGAATTGTTTATTGCTCTAAATTGGGGTTAGAAAAGACTAGAGCCAAATTATCCCCTATGCATTGAAACTTGATTTTTTAAATGTTTGCTTACTTGAGTTCTCAAACTACAAAAACCTCCTGGGATATTACTAAATACCTTAGGGACCACCATCCATACAAAACTCTACGTGGTCGTCACCCAGCCACATAAAGAAGGAAGTAGCAACACATAGCATATCGCTGTTTGATTGATCTTCCAAAAATATGTCTCCTCTCCTCTCTGTGAAACACCATCACTGGATTCCCCACCTCTGTTGCCTGCATGATAGTGCCAAAACTCTTTAATAAGAGATTTAAGCCTCTTGACTCCCTAGTCCTTATCTATTTTTCTAATCTTTTTTTCCCCTGGCTTATATTCTGTGCTCATCCAATTGGTCTTGCCTATTTTGCCACGTATGTTTCACCTTCTGACAATGCCACACCCCTTCCACCCAACCCATGTGGAATCTTCTTATCCTTCAAAGTTCAGCTTAAGCATCACCCCTTCTAAGAATCCTTTTCTTCATCCCACAGGCATTCCTTCCTCTGTGGCCCTCCCATCACAGTCCTGAGTCCTTTGCCATTGCCCTCATATGAAACGTGAAAGATCTTGGGTTGATATTTACCTTCTCTTGTGGCTTACCTTCTCTTGGGTCCAGATTCTATGCCTTCTTCTATCCAGCTCTTACCACATTATGATATGTTTTTGTGGTGACTGATTAAGTGGCTCTCTAAAAGCAGACTCCATAGGCAATACAAATAAAATATGCCATTTACTGAAAATTTGATATATGCCAGGTCTTGAGTTACCAGTGGTATTTTAACTGATTTAATGCTCAGAAAACGTTATGAGATTGGTGTTTTTAAAAAAAAAAAAAAAAAACTTATTTTAGGTTTGGTGTTATTTTTAATCCCATTTTACAGATGAGAAAATAAAGGCTTGGAGAAGTTAAGAACAACTCAAGGTTGTTAAGGCAGTAAGTGGTAGCACTGGGCTTAGAATCAGGCAACTGACTCCAAACCTACGCTTATCACTGTAACTCACTATTTCCTCTGAATGATAATGGGACATTATTATATAATAAAAAGTGTATAGTCTTGGAGTCAGACTTTCAAGTTCTCGCTGTACTACCTACAAATATGCAACTTGGGCAAGTTACGTAACCTCAACAATCCCATCTGGAAATGGGCCAATCATACCTACCTCACAGGACTGTGATGCCAGTTAAAGGAGATCTTAGTGTTAAGCAGCTAGCTCAGTGCCTGGCCATGCACAGGGCCACCGAAGGGGTTGATTTGGGCAGTGAGGAGCTTGATGATTGGCTCCTAGGTGCATTTCTTTCCAGCTTTTTTTCTCCCCTCCCTAGCCCTAAGTGGAGCTTTTTCTGGTTCATTCTGAGTTAAGAACATTCCACTTTTTCTTTGATTCTAGGGAAACCATGTGGCCATCCGTTACGTTGGTGACCAAGCAGAAGCCTGGGTTAGGAAGCCGATTGTGCTACAGGAAATACAGCTGGTGAGGCCCCCTGCCCAGGGTCAGTGGAGAGACAAAGCAGTGATGCTCTCTGCCCCTCCTCTGCCAGCTCCCTGGTTCCAAAGGAGCAGAGATGGGAGGCTGCTTCCCTTAACGTGACCCATCTCTCCCTCCCCTCGACAGCCCAGGCTTTGAATCTCAGACCTCTAGCCTCTCCCAGGCACCTGAAGCCTGGGATCATTCCTACCTCTGTTTTTTTCCCCATCATTCTTTCTGGCCTTGATTCTGGCTCTTCATCCTCTGTGTCTGTGATGGCTGCTTGCCTACCTACCAGCCTTGAACCTGGTACTTGGAGGGAGTCAGTTTCATGGGCCTGACTTCCTGCTCCTTCTCTGTGATCTGTTGTGGGCCCCACATTGGCATTGACAGCCATAAGCATGGAAGCAGGGCTGAGTCCATTTACTGTGACGTGGTTGAGTTAATCACCGTGCGTGAGGTTAGACTTTGATCGTTCCTCTGATTTATTTGCTGCAGACAGACTTCCTGGGTTTACCTCCCAGCTCTGCCACTTGTAGGTGTTACTTTACCTTACCTTTCAGTGGCAGTTCCCTTATTTGTAAAATGGGATCTGTAACAGTTCTTATCTAACAAGGTCTTTATAAGAATTGACTGAAAATATGCAAAGCACATAGCATGGTCCTGGACATAGAGACACACTCTATACATGAGCTATTGTAACCATGATTATTTCCAGATGGGTGAATTAAGGCACGAGAGCATTGTTCCCTTCTTTGGTATTTGCACCGAACCACCTAACATCTGCATTGTCACCCAGTATTGCAAAAAAGGAAGTCTTAAGATAAGCAAAACAGTAAAATGCTCCTTAGGTTTGATTAGTGGTAGATAATAAAGAAGTTTCTCAGTGCCCTCTGCTATTCATCCAAGGTCAGTTCCTCTCTGTTCTAGTTGCAAGACCTGAACTATCTTGTCAGGCTACCTTCTGGGAATCAAATTAGCCAAATGTCTGCTTCTTTTGTTCTGGGGGAAAACTGAGCTTGGTTTCTTCTCTTAGGATGTTATGGCTACTCTTGAACTGTTGTTCCTGGACCCATCCTATTATGGTATGTGACGACAGCTTTCTGTCAGGAACAAGGAAGTGTTTGTAAAACTCGAGACTGCATGCATTCTCAATATTGAGTCAGGTTATGGTATCTCCTGGGAAGATTTCCAGTTATTAGGTTTAATGTTTTCTGCCCCACATTGCGTTAGTTCTGGCCAAAAATATAAGCTATATTAGAGTCAAATCTGTTCAATTGTTAAAGCTCACTGTGCTTCAGGTTGAGTCACTAGGAATCTTTTGAATTACTGAGTTTTTCAGGATGTTTTGAGAAACTCGGATCATGAAATGGATTGGATATTCAAACTCTCATTTGCATACGACATAGTCAATGTAAGTATAACACAAACTTACCAAAGAATGAATATGATAGTGTTTTTGAGTTGCTGTGTCTTGAAATAAACTGTAATTTTTCTTGAAAATGTTAGACCTCTTCAGATCTCCTCTTCAGAGTGATTCCAGCTCTAAAATCTATCACTTCTATCTGATTTTTTCTTTTCTTCTTCCCTGATTACAGATAAATATATAGAGAGGAAAGTATTTTATGCTAAAGTTGGAATGGATGCTAAGTTTACCCAATCAGAAAAGAGCAGAGTATTTACATTGTAGGGTAGAACTTTCTATCTCAAAGGGTATCTCATCACTAGGTTGTAAATTGGACTGGGGGAAGTGATTCCTGATATTCTTCCCTGCTCTTCAGCCCCTGATTTCTTTCCCTAGGAAATGGGGATGCCACATTAACCACATAGCTGCTGACCTAAGAGTTGGGCCATAGATTCTGATCTGAGGAGGTAGAATCTTTGCTTTGGCACAGGGGACTATGGTGGCTGCAAAGAAGGGAATAATAGTAACACTAAAATATATAGAGTGCCTACTTTGGGCCAGGCACTTTCCAGTACTTTGTATATATTAATTTATTGAATTCTCACAAGAATGTAAGGTAGATCTATTGTTACTTTTATTTTACAGATTAAAAAAACACAAAGCACAGAAAGTTCCTATGACCTTCCTGAAGTCTCATGGCTATGAAATACTAGAGTTAGGATTCAAACCCAGGCATTTTCAAGTCCTATACCCTTAACCACTGTACCATACTGCCTCTCAGTAGGAAGCACTAGAGCTTGCTTTTGTGTTTTACCACAGGGAGAAGTCAGTCTCACAACTAGAAGCCAATTAGGGGCTGGGGGGGCGTGTAATTCAGAGGGAGTTGGAGAGAGACCAATTCCTGCCTGTTGCCAGGAAGGCAGTGGAAATACTGAGAAGTGGCAGCTGGATCCAAAGCCCAAGGTGACACTGTCTTGAAGGGCCATGCCCTAGGTATAAGCTGGTGATGAGGGATGGAGAGGGCAGGAGAGGGAGGAGATTCGCTGTGGGGCGAGCCATGTCAGTGTGGACCAGCATCCTGAGGCTGCTGTCTCCCACCTGCGCTAAATCCAGCTGTTCTTTCTTAAGCTTGCTGCCTATACTTTTACCACCAGAAGCGACAAAGCCAGTGACCTGGGAGTCAGTCCGGTGAGGAAACCTCTCAGTCATGGGCAGCACGGTGAAGGGTGGTGGTCCACTGCTAGTCATTAGTCCAACCATCAATCAACCAACAGACTCCTGTGGGGAAGACTCATCTGGGTGTTGAGAGGGCAAAAAGGATGAAACACAAGCTGTGCCCTCCTGGATTAATGGGCCACTGACTTATTGAGTGATTTTGCCAGGCCACTTCCCCTCTCTAGACCTTGACCTCCACGTAGGTAGAATGAATGAGGCTGGCCCAATTGAAGTCTAACGGCTTTCCTTCAACAAGGATTTTATTGCTTTTTGTTTCTAGGGAGCTGAGTCCCATATCTCTGTGAGACTTTGATTTCCTAGGCTTTAGCAGGAAGCCAGCAGATTGTTATAAAGCAAGGTCAATAGGCAGAAGCGTCTCTGTGATTGGGTCTTCATGGGCAACCCTGGACCACCACTGTTATTATTTCATTAAAATTTTATTGAGCATCTGTTAAGAGTCTATCCTACTCTGGTCACTTTTGTAGGAAGAAAGGACTTGTTTCCAGCTTTGGATGGCTTAAAAGCTAGGGAAAAAAATAGTCTGGAGATGTACATATAAAATTCTTTAAGTGGCAGTGGTTATAAACTGGGAGGATGCGACATTGGCATCTTTTCCTACCCTGGGATCTTCTCTCCTTCCCTTCACCCACTTATTCCTTCTCTTCCCACCGAGCACAAAGAAGTATTCTGGACTCTAATTATCTGCCTCCTGCCCCCATCAAAACAGCCAACATCATTTATATTGGAAGTGAAGAGTAAGCTAGTAAGTAAGTTCTCACCAAGCCATGAATGACTAACAGATTTGACCTTTTTAGTGTAGGCATCAGATTTCAAGAAGCATTAACCCAAAGGTTTCTCTGGAAAAACGCTATGGCAGGTGGGCATGGCACTTTGAAGGGGAAGAGCTCCCTGGTGGTCATCACCTACTCTAGCTCACTGAGTCTACCCTCTACTCTGTGCCAGGAAAACAGAGGACAGCTTGGCATTTTGCTTTGGAAGGATCATTACCTCCTGAGATGGAGTGTGCACATTCTGGGATCATGTAGGGCCACTACTGATGACACAATAGGCTAGATCAAGGCACAGGTAGGCCCTTTGAGGTTAATTACTCTGCCAATGTTCTTTGAAAGGGGACTGCGAGTAACAGAAAATGTACTGTACTCTTAGAGCCTTGCCATGGGTCTGGGCATTGGGCCAAGCTCCGTGGGGGCGATTGTAGTTTGGAAACAAGTCTCTCTATGTCTATTTGATCAGCACCTCCTCTATATCAGGTATCAGAGAGACTCTGAGATGCCATAGACATTTCAAGGCAACAAACATATATTGATCAAGCGCCTAATTTGGATCAGACCCGATTCTGGGCGTAGGAGGCACAGACGAATGAGCCTCATTGTCCTGTCCCCAAAAAGTTCAACCCAGTTGGGCAAGCCTGGGAAGGAGTTTGGAGAGTATAATACTCTTCTTGAGTTACAAATAGGCCTTCATGTCTAAATAAGAGAAGTCTTGATGGATTAAGAGGATGAAGGACAATTCAGCAAAGAAGTTGTCGTTGAAGTTTGAACCCTGACTGCCACTTACTGGCCAGGTGACCTTAACAACCCTGGGCCTCAGTTTTCCTGTGTGTAAAGATAACATCAGTACCTGACTCATAGGGTTGTGTGAGGACTAATGTATGCAAAATGCTTAGTGCCATGCCTTCCCTGTAACAGGCGTCCAGTAAATGTTGATTGTTAGTAGTAGCAATAGTATTATCACGATCATAGATAATTCTATTACTGGTGCTAAAAGAAGTACATATTCTTGTTTTAATTTCCCCAACACTCCTATGGGGCAAGTCTGCACTGTCCAAATATGATAGCCACCAGCCACATGTGGATAATGAGCACTGCAATTGTAGCTAGTTCAATTTGAGATGTGCTATAAAGTTTGTACTGAATTTTGTAGACTTAGCAAAAAAAAAATATAAAATATCTTGCTAATATATTTATGTTGATTACTTGCTGAAATAAGATTTTTCAATACATTGGGTTAAATAAAACATTATAAAATACATTTCACCTGTTTGGTTTATAACATGGCTGCTAAAAATGTAAAAATACACATGTGGCTTGTATTATGTTTTTATTGGACAGTGATCTCAATAATTAGCAATTAACTCCATTATTAATTCATTTTTAACTCCAATAGTAGTAATATTGGAGTAACATGATCTCCATTTCCAAGAGGGAAAAAGTGAGGCTTAGTGAGGTGAAGTCATCTGCCCAGCTGGTAAGACGCAGATTGGGATTTGTAGCCAGTCTGTCTCCAAAGGCTGTGTTTGCTCTTCCATGCGATGCTTCCTTCCTGCTAAGTACCAGAGAGTACAGATATAGGGCCCAGAGGTAGGAGTGCTGTCTGCCACCCAGGAATTTCCAGTAGGGCAAGAAATGTAGCTAACAGACAGATGATTGAACTGATACTGGTGGGCTAGGGGAGGTCCCCAAATGCTGGTGGGACCTTGACCCCAGCCAGTGTGCAAGCTCTTAACACCACTGTGAGAAGGAATTCAAGGATAAATCAGAAAGTAGTGAAAGTATGGAGATTTACTGCAAAGTGAAGAGTACACACTCAGGAAAGGGGAGTGCGGGCAGACTTGAGAGAGAGTCACGCAATGGAATTTGGGGCTTCTACCTTCATGAGTTTCTTTAACCAAGGGGTAGAACATTCATGAGGATTCCTGGAAAAAGGTGGAGATTTCTGGGAACTGTGATGTTACCCATTTTTACATTAAATATGGCTGTTCCTGGGACTGTTGTGGCACTGGTGGGTGTGTGACCTAGTATGTTAATGAGCTTATAATAAGGTCCCAGGTGAAACTTGGGTCAAATCCAGCACCATGTTGGATCCAATTGGTCTTAGCTGGCTTGGCCCACACCCTGTTCTTTTCAGGGTCTTGTCAGCCCTGAAAATAATGGCTTATGCAGCTATTTCAGTTCCTTTTTGCTAGTCATGTGTAACTGCCTGGAATTTTCTGTTCTCCTGCAGCCACTCCTGTTATTCCTGTCTCAGAGCTGCCAAAAGTGCATAAAATCTGGCATGTAAATAATAAATCCTTTCATAGCTCTATTTGCTCTCTGATAATATACATAAAAATCATACATTTCCATCAAGATAGAAAATAAAGACATGCATGCCATCTCTTGGAGAGGAATGCACACCCAGAATTCCAAGCGCCCCTCAGCATGTCATTTTCACCCTAATGGAAGGAGCTCTGTTAAAATCCTATAATATAAAATCGTTGACTGTAAAATATCTCATACTTGGGGTAGGCATGGCACTAGCAAAGGCAGGAGGAAAGCAGAAAAAAACCTTGTGTGTATCAGGGACATTCCTGTTGAATGGAGAGGTCTCCTGCTGGAATCAGAGAACTCTGGATCAGACACAGGTCTCACCTGATTTCAAGCTTGGACCTTAGCCTATTGGAGCCTCCCTGGGGAAGTCCCAGAGGCAGCCCCAGCCAGGCCCCTCCCGGTCCAGTTGAGTGGGCGGCAGTTTCAAAATGTGATTCAATGTTACCATCTAAAAACAAATAAGGCATTTTGATAAAGGAACATGGGGTAGGGGGTGGAGAGTGATTGGGGCAGGGGTGGGGGCATGTATCCATTCTCCTGGATGTTTTCGGTATTATCTCATATTTCTTTGTTGTTGTTGTTATTTATTTTTTGAGATGGAGCCTCACTTTCTTGCCCAGGCTGGAGTGCAGTGTCGGGATCTAGGCTCACTGCAACCTCTGCCTTCTGGGTTCAAGTGATTCTGATTCTCATGCCTCAGCCTCCAGAGTACCTGGAATTACAGGCACCCACCACCACGTCCAGCAAATTTTTATATTTTTAGTGGAGATGGGGTTTCACCATGTTGGGCAGGCTGGTCTTGAACTCCTGACCTTGAGTGATCCACCTGCCTCAGCCTCCCAGAATGCTGGGATTATAGGCATGAGCCGCCCAGCCCCTATCCCATTTTTTTTTTTTTTTTTTTTGAGACAGAGTCTCACTCTGTCGCCCAGGCTGGAGTGCAATGGCATGATCTCAGCTCACTGCAACCTCCACCTCCTGGGTTCAAGCGATTCTCCTGCCTCAGCCTCCTGAGTAGCTGGGATTACAGGCACGTGCCACCATGCCAGGCTAATTTTTGTATTTTTAGTAGAGACAGGGTTTCACCATGTTGGTCAGGCTAGTCTTGAACTCCTGACCTCTTGATCCGCCCACCTCGGCCTCCCAGAGTGCTGGGATTACAGGCATGAGCCACCGTGCCTGGCCCTTATCCCATATTTCTAATGCAATATTGGCCTCAGGGCTCTGGCTCAGGTGGGATAGTTACTTGGCCTGTCAGCACTGCTGGAGGAAGAGATGCACCCCTGTGCTGGTGAAGCTGCTTGTTGTCTGGGGTGAATACCCGAGGTTCATGGTATCACGCCAAGGAAATTGAGTACTCACGACACCCAAGAAATGGGTTTAGGAGCACAGTTTTAATAAGCAAAAGAAAGAGAAAGGAGAATAGCTCCCTCTCTTATGAGAGAGAGGGGGCCCACAGCGAAGTGCACCAGATTTTATAGACTGGCTTGAGGAGGCAGTGTCTGATTTACATAGGGCCCAAAGATTGGTTGGACCAGGTGTGACATTTACATAGCCAGCGATGAAGCTGGCTTCCCCACCTTAATCTTCTATTATGCAAATGAAATCTTTGCCTGCCTGGCGCCATGTTGCCTACTGCTTACCGTACGTGTGGTTTACAAAGAAAAGGGACGATGGAGCCCCTATCTGAACATGTCTAGTCCCTAGGTAGCCCCTTTCCTATTAGCACAACTGCAGGCATTCACCCATGCAAGCTTCTAGCCTGCCTTTCTATGTCTGCAGCTTGATTTTACAGGCTGCTCTTTGTTAGAAAAGAAAATGATTTGGGGGCTATCACACGTGTCCGTATAGAAGACCACCTAAACAGGCTTTGTGTGAGCAACAAGGCTGTTTATTCACTTGGATGCAAGTGGGCTGAGTCCAAAAAGAGAGTCAGTGAAGGGAGGTAGGAGAGGGGTAGCTTTATAGAACTGGGGTAGGCAGTGGAAAGTTACAGTTAGAGGTGGTTATCTATTGTTAGCAGGGGAGGGGGTCACAAGGTGTATGGTGGGGAGATCATAAGACTCATTGTCCAGAAGAAGAAAGTCACAGGGTCAATTGATCAGTTGGGGCAGGGTAGGAACAAGTCATAATGGTAGAATGTCATAAGGTGGGTTAATTAGTTAAGGCAGGAACTGGCTGTTTCACTTCTTTGTGGTGTTCCAGCTACTCCAGACTTCTTGGCTCCTGCAGGCCATCTGGACATACATGTGCAGGTCACATGGGTTACAATGGCTGAGCTTTGGCTCAGAGGCCTGACGGGCTGCTTTCCATTTAAAGGAAGACCTTACCGAGGACTCCCATACACTCACTAAGTGTCTAAATAATTCCTTTATTAACTGTTTTTTTTTTTGGTTTTTTTTTTTTGAGACAGAGTCTCGCTTTGTCGCCCAGGCTGGAGTGCAGTGGCACAATCTTGGCTCACTGCAAACTCTGCCTCCCGAGTTCAAGTGATTCTCCTGCCTTGGCCTCCCAAGTAGCTAGGATTACAGGCGCGGACACCATGCCTGGCTAATTTTTGTATTTTTAGTAGAGGGGGTTTCACCATATTGGTCAGGCTGGTCTTGAACTCCTGACGTTGTGATCCACCCACCTCGGCCTCCCAAACTGCTGAGATTCCAGGCGTGAGTCATCGTGCCCAGCCTCTTTCTAACTCTTATATCACTGGTGCCCAAGAGGCCCAAGACCCTGTCCTTGGGTTCACTTATCTGTTCAGGATGTTCCCCCCACCCCATTCCTCCCTGGGACCTCCTCATAGCCCCTCCCACACATGACTTCACTGCCCCTTCTCAGTTAGATTGTGTCATTGTGTAATTACACATTGGGGTTGTGTCATTGTGCAGGGGGAGTATGTGCTTTGACCCTCCTTCCTCCCTCTTCCCTCCTCCCCCTTTTTATCTCCCATCACCCAGGGCACAGGAAAGACGAAAATCTAGTGGTTTAGAAGAAGCTGGGCTTCTAACCCAATCCCACCTGGGTTTATATCCCAGCTCTGGTCCTGACTTCTTGGGAGCGATTTAACACTCCAAATTTACTCATCCTAGCCTGATCACTAGGATGTATTTATTTTAAGCTGGCCTGGCCTTCTTGGCTTCACACTAAGGAGCTGGAAATAGTTTTCTCCATTTTGGGTGTCCCAGCCCCAGTTGACTCCAGGGACAAGGGGCTATGCTGGTGGCTCCTGAACAAATGAACACAGAGATGGGCGCATCCCCTGCCCCAGGCCCCTCTGTCTGTGTTTCTGTCCATCTGTCTCTCTGCCTTGGTTCCTTCCAGCAGTGTTATCAGCACCTGGTCTGCCTCATTTGCTCATTTTCACCCTTGCAGGGCATGCTGTTCCTCCACAGGAGCCCCCTGGGCTCCCACAGCAACCTGAAACCTTCCAACTGCCTGATGGATGGTCGGCTGCAGGTGAAGCTGTCGTGATTCGGGCTGTGGGAACTCAAGCATGGCTAAAAATACAGAACATATGATGAGACAGTGACCAACCACTCAGGTAACCTTTGGTTGATCTTGCACCCACTAGCTATTGGCAGCATGGTCAGAGGTTCCTGGCTCCATCTTTGCTTCCTGATGCTCATCTGTACAGGTATCCACAGGTGGGCCTTCCTCTGGAGCTGATGATATGTGGCTGTTCCGTTCAACTGAGGAGAACGAGAAAAAGAAAAAGTATCTGCAGGTGGCATGAGTTCGTGGGGTGATGTCTGGGTTTGGAGACTGGTTCTCGTCCTAGCTCAGCTGAGCCACCTGGAGCAACCATTGCCCCTCTCTTTAGTTCTCTTTGTTCCTTCCCACATTCATCCTATGTTCTCAGCTTAGAACATAAGATCCGCCAGATATTTTAGAGATAATCGAGTTCCATAGTTCTCTCTCTTCTAGGTCCTGGTCCCTCTACCCCCAACCAACTATCAACTGAATCAAAATATCTGAAGATGGGGTCTTGGCATCTGAATTGTTTTTTAAATGCTCCCAAGTAATTCTGCTGTGCATCTGAAGACAAAACCATTGCCTCAAGTCCACTTTTCCCTTCCCTATGTGCCAAGTGGGGTTCAATGACTCTTCCTACCTGTCCAGTTAATTGAATGCCTTGGATTCGTACCTTTGCATGTATCCTGGGCTCTCCTGAGACCAGTGTTCTCAGCCCTGATCCCCTTTTTGCTGGAGCAGCATGTCACCAGGAGCTTTTTTGTGTCAATTTGGGAGGTTTCTATATCATATGATAGGATGATGTCTTACAGAAGGACAAGGGGGATGGGAATGGTTGCTTATGCCTGAAATCCCAGCACTTTGGAGGCTCAGGTAGGAGGATTGCTTCAGTCCAGGAGTTTGAGACCAGCCTGGGCAATATAGTGAGATGCTCCCGCCCCACCATCTATACTTAAAAAAGAAAAATTAGCTGGTGTGGTGACATGAGGCTGAGGTAGGAGGATCACTTGAGCCTGGGAGGTCAAGGCTGCAGTGAACTGTGATTGCGCCGCTGCACTCCAGCCTTTAGAGACCCCGTCAAAAAAAAAAAAAAAGGGATGGGGAGAAATTTTGTTTTTATTATTAATTAATTAATCTTTTTTTTTTTTTTTTTTTGAGACAGCGTATGGCTCTGTCGCCCAGGCTGGAGTGCAGTGGCGCGATCTCGGCTCACTGCAAGCTCTGCCTCCTGGGTTCAAGCAATTCTCATGCCTCAGCCTCCCGATGTAGCTGGGGATCACAGGCATGCACCACCACGCCTGACTAATTTCTGTAATTTTAATAGAGACGGGGTTTTGTCATGTTGGCCAGGCCAGTCTTGAATTCCCGATCTCAAGTGATTTGCTTTCCTCAGCCTCCCAAAGTGCTGGGATTACAGGCGTGAGCCACCGTGCCCGGCCAAGACCTGCTGGCAGCTGTCCTAGTTCCCCTTCTGCATCCTCTAATGTATATCTTTTGTTTTAATGACTATTACCTATAATGACATAAGCCTATAGACTTCACTGCAGAAAAGGAGGTGTGTAAAATATCTAGAATAGACCCATAAATCTATAGAGACAGAATGCAGGTTGGTGGTGATTACCAGGGGTTGGGGGTCAGGAGAACAGGGAGAAACGGCTTCATGAGTAAGGAGTTGACTTTGGAGTGATGGAAATGTTTCCGAGCTAGACAGAGGTGGTGGTTGCACAACATCGTGAATGTGCTAAATGCCACTGAATTGTTCATTTAAAATGGTTAATTTTTTTTTGGCGGGGGGATGGAATCTGGATCTGTTGCTCAGGGTGGAGGGCAGTAGTGCAACCTCGACTCACTGCAACCTCTGCCTGCTGGGTTCTAGTGATTCTTCTGCCTCAGCCCCCCGAGTAGCTGGGATTACAGATGTGTTCCACCATGCCCGGCTAATTTTTGTATTTTTATTTATTTTTATTATTTATTTATTTATTTGAGACAGAGTTTCGCTCTTGTTGCCCAGGCTAGAGTGCAATGGCACGATCTTGGCTCACCACAACCTCCGCCTCCTGGGTTCAAGCGATTCTCCTGCCTCAACCTCCCCAGGTGCTGGGATTACAGGTATGCACCACCACACCCAGCTAATTTTGTATTTTTAGGAGAGATGGGGTTCCTCCATGTTGGTCAGGCTGGGCTTGAACTCCTGACCTCAGGTGATCCACCTGCCTTGGCCACCCAAAGTACTGGGATTATAGACGTGAGCCACCATGCCCAGCAATTTTTGTATTTTTAATAGAGGAGTTTCACCATGTTGGCCAGGCTGGTCTGGAACCCCTGACCTCAATTTATCCTCCCACCTCGGCCTCCCAAAGTGCTGGGATTACAGGCGTGAACTACGCCTGGCCTAAAATGGTTAATTTTATGTTCTATGAATCGTACCACAATTGTTTTTAAAAATAAAGGCAATACAGAGAAGGAACTTGAACATGAAAACCAGCTGTAATTTTAGTCTTGAGTAAACCACCGTTAACATGTTAGCGCACATCCTTCCTGCTAATTTTCTCTGTATTCACACACACGGACCCCTGTTAGCTCTTCAAATCAGACAACACTGGGGCTGATGGCTCAGGGCTGGATACCTTCCTTTCTCCTGTGCCCCAAAGGATGAAGAGGTGGCTTTTCCTGTTTTGCCTGGCAGTACCCTCACTCCATGCGGACATCCCATTCTTTTGCAGAGCTCTACTGGACTGCCCCAGAGCTGCTGCAGTTCCCGGAGATGCCCTGGTCGGGTACCCCGCAAGGAGATGTTTACAGCTTCGCCATTCTGATGAGGGAGCTGATCTACCATTGGGACCACGGGCCTTTTGATGACCTCCACGAGGCACCGGATGGTAAAGCGGGACAGCCTGCTTGGGAGGTTTTGGTCGTGTGGGCCAGCTTTGAAATGCTGGTTTTTTAAATTAATTGTTTTATTAATATACAATTTATTCCATTATTTTTTATTGAAAAATTCATGCTCTTTCCCAGCAAGCAGTCTCAGAAAAAAATTAAAGAAAAATAAAAATTCATATTCTTTTTTTAAATTAGAAAATGAATTGCATTTTGGTTACCAAAAAAATCAAGGGACCCCAAATTATATAACTTGTTTTGTTACAGCAGCCAGAGGGATCCTATTAGAAAATGAGGCAGATTATGTCACTTCTCTATCAGAAGCCTCCCCTGGCTTCCCATCTGAGGAGTGAAAACTAAGTCCTCCTCATGGCCTACAAGACCACTGAAGGCGTTGAAACCGTGTAACCTCTGCGGCCTTCTGGATTAGTTTCCTAGGGGGCCATAACAGTGACCACAAGCTTGGTGGCTTGAAACACCGATGCTTATTCCCTGGCAGTTCTAGAGGCCAGATGTCTAAAGTCAAGGTGTTGTCAAGGCTCTGCTCCCTCCAGAAGCTCTAGGGAAGGTTCCATTCTCTGCCTCTTCCAGCTGCTGGTGGCTGCCCCAGCATTCCTGGGTTTGTGGCCACATGGCCTCAACCTCTGTCTCCGTCTTCACATTACCTCCTCCTCTGTGTACTTATCCTGGCTGTGCCACTTATGAGGACATTTGTCATTGGATTTGGGGCCCACCCCTATAATCCAAGATGACCTCCTCATCCTGAGATCCTAAACTTAATTCTGTTTGCATATTTGGTTTATATCCCCTTTCCCAAATAAGGAAACATTTGTAGATTCTGGGGATTAGGATTTGGACATTTCCCTTTAGGAACCACGATTCAGCCCACTGCACCTTCCTACTGTCATCTCTTATGGCTCATTCCTTTCAGTCACATTGGCCACCTTCATGCGTCTCCAACATAGACAAATCCATAGAGACAGAATGCAGGTTGGTGGTGGTTACCAGGGGTTGGGGGTCGGGAGAACAGGGAGAAACTGCTTAATGAGCAAGGGGTTTACTTTGGAGTTGTAGAAATGTTTCTATCACTCTAGACACATTTCTACCCCAAACCCTTTGTGTATACTGTTCCCTCTGCCGGGACACCTCTCGCCTCATATTCCTATGTACAAATTTGCCCCATTCTTTCTTAAGGGCTACAAAATTTTTCACTGTGAGAATATGCCATAAGTGGTACCTTGATACACATTTTGGAAATTGCTGCAATGAGCAGCTCTATATCTTTGCACACATGGTGAATGTTGTTTCAGGCTAGATTTCTAGCCATGAAATTGAGGAGATAAATATATTTTAACTATATTCAAAATCCATGATAAATGCTGTTCAGTTGTCCACTTACAAAGGATATTTTCGGGCTTTTTTTTTTTTTTTTTTGCTGGGTTGTCTCTTAATGGCTGATGCCTGGATCTCAGCCTGAGATTCTGATATCATTGGTTCGGGGTGCTGCCTCAGTGTCAGGGTTTCAAAGCTCCCGGGGTGATTGTAATATGTAGCAGCTCAGGCTGCTTGGAGAGAGGATACCAGTGTGTGTGTGTGTACACACATAAGTGTGAGTTTCTAAGTAAACTCAGCCCACTTTCTCTCTTGATTTTTTTTTTCTTGCTTTGCCTACCATTTCTAGCCTATCCTCAGTGGTCTATCTCAAGCCTCAGCTTTAGATCATTATCTGTTACCTGGAGACTTTTTGAGTCAGGAGCCCACTGTGAGGATATGCAATTGCTTTTAGACCAGATTCCAGTTTCTAATTTCTGGCTAAATAAAGCAGAGGTGAGATTAATCCAAAAAGGGTAACTCAAAATCCAAGCGCATCTGACTTTGGCATCAAGCACACACACAAATATTTCCAGACTGAGCCCAGGCAGGAGCCCACCCACAGTCCCTCAGCCCCTTCACCGCCTAGGTTTTGCCAGTTGGGATCTGTAAGGGAAGATACTGTGGACAATCAATGTATTTCCCCTTCGTTGTTGAGCTCACAAAATTAACTGAGAGCTGGCTACATGGGACTATGTATCCACAGGACTGCAACCAGGAAGAATACAGTGTATACCTAATTTATGGGCAAACAGTTCTTCAATTAACTTCTGACACTTTCCTATAAACAAAGCTTGTACTGGGAACTGAGTAGCTATTGATTCTCTGGGCACGCAGGACCCATGGTTCTCAAACTGTGGTGGGCATCAGAATCACTGGGAGGCAGTTAAAACACAACATTGTTGGGTTCCACTCTTGGGGTTTCTGACTCAGTAGGTCTGGGGTGAGGCCTGAGAATGTGCATTTCCATCACCCTCCCAGGTGATGCTGATAAAGCCACAGCTTGAGAAGTACTGGCCTTGGTCCTTGTGGTCCTTGGACCAGCAGCATCAGCATCAGCTGGAAACACGTCAGAAATGCACATTTTCAGGCCCCACTCCTGACCTGCTTCATTGGAAACTGTGGAGGAATTGGTCCAGAAATCTGTGTGTCAGCAAGCTCCCCAGCGATTCTGATGCACGTTGCCAAAGCAAATGAGCAACAGTGCTAACATGTCTAGTAGACGGTTAAAGATTATAGGATGGAAACAGCTGGTTAGAAGTTACTAGGTAATTCACACATGTGCTCTGAAGTGCAGTCCCATGGGTCTGAATTTGCTCTCGAAGTCCTATGTCATTTTTCTGATTCTTTCATGCATTTCTTAGAGCTAAACACAGAAAGCAGAAGATGCCATAGTAATTCAGTCACTGCTTTTGAAGCCATTGCTGTCTCATGTCTCAAATTGTACTTCATTTGGGAAGTAAAACACAATTTTCCAGAGTACTTTTTTTTTTTTTGAGATGGAATCTCTCTCTGTCGCTCAGGCTGGAGTGTGATGGCGTGATCTCGGCTCACTGCAGCCTCTACCTCCCGGGTTCAAGCAATTCTGCCTTGGCCTCCTGAGCAGCTGGGACTACAGGCATCCACCACCATGCCAGGCTAATTTTTGTATTTTTAGTAGAGAGAGGGTTTCACCATGTTGGCCAGGCTGGTCTCGAACTCTTGACCTCAAGTGATCCGCCCATCTTGGGCTCCTAAAGTGCTGGGATTACAGGCGTGAGCCACTGCGCCTCCTAGAGTGCTTTTTAATGCACATACTTTCAGAATACTTTTAGGCATTAAACATGTACACTTAAACAAGATGACATTTTATGCACAGTTTTGTAACCTGTATTTTTTTATTATATTAAACTAACAGTCATATATTATTCAGATTTCCTAGTTCTTACCTAATGTCCTTTTTCTGTCTCTGAACCCCATCCAGGGTACCACATTATATTTGGTTGTCATGTCTCCTTAAGCTTCTCTGGGAAAATTTCTCAGACTTTATTTTCAATGACCTTGACACTTTTGAGGAGTACTGGTCAGATACTTTGTAGAAGTTCTTTCATGTGGAATTTGTCTGATTTGTTTTTCTTTTCTCATGGTTTTGCGTATATGTATTTTGAAGGATGACTGAACAAGTAAATTGTCCTTTTCATTGATTATTGCTGTTGATGTTGACCTTGATCACTTGGCTGGGGAAGTGTTTGTCAATTTCTCCACCATAAAGTTACTCTGATTTCTCCCTTCCATACTTAGTCTAGGGAGAGAAATCTCTATGTGAAACCCACACTTATGAGTGAAGAGTTAGGCTGGGCGCGGTGGCTCACGCCTGTAATCCCCACATTGTGGGAGGCCGAGGAGGGCGAATCGCTTGAGCCCAGGAGTTTGAGACCAACCTGGGCACACGGGAAGATCCAGTCTTTACAAAAATACAAAAATTACCTGGACGTGGTAGCGTCCCAGCTACTCTGGAAGCTGAGGTGTGAGGATTGCTTGAGCCTGGGAGGCGGAGTAAAGATCCTGCCACTGCACTCCAGCCTGGGCAACAGAGACCCTGTCTCAAACAAAAAAAAAAAAAAAAAAAAAAGGAGAGGGAAAAAGAAAAAAAAGGGTGGGAAGTTAGGTTCCACCTCTTTGAGGAGGGAATACTTGGAATTCTTCTCCGTGGGAGATTTGTCTACTGTGCCCATTCATTTATTTCTTCAAGTACTTAGGTCAGTATGGACTCATGGATATTTATTTCATACTTTGAGTTATAACTGAATCACTACTATTTATTTTGTGGCTTAAATTGTTCCAGTTTTGGCCATTCCGTTTCAGGTGGCTTCTGTGTCTCTTTGACATGTAGCCATCGCTGTGGTGTTTTGTCTTGTTTCTGTGTATTTCCTTACTTTCTGGTAAGACAAGAAAGTCTCATTTTGCATATCCCTGCGCCAGTGCTAGAAGCAACCAGTTCTCTCCAACAAGCCCTGGCTGCTTTTGTTGGAGAAAGGTATTAGAAAGTTAGAGCTGACACTAGATACGCTCATTGCTACCGGAGTGTTGTTGCTTATGGGCCTTCTCAGTGGACAGAGTAGGGAAATGCGTGTGCATACTAACCCGTATGTATACATATCTCTATAACTACACATGCACCCATACACATATATCTGCATCTACATTAAACTAAACATGAGTTCCCATTGACGTCTCCAAATCTAACTCATCGCCATCACGGTTCATTGCAGTCTTCCCCATTACTTTTCTGTAAATTCCAACATTGAGATACTGGCTCCCACCATCCACCATCCATGTACTTTGTTCGATCCCTATGTGTGTGTTCGGTGATTTTAGACTTGTTAATCTGCATCCCCATGAGAAACAGTTTTACCAACTAGAGTACGATGATTATGAATAGTTCCTTTTGCCTTTAGTCTTAGAAAGTTTCTAGTGATTTCACAAGCGATGTAGGTCAGCATTCTTTCTCACTCATCCCATTCAGTAAGGTTATGCCATATATTTGTAACACTGTTAGATTCTTTTATCGCTGTTTGCATTCTATCTTGGGGTTGCCTAATTTCCCAATTGGTATTTTTTAAAGTTTGCTTTCCTTATGGCTTACTTTTGTGCTATTAAGCTCTATGGGTTTTGGTAAATACATAGTGTCATCTATCCACCACTATAGTATCCTACAGAAAAGTTTCCTCATCCTAAAATTATCCCCTGCACTTCACCTAGTCAACGCTCTCTGCTCCTCAAACTCTTGGAAAACACTGATCTGTTTTCTGTCTCTAAAATTTTGTCTTTTCTAGAATGTATATTTCCTTAATTTCTGGGAAGACAAGAAAGTCTCATTTTGCATATCTCCTGCCCCAGTGCTAGATGCAGTCAATTCTCCAAGAAGCCATGACTTCTTTTGTTGGAGAAAGGTATTAGAAAGTAAGCAGATAACGAGGTCAAGAGATCGAGACCATCCTGGCCAACATGGTGAAACCCCATCTCCACTAAAAGTACAAAAATTAGCTGGGCGTGGTGGCGCATGCCTGTAGTTCCAGCTACTGGGGAACCTAAGGCAGAAGAGTCGCTTGAACCCAGGAGGCGGAGGTTGCAGTAAGCGGAGATCACACCACTGCACTCCAGCCTGGGCAACAGGGCCAGAGTCTATCTCAAAAAAAAAAAAAAAAAAAAGAAAAAAAAAAGAAAAGAAAAAAGAAAGAAAGAAAGAAATGATGCTAGATATGCCCACTGCTGCTTGCGTGTTGTTGCTTCTGGGGTGCCATGTAAATAGAATCATACAGTACACAGCCTTTTCTGACTGGTTTCTCTAACTTAGTAATAATGCATGTAAGACTTATCCATGTTGTTGCACACACAGTATTTTTATTTTTATGCCAAAACATGTATACATTGTTCTCAAAATATTATTTTCTTGACAACATCTGGTTAAGCAGAATGTTTAATAAATGTCAGTAGGAGCCAGTGAAGAAGTGGGAAAAATTAGGTTTAGAAAATCGGACAGAGAGGCAGGACATGATGGTAACATTTATTACGTGTTAAAATAGCATTTCTGCGACATATTACAGAAAATTTAACAAAATTGCATGAAGCGCGCTTTGGGGGTTTCCAACACGAAATGCCTATACATTCCTGAAATCATATAGAGATATGCTTCTCCTCAAGCAAAGTTCTATTTTAAAAAATCTTGATTTGAAAACAAATTAATTAGGAGGATGTTTGTTTATATGTTTTTCATTAGAATTGTTCATTTTCCAGGCAGATTCTCAGAGTATTCCTATTAAAATATCCAGATTACTTTGGAATTCTAATCTGTTCTATTTATTTAAAAACTCAGTTTACAAATATAAGAGCACAATTACTATTGAAAATGAAGTGTAGTAAGTGGCACAAAGTTCTGATGTTTGGCTGTCTAAACCCAACATGAATTTCAGAAATCATCAACCAAATCAAAGACCCTGCAGCAGCAGTCCCACTGCAACCTTCCCTGCCCGAGGAGAAGGGCAATGAAAAGATCGTGGCCATGGTGAGGGTGTGTTGGGATGAATCTCTGGAGAAAAGACCCAGTTTCTCTTCCATCAAGAAAACTTTACGAGAGGCCAGTCCCAGAGGGTGAGTTAGATGTGCAACAGATATTTGCTCTCACTCAGTTAACCATTAGGATTTTAGAGCTGCTGGGCATGGTGGCTCATGCATGTAATCCCAGTGATTTAGGAGGCTAAGGCAGGAGGATCCCTTGAGGCCGGGAGTTCAAGACCAGCCTGGGCAACATGGTGAGTTTCTGTATCTATAAAAAATAAAATAAAATAAAAAATTAGCCAGGCGTGGTGGTGTGAGCCTGTAGTTTGAGTTTCTTAGGGGGGCTGAGAATTGCTTGAGCCCTGGAGGTCAAGGCTGCAGTGAGCTATGATTGTGCCACTGCACTCCAGCCTGGGTGACAGAACGAGACCCTGTTTCTAAAAAACAAAACAAAACAAAATTAAATCTATATGGCCGTGATTGGTTCTATGTGACTCATTCCCTTCCTCCCTCCTCCCTTCCTCCATTCCTCCCTTCCTCCCTTCCTTCCTTCCTTTCTTCCTTCCTCATACACTCACTCAGTGCTTACCATACACAAAACACTGTACTACATGCTGGTTACAGTGGAGTGAGAAATTTTTCCTTTATTTCATAAATGCCACAAAAATGGATCAGATATTAATAATTCTACTGCCTTCTTTGTCTATCTCAGGTGTCACTAATCAATTAAGGCCCTTGTTTCCAGGGAGTTTTGACATGGCTTCAGAGTCTTTTTCAAATCAGCATTCCAAGGGTTAGGCTAATCAATTTGGACTGGACTGTGGGATAAAAATTACTCACCACCCATAGAGTAGGTTATGACTTAAATTACGCATTCCTCTCCAACAACTTTCTCAATAGTAGCTTCCTTTACACCAGATAATTGTATCATCTTTTAGTACATGAATTTAGGAAGACATGCCCATGTTAGAGGTAGCTTGAGTTGGTAGAAAGAGCCCCAGGCTAGGAATCAGGTGTCTACTCTTAATTTGGACCTTCAGCTATGCATTATTTAAAAAAACAAAACAAAACATTTTTTGGAGTCAGGGTCTGGCTCTGTTGCACAGGCTGGAGTGCAGTGGCATGATCTTGGCTCACTGCAATTTCTGCCTCCCGGCTTCAAGTGATTCTCATGCTTCAGCCTCCTGAGCAGCTAGGACTGCAGGTGTGTGCCACCATGCCTGGCTAATTTTTGTATTTTTAGTAGAGACAGGGTTTCGCTATGCTGGCCAGGCTGGTCTCAGACTCCTGACCTCAGGTGATCTGCCTGCCTTGGGCTCCCAAAGTGCTGGGATTACAGGCAAGAGCCACCGTATCTGGCCTCAGCTATGCATTCTTAACACAATAGCCCTGGGTTCTGCATTTCCAAGCTCGTAATAGTTTTTAAATTTTAAAAATCATTTTTAAATGATTTTTAAAATTAACAAATGAGGCTGGGTGTGGTGGCTCAAGCCTATAATCCCAGCACTTTGGGACGCCGTGGCAGGTGGATCACCTGAGATCAGGAGATTGAGACCAGGCTGACCAACATGGTGAAACCCCATCTCTACTAAAAATACAAAAATTAGCTGGGCGTGATGGCACACACTTATAACCCCAGCTACTCAGGAGGCTGAGACAGGAGAATCGCTTGAACCTGGGTGGTGGAGGTTGCTGTGAGCTGAGATTGCAGCACTGTACTCCAGCCTGGGTGACAGAGCAAGACGCCATCTCAAAAATGTAAAATAAAATAAAATTAAAATTAAAATTAACAAGTGAAACATTGTTTATATTTATGGTATACCATGTGATGTTTCGGAATACGTATACTGTGTAGAATGATTAAATCAAGGTAATTAACCTAAAGATACCTCTTAAGTAAGCTTAAGATACATCCCCATATTTTTTACTTAGAAAATATGGACCTCAATGTTATGACAAATCTATTTTCCTATGTGAGTCTAGGTCTCCTCATCTGAAGATGAGGAATTTAAATGAGTTCTCTGAAGACGCTTCGAAAACAAAGGACTAATAGAATCTAGAAGTGCCCTTACATTAGACCGTCTGAAAAGAAAGGAATGACCCATCCTGAAATCTGCATTCTCAATGTCTGTTGGGAGGTGGGGAATGGGCCATTGAAGGCCACCATTTGTTGAGTGCCTGTGGCCCTGGACGTGACCCTAGACACTTTATGCATGTTATCTCCCTACATCCTCAGAACAACAACGTGATCGTATGTACATGAGGTACGCGTGATTATCTTCATTTTCCAAATGAGTAAAGTGAGGCTCAGAGAAATGAAGGAGGCAGCTTAGAGGGCTGATGAAAGGCAGGCTCTGTCCTGTCACGCGGCTGCAATGCCATTGTCACTTCCCCGATGTCCGTTGGCAACCCTTAACTAGGACACCTGAAAGGCAAGCAATATTTTCCTGGAATGTGTAGCTGGAAGCTCTGTTCCACTGAGGCCCTAAGGGTCTTGGGAGAAAACATCAATGTCTGGTTTCTTTTAAAGTCATGTGAGCATACTGGCCAGTGTGATGAGCAAGCTGGAAGTGTATGCCAATTACCTGGAGGAAGTGGTGCAAGAGAGGACCAGCCAGCTGACTGCAGAGAAGAGGAAGGTGGAGAAGCTTCTGTCCACCAAAGTGCCCAGGTATTCGGAAGCACTGGGGCCTTGAAGCTGCGGCATCACCATCTAGCAGCCCCACATAGGGGGGATTATTTCCATGATTATTTTTCTAAGAGAATGTCAGGTTCTTCTAAAAGGGGTCAGGCATTTTTTTTTGTGCAGTTTGGTACACCTGTAAAGGGAGATAGAGGCAAACTCTCCTGAATCCATAGAAATAGAGGCTGTAGTCGGTCTTTTACGTGGAGGGTGGTGGATGCAGCAACAGGAGAGTAGCCACTAGATGGCGCCCTCGTTTCACGAGTCCGACTAATTGCTACCTCCCCTGTATTTGATTGTAGGTCCAAAACCTCCACACAGTTTAATATGTACCTGTGGCTTCACATTCAAATATTGCTTCATTTTTGGTTCTGTTTCTATATGTTCACTCTCTCAACACTTGGCAGAAGTATTTGCTGTTAAAATTCCCGTGCGCTTCTTGCATGTCTAGACCAAAGAAGTGGGGGCAGGGATTTTTAATGAGATTGGTTGACTGAAATGAAATTGATTTGTGGATTGGTGAATGATTATATTCCCTTCCACAACTGCAGAGTCTTTACACCCTAACTCTATAACCAATATACATAAAGAAAATCCTTTTTGTAAAGGCATTATGTGACCCTCTCTCCTACTCCCCCACAATTTATACACGTCAATTAAAATATCTCTTTAGAGAGAATGCAACTGGAGAAGTGGATGTTAAAAGAATTCCTCTAGAAAATGAATTTTGTTAACCAAAAGCTTAGCCATTGAAGCAAAAGGACCAATGAGGACAACTTTGCAGGAGTCTGTAGGAGATGAGATGAATAAGATCCCATTCAAAAATGATCCGTTTCTCTGGTTTCAGCTTCACTGGAGAACAACTACTAGCCGGAAGGTCCGTGGAACCAGAACATTTCGAATCTGTGACAATCTTTTTATCTGATATTGTTGGATTCACAAAGCTGTGTTCTCTCAGCTCCCCTTTGCAAGTCGTCAAGCTCCTCAATGACGTGTACAGTTTATTCGATCACATCATCACAACTTATGATGTTTATAAGGTGAGATGCCTCATCCTGACTGTGCGATCACGTGTGCTCCTTGCAGGCTGTCTCCGGGGCATGATGGAGAATGGAACTGATTCCAGACATCAGCCAGGAGGAAGCTCCATTTCAGTCTATGTCACTTCACGGCAGAAACTCAATATTTTATTTCTGTTTGTTTTCTTGGAAAAGGTCTTGATTAGTCACAGATGTATGTGCTTGTCAAAACTCACCAGTTTCCTCTGTTTCCTTCCATTATTTTATCTCACAGTAAACACTTTTTAAAAAGAGGCATTGACCTTCCACTGGCTAATTCCTTCCCGTCTTTCCTAAATACATTTCCTTCAGAGGCAGAGAGGCTCCTGTTTACTGTCCTTCAAAGGTTGTCCTTGGATCTTGTGTGGGTCTCACCTCTGTTGTCCTGATCCTTAGCAATTAAGAGTGAAGAAAGATTCCCACTTTTAGACTATCAGACTTGTGACTAAAAGCGGGGCAGCAACAATTCCCTGCCGGGTGCTACTGTGGGAGATAGAAGGACACGGTCACCTGGAGTGAAAACCATTTTTGATGGGGAAAACAGAAATGTTTTGGCTCTTCATGACTGCCGGGTGGTGGTGGTGATGAGGGCTGCTTTCTGTGTGTTCTGACTCTTTAGAAGGGGTCAGCCCATGACTCTAGGGACAGTACCGTGTGCCTGTGCTCATACATGCCTGGTGGGCAGCCACAAGTGCACCAGCACTGACCACAATCCCAGGGCCCTGTCTCTGCCTGTGGACCTGGGGATAGCGAGATTTGGGGGACAGTGTGGTCATATGGTCACATATCTCAGTGACACAGTGACACGTCTTCAATGTTTATCTCCCAGTGTTCCCCACAAATGATGCCTCTGTTCAAGGGTGAAAGAAAGGATGGTATAGATAACCTTTAAGAGTAGATCACACACACCCAACAAAATCAGAACCTGCCCTGCTTAGGAGGATATCTTCTGGGATTTTCCTCTTAGTATTACCTTCTCAGTTGTGTTTTGCTTGAGCTCATATTAAAACTTAGTTTGTATTTCTAAAGGACGTTACCACGGTGGGGAGAGGAAACCCGGAAGCAGGTGAGGCTTGTCGAATAGTTGACTTTGCGTAATTTCAGGGTCACCAGGACAGAGGTGTTCTTACTGTCTGGCTAATGCCTGAAATTCAGCCTTTACCACATCATCTTTGGATTCTGCTAAAATGCAAATGTATCTGGAAAGGGCTGTAACTTTAAGCTTCTACTTGTCATTTATTTCTCTATTGTGAATGACAGATCTGAAAGCTGATTTTATTAGGAGGATGGAGGGGGAAGAGGACAGACAGGCAGATACATACATTATATATATATAATGTGTATATATATATAATATTGGGTGAGATGGTCTCTGCTTGACGGATCCACCTCACCCTTCAAGGTTGACTCTAGGAGCATACTGCTCCCTGTCTCACTGGTTCTGAATTTGGGCTGGGGAAATATAGTCACCGCTACTATTGGATTTCAGAGGAGGAAACAGTGACTGTGGGGAGGGAGGCTCAGGGAAGGAGGGTGAGGGGGGCTTTGTGGAAGAGCCATGACAAGGGCAGGAACTGAAGAAATGCTGGAACTTGCATGGGGTGGAGGTCAGGGAGTGTGACGCGTCCAAACATGGGGCCTCAAGGTTGGGGACAAATGAGGGGCCTTAATCTCTGACCCCACCCCAACCCTTGGCCTCCCTCATGGAAAACAAAGGTCACTCTGTCACTTTGTTTTCAGGTTGAGACCATTGGAGATGCATACATGGTGGCTAGTGGACTCCCTACCACAATGGAAGCCAGCATGTGGCTGAGATTGCCACCATGTCCCTGCACTTCCTCAGTGCCACCATCTGCTTCCAAATTGGGCACATGCCCCAGGAGAAGCTCCAGCTTCGTATTGGCCTCTACACAGGTAGACAAAACTGATGGCCTGATGGTCCAGGGATGGCAGCAGGTAGTTCCGGGTTCCACTCCTAGGTCCAGGGCTTTTAGGAACCTGGACATTGAACAGTAACATCTTTAGGGGAAATAAAAGTTTGAATTGTCTCTGCATGTGTATTTCTATTTAGCTAGGTTGCTTGGTAACAACAAGGACACACAATGGCTTCAATGTATTCAACCAAAAGTAAGGACTGGGCACAGTGGCTCACGCCTGTAATCCTAGCAATTTGGGAGGCCGAGATGGGTGGATTGCCTGAGCTCAGGAGTTTGAGACCAACCTGGGCAACATGGTGAAACCCTGTCTGTACTAAAATACAGAAAACCAGCTGGGTGTGGTGGCAGGCACCTATAATCTCAGCTACTCAGGAGGCTGAGGCGTGAGAATTGCTTGAACCTGAAAGGCAGAGGTTGCAGTGAGCTGACATCGTGCCACTGCCTCCAGCCTGGGCAACAAAGCAAAACTCTTTCAAAAAAAAAAAAAAAAAAAGGAAGAGACCAAAACCCAGGATGGGTTCTACAGGGCTAATTTTCTTCCATGCCTTAGCATCAAATGCCCTTTGATATGCTCTGTGTTTGCTAACTCATGGGCATGTGATCTGTGCAGAAGTGATGCATGCTTGGTTTCACGCTCTTTCTGTCACTGTCTGGAAATTCTTAATCATTTTTGCACAGAGTGTCCTGTGTTTTCAC
Organism: Homo sapiens; assembly: GCF_000001405.40. Lineage (NCBI taxonomy): Eukaryota > Metazoa > Chordata > Mammalia > Primates > Hominidae > Homo > Homo sapiens. The sequence continues at coordinate 112,311,597 of NC_000010.11, read as the reverse complement.
TCTGCACTTGTTCCAGCAAATTTTGTAGCCAGTTATGCTACCTATCTTCCAAGGCTCAACAAAGATAAAACCCGATCCTCAGTCAGAATGAATTGCTCCCATGTTTGTACCACTATTGGCATTGTTCACAGCTCTAGTTCGTGAGTGACATGGTCATTTAATGATGATGTCGCTTTCCAGCAGGTGTTTGTGGGTTCTGTCGGTTTCCTTTCTGTAAACCCTAAAACCTATTGCCAATTTGCCCCAAGAGGGTGCATCACTACATTTGTTCATCTGATGCGTATCGTCGAGTCCAGCCTCGGGCAATGCAGAGCGGTTATGGCCTTTGGTTCTTCATTCTTTAGGTCCTGTGGTGGCTGGTGTGCTGGGGATTACCATGTCCAGATACTGTCTATTTGGAGACACTGTCAACATGGCATCCAGAATGGAGAGCAGCAGTTCACGTGGGTATCACTGACAACACTTTGTAAACACAATATTGTTATCTCCCTCCAGGCCCCTAGCTTTAACCAGGGGATACTTTTAGAAGATGCATTTGCTTTTTGCCTACTGTTTTCCATCTGGAGGTTAAGATCATTATCCACTTCAGGCAACACTGATCACATGCTTTATAGACAGGGTTTTGCACTCTGCTCTTGTTAGAACCATGCAAATACACGCAGCCTCCTTTTTTCTATGACTTTCAGTCCTAAGCAATCACAGGCACATATAATCACTTAAATGAAGAGCAGGAGTTGGAAAGCTTTTTCTTTTTTTTGAGATGGAGTCTCACTGTGTCACCCAGGCTGGAGTGCAGTGGTGTGATCTTAGGTCATTGTGACCTCTGCCTCCTGGGTTCAAGCGATTCTCCTGCCTCAGCCTTCTGAGTAGCTGGGATTACAGGCATGCGCCACCACGCCCGGCTAATGTGTGTGTGTGTGTGTGTGTGTGTGTGTGTGTGTGTGTGTGTGTGTGTGTGTTTAGTAGAGACTGGGTTTCACCATGTTGGTCAGGCTGGTCTTGAACTCCTGACCTCAAGCGATCCACCCACTTCGGCCTCCCAAAGTGCTGGGATTAGCTGGCATGAAGCACTGTGCCTGGCCCGGAAAACCTTTTCTATACAGGGCCAGACAGTAAATATTTCAGGCTTCAGGGGCCATAGAATCTTTGTTGCAACTACTTAAGTGCTGTTGTAGCTCAAAAGCAGCAATAGACAATATGTCAATCAACAGGCATGGCCATGTTCCAATAAAGCTTTATTTGCAAACACAAGTAGTGGACTGGATTTGGCCCATAGGTGATAATCTGCCCTTCTCCGAGGTAGAGTATATTCTTGGTGGTACAGAAGAAATCTATAGCCAGGACCTCCAGGGAATATTACATTCTTTTGCTTTATAGTAATTTTATTGCATTACCATTCCCAGGCACTCGTATGCCATTTGTCAGATGAGACATGTAAAAAAGAATTACTCAGTGATGTCAGTTTCAAAAAGGCTTAGATGATTAACATTGTTTTATATTGTAAATTTTCCACATTATATAAAAACACATTCATTGTTTAAGTTAACCGAGTCTCAAACAAGAATTTTTTTTTTTTTTGAGATGGAGTTTTGCTCTTGTTGCCCAGGCTGGAGTGCAATGGCATGCTCTCGGCTCACTGCAACCTCCGCCTCCCGGGTTCAGCCTCCCCAGTAGCTGGGGTTACAGGCATCTGCCACCACGCCTGGATAATTTTTGTATTTTTAGTAGAGACGGGGTTTCACCATGTTGGCCAGGCTAGTCCCGAACTCCTGACATCACATGATCCACCCGCCTTGGCCTCCCAAAGTGCTCAGATTACAGGCGTGAGCTACCATGCCCAGCATTCAAACAAGAATTTTAAACCTCTCTCTTATCTTGTAAGTAAAGGTTTTTAGGATAAACTTTGAAGCTAGAGCTGCTTATAAAGGATCTAGACCTGATTCTAATTGCATTTCTGGTTACAAACAACATTTTCAGTAAAATGTCCCAGCTGAGGAGCCCAGTGAACTGCCCTCCATGGGGATTACCTTGTATGCTGAATCAGTTCTGCCTTCTGTTTCCAAACTGAATGCACTAAGGTTTTGAGCAGGACTCAACAATGATTGAGCAATGTCAGAATGGTTGAGAATCCCAACCTAAGAGTCCCAGACTTCAGAGAAGTCGTCTGTGATTTGCTTAATGAAAAGTCCTGGTGATCAGAGAATTCAAGCAGTGTAGGTTCCCTCTCCAAAGCAGCCCCTACCCCACTGACACTCCACTGATAAGTTGATAACTAAGCAGTGACTGGTTTATGGCAGCTCTCCGGATTCATGTCTCTCAGAGCACTGCAAGCACCCTGGTGGCATTGGGAGGGTACGATTTGCTAAAGAGAGGCACCATTCCAGTCAAGGTAAGACCAGGCCAACCATGCCCTGCCTGCCCTGTTTGGGTCTCTGATAGAGACATCGAGGAACTTAGCGGGATGGATGCATCTCCATGGAGTGATGCAGGGAGACCTCTAAGGTTCCCCTGGAGGCACTCATGACTGCCAGATCTTCTTCCTTCAGAGGAGAAGAAGTTCCCTCAAATGATCAAACGTGGAATCTTCAACAGAGAACACCTTAACTCCCAGCTAAACCAACCCCTTAGGGAATGCTTTCTTTTTTTCTTTTCTCTCTCTCGTTTTTTTTTTTTTGGCTACAAATGGTCCCCTAGCTTCCTCTTGAACACCCCAGTCCAGAAAAAGAAGTAGAAGGGAAGGCAGTGGCATCAACTCCCCAGTTTTGCTTAGCCTGGCCTTAGCATTCTGTATTCAATCAACTGACTTCAGTAAGAGGAAGACTTTTCTAGAAGGCGGCATTTAGCCATAGCTTGGAACCCATTCCTGCTACTGACCAGCTGTCTGAGTTTGAGGGCTTGTTTTTGTCATCTGCAAAATGGGGGTGGTGATAATACCGTCCTTGAAGGGTGGATGTGAGGAGTAAATGTGGACATGGATGTGAGGCGCTTCACTGGGTGTCCCACTCATACTAAGAGTGCAGTAGATTTTATTATTATTTTTAAAAGATTTTCTTTGCAACAAGCTTTAGTCTCCGTGGACTGTCACCCCCTAGGACATTGCTGCCTGGCCATGCAGGCTTATCAGCAAAGCCCAAGAAAATCAGTAAGATTTTATCTGTAAGGAGGCCTTTTGCTTGTGGAGGGAGGGAGCTCCCACTGTCCCAGCAAGTAAGACAGACCTCAGACATCTGCCCAGAGGCCATGCATTACAGGCAGCCCGCCAGCCCCACCCCAACCCTGCCAGCGATTCCCCAGGGCCTTCCTTTGCCTCCCACAGGGCAAAGGAGAGCAAACAACTTTCTGGTTGAAAGATAAAGAAGGCTTCACTCTTCCACTCCCGAATTTACTGAGGAAAAAGCCAAAGTCCCAGAGATATTGTGAGGTGAGTATTTTCTTTCAAGATGTTTGTGGAGTCACATGAAAGTCTTTGGGGACCCTTCTTCAAGATGCAGTCGATATCCCATTTAAGAGGTGTGGTTCTGGGGCATTGATCCAGTCTCCCACTAGGGGGAGCCGTCTAGCTGGCCCCCTCTTCCACCTCCAGGTGTTTGCTCCCAGCCTGTGCCTCCAGCAAATGCAGATTTGGAGGAGCTGAAGATGGTGAACTCATTTCCTGGGGTGCCAGGGCTGACTTGTGGCTCTCAGCCCTGTGCAACTGCCCTAGCTGCCAGATATTTACAGCCCATTAACTTGAGAATTTGTGTTGAACCCAGTTTCATTCTGCAGGAGGGGAAAGTGGAGAGGATGAAGCCTGTCTTTCTTGTGCAAGATGCCTGCTCTCTAACCTTTGGTGCTGATTTTCCTTATCAGCTAATCAGCTTGCAAGGAGATAGGAGCTCATATCTGACAGCATCTTGAGAATGTGTTCAGGAAAAAAAGCTCTAAGGCATGAGCAGCCACTGAAATCCAACAGGGCCGAGGCTATTTCAAGCAGTCAGGCCCTCTGCAGTTATTGGAAAGCCTGGTTCTGAGCCCTGAGTTACTGTGAGCCGAGCAGCTCCCAAATGCATAATGCCCTCTTCCTGATGTATTGCCTAATTTCTCTCCTATTCACCGAGCAAAAACTCCTGCAGTCAAGGCTTGAATGTTAAGTAGAATTTCTCAGTCATTTATGAAGAGTTTAATTTAAAAAAGGTTCCAGTAGACAAAGACGAACCCATCCATTCCTGCTACGATGGTTTTCTCTTCTACATAATGAATAGGATTCCATGTTGTTTTATTGAGTGGATGTTTTAATAGATTTACTGAACCACTAATGCATTTATAGTACTTCTTTCTTCATCTCTTGCAACTCCTCACATCCAGATATCTTTCATGTGGTTGCTCCTGAATCTGGCAGAGCAATTTGAATGAAATATTGTGTTTGAGACCTTTTCCTGTTGAACTTCCCATGACAGAAGGAGCGAAAATCAATGAGACCAGAAATAGTTTCTTTCTTGCTGGGTCTCTGAGCTGCCTTTGCTGAGATACTTTTGAGACCTGTATGGGAAATAAACTACTTTTTGGCTTATTGAAGGCTTTTAACACCAAATTATATAAAAGATTTGGTGGAATTCTTGCCTTTCTTTAGGAAGAGGGACACAAAAGCACTTTCACTTCCCAAATAATCCAGTCTTCATTGGGATCCTAAGCATTTCCATTACCAGTATTTTGCTTCTGCCCAGAGAGGGAAGACTGAATTCTACATCCATCACACACTCTGTTTTCTATATGAAAATTCTGTTTTCATTGTGGTAGGCTTCGCTCCTCCCCAGAGGCCTTAAGCATTGGGGACTGAAGGCTTTAGACTGATACTTAAAAGGAGAGAAGGCAGAAGGCATTTATGTGAAGAGGAGAGGAGGGCTTTCTCCTGCTACTTTAGCATGGAGACAGTAAGCCAAATTTATCTTCTCATTCCCCATAACTCCTTTTCTTGAGATAATGGCTCTGGATCCCAAACACCTTGCTCAACCATGAAAGGAAACAAGGCCACCTCTGCTATGAGTCCTCCTAGAGAGCTAGGATAGTCCCCATCCATCCATCCATCCATCCATCTATCCATCCATCCATCCATCCATCTATCCATCCATCCATCCATCCATCCACCCACCCGTCCACCTATTCATGTGAACATTTCTTTAATCCAAGGAGCATTTGTTAAGCACTTACTCTGTGCCATTCTGGGGTACACAAGAGAATATGAACTTTCCCTTGATCTTTGGCTTGCAGTCTAGTTAGGGAGAAGAAAGCATAATTTCATTGCATAAAGCAATATTAAGGACTAATAGAGCTATATACAAAAGCGTAGCAGTAACTAAGCAGTCCATCACTGTGACATTAAAAGAACATTAGAAAATAATACACAGATGAAGGAATGGGGCCAGGTAGGGCAATTGCCTATTATTATCCTGTCTTTGTATTGTGTGTGTGTGTCTGTTTTTCTTCCAGCCCTAGCCCATGTGCTTATGTAAGTTATGTTCATGTAATATAGATTTAGTTCTGCCTTTCTTATTGAACATCATAAGCATTTGGCATCTAGACACACATACACACAAAAACACACGTGTGCATATGCAGACATCCACGTGTGCACACATGCACATATATATGTATGCACACCCTCATATATATACACACACACGTGCATACATACACACACATATGCACATGGAGAAAGAGAGAGCGAGACTGTCTTTATGGATCACAACTAAGAATTTTGATAAGAACACTTTTCTAAATCTATATTCAGTATTTGTTCTATGTCAGCTAAGGATACCTGGGGGAGAATTAGTTTTCTTCTTTTTCTTAATGTTTCTAATTGTGTTTAGAACTACTGAGAATTTACAAGAGATTGTTTTGAGAGTACCTTGTCTTATTTTCTCAAAGAAGAAGTTATGAGACAAGAAGGGTAATCAAACATCATGAGGTTGTTAGTTAATGTCAAGTCAAAACACATCCAGTCACTGGTGAGAGACATTCGGGCTCTATAGGCAGGGATGACCCAAAAGACCTTTTCCCCAAAATGTTAATCATACAGATTGGCTTTACCTCCTTGCATCAGAAACCCAATACTGGGAGTTTTTTAAATGTAAAGGTAGGATAGAATAATTAGAAGTCTGTGGCAAGCCGGGTGCAGTGGCTCATGCCTGTAATTCCAGCACTTTGGGAGGCTGAGGCAGGTAGATCACGAGATCAGGAGATTGAGACCATCCTGGCTAACATGGTGAAACCCCATCTCTACTAAAAATACAAAAAATTAGCTGGGTGTGGTGGCGGGCACCTGTAGTCCCAGCTACTTGGGAGGCTGAGACAGGAGAATGGTGTGAACCTGGGAGGCAGAGCTTGCAGTGAGCTGAGATCACGCCACTGCACTCCAGCCTGGGTGGTGACAGAGCGAGACTCCATCTCAAAAAAAAAAAAAAAAAAAAAAAGTCTGTGGCATATATGCGAGTCTACGAAGCTCTAGTTGTAGAAACCCCTGGGAGAATTGGGGAATTAGCTGTCAACATGATATATTAACACTGTAAACTGTAGTCATAGGTTATTTATTTTAAGGCATTTTATTTATTCCATAGCGCCAGGTAGAGATACAAGATCATAAAACACAATGATGAAATACAGCAAAACTAATACAACATTGGTTTATTCTGACAGCAAAGGATTTGAACATGGCTATGAGTATGCTATTTAAGAGTTTTCTACTAGAACCAATAAAATATGTCTTCTGTTTTTCCTGACTATAAAAACTCTGAATTTACAGAAAGAAGAGATCCTAAACTCGTTGGAACTCCAGCTTAGAGACCAAGTCTAGACCAAATTGAGTCATTTTACTTTAGCCTATTACTAAACAAACATACACTTCATGTATCCGGAGATTTCATAACTAGTTTAATCTCTGAGTTCACTAACACAAGTTGTAAAAGAATCATCAAACTGCAAATTGCAAAACTTCTCAAATACCTTAAATACAGAGAGACAAACCCATGTGTTGTTTTCAAATTATAAGCCTACTAATTAAGTCTTTACATAACTAAGGACTTAGAACTCTGCCTTTTCCTATCACAATCCAGCCAATTCTCTACCAGAATTGGTTCATTCAGTTTGTATTTTGTTGACAATGTAAATCATTTATATGGGCATATTCTGGATCACTGGGGTGGCCAGTTACCAAGATGTGCTACTGCATGCTTTCATTGGCTGCATTTGCATTTGTGTTTCTGATTTTGTGTTAGCTTCATTCTAATGATTGTAAGTGAATGAGACAAAAACAGATGTAAGCTTCGATGTTTAAGTAAAAGCTAAATGAGATCAGACCATTTCTTATAAATGAAAACTTCTTAGTAGAGCAAATAGAGAAAAAATAGCATTGAGTGTCACAAGGCATTTATCTGTAGGATTGGGTCACCAAACTCACAGCACTTGTGTCATTGGAGTCACTTTATAGTCATGTTTCCAGCAGCAGTTTCACTGGGGCAATGCCGTGTTATTAGGTTAAATTAATGTGAGTTGTATTCTTCTTGTGATTATTCTTTTTGTAAATATTCCTATTTAATTTGTAATTTTCTTTTGACTTTAGAAGTATACATCTGCTATAAAAACAAGGAGTTTCTACCTATATCATGTTTATATATTTAACAAATGGTATAATAAAAACAAATTAGGTCAGTACTAGGGGCTTTCAAGAATCTATTTCCTTTATATCATTAGGTTTGAGCAAAACTATTGTATTCCACTCTGAATCCCACATCATCTCCCATGTCATCAGTTGAAAGATTGGAACTCCCTGCGTGGGGGCTCAGCTCTGGTCCTTAAGTAGAATGACACTGCCTCAATGACAAAGCTCCTTTTTGGCAAAGTCAGCTATTAATGTGCGTTGTGCATTTAGTGTTGACTTTGTAGTTGCACCCTACATTCTCTTCAAAATGCTCAGCAGTACTTGGTTGGGTCTGCTAACCTTTTAAAGTTAAAATAGCTTTCAAAGGAATTTACTGCAGCCCTGACTTGAGTATGGAGAAAGGAGGCTCCTCCCCCAGCTGTAGAAGGACTGTGAGATCTAAGGGCCACGGGAAGTAGCCTAAGTTTTTCTTAGAAAGAAAAAGGCATCACCAAATTCACAGAAATTATTGGAGTGCATATTTGGCAAAGTGCTATTCTCTGCCCCCCAACAATGTGGTCTTCTGTTTGTTCTTTTTGGCAGCACAATAAATGTGTTTGTCATTCGCTGAGGACTATTGTGGGTGGAGGAGCGGCAGCTGCCTGGCTAACTCCTATAACACGGCACAAATCCCCAACATCATGATGAGGTGGTGGAGAACATCTGTGGACCAGAAGGGGAGGGAGATGGCACTCAGAGACAGTTCTACAAGGGTAAAGCCAACTCAACAGAAGAGTTAACTCAGGGGTCTTCATAAAATTCCACACATTTTAGACAAAGTCGATTTTGTTCATCCCTTGGGGATTCTGTAGCTCACATTTATCAGTACAAAGAACCTGACAGATAAACCTAGGTTGTGGACCTCTGACAAATAGAAATCAGTGATGGTGCATGGTACTCTAGGGCTTTCAGTGTAGAACTTAAAAACGATGAGAATCTAGGATTGGAATTTTAAAAGTTGATTTACATGATTCTCCTGTAATGATGAGAGCAAAATCTGTCTGTGAGATTATTAATAAGTGAACTGTCTTACCCCATCTCCTCATGTAGTTGCTTCCTTCTTATCATTCAGGTGAGATCTTGGGTCTTAGCTGAAATGTTTCTTCCTCTAAGGGGCTTCCCTGGCTGCTCTCTAAATCACGTCCCCCATTGAACCCCAAATACTCTACACATATTGGCAAGGGAAGGGGCCTTGTCTGTCTTGTTCACGGCAGTAGCCACAAGACCAGTTCCCAGTACAGTCATCATAATCATGGCTGACCCTGACTGGGTGTTTGCTGTTTGCTGGGCATTGTTCAGTGCCCTTAGCTGTAATTAAATATCTATACCACAGCCATGTAGATAGGGGCAATTATTAGCCCAATTTCACAGAGGAAACTAGGGTATGGAGGAGGGGTGAGGTCATTGCCCAAGGTCACTCAGTTAATAAAAGACAGAGCCATAACAAGAATTCAAATATTTGTTGAATGAACAGATCACTGAAAATCTTGTTCTGTAAATGTTGGAATCCAAGGGAAGCCATCTGGGGATGGCTTTACTAAGACTTGGGGAAGTGAGGTCCAGTTCTGCTTCATCCGATTTACCTTCGGTTCCTCCCTCTCTTCAGAGTTCAGGGGCTGGTCAGAGGGAGACCTCTTGATCTCGCCCCCTCTGCGCCACTCAGGTGTGCTTTAAAGTATAATTTTCAATCCTTAAAAGTTTTGCCGGGGCCAAAGTTAAGCTTCTCTTAAAACACTCTCTGCCTTTTAACAGCATAGCCCCACGAAATCCCAGAAGTGTCTCTTTTCCTTACCTGAGAAGCTATAGAGACTGGAAAATCCCCTGCCTGTAGTGAGTAAAGAGAGAATGCAGAAAGTTTAAGAAAAGATCATGGAAAGGAGAAGTCTCAGAGTGATGTTTCTACAACACAAAACCTGGCTGGGGGCTGCGGCTCACACTTGTAATCCCAGCACTTTGGGAGGCCCAGGTGGGCGGGTCACTTGAGGTTGGGAGCTCGAAACCAGCTTGGGCAACATGATGAAACCCTGTCTCTACCAAAAATACAAAAATGAACCAGATGTGGTGGCACGTGCCTGTAATCCCAGCTACTCAGGAGGCTGAGTCAGGAGAATTGCTTGAAGCTGAGATCACGTCATTGCACTCCAACCTGGGCGACACGGTCTCAAAAAAATAAATATAAATAAATAAATAAAACACAAAACCTGACCACAATCCTCCCCTGATTAAACCATCAGGTGCTCCATTGCCTTTCAGACAGTTTATACTGGGGGTTTACAAAGTTTCATCTCACAACGCTTTCTCTCCAAAGCAGGGGTTGGTAAGCTTTCTGAAAAGAAAAAAGTAAATAGTACATTTTGTCAGCTTTGCAGGCCATCCCATCTCTGCTACCACAAATCCACCTGTAGTTGCAGTGCACTGCTGTAGACAATATCTACATGAACGAGTGTTGCTGTGTTCTAATAAAACTTTCTTTAAAGGCACTGAAATTTGAATTTCATATAATTTTTTTTTTTTTTTTGAGACAGAGTTTCACTCTTGTTGCCCAGGCTAGAGTGTAGTAGCGTGATCTCTGCTCACTGCAACCTCTGCCTCCCAGGTTCAAGTGATTCTCTGGCCTCAGCCTCCCAAGTACTGGGACTACAAGTGTGCACCACCACTCCCGGATAATTTTTGTATTCTAGTAGGGACAGGGCCAGGCTGGTCTCGAACTCCTGACCTCAGGTGATCTGCCCGCCTTGGCCTCCCAAAGTGCTGGAATTAGAGGCATGAGCCACCATGCCTGGCCCTGAATTTCACGTAATTTCTACATGTCACGAAATATTGTTGTTTTGATTCTTTTTTTGAACCACATAAAAACGTGAAAACTGTTCTTAATTCCCAGGCCACAAAACCAGGTGGCACCTGGGCCTTGGCCCTTGGCCATAGCTTGGTGACTGTCCTCTAAGATAGAGCCGCTACAGCTTCCCGCCTTCCCACAGGTTTTGCCCACCCTTCATGTCACACTATCCTTCAGGTCTCACTTGGAGATTGTCAGCAGAGCTCTTCTGCAAGCCCTGTACTAGGTTGAATCCCTTTGCTCCATTCAGGATGAATATCCCTTATCCAAAATGCTTGGGACCAGAAGTGTTTCAGATTTCAGATTTTTTTTTGGATTTTGGAATCTTTGCATTATACTAGTTGAGCATCCCTAACTGGAAAACCTGGAATCTGAAATCTAAAATGCTACAATGAGCATTTCCTGTGAGCATGACCTTTGAGCATCATGTGGGTGCTCAAAAAGTTTCAGATTTGGGAGCATTCGGATTTTGGATTTTCACATTAGTGATGATCAACTGTGCAACCATGGCACCAGCCCACTGTCACCCTCCTTAACAGTAATTTCTCTTTCCCTTAGTGTCTAACATCTCTCTCCTTGCTAGACAGTAAATCCCTTGAGGACAGGGCCTGCTTGGGTCACATTTATTTCTGAAATCCTAGTGCCCTGCCAGGCCAGGCAGTGCTGGATACTCAGTAAAGGTTTTTTGACTTGCACATGACATTCTCATGACATCTCATTTTTCCTTCCTTCCTTCCTTCCTTCTTTCTTTTCTTTTCTTTTTTCTTTCTCTTTCTTTCTTTCTTTCTTTCTTTCTTTCTTTCTTTCTTTTCTTTCTTTCTTTCTTTCTTTCTTTCTTTCTTTCTTTCTTTCTTTCTTTATTTCTTTCTGTCTGTCTGTCTGTCTCTCTTTCTTTCTTCTTTTTCTTTCTTTCTTTTTTTTTTTTTTGAGACGGAGTTTCGCTCTTGTTGCCCAGGCTGGAGTACAATGGCGCGATCTCAGCTCACTGCAACCTCTGCCTCCCAGATTCAAGTGATTCTCCTGCCTTAGCCTCCCGAGTAGTTGGGATTACAGGCGTGCCCCACCAAGCCCAGGTAATTTTGTATTTTTAGTAGAGGTGGGGTTTCACCATGTTGGTCAGGCTGGTCTCAAACTCCTGACCTCAAGTGATCTGCCCACCTCGGCCTCCCAAAGTGCTGGGATTACAGGCGTGAGCCACCGAGCCCGGCCCCATGACATCTCATTTTCTATTATTATTGTTCACTGCATGCTCTGTTTGGAAGCTCAGCACTTCCTGATTCTTTGGGGGTATTTGAATTTAGGGTGCAGTTAGAACTTTCAGAGTAGATAACAAACCTCAACTCCTTCGTTTGGCTTGAGCTGTTCCCCACCCCTGGCTGGAAGACTCCAGGAGCAGGTGAAGGTTGTGCCCACAGGCACGACTGGTTTGGCAATTCAGTAAAAATGCTCAAACCGGCTGTGCCTGTGGACGCAGCCCAGCGTGAACTCAACCGTTTGGAAAACAGAGGAAAACAGAGACGCTTACTCCGCAGGGAGAGCTCCACGACCAGGACTCCCCCGGTCTGGTCTCGCAGGAGGCGCTTCCGTTTATCGCAGGTCTGAAGACCCAGAGAGGCAGACAGGAGAGAAGCGGGGAAGGTGGGATGATGCGTGAGCAAAGGGGAGAAAAGAGAAAGAAAAGATATTTTAAAAAGGTCACAAATGGGGTGGAGTCACAATTCCCCAGTCAACAGAGATGAGTTACCTTTTTAAAAAATAACCCAGAAGACACACTGTTCATCCCTTCTCCAACTTGAATACAAAGAGAAAGCTTTACTTTGTTAACTCTTCAAGCCAGAGGGAATCCTTCTGGAAGAGGTCATTGAGTGTGGAAGGGATTGATCCCATTTCCTTTGATAAGGCTTCTACTTACCACTCTCACCACAATAATTAGAGAAGTGGACACTTGCAATTGTATTCTGGTTCATTTTCTTTTCTTTCTTTTTAAAAATATGGCATTGATACTTATCCTTTGATCAACTGTACAGTGTCTCTCCCCTCCTCTCCCTGGCTCTGCACTCTCTGGTTTCTTTCCCTTTTGCTGTTTGTGCTCATAAAGAACCATTTTCTGGCCAAATGAAACAACAGCAATAGAGATTATGACCTTATTTTTGTTGGTTACTATAGGCTATGTGGATAGCAGCCTCTTTGGAAACACCGAGGTCTCCAGTTGAAAGAGACCAGAAAGGAGAACAGTTTGAGATTTGGCATGTCTAAGTGTCTAAGTGGTGGTTCTCAGGCTTGAGTGAGCACCGGCATGACTGCTGGCTTGTTAAAGCACAGCCTGCCCAGGCCTTCCTCTCACGTGGTCAAATCAGCCATGATCCAGTGTCGGGAATTTCTGCAGCATCTCTCTGAAGTCACAGAGGTGAACCCTCGGGCTGTTCAGTCAAGACTAAAAACACCCACCTTTTGAGTTATTTCCACGGCCTGTCCCTGCCACCTAGACCTTGAATTTCCCTTGCCCTTTTCACTTCTTCCAAGTATTTCCAAGTCTGTTATCACTTTCATTTACCTACACTGCCCTCTGATGAGGGAAGGGCCATCATTACTTAACACACTTTGCTTAAGGATGAGAAAGCAGGTCCCAGCAGGTTAGGCGACACATGCCAGACCATGTGGGTTGTTGGAGGCAGGGCAGATAGGGCCCTGAGCATCTGCCCTCACGAGCATCTGCCCTTATACTCAGTGCCATTTCCTCCAGATGTCCTCAGCACACAGCTGCCCTGGCCTGGTTATGATCTCCCCACTCAAACTCCAGCTCCTCCAATACTGGCACCCTTTAGGTAACATTGTCCTTCTGGAGAGAGGCAGCTCACCACTGGGCAGGAGAGTTTCTCACTGTCGCAGATGAACGTCTCACAGTGTAACCACACCTTGGAGAGTTTGGGGATGTTCTGGAACCGGAAAGCATTGAATTGGAAGGTTGCCCTGTGATCTCTCCCATTCTCATGCACGAGGACGGTTTCATCCGTGGGGCAGCTGAGGCAGATGGGGAAAGAAGAGTGAACTGTCATCTCCTTGAACTCCAGCAAGAGCTGCTGAGCGATTTACACACAAGGCTCCCGAGGTGGTTATATGACCTCTAACCTTCCCAGGCATTTTGATTAGCAGCACCTCACTTGATCTTCACAACTGTGAGGTCAAGTTGATGAGCTAGGAGATGGGTATTACTGTCCTCATTCTATAGACAAGGTACGATGGGAGGGGAGTGACTTATAAGAGTCACACTTTTAGTAAGTTACACCTGTGTCCCAAAGAAAGAAAATCCCTAGGAGATAAGGCCCTCCGAGGACTGGAATATGTCCAGCCCTTGAGGGACATACAAAGTAAGGACAATGGCACCAGGTGCAGCATTGCCCCTGCTGCCACAGCTGCCTAAGCTCAAGTCACACCCAACACATTTCTGTGTGTGAACTGTGAGGTTTTGCATTGAAAATTTGTATTTATGGTATATTATTTAAATTATATATATCTACATAGTTACTTTTGTAAAAATGTGGTCACATTTTTAATATAAGCACAGAAATAATGACTGAAGGATACCGTCTAAATGTTAACACAGGCTGATACAAAGGGATAAAATTATGGGCATTTTTGGTTTTCTTCTTTGTATTTTTATGTATTCTTCCAAATTCTCTATAATGAGAATACAATATTTGTATGATATTCCAACGTCTCAAAGGTAATAATTCAGTTTAAAAAATGACACAGATGGGCATTTATTTAAGCTAGTGGTTCTCGCTTGGTCCACTTTGTGCCCCAGGGGACATTTGGCACTGTGATTGTCCAGGCTGGGGGAAGTGCTGCTGGTATCTAGTGAGTGGGCGGAGACCAGGGCTGCTGCTGAACGTCCTACAGTGCACAGCACAGCCCCCACAGTGGAGAATGGTCCCACCCCAAATGTCAAGGTGCCAACATTGAGAAACCCTAGTTTCAGCAAACATACTTTTTCATTTAACAAAGACTGATGACCTAAGTGCCGTTCCTTTAACTAGGTGTTGGAAACAGACGCAACCATTCTTGGGACTGTACAGAGAAGCCCACACTATTGTGGGGGTTTGTTATCTGCAGGTAGCACGGGGTAGCAGGGTCTGTCGCTCTGCAGGAAAAGGTCTATGTTTCGAAAGCGTCAGACCACTGAATAGCACCATAGCAGGCCCCAGATTAATGCAACTCTGAAGCATCTTTCTTCTTGTATGGTAAACTCGGCACACACGCCAGAGAGCGGTCCAGTTACCCCAGGGAACCTTCATGATGTTCTCTACCCCACCCCTTTTCCCTCAGAAACAGACAACGGGGGGCCAAGCTAAAGGCAGGCACTAAGGAAGTCAAGTGTGAGAGTGAGGGAGTGAAGTGAGGGAATGCTGTACCTTTGTATCTGGACCAGGGGTCAGAGCCGGGTCTGTGTGTGGTGGGCTCTGAACAGTGATGAAACTGTGGCATTTTCCAAGTTGTGAAACAAGACTTCTGTAGGATCATTTTGTCAATAAACACGAGATCCTCGTATGAACTCAAGATGGGAGTTCTTAAAATAGCTCTTTGCAGCCAGAGTGCCCCAGGCATGGTCAGCCAGTGGAAAATAATGTAAGCAGAGCTTTGTCAGGGGGTGGGGAGGAGGCAAAAAATAGGCAGATCTAGATGCCTTGGCACTGCTGCTTCTTGGCACCAGCTGCAGCACCCACACTTCAGTGGCAGCTGCCTCTAGATGGTGGAAGCCCACAGGAGGCTTTTATGCCCTCTCTGCATGAGCCTCCTTTCCCATGTCAGATTGCTCTTTGAGATAAGTATGCTGCTTTTGGGGCATCCATGTGTACAGGGAAATTCCTTATGATATATCTCCTGCCATCTCTCCAGGAACTTTTGCAAACTGGGTTTTTTTTTTCCAAAGGGGCCCAGTGTTGTGAGCAAAAATCATCTGGAGATTGTGGGAGTGGACTTTTCCATTCTCCCCTTTGGCACTGAACTTTGTGCATGTATCTCCAACTTTGAGGTGCCATGTCAACTAGGAAGAATGTAGAAATGGGTCGGGATGTCTTACATCTGGCTGTGTTGAAATGCAGATTCCGTGGGTTTCCCCAGAGTCCTTCTGATCTGGTAGGTTTACAGTACACCTGCATACGTAATAGGCACCCTACACAGTTTGTGTGTACACTAGAGCTTGAGGACAATTGTGCAGACCACCCAAAGCCACAGGCATCCCTTTTTCAGCCATGTTGCACATCTGCCAGATGGGAACAACGGCACTAGAACTCCCTGCAGAGAGATGATTCCAGGGGTAGCAGAAGCCTTTGCCTAGTGTGACCATTGCCTGAGAGAGGTTCCCAGTGCCTGATAGCAATTTCTGGTCCCTGCAGGTCAATACGTTATTTCAGAATTCCTGGAGTCATTTGATTGCACCATTGCTAACAGAGGCTGAATGAATTGAATCATTCAATGGCAGATGTGAGGTAAACACCCAGATTAAGCTGCCATCTCTACAGGAGGCTTTGCTGGGCTGCACAGGTGTGCCTCGGCCAGCCTGTCCTGTCCAGGCCACTCAGGAGGTAACACTGACTGAGTCTGAATCCCAGGCCTTCTCCTTACTAGCTCCATATCTTGGGCACATTTCTGGACCTGTGCCTCAGTTTTCTCCTCTATAAAATAATGATTATTATACTGTCTACTTTAGAGAGGGTTTAATGACATTTAGATAAATTAATATTTGTAAAACACCTATCTAGAACAATGTTTGGTATATTGTAAGAGCTGTATAAGTGTTTGCTAAATAAAAATAGAGGTCCAAAATAGCTCCACTTTTGTTATCCAATTATGTTTATCCTTGACATTAATTTTTCCTTGGCCTGATGGGTTCTGAGAATAACACAGGCACATTGGTCTGTTACATGCTTTGTTTAGAGAATGATCTCTTCTTTGTTTACTGCTAATTATGTGTATGATGTCCACATCTCTTGTCTAGCCCTGTCTCTCCTCTAATTTCCAATAGTACAATTCTAAGTACTTCTGGACAATCATCATTTGAAGCTTAACATGTCTGTTAGTGAACTCAGCGAGAATCCATATTTCCTTATCCAAAAACCTCCTTCTCCAACAGCCAAATCCAGACACTCTTCCTCAGCTTTGTAGTCCACAGATTTAAGAACACAAAGCCATCTTTTTCCATTACTCCCCAGATTTCTTGCGCTGTCCTTTCCTCCACCTCCTATCTGATTAGTTCCTACATTTTCTCATTCCTGCAGAAGCATCTCCCTACTTTTTATTACCTTGTTCCATTCACTTGGCTACAATAGCAGTTCATGTCTTATCACCCTTGCACAATAGCTGCCAGGGCCTCTAATCTGGTTTTTCTCCCTTCCATGCACGTTTCTAAACCATCCTGTGTATGACTTCCAGCATTGCCTTTCTAGGGCGCACTTCTAGTACTACTTTAGTGCTTTACTCCAAATTGTAAAAGCTCCCGGTTATCTACTTAATTAGTAATAAAAACAATGATCTTATTTAAAATGGTTGGACTATCTAGCAAGTACCATCTGCTAAGCTTTTGATATCGATTATTTAATTTAGTCATCATCACCGTGGTTCTGTTGTCAGACTAATTGGATTTGAATTCAGCCTGCACACTTCCTCTTGCACACATACACACATGCACACACACGCATGCGCACACACACATTTAATATGAGACCTTACCCTCTCTTGTGCCTCAGTATTCACATCTGTAAAATGGGGATGATAGTAAAACTAACTTTCTTGTTGTACGGCTTAAAGGAGTTAATATAAGGTAAAGCTCTCAGAACAGTATCTGGCCCCTAGAATGCACTATGTCCTGTTTCTTAGTATTTGTTCTTTGCCTGGAACCACAGATGGTGTCACTGCTGTAACTCCAGCAGGCTTCACCTCTTCCTCCCAAGCTTTCCCAAGCCAGAGCAAAGTAGCCCGATAAATGCCTGGTTCCACTGTTCAGCCCTGTCTCTAGATAGTGTACCTACCCCTTGTTGATCAGCTGCCACTGCAAGGGATACATGAAGTCAGCCGAGGGGGTGGCCCAACAGCTGTTCAAGACCACTTTAAACCTGGAAATAAAACAAAATGGCATCACTTTGAAACAGAGAATCTTATGCCTACAAACATCTGATGATTAAAAAGTATGTCAGCTAGTCTTTTTTTTCTTTGCATTTAAACATATAAACTTGGAGGAAATGTACTTACCTAATGCTTAACCCTTTGGCTTCCACTCCTGCAAACAGATCTGAACCGATTTCGGATGCCTCCAGGACAAAGGGAGCTTCTTTCTTGATGGAGAACTTGGCATTCTTTGGAAGGAAATTGACACTGGGCATTATGAACTCTCAGATTGAGCAGCTAGGTCTACCAGGAGCAGATGAATTGGGATGGGGTGGGGATGAGAATCAACCCAAAGACATAAGCAGGTGAGACCATAGAGTGATCCTCCAAGACCAGAGAAATTCTAAGTCTTAAGACACTATGCCATCTTAGAAGGGATGAGGACATCATATAATCACGTATTCTAGATTTGCTCATTATAGTGAGACACACACTGTATGTCTCATTTATGCCAATGAGATTTCACTAATGGAAAACAAGTGAAATTCAGGGATATTAAGGCACTGTGTTATACTGAATCGCCCAAGGACACAGGGACTGAGCACATACAACACCCGCCTCTGCCCTCACTCGTTGCTACTTTTTGCCTGAGCAGATTTCAGCGTGGGTTGGGAAGTGTAGGATCAGATTCCCAGATTCCCAGTACAATCATCAACAACAATAACAACCACTACCACAATGTATTGATCAACTACTATGTGTTGGGCACTGACGATGGACTCTGTCAGGATTTTGTTAGCGAACAAAGCAAAGATATCTGCCTTCAATGATCTGGCATATTCTAGCAGGGGAGACAAACAGTAAGTAAGTAAATGATATAATATGTAACTATAGACCATAGGACATTATCTAGAAAAGCTATAAAACATGCAGAGTGGGATAAGGAAGATCAGGAGTGTGAGGAAGGGCAGGTTGCAGTTTTAAATACAGTGGTTGGGGAGGCCTCACTGAGGATGTGACATTTGAGCAAGATTTGGAGGAAGTGAGGAGGGGGGCCATGTAGCTATCCAGGGAAGAATGCTTGAGTCAGGATAAAGGCCCTGGGGCAGGACTGTGGCTGGCAGCACAGCAAGGAGGCCAGTGTGGCTGGAGCAAGTAAGTGAGGCAGGAGGGTGGAGAGTGGGGAGCGGGGTGGGGGTGAGGTTAGATAAGTTGTGGGGGCTGATCAAGAAGACTGGGGCTGGCTGGGCGCTGTGGCTCACACTTGTAGTCTCAGCGCTTTGGGAGGCTGAGGCAGGCAGATCACTTGAGGCCACAAGTTCGAGACTAGCCTGGCCAACATGACGAAACCCTGTCCCTGTTAAAAATACAAAAATTAGCTGGGTGTGGTGGCAGGCATCTGTAGTCCCTGTAATCCCAGCTACTCTGGAGGCTGAGGCAGGAAGATCTCTTGAACCTGGGAGGTGGAGGTTGCCATGAGCCAAGATTACACCATTGCACTCCAGCCTGGGTGACAGAGTGAGACTCTGTCAAAAACAAAAAACAAAAAACCTCAAAAACTAAACACTGGGTCTTACTCTCTGAGTGCAGTGGGGCAGCAAGGAGTCAACACCACGATGTGAGCACAGTAACAGCAGGTTCTGATCACTGGCCTGGCATGTGGGATATTTCCCTGCCATTCTCATCAGGACATGCTGGGTGAGCTGTTAGGAATAACAGCAGTGTTTCTGTTTGACTTACTCAAAGGAGGCTGATTTCTCCATTCTCTGAGTCTTGAGTTCATTCAACCCTAGTAACAATCTTGAACTGCTCTGTGGATTAGCTTTCTTTCTTTCTTTTTTTTTTTTTTTGAGATGGAGTCTTGCTCTGTCACCCAGGCTGGAGTGCAGTGGCGCGATCTCGGCTCATTGTGAACTCTGCCTCCCGGGTTCACGCCATTCTTCTGCCTCAGCATCCCGAGTAGCTGCGACTACAGGTGCCTGCCACCACGCCCGGCTAATTTTTTGTATTTTTAGTAGAGACAGGGTTTCACCGTGTTAGCCAGGATGGTCTCGATCTCCTGACCTCGTGATCTGCCCGCCTCGGCCTCCCAAAGTGCTGGGATTACAGGCGTGAGCCACTGCGCCCAGCCTGTGGATTAGATTTCAGAGACAAAAGCATTACCATGGAAGGGCAAGGATCCTGGGCTAACCCGAGCTTCCACCGCTAACTTGGGACACACTATAGGCAAGTCAGCCTTTCAGGCCTCAGCTTCTTCCTATGCAAAATGGACATAACCTTTGTGACTTTATGTAATAGGAGAATAAAGCTTAGACCAGGTTACTGTTTGAAAGATTGAGTTTCATAGACCTGGAGATTTGCAGAACTGCAATAGGTAGACAGTGGCAGGAGGAACGGATTTCAGCAAGGATGTCTAGTTAAAATGGACTTTATAGTATTCCATGGTGTATATGTACCACATTTTCTTTATCCAGTCTGTCACTGATGGGCATTTGGGTTGATTCCATGGCTTTGCTATTGTGAATAGTGTTGCAATGAACATATGCATGCATGTGTCTTTGTAATAGAATGATTTATATTCCTTTGGGTTGCATGTATCTTTGTAATAGAATGATATACATTCTTTTGGGTATATACCCAGTAATGGGATTGCTGGGTCAAATGGTCTTTCTGGTCGTTTGCAAAGATGGATGGAGTTGGAAGCCATTATCCTCAGCACACTAACAGAGGAACAGTGCATGGTCTCACTTATAAGTGGGAGCTGAACAATGAGAACATATGGACACAGGGAGGGGAACAACACACACTGGGGCCTGTTGGTGGGTGGGGTGGGGGAGGGAGAGCATTTGGAAAAATAGCTAATGCATGCTGGGCTCAATACCTGGGTGATGGGTTGCTAGGTGTAGCAAACCACCATGACATATGTTTACCAGTGTAACAAACTTGCACATCCTGCACATGTACCCCAGAACTTAAAATAAAAATAACAAATAAAGATAAAATAAAGTGGACTTTACCCCTCACATGTCAAACACACAGGGACTTTGTTGAGACGACTCAGAATCTCTTTTGTTTCCTAGTACCTCTGACATTATTTTACTGATGGCAAGTCCAGCAAGGGCTGCCTGATTCAGTCACCTAGAAGTCAGTTGCTTCCTCCCATTTGTCAGCCCCTGCACCATTTAAATGACTGCAATAATTGGATAATAATGTTCTTAATCATAAGGGATCTACTGGCTTAAAATGCAGGTTGAAGTGGCAGATTTACAGTGATTTTTAATGTTCCTTGTTATGTTCTGAGATTTGTCATATTTTGAGAGGCCATTTTCAAATATAGGAACTTACCTGGGGACCCCGATGTAGTCCCCAAACCTGTCAGAGGTATCGCTCCCAACTCTTTCTGCCAGGGACCAGCCAGCAGAATGTTAGAATATTGGAATAATACCTCTCCTCATGGAAGAACCTGCCTGATTCTGTTACAAAGTGAAGAACAGAGCTGACACCGTTAATTCAGTTTCTGAAATAGAACACTAATGATTGAGTTCTCTATATTCTCACCCAACAGCTCAGGGAAGGCTTGGAATAATTTTTCCCCTACTTTCTCTATAATGTGAAAATTAGAAACCTATTCCAGATCCAGTAATCTTCCTTTATCCACAGGAGATATGTTTCAAGACCCCCAGTGGATGCCTGAAACTGCAGATAGTACCAAACCCTATATATATTACTTTTATTTTGATCCGATAACATGGATGGCTACTGAGTGACTGACAGACAGGTAGTGTCTACAGTGTGGATATTCTGGACAAGGGGATGATTTATATCCCAGGAAGTACAGAGTGAGCGGTGCAAGATTTCATCATGCTACTCAGAACAGGTGTGCAATTTAAAACTTAAGAATTGTTTATTTCTAGAATTTTCCATTTAATATTTTTGGACCACAGTTTACCAAGGGTAACTGAAACCATGGAAAGCAAAACTGTGGGTAAGAGGGGACCCACAGTTGTGAACGGTTGAGTCACAACTAGCCAGTGTCACAAGTTAAGGATGAGTACACCTGGCTTAACAATAGTTCATGTGGAAACATCTCGGAGTTGCTCCATGTGAAGTAGCGGTGAAAAAAACTGCCCTAAAGTTATTTTCCTAGGACACATTCCTAGAGTCTTCCAGAACCTAGAAGGTCACCTCTGACCCGTGATGGCCTGCACGGGTCTGATAAAGTCTAGAATATAACACTTCAACTTTGGGCTTCATTTTTTAATAGGGATACTGAGCAACTGGATCATATTCAGAGAAGAGTGACTAGGATGGTGAATGAACCACCAACAGAGACAAGATGTTTAGCTTGGAGAAGGTGGACATATTTGAAGTACTGTCAGCCAGATAATTATATGATATTATTTCAGAAGACAGAACTGGGACACATGTGCGAGAGTTCAGGGTGTCAGATATCAGAGCTGATCTAAAATGGGAAGGCCCAAATATCATTGTCTTTGGAAGAGGCAGGGAGGCCACCCCACAGCAATATTGCAGAAGGGTTTTGGGCTTTGGGTGGAAAGTCAAGGTTTACCACCTCGGAGGCTTGTTTTGACTCCTGGAGTCTATGATTTTGGCCTCTATTGCTTGCATTTTTTCCGTCTTAAGCTTTTTCATTTCTATCTGTCTAAAAGGAATGATCAGTACTGTTTTGATTGAATAAAAGTCAATATAATCCAACACTGACATCGATGTTCAGCCTTATAAAGTTAACAATGCTAGAAGCCCTCAGAGTTTCCACTTTAAATAGAGTCAAAGTCTACAATGATGAGAATGGCTACTTTCTTGGGTACTTAACTTGTACCAGGCACTGTGCTAAGTGCTTCCTAAAGATTATTTCATTTAATTCTATAACAAACCTATGGGGTAAGTGCTATTATTATCCCTGCTAACAAATGCAGAGATAGAAGCCCAGAGAGGTTGGTTAACTAACTTGCCCAAAGTCACACAACTAGTAAATGATGGAACAAGGCTTCAAACTAGTGGTCTGTTGAGAAGGCCCATTTTCTTAACCACAGCACTAGGGTATTTCCGTAAGCCAACTACCTTCCTTATTTTGTATTGAGGGTCAAAATAACTTTTCACTAGGAATACCAACCATGGGATATTGTCAAGAGTGAGTGGGAGGGGGATGGAGAGAAAAGAAAAGAGGAAGCCTGCTGAGTAGAACTGGTGCTTTTAGAGCCCAGCATTTGAAGCTCTCAGGATCCTAAGCAATTAGCAGTGCATTGATTCCATTGTGTTATCTAGGGCAGAGCTCTCTTTCTGGTAATTTGATGGAAATATATGCAGGGAGCAGTTGTTGCTTCAGAAACACATAAGAATGCTCTGAAAGTGGAAGAAGGGAGGAGAAAAAAATACCAACCACATGGGTCAGGCATAGGGAACTGAGCCCATGGCGGGAATATTAATCAGTACGAAAGTGTCAGGATGGCAGAGTCCCTTCTTTGCTGAGGCCCGTTTGTCCTGGAAAGGTCTTGGTGGGCCTCAGGGGACGCTTGACCCTTAATTCTATACTTGTTGAAGGGAGTGTCCCGTTATCTGTCTGTCCAGCCCAGAGGATGGCCTGGGGGATGCTGAGGACATGTCTCTTATTATTATTATTTTTTTTTAAGAAAATAAGCTCATTCCAGTTCTAAGACTTGATGTTTTGTTTATGCCTGAAGCTCAGCTCTACGCAGCTGATGGTGGGCAATGATTTTTGACAATCCTGGTGTCTCCGTGTTGCCAACTATTGTAAAACCTTCATGGGATCATATCTATAATTTTATCTGGTTAAAATAACAATTATTCACTTCCAGACAGGGATTCAATAGCAAAGGCAGCCTGTCATCAGGGAGTCCCCTGAGACTGTTGTCAGTGCGCAGAAGCCAATTTTCCTCTCCGGACGGCTTTCATCACTGACTGTAGTGGTTTCACCACCTTATCATCACCCTGGTGGCCCATGCTGTATTTAGCCCCCGATTATAGGTCAAGGGCTACGTGGATTCCCTTTCTCGGTACTTAACGACTAGTGGTGTGTGGCTAGGGGCAGATCTAGATTTTGTGGGATCTTGAAACTTTTACAATGTGGAGAGCCCTCTTTAATGAAAAGAATCACATTTTTCAATACAGAATTAGACACAAGGCCTTGAAAGGGCCTTGAAATGAGTTTCATTCCCTTCGCAGTAAGTAAAGTGACCATATCTAGGAGATCTGTGTTCCAGACTGGCCACCGCTCTGAACTACCTGTGGGCTCTCAGGCTAATCCTTCCTCCCTCTGGGCTTCTGGTCCTCATCTGTACAACAGACTAGGTTATTCTAGGATCCCTTACAGCTCTCGCCTTCTGAGTTCAGCAGGGCTGATAGCTTCCAGGCAGCAGGTTAAGCAAGCTTAAAGAGTTCAAAGTTAATGGAGTTAGAGGTAGTACGATGTTTCTCCTTTGAGAAGTGAATGGGTTGGACGTGATGCCTTTCCAACAGGTCCTCTGGCTCTAATGTTCTATGCAAAGGTTTGTATTTCTGCCCACATCTTCCTTTAGCCTGCTGGGACAGTCTCTGTGTGTATGGGTCCTCAATGCAAGCTGCAGGTTTGAAGAAACAAAGCACCCCTTCTAAAGAGGAGAGCAGCTGGGCAAATGGCCATTGCATATTTAGTTTCTCTGGAGCACTTTATTTTGAGAGAGACCAAAGTGTGCCTTTAACTTCTATGTCAACATGGGCAGCCTGCCCAAATTAAGCAAGGAGGAAATGCTACTTGAAAGGCTTTAGAGACCAAAGAATTAGGCAGTGGAGGCCGACCCCAATCCTTCTCTTTAGCCCTGTCCCAGTCAGGAACCTCAATACATTGGGCCAAATATTTTAAGAGCTAGATCTTAAATATAAATCTCTGGAGGGGGTTGTAGTGAAAACTAATCTTGACTAAGAGTCAGACATTGGCTGTCTTATTGTCTGTTGACCTTGCCTCAGTTTTCTCATCTGTAAAATGGGAAGGTTGGTCTTATATCTTTGCGGAAGATTGGTTTTTTTGTTTTTATTTTTGTTTTTTGAGATGGAGTTTCACTCTTGTTTCTCAGGCTGGAGTGCAGTGGTGTGATCTTGGCTCACTGCAACCTCCGCCTCCCAGATTCAAGCAATTCTTCTGCTGCAGCCTCCCAAGTAGCTGGGACTACAGGCATGTGCCACCACATCTGGCTAATTTTTGTATTTTTTTAGTGGAGACGAGATTTCACCATGTTAGCTAGGCTGGTCTCAAACTCCTGACCTCAGATGATCTGCCTGCCTCGGTCTCCCAAAGTGCTGGGATTACAGGTGTGAACTACCACGCCTGGCCAGAAGGTTGGTATTATAGCTTATATCTTATACCTTTCAGCTCTTCTATCCAGTCTATGAATCTGACTTTCTGTGACACTTAGTTTTTAAAGAGGTTTAAAGCTAAACCAAAGTTCATGTTTCAACTTGAATTTAAGAATGGGGCTCTGCACAGAGCTTGGGGAAGACTGAATCCCGAGGAAGCATCCCACCATCTCCTAGAAAGGAAAGGCCACAGGGAAGTAATGGGAACCTGGAGACCACTTACAGTGTAGAAGTTGAGAGACAGTTGGCTCTCAAATGTGCCCATGCTCCCGTTCTTCACGTGAACAGTGGCCACTCTGAAAAGGGGAGAGAATTTTGCATAAGGACTGAAACACGCTGATTGATAGGACCTGCAGTACACACATGAGGCAGCCAGCCCTCCATGCCGCACAGCAACTTACCTCTGGTCAAAGGCAGCCTGGTTCACCAAGTAGGTGGAGTGGTAGGTGCAGGAGAAGGAGTAGTTGACAGGCTGGTTTTTTACAATCACTGTGGTGTCATTGGAAACGATGTGACTGTAGAAGTGATAGATAGGTGGCTTGTACTGGACAAAGAAAGGAGACAGTCAGGATGAATCTGTTTCCCCGCGATGGGAATGAGGGTTCTGGGAAAAGTGCAAGAAGATGGCTCAAAAACAAGTCCAGTGGGGAGACAGAAATGTCTGCCACTGACGGTGGCATCCACTCTTCTTGTCTGCGGGTGAGCTGATAATTTTGTAAAGGGTTCCTTAGTTTATTCAACTAAGAGTGTTTAAAAATGATCTAGGTTGATGTCGTATGCTTAAAAATCTCCATGTACCCATTGGGCTTCTGACCAAAAAGAACTGGCTCAAGAATCTCTGTTTCCCAAAGTCAACTCTTCATCCATTTCTCCTGTCCAAATATTCTAAATGAATGCTTCACCCATCTCCAATTTCTAGAGTGTTCCCTTCTGGTTCTTTGCTCTTTCCTTCTTCTGACTATAAGCACGATTTCTGAGACTCTTTCGCCTGACTTGTTGGGCTCTAAAATCACAGAATATTAGAGCTGGAGGGGATCTTGAACATCCACTTGAAAAGTGACTGACCTGAGACCACACAGCTGATTTCTAGTTCACCAGGATATACTCAAAGACATGATGTCTTGTTAATCATGCTCATGACTCTTCCCATTAAATCACTGAATCCTTGTGAGGCCTTTAGAAAGAGGAGCTGGCCCTGGAAGCTCTTTGCTCTCATGCTCTGAGATGGATAGATGCACAGCCTTCTGGCAGGTAGGGCAGTAGGAATGCTAGATCTTGGTGGGGAGGTTGGGAGACCTAGCCTCCCTTCCTGATTCCATCCCTACAGGCTCTGTGGCCCTGAATGAGTGACTTTATTGGGAAGTCTCAGACTTCTCGTCTGTCATATGATACTTGGTAAGAGGGCGTCTGTTTCCTAATAATTATCTTATGATATCCCATCCTGGGCACTTCACAAGACTGCGTTAGAAGTTGTATTATACATTGGTCACTCCCTAAACTGCTCTTCCAAATGCTCTTTGTCACCACTTTGAAGTCTCAGGCAGAGAATGGCTCATCCATCCACCCATCCAATCTAGGAAGGATGGCGGCTTGTGAGCACAGGCTCAGAACTTGAAGGTGGGAAATGTACTTTGTTCTACTAGAAGGTAGCTTCACTGGCTTTGGCAACAAATTAGGAGGATAAGAGTCAAGCCAAAAGAGTTATCTAAACTAGGCAGAAGAGAATATTTTAAATAACACCAACATTCCAGGATATTTGGGAATCAGGACTGACCTTTAAAAGGAAATGGGTAAATTCTGAATCCTTTCAAGGACAGATGGCAGACATCTCATTCTTGGGTCCAGTTGCCTTACCTTAAACAACTCTGCACTGTGTGGCCTGGTCTTACCTCAGACTGGGTTCCACAATAGGACTTGTTTTTAGGTGATAAATCTGGGATCACAAATTGGTAGTAACCTCCTTCGTGGACCCCATTGTAACACAGCCCTCCGAGGGCCAGCTGATGAACTTCCCATCCATAGGGACACTCGGGGATTTTGGTGATGATGGTTTTGGGATAGCAAAACACAAGAATGACATCTGGAAAGAGCACACATATAGTTTAAAATCAGTTAGGGTAATCATGCTAACCTACGTAACGAACAGTGGATTCCAGCTACACCTGAGCATGCAAAAGCAGTTGGTTAAAAACACCTTCCCTGCTATTCCTCACCAGCTGTGACAAAAGTTTTCCCCAAACTTCAGTCATTGAAGAGTCACTCTCACAGTTTTTGCTGCATTTATTTAATGACTGCACCACGTTTAACATGGAATTAAAATTAGTCCATTTGGAACAAGGAATGTATCTGTGAAACCACAGGTAGGATGTATTAGACATACATAAATATATATTAAAATCTCCATAACAATGAGCACATAATTTAAACATTTTAAATGTCAATTTCATGCATAATATTGTGAAATACTGATTTAGGGCACAAGATAGAAATTCAGTAGTTGAATGGAAAAAAAAGTGGAGATGTTTTATATATATATATAATGGGATGTGGGGAGAGAGTGTGTAAGTAAGAGAGTGAAATAGAGCAAGCATTCTCTAATTAAAAAAAAAGTCCGAGTTTATCCAATACATCTTTGCTCCATTTGGGAAAAGTCTGATTGGTATTGGAGGGGGTGCTTAAGTACTTTCCTGCTTGGCTACATCATTACATTTTTATAACAAGTTAAGCACAGAAGTGCTGAGCATTGTAAAAGGAAACTTCAGGAAACTTTTCGTCCCAGGAAAATGGACTTGGCGAGGACATACCTGCTTTATTTGGAGCACACGATTTTGCAGAGGCTTCTGCAAAGATGGCCAACAAGACAAAGGCCTTCGTCACCATTGCTTCTCAGAACCTGGTCTCTGCCAGGTATCCAAACCAAGCTGGCCAAATGTTTACGGTCCTTCCAGGGCCTGAGCCTCGATCATTCTAAGTCAGAAACATGAATGAAAAGTTAAAATCAAGGGAAGAACAAAGCCGCACATACAGTCTTGGGGAAATTTTCAAGGGAGATAAACGATGTTGTGTCGTTTCTAATTGTTTCCTGTTAGCGCTGAGAGGCAAAAAGTGGGGCTCATACCGTTGGAAGCGTCAATGACACATGGAGTTGTTCATGTTCCCGACTGTTTCATCCTCTCCGGACTGTAGAGGCTGGCTGCTGGATGCTCCCCAAATCTGCTGCCCCAGTCCTAGTTTGACTTTATATAGCCCGAGGATGTAAAAGAAACCAGCTCCAGATAAGTCACAATGAGCATGCATTATCCACTGTGTGGGGAATAAAAAGGGGGGCTAGCACAGTAATCCGATGGGAAGCTCAGTTACTTGAATCTAATTTCTTTTGCTTTACAGAGTTGGAAAAACTTTTTTTTAACTGCTTCAACCAAGATTGGGAGGAAAAGTTGATTTTTTCCCCTTTTGTACAGAAAATAACTCTGAATGGAGGCAAACTATTTCTGTACAATTCCAGGTGACAGTTTTAATTCTTTTGTCTTGCTTTCTTTGCTTTATTTCCTGCTTTCTTATTTTTGTATGTAGGTAAACTAAACTTTGATAAGAAAACTCAGGTTTAACATTGTTGCACCTGATAACTATAAATATATGTGTGTGTGTGTGTGTGAACGTAAACATTTTAAAGGATTTTCCCTCTAATTAAAAAACAATAAATAAACTCTAGTGTCTTGAACTTCATCCTGAAGAACAACTTTTAATTGTACACCCTTGAGATTTCTAAAGCTTTATTAGTCTCCCAGAGCAATGACATTGGAAGAAGAAACTTAGAAAGTCTCTCTTATAATTCAATTCTTAGTCACCCGACAAGATCCCACTGAAAACAACAGATAACATGCTACTCCCATGAAGGTTCCAGATATATTATTGATAATGCACATCATTTAATGTTTCAAAACATTGGGAGGTATCTTATAAGCAACATGCATAAGTAATACAGTACAGTTTCCTTATTTCCTCAAAACCTATTGTTAAATTGATGGGATGTTTTATAATGATGGTATCAAAGAATGAAGGAAATAGCCATGTGGCAAGCCATTAAAAAGTTCTGTAACTCAGTTTCCTTCTGTGTAAAATGGTGGCTGTGATTCTGGGCTGAACTTACAGAGTAGGAGAGCAATGATGTAAAGGCTCTTGTAAACTGTAAGTAGTACATAAATAAGTAGATTACATGAAAAGACAACTGACAATTTCCAGTAGCATGTATGTGTCCCATGAGTTGCTTTTCCTTTCTTTACATGCAACACAAAGTGACTCATTGTAGATTTATGATTCACGTAACAGGAGGCATATCTGTATTGTATGACACGTATGCAAAATATTTTATGGATGATGAACAAATGAGCTGAGAGGGAGAAGAGAAAGAATATATTAAAAAAATTTTTTAAACAGTAGGATCAAGTTTATTGTGGCCTGGAAACATTGCCGTATTTCTTTTTTATTATTATTATACTTTAAGTTGTGGGGTACATGTGCAGAACGTGCAGGTTTGTTACATAGGTATACACGTGCCATGGTGGTTTGCTGCACCCATCAACCCATCATCTACATTAGGTGTTTCTCCTAATGCTATCCCTCCCCTAGCCCCCCACCCCCCAACAGGCCCTGGTGTGTGATGTTCCCCTCCCTGTGTCCATGTGTTCTCATTGTTCAACTCCCACTTATGAGTGAAAACATGCAGTGTTTGGTTTTCTGTTCTTGTGTTAGTTTGCTGAGAATGATGGTTTCCAGCGTCATCCATGTCCCTGCAAAGGACATGAACTCATCCTTTTTTATGGCTGCATAGTATTCCATGGTGTATATGTGTCACATTTTCTTTATCTGCTCTATCATTGATGGGCATTTGGATTGGTTCCAAGTCTTTGCTATTGTGAACAGTGACATTGGCATATTTCTACTGTTCTCCATAGTTCATTCCTGAGCAGAAAAAAGACACTTGAATCTCGAAAATATGTGTGAATTCTCTGAGTTCCTCTTTCCTGGGGCTTAGCACTAACTCTCTGTGTATCTTTTCCCCTCTTTTTTAGTAAGCATTTATTGAGCCCCTGTGGTATACTGGACCAGGCCCTGGGAAGATGCATGCACTTCATGTGGCTTCTTTCCCTGAGGAACTAGGGGAGGAGAGGACACAGAGATAGGACTATGGGATGGAGAGGAGGAAAAAGGGACCATCAGAATGCTTGGCAGGTAAGTCAAGCCACAGAAGAGTACAACAGCCCAACTGCATAAGGAAAGGCTTCTGATGTGACATAAACGATTATTCATCACTGGCAATTCAGTATTGTTTTTTGTTTTTGTTTTTTGTTTTTAATTGAGACTGAGTCTCACTCTGTCACCCAGGCTGGAGTGCAGTGGTGTGATCTCAGTTCACAGCAACCTCTGCTTCCTGGGTTCAAGCGATTCTCCTGGCTCAGTCTCCCGAGTAGCTGGGATTACAGGCACACACCACCACACTTGGCTAATGTTTTGTATTTTTTTTAGGAGAGATGGGGTTTCACCATGTTGGCCAGGCTGGTCTCGAACTCCTGAGCTCAAGGGATCCACCTGCCTCGGCCTCCCAAAGTGCTGGGATTATAGGTGTGAGCCACCATATCCGGCCTCAGTATTGTTTTTTTACATGGTTTGGAGTACTTGTTCACATTTCAAGAGGATTCTACAGATATGTATCTCTTTTCAACCAACTTTGGCCCAGGCAAGTCAACAGTGTCATCTTACCTCTGACTTAGCAGGGCAGGGGTCACTCATGGACAGGGCTGCAGTGGATATAGACACCTTTCCTCTTTCCCAGCAGAAATGTCTGATGGGTGCTTGCAAGATGCTGCGAGATGTGATAGGAGAAGCCTGGGCAGTTGGACTCTGCTGTTTGCCTGAAATCCAAAGTCCACCTCAGTCATTACTAACTGTGTGTTCTTGGGCAGATTACTTGGCTTCTGGGAATTTTAATTTCCTCCTCTCCTGAAAGGATATGCTAATATCTATGACACAGTGTTACTCAGACTATTAAATGAGATATATGTCTGCTAGCACAGACATGGCTTATTTTTCCCGATCAGGGCAAGGCACCAGGAAAGCCTTTTGTGTCTGTGCTTAGCTCTGCTTGGGAAATTCAAAGAGGGAAGCCTAGTAGGAGTGGGTCACCCCTAGATAACACACATTATTGTCATCAGCCCTGGATTACATCATATGTAACTAAGATCACAGGTTCTGAAATTAGAGGTCATGGCACTGTCACATTTCCAATGGTGTTATCTTGGGTTCATAACTTGACCTTTCTAAGCCTACAGTGTTCAAATCTGTAAAATGGGGCTTCTCATTGCCTATGGCTTTTGCAAAGATAGAATGAAATAAGGCATATAAATTGCTTAGCACAGTGCCTGGACACAGTAAGCACTCTATGAAGACTCGCTGCCCTGAAGTGTGTTCATCTGAGGTTGGTATCCTCAGGCTGGAAGGACCTGTCAGTGGCGTTCTCATGTGAACTCTGGGTGTTTGCTAATGGTAATATTTCTCTCTTTAGAAGTCCACCTTAACAAAAGAGCAGGTGCTTTTGATTTCTAGAGAAGTCTGATAGCGATAAGATCCTGGGACAGAGAAAGAGATGTCGCCTACAATTTCTTAGGGTGGGAATCCAGCTAACCATCAGGTACATGATACTCCTTTCAAGGACGAGCTGAATGAAATTGGGAAGTAGATTTAACTTTTGTGGCAGGCTGGTCTCTAGATGTTTAATTTGCATACGAAAGAGAATGGGACAAAATGTACTTGGGCCAAACAGTATTTGATACTTGCTCTGATAAAAGTCAGGAGGCTTCTATTTTTCCTGGTAAGTACCCCCGCCCCCATACCAATGCCCCAGCCCATCCCCTCTCTGCTTTGCAACACTCTCTCTCCCTCACATGAAGGTGGAGGGGGAGGGGGTGCCACTGGGAGATGGAATGCAAAAGCAAAGTCTCTCACTGAGAAGCACACTGAATTTTGCTGTTTCTTCAAAAACACACAAACTGAATGGAAGATCTTAACATTCACAGGACCTCGAGTGAGCCCAAGAAAGGGAATTTTATGGCAGACTTATCTAAAAGATGAGCTTGTCTGACCTGTACCTTTCTTTTGTGAATTGCCTAGCAATAGAAGGTACCTATTCTATTTGAAGGCCCTGAATGATTTGGGAAAGCTGCGGCCAGAAACAAAAGCATTTCCATTTGCAAAATTCCAATCAATATTTTCATTCACAGCCCAGAAATCATACAGGCAATGAATCATTTGATAAACAACACCAGTAAACCCATACTGAGGTAACAGATAATACTTCAGACATAATGCTAGCAAGCGTGCATTAAAGATTAAAAAACTGCTTTATTGACTTATTTTTTAGAGTACTCTATTTTGAGTTCATTAAATGTTAAATGAACTCCATTGTTTCCTTATAGCTCTGAATCAAGCCTTCTTCTACTTTGTGGGCGGCTCTGTTTGCCAATTTGCAAATGAGTGGGTGTTTCCCTGCAGGCTTCAATGGCTCAAACCTCACACTACTCCCCAGGAATTAACAATTCCCCAGAGAAAGTGATGGAAAAGGAGAACTGAGAAGTGAGAAAAGATCCACTGGTAATAGTGCATCAGGAATTAAGAGTAAGACACCCTGCCTCCCCCATCTCTCAGCTGACCCTGAAGCTATCAGCTTCAGAAACCCACATTGCTCCAGGCAGATAAACTGGCCCCTCCAGGAGATCTTGGAATCTTTTCTGGCTAATTTCTAAGCAATGCCTTGACCTTTCCCTCAGAAGAGGGGGACCCACAGTCACATCTCTTATGGTCCCATCAGCCCCTCCCTTATCTGTCTTCCCCTCTCCCTCCTCACCCCCACTGGCAATCATCAGGCTGAAGAACTAAAAATTGCTCCTCCTCAGATCAAGTTTAGGGATCTCATTACTGGTCTAAAACATCCAAGGCAAATAACTTATTCTGTTCCTGAAACCTCCCAGAGAATCATTCGTGTATTCTTTTATTTATTTACCCAGTCATTCATCTACCAAATATGTAATGAGTGTGTGTTACTGCCGGGCAGTAATCAACTATCTATCTGTATCTGTGTCTACATCTTCTGCTTGGGGTAAATGTAAGGATATGGAGGAAGGGCACAAGTGGGCTTCAGAGATAAAGAATAATGGAGCAGAGAGGAGTCATTGACTTTAGATGGCCTGGTCAAGAAAATCTCTTTGAAGAGAGACTAAGATGAGGCCTGAGGCCAGGCGCGGTGGCTCAGGCCTGTAATCCCAGCACTTTGGGAGGCCAAGGCAAGTGGATCACCAGAGGTCAGGAGTTCGAGACCAGCTGGCCAACATGGTGAAACCCTGTCTCTACTGAAAATACAAAAATGAGCTGAGTGTGGTGGTGGATGCCTGTAATCCCAGCTACTTGGGAGGCTGAGGCAGGAGAATCGCTTGAACCTGGGAGGCGGAGGTTGCAGTGAGCTGAGATTGTGCCATTGCACTCCAGCCTGGGCAACAAGAGCAAAACTCCATCTCCAAAAAAAAAAAGGTGGGGGCGGTTTCTATATAACTGTAATGCACATACTTGCCAATGTTTTCTTTGCTCTAAGAACCAAATTTTGCATCTTGGGATCAGGGGTGAAAGTACTCTCAAAATCCTACAGCTCCATCAGTACTTTCTCTACAAAACGCAAACTTGACACTGTGATTAAATGAATTTTAAATGATTTCTTATACCGAATTCTGAGTAGTTTCATTTTTCTGTTCTTCTTGACCCTAAGTATGTGGTCTCATTTGTTTAATAAGCAGGGATAATTACGCTAATTAAAGCTATTGAGCATTTCTGACCTTGGAGAATTGCAACGCCTATGTTAAGCATTATGGGGAAAGTTGAAAACGGGAAGTTACACAGTAGTTTCTATTATGGCACTCCAACTGCCTTTAAAGACTAAAGAGCAATAGTTTTGATTATGGAAAGCAAAAGTGAGTTATAAACAATAGCATATTTTCTATCATATCATCTATAATTCATTATTTGAGAGAGGAAAATATGAGCAGTAAGTTTATGTTGCAAGCTTTCTTCACATGGTAATAATTAAAATACAATGGATTGATCAGCCTTCTAATTTCCAAAATGCAATTCTTTGCTCGTACAGCCTCGAGCTTTAACTAGAGGGAAATGATAATTCAAATGGATTAATTGATCAATAGCTGCAAGAATGGCAAAATGCTAGAGTAATATAAATATACAGTTATGGTTTCATTTTCCAGCCATTTCCTTAAAGCCACAGACCCAAGGCTGTGATGGACCCATGGGAGAGGATATAAAAGATTCTGAAGCTGGAGGTCCTTCCTTTCTTGTCAGAGCCTTTGGAAATGGGGAGTAGAAATGTTAAATGATTTCAAAAGTTGCAGATGATTGAAGGCCATTGCATGGAAACTAGGAACCAGATCACTCTGGAAATCAGAAGACATGAGCAATAGAGAAATATTAAGAGCCAAAGTGTTCTGCAGACTATGGGGGTGGATACTGGATGATGGGGGATTTCGTATTGATGTTTTTAAGTGTTGATGAATGAATAGTGTCTCCATATCCAGATAATTCATATCCATTTTTCAGTGACAAGCTCAAGGCTACATGCTATGTGATGCCATCTCAGATCCCCCTACTTCTGGGGACTTTGAACTTTTTAAACTTAAAACTTATGTTGTCTACATCTTGTATATGACTGCTATGTATGTGTCTTGTCTTCTTAAATTGAGACCTTGTATATCTTTGTATTTCCCATAATGCTAAAATATGTTTTAATGATTATTTATTGAGGGATTATTAAGTCAGGTTCTGTGCAAGAATGGATGGATGGATAGATAGATAGATGGATAGACAGATGTAAAGCCTCAAATCTTAGTGGCTTTATATGATAGAAATTCATTTCTTACACAGTGAAGTTTCAAACAGGTATTCCCAACTGGTAGGTGGTCTTCCCATGGTCACCCAAGGACTTGAGCCTCATGCATCTCATGGATCTGTCCTCTTCTGGGTCCTTGGAGTTCTCTATATCAAGCCAGCAAATAGGAAAAGGTTATGGAGGATCGTCAATGGAAAATGTGAAAAGACCAGGCCTGGAAGTGGCACATGTCAGTTCCACCCAGTTTATTGGCTGGAACTCCATCATGTGGTGACATCTAACTGTCTGCCCATTGAGAAGGGGAAATGGGTTTTGGTGAACACATAGTAATTCAATATATATAGTTATTTTCTGCAAGATTGTATGTCTGTCTGTCTGTTTATCTATGTATCTATCTATGAGTGGGTTTTATTATTCCTATTTTACAGATAAGAAAGTTGAAACTTGGAAGATTAAGTCACTCGCTGGGATAAGTGCTGGTGCTTGAATTTGACTCATGGTTGTCAGTTCTAAAGCCACCCCACTCTCCTTGCTTAATAATTTGGGTTCTTACACCATCCAACTGTTTGCTCTTTCCCCTGTCACCATTCTTATTCAGGCTTTCCGATGACCTAACTGACCTGCTGTAATAACCGCAAACCACTCCCCTTGATGTCAGCTGACCAGGCAAATTATTGACAGATCAATCTTCTTAAAAGACAGCTCTGACCTTATCAATTCATAGCCTGAAAACCTTCAGTAAACACTCAGCAAATATTTGTTAGCTGACTCCCTAATGAATAAAAAGTAAAGGCCTTGGCATGGGTTTAAAAGGCCCCCATAGAGAATTATCCAGAAAGAATCTGGACAATTCTGAGCATATACACTGGGTCCCAGAATGTCCTAACACTCTATAGTAAGCCCTGGAGAAGGTCGTGCTCACAAACAGCAACCCATTGATTCTGGATTATCAGAAGAATAACTTCTTTCCTGATTTTATTCCAGAAATGGTTAGACATCTTACTCCCTGCAAACCTTTAGGTTTGATCAGACAGACCTCAGTCTTTGGCAGGAAGAGAACAAATAGCCTTTGGACCTGCCACCCAGCTCTTGGATTCACTAATCTGTGCACACTGGCTGTGGGTGAGGAAAACATCACAGAGGATTCCCAAGCCTGTGTAGGGGCTCTGTTTAATTAATCCAGTGATTTAGCTGGAAAAACTAGTTTATGTACAAGGGTGGCAGCAGATTTTCTTTAAGAAAGGGCTTTAAGGCAGCAATCTAGTTAGAAAGTGGGATATTTGAGTGATTAAGGTCACCTTACATAAGGTTGAAAATGATCTTAACTGTTCGAATCAAAGATTGAAATGACGAATGTGAATTATGAAAAGCCGAATTTTCTCCAACCATCCCCATCTTTTTTGCTGTACTGCCTAGGATGTACTTTTTGCAGTACTGAGGTTCTCTGCCTCTTTTTCTTCGTCACCTAGTTCTCCCACCTCAGCTTCCTTTAGAAACATTGCAAGGCTATGCCTGCCAATCCCAGCTGCATTAGAAGTGTCCACCAGCAGCTACCTCCTGGGCCCTGGCCCGACAGAAGATCTGCAGACAGTGTGGCGATTGCTTTGATGGCAGCTAACTGTGTGGGGCCCATCTTCCCTTTCCTGTCCTCCAGTGATGAACTCTAAAGAGCAGGCCCTGTAGAGATCATGGCAGCAGGGTTTAGTGTAAAGACTTTACACGTTGCAGTGTGGCTTGGTCTTCTGACCCAAGACAGCCAAGCCTCAGGCCTCAGCATGCTGAGCTTCAGACTCGTGGGGAAAGGCAGAGAAGAATTTGGGATTCTAGGCTGGATGTGTCAGTGGTTGTCAAAGCTGACAGGGACTTTTGAGATTATCTATCCAGAAATTGTAAATCTTGGCCTAAAGCTGTTGCATCTTCTCCTCCTGCCCTGGGCAGACATTTTGCCCACTGAAGTGCCTACTGAGCCCATCTGTAGATTCCTGGTCTCACCCCAAGGGAGGATCTCCTTGGTCAGCTAGTACCCTATTGGCAGAGCTCTTTTGCCAAGGAAGCTGTCTCAATAGTTGCTGACTGGCCTATAGGTGGTTCGATCCCTGGTCCAATCAGCTGAGATCAGAAAGCCATGTTCAAATTGGATAAAGTATGCTGATCAGGTGTAAGAGAATTTTGTTTTTTCTTTCCTTTAGAGAGGGTCATAACTGTGTGAGGCCCTTAGAGTGGTATGTCCAGGACATTCAGATAGGCCCTTCTTCTTCTTCTACAAAATAAAAATGCCATTATATGATATTTTTCAAATTTGAATTGCAAAGAGAGCAAGGTATTTTATGATATCACAACTCCAGCTGATAGTTATGCAACCTTTATTATGTCAGTACTATCATAAACACTTTTCATGCATTGACAAATTCACTCTTTGCAACAGTCGTATATGAGGTTGGGTATATATGGTTATCCTCAATGTGCAGCTGAGGAAAAGCTCAGGATCTTGCCTAAGGAAGCCTGACTATGACCCTCAGCTGTGTGGCTCCAGGTTTGCATTAATTCAAGTGGTTATTAATTCACTTCAATTTGTAACATGAAAGGGAAAGCAAAAAGTTCCGCTAGTCTTATTAGCAGAAGTACTAGCGAATAATTATATTAGCACAGCCTGGAAGCTAATACAGATTTGTTTAAATGAGTAAAATAAGAAAAATGAACAAAACATATAGAAGCCTTGGAATGACAATACCTAAGTATTCAGGCAATTATCCATCTTGTTAATAATCTTATTATTTACTATAAAGATCTAAATCGGTAGCACTTCTTAAACTTTTTGGTCTCAGGATTCTTTTATGCTTTTAAAGATTGTTGAGGGCTTTGGTTTATGTGGACTACATCCACTGATACTTAACTATATTAGAAATTAAAGCTGATAATTTAAAAATATATGTGTTAAGTTATTTGAACATAACAATACTTAACCCATAAATGCTAACACAAATAATGTATTTTTAATAAAAAAATAACTTTATATTCCAAAACAACAAAAAAATTCATGAATGCCACTGTTTTTAGATTGTTAGGAGAATCTTTACAATTTAGCTTAATAGAAGACAGATGAATTCTAATATCTGCTTTTGCATTCAATCTTTTGTGATACGTTTTTTTGGTTGAAGTATACTAACAGCATGTGACTTCACACAGATTTATAATTAGAAAAACTATAAATTTAGATGTTTTTTAGATGATTGTAGATATTCTTTTTTGATAACTACACCTAAACTCAACATATAGTAGTTTCTTACAGATCAGTAGCAATGTGGAATCTGAAACCATATCAGTAAACTTTTTGTACTCTGTAACACTAAAATCCATTGGTTTTTGTTGCACTCG
Organism: Homo sapiens; assembly: GCF_000001405.40. Taxonomy (NCBI): domain Eukaryota; kingdom Metazoa; phylum Chordata; class Mammalia; order Primates; family Hominidae; genus Homo; species Homo sapiens. Next base: position 112,273,299 of record NC_000010.11, on the reverse strand, counting down.
AATGGAATCTGTGCTCATGCAGAATTTATAATACCATGCATTGATCTTTCAGAAAATATCGGTTCACTGAGTTATTAGAGCTTCCAAAGGTTAACACATTTCATTATAGATATTTTTAAATATCACATTCCTTAAAGCCAGAATTAGAAAATTCAATGAGTACTGAGATCATGATGGTGGAACTAGACTTTGGAAATTCCAGTTTTCTAGTAGAAGTTCGACTTTTATTGTTGGCAACAGACATCGTCAGTTGTTTCTCATAGTGAAAAGCTCACTTTGTTCATTTTAGAGAAAATGTCTGCCAAAGATCCAAGTCTGAACAATGATAGCTAGTCTGTAGATTGTTTATTCAAGAAAAAATGTTGTTTCATAAAAAAGTGGCTAGCTCACCCCTTAATTTACATGATCTTAGTGCTTTTCTTCAAGATAATTATTATACTTTGATAGGGAGCAGAAATGCTTCATGCATGCTTTCCATTTTGTCATATGCAATATTAATATTAAAAAGTTATCTACTTGAGAGTCAGGATTTATTTTGATTAATAATTTTTGCTGCTTCATCAAGAAAATTCTTATGTGAAAACAGCTTTTTTTAAAACCACAAGTATGTTGCATTGACAATTATGACTACTATTTAGATTTGGCGCCACTACCTTGATTCCTGCTGAGGCGCCAGCAGTTTACCCACCATTGTTTTTGTATGATTAGTGCAAATGTCAGCCTAGTGGAAAAGGCAAATCACATCTTAGTATTATAATGAAAACAGTTTTTACCTCACTGACTCTCTGAAACAATCTTAGAGACGCAAAGAGACTGGGAGACCACATTTTGAGAACTGCTGGTCCAAGTTAATTACAAAAAGAAACCTCTTGCATTATCATTTTCTAAGCACCTTTGAGGCTATCAACTTTGTGTTAATGGTCATGTTATTATTTTTTGTTGAATTCTTATCTTTCCCACTATACTGGAAGTGCTGCATGTCAGGGAACTGTCTCCAGCTTGTCCACAGCTGAATTCCCATCACTCAGCCTTGTGCCTGGCATTTAACTAAATAATTGTTAAATGATGACATAAAATGCAGTGATTGCTGTCTGAGTCTTTTTCATACCAGGAGAAAGTATCATTGCCTTAGCCCATGAATATGATGCAATTGTTTCAGTAATGATGGGAGGGGCTACGTGGATGGTTAGGAGCCAGGGCATGAATGTGAGACAGACCGCCTGTGTGTCTGTGGATAAGTTACTCAATCTTTAAATGATATTTAAGCCATTTAGATGACATCTTTCATCTGAGTCCTTCGGCTTCTTCTGGTGAGGTTCTTAGGGACTCTCTATGTATGGGGAGCTGATGGCCTACCTTTTCACGATGCCAGCACAGTTGCCTTCAAGATTTTGGGTGCTTCGAGTCCCAAAGTGCTTCACGCCCTGCAGTGAATCTTTCTGATACTAACTTTGCTTTTAAATCACATCCTATAGAACTGTTCATCCATCAATTCTGTCTTACCAGCCTGTGTCTTCTCATGTATTGGGAAATAAGTTCAAAGCAGAAGAACATGCCGGATCTGAGCTTGTAGGAGAAATTTAGGCCAACCCCTTACCACCTTCCACCTGCAGTATTGGGACATGGGGCTGGAGGTGTCTTTCTGGTTGCATTCCCATTTGCTTTCATGTTAATTGGCTCTGTCTTTACAGACCCAATTTATTTGGTGATTTTCTGGTTACTATTTCCCCACTTCATTAACAATTTGTAATTAAAGGGCTTTATCTGTCTGTGACTTAGTGAGCCAATAGGCTGGTCCAAATAACGGTATTGATATTTTGGGAACACTCAGCATTGTGTTCATATATGCATAGCTGCAAGATTTTTTTTATGGGAGAACATAGTGTAATGATTTTTTTCTTCTTTTGAAAGAAAAAACAAAACAGAGTAATCCAGTAACCTGAATTTGAGGAATTTGGGAGCTGCATAGTCAGGCCTGCGATTTGCTCCAAGTATTGTTGACGCTGGAGAGTTCCACGGTTTCACGCCCTGGCCTTTGCGCTCCATCGCTTTACCCGTAACCTCAGACCATTCACATTACTTTAGCTTCTGGTTTGAAACCAACTCTCTGTTCTCTTACAGTTGGATTTAAAAAGCTATGAAAATCGATCCTCCCCAGAGGATTTAAAAGATGGTTAAAATTGACAGGAAATCCATTTATGGCTGTGTGGACGCCTCCAAGGTAACTACAGCAAAGTGTGGTCTACCCTTGGAGAGGCAGAAGGACTTGGACTTAGGAAGGACTTAGATTCTCCCCGTTTTGGTTCTTCCCTTAACTCTCTATCTGATCTTGGGCCAGTGGTTCCATTTCTTTGGTCATTCATTTCCACCTCACTTCTTTTTTTTTTTTGAGATGGAGTCTCACTCTGTCGCCCAGGCTGGAGTGCAGTGGCACGATCTCGGCTCACTACAACCTCTGCCTCCCAGGTTCACGCCATTCTCCTGCCTCAGCCTCCTGAGTAGCTGGGACTACAGGTGCCTGCCACCACGCCCGGCTAATTTTTTGTATTTTTTTAGTAGAGACAGGGTTTCACCATGTTAGCCAGGATGGTCTCAATCTCCTGACCTCGTGATCCGCCCGCCACGGTCTCCCAAAGTGCTGGGATTACAGGCGTGAGCCACTGCGCCTGGCCCCCACCTCACTTCTTATAAGATTGTGGTGAAAGTCAAAGGAGAGGCATTCACAAGATGTTTTGAAAAATTACAAGTTGTATATCAAAGCACTAATTACTCATAAGGAATTATGCCAAATCTCCCTCTCTCTCTACCTATAAATTAATGACATCTCTTGCTACCCACACTAGGTAGAGATACAGACTGGTAGGTGGAAGTTATGAAAGCACTTTCAAAACTACAAGGTCACACATGCATGCAAGACACTATTAGAGATTGCGATTTCTAACAGTGAAGCTAGCCCTGTGGCTAGTGGTGCCTTTATCTTGAGAAAAGGCTGCTGGTTGACCATAGTGCAATTTATTGGAGGGGTAAGTGGAGGGGGCCCTTGAACAGTGACTCTGAGCTGGTTTGCACGGCTGGGGTTAGGCTGAGACGTTTTCTTATCCTTTTACCTTCCTCAGTTTCTTCCTTTTGAGTTTCTTTCCCTCTTCCTCTTTCCCCTTTGTGTTTTTATTTTATTTATTCATACTACAGAAGTAATACTGATCACTGCTGAAATATTTAGAAAATGTACAAAATATTAAAGATGCAGAGAAAAACACAGAATTACATCTTCTTGAGTCAAACTCTGTTAAGACTTTGACCTATTTCCTTCCTTATGCTGTTGTTATTATTTTTTAACTATGCATTTTAACTATGCATTTTTCTACTAACAGTAGGTAGAGAGGCAGACTGGTAGGTGGATCTCAACTATTCATTGAGAGCCCTTTGCTTATGAAGTTTTGATATCCTGCTAAAACCTCATTTTTGATTACAGCATAGTAGAACCTTGACGATCACTGGGGATGGATCTTAAGACCTTCTTGAATTTCCATATCTGCTAACACTTGCATAGAATATAATTTCCCCAATCAAACTTCCCTTCTTTAAAATACCTTCCTTTCTTTCCCTCAGCAGTTGAGTCTGTTCAGGGTCTCTTCCCATAAATTAGGACAGTGATAACAATTGCCCATTGACTGGGGTCCATCATGGCCCATTGACTGGGGTCCCATCATTAACTATGGAACTAGATCTCATCACCCCATTCACCATGCTTGAAACTCAAATTCACATGACCAAAAATAGCAAATGACTCATGTCTTGAACTTTCAGGATTATGTGTGAATATAGAATAAACCTCAAATATTCAACTGTGACAGCCAAGGGTCTCCTGAGCTCCACACCACTGAGTAAGAGGGGAAGTTCAAGATTCTGTCTCATCTGTACTCAATCCTCTCCCAGGTGGAGTTTGGAGAATTGAAGCCTCAGAGAATCACCTCACTCAGCTTCATTGCCATTGAGGGAGGGGTGACTTACAGCAAAATCTTTATTTTCTAGCTGGTAAAAGGGAGTGAGGTGGGGTTAACTGCAACGTGACCCATAAGCTGCCCACCAGAATCTCATCAGGGCCCAGTAGAGGTCCCCTATCAAATGGCTGCTGGAAAATGCAAATGTTGACCTCTCTCTCCCCTCTGCACTTGAGCTTATCCTGAGTGGAATCAGAATTCTCTCCTCCATATCACTCAAACCCATGACTTCACACCAGGGCCTCCTTTTCTATGCACTGGAACCATTATCCTACCGGGCAATCCCATTTTTCTACGTTTGGGATTTCAAGGGAGCTGATAGCATCCTCCATGGAGTAGGACTCATTGTCCCAGGACTTTTGGAACTTATATTAAATAACTTCAAGGTGGTTCATTAGAGGCAGCTTACACATTGCAAGCGAGAGAACGACAAGACAGTGGTTTTGGGAAAAGAGAACAAAGTCAAGTCAGTGAATCAGTGGAGCTGATTTGGGCTTGAGTTTCAGCTGACCCAGTGCTGCAAAAAGTGCTGCAGCCCTCCAGAGCTCTTCCTTTGATTGCATGTGTATTCATTTCGTTGAAGAGAGAGAGAGATTTTCATATTTTGGTAAAAGAGGCCTGATTTTGTGTAACCCTTCTGCAGCCAAGTGTCAGTCACTCCCATGCTCAAACATCTTCAGTGGCTCCCTATTATTAACAAGATAAAATAAAATCTCCAGATACCAATATTTGGGTCTCCCAATGATCTCCCTTAACTTATTCTTCCAGTTTTATTTCCTTTCTCCCCATCCTTTTTACTGGATTAATCAATCTCTTTGTTGTATTCTGTTGAACACCTCCTGACTTTTGCTTAAATGTTTCCATGCTGCTAGTAATGACCCCTTTCTCTTTCCCTCCTTCCTTTTCAGGGTCATTTCCCACTACTTTCCTGATTAGTGAGTATTTCTGGAAGAGCATTCCCTAACTCAGAGGTTATGGACTGGCAGGCCATGGGTTGATTCAATCCGTTTTAGGGTTTTATGAATTTGAGCCAACATTTAAAAATTGGCAGATTTCTTAGAATCATTTAACTTTTAAGTCGCCCTGAAAAGTGACAAGGTCTGGCAATGCTGTGTCCACATTTCTGCCCAGTGTTCGTAGGGGTGGCTGCAGAGCAGCCCCTGCCCCTGTAGGTAGATCAGCAACTAGTGCGTTGTCTCCTGGGAAAAGTCCCTTTGATGGTGAGAGTGAAGCCTCATTTCTTATATGTGACACCATCTTGAGACACCATCTACATAAATGCCTGGCTGTGTAGGGGGGCTGGTGTCCCCTCTGGGATGATGAATTCCAGAAGTTTGAAAATATCCAAGGAGAAGAGTATATTTCTCTTACTGGTTAGAAATAAAACTAGCCTTTTCTTTTTTTGTAAACAGACTATGGCTGGATATTTCCAGAGACCTTTGAGAAAGCATAGATCATGATTGGTGCCTGCTTGTCTTCACACCCCTGGTCCAGAAGCAGATGATGCTAAAGTCTGGTTTTCTTGCTCCTCTGGGACCCTCTGCAAGGGCTTCTCCCTGGATATGGCCTGGAGGGGCCAGGTCTCCCTGTGGGTCTGTGACTGGCCAGTCTGGGCTCATAGAGGCCAGAGGACTCTCCCCACCAGTACCTGGTCTTGAGGGAGGGGCCTGATTGTCAAATCTGACCTGAAGCAGATGAGGTTCCTAGTGTGACTTGGATATTGTTTGGCTTCATTTCTGCCTTCTAGAGTAACCGAACTCTCTATCCTTTGTCAAGGGCCTCACTGATTGCCACTGCATTACTAGAAGAAAGTTTGGGGCTAAATTGGCAACAATGCTTTCAGTAAAAGTCACTTCTAAGTGTTACTAGTTATAGGGATTGTTTGAGACATTTATCAAGCCTCATCTCATTTATTTCTCAAAGCAACCCAGTAAGGACTTCTATCATTCCCATTTTTAAGACGAGAACACTAAAGTTTAAGAGTTAAGGCTGGTGAGTAGTATAACTAGGAAGTTAAACTCAGACAAGTCTGGCATTAAAGCCTCCACTTTTACCACTGTTGTATCTCTCTTAGTGATGAAATGGATTAACTGGAATATGTAGTTGGAAGGGACCTTTTAGACCAGTGTGCTAAAAGGGTTTTTTTGGTTTTTGTTGTTGCTGTTGTTTTTTAACTAATGAAGAAACTGAAATTCAGATTTCATAGTGATTAAAACAATGCCTGGGTTCATGTCCTGGCTATATCCCCTACTAGCTCTATGACTTTGGGCAAATTTCTTCATTTCTCTCTGCCTCTATTTCTTCATCTGTAAAATGGAGATGATAAGAATGCCCAATTTGTGGCATTCTTGTGAAATAATGAAATAAGATAATCCTTATAAAGTGCTTAACACGATAAATATTAGCTATTGTTATGGTCATTGTTTATAATGGTGAAAATTTAGATATAAATTTCCAAAAGTACTGGTTAAGTAAACTAAGTATACATACACATACATGAATATTGAAATGTGTATATAACTGCATAAATGAAATATCTCTATATAATTTACTTCATATGTATTATATATCATAATATAAAAATGCATTATAATGAAATTATTAGAAACCATTATTTTGGGTCAGCTGCAGTGGCTCACATCTGTAATCCCAGCACTTTGGGAGGCCAAGACAGGTGGATCACCTGAGGTTGGGAGTTCAAGATCAGCCTGGCCAACATGGTGAAACCCAGTATCTACTAAAAAGGCAAACATTAATCGGGTGTGAAGGTGGGTGTCTGTAATCCCCGCTACTTGCTTGAACCCTGGAGGTGGAGGTTGCAGTGACCTGAGATCGAGCCACTGTACTCCAGCCTGGGTGATAGAGTGAGACAACAACAACAACAACAAAGCTATAATTTTTCGGAATAAGTACATGGAAAACTGCCCATAATGTAATGTCTAATGAAAAAATAGGTAACAAAACATTGTGTATAGTATAATTCCAAATTTAAATTATATACACACACACACACACACACACACACACACACACATCTATCTATCTGTTTATCTAAGCTACAACAAAATGTTAACACTTCTTCAGTTATTTTCTCTGGGCAAAGAGATTATGGGTAATTTTTACTTGTAGTTTATGCTTTTCTGCACTTCTCCAGTTTTATGCAATAAAATGAATTGCTTTCAACATGTAGGCAGTATCCAGAAATGATTAGAATTTCGTCATTCTTGATGTTTAGTTGATTTGTGACCTTTCTGTCCACTGGAGTTCTTATAGCTCTTGTTTTCCTTTTACACACCATAAGAATGATTGGCCTATTCCTTATCTGCCTGCAACATCACAAGGGCGCCTGCCTCAGTCCATGTGATGTCCATGAAGGCCTTTTGTCCTGGGCACAAAGTGGAAATGCTCCCCCAGGACCATGCAATCCTGCAGCCTGGGCCAGGGAGCACTTAGTTTGTTCAGCTGCTCCTGGCTTGCTTGCTGTTTGAGCTAATTCTTTTCAAGGTGAACTTCAAATTTCTGCCCCAGTTTTATATTTTAATTAAGTTATTTGTGTTTGATAAGCTCCGATAGTCTTGTTTGGAGAGGCAGGCCTGGAGCTGGCACAGACATACAACCACACGTGATGTTAGGGACCATCTTGGCCTGTGTTTCTTAAACTTTTCTACCTCATAAGAGTATATGAATGGGTTAGGCCCCCTCCCTACCCTGGTCTTAAAAATCTATAAAAACAGTTTTATCATAATATATCTGTGTTTTTAAAAATAAAAGCAAAATATAAAGTTTTATATTGCCATTTTAAAAAACTGCAAAAAAATAAAAATAATTTTAAAAATTACAATACAGTGTCTCAGTAAGATAAGCTGGCTTTCTCATGCCTCGGGTGTCCCTAGCTCCTGCTGCATTCCTGCAAGGATACCTGTCTCTTAGTTTGAGAAGCAAAGATTTTAACTGCTTAATTCTCTCTGTGGGGCCTAGAAGGCCAGGACAGGCCACTCCTTCCAGTTTTTCCTTTGTGGTTGCTACAGAGGTGAAGGATGACCTTTCCTGTCCTTCAGAGAGAAGCATCTGCTAAGAAGTTTCCCTCGATAATATTGGCTAACTCAGTAGCAAATCTTTGATGTATTGTTTGCTAACAGGGTTTCTGTCTCTTCTTTTCTTTTCTTTTTTTTTTTTTTTGAGACAGAGTCTTGCTCTGTTGCCCAGGTTGGAGTGGAGTGCAGTGGCACGATCTCAACTTAATGCAACCTCTGCCACCTCGGTCCAAGCAATTCTCATGCCTCAGTCTCCTGAGTAGCTGGGACTACAGGTGCACACTACCAAGCCTGGCTAATTATTTTTGTATGTATTCAGTAGAGACGGGTTTTCACCATGTTGGCCGGGCTGGTCTCAAACTCCTGGCCTCGGTGATCCATCCTCCTTGGCCTCTCAAAGTGCTGGGATTACAGACATGAGCAACCCCGCCCAGCCTCTGTTTTTTTTTCATCTTACTAAAGCCTCACCCCCATGGTAGCTGGGATCCATTCTAGAGTCAGGAGGTGAGGGAAACCAATATAGGGCCTGCCGACGTAGATCTAATTCAACCTTTTCATCTTGATGACCAGAAACCTGAGGTCCAGAGAGAGTAATTAGGAGAAGAACACTGAAATTCATTATCTGTGGGCTGGGCACAGTGCTAATTGGCCCTTTCCACCCTATGCCTTGTTTAACCCTCACAACCCTGTGAGATAATGGGTGCCATCTCCATTTTTCAGGTAATGAAACAGAGGCACAGAGAAGTCATCTAACTTCCCAAAGTCACACAGCCAATAAGCAGAGCTGAGATTTGCTATATAATTGCTCTGACTCTAAATCCAGGGATCTCTCCACCTTCTTGAGCTCCAAATGCTCACGACGTCCTGGGAGGAATGTTCCCGGGGTCTATAACACACTACCATCAAAGTGCTCATGTCTGCAAACAATTCACTTTTAAATTAAATTAGGAGGAATCACTATTCCTCACCTGCTCACATGCTTTCTTGGTTGGAAATGAAAGGGGAGGCATGGGTGAGTAAGAGATATAGGGGAAGAGAGGGATGGAGGGTATGGTATTATAAAGAATCTTCTAGAACATGTTGTCAACATAACATTTATTAATTATGGTTATATTTTACTTTTCCATACATTAAAAAAATAATAAATTTGTTCTCCTATGGAAAAGTCATCTGTCACTGGGTTGTGGCAGACTTTAAGTTGAGAAGTGTCACAAACCACCTGCTTTCAGGGACTTGCCTAAGGCCACTCTGACTAATCAGTAATAACTCTGGAATCAGAATTCAGGTGTCCCGGTTTCTAGCCTGAAACTTGTGTAATATTGCTGCTTTTAAAATTTGGCCTTTAAAATGACTTAAGGGGGACTCTAATTGGGAAGAAGGACTTGACCCCCTAACAGTATCTCAAAAGCTTTAACTAAAACCAGTGAAATAAATGAATCTGACTTTAAAAGTCTGCACCTTGCACACTTCTTTTCCTTCCTTCATCAATCCATAGAGCAAATGGTTCTGAGGAAGTGCTCATTCAGCATATGTTGGATGTATGAGTATGCATCTACTATGTACTTGGACAGTGAGTCTTAACACACTTTGACAATCAAATGAAAGCTCTGGGTTTTTGCGGCAGACAAGTGTAGAAATGAACATCCTCAAAAACATTTACATATATTTTTAGGGAGTTATTGGACTTGCTGAAGTTTGTTCATCGAGGTCCTAAGCGCTAGGGAAGGGCTTTTGGCCTAAGCATTAGCCCTTGAATCAGACATTGTTCCTGTTCTCAAGTTGCTCACAACCTAGTTTCTTGCTGCTCAACCCTTAAATTTCATAGCCTCTTCCACGCAAGGATGGAGAAACATGTTAATGAAGCACAGGGTGCTTCATCACAATTCCCAAAGCATTGAGCTTAAATCCATTTATTCTCAGGATTTTATAAGAAAGGCTTTATACTAGGTGCCATGAGCAAACAGAAACATACCCCACATAAGCCCTGCCCTCGAGGTATCCCTTGTCCATAAGGAAGCATCGAAAGTGATGCAAAATATGGCAATTTCAAGGCCTAGTGAGCAGGGCAGCTCATGAGGATCTTATGCGTTTGAAGCAGGGAGGGCAACTGGTGGGCTCGGGTGGTGCTCAGGTGATGGGAGGTGAAGCTGAGGCCAACTTCGTGCTGTTGGTTCCTGTGCCAGAGACTCAGATGGGGTAAGCAGGATTCTGTGCAGGGTAGGTACTCAGATGGTATGGTGGTAAAATCTCACCCCTAGGGCCCAACAATTGACATTACTAGAGAGAATTGCAGAGTGGGGAGGGGGAACCACGGAGCCAGAGGAACCTGGGTAGGGCCCACATCTCTACCAGCTACTGCCCGGGTATTCTCAGGCTGGTTCCTTAATCTCTTTGAGCTCAGCTCGCTTTCAGACTTGTTGGAAAAATTAGAAATCAGATGTAATACTGTGTGCATGCGGATGCTTAACAGGTTAAGGTTTGTTCATTATTACCCCTTAAGGGAAAAATATGTTAGGGACCAGGCCAATGTTAACTCCTCCAACTTGGCGCATGTCGACCCAACATTTTCAGATAGTGACTCATCCCTTCAAACCCATTTCACTCTGCAGCTTTGGGAAGGAGGAAGGAGCTATGCACTGGAAAACCTAATTTTGAGTGCCCAACTCGTCACTTACCAGCTTGTGATAACCCTCAGCAACATGTGTTCCTCAATTTCCTCATCTGTAGCATGGAATACGATAGCTATTTAATAGGGCTGTTGTGAAGATTAAATGAGAGAATATATGTTGCAAAAAATAAAGCCATTGGGAATGATCCACAAAATGCCTGTTGACATCATGATGATCTGACCAAGCCCTGGTGGAATTGTATGGACCAAGGCAACGCAGTTGCGCTGTCATTTCTGAAGATGAAGATGGCAAGTGTGATCAGATGGAGGCTGGGCTAATGGTTTCATGCATTCTCTCTTTTCCTAGGCTCATCAGAATAGAACCCTGAAAAGGACGTGAAAGGGACAAAATGAATATTTACCAGGAGCCTGCTATATGCCGGCACTGAGACAGATGGTTTGTACACATTAGTGCATTTCATACTCATAGAGCCCCAACAGATCTTTATGCCTGTTCCAGTTTAGGGATGGAATAAGCTCAGGAGATCCTCTTAAGAACCTCATAATTAGAATTGCCCTGCGATATGACAGAAGGTAGTTTTATGCGGGGGAAAGAAATGAAGAAAAACGACAGGGTTCACATGGAGGAATTGAGGAAATGCAACCCTGGATGGTTCTAGCATCCTCTTTGCAGAGACTTAGCATTTCATGGAACACTAATGTTTCAGAGCAAGAAAAGTGGGTATATGGAGATGATCTAGATTGAATTCTTTTTTTAAAAAATGAGGAAATTGCGGCTCAGATAGTAAGGGACTCACCCATACTCACAGATATGAAGTGAAGAAGGCTAGATTAGAAGTTAGCTCCCTGACTTCTTAGTCCAGCCCTGTTCTATTGCACCATTATTTCATGCTTCTGTGTGTGCCTGTTGGTCTGACTAGGGAAAGGAAATTTGAAGAGGAAAATCACTTTTGGGTTTATTGCTCAAGTGAGAGGCCAGGGGTCATTGAAAACATTAGACTTTCAGCATCGCTGGAATGATTGTCGGTAACACTTGATGGATTCCTTTGATGTCCAGGACTCCCCTTTCTGGGTCTTAGGGAAGCAAGGTCACAAGGCTTTGGAAACTTTGATGTTCACGTGAGCAATTAATGCTTTGCTGCAACTGAACTTTGCCACTTGAACATTATTAGTTTTGAAAGAAGCTGCCTGGCCTCAGAGTTCAAGTTAAACTTGCAACTGGAGCTATGTCCTAAGAGTCAAGCAAGAGGAGTAAAGCGCAGTGGCTGTGGCATGAGACATGAATGATTCAGCACATATTTATCAAGTGCCTGCTCTTTCTCTGTGCAGGGCTCTGTTGAAGACCTTCCTAACTGAGGGAGGTGGACCACAACAAATAAGTGAAATACATAGTGGTGAAAAGAACTATGGGGAAAAGCAAAGCAAGAGAAGGAGAAAGGAAGTTCTAGGAGTGGAGAGTGGGGTTCAGGGTAGGCCTCGCTGAGAAGGGGAGACATATATATGTATATATATAAAACTGTGGTAAGAACAGGTAACATGAGATCTATCCCATCAACAAAAATCTAAGTTAACTACACACACAAGGTTGTGCAGCCGACCTCCAGAGCTTCCTCATTTTGTATAACCAAAACTTTATGCCTGTTGAATAGTAACTCCCCATTGCTCCTCCTCCGGCCCCTGACATCTACCATTCTACTCTCTGTTTCTATGAGTTTGACACGTTTAGATACATTATATAAGGGAAATCATGTAGTGTTTGTCCTGTATCTGGCTTATTTCACTTAGCATAATGTCCTCCAGTTCGTCCATGTTTTGGCATATGGCAGGATTTCCTTCTTTTTATGGCTTCATAATATTCCATTATGTGTGTATAACCACACTTGCTTTATTCATTCATCCATTGATAGACATTTAGGTTGTTTCCTTATTTTGGCTATGGTGAATAATGCTACAATAAACACAGAAGTGGAGATTTATTTTCGACATACTGATTTCATTTCCTTTGATATATACCCAGTAGTGGGATTGCTGGATAATATGGTAGTTCTATTTTTAATTTTTCAAGGAACCGCCATACTGTTTTCCATAGCCGCTATACCATTTTCCATTCCCACCAACAGTGTACAAAGGTTCCCATTTCTCCATATCCTCACCACAACTTATCTTTTGTTTTTAAAGAACAGCCAAATAGGTGTGAGGTGATATCTCATTGTCATTTTGATTTACATTTACCTGATGCTTAGCAATGTCGAACTTCTTTTTATATACCTGTTGGCCATTTGTGTGTTGTCTTTGAAGAAATGTCTATTCAAGTCCTTTGGCCATTTTTAAGTTGGGTTATTTGAAGTTTTGCCGTTGTGTTTTAGGAGGTAAAGGAGACGTTTGAACAAAGACTTGAAGGAGGATTAGAGAGTACAAAGCCACACCAATGACTGGGGAGGAGTTCTTCCAGGCAGCGATAACAAGAAGCAAAAAGTATTAGAGACAGGAGCCTGTATGGGGAGATGGAAGAGTAGCAAGGAGGCCAGTATGGCTGGACTGTGAGTTAGGAAAAGTCATAAGACATGAGGTCAGCATGGTACCAGGGACCAGAGCTGAGGTGGAGAAGTAGTCTGATATGGGGTATATTTTGAATGTGATATCACAACAAATCATCCAATACATCTTTAGTTAACAAATATGCAATGTGTGCTTTCTACATTCAAGGCAAATACAGCACAACCCTGAAGCACTCACCATAAAGGTGGGGTGACAAGAAAGGTAAACAAATAACTGCAATACAAGGCATGTCATAAGCAACACAGAGAGGAGCAAATCACTAGGGGATGTTCCTCTTGTTCCCAATCAGGGATAATTAAAGGCTTTGCTGGTTTGGCCTTTGACAAGGTTTTCAAGAATGGATAGAATTTCTAAAGTCTTTTTACTGTTCTGGTAATAAATATTAATATAACATAAGTTCATCACAAAAATGTTGTAAAGTGCAAAATATAAAATAACCACCAATAATCCCACACCCAGAAATAATCACTATTAATATTTTGATGTATTTTCTTTTTCTTTCCCCTATAGAATCAATTTCCCCTGTACAAGCAATTATATAATCAGTCAATTTATACAGTCACACACAGTATAAAACTTAGATCAAACTGTTCACAGATTTATAGTATCATTTTTCATTGAATAAATTATGAGCATTTTCTAAGACTATATAATCTTTGAAATGTTAATTTTATTTATTGCTTGGTATTCAATTATATTGCACCATGAGTGGTTCAATAATCTTCCATTGTTGGAAATGTATTGTTTTCTTTACTATTATATAGATAGTTCCACTTTACCATTCAAAATGCTCACCTCATTAAACATCATTATTCATAAATCTTTGTGCATATTTCTAATTATTTTCTTAACGATACATTATTGTACTGGAATTACTGGATTAAAGAATATGTATATAAAGTTCTCAAACATATTATACCTATTAATCAACTTTCCTTCAAAAGGTTGTAACAATTTACATGCCCAAAATAAATCTAAGAGAAGATCTGTTTTCCTATGCTCAAATTAATAATGGTCATTGATACCAAAAAAGAAATTTCCAATTTGAAAGGTTTAAAAAGAATCTCACTTTTATTCCTGATTCAGTTAGTTTTGTTGTATAACAGAACATTCCCAAAATAGTGGCTTATGAAGAAAACCACTCATTTAGCTAATGATCTGTGAATCTGAAATTTGGGCTAAATTCAGTTGGGGTCACTCATGCAGCTACTATCAGATAAGGGCTCTACTTTTAAAGGATTTGCTGCTTATTGGTAACAAGGGCAGGGAAGTTTGTGACTGGATAACGTACTTCTCATCATCCATCAAGGGCTTCCTTATGTGGCTGGCAAGGAGTTCTGAGATACAAATTCTTTTCAAGTCTCTGCTTGGATAGCACCTGCTAACATGCCATTGGCAAAACCAAGTGACATGGTATCAGCATGGCAGCAGGTTCCTTGCTGTTCACATGGCAAGGAGGTTGGAACAGAATGAGGGAAAGAACTTGTGACAGTCTACCAAGGTTATTACAAACAAAATAGAACAAGACCAAATATTTGTTTAGCAATTATTTGTGTGCCAAACACTTTCCATGCATTATCTCATTGAATCCTCACAACTGTCCTGTGAGTAGGTGCTATTATCTCAATTTAGAGCTTAAGGATTGTATCAGTTGAAAGCAGAACAAGTATGAGATATATATTAAGAGATTTATTGCAAGAAATTTGCTGTATGCAATTGTGGGTGCTGGCTGGGCAAGTCTGAAATCTTTAGGGCAGGCCCTGGAAGGGCAGGCTGGAAATTCTGGGCACAGGCTGAAGATATAGTTCAGAGATGGAATTTCTTCTTCACCAGGGAAGCCTCAATTCAGCTCTTAAGGCCTTTTGACTGACTAAATTATGCCTATGCAGATTATCTGGGATAATTTATCTTACTTAAAGTCAACTGATTATGAGCTATAATTACATCTTCAAAACATCTTACAGCAACACCTGGATTGGGGTGATGGAACAACTAGAGACTGTAGTCTAGGCAAGTTGACACATCAAAAGACCATCATAAGAACCCAAGAGAGGTTCAATAACTTACCCCAAATCGCATAGCTGTTAAAGTGGCAGAGCTGGAACTAAAATGCAGCTCTGATTGTGAAGACCTCAGTATTATTAACCACTACACTCCCTTTTGATATTGTAATATTTTTATACATATATTGGGTGTTTAAGTATTTTTCCCTTTGTAAGTTTTTCTTCTCCATTGTGGAGTGGGGTAGCATTTTAACAAGTGGTGATGTGAGGGGCCCCTGGGAAGAGGCGGAGCTCGTTTGTAAATGTAGAGATAGAAACCCAGGGGTGTATGCAAGGGTGTTTTAGTTTCCTGTTGTGCTGTAACAAGTTACCACAAATTCAGTTGTCTAAAATAATGCGAGTTTATTATTTTACAATTCTGAAGGTCAGAAGTCCAAAATTAGTCTCAGTGGGGTAAAATCAAGGTGCCTACA
This sequence comes from Homo sapiens, assembly GCF_000001405.40. NCBI lineage: Eukaryota > Metazoa > Chordata > Mammalia > Primates > Hominidae > Homo > Homo sapiens. The sequence goes on along the minus strand of NC_000010.11, from coordinate 112,257,600 downwards.
GGACTGTGTTCTTTCTGGAGGCTCTTGACTTGTCTCTTCCTTGTCTTTTTCAGATTCTAGAGGCTGCCTGACTTCCTTGGCTCATAGCCCTGCATCACTCTGACCTCTGTTTCCATTGACACATGTCCTTCCTGGACTCTCCTATTTCCCTCTCATAAGGACCCTTTTGATTACCTTTGGCCAATGTGGATAATTCATGGTAATCTCCCTATCTTAAGATGCAAAACTTGTTCATACTTGCAAAGTCTCTTTTGGCATATAAAGTAACATTTTTACATGTTCTAGGGATCAGGACATGGACATCTTTAGGGACCATCATTCTTGCTACCACAAGAAGTTATGGTGTGAGGGATTCACACCGCCCCTATAAACTTTATAAAATCAGTGAAGAAGGGAGGGGGAGATATGTAAATAAATCAAGCTTGCAGCTAACTCAGCATTAATCATTAGGTCAGCTTGCTTTCTGACCTGCTTCCTCATAGCTGTATGGAGCCTATTGCCTCAGGATCATGTACGCCCTGTTATAAGATTTTTAAAAATTTTTTTATTATTATTACACTTTAAGTTTTAGGGTACATGTGCACAATGTGCAGGTTTGTTACATATGTATACATGTGCCATGTTGGTGTGCTGCACCCATTAACTCGTCATTTAACATTAGGTATATCTCCTAATGCTATCCCTACCCCCTCCCCCCACCCCACAACAGGCCCCGGATTGTGATGTTCCCCTTCCTGTGTCCATGTGTTCTCATTGTTCAATTCCCACCTATGAGTGAGAACATGCGGTGTTTGGTTTTTTGTCCTTGCGATAGTTTGCTGAGATGATGGTTTCCAGTTTCCTCCATGTCCCTACAAAGGACATAAACTTATCATTTTTTATGGCTGCATAGTATTCCATGGTGTATATGTGCCACATTTTCTTAATCCAGTCTATCATTGTTGGACATTTGGCTTGGTTCCAAGTCTTTGCTATTGTGAATAGTGCTGCAATAAACATAGGTGTGCATGTATCTTTATAGCAGCATGATTTATAATCCTTTGGGTATATACCCAGTAATGGGATGGCTGGGTCAAATGGTATCTCTAGTTCTAGATCCCTGAGGAATCGCCACATTGACTTCCACAATGGTTGAACTAGTTTACAGTCCCACCAACAGTGTAAAAGTGTTCCTATTTCTCCACATCCTCTCCAGCACCTGTTGTTTCCTGACTTTTTAATGATTGCCATTCTAACTGGTGTGAGATGGTATCTCATTGTGGTTTTGATTTGCATTTCTCTGATGGCCAGTGATGATGAGCATTTTTCATGTGTTTTTTGGCTGCATAAATGTCTTCTTTTGAGAAGTGTCTGTTCATAGCCTTCGCCCACTTTTTGATGGGGTTGTTTGTTTTTTTCTTGTAAATTTGTTTGAGTTCATTGTAGATTCTGGATATTAGCCCCTTGTCAGATGAGTAGGTTGCGAAAATTTTCTCCCATTTTGTAGGTTGCCTGTTCACCCTGATGGTAGTTTCTTTTGCTGTGCAGAAGCTCTTTAGTTTAATTAGATCCCATTTGTCAATTTTGGCTTTTGTTGCCATTGCTTTTGGTGTTTTAGACATGAAGTCCTTGCCCATGCCTATGTCCTGAATGGTAATGCCTAGGTTTTCTTCTAGGGTTATTATGGTTTTAGGTCTAACATGTAAGTCTTTAATCCATCTTGAATTAATTTTTGTATAAGGTGTAAGGAAGGGATCCAGTTTCAGCTTTCTACATATGGCTAGCCAGTTTTCCCAGCACCATTTATTAAATAGGGAATCCTTTCCCCATTTCTTGTTTTTGTCAGGTTTGTCAAAGATCAGATGGTTGTAGATATGTGGCATTATTTCTGAGGGCTCTGTTCTGTTCCATTGATCTATATCTCTGTTTTGGTACCAGTACCATGCTGTTTTGGTTGCTGTAGCCTTGTAGTATAGTTTGAAGTCAGGTAGGGTGATGCCTCCAGCTTTGTTCTTTTGGCTTAGGATTGACTTGGCGATGCGGGCTCTTTTTTGGTTCCATATGAACTTTAAAGTAGTTTCTTCCAATTCTGTGAAGAAAGTCATTGGTAGCTTGATGGGGATGGGACTGAATCTATAAATTACCTTGGGCAGTATGGCCATTTTCACGATATTGATTCTTCCTACCCACGAGCATGGAATGTTCTTCCATTTGTTTGTATCCTCTTTTATTTCACTGAGCAGTAGTTTGTAGTTCTCCTTGAAGAGGTCCTTCACATCCCTTGTAAGTTGGATTCCCAGGTATTTTATTCTCTTTGAAGCAATTGTGAATGGGAGTTCTCTCATGATTTCGCTCTCTGTTCGTCTGTTATTGGTGTATAAGAATGCTTGTGATGTTTGTACATTGATTTTGTATCCTGAGACTTTGCTGAAGTTGCTTATCAGCTTAAGGAGATTTTGGGATGAGACAATGGGCTTTTCTAGATATACAATCATGTCATCTGCAAACAGGGACACTTTGACTTCCTCTTTTCCTAATTGAATACCCTTTATTTCCTTCCCCTGCCTAATTGCCCTGGCCAGAACTTCCAACACTATGTTGGATAGGAGTGGTGAGAGAGGGCATTCCTGTCTTGTGCCAGTTTTCAAAGGGAATGCTTCCAGTTTTTGCCCATTCAGTATGATATTGGCTGTGGGTTTGTCATAGATAGCTCTTATTATTTTGAGATATGTCCCATCAATACCTAATTTATTGAGAGTTTTTAGCATGAAGGGTTGTTGAATTTTGTCAAAGGCCTTTTCTGCATCATTGAGATAATCATGTGGTTTTTGTCTTTGATTCTGTTTATATGCTGGATTACATTTATTGATTTGCGAATGTTGAACCAGCCTTGCATCCCAGGGATGAAGCCCACTTGATTATGGTGGATAAGCTTTTTGATGTGCTGCTGGATTCGGTTTGCCAGTATTTTATTGAGGATTTTTGCATCAATGTTCATCAAGGATATTGGTCTAAAATTCTCTTTTTTGGTTGTGTCTCTGCCAGGCTTTGGTATCAGGATGATGCTGGCCTCATAAAATGAGTTAGGGAGAATTCCCTGTTTTTCTATTGATTGGAATAGTTTCAGAAGGAATGGTACCAGCTCCTCCTTGTACCTCTGGTAGAATTCAGCTGTGAATCCATCTGGTCCTGGACATTTTTTGGTTGGTAAGCTATTGATTATTGCCACAATTTCAGATCCTGTTATTGGTCTATTCAGAGATTCAACTTCTTCCTGGTTTAGTCTTGGGAGGGTGTATGTGTCGATGAATTTATCCATTTCTTCTAGATTTTCTAGTTTATTTGCGTAGAGGTGTTTGTAGTATTCTCTGATGGTAGTTTGTATTTCTGTGGGATCGGTGGTGATATCCCCTTTATCATTTTTTATTGTGTCTATTTGATTCTTCTCTCTTTTCTTCTTTATTAGTCTTGCTAGCGGTCTATCAATTTTGTTGATCTTTTCAAAAAACCAGCTCCTGGATTCATTAATTTTTTGAAAGGTTTTTTGTGTCTCTATTTCCTTCAGTTCTGCTCTGATTTTAGTTATTTCTTGCCTTCTGCTAGCTTTTGAACGTGTTTGCTCTTGCTTTTCTAGTTCTTTTAATTGTGATGTTAGGGTGTCAATTTTGGATCTTTCCTGCTTTCTCTTGTGGGCATTTAGTGCTATAAATTTCCCTCTACACACTGCTTTAAATGCGTCCCAGAGATTCTGGTATGTTGTGTCTTTGTTTTCATTGGTTTCAAAGAACATCTTTATTTCTGCCTTCATTTCGTTATGTACCCAGTAGTCATTCAGGAGCAGGTTGTTCAGTTTCCATGTAGTTGAGAAGTTTTTAGTGAGTTTCTTAATCCTGAGTTCTAGTTTGATTGCACTGTGGTCTGAGAGACAGTTTGTTATAATTTCTATTCTTTTACATTTGCTGAGGAGTGCTTTACTTCCAACTATGTGGTAAATTTTGGAATAGGTGTGGTGTGGTGCTGAAAAGAATGTATATTCTGTTGATTTGGGGTGGAGAGTTCTGTAGATGTCTATTAGTTCTGCTTGGTGCAGAGCTGAGTTCAATTCCTGGGTATCCTTGTTAACTTTCTGTCTCATTGATCTGTCTAATGTTGACAGTGGGGTGTTAAAGTCTCCCATTATTATTGTGTGGGAGTCTAAGTCTGTTTGTAGGTCACTAAGGACTTGCTTTATGAATCTGGGTGCTCCTGTATTGGGTGCATATATATTTAAGATAGTTAGCTCTTCTTGTTGAATTGATCCCTTTACCATTATGCAATGGCCTTCTTTGTCTCTTTTGATCTTTGTTGGTTTAAAGTCTGTTTTATCAGAGACTAGGATTGTAACCCCTGCCTTTTTTTGTTTTTCATTTGCTTGGTAGATCTTCCTCCATCCCTTTGTTTTGAGTCTATGTGTGTCTGTGCATGTGAGATGGGTTTCCTGAATACAGCACACTGATGGGTCTTGACTCTTTATCCAATTTGCCAGTCTGTGTCTTTTAATTGGAGCATTTAGCCCATTTACATTTAAGGTTAGTATTGTTATGTGTGAATTTGATCCTGTCATATGATATTAGCTGGTTATTTTGCTCGTTAATTGATGTAGTTTCTTCCTAGCCTTGATGGTCTTTACAATTTGGCATGATTTTGCAGTGGCTGGTAGCGGTTGTTCCTTTCCATGTTTAGCGCTTCCTTCAGGAGCTCTTTTAGGGCAGGCCTAGTGGTGACAAAATCTCTCAGCATTTGCTTGTCTGTAAAGTATTTTATTTCTCCTTCACTTATGAAGCTTAGTTTGGCTGGATATGAAATTCTGGGTTGAAAATTCTTTCCTTTAAGAATGTTGAATATTGGCCCCCACTCTCTTTTGGCTTGTAGAGTTTCTGCCGAGAGATCACCTGTTGTTAGTCTGATGGGTTTCCCTTTGTGGGTAACCTGACCTTTCTCTCTGGCTGCCCTTAACATTTTTTCCTTCATTTCAACTTTGGTGAATGTGACAATTATGTGTCTTGGAGTTGCTCTTCTCGAGGAGTATCTTTGTGGCATTCTCTGTATTTCTTGAATCTGAATGTTGGCCTGCCTTGCTAGATTGGGGAAGTTCTCCTGCATAATATCCTGCAGAGTGTTTTCCAACTTGGTTCCATTCTCCCCGTCACTTTCAGGTACACCAATCAGACATAGATTTGGTCTTTTCATATAGTCCCATATTTCTTGGAGGCTTTGTTTCTTTTTATTCTTTTTTCTCTAAACTTCCCTTCTTGCTTCATTTCATTCATTTTGTCTTCCATCACTGATACCCTTTCTTCCAGTTGATCGCATCGGCTCCTGAGGCTTCTGCATTCTTCACGTAGTTCTCGAGCCTTGGCTTTCAGCTCCATCAGCTCCTTTAAGGACTTCTCTGCATTGGTTATTCTAGTTATCCATTCGTCTAATTTTTTTTCAAGGTTTCTAACTTCTTTGCCATTGGTTTGAATTTCCTCCTGTAGCTCGGAGTTGTTTGATCGTCTGAAGCCTTCTTTTCTCAACTTGTCAAAGTCCTTCTCCGTCCAGCTTTGTTCCGTTGCTGGTGAGGAGCTGTGTTCCTTTAGAGGAGGAGAGGTGCTCTGCTTTTTAGAGTTTCCAGTTTTTCTGCTCTGTTTTTTTCCCCATCTTTGTGGTTTTATCTACTTTTGGTCGTTGATGATGGTGACGTAAAGATAGGTTTTGGCATGGATGTCCTTTCTGTTTGTTAGTTTTCCTTCTACCAGACAGGACCCTCAGCTGCAGATCTGTTGGAGTTTGCAAGAGGTCCGCTCCAGACCCTTTTTGCCTGGGTGTCAGCAGTGGTGGCTGCAGAACAGCGGTGGCTGTAGAACAGCGGATTTTGGTGACCCGCAGATGCTGCTGCCTGATCGTTCCTCTGGAAGTTTTATCTCAGAGAAGTACCCGGCCGTGTGAGGTGTCAGTGTGCCCCTACTGGGGGGTGCCACCCAGTTAGGCTGCTCGGGGGTCAGGGACCCACTTGAGGAGGCAGTCTGCCCATTCTCAGATCTCCAGCTGTGTGCTGGGAGAACCACTACTCTCTTCAAAGCTGTCAGACAGGGACATTTAAGTCTGCAGAGGTTACTGCTGTCTGTTTGTCTGTGCCCCGCCCCTAGAGGTGGAGCCTACATAGGCAGGCAGGCCTCCTTGAGCTACGTGGTGGGCTCCACCCAGTTCTAGCTTCCGGGCTGCTTTGTTTACCTAATCAAGCCTGGGCAATGGCAGGCGTCCCTCCCCCAGCCTCACTGCCACCTTGCAGTTTGATCTCAGACTGCTGTGCTAGCAATCAGTGAGACTCCGTGGGCGTAGGACCCTCCGAGCCAGGTGCGGGATATAATCTCCTGGTGTGCCGTTTTTTAAGCCCGTTGGAAAAGCGCAGTATTAGTGTGAGAGTGACCCTATTTTCCAGGTGCCATCTGTCACCCCTTTCTTTGACTAGGAAAGGGAACTCCCTGACCCCTTGTGCTTCCCGAGTGAGGCAGTGCCTCGCCCTGCTTCAGCTCGTGCACGGTGCGCTGCACCCACTGTCCTGCGCCCACTGTCTGGCACTCCCTAGTGAGATGAACCTGGTACCTCAGATGGAAATGCGGAAATCACCCGTCTTCTGTGTCGCTCACACTGGGAGCTGTAGACCAGAGCTGTTCCTATTCGGCCATCTTGGCTCCACCCCCTGTTATAAGATTAAAGTTCCCCTCAACTGTTCTATAGATAACAACTTTAACATTATGAGATGTTAAGTTTTCCCTTTGAGATATTCCTTTCAAGTCCTGCATACCAGTGAAACTACTGACATCATCTGGTCTGAAGAACCTCACAGGAACTGACTCACCAAAAAATAGTTTCCTGATGATTTCATCCCTCTTACCCCAATAAATCAATGATCCCAACTCTCCAGCCCTTTCCACTCCACAATCCCCCCGCTTTTTTTTTTTTTTGCAGTTTTTTTTTTTTTTTAATTATACTTTAAGTTTTAGGGTACATGTGCACAATGTGCAGGTTAGTTACATATGTATACATGTGCCATGCTGGTGTGCTGCACCCATTAACTCGTCATTTAGTATTAGGTATATCTCCTAATGCTATCCCTCTCCCCTCCCGCCACCCCACAACAGTCCCCAGAGTGTGATGTTCCCCTTCCTGTGTTCATGTGTTCTCATTGTTCAATTCCCATCTATGAGTGAGAACATGCAGTGTTTGGTTTTTTGTCCTTGCGATAGTTTACTGAGAATGATGATTTCCAATTTCATCCATGTCCCTACAAAGGACATGAACTCATCATTTTTTATGGCTGCATAGTATTCCTTGGTGTATATGTGCCACATTTTCTTAATCCAGTCTATCATTATTGGACATTTGGGTTGGTTCCAAGTCTTTGCTATTGTGAATAGTGCCGCAATAAACATACGTGTGCATGTGTCTTTATAGCAGCATGATTTATAGTCCTTTGGGTATATACCCAGGAACAGGATGGCTGGGTCAAATGGTATTTCTAGTTCTAGATCCCTGAGGAATCACCACACTGACTTCCACACAATCCCCTTAAAAGCACCAGTCAAGAACTTCTTGGGGAGATGAATTTGAAGATCGCTTTCCATCTCCTTGCTTGGTGCTCTGTAATCATTAAACTCTTTCTCTGTTGCAAACCCTGCTGTCTCTGTGTAATTGGTATTTTACTACACAGTGGGCATATAAACATATTGGTCCTATAACAGGATCTATTTTATTAGACCTATTTGTGCTTGTTGGGAGATGGTGCCACATAAATCAAAAGAGATGGTGTATTAGTCTGTTCTCATGTTGCTAATAAAGACATACCCGGGATTGGGAAATTTATAAAGGAAAGAGGTTTAATTGGCTCACAGTTCAGCATGGCTGAGGAGACCTCAGGAAACTTACAATCATGGTGGAAGGGGAAGGAAACACATCCTTCTTCTCATGGTGGCAGCAAGGAGAAGTGCTGAGTAAAAGGGGAGAAAGCCCCTTATTAAACCATCAGATCATGTGAGAACTCACTCAGTATCATGAGAACAGCATGAGGGTAACCACCCCCATCATTAAATTACCTCCCACCAGGTCCCTCCCATGACACGTGGGGATTATGGGAACTACAATTCAAGATGAGATTTGGGTGGGGACACAGTCAAACCATACCAGGTGTGTTGGGACAAGTATAGAATGTCTTGAGAATCTTCTGCAGTAAAAAGACCACTGAACTTGGTATCAGAAGACTGGGGCTCAGCTCCCTGCTCCACCTCTGGTTGTGTGGCCTTGGAAAACCTATCTAACCATTTTATGGCTTCAAGCTGATGCTCAATGAAGTTTTCACCTTGACAATAATCAGCAGTTTCTGTGGGCTATGGACCCTGGGGCCTGTGGGTTTCTTGGGGTAAGTCAATGAATCTATGTGTACAGAAATGGCACAACAGCTCTCAATATGTGCTATTTTTCAAGTATATGGAGATTCTGTAGTGATGACTAAGAAACACCATTCATTTAAAAGTGTTACTGATCTCATAGTACCTATTTGTCAGTCCACATACTCTGCAAATGGAAAACTACTAACATATGCAGAGTCAGTGAATTTATTTTTAAAATAGGGCTTGGAACTATTTGGATGGATGGATTCTCCCAGCAATAAGATTTCTTTTGAATTGAAAAAGAAGGGGGACACCAGTGTTTTTCAGAAGGGGAGAGGCCTGGGTGGAGCTGTCTTCTGAGAAGGCCATTCTAGCAGTAGTGTGAGCCGTGGACTGAGCAATGCTTCTCAGCCTTGCAGGCTCATTGGAATCCCATGGATCATACTGGTACCTCTGTCTGTGGCCACACATTCTGATGTAATTGGTCTGTGGTGGGCGTGGGGACATCAAATCTCCCTAAATGATTTTAATGTCCAGCAAAGTTAGAGAACCACTGGTGTAAGGTGTCATTATGCTCATCAAGAAGCTGAGTGGGACCACATGAGAAGTGCTGAGGCCCCAGTCTCACTAGGCAAGAGGCAATGAAAGGGATAGAAATGGAGAGAAGGGGACAGTGGAGGCTCTGCAGAAATGAAATCAGTAGTACCTAGAAAATGATTGCATTGGGCCCAGGATGGTGGCTCACACCTGTAATCCCAGCACTTCGGGAGGACGAGGCAGGCTGATTGCTTGAGGTCAGGAGTTCAAGACAAGCCTGGCCAACATGGTGAAACCCCGTCTCTACTAAAAATACAAAAATTAGCTGGGCGTGGTGGCAGTCTCCTGTAATCCTAGCTACTAGGGAGGCTGAGGCAGGAGAGTCACTTGACTCTGGGGGGGCAGAGGTTGCAGTGAGCTGAGATTGCACCACTGTACTCCAGCCAAGTCAAAGTTAACCTGAGGCTTCAATACTCATGTTAATAATAATTACTATAATACTATAGGAAGAGAAGACAAACCTTTAAAAAATGTTTATATGTGCCTTGTGCTGTGTTAGCACATCCACCCATCAAGTCCATTTCTCCTCACAGCAATGCTCTGAAGCAGGAGCTCTTTTTGTTCACTTTTTATAGATGAGGACATTTGAGGCAGCTGATAAGTGGCTGAGCCAGGAGCCAACTTCAGGTCTGAGTCACACTCTGGATTCTCCATCACCAGTCCACGTTGCCACATTGTCAGGCTTGGGGGACCTGGGCAATGTCTCTTTTACATGGAAAGAGGGGCCCAAGCTAGTAATAAGTCAGGCCAACGCTGTGGATCCTACTTCTAAGAAGACTCCTCACCCCTTCTGGGTAAGATCTCACTGCAGGTCAAATACATACCCAAATGGGGGTCAACTCTAGACCCTAAAAAGCATGATTGTTACTGTCTGGGAAACGTAAGATCTGACGACAAGGGGCAATACTTTCTCAACCTCAGTCACCTTCAGGTCTATGCTAAATCCTCTCACAACACCTCTTTAGGGCCTGCTTCTCCCTGGTCAAGAGATTTTTAATGTCACAGGTGATAAGATTAGAAGGACAATTTAGTAGGCCTGATGATTGGAAGAGATTATTTAAAATGTGTGTTGGTAAGAATAGAACATTTACATGTTATTAACATGCCCTTAAATTGGGACACTGCAATAATTGCTAGCCACTGGATTTTGCTACCTGAGGGAAGGGTTTAAATGATTAAAATTTTGAATTGTTGTATTGTTAGAGTGTGCATTTGAAATATATAAAAGGTATAGCCCAGAAACCAGCCCCAGGCCCTAAAGGATGAATGCCAATTAATTCACTTGGGTTTGAAAGATGCTACTTTGCCCTCATCTGTAGAATGATGATAATAATGACTAATCGTCATTGAGGTTATTATTTTTAGCAACAGAAATTGATCGTCTCACAGTTCTGGAAGCGAGAAGTCTGAGATCTAGGTGTCAGCTGAGCTGTATCCCCTTTGAAACCTGCAGGAGAATCTGACAGTGCCTCTTCTTAGCTTCTGGTAGTTTGTCTGGAGCCCTTGGCATTTCTTGGCTTATGGCTGCATCACTGCGATCTTGCCTTTGTCATCACATGGTGTTCTCACTGTGTTTCTCTGTCTTCACATGGCCGTCTTCTTATAAGGACACCAGCCATATGAGGTTAATGGCCCACTCTATTCCAGTATGACTTCATCTTAATGATTTTTGCAATGTCCTAACTTCCTAATAAGCTCACTTGATATCCTGAAGGTTAGGACTTCAATATATCTTTTTTCTCTTTTTTTTTTGGCAAGAGAGACACGATTCAATTAATAACATCTGCCTCACTTGACTATATTTCATTTCAGGGCTTTTTACAGTAAACTTTCTTTATTCCTACCCCCACTTTATTTTTGTTCAATGAGATCTTATCGATTAATTCTCACAATAATTCCATAAGGTAAGTCATTATTATTTTTTGTGTGTGTGAATGAGAAACCTGCTGGAGGTCATGCAGCTTATAGGATTCGGAGGTGGGATTTGAAGTCAAGCAGTTGACCCCTCTTCCTGTGTCCACTCATGGAGTTGTGAAGAAGAAAGGAGATAAGAATACATCTGAGGGCAGGCTGGGTGTGGTGGCTCACACCTGTAATCCTAGCACTTTGGGAGGCTAAGTCAGGCAGATCATGGGGTCAGGAGCTCAAGACCAGCCTGGCCAACTTAGTGAAACCCCATCTCTACTAAAAATACAAAAAATTACTGCTAAAAATACAAAAAATTAGCCAGGTGTGGTGGTGGGTGCCTGTAATCCCAGCTACTTGTGAGACTGAGGCAGGAGAATCGCTTGAACCTGGGAGGTGGAGGTTGCAGTGAGCTGAGATCACGCCACTGCACTCCAGCCCAGGTGACAGTGTGAGACTCCATCTCCAAAAAAAAAACACACTACATCTGAGAGTGATGACCTCAAAACCAATCACTTTTATTAAAATGAATTCATTATACCAACACTGAGCACCTGCTGTATACTATGCATGCTCCTGGCACTAGGGAGACAGGTGAGTCAAAGTAGACTTGACCATGAGTAAACCTTACAGTTCGTGGAAGACAGGCAGAAATCAATAACCGCACAAATGGGATATGTAAGTACACTTTAAGATTAGCACTCTAAAGAAAACTGACCCAGTTTTAAGAGCATTTAATTGGGAACTGGCCAAGACTGAAGGAGAGGGCTAACTACAAATAATATGACAATTATTATTAATGGGGGAATGGCTTGGATGGGCACTATATGTGTCTCACAAGTAATTGAATAAATAAGTAATCAAGTATTCTTTCCATATCATGGGATGTGTCCCATTAGTGAATTGTGAAATAAGTTAAATGATTGCAAGTGGCATTTAAAAACAGAATAGAACTAAACATCAGAGTGTATTGCCCATGAGAAAGGAGGTTTTTATGAAACTTTTAGTTATATATGTGTGTGTGTAATCTGAGCCCCTACATAAAACATATTTTGTAATGTGTCATCATCAAAATACAGAAATATTAGTTGAGCTTTGTGATCAGGTTGGTCTCCAAATTTGAATCCCTACCTTGTCATATTCTTCCAGAGCAACTTCAGGCAGCTTGTGTAATTTATTCAAGCTTTCTCCTCTGCTAAAACAGAAGAGCATCTCTCTTATGTTTTTAGGACCGACTGCAAGCAGAGAAGGAAGCAATGCACAGGCAATGTCTGAAACATGCTGTATTCGTTCGCCAGTGGTTTGGTCATGTTCACTGGGTACTTCTTTGGTGAGGTCAGCCCTTCCCCCACCCGCCTTCCTGACATGTGTCTCTTTTCTAGACAGTGAGGTTCGACCTCAGAGCGTTCTCAGAAACTGAGGGAACCTACTTAGCCCACCTGTAGGTGTTGCCCAGAGCTGGAGGCAGTTAATGTTCTTGGAGAGGGATAAATGCCTGTTCCAGGTCCTTCAGAAGACACTTCTGGCCTTGTGCAGTGGCTCACACCCGTAACCCTAGCATTTGGGAGGCCAAGGAAGGAGAATTTCTCGAGCCCAGGAGTTTGAGACTAGATGGGGCAATATGGCAAGACCTCATCTCTACAGAAAATTTCAAAATTAGGTAGGTATAGTGGTGTGTGCCCGTGGTCCCAGCTACTTTGGAGACTGAGGTAGGAGGATCACTTGAGCCTAGGAGGTCAAGGCTACAGTGAGCCCTATTCGCGTCACTGCCCTCCAGCCTGGATGATGGTATGAGACCCTGTCTCAAAAAAAAATAAATAAAAAACAGAAATAAATAAAAGACACTTCTGAGTTACATTCTACGTGGTGCCTCATACAGTCCCCAGAAGGTCTGGGCTCCATTTCCCAAGATGGGAATCAGCTTGATAATGTCCTAGTGACTGGTGCTTCCCCCTCCAGATCTCATTCTCTGTGGTCTCTCACTCCTGCTTCCTGAATCTTTTCGCAAAAGGTTACCTGCTTCCAAGGGTGTGCTTTAGGCTCTGTCTCTGGAGAATCAAAAGAAACCATGCCTGCAGCACTCAAGGAGGCTTAGGAAGACTTTTCTCAACAGCTCCAGGTTCAGGAAATTTCATCCAATCTGCTGACTCTCACTTCTCTAGACTAATGGAAACTGAAAAGGGTGGGGACAATAAAAGCCCCAGAAAATCCACACTATCTTTTTTTTTTTTTTTGGCAGCCTTCTCAATTTGAGCTTGAGCTTCTGAGCTCAGCCTGGGTCAGTTGATGCCTCACTTACTTTTGCGTTCTGGATGATTCACTAGCAGAAGTATTCATTATATTAAAACAAATATACTGATGGGGCATGGTGGCTCATGCTTGGAATCCCAGCACTTTGGGAGGCTAAGGCAGGAGGACTGCTTGAGGCCAGGAATTCTAGACCAGCCTGGGCAAGATAGTGAGACCCCATCTCTGCAGAAAAAAAAAGTTAAAAAAATCTAAATACACGGAAGTAATCCCGGTAGTCATGTAGTGAGCTACTATTGTATCTACTAATTTTTAAATGTCTGCATCTATTGATTTAATCTTAAAAATTTTAAATGTAATATTCTTTTTTAACAGCTTTATTGAGATACAATTCACATATCATTCAATTCACCCATTTGAAGTGTATAAGTAAGTGGATTTAGTAAATTTACAGAGTTGTGCAACCGTCAGCCCAATTATTTTTAGAACATTTCATCATCCTGAAAATAAACCCTGAACCTATTAGAAGTCACTCTTCACTTGCCCTCAACTTACGCCATCCTCTGGCAACTACCAATCTATTTTCTGTCTCTATCGATTTGCCTTTTCATAGAGATGGAATCATACAATATATAGTCTTTTGTTTCTGGCTTCTTTCACTTAGCGTAATGTTTTCAGGTTCAGTCATGTTGTAGTATGTATTCGTACTTCATTTGTTTTTATTGCTAAATATTTCATTGCGTGGATGTACCATGTATCTATTATTTCTGGATTGTTTTTCTGGTTCACTGTAGTGTCCCTAACTCCTACAACAACACCTGCCATAAATGCTGTTGAATAAATGCATATGTGAGTGAATGAACGATCAATAATAGCTATCATAACAGGAACGAATCTTTGTTCACAAACTAAGCTGTGAAAGAGGTGCAGGAGGGAGGTGGAGAAAGATGGCTGAAGAGAAATCTTCAGCAATTGTCCACCCACACAGGAACACCAAATTGAACAACTATCCACACAAAAAAACACCTTCATAAGAACCAAACATCAGGTGATTTTTCACAGTACCTGGTTTTAATATCATATTAAGGAAGGAGACACTATAGAGGGTAGGAAAGACAGCCTTGAATTGCCTGCACCACCTCTGCCCAATCTTCCAGCAGCCACCATGTGGTGCGGAGAGAGAATCTGTGTGCTTGTTGGAGGGAGAATGCAGTGATTGTGGAAATTTGCATTGAAACTCATTGCTGCCTTGTCATAGCAGAAAGAAACACCAGGCAGAACCCAACCAACACCCATGGAGAGAGCATTTAGACTAGTCCTAACCACAGGGAAATCATCCATTGCAGTGGCCAGAAGCTGAGTTCTGGCAAGCCCTGCCATCATGGGCTAAAGTGCTCTGGGCTTCTAAATAAAATTGAAAGGCAGTCTAGGCCACACGGACTATAATTCTTGGGCAAGCCCTAGTGCTGTGCTTGCCATGGAGACAGTGGACTTGGGGTGCATGGGACCTAGTGGGATATAAGCCGGGAGGCCAAGGGAGTGCTTGCATAACCCCTCTCCCAACCCCAGGCAGCACAGCTTGCAACTCTTGGAGGTACTTCTTCCTTCTGTTTGAGGAGAAGAGAGGGGAGAGTAAAGAGGACTTTGTCTTGCAACTTGGATACCAGCTTAGCCACAGCTCCTGGACAATATTTCTAAACATACCCTAGGCCAAAAGGGACTCCATTGCCTTGAAGGGAAAGGCCCAGTACTGACAGAATTCATCACTTGCTGACTAAGGAGCCCTTGGGCCCTTAATAATCAGTAGTAGTAGACAGGAAGTATTTGCCGTGGCCCTTGGGTGAGAATCAGAGTTGTGCTGGCTTCGGGTGTGACCCAGCACATCCCTAGCTGTGGTGGCTCTAGGGGGGAAGACCCCTTCTGCGTGAGGAAAGGAGAGGGAAGATTAAAGGGGACTTTGTCTTGCAACTTGGTTACCAGCTTGGCTATAGAGAAATAGAGCAGCAAGTGGGATCCTGGGATCCCCAATTCCAGGCTTTGGCTCCTGGATGGAATTTCTTGACCTGCCTTGGGCCAGAGGGGAGCCCACTGCCCTGAAGGGAGAGACTCAGGCCTGGCAGAATTCACCACAAGCTGACTGAAGAGCCCTTGGGCCTTGAGTGAAACCCAGTAGTAGCCAGGCAGTCCTCATCGTGGGCCTGGGGTGGTGCAGGCTGTGGCAGAGAGACTCCTCTGCTTGTGGAAGTGGGAGGAAAGAGCAGGAAGGACTATGTCATGTGGCTTGGTTGTCAGCTCAGCTGTAGTATAATAGAGAGCCAGGTAGATTCCTGAGATTCTTGACTCTATGCCCTAGCTCCCAGATGGCAACCCTGGACCCATCCAGTGCCAGGGGGATCTCATTGCCCTGAAGGAAAGGACACAAGGCTGGCTGGATTTGCTACCTGCTAATTGTAGAGCTCTAACACCTTGAGTGAACATAGGCACTTGTCAGGCAATGGTGACTGCAAGCCTTGAGTGAGACTCAGTCCTTGGCTTGGCTTTGGGTCTGGCCCAGCACAGTCCCAGTGGTGGTGGCCACAGGGGTTCTTCTCTAACCCCTTCCCCGGCTCCAGGCAGCTCAGCACAGAGTGAGAGAGAGACTCTGTTTGTTGGGGGAAGTAGGGAAGAGAATAAGAGTCTCTGCCTGTTAATCTAGGAAATTCTTCCAGATCTTACCCAAGACCACCAAGTCAGTATCTCTATGAATCTGCAAGAGTCACAGCATTACTGGGCTTGGAGCACCCCCTAAAGCAGATATGGCTGCAGTGACCAAAGACTTAGATCATAACACCCAAATCCCTTCAAATACCTGGAAAGCCTTCCCAAGAAGTATGGGTACAAACAATCCCAGACTATGAAGAACATAATAAATACTTACATATTCAGTGCCCACACACCAATGAACATCAACAGGCATCAAGACCATCCAGGAAAACATGACCTCACCACAGGAACTATTAATAAATAAGGCACCCGTGACCAATTCTGGAGAGACAGAGATATGTGGCCTTTTAGGCATAGAGTTCAAAATGGCTGTTTTGAGGAGGCTCAATGAAATCCAATTTAACACAGAGAAGGAGTTCAGAATCCCATCAGATAAGTCTAACAAATAAGTTGAAATAGTTAAAGAATAAAGCAGAAATCTGGAGCCGAAAATACAATTTACGTACTGAAGAATGCATCAGAGTCTCTTAACAGAAGAATTAGTCAAGCAGAAGAAAGAATGAGTAAACTTGAGGACAGGCTATTTGAAAATACACAGTTAGAAGAGACCAAAAAAAAAAATGAAGCATGCCTACAAGATCTAGAAAATAACCTCAAAAGGGCAAATCTAAGAGTTATTGATCTTAAAGAGAAGGTAGGGAGACAGAAAAAGGTAGGAAGTTTATTCAAAGGAATAATAATGATGGCAGCAGTGGCCAGTCTGGAGCAGCTGTTATGAAGACACCACTTGCAGCAGGGGAGGTGCAGCGGGGTTGTGCATTCTGTGGCGCTGGTGGGAGCTGGGAACAGGTGAGAGCCTTGTCCCCTACTGAATTGGTGGAGCAGGAGCCCATGCTCCTGGGCACCGCTGCTGCCGCCCAGCCCTGGCTCCCGACCTGAGCATCCCTGCGCTCTTGTGGGCTCTTTCCCCACAGGCTCGGAAGTGTCTGCTCCTGCTCCCTGGCCTCTCTCCACTCCTGGCTCCCACTCCAGAGCAGAGCAAAGCTGTGGCTGAGCCCAGGTACTGTCGTGACTCAGCCAGGTGTGCGTGCACTTGGGGCGGCACCGACACGCCAACCCCCTGCCGCCTCAGCCCCCACTGGACTCTGGGTGGCGATGAACATGGGAAGGAGGCTGGTGGGGGGTGCTGCAGGCAGCTTGGCGTGGGCCTGCAGGAACCCCTTGACACAAACAGCCTGGGCCCTGTGGATGGAATGTTGATGGCGGCAGGAGGCAGACAGGCTCCTGGGCAGAAAGGGGCGGGTCCCTGGTGAAACTCCACCTTCAAGCCAGGGACCACCTGAAGCCTGGGGTCTGGGCTGCCAGCTCCAGATGGAGTCCGTGGCCCAGAGTGAGAACTTACAATGCTTTTTCCAGGCCTATTCATGGCTGCCCATGGACCAATCAGCATGCACTTTCTCCCTTCTGAGCCCATAAAAACCCAAGACTCAGCCAGACTCACACAGATGGCTGACTACCCACTGTGGAAAGGAGCTACCTATGTTGGATCTCCTCAGCTTGTAGGGACAGCCTGCCTGTGGAAATGTGCTACCCACTCCTGGTCTCCTCTCTGCTGAGAGCTAGACACTCATTGGGATGATCTGCCTGTGGGTAGGAGCTACACACTCTGGATCTCCTCTCCGCTGAGAGCTGGACACTCCTCTGGATGACCTGGCTGTGGAAAGGAGCTACCCATTTTGGGTCTCCTGAGAGCTGTTCTGTCACTCAATGAAGCTCCTCTCCACCTTGCTCACCCTCCAGTTGTCTATGTACTCCATTCTCCCTGGATGCAGGATAAGAACTTGGGACCTACTGGATGGCAGGACTGAAAGAGCTGTAACACAAACACGTCAAATACATGCCCCCTGCTTGCCATGTTGGGGTCAACAAGGAGGAGAGAAGAGAGGACAGAAGAGGTGTAGCCCTTTGGGGAGCCTAGACTTAGGAGCTCCTCGAGCCAGGGCTGTGACACCCTCTTTGGGGCTCTGCAGTTCTTGGCATCTCCAAGCTTCTGAGTGCCACCACATTTCCCAGTGCCCACATTGGAAGCTGCTTGTGGTACGCCTGGTCCAGCCGCAGCCTTGGAGGGAGCCAGTGCCTGTGCTGGCTCCTGGAGCTACCTACCCTGCCACAGCTGGCATGCCTGTCTGTGCACAGTGGCCAAACTCCGCACTCACTCACACACTCCTCACCGCTCCATGCTTGGCTTGCCCTTGGCAGGTGTGGGATCTGGGCTGATAGTGTGACCCAAGCACAGCCTGCTGGGCTGAGTGGGTGGAATGAGCCCAGTGGGCCCGAGCAAAACTCAGGCAAAAGCACCACCAACCACAGAGGTTTTGAGCTGGAAAAGTGACACCCTAAGGATCCTGTGACAATAACAGAGAACATCCCAAACCTAGGGGAAAATATCAATATTCAAGTACAAGAAAATTGTAGAATACCAAGGAGATTTAACCCAAATAAGACTACCTCAAGACATTTAATAATTAAACTCCCAAAGGACAAGGATAAAAAGGGACCCTAAAAGCAGCAAGAGAAAAGATACAAATAACATATAATGGAGCTCCAATATATCTGGCAGCAGACTTCTCAGTGAAAACCTTATGGGCCAGGAGAGAGTGGCATGACATATTTAAAGTGCTGAATGAGAAAAACTTGTATTCTAGAAAACTTTTATCTTTAGGATAAACTTTTACTTTGTTCCAACAAAAGAATCCTTCAGACATGAAGGAGAAATACAGACTTTCCAAGACGAACAAAAGCTGAGGGATTTCAACACCAGACCTGTCCTACAAGAAATGCTAAAGAGAGTTCTTCAATCTGAAAGAAGAAAGATATTAATGAGCAATAAGAAATCATCTGAAGTAAAAAACTCACTGGTAATAGTACCTACACAGAAAAGCACAATATTATCACACTGTAATTGTGGTGTGTAAACTACTTATATCTTGAGGATGTTTATGGATTGGAGGAATCGATATTGTTAAAATGTCTATACTACCCAAAACATCTACAGGTTCAATGCAATCCCTATCAAAATACTAATGAAATTCTTCACAGAAATAGAAAAACAACCCTGAAATTTATATGGAACCACAAAAGACCCAGAATAACTAAAGCTATCCTGATCAAAAGGAACAAAACTGGAGGAATCACATTATCTGACTTTCAAATTATACTACAGAGCTATAGTAACCAAAACAGCATGGTACTGGCATAAAAACAGACACACAGACCAATGGAATAGAACAGAGAATCCAGAAATAAATCCATGCATCTACAGTAAACTCATTTTCAACAAAGATGCCAAAAACATACATTGGAGAAAGGACAGTCTCATCAATAAATGTTACTAGAAAAACTGGGTATCCATGTGCAGAAGGATGAAACTAGACCCCTCTCTCTCACCATATACAAAAATCAAAGAAAATGGATTAAAGGCTTAAATTGAATGCATCAAGCTATGAAACTACTAAAAGCAAACACTAGAGACACTTTCCAGGACATTGGACTGGGCAAAGATTTCTTGAGTAATGTCCCTCAAGCATAGACAAGCAAAGCAAAAATGGACAAATGGGATCACATCAAGTTAAAAAGCTTTTGCACAGCAAATGAAACAGTGAACAAGGTAAAGAGACAATCCACAGAATGGGAGAAGACATTTGCAAGCTATCAATCTGACAAGAGATTAATAACCAGAATATATAAGGAGCTCAAACAACACAACAGGAAAAAAATCTAATAATCTGATTAAAAAATACGCAAAAGATCTGAATAGACATTTCTCAAAAGAAGACATATCAACAATAAACAGGTTCATGAAAAGATGCTCAGCATCATTGATCATGACAGAAATGCAAACCAAAACTATAATGAAATGTCATCTTACCCCAGTTATAATGGCTTTTTCCAAAAGACAGGCAGTAAGAAATTCTGGTGAGGATGTGGAGGAAAGAGAATCCTTGTACACTGTTGGTGTGAATGTAAACTAGGACAACTACTATGGAGAAGAGTTTGGAAGTTCCTAAAAAAAAAACTAAAATTGGAACTACCAAATGATCCAGCAATCCCACTGCTAGGTATAAACCCAAAAGAAAGGAAATTAGTATGTTGAAGAGATATCTGCACTCCCATGTTTATTGTAGCACTATTCACAAAAGTCAAGATTTGGAAGTAACTTAAGTGTCCGTCAACATATGAATGGATAAAGAAAATGTGGTACATATACACAGTGGAGTACTATTCAGCCATTAAAAAGAATGAGATCCTGTCATTTGCAACAACATGGATGGAACTGGTGTTTATTATGTTAAGTGAAATAAGCCAGGTGCAGAAAGATAAACATTGCATGTTCTCACTTGTTTGTGGAAGCTAACAAAAATTAAAACAATTGGACTCATGAAGATAAAGAGTAGAATGATGGTTACCAGAGGCAGGAAAGGGTGTGTGTGTGTTGGGGGGAAGTAGGGATGTTAATGGGTATGAAAATGTAGTTAGATAGAATAAATAATATCTAGTGTTTGATAACACAACAGGGTGACCATAGTCAACAATAATTTATTGTACATTTAAAAAATAACTAGAAGAGTATAATTGGATTATTTGTAACAAAAAAGAAAGGATAAATGAGGTGATGTGATTTACCCTGATGGGATTATTACCTATTATATATGCCTATATCAAAATATTTCATGAATTCCATAAATATATACACTTAATATGTACCCACAAAAATTAAAAAGAATAAAAGAATAAAAAGAGGTATAAATAAGTTAACTTCCTATTTTGAACCCTACCATGCTCAATTCAGTGCTTCCCAGCCTTTTTTGCTTAAGACTGTATGTGTCTCCAGGGTCATAATGTACGCACACTGATAGCCTCTGAGATAACCCCACTCCCAGCAGTTGCAGGTTTGGGAGGACCATCAGGCAGGATGCAGCTGGGTTGTCCCATTTCACAGCCACTGGCTCAAGAATTCTCCTTGAAGCTTCCATGCCCTCTGGGTACACAGGGCTCTCTCCCTGAGGGACACTTGTACAGCTGCCCAAGATCTTCTTTGCTTTGGTGTGTATGACACAGCCTGTGACTCCTTCTCCTCTGGGACCTTGCCACCTTGCCAGGTGTTGTCAGCTGAGCCAAGACAATTGGATTGTTCACAGTTCTTTAGTTCTTCAGTAGATACGGGCGGGATCTACAGGTAAGATCACAGAGAAAACAAGTCTCAGTTGGAATTCCACCACATGTGCCTTTGCTTATTAGCAAAAAGACATGCAAACATATAATTATGTAAGCTTGATGAAGACTCAGCTCTCTATCCTTTGAGGTCTTCCCTTAGCATCTTGCATAAAAGCTTCTCTTTAGATGAATGTAACAATATTTTAGCAGTAGGAATCAGATAACCTATCCGGAATCAGACAATAAAACCTTCCCGTGAACGAGTCTTAATAAGCCCAGGGTGGCTTTCCAGAGAGTACAGGCTATTGCATGGGACAGGCCCAGTGAGCTCCTGTTGTCTTGCAGAATTAGGCTATGTTCTCACATTCTGTTAATGCAAGAGTAGGAGTGCCTGAACATGTCTAGCAATCTGCATGTGTTCATCATTTCATTCCACCAAGGAAAAATTCTTTCTAACATTCATCATAACTGTTTATAAAGTCTCTGACCGAAGGGCTGGTTGTAACCTCTATTTTTTATTAGATCATTTCAAATGCTAACCAGTGCCTGAAGTGTGTATTCCTGATGAGTGTACTTCAAATGTTAACTAATCACATCTAGGTGAGTTACTACTCCTTGTTTTACCCTAGGGCATAGGTTAAAACAAACACATAAACATCCTACGATCTAAGCTGAAATATCTTGAAGTATATCACAGACCTTGTAACACAGGGCCTCTATCTATAAACTGAGGCCCAGTAGGGTGAGTATATAATTTGTCATCCAAACCAGGGTTGTGTTACAAGATGAAAGAGGGTCTTAAATAATTCTGCAAGACAATAGGAGCACTCTGGGCCTGTCCCATGCAAAGAGGGATATGTGATCCACTCTCAGATCCTACGATTATGTGGGGGTTGGGCTATTCCTTGGGCTTTGGCCCTAGAGAGATAGATGAGCGTGCAGGGATCCGCATCTGTAAACATCCCCAATCCTCCTGACGCTACTTCTCCTCCTGTCCTTGAGTAGCTTTGAATAACTCAAACAAGGTGGAATCTGGCATGTTCAGATTCTGAAAACACAACATGTGTACAGCACCTCCCTCCTGGGAGCGAGTGTGGGGTGAGGTAGCAGCTGGATCTCATCTTTCATCTTGGTTCCCCTCCGCAGGCACCCGAGTACCTACTGTGTGCCAGGCACGGCATCAGCGCTGCACATCTGTTATCTAGACACACTTCTTTGTCTGACTCTATTTCTCCTTCCCAACTGCCCACTTTTTAGCTGACTGTAGTGGGATGAGCAGAAGCTTAATCTATCAGTTGCAGGATCGACTCCAGCTTCTACCACCCTAACCTTGTGATCTTGGACAATTCCTCTTCCCCTCCTGAGCCCCGCTTGCCTTATTTGTAGTGTTATGAGAGAGACCAGATGTAATGTACATGTCCCCTCGAAGTCCACTGGCCCCTTTTTCCCTATGGATTGACCCTGTTCTACCCTCAACACACAAAAAATCAAATGCTTATCAGTTTTGTTCTTTGGCTGGCCACCACTCTGACCTCAGCCCCTCCTGCTCTCACCGCCCACTCTGCTCCTGACCGGTGGATTTGATGTTTCTCTCTCTAATACTCCAAGCACGCTCCCATCCCAGGAACTGTGCTTTTTTTGTTTCCCTGCCTGGAAGGCTCTTCCCCCAGGCATCTGCAGTACTAGCTCCCTCATTTCCCTCAGTGCTTAATAAAAACTCACCTTCTCCCGAGGCAGACGGATTACTTGAGGCCAGGCACATTCGAGGCCAGCCTGGCCAACATGGAGAAACCCCGTCTCTACTAAAAATGCAACAAAAAATTAGCTGGGTGTGGTGGCGCACACCTGTAGTAGTCCCAGCTACAAGGGAGGCGGGGGCACGAGAATCATCATCTGAACCTGGGAGGGGGAGGTTGCATTGAGCTGAGATGGCACCACTGCACTCTAGCCTGGGTGATGGAGTGAGACTGTCTCAAAAAACAAAGAAACAACCCCCCAGCCAAACACACACAAAAAAACAACTCACCTTCTCCCTGACACCTTCCCTGGCCTCCCCTGACAGCGCTCCTATTCCCCTCTCACATACCACCCACTCTGTGGGCTGCCTTTCCTGACTCAGGCTATCACTCCATCCTGTCTCACTACCTAACATTTGATATCCTTGTTAACATCTGTCTCCGCCACTACAATATTAACTACAGGAGAACAGATTTTGGTCTGTTGAGTTTACTGTTATAGTCCCAGTACCCAGAACACTTCAGAAGGTGTTTATTTACTGTTTGTTGAATAAATGTTGAATCAATGAACGCAGATGTGGGGGAGGAGGAGGGCCTATATTGTCCATCTCATCATATTCGCTGTCCATCTTTTGGGGCCACCCACAGTGGGGATTTCCTATTTGGGGCCTTCCCAGCCTCTGAGGCTTCAGCTTCCCTGTCCCACTCCCCACTTTCCCACCCCCCAGGTGTCTAGATGTCTCATCACTCACTTTCTTTCTTTCTTTCTTTTCTTTTCTTTTTTTTTTTTTTTTTTTGAGACGGAGTCTCACTCTGTCACCCAGGCTGGAGTGCAGTGGCGTGATCTTAGCTCACTACAATCTCTGCCTCCTGGTTCAAGCGATTCTCCTGCCTCAGCCTCCTGAGTACCTGGGATTACAGGTGCCTGCCACCACGCCAGGCTAATTTTTGTATTTTTAGTAGAGATGGGGTTTCACCATATTGGCCAGGCTGGTTTCGAACTCCTGACTTCAGGTGATCCACCTGCCTTGGCCTCCCAAAGTGCTGGGATTACAGGCGTGAGCCACCGCACCCAGCTGTCATCCCTCACTTTCTCACAGAAATTCAGTGCCCCTGGATTTGCATACCACACATGAGATCAACTTAGCAGGGTTGAGTTCAGGAGAAGGCAAGCATTAAAAAACCTTTTCTTCCTCTTTCAGATAAAGTGCTTATCGGAGGCCTGAGCAAAATTGCGTTTAGATAACAGACGTGCATTGCTGACATGTGCCTGGCACACAGGAGGGGCTCAGGTGCCTGCTGAGGGGAACCAGGATGAAAGATGAGATCCAGGTGCTACCTCATTTTATGGCTCACTCCCAGGACAGAGGTGCTATTCAAATGTCATGTTTCAGAATCAGAACACGCCCCACTCCACCTTCTTCAAGTTATTCAAAGCTAGTCAAGAATAGACATAGAGTCTGGGAGGAACTGGGATGTATAGAGATGTGGATTTCTGCCCACCCATGCATTGCTCCAGAGACAAACCCAGAGATTCTTTTATTAAGAGGAAGGGATTGACTTATACAGGAACTGACACAACACTGAGAATGGGGGCTACCACATTTTCTCCTACTCTTGGCACCATTGCTTACATAGGCTAAGGAGGGCAGTGACATAGCTTAAGGTGCTTGATTTATTCAGAACCTGGGCAGCAAGTAGTGTAACAAATTGGGAATGTTTGATTCTAAGTCTCTACTCACCTCCAGCTTGCTATGTGACCTTGAATAACGCCCTCAGCCACTCTGAACCTTTGGATTATCCTCTGCCAAGGTGGGGCACTGGCAAATTAAAATGTCAAGTGGCTTTCAAAGGTTGAGTCACTGCTCTTTGCCATGAAAAACGAGATGCCCTGGACTTAAAGGGTTTTGCATAGTTTGCCTGAGACCTAAAGCAGAAGTGAGAAATGGCTGGATGCCTGGCATGTCAAGCTCCCAGCAGAGTGGGAACGCCGTTGTCTTGTGAAGCTGTAGGCACTGCTGGCTTCCTGCAGGTGTGTTAGATCTGAAAGCACGGACCAGTAGGGCTTGTCAGTTCTCATTTTTCCCTTGTCATTGCAGGTATCCGTGGACTCACTTGAGGGGCTGGACTTCATTCTTTACTCTCTTCTCTACCCTGAGAGCTAATCACTAATTTTGAGCCATTTCAACTCCTAAATAGCTTCAGGCCACCTACTTATCTCCATTCCCTCTGACACCCTCGAGTCCAGGCCCTGGATTCCTGCACCAGTCTCCTAATTCATGTGCTCCCTGGTTGGCAGGGAAGCTAGAGTGATGTTGGGAATGAAACCAGGGTCGCTCCTCTCTCCTGCTTAAGCCCTTCAAAGCTTCTCTATCTCCGTAACATGAAGTTCAAACTCTTTGCATTGCTTCCACTGCCCTCTGTGATCATGTTTCTCCAGCCCCTTCTGCCCCTGCCCTTGTAACCCCAGCCACATTGAATTACTTGCCCCAGGCCTTCCTACCTCCAGCCCTTCACACAAGCTATTCTGTGAGGAACCACTCTCTGCCATTTCAGTTAGATAACTCCCACTTGATCTTTAGGCCTCTCAATTTGGGAAGCACTTTCTCTCCCCAATTTCCCTGACTCACTATGTCTGGCTTAGGCTGCATTTTTTCTTCCTATGCTAACTCTGATTAACTGCCGGGGCGGGGAGGGGGTGGGCATCTGCCTGGAATGCTAGTTTGAGAAGGTTTTCGGGGCCCAGGTTAGTGGGAAAGAGAGCTGTGAATGGTTAAAGGTATTTGCCATGGAAGGAGGAGTGGGTGCGTGCAGCCTAACCTTTGCCATCCTTGATGTAATACTTCCTATCCTCTAGGTCAAGCCCACTCTCTCCCCATGCAATCCTCTGACTGCTTCTGCTCTCACTGATTTCACCTTCTCCAAATGTGTTTACATAAATTAGAGTCACATGACTTAGCCCCGAATTGTTCCATAATTGCATTAGGCATTATTTTTGTCTCCTGGTCTAGACTAGAAGCTGTGAGAAAGCAGAAACTTTTTACTGTCATCCTTAATCTTCTCTGACACAACTGGAAAACAGGTGCTGGTGCGTGAGTGCATAGCTGCTTGCAACCTTTGGCTTTTGATCCCCACTACGCTGTAGATAGCCACTTGTTCTTAAATCTACGCTCCTTCCTGCAGCCTCGAAGCCCCTGTGCTTTTGTGCTGCCTTTCTGGGCTCACCTCCTGTCGCTTGCCCCATCTGGAACTCTGCTGTTGCCTGCCTGTGCCCTGCCGGAACTTCTCATGGCTCCCTCCTTCACATCGTTCAAGTCTCAATTCAAATGTCACCTTCTCAAAGACTCTTTCCTGACCACCCGCCTACTCCTTTGTGGCTCTCTAGAACCTTACCCTGCTTTATATCCTTTAAATCACACTCTCACTTCCTAAAATTATTTATTGATGTGCTTCCTTTTTTCTTATTCTCTGTCTTTCCCTATCACCCTGCCTCCCCAAATAAGCTTCCCGAAGGCCGTGTTTACTTTGCCTTGTTCTCACTGTATCCTCAAGCCAGGCACTGTTGCTGAGTGGATGGATGGATGAATGAGTGAATGAATGAATGAATGCCTAATGAATGGACTGTCTGCTTTTGAAATTGATCCAGTAGGAGAACCCTTTACCTAGACGTGCATTTTCTAGGCCTTTGAAATGATGGCCTTTAGCTCTGCAAATTCAGGAGAATTGTAGATGGACTCTTGCTTTTTGGGAGAAAGCTGTGTTTATTGGAAAGAGAAAAATAAATAAGAGAAATGAAATGACTGCTGAATTTCTGTGTGGAATGGTGTGTCTGAAAGGCAAAGGAGGCATCTTCTTGCTCCCCAGCCTCTCAGCCTCCTGGAAAGAGAAGAGGCCATGAGAGGACTGCTTCTGGTGGCCATATTTGTTGAAACAATGGGCCATGTTTCACAGCTGACTCACCAGAAAGGAACAAACACCCTCTTTCTATCCGGCTCTTAGCCTTGGACTTGAGAATCCCCTGAAGAATGTTAAGGGGGTTTAATGTTTCTCAGCAGAAACTGCTTTTAGAGAAAGGAAACAAGGAGGGAAGCATTTTATTGTTTTCCTTTTGGTCTTAACAAACAAGGCCTGTTCAGTAGAATTTCTTTTTTCTTTCTTTCTTTCTCTCTTCTTTCTTTTTTTCTTTCTTCCTTCCTTCCTCCTTCCTTCCCTCCTTCTTTCCCTCCCTTCCTCTTTCTTTCTTTTCTTTTCTTTTCCTTTTTCTTTCTTTCTTTCTCTTTCTTTTTTCTTTCTTTCTTTTCTCCCTCTCTTTCTTTTCTTTTTCTTCCTTTCTTCCTTCCTTTTCCTCCCTCCCTCCATCCTTCCCTCCCTCCCTCTCTCTTTCTTTCTTTCCTCTTTTTCTTTATCTCTTTCTTTCTTCTCTCTCTCTTTTTTTGGTGTGATTTTTATTCCCCAAATTCTGTTTTTCAGTTTATGCTTGGAAGACTTCATTTCCTCCAAGTCCAGGTGGAAAGCTACATAGGCCACGATTGTTATTTGTTTTTAATATTTTTTGCTGTGATCAATTTGGAAAATACCAAAAAGCAGAGAAAGAAAATGAAAGCAATCTATTAATATATTCCCAGCATTCAGAGGCAACGCTCTAGGCTTTTGCTACTCTCTGAAAATTGGGAATGCATTGTATACACTGCTTTTCCATTTGACAATATACCATAATGAGTCATGAACGTTCTTGTGAAATTTTTTTTTTGCTTTCTTATTATACAACAATGCACTTTTGTTATGGCAAATTAAAAAAAAACAAAAGAACAAAACTAGATAGCACAGAGAAATAAATTAAAAAAAGTATAATTCCACCACTGAGAGATAATCACTACAAAATTTTTACCCAACTATTCCTTAAAAATATATTCTTAAAAACATAATTATATCTAAAAACCTAATTTAAAAAAGGCAAGTAGAGCCAAGTTGTACATTCAGTGGGGCAGAAAAATAGCTTTTTATAATGTAAAATCAAGTAAATTTCATATACCGCGTGATTATTATGTGATAAATACATGGCAAATTCTATTGGTCCAGTGAAACCTATTTAAATCGCCTTCTCCCTTGCCTTCCTTTACTATGGAGCCTGCAAAGTAAAAAATACCCAGTTCCTTTGCAGTTGGGAGTGGCCATGTGATTTGTTCTGGTCAATGAGATGAAAGTAGATTTCTGAGAAAGGCTTCTTTTTGCAAATAAAAAGGCAGTCATTTACAAAAGAGAAGACTTTTGTCCTTTGTATTTCTCTCATTTTTCCTATTGCAATGTGGACATGACACCTGGAATGCTGCAGCCATTTTGAAAACATGAGGACAAAATCTACAAGCAGAGGACAATATAGAAAGAAAATAGTAGAAATTATTGATTATTTTCATGGCAACTTCTCCAGCTATGAGCAGTCTAACTCTGGAATTCTTGATGAGTAAGAAAAATGTCTCATACTTGGTTACGCCATTATTTGTGCATTTTCTGTTACTTGCGGCTGAATACTCTCCAAACTATTTTGTGATGGCATGACATTTTATCAAATCTAGCATCATTCATGTCTGTCCTGTATCTCTCCATGCTCCATGCCAAATTGTCAACTGTCAAATTAGAACTTGGGAGGGTCCTGTTCACAATAATATGCCTAATCCAGCAAGTTACATATTTCAGATATTTATTTCAGTGGAAGTTCATATCTGGCTGAGTTTCCACTCCCTTATTTTTTATTTTATTTTATTTATTTATTTTTGAGACACAGTCTCATTCTGTCACTCTGGCTGGAGTGCAGAGGCACAATCTCAGCTCACTGTAACCTCTGCCTCCCGGTTCAAGCAATTCTTGTGCCTCAGCCTCCCAAGTAGCTGGGACTACAGATGCTCACCACCACGGACAGCTACTTTTTTGTATTTTTTGGTAGAGATGAGGTTTCAACATGTTGGCCAGGCTGGTCTTGAATTCCTGGCCTCAAGTGATTTGCCTGCCTCAGCCTCCCAAAGTGCTGGGATTACAGGTGTGAGCCCTGTGCCCGGCCTTATTTTATTTTTTTGAGACAGGGTCTTACTCTTTCACCCAGGCTGGAGTGCAGTGGTGCCATCATGTGTCACTGCAGCCTCAAATGCCTGGGCTTAAGTGATCTTTCTACCTTCTGAGTAGCTGGGACTACAAGTGCATGCCACCATGCCTGGCTAATTTGTCTTTTCTTTAGGAATGAGGTCTTGCTATGTTGCCCAGGCTGGTTTCAAACTCCTGGCCTCAAGCAATCCTCCTGCCTTGGCCTCCCAAAGTGCTGGGATTACAGATATGAGCCACCATGCCCAGGTCACTCCTTTATTTTTATGTAGGTTGCAAAACTTTTCTGTCCTCAAACCCTGATGAGTGACCAACTCACCATCTCCAAGTCAAGGATTGAGCTTTATACATCTGTGTATCAACCCACAGCCCAGTGCCTTGTGAATGGTGGATACTCAATAAACATTCGTAATTGAATTGTTTGATTTTAACTTTCTGATATCTTGGTTACAGAATATGTAAGTCTTTTTGAGATTATTGATTTAGACATCTTTACAGAATCCACAAACAAAAAATGTTGTTTGTTTATCAAAATGCTAAGCAGAGCTATTAAAATGATACTATCATATTCTTTTGTTTAAAGAATAGTTTTTAGCTTCCTGTCATCCATCAGTTAATTATTATCACTAGCAACCTATCTCAGGCTGGTGGTGAGATAACACATTTGGAAGAAAGATTGTGTTTAGAAAGACCTTGAAATGATTAGTGAGGAAACTATGATTCTATTCATGTTGTCTTGTCGTGATTGCAAGTGGGATGTGGTCAATTAGTCGAGCTATGCTTTATGCATCCAGACCCTTATAATTGAGGAGCTGGCATTCTTGCCTGTCTGGGCAGGCAATTGCTCAGCAGGGAGCCTCATGGCCAGACAGGCAAGAGGGAAGAGGGCAATGTGGTTGCTCAATGAGCCTTTAGAACAAATTGATCCGGACTGTTTGTGGTTCCAAAAGCCACCCAGTACTTGCTATGTGGTTTTCCTTGTGGACAATTGGGCAATGGGAGGGGGTGGGGACAGGAAACCTTAACCTCTGCCTAGCCACTCACAGCAAGATGAGAGGCAACTGCTCAGTGCGTGTCTTCAGCTCATGCCCTCTTTCGCCTGTCTTGGCCCATCTTCTTCAGGGATGGGAACCAGCATGATGAGGGAGAAGTTACTCAAGGGGCCGTCTTCTTGGCTTCAGCCCTGTGGAAGGCCTAGTGGGCTTTGGACCTCACAGCCAATCAGGTGAGTCACTTGAGCAACTGAAGAACCAAGACAGCTTATGGCTGGGCTCCAGGATGGGGAGGTCCCAGGAGAGGGCAGAGCAGGAGAGAAGGCTCTAAGGTTAATTGGAAAGAACAGAACAGTGAAAACCCCTGAGCTCTTTCATGCTCCTTTATCCCCCAAACTATTTTGCCTAAATCAAAGGTCAGGTGTAATGGACCCTCCTTTGTGGAAAGATCACATTAACTGTCATAAGTCATTTTCTAAACTGAGGTATCAGGACAGGGTCCACAGGAAGTAAAGGAGGAAGATGCTGTGTTGATTAGAAAAGATCATAGATGTCTTTATGTAGTGAGCCTTAGAGGTTGCTGAGGCTAGCAATTGCCCTTTACTGAAATGGAAACAGCTTAGAGAACGAGAGTGGCATGCCTGAGGGGTCACGGTGTTGGGAGAAAAGCTGAATGTTGGGAGAGAAGCTGAGGCAGGGCTTGCGTGTCTGACATAATGTAAAAGAGTCTTGGAACATGTCCGGGGTCCAGGGTCTAAAACCCCTCGTGGCCTTTGGAACACCAAGCTCTGTGCTAAAGGGTGGAAGTCTGCCCTGCTGCACTATAATCTAAGCCCAGGGCATAAAACCCCTCATGGCTTGGATGGAATCCAGGGCTCAGGGCATAAAACCCCTCGTGGCCTCTGGAATGTGTCTAGACTTGCTGACTCCTTGCTTCTAGCACTCTTACTATCTCAAGTAGCAGAACACGTTCCATATGCTTCAAAGAAAATGCTAAACCATCACAGCTGCAGCTCAGTCGCTTGATGCATCACTTTCTCTCAACCCTCACAACCTCACCACCTGTTTCTCTGTTTGATCACCAATAAATAGCATGGGCTCCCAGAGCTCGGGGTCTTTGCAGCTTCCATACTAGTGTTGGCCCCCTGGTCCCACTTTCTTGTCTTTTCTCATTTCTTTGGCTCTGCTGGACTTCATAGCCCCCATGGCCTGGTGTTGGGTCTGATCACCCCAACACAGGGTGCAACTGGGCTTCTTTACACCAGGCCTAGTGATCCTTGCCCATGTCTCTTCTGAGCCTCCTTTTCTATTTCCAGTGGGAAATGGCTCACACTTCCCTGCAGCCTCTGTGTTCTAATTGTTGTGCTCTGCAAGTCCTACTTCTTCCCCTCCCACACTCTCCACAACGATGACCTTCTTTTCAGGGGCAAAACCCACCTGGTTCCAGAAAAGCACATATCACATGCTGAGAACATAGTGGGTGCTCAGGCAATGTCAGTCTTCTCCCTCCTTTAGCATCTCCTTGATCTCTGGAAGATCAGGAAGCAATTGGAAACCCAAACTAGATGACTTTTATGTGCTAAACTACATTGCAAGCTATTTGGGCAAGGGGTTTGCTTGGTCTGTCCTGTAAACTCAGGGCCTAGCTTGGGATCTGGCACATAGTGGGTGCTCAATACAAGCTTGTTGACAAAATAAATGAGCACCATGGGAAAAATGGTGTGATCCTCAGAGCAGTCAGGGGAGGCTCCCAGGGGAGGTGGGGCTGAGCTGGGCTCTAGAAACAAGGCTACTTGTGATTCCTTTGTTTATTCATTATATCGATTTAATAAATATTTATTGTGCCAGGCATTCTTCTAGATGAAGGGAACACCGCAGCGAGCAAAACAAAACATGCTTGCCATTAAGAAGCTGACACCCTAGTGGAGGGGGATAGTTGATAGACAATGAGCTCTGCAATGTTTTATGATGATTCATGTAATGGAGGAAAATGAAGGCAGGTAGCAGGGACAGAGATGCTGGGTGGTGGTGGGGAGTCGAGGGGAAGCTGACATTTTATATGGAGAGGTCAGAGAGGGCTTTACTTATGGAAAGGGGACTGTGAACTGCTGTGTAGCAGATCACAGTGCCAGGGGATCCCACTCAGACTCCCACAAACCCATGAGTCCCCAGAATATTCTTTCCCCTTTGCTTCCCCATGTAAACATCCTGGTAGTGGAATCAGGCTGGCTGACTGGCTGGCATAGGTAGGAGGGTGGCATTGTGGAATGGAAAGGTGGTGGTGGTCACACCCAGACACGGTGGTCACACCCAGACTAGGTACTCAGTACCCAGAAGTTTTGAACCCCAGTCCCTGGCTTTCCAGGACTTGACTCAATGGTCCCCACCCTCAGGACTCTTCCCTCCAGGAACCAGCAGCTCCCAGGCAAGGCCATTAGAGGGGCTTATCCAGTGCTGGGCTCTCCTCTGGGATTTTGGAATTGTGGGCAAATTTGTGCTTGTGTGTGTGGTGAGGGAATCTGGATAGTGTCACATTGTGAAAAGGCAGCACATCCTGCATTCTAGACCAGAAGCTGAAATCCAGGTTGGGGTGCCATCCACCCCATTCTGGCGGAGACCCCTGGGGCCACTTTCTTGCTGGGGAGTGAGGCTGGCACATGGGATCACCAGGCCGGCCCTGACCAGGCAAAGTCATCCTAAGGCATGTGCTTCAAACTAGAATGTTGAGTGTTCTGCTTAATGAGAAGGCTATATGCATTCTGTGGAAATGACTGTGATACTAACTGGTCTGGGATTATTGTTGTTTGGATATAAACAAAGAGGTGATCCTGGAGGCTGGAGAACTTGCGGTGACTATCGCACATGCATTTTTCCTGCCGAGAGCTCCATGGCTGTCATCTGATTCCAAAAGGGGTGGTTGACTTCCAAATGGCAAAGATTCATCTATTTAATATTCATAAGGGTCTTTGGATTCTTAGGGGCAGAAAAGGATGTTTTTAGTCCTTAGTACTTGCATATTTTACAGAAGGCTTTTTGATCTTTCTGATCAACAAGTTTGAATAGAGAGAGGAAATGTCAAGGTTGCCTTCCCAAAACACAAAAACAAACAGCTTCAAGGAGAAGAGAGGCCAGGGGAACACGGTGTTTCCCAGTTATGATGGGCTTTGCTTTGAATACAGACACTTGCTTGGAGGGAATCTAAGATAGCTTGCAACTCTCTCTCAGCACCTGTGTCTTGCAGTGGAGGAAATTTAAACCTTGCCTCCTGAACTGCAACCTAAGGCCAGAAAGCTCAGCTCATTTTCTGCCAGTGGAGAAACAAGGCAGACATTTATCTGTACATACTAAAAGAATGCATCCCTACTTTCCAGGAGATGGGAAAACAGCACTTTGGGCCTAGTTGTTCTTGCTGCAAAAAAATAACCATGATCATTGTGTATGAAATAATTTAACTTATTATTACTTAAATTGTATTTTAAATGGCTGGGATTTTTTTTGCTCCAGATAAGAATGTTTTACATTGAAGGAATACTTTATACTTTTCAAAACACTTTTATATTCATTATTACTGAATAATTGGTCTCAGTTTTCTCAGTTGGGGGGTGTGGGATGTGAACAAATCAAGAGGAAATGATAGACATCACTACACATGTCATCTTAGCTTGATTGGTCACCCTGTGTTAAGAAGGATGCTGAGGCTGCTTCTGAACTCTGCAGGAAGGCGCTTCCTGATGGATTAGTCAGGTCTATGATGAATGTCAGAGGAAGGATCTAGTTACCTAAAACCCTGTGATGCCTGTTATCTTTTCCAACCATAAGCGTCCATGACTCTAGGGCAAGGGTCAGTAAATTACAGCCCTGGGACCAAGTCCAGCCCACCACAAGTTTTTATTTGAATAGAATTTTGCTGTAGTCTTTGTTTATATTGGCAGCTTTTGTGCTACATGGCACAGTTGATTAGTTGTAAAAGAGACTGTATGACCCATATAGCCTAAAATATTTGCTATTTTGTTCTTTTCAGAAAAGTTTGCAAACCCTGTCTTAGGGCAGTTTAGAGTACTTCTAAAAAACATAAATATATCCAACATCTCCATGAAGGAGGAAGGAAGATCCTAGTAGCCTTACTTTAAGAATAAAGAAAGTGAGGGAACATAAGAAGTGATTTGCTTAAGGTCACAAGGCCAGGTATCACTGTATAGGTTCCCTAACGCCCTCAGTTCATTCCACTGCAACATGTGACTTCAAAATAGAATGTCCTAGTTTGATGTGGAAAAGTTGATTTAGTTTGTTTTAGGATAAGAGTTACACACCACATATTTAGCTGTAAACTAGGAGATCGATAGAATTTTTTTCATGTGCAAGACAGGGAGCTTGGAAATCCCTGGTTGTTATTGGATCTCAGGCACTTCACCTATTCAACAGTGTGAGTCCTCCTAGAAGAAGATACTGAAACAGGAGTAGATATGTAAAAGATTTATTGGGGGAGGTGTTTATGAAGGGTGAAAGGAAATGGAGCAGAATTAGGCTGGCCTTGGACCATGCTACAGGTCTGAGTCCTGTGAAAGGAGAGAGCAAAGGAAGGATTAGGTCAGAGGAGCCTCAGACCACAGGGCAGCTCTGAGAAAGGCTGCCAGACTGATGAGAGAAGGCTACATGGGGAGAAAGGGAGAGGCCTGGCTCCTATGCCACCATTGTATTCAGCTGCTGACCAGGAGTGGCCTGGGGTACATGTGGCCCTGGCAGGAATGGCATGGTGGAGTCAACAGGACAGCACCGAGAGGCTGTCAGTCAACCAGGCACCTGCAGAAGGTTCTCTTGAAGGGGAATCTAAACAGTGCTCCTCTGTGGCTGGCATGGCATGGATCATTTACCCACGCCATGGGTAAATGGTGTGGCTGGGCCTGGCTCTGTGCTAGGCCTGGAGACTACAGAGATCTGAGAGAACATTGTTCTCAACCTCAAGGCAGCTCATGATCTAGCTGGGAAGACTGAACATGCACACCTGAACAAGCAAATATACATAAGGCAATAATAAAAGGGGGTGCATAGTGGAGTAGCCTGAAGTTATCAGGAACAATGTGTGCCATGCTTCAAAGAGGGACCCTGGGAGGAAAGCCTGAGATGTTCCCATTTGGCATGAAGACAGGTATGTGTGCAGGGTGCTCTGAGTCATTTCAGCCTTCCCCAGGCTCACAGGTCACCTTCACCCATCTGGCATTCATTGAATACCTACCAAGTACAAGGATCTATGCCAGGTATAGCAAATAGGTGGGTTCTTGGCCATAAACAAACTTACGATATTGAGGGGTGTTATAGGCATTGATGAGTCATTTTAAAAAACAAATCGATAGAAATATGTCTGGGTTTGCGTGGGACTCTTAATGACTAGAATCTTGCTAATATTCAGGTTAGGCACAAACAGTGGGCAAAATCATTCATTTAGCAACCATATATTTGTAAAGCTCTATAATGCATGATGCAGTGGTAGGAAGGAAGTCTTTTCTTTCAATTCATTATAAAAAATAGAAAAAATTTAAATTTAGAAAAATGAGAAAAATATAGAATAACAAATTATAAAGCACCTGAATAACTCATCACCCAACTTCAACAATTGTCAACTCATGACAAATTTTGTTTCACCTTTAGCATCACCCACATCCTCTCTCTTGTATTAGTTTGGAACAAATCCCCAGACATCATATCATTTCACTGGTGAATATTTTGGTAGGTATCTCTGAAGGATAAGGATGCTGTTTTTCTTTTGAAATATATCCAGAATACTACTACACATGTCACCTTTGTGAGTCTCGTTTTCTTATTTATGAAATGAACATAGTGGTATCTATTTTGCAGCGTTATTATCTGCATTTTATATGAAGTGCTTGGTTCATATTTAGCCATAGTCATATTCCCTGTTATGATTATAGCACGTATGAGAAATTGTGACTCAGAAGGGCATAGAAGTCTGCATTTCAACAGGATATCAAAGTGGTTCTGATGCAACAGTGGCCAAGACCACATGTTGAGACACACTGTTCTGGGGTATACAATGACAGATTGGTGCCATCTTTTTAAAACCTAAGTTGAAGTATGTCACTTTCAGACATTTTCCAGAGCTTTCAGGACACACTTAAATGCCTTATCTTATACTCAAGGTTCTTCAGACCTAGAGCCAGTGATTCTTAAATTTGAGTGGGCATCATAATTACTTGGGCATTCTGTTAAAATGCAGATTCCCAGATTCTGTCCCCAGGGCTTCTGGGGTGGTGCCTAGGAATCTGTATGCTTATTAAGTTCCTGAAGACTAGTGATACAGGGGTCCTCCCACCACACTTTGATGACTCTAGATTACAGAAGTAAGAGAGACAAACCCACAGCCATCTGGAGGATTGGCTCTCACAGTCTACTTAGAATATTTGGTCACCGTGCAAGAGTAGGTAGGTATGTGTAAGCAAGTGCATATTATGTCCACATTAAGGGGCAAAAACTGGCAGCCCACAGACTAAGTTTATCTTGAAATCTGTGTGTGCTTTCTGGCTTGTACAGTATTTCATATCTGTGAATGTTTACCAAATTAAAAAAAATGGAGATTTCACATTAAAATCCTTATTTCTAGCCTCCTTTGAAAATAAAAAGATTTGACCACACTGAGACTACATTTTCCCATGGCAATATTGGGCTGGAGATAGTAGATGCCATTGGATGTGATATATATTGTCCACTTGACCCCAGTCCCCACTACTTCTCATTAATCACGTCTAACCCAGTTTTCTCATTTATATTGGCTGCCTGGTGCTAAGATGTTCTGAATTTGTGAATAATCTCCCCATGTAAGTTGACGTGTGTGTGTGTGTGTGTGTGTGTGTGTGTATTTGAGATCTGTCCTTGGCAGTGCAGATCAAAGCCAAATCAAAGATGGGTTTAGTTTGGTCATGACATGCACATCAATGGTACACATCATTGGGTAACACCATTAATGGAAGTTTCCACAAATCTTCTCTGGGATGAAAGAACCATCCCAGAGAAAAAATACTCAGAAGATAGCTGCAGCAAAGTAATTGTCCTCGTTACAGGAGTCAGTTTCTTTACTCAAGTGATGACATACAATAAGAAGATCACCACAAACCCACTATTCAAGGACAGGCTTTTACCTAGCCTCAAGGAAATTAAAACTAAAGCCACTCACACCCTTCTCTGAAGGCAACAAAACACATATAGCTAAAAGCAAAGATACATGCATATGAATATATGTGCACACAGAGATGTATTCTCACAGTTATATATGAGTATGGCTCTAGATGCATGTATGAAACCACCCAGTGGTTCCATTTTGCCTACTGCCTAGATAGAGCCAATTTATCAAGACAGGAGAATTCCAATAGAGAAAGAGTTTAATTCATGCAGAGCCTGCAGAATGGCAGACAGGAATTTTATTACACAAATCAATCACCCGAAACATTCAGAGGCTAGGGTTTTTCTAGGATAGTTTGGTGGGCCAGGGAATGGGTGCTGCTGATTGGTTGGGGATCCAATCATAGGGGTGTGGAAAATGGTCCTCCTGCCTGCTCAGTCTACTTCTGGGTGGGGCCACAGATCCAACTGGCTGTCTGGGTGGAGCCATCAGTAGTCAGAAATGCAAAAACCTGAAAAGACATCTAAAAAGGCTTATCTTAGGTTCTACAAGAGCAATGTTATCTGCAGGAGTAATTGGAAAAGTGGCAAATCTTGTGACCTCCAGAATAATGGCTGGTAATTGTTTACCTTAGCAGAATTCAGGCTCCTTTCATTCTCCTGACCTGGTGGTCTTTCATTAGTTTTACAAAGGTGGCTTAGTTTTAGGGAAGGGCTATCATTTAAACTATAAATTAAATGTCTCCCAAAGGTCACTTGGCCAGACCCCAGGAATGATTAAGGGCATTTTGGAGGTTAAAGGCAAATTGGGGTTGCTTAGATCAGATCTCTTCGACTGTCATAATCTCACTGTTATATAATTTTTGCAAAGGGGGTTTCATGTATGCTGCAAACACACACAAGTGATTTTGGTAGTGCTAGAATAATCGCAGGAGGGAAAATGTAATAAGTGACAGCTTGCAAAAGACAGAAAGAAAATGAATTTAAGAACTCTCTTAGGAGTGGGAGCATGAAATGATAGAAAAATTATGGATTTTGGAGTCAATCTGACAGTGACGTGCCTGATATGTACTGAGTTCTGTAAGTAATGAAAATAAAAGGGAAATCAAATGAAGTTGGCAGGATCTTGGTGCCACGAATCAAGATCCAGGGGCTGTGAGGTGCCTAGCTGGTTCCAGACCTCTGGTACTTCCACATCCCTGCTGTCCTTTCCGTCATCCCCACTCCCAGGTGAAAGCA
Organism: Homo sapiens; assembly: GCF_000001405.40. NCBI lineage: Eukaryota > Metazoa > Chordata > Mammalia > Primates > Hominidae > Homo > Homo sapiens. Next base: position 112,219,353 of record NC_000010.11, on the reverse strand, counting down.
CTTTGCACTGGAATCTCCATCTCAGACATGACCTGTGGCCAGGCCCTGTCACCTGTGTGCACTTGGCCTGCTCAGCCTCCTCTCTACCCCCATGGAGAGCTTTACCCCCTTTTGGGAAGGTCCTTTTCTGGTGCTGCTCTGCCAGGGCTGTGGGCTTTGGTTGGGACTGGACAGGTGCTGAGAATCTGGGAGGATGCTGTCACTCTCAGTCACCACATTTGTCGTCCCTGAGTCAGAGGCATTCAAACCAGTGACTCCATCTTGAATAGGGGCTGGTAAAATGAGGCTGAGACCTGCTGGGCTGAATTCCCAAGAGGTTAGGCATTCTTAGCCACAGAACGAGATAGGAGGTTGGGGCAAGATACAGGTCACAAAGACCTTGCTGATACAACAGGATGCAGTAAAGACGCGGGCTAACACCCACCAAAACCAAGATGGCTACAAAAGCAGCCTCTGGTCATCCTCACTGCTCATTATGTATTAATTATAATGCATTAGCATGCCAAAAGACACTCCCACGTGCACCATGACAGTTTACAAATGCGAAGGCATTTACCCTGTGTAGTCTAAAAAACCTCATGAGTTGAAACCTCAATTCCGGGAACTCCTCACACCTTTCCTGGGAAATTTGTGAATAATCCATCCCTTGTTTAGCATATAATCAAGGAGTAACCATAAGTATATTCAGTTGAGCAGTCCATGCTGCTGCTCTGTCTATGGAGTAGCTGTTCATTTGTTTCTTTACTTCTCTTAGAAACTTGCTTTCACTTCACTCTGTGGACTTGCCCCAAATTCTTTCTTGCACCAAGAACCCTCTTTTGGTGTCTGAATCAGGACCCCTTTCTGGTAACACCAGGTTGATTTTTTTTTCTTATACCATCCTACCCAGCGCATCTCCCTTATTGTTTATCTGGTGACCTCAAGGGTTTGGATAAAACATTCCTTGCAATGGGTCAAGCTGAGAACTTGGCGAGCCTTCAGTGAAGTCCTCTCCATCTCTCCATAGTCGCTCTGTTTTCTCTCCTTTGTAGCCATCTTCCCCTGCATCTTGAGACTCCCATGATCCTTAATCCATTTCCGTGTGCCCCTGCTCTGTATGGCATCCTCCTCAGCCAGTCCTACCCCATCTGCAGTGCTTTCACCCAGAGTTCACCTTCCTCTCACTTGAACAAGCCAGGCAGCTGCAGAGGCACTGCCCTCAGTAGGCTGTTAGGAAGGAAGCAAGTTGATCTCACCTGTGTCTGGGAATCAGATTTCTATCTTCCTTTGAATCGTCAATGGCCAGCTTGCTAGCTCTGTGCCTTTTGGTAAGATATTCAGTCTTTCTGAGCCTTAGGTAAAAATGTTTTAAATGCCAACATAACAGCTATTTGTTGACCTCATTGCCATTTTCTCCATAAACAATGAAGTCCTTTTAAATTTCTTTCTTTTTTTCTCTTGATCTAAACAGCTAGGAAGCCAAGACTGAATATGTAGGAGAAGAATAAAGACCTGTTTTGTGTGTGAAGAGTTGGAGTAGGAAGATCACAGGACTTCATTCTGGCTTCAGTTCCTGCCTGGGTAGATTTTGGCAAGTTACTCTAAAGTTTCTGATTCTCCAGCACCTCATCTTTGAAAGGGCAATAAAAATACTACCTTCCTTTTGCTTAGGGTTGTAGGGAGGGTTACATGAGACAGAATGTATAATTGTGCTTTATGCACTGTGAAAATCTGTGTAAATGTTAGACTTGGCTACTGCTATGACATCATAACTTCTGGCGGGAGAGAAGCCCTTTAATGACTAGCTCTCTCGCTTGCTTTGTTTCTTTCCTGTTTCCCTGCTATGAGGTTGTGAATTCGTGGCTATAAGGGTATGCAAACTTGTACATGAATGTCCATAGCAGCATTATTCATGATATCACAAAAAAAAAAAACAAACAAAACGTGGAAACCACCCAAATGTCCTCCAGCAGATGAATGGTGGATATTTGTGACTGTATAAATTGTAGTATATTTATACTATGTAATATTATTCATCAATAAAAAGAAATGAAGTAAACCTTGAAAACTTTATGCTAAGAGAAAAAAAACAGCTGCAAAGGTCACATATCCTATGATTGCATTTATAGGAAATGTCCAGAGTAGGCGTTTCTGATCTATAGAAGACATACAGTAGATCAGTAGTTGCCTAGAGCTGGATGAGGTGTTGGCAGAGTTGCGGGTGATCGTTAATGGGAAGGGGGTTCTTTATGGGGTGATGGAATGTTCTAAAATTCATTCTGCTCATGGCTGCACAACTCTATGTCTGTATTTGAAATCACTGAACTATATATACGCTTTAAATGGGTAAATTGTATGGTGTGTGCATTATATTTCAATGAGACGTTATATATCAATTTTTTTTTTTTAAGGAGTGGAGATACACACCTTTGCTTTTTCTCCTTCTTTTCCCAGTAGGAGTGGTGGCTTACACCTGTAATCCCAGCACTTTGGGAGGCTAAGGCAGGTGGATAACCTGAGGTCAGAAGTTCGAGACCAGCCTGGCCAACATGGTAAAACCCCGTCTCTAGTAAAAATACAAAAATTAGCTGGGCATGGTGGTGGGTGCCTGTAGTCCCAGCTACTTGGGAGGCTGAGGCACGAGAATCGCTTGAACCTAGGAGGCAGAGGCTGCAGTGAGCCAAGATCACACCACTGCACTCCAGCCTGGGGGACAGAGTGAGACTCTGTCTCAAAAAAAACAAAAAAAGTAATTAATTAATAAAAATAAAAAAGGAGAGGAGATACACACCTTTGCTTTTTCTCCTTTCCCCAGTAGGAGCCCTGCAGGGGGTCCCCTTGGAGAATATTTGACTGTACTTGTCCCTCTGACTTGGATCCGCTTCCTGTCTACCACTGCTGGTTTTGTTGTGGTTCCTTTGGACAGGCCCATACCCTTCAAGACAAGCCCTCTTCACCAGTCCCTGCCATTGGTTCCACTGCACTAAGGACTTCTTTCACAAACTGCTACCTCCTGTGCTGACATTGTTTTGGGAGGGCAGGGAACTGTGCCAGGTTTGGCTCACCTCAGTGCCCCCAGTCAGCACATCTCTACCAGAGTAGATGCAAAATAAATAACTGTTGAACGAATGCATATTTACCTAATAAGAGGGTTCCCCTTAAGTTCCTTTAAATATTGAGCTCTAATATATCAAGACCCTTTGAGGGTTTGTCTACCAGTCTATAGGGCCTGTAAGAGCCTCAGAGGAAGGAGAGGGAGTTTTTATGCATGTAGTCTTTGCAACAACTAAGCAGGAAGCGACTGACAGTGTTTAAAGTCACATGGACACAGCTAGCAAGGGCCTTTATTCGCCCCTACACCTTCTTAGTTCCCAGAACCTACTGTCTTTACTAGAGCTCTTCATAAGCCGAACAGAGCAATAATAGTTTTGAAAGGGGAGGGTGGCAGCAGCTGGAAAGAGGATGAAGAAATAGAGAAGACCAAAGTCATGACTGCTTAAAGACAAATACGAAATGCACATAAAGCATCTCCAACATCTCTCCACAACCTTCTCAGGGTCACAGTCAGTGAGCTGCACATCTGGTGTCAAATAGGCTCACCCCATGGGGACCCCAGCCCCGCTCAGCCCCAGTCAAACCTCCCTTCCCCTCAGCAGTGAGAAATGCAAATTGGAAACAGCCAGGCCCGGAGCCTGACGCCCCATGTGAACACTCAAGCTGTGGACACCTCCGCTGAGAATGAGGTTACTGAGCTCAGAGCTTTACTCCCCAGTTAGAAAATCCCCACCAGGCAATGCGAAGAAGACACCATTCATTGCATCATTAAATTGTAACAAGCCCTGAAATGCACTCCAGAAGCCTGGGTCTGTTTGTCCTTGCAGTCGGAAGGAAGCCTGTGATTGGCTGGCCAAGCTCAGCCTAGCAGGCCTTATCTCTGACTGGTTATTATTTGATTAAAGAGGCTTCCTCCTCTTGCGGTGTTTCAAAACTGCATTGGGAGAATTTGCTGCTGCGGGGGGACTCTTTCTGAGGTTACTGTGGAGCACCCAAAGTCTGTCAGCCTCTGGCCGTGCAAACAGGCACCCAGAGGAACCAGACCTTGCTTATTCACCCACAGCCTGGGACTGTCTTCTCCAGAGTCTCCATCAGCTTTGCTAATCGACTGATTGGAAATAATTCCTCAAACACCACCAAGTCAAGGATACAGGTATTTAAAAACCTGGGGTGCAGGGAGTAATTTCTTAGGATGTCATGACATGAGACACGGGGGTAGGACGAGGAAGCCTGGGAAGCAGCGTGGAATGCAGGAGAGGCAGACACAGTAGGAAGAAGAAAGTCAAAGAAAAGAACTCAGAATCATGGAATTCTGTGCAAAGGCAAAACTGAGGTGCTTGGGCATAGTTATTTGCAGCTGACAAGAGGTGCAAGCACGTTTGTGATGTAACATTCACATCTGTGTGCATTTGCTCCTCATGAAATCCTTCCCGAGTTTTTGCTACTCTTTTGGCCTCCATGAAATCCTCCATCCTGGCTCAGAACCCCCAAATCCTGAGAAGGTTTTGGACAGTTTATGAAAAATCTAATTGCTTTAGCTTGAAACGTCACCAAATCTGATTTGCAAACGGCACATGGCCTTCAAAGGCTCTGCTTAGTAGTACAAATCCTGGTACCAATCCTCGTGATGTTGGCTACAGAGGAAAGAGGAGGAGCTGAGAATGTCTTTTATGAAAGTTTGATTCCCACTTTAAGATCTGTGTTTAACGGGTGATATTCATTCTTATCCCCACTGTATTCCCTACTCAGGGTTGTTTTCTGAGCTTGGATCGGGCAGATAGCTTTATGTCAAAGGACTTTCTCACTGTAGAGGAAAGCTGGGCTCCATATGGGGCCAGCAGGATTTAACCATCTGGAATGAAGATCAAAGACAGCAGAAAAGACAGACTTCATTCTCTCTGTTAGGTTTGGCTGGAGATGGCAGCAGAGGGGAAGATACGATGCAAAACCAAGGAAATCAATACTTTTGTTTTAGTATTGAGTGGAAAAGAATGTTTTTACGGTATGTCAGTATTCTTAACACTGATTTTTCCCTATATGCATTTCAGGTTAAGAAATAACCATGCCAACCGCATTTCCTCTCTCCACTCTTTGTGTCTGTCTTTATTCCCAAGTACTTCTGTCCGTGTTGTCTTAATTCCCAGTGTTGGTATCCAGATCGTCCCTGCTTTGTTAGCCACAGTGGGATGAGTCTGTGGATCCCCCCACAGGATGGTGGAGATGCTTCCTGTGCTGACTGCTGTGGTCCTCAGGGAGCTTTCACTGCAGGGGTCCCGTGGGATTTCCTGAGATTATCCAGAGTATGAGGGCCTAGAAGTTTGTCATAATGACTCACGCTCCTCTTCATAAATTTATGGAAACTGCCAAGAGGTGGAGGACAAGCCCAGTGCAAGGGGTTATACCTCTTGGATGTGATTCTTCTCTGCTCTTTTGGAACATTTTCTCCCTTTGCCATTGCCAGCATAGTCTGGATCCTGTGTGCCTCTTGGGCCTCTTTTCTCATCCTTCTCTACCTCTGTCTCACCACAGAAACACTCTTTCAGTTTTCTGGACCCACCATGGTCGAACCTTATCACATGTTATCTTGTCTGCTTAAAGCATTCTTCACCCTACCCTGCCTCTGGGTCTGACCAAGTCAGGAGATTAGTCAGGTCTCTTTCTGAGTAAATCTACTTCTTCTGCTATGAGGTTAGGGTCCCCTGAACTTCCCCTTATTGGACCACTAACCATATTGTCTTATGATTGCTTGTTTCCTGATCCATTGCCCCCACCAGACTGACAGCTGTGAAGGCAGGGTTCATGCCTTTATAACTCTCAGCCAGGACCCCAGAGCCTAGGAATCTGTGACACCCGGTAGGCTCTTTCTTGTGATAATGGCTAACATTGATGGAGTGTTTTCTATATACCCAACACTCTTCTAAGGGCTTTATCTTATTAACTCAGTCCCCACAATGAGCCACTGAGGTCACTGAGGTGAGTGTCAACCCATTTAATGAATGAGCAAACTATAAGTTAAGGAAACTGCCCAAGTTAACACAGTAAATGGCAGACTTCAGAGCCCATGCTTTTTTTTCTTTACATCTATGTCATCATGACCACTCTAGGGCTGAAAGAGCCAGTGAGAAATGAATGAATGATAGCAGGCTGATGGTAAAAACATTGTAACTGTTTCACATGCTCGGTTGGACCCATTCATTCAGCTGGGCCTATTGAGCACTGACCATGTCCCAAGCTGTGAGCAAGGCTTTGAGAATACAGTGATTAGCAAGCACAGACCCTGAGCTGAGATGCTTTCAGTTCTGAGATCTGCTCTGTTCTCCCTGTCAAGATCAGCTTTCCCGTCCCTCTCACCTGCCTTGGTAGCCAGGGTTAAGCACTTACAGGCTTTCGCCTAAACATGAAGAGGAGCTCCAAATCGTTTTTCCAGCCTTGAAGTAAGTGCTTAATGAAGCTACCATTGTCCAGAAGCTGACTGTATCTCAGGCACTGTGCTGAGTGCTTTGCCCTGGCTGATCTCATATTTCCTCCTTATGAGGTAGAGGGATTACCACCACCCTGTGTTTCAGATGAACAAACCAAGGCTAAGAGAGCATAAGGAATATGCCCAAGCTGGTAAGTGCTAGAGCTGAGACTCAATGGCAGGCTGGTCTAGCCTCCAAGCCTTTGCCCTTTTCATCAACCAGGGGCTTTCTCGAGACCCTAAGCTTTGGGTTCACTGCATCCTGATGACTGGTTTCTGTTATTAAAAGTAACAGCGAGGCCGGGCACGGTGGCTCATGCCTGTAATCCCCGCACTTTGGGAGGTCGATGCGGGCGGATCATGAGGTCAGGAGATCGAGACAATCCTGGCTAACATGGTGAAATCCCGTCTCTACTGAAAATACAAAAAAATTAGCCAGGCAAGGTTGTGGGTGCCTGTAGTCCCAGCTACTCGGGAGGCTGAGGCAGGAGAATGGTGTGAACCCAGGAGGCAGAGCTTGCAGTGAGCTGAGATCGCACCACTGCACTCCAGCCTGGGCGACAGAGCGAGACTCCGTGTAAAAAAAAAGTAACAGCGAAAACCGGAATTACTTTTGCACCAACCTAATAATATTCCTGTCAGACAGATATTCCTGTCTGTCTGCCTCCCCAGTTACTGAGTTGGGGTTTTCTCCCTGCTTAGTGGTCCTCAGCCCCCTCTTCCTTGACTGGACCCCTGACCTAACATCTTTTCTGACCACTGACAATTGTGGGCTCCACACTTATGCCTGATTAGGCAAGACGGGGCACCTGCCTGGGGACACCTGCTTTGGGCCGCCCTTAGTCTCCAAGTGGCCCTTCCTCTTCTCTTCTCTCAGGGAATGGTCTTGGAGCATCTGGTTCTAGAACATCATGTTTGAAAAAGTCTAAACCAAGGTCCCCAGCTTAAGAAACCCTCATACATCTGTTAATCTTTTGTTAGAAAAGCAGACAGCCTAAGGAAAAAGGTCATTAGAATCCAGAGCTGAATCTTGCTTTTTTCACTTGTTATTTAAATTGTTCAAGCTCTAGTTTCCTCCTTTGTAAAATGGGTGTAATACTTTCTCATGAGGTTACTTTGAGAGTACAGATTCTGTGTTCTGTAAATATGGGTTGTGTGCTTACTGTGTGTGAGGCACACAGCGGGTAGAATAGAGAATGAGGCTGAGAAAGCTGCGTGCCCTTGTGGAACTTGCAGTTGAATGGGGATGACCGACATTTAAAAAATCACACAAACAAATAGCTCAGTCCCATATGTGATGAGAAAAAGAACAGAGGACCTAGTTTCGATGGGGTGGGAGACCCACTGATGAACCAATAGGATTTGAATCCTTAATAGCCCGCCTCGACCAGAATGCAGGAAGTTCTCAATACTTGCCGCCCTGGCCATGGACCTGCACCTCTCTGGGGCTCAGAGTCTGTGAGAATAAAATGAGAGAGTTGGACTGAATGATTCCTAAGACTGAGTTGGCCACCTCTAGCATTTTGTTATTTGATGGCAGGTTAGATCCAGGTGAAACGAGGGCCTCTGACTCCCTATCCTGGGCTCTTCTTCCCCAGGTGCTTCTGCTGGTGGAGAGAAGCTAGGCCCAAACTCAAGGACGGCAGGAGGAAGAAGTGACCAGTTTTGTCTTCTAGAATCCCCATTCTCTCAGCACCTCCCTCCTACTTCCCCCAGCTGGATCCCAGTATTCACTCCCCTGGGGTCACTCCTATGGGAAAAACTCCCTAAGCCCCTTTCCAGGAACTACATCCTTCCTGTAGACCCAGTTCTCTGTGTCCTTCCTCTCCAAGCACCTGCACGTCCTGCCTGGGCAGTTAACCCACCTGGGGTGGGATTCTTTGGATGGTGAGATTCTGAGAACAGGAACGCTGCGAGGGCAGCAGGGAGCTGAAGATTTGAGAATAGGCCTAGGTCTGTTCCTTGGCTGCCCATGAGTGCTCCCAATGCTTTCCACTTGACCTCCCCCAGGCTCATGATGTTCCCTCTGCACAGCACACAGTGTCTATTGTGAGCTCTTATTAGTGACATCTCTTACAAATGGCTGGTTAGCATTTTTTCCAGACAGAGCAGAAACTCTGGAGGTGGTGGGGAGGCTAAGTTTGCAGAGGGCGATGAAAGGAAATGCTTAGTTAGCCTCAGGCCCCTGAAAGAATGGAGATATCAGCATCTTCAATTCTCTCCCACCTTTCCTGGGTGGGGTTGAGGGGGGCTGTCCCCTTGACCTCCAGAAGCATATGCATTCTTTCTCCATCTCTTCTTCCCTAACTGGGGTCTCACTCTTGCCTTCAGCTGTCTGTTATCCAATATCCCCCATTGTTTGCTGGTCATGGGGCTTAGTGAGACCTCCCAGGGCATTGGTGTTTTAGCCGACGATGCCTGAAGAGAGCAATAATGGTGGGGAAACTGAGGTAGGCATGAGACTTCAGGGCACACAACTCTTCTCCACATGAATTCAAGATTTGAAAACTCCCTGTTTGATGGTGGAGTCATAGAGAGTTGAATGTTAAGAAAGGGACAGAGATGCTATGCAACAAAACTCTAGATCAAGAACATTTCCAAAGAGAGGTTGAATAGGAAGTTGTACTCCAAGGCAATTACCCCCAACAGCTCGTAAGAGGAAAATGATAGTATATGTGCAATGAAATATTCACTCTCATCCTTCAGTTCCCAGAACTTCAGCCTTGCTATTCCCACCACGTGGTACTGGGTTCTCCAACTGCCACAGCACGTCAGACGTAAAACAGGGACCCTGCGTGTCAGGCTGAGTCAGTGCTAATTAAATCATTGCATCACGGCTCCTGGGCTCTCCAGGCACAGGCAGACAGGAGCCCTTTCCCTACCCTGTCCGCCTTGCCTGGGTGCACTTGCTTAGTGAGCTTTGCATGCAAACTCTACCCATGCCCTGTGGGGCTGGCGGGAAGTGTAGCTGTGTTATGGGCTTCAGCATCCTGCCAGAAATCAGATTGGCCATAAAAACACCCAAAATGAGTCTTGAAAGAAAGTGACATTCATTTCCCTGTGGGCTGGACATTCTGCAGGAAAGGGATGGTTGCCATAGAAATGAACCCTGAAGGCTGCTAGTAACAGTGTCATTCTTTTTTTGAGTCAATTCCAAAAAGTGACTGTGAGGAACAGGGGCCTGGGAAAATTGATAAACCTTGGTACTGAGAGCTCTGCTAGGACTTGGCTATGGGAAAACCAGGGGGACCATGAAGCAGCAGCAGGCAGGAGGCTGGCTTCTCCCCACAATCAGCTCTGTTCCCACTTGGACATCTGCAGGCAATGTGGGAGAGGAGCTGAACTTTTGCTCAGTGGTCCCCCAGGGATGGGGCAGCAGCAATTCTGACTCCCATCAGGCTCCCCTTGGAGCACATTTTAATTATCCTGTGGGCTGATGCTCAGGCTGAGCCCGCTGGGTAAGGTAGGGGTGGGGCCCCTTCCACTACCCAGACAGAACAACACGCACTACTAGATACTAGAAAATGTGCTCTCTAATCATCCGATTGCATGGATCCGTGAAGCAGCACTGTGTATCCCTGGGGCTTCGCCATCACTCCTTCCGTGCCTGACTACACCATCATTCCTGCCCCATGTCTAATTAGCTCCATGAATCAGGGCAACAAGGCATAGTCACTGCTCTCAAGGAACTCACAGCCCAATGGAAGAGACTGGTAATTCAACAGGCAATTTAGTGCAGCATTACAGAGTGGAAAATGTGACCGGACCATAGAGCAGTGCAGTGTATTCACAGTGCAATGTGTTTCTTCTCAACTGTCCCCATCCCCAATCCCTGTCCTTGCCCTGAACACCATCTCCATTCCAGCTGGGTCTCAAATCTGATCCTTCTCCAGCCAACGCCAGTGGTTGTTTAGCATTCATGGCACCCACATTCCAGACAGCAGATAGCTGTTGGCTTATGATGTTTTTTCCAGTCTAGGGTGAATGTATTCAATTTGAGGAACTTCCCTTCGTTTTGAGAGTCTATCCTTCCTGCTTGTTGGGATTTTAAAGCATTACTTCTTTTATCAAATGATGGGGTTAGTTGATTGGCAATTTATGTTTAATTTAATTTTAACATTATGACTGGGCAGAATTAAAAAATTAGTATCCCTTGGTTTACTGCACTGTAATAGCTCAGAGTCCGAGAAGCATTGTTCAAAAAGCTGCTTGTCACCGAGGCTAACATTCATGCCTAAACCCATGCAGGAGCCCTTGGGATATCCTTCTTAGTTTTTGATTTCCCAGCCTGTAGCAGAGTGGCAGAGTTGATCTATTCAAATTCCATTCACTTCCCCAAGACACTTAGCTGGCTATTGCAGCCAAATCCTTAAATAGAAACTACTGTTTTCTTGGCGTCTCAGGCTCCTGTATGTTTAATGCCTCAAGTATCCACTTTCTGGGCCAGAGTCATGAAAATCTAAAGGGGAAACTATCCGTCTCAGAAAGCAGTTGCAATGGAAATAAAAGCCATTAGTACTCAGGGTTATCAGGATGTTTAATTTTTCATTGATATTTCAGGATAAAAGTTGATCTTCAGAGTGGTGTTAATTCAGGTCACCAGCTTCCACTTAGATGCAGCTTAGAGACTGCTGCAAAAGATGCCAGTACGTTGATTTATGGTAGCCGAATCTTGGGGGTTCTCTATCCACGTGCTTCTGTTGGGGCATCTTGGGATCATTGGCTCTGCTGTGATTAAATGAAGTCCCCTGATGCATGTGGTTATCCTGACACTTGAGACATGGTCCAGGGCACTGGAAGTCCCTCACAAGCTTGACAGATACAACAAAATGTCCACCAGGCAAGCCGAATCCCAAGAATATAAGTGGCAAAGTCCAAGTTCTTGGGCTGTAGTTGAATGTTCCTGTGTTAAACATTGTTTAAAATAAGCAGGTCATGCTAGGACCTCAATGCTTACATATTTAGCTGTAAGGAGCATTTTGCTTTACCCATGTTTGCAATGTTGCCTTCTCTCTGTGACAGCAACTGCAAAAGAGACTCTCATGCTTGGGTTGAGTGCTTCTTGAGGTCAAAGATATATCTTGAGCGTGATATTGGTGGACACCTTCTCCCTCTGCCTGTCTCTTGCTTGAGACCCAGCACATCTCCTGGCACATAGAAGGCCAAACATGGTTGTTGGTGACAATGATAATGCGAACAATATACATTTTAGAGAGAATGTTTCTGGCAGTTTCTACCATGACCTAATATGTCTACTTAATTATTATTTTAGCTTGCCTATTTCATTATTAAAATAAATTCATTTGGCTTGATCATTGTGTTTGGTTTACTTCCCTAAGAAAAGGAAGTTTAGGGAGCATGAAGCTGGTGGGCAGCAGGGCCTCTAAGGGGACACTGTGTTCCTTCGGAACCTGTGCTGGCTGCTTATGCAGGGGCAAGAACATTGTAGAAGATTTCAAGCAGTGTTTCTCATCAAGGCTCTGCCAGCTGTGTGGACCTATGCAAGTCTCTTTATCTCCCTGGGTTTGGGTGTCCTTATCTGTAGAATGTGTTAGGTTGGATCAGAATGGGTCAACCTTGGCCCTATAGGTGCTATATATCAGATAAGTCTTTTCGTGTGGGGACTGTCCCGTACATCATAGGAAGTTTAGCAGTGTCCTGTCTCTAAGCACTAGATGCCAGTGGTACCTCTCCCTTCATTTGTGACAACTAAATATATCTCCAGACATTTACAAATATCCCCTGTGGAGCAAAATCACCTCTGGTTGAGAACTACTGGATCAGATGATTTCTACCTGAGTTTGAGAAACCACATTAAGAGTTGTTAATGCATCCTGTTTTATTGAGCTTCTACTCTGTGCTAGGCACTGTATTAGGCTTTGTAGCTTGAATAGATATTCTGTTGAGAAAGGGGCATCTACTTCATGGAAATCTGAATGAGAGCTGGATAAGCTGAATTATTTGCACAGGCATGGAGGTAGAGTGAAGAAGATAGAATCCCTGTTTTGATTCTTTTTTTTTTTTTTTAAATTTTTTTTTTTATTATACTTTAAGTTTTAGGGTACATGTGTACATTGTGCAGGTTAGTTACATATGTATACATGTGCCATGCTGGTGCACTGCACACACTAACGTGTCATCTATCATTAGGTATATCTCCCAATGCTATCCCTCCCCCCTCCCCCGACCCCACCACAGTCCCCAGAGTGTGATATTCCCCTTCCTGTGTCCATGTGATCTCATTGTTCAATTCCCACCTATGAGTGAGAATATGCGGTGTTTGGTTTTTTGTTCTTGCGATAGTTTACTGAGAATGATGGTTTCCAATTTCATCCATGTCCCTACAAAGGACATGAACTTATCATTTTTTATGGCTGCATAGTATTCCATGGTGTATATGTGCCACATTTTCTTAATCCAGTCTATCATTGTTGGACATTTGGGTTGGTTCCAAGTCTTTGCTATTGTGAATAATGCCGCAATAAACATACGTGTGCATGTGTCTTTATAGCAGCATGATTTATAGTCATTTGGGTATATACCCAGTAATGGGATGGCTGGGTCAAATGGTATTTCTAGTTCTAGATCCCTGAGGAATCGTCACACTGACTTCCACAATGGTTGAACTAGTTTACAGTCCCACCAACAGTGTAAAAGTGTTCCTATTTCTCCACATCCTCTCCAGCACCTGTTGTTTCCTGACTTTTTAATGATTGCCATTCTAACTGGTGTGAGATGATATCTCATAGTGGTTTTGATTTGCATTTCTCTGATGGCCAGTGATGATGAGCATTTTTTCATGTGTTTTTTGGCTGCATAAATGTCTTCTTTTGAGAAGTGTCTGTTCATGTCCTTCGCCCACTTTTTGATGGGGTTGTTTGTTTTTTTCTTGTAAATTTGTTTGAGTTCATTGTAGATTCTGGATATTAGCCCTTTGTCAGATGAGTAGGTTGCAAAAATTTTCTCCCATGTTGTAGGTTGCCTGTTCACTCTGATGGTAGTTTCTTTTGCTGTGCAGAAGCTCTTTAGTTTAATTAGATCCCATTTGTCAATTTTGGCTTTTGTTGCCATTGCTTTTGGTGTTTTGGACATGAAGTCCTTGCCCACGCCTATGTCCTGAATGGTAATGCCTAGGTTTTCTTCTAGGGTTTTTATGGTTTTAGGTCTAACGTTTAAATCTTTAATCCATCTTGAATTGATTTTTGTATAAGGTGTAAGGAAGGGATCCAGTTTCAGCTTTCTACATATGGCTAGCCAGTTTTCCCAGCAACATTTATTAAATAGGGAATCCTTTCCCCATTGCTTGTTTTTCTCAGGTTTGTCAAAGATCAGATAGTTGTAGATATGCGGCATTATTTCTGAGGGCTCTGTTCTGTTCCATTGATCTATATCTCTGTTTTGGTACCAGTACCATGCTGTTTTGGTTACTGTAGCCTTGTAGTATAGTTTGAAGTCAGGTAGTGTGATGCCTCCAGCTTTGTTCTTTTGGCTTAGGATTGACTTGGCGATGCGGGCTCTTTTTTGGTTCCATATGAACTTTAAAGTAGTTTTTTCCAATTCTGTGAAGAAAGTCATTGGTAGCTTGATGGGGATGGCATTGAATCTGTAAATTACCTTGGGCAGTATGGCCATTTTCACGATATTGATTCTTCCTACCCATGAGCATGGAATGTTCTTCCATTTGTTTGTGTCCTCTTTTATTTCCTTGAGCAGTGGTTTGTAGTTCTCCTTGAAGAGGTCCTTCACATCCCTTGTAAGTTGGATTCCTAGGTATTTTATTCTCTTTGAAGCAATTGTGAATGGGAGTTCACTCATGATTTGGCTCTCTGTTTGTCTGTTGTTGGTGTATAAGAATGCTTGTGATTTTTGTACATTGATTTTGTATCCTGAGACTTTGCTGAAGTTGCTTATCAGCTTAAGGAGATTTTGGGCTGAGACGATGGGGTTTTCTAGATAAACAATCATGTCGTCTGCAAACAGGGACAATTTGACTTCCTCTTTTCCTAATTGAATACCCTTTATTTCCTTCTCCTGCCTGATTGCCCTGGCCAGAACTTCCAACACTATGTTGAATAGGAGCGGTGAGAGAGGGCATCCCTGTCTTGTGCCAGTTTTCAAAGGGAATGCTTCCAGTTTTTGCCCATTCAGTATGAGAGAAGTTTATTTATTGCATGTCTACTATGATCTGTTGTTTTCCTATAAACAGCCCACAGCCTGTTTTGATTCTTACTAGCCATGTGAGCTTCATTTCCTCATCTGTAAAACATCAGATTTTCACACTGTTGTCAGAACCTAATGCCCAGTTTATAGGAAAACAACAGATCATAGTAGACATGCAATAAATAAACTTCTCTCCCCAACCACCGAGGGAGTCAGATCTGTGAAAATCATTAGCTTTGCCAGTGTTGCTCTATCTTTACAACCTACTCTTCTTCCCCTACCCACTCCCAACCCTCTTCCCACTCAAGCCAGTGCTGATATATCATCTTAAAATCCCCAACTGTCTATTTCAAGAAGAGCCCCCAGATCTCTTGTGTCACCAGACGGTTGAAGTTGGGCCATCCTTGAAAGGGTTGTCTCTTCCTATCAAAAAAAAAAAAAAAAAAGAACAAAGAAAAAATTCTGTAATAACCAGAGATTTGCAGACAGCATTGTTCTATCTGTGTGCTTGAGCAGGACAATGGCAATAGGAATTGAGGACAAGGGACCTTCTACCATGTGCATTAGCAGCATGCTCCTCCTGGAGGCACTGATTAGGCACGGGTTCTTAGTGTCTCAAGACACCATGCTTTGGATATTGACAGCAGCTGCTGTGCCATCTCCTCCACGGAATACACCTTGGTGTTTGGTAGCCTGGCATAGAGAGAGGCCTCATGTCACAGTGAGAAGGAATTCAGGGTGAGGGAGTTTGAAGCTGTACCCTCCTCTCAGTGAGACACTGACTAGGGGCTCCAAGGAACATGAAGACAGAGTAGTTCTTTAAAAAACAGACTCTGCCTCAAATCCCAGCTTTGCCACCTACTCCCTGTGTGACCTTGGGAAACTTAGTTCTTCTTCCTGAACCGCAGCATCATATCTGACAAGTCTGTAATCATAAGGGTCTTTCTCGAGTTGGACAGTTATGAGAATTAAATAACAGAGTGTATGGAGAGCGTGTGGCACAGTCCTGGTAAATACTAAGTGCTCACTAGAAATCCATTATTGTTAGTAATGTGTATCATCTTAAATGGTAACTCTAAACACTAATGAATATAACATGTTAAACAGATAACAAAAGCAGAAGTTTGAGTGGGTGAAAAATTTGAGGTTGACTCATTCTGTTACTGACAAGAAAAAAGGCTTAGAAAGGGGCAGAGTGGGAAAGCCTTAGTAACTAGGACCTCAATGCTGGCTGTTGGCAGAGCAGGGGCAGATTGCCCCTCTCCAGAGTCCCCTTCAGATGCTGGTTCTCCCATGCTGGGGCTGCTTTTCTGCTCAAACATTTATGGCCCATGTTTAGAAAATTACACAAAAATTAAGGAGAATAAGGTGTTAGACCAGTGTGCTATTTGCAGAGGGAATCTTTTTTGGAGGCTTGTTTTTAGAGGGACTCTTTCTTCAGGATAAGAGAGAAATGAATATTTTGTCTAATACTTTCCTAAATACCTAGGGCTACCCCAGAGAAGGGGGTTTCTATATTTCCATCTTAGCTAGATGAAACAGGAAGAGGAGACTGAGTGTTTCACTGCTTCTCTCTCCCTCCCCTCTGCTCCCCCTACCACAGCGCTGAGAGGAGGCCTGTCCTCTACACTCCAGCTCACACTAACCCATTGCTTACACACCGTCAAGCACCACTGAAACTACCTCCTTTGTCCATTGTTCTCCCACCTTCTCAAAGTTCAGCCCCTGACTCCCAGCCTAGACCCAAGGGATGGCGAGTTGATATTTTGCTTCAATGCTGATATTCGGTCTTAAGAACCACTCTGAATTACTAAACAACAGAGCACAAATAATGTTCACCTTTCCAAATGAGATTTTAGATTTCTCTAGGCTGGCTCAGACCCGTGATTCATATCTTGCCTTTTACCCCTGGCCAGTGACTCATAAGTTTGCTTGAGAAGGAAAGACTGAGGTGTCCAGGCTCCATGGTTGAAAGAAGAAGGGTTTTTAACAGAGTGGCTTGGTACTATTTTGGACATGCTTGAGATGAAAATTTATGTAGGTATTTTATGGTGTCAGCATGTAAAATTATGCATAACTACAATGCGAATGGAACCTTGCTTAAAATGTCATAGATTATTTGAATTAAACTCTACTGTAGTCTTAAGTGATGGTTATAATTCAGTCAAAAGGTTTGGAGTCATAATTCCTATTAGAACTCAATTTCCTATTTTGCCTTTTTAAACTTAACAGTTATCTACCTGCTGTCTTACTTATTAAAAGAGGGCTTACCATGAACATAGTACACATTTGAATGTTCTTCTTTTCTTCACCCCCTCATTTTTAAACCCCTTTCTAGAATAGCATATATAGAACAATGACTTAATGGAGAGATTGGTAACTATGGCTCCTGGGCCAAATACTGCTCACTATCTGTTTGATGAATAAAGTTTTATTGGCACACAGCACATCGATTTTCTTATATACTGTCTAAGGCTGCTTTTATGCTACAAAAGGGTTGAGTAGTTGTGACCAGGACCATATAGCCCACAAAGCCTAAAATATTTACTATCTGGCCATTGATTTTTTAAAAAGTGCTGATTTTGACTTAGAGAATGAGTGTTGGAGTCAGATACATCTGGGTTCAAATCAAGTCTTGGTTCCTTGCTAGCTGTGACATTGGGAAAGTTGCATAAGCTCTCTGCAAAACCTAACCTGTACCATGGGAATGATAAATACCTATCTTGGAGGGCTGTTGTGCAAGTTAATTGAAAAACCTACAGCCTTGTGCCTGGCACAGAGTAAATGCTCAATAAATGGTAGCTATGCTGATGATCTTTCATTCTTTTATCCAACAAATATATATTTGGTGCTTTTTCTATGATAGGCCTGGGGACTACGCAGTGACTAAAATGTAGAAAGTTCCTGCTCTTATGGAGCTCACATTCTAATGAGGAAGATAGACAATGGTCAAGAAAAAAAAATCAACAGGTTATTTTCAGAGAGGGTTAAGTGCTATAAATAAAATAAATAGGATGATATAGAAGAAAGTGACAAGGCAAGGGACAGAAAGTTGCTAGCCAAGTTAAGGTCTAAAAATAATAATGAATCAGCCATGCAAATGTCTGCAGAAGGAATGTCCTGGGAGAAGGGACCATAACCACACAGTCTCTGAGCCAGTGATGAGCTGGGGATGGTCCAGGAACAGAGAGATGACCTTGGGGACGAGGGTTGAGTAAGGCAAGGGAGAGTGATAGAGGACCAGGGAGGAGAGGTAGGCAGGGGCAAAACAATGTGAGAGCTTGTAGTTCCTGAAAAGATAATTGGCTCAGAGGCAGGGATGCAAGCTGAGACCATGAAAGAGCAGAAGTGTAAGTGGGACCTTGACCTTATTCTATGATATTTGTTCTAAGTATCATCATCCATCCTCTTTGGTCTCAGGCATTGGCCACTCTTGAACAGAGGAATGAGTAGGGTCCTCGTGAGTCCTGATCAAAGTGGCAGCTCTTGGCTGTGGCAAGCCCATCACACCCTACTTGGGTTCTTCTCCTCACACTGCCCCCTGATTCAGCAGACACATCTTCTGGCCAATGTCACTACCTCTTTAAAATAATTCCTTTTCAGAAGCTTTTACTGCTTCTCCAGGTAGAGCACTTAAGGTGAAAATCAGTTAATGTAATCTCAAAACTCTAATAAATGTCCAGCAACATAAGACCACCAGATAAGCATTTTGTCTCTAGGGTCACTCAGAATTCACAGCTCAGTTCCCATAATTAGCATTTCTTTTATGTCTGATTCATTGAACAGTTGTGGACAGCCCCATAAAAATATTTTACCTGTTTAAGGTTTAAAAGAAGGCCTTAGATATAATCAGTTGCTCAAACTGCCTCCAGAGTTGCTAATAATAGCTACACAGTATTCCACAGTAGCAAAACACTATTGCATACTTGTGGCTCATTTAGAGGTAAAAGTATCCCTTCAGTTTGCTTACCTTTATCCATTTTGAATGACTCCTTCTCTTCCTCTGCTTGTTCTCTTCTTCATTCTCCTTCTTCATCTTCTTCACCATCAGCAAAACTTTTTATTGGAAGTACTTAGCTCACTAATAGTAATTAATATTTCCCTTACAAAGCCGGGCATGGTTGTTCATGCCTGTAATCCCAGCACTTTGGAAGGCCAAGGCAGGAGGATCCCTTGAGCCCAGGAGTTCGAGACCAGCCTGGGCAACATAGTGAGACACTGTCTCTACAAAAAATAAAAACAAAAATTAGCTGAGCCTGGTGGCATGCACCTGTGGTCCCAGCTACTCGAGAGGCTGAAGTGGGATGATAGCTTGAGATGGGGAAGTCAAGGTTGCAGTGAGCCAAGATTGTGCCACTGCACTCCAATCTCGGCAACAGTGAGACTCTGTCTCAAAAACGATCAACAGTATAGTTGTTGAAGGAAAACTATTCTCTCTCTCTCTCTCTCTCTCTCTATATATATATATATATACATATAGTGTGGACTGAAATATATATATATATATATATATATATATATATATATATATATTTCCTTTACAATGTGTAAATATGTGTTCCTGTCTCCACTTACAATGTGTAAATATGTACTCCTGTCTCCAGTTGCTTTAACATTGTTAAAAGAACAAGATCCAAGTGTGGCTGTCTTCCAAGCCATGCTTTCATACAGTGATTCTTTTTTGATTTAGTTGACAACAATTGTATATATTTATGGTGTACAATGTGATGTTTTGATATGTATACTTATATGGTTTGGCTGTGTCCCCACCCAAATCTCACCTTGAATTGTAATAATCCCCACGTGTCAAGTGCAGGGCCAGGTGGAGATAATTGAATCATGGGGGGCGGTTCCCCCATACTGTTCCCATGGTAGGGAATAAGTCTCATGAGATCTGATAGTTTTATAAATGGGAGTTCCCCTGCACAAGCTCTCTTGCCTGCTGCCACGTAAGATGTGACTTTGCTCCTCATTTACCTTCCATCATGATTGTGAGGCCTCCCCAGCCATGTGGAACTGTGAATCAATTAAGCCTCTTTCCTTTATAAATTACCTTTATCAGCAGCGTGAGAACAGACTAACACATGTACATTGTGGAATGATTAAATCGAGCTAATTAACATATTCACCACCTCACATACTTAATTTTTTGTGGTGGGAATATTTAAAATCTATTCTCTTAACAATTTGCAAGTATACATTATTATTAGCTATAGTCACTATGCTGTACAAGAGATCTCCAGGAACTTACTCCTCCTAACGGAAACTTTCTACCCTTTGACCAACATCTCATTTCCCATCTCCTCCTGCAGCTGCTGATAACCACCATTCTACTCTCTGCTTCTTTGAGTTCAACATTTCTGTATCCCACATATAAGTGAGATTATGCATATTTGTCTGTCTGTGCCTGGCTTATTTCACTTAATATAATAATGCCCTCCAGGTGGCTGGGCGCAGTGGCTTATGCCTGTAATTCTGGCACTTTGGAAGGCCGAGGCAGGCGGATTGCCTGAGCTCAGGAGTTTGAGACCAGCCTGGGCAACATGGTGAAACCCCATCTCTACTAAAATACACACACACACACACACACACACACACACACACACACACATTAGCCAGGCGTGGCGGCGTGTGTCTGTAGTCCCAGCTACTCGGGAGGCTGAGGCAGGAGAATTGCTTGAACCCAGGAGGCGGAGGATGCAGTGAGCCGAGATGGTGCCACTGCACTCCAGCCTGGCGACAGAGCAAGACTCCGTCTCAAAACAAAAAAAAAAACAAAACAACAACAACAAAATAAAAATAATGTCCTCTAGGTTTATCCATGTCATTGCAAATGACAGGATTTTCTTCTTTTTTCAAGGCTGAAGAGTAGTCCGTTGTGTATATACACCATACTTTCTTTACCCACTCTTCCATCAACGGACACATAGGTTGCTTTAATATCTTGGCTATTGTGAATAATGCTGCAATGAACATGGGAGTACAAATCTCTCTTTAATACAGCAATTTCAATTCGTTTGGATATGCATCCAGAAGTGGGCTTGCTGAATCATATAGTAGCTCTATTTTAAATTTTTTGAGGAACCACCCCATACTGTTTTCCATAATAGCTGTACTGCAAACACTGATTCTTAATCTGGGGTCCATGGATGACCTTGGAGGGAGGTTATGAAACTGCTGAAATGGAATGTAATTTTTTACATGTACTTTTTTTCTGGGAAAGAGCCTGGAGTTTCATCAGATAATCGAACTGTTCCCAGATGCCAAAAAGTGAGGAACTACTGCTTTAAAGACTTTACTGACTCAATCAGTAGTATAGTTGTTAAAGGAAAACTATGCACGTTTATACCTGGAAACGAAAAACATGCTGAAGTTGAATCTGGAGAACGCTGTGATTCTGAAATACACCTTTTACCAGCTATGATCTGTGAAAGCAAGTGGGACTGATATCTGGATCCAATGGAACCTTCAGACTTTGAGGGGACTGGACATTTTCCTAGGAACTGCAAACATTACCTAGTACCCACTCTGTGCCAGGTGTTGTCTCAGTGCCTTACATATTTTAACTCTTAATCCTTTTAGTACTATAAAGTAGGTACTATTATTAGCTTTGTTTCATGGATAAGGAAAATGAGGCACAGAGAGATAAAAACCATAAATTGAGTTTACTTTAAACATTCCAAGACCCTTCACAATTGTGGACAGTGTAATTTTGTGATTTGTAATTAATGGTTCACAATAATTATGATTTTGACATGTGTAAATGGCAGCCATGTTGTAATCTTGAAGTACATCCCAATTAATAGTAGGATTCCTATACATGCCACCTCTGTTTTTGTGAATAAGAATGCCATGGAATACTATGCAGCCATAAAAAAGGATGAGTTCATGTCCTTTGTAGGGACATGGATGAAATTGGAAATCATCATTCTCAGTAAACTATCGCAAGAACAAAAAACCAAACACCGCATATTCTCACTCATAGGTGGGAATTGAACAATGAGATCACATGGACACAGGAAGGGGAATATCACACTCTGGGGACTGTTGTGGGGTGGGGGGAGGGTGGAGGGATAGCATTGGGAGATATACCTAATGCTAGATGATGAGTTAGTGGGTGCAGCGCACCAGCATGGCACATGTATACATATGTAACTAACCTGCACAATGTGCACATGTACCCTAAAACTTAAAGTATAATAAAAAAATAAATAAAAAATAAATCAGTATATGCACTACTGAAAAAAAAAAAAAAAAAGAATGCCTTACCAGGTCACATACAGAGGAGAGCAAGTTAACTGCTTTGCTTAATTAGAATTTGGCTAAGAGTCACTATGGCTTATAAAATAAGTTTACTAACCAAGTAAGCAATTTTATTTTTGTAACTATTAGCACAATCAAAAAAATTCAGACTGTTTACCTAAGGCATGCCACAACATTGTGGAGCTTAAAGTCAATGAAACTTTATCTCTGGGAGGTTAAAATTTCATTCATTTAGGATTTGATCAATTGATGGAGCTTTAGATATAATTCATTCTTTACCTAGATTATATTTATTCAACAGTTAATGAGCAGGTGACCTAGAAATTTAAATGAACTATTCTCTAAAAACATCACTTATAAATAAGCTAGAGAAAAACCAACATTATTGATCTTGATTTATTTAACCCATTGATTACCTATAGCAGTTACTAGGAATTCTACAATTTATGTATGTGTGCTTAATTTACATATGTTCCAATGCTTTATGGAGGTGAAGTAGGCCCAGAAGTGAGAGCCTCTGGAAAAATAACTATGATGTGATTGATAAAGGGGGAAGGTGTTTTGTTACCTTGTAAGCAGAATCAGATGTGCAAAAGGAATGGGGTGAGGGAAGTGTTGGTCTCTGTGATCCATCCAACCAGTAGTAAAACAAAATGGGGCTAGAAGAAGAAATTGCACCTTGTGATCCTGGATTATGAAAAGCCTATTCTCTAATATCTCACTTGCATTTTGGAGATCATCCTTGTAATAAACATCAAATATTGTATGGAGTAAGATGATGATGACTGCTAGTTAGAAAAGATGTGGTTAAAACCATAACCAATCCTGCTATGCTTACTTAGGTTTTGCTTTATATAAGGTAATTCAGATAATTGGAAACTAGGTTCATAACACTCTTTACTTTGGAGGCCTTTTCTTTTGGGAAATCTGTAAGTTAAAAGCCAAAGACAGTTACACAGAGTATGTTTAGAACACCCAAGAGAATAAATTTTCCAAAGGAAAATATTTGAGCTTTTATATGTCAAATTTCTTTAGAAGTGTTCTAAAAATTCTAAATTTCTTTAGAAGTATTCTAAAAATTAGCCTTAGTTGAACTTAGATTGATCTTCCTTCCGATTATACTTAATGAGTGAGGTTCTACCTTACTTTGAACTCATTAGAAAAAGAATAATCTAATTGCAAAGTAGTTCAGCTTCTCCTCTTCATGAAAATTCTTTCCTATTGACAAAGACTGATTCTGAGGGAGAAACAATAAAAATAAGTCTCTAGCCATGCCTAGTTTTTCCCTTTCAAGCCTTTTCAAATTCCTTCTTTCAAGAGTATTGGGCATGTGTGTGTTTCCTCCCAGGCTCTGCTTGGCCTTGTTCTAGATTGTGGCATTCTGTTCTGTGTAGACCACCCCCTACACTGGAGATCAGGGCCCCTAGTTTTCCTTGTAGTCACATGTTTTCTCTACTCTGACCCAGGGAGTGGGGTGAGGGAGAGAAGATGGGAACTCTGCTGTCTACCTTAGATGCATGCCTGCTCTAAGAGCTACAAAGTCACAAGCCCCCAAACTCTGTGGTTCCCACATCGCTCCTTGAATGTTTCTATTCCTAAGGCTATCCTTGTTCAGGACTCTTGATAGTTATAACAGCCATGCACCCTGTCCTTTCATAAGTAGCTAATCATGTCTTGTACTTAGACATTCAACAAATAGATATTGAGCATCTGCTTTAGCAAGGTACCGTCAGGTACTAGGAATGTAGGGGAAAAGTCAAGAATGCCATTTAAGAGAGAGAGAGGGGCAGATATTAAATGATTAATTCTACAATTAAGTATTTAGTTATAATTATGGTCATTCCCATGGGGAAGAAACTTAAGAAAGGGGCCTGCCTTAGTCTGAAGGGTCCACAAAAATTTTCATGAGGCGGTGAGACTTGAGCTGTGTTATGAAGTATGAGTCAGAGAAGAGATGTGGCAGGGACCACTGCAGGCAGAGCAAATGCCAGGGAAGGGCAGAGCCTGGCTTTCGTGGGGAAGTGAAAGAAAGCCAGGGTGGCTGGAGTCAGAGAGCGAAAGAGTACGTGGACGGAGATGGGGGGTGGTGAGATTAGCAAGGGCGGACTGAGCTAGGTATTTAACACATGTTACAGGCTTTAGTTTTTGTTCTAAAATCTGTAAGGAATATATGGAAGGATTTTAGTCAGTTGGGATGGTGACAAGGGAGAGCGATGGGGGTATTTGGCATGGTGCATTTTGGCATGATGCATTTTCAAATGTTTAGGCTGGCTGATGTGTATGGGGGTATTTGGCATGGTGCATTTGGCACGCTGCATTTTCAAATGCTCGGTCTGGCTGATGTGTATGGGATGTCTGGATGGGTAGCCAGTGCAGAAGTAGATGTGGGGCATCCAGGCAGTGAGTCATTATGCCCCCCAGTGAAGATGGTGATATTTTGGATTAGGATAGTGCAGGTGGAGAGGGAGATAAGGGGGTGATGGGTTTAAAGCTATTTAAAAGGTAAAATTGTTTAAGAGTTAATGTTCTATTGGATGCAGGAAAAAGTCAAGAACTTCCAGGTTCTTGGCCTGCTGAGGAGATGGTATGAAGTGAGAATGAAGGAAGGACTTGAGCCAGCAAAACATGCCAAGAGAAAACATCTAGGGGGGTAGAAAGAAATGCAGGAGAGCACAAGGTTGTGAAAGCGGAGAGACTGCCTGGCTCTTTACACCCAGAGCTGGGACTTGCTCAGCAAGCCATCCCTACCCAATAATCTGCCGTCAGGTTATACAACAGTAGAAAGCTTGGAATGAGTCTGGGTTTGTCCATGTTAAAATCTAGTCCACCTTAGGATCTCTTTTCCAGAAGACAAGACGCTTTATTTTCATATCATTCCAGCCAGTATCTCAGCTCCACAAACCATCTTGGACAGTATCTTTTAAGAACCAATGGTGATTTTTAGGGAAATGTTCTTAAGCAATACTTAGGAACAAAAGGTTTTCCTGAAAGACATAGTGTCCGCAGAGATGCAATTTTAAGCACAGCAAAGACAACCTTTTAAAATGTTATATAGTGTAGCCTGTCTTGTTAGAAGCACCTAAGTCTCTTCATTCTACATTACGACCTTTGGTTTATCTCAGTCCAACCAGAAGTGTCATAAATGTGGTTCGATTGTCATTAGAGCTGTTCACAAATGTTTAGTTATCCGGGACACATGGTAGGATTACACTTCTTTACCCAACAAAGCGGATTAAGAGCCAGTGTACAGCTTACTACACTCTCTTTTCCAGCCTTGGCAAACACGAAGGCATGTATCAACATGGAACCTTCCTCAGCCTGGGTCCCTCAGTGACCATTATGAGCAGAGTCCCAGGATAACCTGCTGTTGACATGTAGCATAGGCAAGAAACAAACTCTGTTGTTTCAAGACTAAGACGTTTGTTACTGTATTATAATCTAGCGCATTCTGACTGATATAGTCACTCTCCCTAGAACAAAGTAACTTTAAGGGTTCATATGAGTTTCAAAAATTTAGGACAAATTTTGTGAGGATCCAAGCTCAAAGGAATAGCATTTCCTCTTTTGTCCCAAAAGTATCTGCAAGAAGTATGTTTTTCAAGCATAAGATCTTCGCAGCCTAGCCCTGAGATGAGGACGACCAAAAAACTAGAGCCAGTTCCAAAGCAAATCCTAAAAACAATTATCATAATGTTTTCAGACCTGGGATCTGCTAGCGCAGCTCTAACTACCATGTTCTTGCCTAGGCTAGCTGAATAATATATCCCTTGTATGTTTGGGCTTTAGTATCAGGTAGACGCTGAATTCAAAGTGTGTTTCTGCCACTTTACAGATTCTGACCTCTCCTGGTGCCTCAGTTTCCCCATCTGAAAAATGGGAGTAATAATAGTTTCTAACCCATGGGGCTATTGAGAGGACGGGCCCATCATCTGCCTGTTTGCCCTTGGATCTATTCCCCATCCTTCCCTGCTCTACTCTAGATCTTAGGACAATGCCTCCTTGCAAACTTATTCCTCAGGCTTCCTTGAAGCTTGGGTCAGCCCCAGTTGGCAGAGAGAGGATAAAAGTCATGGTATCTCCCTGTTTCTCACGTGGCACCTCCAGTGGCAGTGGCTCCATGGTTTTGGCTCCTCCTGGTCAGGACCCCCTCCTTGGTCCCAGTTGTAGCCTATGAGGAGATGGCTCTTGGCTCTGTCAACACCTGTCTTTGCCACTCCAGCCTGAGGGAGGGTAGTGATCTCGTGTTGCTGCTGATCTCTGGGCCTCACCCTTCTACTTTTGTCTTCTCTGCTCTTCCAAGACCTTTCTAAGTAGTTTTCTGTATTAAAGTCTCACTAGCAAGCTGTCTGGAAGGGGTTCGTTTTTCTGATGGCGCCATGACTGACACAGGTGATTATTTGAGAAAATGCCTCTAAAGTACTTAGAATAGTGCTTGGCACATAGAAATTGCTCAATAAAGGGTAGCTAACAAAACCTACTTACTTTCTTCCTTACCTAGATTCTCTGCGGCCAATTTAACCCAGGCGGGCAGGCCCCTGCATACAACATAGCTCCTGAATCATTGCCCACTTCTTCTCTTCCTGGTTGACCAAGTCCATAGACATGGGCTTCTATTTTGATTCACCCTTCTCTAATCTTACAAGGTAAAGGGTATTCACATACCTCCATGACATTTATGACACATGTCAGAATTTTATTTTGAATTTTCCAAACTTTTTACTATGGCTTAAAAAGACCTGGTCGGCCTGTGTTCCCAATTCCTTCCTCTGCCATTTTCCCACTTACCCACTCCAGCCACACTGGCCTTGGTTCAGTTCTCACTCTCTGCCAAGTTCTGCCCTCCCTCTGGGCTTTGGCCTGTGCTCTTCCCTCTTCTTGGAGAGGTCTGCTCTGGGCTCCTGTCTTGGCCAGGCCCTGCTCACACCCTGGCCTCAGTGTAGCTGCTCTCCCCTTTTAGGAGTCCTCCCTGACCACCTTATCCAATATCGGCCACCTCTGTTCTTCTCTGGGACAGATGCTGTTTGGATTCTTTATTGCACTTAAAAAAATTTCATTGTGATTTTAAGTTTGTTTATCTTTCTTCCTACTGTCTCCATCCCTACATACCATATGCCATTAGACCATGAATTCCACAAGGGTAGGATCTGTGTGTACCTTCTTCATCCCTGTGTCTTCAGCACTTAGCAGGATGCCTGCTGCAAAAAAGGCTCTCAGTCAGTGTGTTATGAATGAATGGATAAACGAATGAATACTGTATTACTCTGTCTTTAAATAGCTTATGTCAAAGTTCTCTTGAAGGCCAATAGTGATAATTTGGGGCATTCCACCCTCCTACCCCTTACCCTGTTGCTTGTGTTGTGCGGAAGCCAAGCAGAGGCCCTGGGTCGGCTCAGGCTGGTCCCCTTCCTCATTGCACCTTGCCTGGGCTCTGCGTGGTACTCAAAGTTCCATTCCTTTCATGACATACTCCACCACTGGGACCTTCGCTGCGGTTTCTAAGGTGCTGGACTGTCATTCTTCACAGTCCCCCCATCTTCACCCTTTTTTGAAGCCCTGCCACCTCCAAGGTTCTGCATCTGAAGGATCTCAGAGCTGAGCCACCATCAGACCCCTGAGTCCTGTCCCTTCTCAATGCCGAGCCATTCTGGCCTCCACTCTTTTCTTGGACAATCTCTCCTCCCACAATCCAGCTTGAGTCCATGAGAAAACAAAGGCCCATTTAGAATTTGTCTTCTTGGATACCAGCCCCAGTTGAGCAGCTTCTCATTTTTTTGCTTTTGATCACAAAAAGGCAGTTAGTTGCAATTACTTAGCCTACTTCCAGGTCTTAGGAAACCTCAGGATTTAAACCACAGAGCCTGGCTATGCTCCTGGGAGAAAGGAAAAATACCTTTTATTCCCTAAGAACAAGCAAACAGTAGTTAAAAATTAAGAGACATTCAAGCTAATTTCTTAACTACACTGCTCTGCTAGTTATCCCATGCAGGGCCCCAGTTTCCCTCTAGAATTGGTGCCCTGCCCAGTGGCACAGCTAGTGGCTAGAAGCGTGAAATACTACCTAGTTCCCACCGTGCTTTCTTCCTGGGGAGTTGAACCTTGTCATGTACCCTATCTGGTGGGAGATGGCAAGAGAGATCTCCCAGAAGCCTGGCTGCTTACTGCCTGGCTCCAGTGTATTTGATGACCATCTTGAGAGACTGCTGCTCTAACCTGCCTCATCACAAAGACACTTTCCATTCTAGGCTGTCCGAGTTGGACCTGGACTTGGTGCATTCTTTGAACACTATGTCTTGTTATAACTAACTTCAGTGTCCAGGAAAATGTGCTTGTCTTCCCGTCTGATTGGCTCTGCCCTCCTCACTCTCCCTCCTAGAATGAGGTCCCAGCATGCCTTATGCTTGAGCCCAGGAAGTTTACATTATTATAAGCCGTGATGTTTGGCCACAGTTCAGTCTTCTTTAAGACTTGGAAGCAAGTGTGTATGTAAGAAGAAATATCACAAATATTTTAGCTTGGGAGCAATCGCTTGGGACTAAGGAAATAGTTGTCTGTGTCTGTCGTGTGGGCCCACTTTTCTTGGTGTAGCATTTTGGAAGATTCTGCCTTCTCTAAAAGAAGGAAGAATATTCATTATTTGCTTCTCTGAATTATTCAGTTCTGAAGTATGATTTCATAAACCAATATATATGTGATGGGTAATGCAATTAGCAGTCCAAGTGTGGGGTGCCGTTATAGACATTTCCAGCCAGCACTATGCTATTCCAGTCATCCTCTAACATCTCTTATTTAAAGCTGAGTCTATTGATTGTTTCCTGATGAAGCAGGTTTCAGTCAAAATGAAGTCCTTATTATGCCATAAATGTGGTAAAAGTAAGTCAGAGGGGTTTCTTTCTCTTCTGGCCTAAGACCCTTTCTTTCTTTTCTTTTTTTTTTTTTTTAAGATGGAGTCTCACTCTGTTGCCCAGGCTGGGGTGCAGTGGCACAATCTTGGCTCACTCTCTGGCTCCTGGGTTCAAGTGATTCTCTTGCCTCAGCCTCCCGAGCAGCTGGTATTACAGGCACACGCCACCAAGCCCAGCTAATTTTTTGTATTTTTAGTAGAGACGGGGTTCCACCATGTTGACTAGGATGGTCTTGATCTCTAGACCCTGTGAAAGACCCTTTCTTAAAGGCAGAATCTAAGGTCACCTTCACTGCCACCCCTCAGCATGCGATACACTGGTAGGGACTATTTCTGGATATTTTCTCTCTCTTTTATTATTTTTTTAGAATGTTTGAGTCATTCTGGCAATGAGATCCAGGCTCAAATATGATTAGAAATATATTTATTTATTTGCAGCTATTTAATTGTGCATATTTTATTTTATCCAATGAAATCTTGAATTTCTAAAAACAGGGACTAGAGTGTATCCTCCTTACAGAGTATAGGTAGGCAGTAAAAAAGTTTTTGATTAATTGTTTAAATAAACTGGGCTTGGGATGTGTTGCAGTAGGGGTCTAAGCTGCCCATTTCATTAAAATGAACCTACATAGTGACAATCAGGAATGTTACCCGAGAGTAACAGAAGACAACATTGTAATGGCTTACACAGGTAGAGGTTTGGCAAAATCCAGAGGTGTGTGATTCGTGGTGTTGGGTTTGGATATTGAATTACGTAGCAAATGGGAACAAAACGGAAAAGGAAGCGGTGCCAGCTGTGTCCTCTTTTACTAGGAAAGAAAAACTTCAGGAACCCTCAGTTTGCCTTGCTCTCAGTTCACATTGCCCAGAACTGGGTCATGTGACCATCTTGGCTAGAAGGATAGTTGCAGTATTAGGGAACAAGATTATCATAATTGGCTTAGATACCTTGATTCATTCTTTTCTCAGAGCTAGGCAAGAGATCACCCTGAATATAATCAGAGAGTAGAAATACGTCTTGAACAGGTAGGTCTCAGTGAGTGCCCCAGATCAGCTGGAAGTAGGGAAGTGAATTCTGGAAGCCACAAGTCAATGAACTTGATGCTGATTTTTGAAACTTTTTGAAACAATGATTAAACAGGAGTAGTGTAAATATTCTAGACTATAAGCTTGAAGGGAGGAAGTGTGGTGCTGTCTTGTTCAATGCTGTCTCTACAATAGGTTGGGTGGCGTGAAGTAGATATTCTATAAATATATACTGAATAAATAAATAAACAAAAGCAGCCCAAAGAAAAGTAGGTCATAATGAGAAGAGCATGAATCCAGTAAGAATAATTCATGCCAAACTACTTCCTTTAAAAGTTCTTGATAGAACAATCATTATATTTTATATAAGGGAATTTAATAGATACTTTATCATTAGATTTTTGCAAGTCAGTTAACAATGTCCTTACAATATTCTTGTAGAGCAATGCTATTATACATGGGTAGATCTGCAGCTACTTGAACAAATGCACCCAGGGAAGTTTGGTCAACGAATCTGGATCAGTCTGAAAGGGAGCCTCTGAACAGGGACTATTAGGAAGGCAGCATGAATTATTGTCAAGAATATGAGGTTTAGTATGAGAAAGGCCTAGGTTCAAATCCCTTCTGTGCTGCTTTGTGTCTGGTTGATTTGGGCAATTTATTTAATTACTCTGAGCCCATTTTTCTTATCTGTAAATTAAGGATCATAATATCTTGCAGCATCATCATGAGAATGAGCCATGTTAAAATGTAGCAGGTATACTGGTCAATATGTAGGATGGCAGAACAAAGATTTTAAAATACCTCGAACATCTGGAAAATGGCAAAACAAAACAAAATGCAATGTACACAGAGGTACATGTGCATTACTTTCACAAACACAGGGTGTGTGCCATTTTCATAATTGGCTTAGGTATCACAATTCATTATATTTTCAGAGTTGGCCAGGAGATTGTCCTGAACAAAATCATAGAGAGGGAAACAGAGAGGGAATAGCTTCTCTGCTGGTACAATGGGTGGGACCAGCTTTTTATAGGATCTAATCAGACTCACCTTATGAAGACAGGAAATCTAACATCTGGTACACCACCCTGAAAACAAAAGGCAACTAGCTTGGGTAATGAAAGGCTGTATTACTGTGTATACAGAATTTGTAGTGCTGTCACTCTTCTTGTTCCTAATATCAATAATGTGTGTCCTCCTCTTTTTTCCTTATGAATCTGGCTAGAGGTTCATTAACTCTATGGATTTTCTCAAAAAATTAACTTTCAGTTTCAATTGTTTTTTATTTTCCTACTTAAAAATTTTTCTGCTTTCGTTGATATCTGCCCTTTATTATTTTCTGTTTTTGTTTTGCTTATTTTGGGTTTAATTTATACTTTTTTCTTAAGGCTGAATCTGAGATAAATAATTTGAGATCTTTCTTTTTTTCTAGTATAGGTGTTTTAGTGCCATAAATTTCTAAGTACTGTTTTAGCTGCATTCCTCAAAGTATGATATATTGTGTTTTCATTATCATTTAGTTCAAGGTACTTACAAATTTTCATTTTTCTTTTTTACAGCATGATTTTTTAAAAGTATGTGAGTTTCTAAATAGTTAAGGATTTTCCAAATACCTTTAAGTTAGTGGTTTCTAATTTCTACCGTGCTCAGAGTATATGTTTTATGATTTGGATCCTTATATGTGCATCAAGACTTGTTTTATGATCCAGAATATGACCTATCTTGGTGGATGTTCTGTGCACACTTGAATGTTTATTTTCCTGTTATTGGGTGGCATGTTCTATAAATGTCAATTAGATCAAGTTGGGTTGATAGTATTGTACAAGCCTTTTACATCCTTATTAATTTTTTACCCACAGTTCTATTAGTTATTGGGGGAGGGGTATTGAAATGGCTGACTACAATTGTAGATTTTTAAAATTTCTTCTTGCAATTCGATTAGTTTTTGATTTATATGTTTTGAAGTGCTGTATTAGAGGAATAAATATGTAGAATCAGTTTGTCCTCATTATGAATTGACCCTTTTATCATTATAAAATGATCCTCTATATTTCTGATAATATTCTTTGTATTGAAATTATATGATATTAATATACCCACCTATATTTCTTTTGATTAGCATTAGTATAGCATACTGTTTTCTAACCTTTTACTTTTACTTGTCTTAATATTTAAAGTGAGTTTTTAAATAGGTGGCATATCATTGGATCTTCATTTTTTTTCCAGTCTGACAATATCTGCCTTTTAATTAGGGTGATTACTTATATGAGCTTAAATCTATCATCTTGCCATGTATTTTCTCTTTATTCTATCTATTCTTTCTTTTCTCCCCCATCATTTACTGCCTTCTTTTGAATTCATTAAACATCTTAAAAATTCGACTTAAGCTTCTTTGTTGATGTGTTAACAATAACTCTTAGTTTTGCTTTCATAGTAGTTGCTTTAGGAGTTAAAGTATACATTTTTAACTTATTACAGTTTACCTTCAAGTATATTATACTGCTTGGTGCGTAAGATAAGAATCTTACAACAGAATACTTCTCCCTTCCTGGACTTTGTGCTGTTGTCATCATACATTTTATTTGTACATGTTATAAACCCCACAAAATATTGTTTTTGTTTGTGCATTAAGCAATCATGTTTTAAAAGAGTTTTAATGGCTGACATGGTGGCTCACTCTTATAATCCCAGCACTTTGGGAGGTCGAGGCAGGCGCATCACTTGAGGTCAGGAGATCGAGACCGGCCTGGGCAATATGGTGAAACCCCAACTCTACTAAACATACAGAAAAAAATTAGCTGGGCGTTGTGGCGGGTGCCTGTAATCCCAGCTACTCGGGAGGCTGAGGCATGAAAATTGCTTGAACCTGTGAGGAGGAGGTTTCAGTGAGCTGAGATCACGCCACTGCACCACTGCACTCCAGCCTGGGTGACAGAGCGAGATTCCATCTCAAAAATAAAATAAAATAAATTAAAATAAAAGGGTTTAAAAAATAAGAAAAATTATTTACCTACGTATTTGTGGTTTCTTAAGCTCTTAATTCCTTTGCATAGATTCAGAATTCCATCTGACAGCATTTTTTTTTTGCCTGAAAGACTTTCTTTAACATTGCTTATAGAACGGTCCTGCTGGTGATGAATTCTTTTGGCAATTCGATGTCAAAATATGTTTTTATTTTATTTTTTTGATATATATAAAAATATATAAAATGTACATACCATATATTAATATAAAAAGAACTCTTGATTGATAGGTTCTTCATTCAGTACTTCAGATGCTGCTCCACCATCTTCTGGTTTGCATTTTTCTGATGTGAAATCTGCTGTCATTCTTATCTTTGTTCCTCTGTACAGTAATGTCTTTTTTTTTCTCTCTGATAGCTTTTAAGATTTTCTCTTTATCAGTGGCTTTAGGCATTTTGATTGTGATGTTTCTTGGTATGGTTTTCTTCATGTTTCTACTGAGTTTGTTGAGCTTTTTGGGTTTATAAGTTTATAGTTTTGGTCAAATTTGGAAAGTTTTCATCAATTATTCTTTCAAATGCTTTTTTCTGTCCTCCCTAATCTATTCTCACCTCATATTTCTCATTTTCTTCAGGGACTACAATTGCATGTATACTAGGCTCACTGATACTCTACTTTTACTTTCAGTATTTTTCTTCCCTTAGTGTTTCATTTTGGATAGTTTCTATCACAATGCTTTCAAGTTTTTTTTTGTTTGTTTGTTTTTGTTTTTGAGACAGAGTCTCGCTCTGTCACCCAAGCTGGAGTGCAGTGGCACAATCTTGGCTCACTGCAAGCTCTGCCTCCTGGGTTCACGCCATTCTCCTGCCTCAGCCTCCCGTCAGGTTTTTTACTGTTTCTTTTTTAGTAATGTCTAACCTATTAATCCTGTGTGTGTGTGTGTGTGTGTGTGTGTGTGTGTGTGTGTGTGTGTCTGTGTGTGTGTGTTAGGGTGTTAAAAATCTTAGATGTGGTTTTATTATCTCCTAGATGTTTGGTTTGTGTCTTTTTTTTTTTTAAAGATTTTTCACATCTCTACTTCCCATGCTCAGTTTATTTTTTCTACTTGTTGAAAACATTGAATACAGTCATAATTACTTTCTTAATGTCCTTGTTCTCTTATTTTATCATCTCTGTCATTTCTGGGATGATTTCAATTGGTTGATTTTTTTTTCTCATTTCCTGCTTCTTTTCGCATGCCTGATAATTCTGTTTGGATTCCAGATGTTGCAAATTTTACCTTGTTAGGTGTTGGTTATTTTTAATTTCCTGTAAATATTCTTGTGCTTTGCTCTGGGACACTTTGTTCTCAAAAACGGTTTAATCCTTTGGTGGCTGGCTTTTAAGATTTCTAAGATAGAATCAGAGTAGCTTTTACATTAGAGCTAATTTTGCCCCACTACTGAAGCAAAACCATTTGAGTTGTGAATTATGAGGTTTTCCAGTCGGGGTGCCAGGATCAGGCACTATTTCTGGTCCTGTATAATCACTGGGTATCTTTCTACTCTGCCTTGTGGGAGCAGAATTAATTTCCTACCCTGTGCAAACTTTAGTAATTGCTCTCTCTTTTCTTCATACATGATTATTTCCTGCCCTTAGGTAGCTTCCTCACACACATGCTCTAATCAGCGGAAGACTGGAGTGAGATCTGTTGTAGATCTCCACAGCTCCTTCTTTCTCTGTGTAGCTTTCTCCTTTCTGATATACAACTCACAGTTCCAGCTGCTTTGGCCTCCCTGCTCTCCCAGTTCTATCTCTTCAACTCAGGGAGTCTGCCTAGCTCTTTTTGGCTGCTCCCTCTAGTTAGTAAATCAAGGCAATCATAGGGCTCACCTCATTTGTTTTCCCTCCTCAAGGACCACTGTCCAGCACAACGTTTAAAAGCCATTGTCTTATAAATGCCTGTTTGTTTTTGTTTTTAGTTGTTTTAGGCAGGAGAGTAAATTCAGTCCTGTTGCTCCATCTTAGCTGGCTAGACTGGATTGCTATAAATTTTAAACTATCTAAATAGTTGCATATATTTAGGGGGTACAAATCGATGTTATGACTTATGAATACAATGTGGAATAACTGAATCAAGCTAATTGACATATCCACCTCAAATACTTCTCAGTTTTCATGGTGAGAACTTTTGAAATGTACTCTTAGCGATTTTGAACTGTATAATACATTATTATTTACTATATTCACCATGCTGTGTAACATATAGTCCGAAGGGGGAAAAAAGCCCTTATTTCTCCTAACTGAGGCTTTTTATACTACAAGCCTTATTTGCTTCTTTTCATATCTCATTTTCCTCCTTAAAGGAAAAGGCACTCAGCCACTTTGGTAGAAATTACACAACATGGCCATTTGCAATCCCTGCCTCTCCCATTCGTAGTAAATCCTACATAGTCTTACAGATCTCATAAAAAGTCAGACCACACACATAACCTGATAGCCCACGCGCACATTCCCAACAGAGCCTGGAAGAGGGACAAGCTCCCGGATAAGCTGAATTTACACAAAGCAGAATGAGGTACCCACACACACTCACACACGCATGGCCTAGGCAGGGTAACCATCTGTCCAGGCGCTCACACACTATCTTTAGCCACACACAGGCACGCACACTCGAGTACACACATTACACCCTCGGATCCGCTCACGCTCCCTGAGGCTCGCAGGCCGGGCCCCGCCCCCGGCGCTGGCTAGCCGGCGGCCCCGCGTCAATGCCACGCGCCGGTTGCGTCATCAGGGTGCGCCACTGCAGCTGGCATTGGCCGGGACTGGAAGTGCGGGCTTCTGCAGCAGCCGAAGCTGGAGCTGCTAGGGTGCGAACTGCCAGGGCAGGTGTGGGCTGCGGGAGGCTACTCGGGCCGGGAGCGCCGGGACAAGTGCATGGAGGTGGTGCGACTCCTGCAAGTTGCTGGGGCAGTCGTGTCCCCTATTCCCTGACACCCGAGCTCCGGTCTTCTCCCTGAGAAATCGGTCGGGCTCGTGCAGGGGTGGGGATCAGGATTCATCTCTCCTGGGGAGACTGCGCTGGGGCATGGGTTCCCCTGGGTTGGAAGGAGTCCTTATGGACTCAGTCCCCTAAGTATCTGCACGCGCGGAGGCGCCGCCAGCCAGCCCGCCTGGGTCCCTAGGGAACATTGAGGCAGTAAGGGGTACTCTGAGAGCAGCCGGTATGCTGGAGATAATTAATGACAGCGTTACCATTGATTGGACTGAGCGCTCACTGTGTGTTACACACTGTGGTAGACCCTTTGTTTATATTATTCCGTCCTCTCAACAATCCAGGAGGTTAAGAGCTATCATTCTGCCCATTTTCCAGATGGGAAAACTAAGGCATAGAAGTTAACCAACTTATGGTAATAAAAAATCACACAGATGGTAAGCAGTGGAAGATTTAAACCTCACAGCTGGTCTTCCAGCCTCTGTCCTTTTCAGATCCTCTAGTCAGCTTCTCTCAGCGCATGCTGCTGGCTGGTGCCTCTGGGATATTGCTTCTTTATTACTCCTTGACCTAGAGCGAACTGTGCGGAGGGAGGAAGTGCAAAACGTGGACCTCCTGTTGGCACAAACGAGCCTCTTTGTCCTCTCCTCATCCTCTCTTCACTTCATTTTCTCAGGCAGCAGCGGCTCCCCTGTTGTATGGACATTCTGCACCCGAAACTGATAGCTGAGTCCTGAAGTTTTATGTTATGAAACAGAAGAACTTTCATCCCAGGTGCATTGGTTTATTCTCTCCCCTAGCCTGTTATGTTAGATTGTACTTATGTTAAATTTTTAAGGACATAGGTGGTTATGCCGAGAATAACAGTGACTGTAGCCAACCCATGTGGGGATTGTAAAGAAATTGGAATATGCCTTCCAAAGGAACACTGTTAATCTAGACATGACCTTTCAGGATTTTAAAGGAATAATTTTAGGCCAGGTGAGAAACAGCCAAAAGCAAAAATAATGTGAGGCTAGAGATTATGTTTGAAAGTTTTTATATTTTGGATTAATATCTATTCTAGGAGTTTACTCTTAGTGAATCTTTTTCCTTAGGGTAGAAAAAAGCTTATCGAAAAGGATGAAAACTTATACATCAGATATTTCAAAATAGTGTGCTTTTCTTTCAGAGCTTTGTAGCTTTGTATTACCTTTGTATTAAAAGTGAAAATGTTCTTTTAGGACATCACAAGAAAATTAAGATCTTAATTTAAGTACGGGAACTTAAGGGGTGCCCTAATTGCCTTAATTAAATAAACATGCCTTCCTTCTGCCAGGAACTATTCAATTAACAAAAATGAAATAAGAATAAGCTCTTATTTTCATTTGCAAATGACTATTCATAGCTATTTTGTTTGGATACAATTCATAGCTATTTTGTTTGGATACTATTTTGTTTGCATACTATGTTTTGTTTGGATACTATTCATAGCTATTTTGTGTGGATACAAAGGATACAATGTTGTATCCTTATATATTCAGGAAGTCTTAGAATACAAATGCTGATTTTTTTTTTTTCTAGTCAGGGAAGCCTAACTGTGTTCATATAAACACATCAAAGTCAGTTTTTACCTTGTGACTCAACATGGTAGAAGTCTGTCAGTTCATGTGATATCCCATTGTGGAGCAAAGTAATGTAGAAATCAGAATTTTGAGTTCTAGTATTTACTCTCTCGATTCCTTGTTAATTTAAATGGTACCTATTTTTTATAGCACATGATTTGGGAATTACACTTTGTGACATGGATGAATCTGCACTGACCCTTGGTACAATAGATGTTTCTTATCTGCCACATTCATCAGAATACAGTGTTGGTCGATGTAAGCACACAAGTGAGGAATGGGTAAGTTTAGGATAAGAGTTAAAAGCACTCAGCCTAAAAATGTTCATTTCAATGATGTTTATGAAGGTGCAAATACTGGCAGCAACATAATATCACATCAAGATTAATAGCTACAGAAACTGGTATGTTTATGAAGCCTAATAAAAAATTTTATGGCATTATATTGGGAAGAAAAAATGGTTAGAAAATTTATGTACACTGATTATGTTAGAAAACAAAATAATCATTTTGCATAGGAAAAAAACCCTAGTAGTAGTTTTGGGTCGGTAAGAAATTTTTTTTTCTTTCTTTCTCTTGGTATGTACTTTCCATGAGTTATACTTGAAAAGCATGAATTTTATAATAGAAGTAAACTTTAAAAAATTAGGAACTTATAGTATGAATTCAATCCAAAAGGCGTACATTTTCTTGGATTGTTTTTCCTATTTCAATATAACATGACGTATTTTAAATATCTTAATTGTCTTTATATAAAAAATGGTGGGGTTTTTTTTTTTGCTTAATTTTGAGAATGTTATATCTGTATAACAGAGATGTGAGCAACTGAGCTCAAAGTTAAGCATTTTTAGAATAGAAGAGCAAGGTTTGACCCTAATTGAATAGTATAGCTATAATTTAAGTTCTGGTCTTTAAGTTCCCTTGATAAGATAAAGGAATGTTATATAAGTTTACCTGTTTTTTATTTAAAGTAAAATTATAAAAACTTGCTCACTATGTAAGGCCTTTATAGTTCTGTAGTGCGACTGTGTGATTTAAAAGGGGGTAAGGTTAATTGTTAGACTAGAGATCCAGGAGTCTGAATTGATTTATCTAGCTGTCAGAAGTCTGTTTGACCTTCTACAATTTAGTTTTTAAATTTTTGAATACTGCCTTCAGTGTGTAGCTATTACTATCCTTGGGTGCTCAGCTTTTGCTTATGTGGTAAGCTTTTATCCAAGTGTTGATCATGGAGGGAGTACTTAAATGAAAATCACCCAGAATATGCCATAAGTTTTTCTTCTGTTCAAAATACTTTAGATTTTGAGATCAAGTAGACAAGTATTCTCTTGCCATTTAGAAACTATATTTTTTTCTTAATATTTGTCAGGGTGAGTGTGGCTTTAGACCCACCATCTTCAGATCTGCAACTTTAAAATGGAAAGAAAGCCTAATGAGTCGGAAAAGGCCATTTGTTGGAAGATGTTGTTACTCCTGCACTCCCCAGAGCTGGGTAAGAACCTTACTGCTTATTGACCCTAATACTCAGCATAAAATATTATTTCCAACTTTGTAGTAGGCAGTCTTATTGGACTAAATTCACTTTCAGAACAGAGACCCATGTTTATGAACCAAATATTTCAAGTAAAGATGTTGACACACTTTTTCTTTCCATTTATTTATTCAGTAAATATTGGTCCCATAATTGATACTAGGTAACATTCTAGTTCTTTTGAGGTTTTAGTAGGATTTTAAGGGGGAGAGTAGATCTTACTTTTGGTTAAGTCTTCAAAGGAGTTAGTGGGAACCTTCATGAACTTTTAGGTGTTGAACTTTAGCACTTAACATTAAAATTCTAGCAAGATAAGAAAGAGATAATGGGACAGAATAAGAAGTTAAAGCTGTGACTTTGCTCTGAGCCTTTGCTAATGGAAGGTGTCTGTTGACTTTGTGATAGTGAAAGATTGTCACTAAAATGTTAGAATGAAGATTTAAGAGAGTGTATATGGGTTTGTTGTTTGTATTTTGGTGAAAAAACACAAGCCATGCAATATCTTTTGCATTACAGTGCAGTCTTTGAGAAGAGCCAAGTGGGTGAGAGGTATATTTTCGGTGGTAGTTGAAGAGAAGGACAAATTAGCACAGGAACAAGAACTTCACGTAGTTGTGTTTGAAGGCAGTAGAATTGCCTTTTAAAAGTCATATCTGGATGTTAAGCTCTCTCTGGGATCCAGTTATTAGGATGAAGAAATTCTGCCGTTTAAGTGCCTGCCATTTATAGAGGTTGCTTGTAACTTGTGTGGCTAGGTAATTGTGCTGTGTGAATTTTCTACTCAAGGTTGGTTTGGCAGAAAGTAGAATTCTGAGTCTGGTATAAAGGGGTTTACTAACATGGGAGAGATTTGTGTGGAACCCAAGCAGTTTATGTTAAATGTTCAGATCTGCTGAAGAATGTCTTGTTATAAATATTGCTTCTTTTAAACCACAACTACCTTGTTGCAAGAATTTGGTAGAATTCAAGAATCACAGAAATTTCTAGCCTAGGAGTAAAGCTAGTTCAGATTAATAGGTCACTTGAAATCAAGATTTAAACAGAATGTCATTTTCTTTTTAGATCTGACATCTAGTCTAATTCTAATTTTGAATACTTAAAACAATAACTACAATGTGTTCTTAAGTCAGAGGGTATAGGAAATAATTTGGTGGTGGTAATGGTTTGGAGTAAAGGGTAAAGGTAGATAGTACAACAGACAATTGATTTTTGCCCTACTATAGTACCTGATGGAGTTGAACTTGATCTTGAATTACTTCCATGACATGATCATTTAAAATAATTTGTTTAAAAATGTTTTTATTGGTAACTGTATAATATTTGCTATCTTTTCTCTGAAATCGTATTTTCCTTTTCTCTAAAGAGATTCCACTTAAGTAGTTTTATATTTGTTGAGGGAACATTGTGCTTTTTCAGCATTTAAGTGTGGAACAGTTACCTTTTTGCCCATATTGATAAAGCTATAGACTATCTTTTCAGCAAAGCTATCTCTGGATTATCTTTCAAGATCACATGTAAAGAGGGTGACCAGTAGACAGACGATTTCTCATTAAATGGACAGTTATTTAGGGGTAATAGAAAGACCATACTCTTTAGATCAAGACATAAGATTGAATCCTAAACCTCTCCCGGTCTTAGTTTCTCACCTAGAAAATGGTGATAACTCTTTTGTGTCAGGGATTTTGGGAGATTTAGTAAGCAACAATAACTGCATGGTACTTAGCGTGGTCTTTGTATTTTGGGAAAACTGAAATCTCTGACATTCTTGTAGCTTCACTTCTTTCAGGGTGGAGATGAGGAGTCAAGCAGCAAGGGGTACTGTTTCCTTTGGTTTTAAGGTGGTTTGTTTGTTTGTTTGTTTTTTGTTTTTGTTTTTGTTTTTTTGAGATGGAGTCTTGCTTTGTCGCCCAGGCTGGAGTACAATGGCATCGTGTTGGCTCACTGCAACCTCCGTCTCTTAGGTTCAAGCAATTCTCCTGCCTCAGCCTCCCAAGTAGCTGGGATTACAGGCACCGACCACCACACCCAGCTAATTTTTATATTTTTGGTAGAGACGGAGTTTCACCATGTTGGCCAGGCTGGTCTCAAACTAATGACCTCAGGTGATCTGCCCGCTTCGGCCTCCCAAAGTGCTGAGATTACGGGTGTGAGCCACTGCGCCTGGCTAGTTTTAAGATTTTAAAGATGAATTTTGAGTTTATGACATTCTTTGAAGGCTAAAAAGTACTTTTCAATAAAACTTTTTTCTTCCCTAAGATTTTTGAGGCAATATCTGTTTTTATGCTTGATATTAAAGTTATCAAGAACTCATAATGAGAGCTCTTCACCGTCAATCTAGTTGTGTATTTATGTCTACATTTACTTTGTTTTATATAGGACAAATTTTTCAACCCCAGTATCCCGTCTTTGGGTTTGCGGAATGTTATTTATATCAATGAAACTCACACAAGGTAAAAAGAAATTTCTTATGTTTTTAATACATCTCAAAAGAAAAACTTCATAATAATCAGTTAACACACTTTAAGCTGAATTGCTTTGCATTACTGAGAGTGAATAGAATATGAGTTTCTGACACAAGAGAGATTATCTGAAAATTGGAAGCAGTATAGCCACAGAGAGAACTATTACTGTTACCACTTGTGTACTTACAGATAATTTCAGGGGAGTGTAGATGTCACTTAGAATGTTCTTTGACTTATATTGATTTGCATATGAAGTATGCCAAAATGTGGGAAATATTTGTCTGAGAAGACCGGTAGGTTTGAATCTCTTATGATTTATTATGACTATTTAATACTTAAAAAAAGTATAAATTATTGAAATCTGCCCAATCTGTAGGGTGTTAAAAGACATTTTCTCTGTTGAGCAAATGTTGTTTGAGTTACTATTTACCCAAGACTTTACTTAGAGTTCTTACAATTTCTAGGCATATGGGGATAGGCTTGTAAGCACCAGTGTGAGAGAAAAAGGTCTTTGTTTTATCTGACTCTAGGCCAGGGGACAGGGAAGGAGGGTCGAAAGGTTGTGTGAATGTCTGTGAGGCAAGAGAATCAGTAGCCAAATGCTAGCAGTCCTTGTAATTCTAAAAATAGATACCTGGAGTAGGCAGGCAGATAGGCTCAGATGAGAAATACTTGAAATTCTATGAAAATTAGTGCAAGAAATCAACTACTTGAAGCCCTTATGATATTACTTCTCATAATTTGATGATGAGATCACATATGAGAATGATAATACTTGGATATATAGTAAACTTTTAAAAATAGAACTTAAGTCTAAGTACATGAGCAGATCATTCCCAGGCTGCTGGTCTCTCTCTCTCTCTCTTTTAAATTTGCATTTAAATTTAAATTTAAAAAAGAGGGGAGAGACTTTGGTCCGTTGAATTTTTTTTGATAAGATGATAAGATCCTAAGAAAAGGGATCTCAGAGTCTTCCTTATGTAAGTAGATATTTTATATATAAAGCCAAGAGGTTTGTTTCTTGCCCTCAATTAGAGACAGTTAAGGAAAATCGCATTTGCTATGATGACGAGGCAGAATGAAACTATTCAGTGAAATAAGCTGCATGTTCAGCTATTTACTTCTTCTGTGTATTCTATGAAGCAAAGCCTAAAACATTTTTACACATTCACATA
The DNA here is from genome assembly GCF_000001405.40 of Homo sapiens. Taxonomy (NCBI): domain Eukaryota; kingdom Metazoa; phylum Chordata; class Mammalia; order Primates; family Hominidae; genus Homo; species Homo sapiens. Next base: position 112,176,796 of record NC_000010.11, on the reverse strand, counting down.
GAGTCACACACTCTGTCACTGTCACACTCATGCACATGTGCGCACACACACACAATGCTTTCAGTCAGTTGCAAAGGGATTTCATAGAGAGCTTGGACTTTGTACATACCAATAATATTTCTGAAAATGTTGACTGAAGGAGGAGTTTAGGATTAACATTTAATATATTGGGCCAAATTTTTGGAAGATTTAGACAAAGGAAGGGAGGAAGAAAAAGAGAATGGCAGGAAGGAGAGGTGAAGAAATAGGTGATTCATAAACAGTTCTCTTTCAAGTTACTTTTTCTCTATTGAGGGTATTCTGGGTCTTTTCAGAGTTACTGAATTGATAATAATAATGTGATATCATGTAATCATTACAAATGTTTTCAAAGTATTACATAATGAAAGCTTGTAGCATTCTTATTCTGAAACTCATCTCTCCATCCTCCCATCTAAACACCACATAGTCATTTATAACTGACAGGAATATGTTCTATCCCTCAGGTGTATTTAAAATGTGAAGGGGGAAAAAGTGAGAAATTCTGGCTTCGTTAGCCTAGAGTACAAATATTTAGATCATGCTTGACTTCTTTCAACTGATCTGCCTTGTCAATTCAATTAGAGAATCAGTGATTATCTTAGGAAAAAACAAACAAAAACTTAACAAAAAAAATTAGTCTTTGATCATAGGAAAAGACTTCCAAATTTATCTTTTTATAGCCCATAGCTATAAATATAAGCTGTATGGTTTATCAGAATAGATATAGCTTATATATAGCATTAAACATTTTTGCCTTTTTAATGGTATTAATAAAGCCAGATGTTCTTATTTCTTTTGTTTTCATATTAGGGTTATTCGGCACAGTAACACTATTCAAACATTAATACACAAATTCCAAGTTTCAGTTTTAGCTGAGAGTACATGAATAAAATTGGCTGCACAACATTCTGAACTACTAAGGAGAATTTGCTGTAGGAGAACCCTAAATCTCAGAAAGAGATGACATTAGGCTTTGTTTTTATGGGCGGAAAATTAGTTTATGATTTAAGCAACTTGTTTTAGGGGTACCTCTAATACTTCTCTGCTAAATCATTTTCACAGACACCGCGGATGGCTTGCAAGACGCCTTTCTTACGTTCTTTTTATTCAAGAGCGAGATGTGCATAAGGGCATGTTTGCCACCAATGTGACTGAAAATGTGCTGAACAGCAGTAGGTAAGGGCGGGGCAAGGTGTAAAGGTGGGAAGAGGCAGGGATGGGCGGTAGGAGTGGGAGGGGGAAGTAATTCTTAGTAACCTTTAGTTTCTCTGGGACTGTGTCTCAAGAAGTGTTCACATTTCCAAACATTAAATGTTAAGCTCCAAAGGAAACTAAAGAAAGGCAGGAGAACAGGTGCTTTGGTGACAGTGCCATGTGGGAATAGCAGCCTTGTTTTATGGATTAATAATTGAATGGGTTTCTAAAACATGAAAGGCAAATAAGAGTTCAGAGATGCACATATTTCCAGAGTTCTCTGCTTTCTGTAATATAAATGTTGGAGACATTGTATTTCCTATTTTATAGCCGAAAGAGAATTGAGTTTGATATTTTTGCCAGTTACTGAGTATCTAGGTACAAATTCTTGTACTGGAAAGTCATTGCTAGAAATCTTAACAGAATGAATTACTGCCTTTGCTCTTACAGGAGCTTGCTTACAATAGGAAAGACTGATTGGAACTCAGGTGGAATGGGGAAATAAATATTCTAGAATATGGGAGTTTGGGTGAAGATGTTCCAAACTCCCGTACTCTAGAATATTGATTCTAGAGTACTGGCCTCATTGGTGTGGCCAGTTTCAGAGATCTACCTGGATTTGGGGAGCAGGAGACCAGGGTGAATTAAAAGGCTGCTTTAAATTCATAAGTGTCATCTGTAGACTCTTCGTTATGTTTGTTAAGGCCTGAACAATGCTGGCACATAATATGTACTCAAGAAATACTTCTCGAATGGATGAGTGAGTAGTTGATAATGGAGGTGCATCAGTCATGGTAATGACGTGTAGAAACATTCCTGGTCAGAATGCAATGAATGCTTTTTAGGGAATAGACTTGGGGGGCATCAGTGTCCTGTGGTATTGGTCTTTTTGTATTAGTGAATTATGGGGCTATGTGGAATTTTGCTGTACTTCACTAGTCCAAAATCAGCACCACTGGGATAAAACACAATTATGTGAAATTCTTAGATTATTATATATTCTGTTTTCTTGTTAAAACCTTCAAGTACATTTATTTCATCCAGATGTTTTGACTAGTAACTGGGATGTTAGAAGTGGTTTAAGGAGGTTGAACCTCATGCTTTCTCCCCTAAGTCAGCTGGAAGATTTATAAAACTGGATTAAATGTTTCCTTTTATCTCACTGCTTATTATTCTGTGCTGTGCTCTTTTGATCTTGAGCTGTGCCTTTTAAAAATTACTGGTTTGAGTTGAAAAAATTTGTAAATATTTATGACCATTTTTGGTCCCTCCCAGAGTTTTACATATAGTTTTACTAATGGAGTCACAATACAAATTAAAAGTAAATTAAGTCTTCAAAAGAAAAATCACACATTAATTTGGTAGTAGACTTTTGGATACCTCTGAATTATATGCCTAAAGGGATAACCTTTCTTTTTCTCTCTTCTGCTAGAGTACAATTTCGTGTCCCTCATACTTTAATGGGAACATTCAAATTCACCCAGTAAATTTGAATTAAATTCTTAGTCTGCTTTCCAGATTCCTCAGAGATTCATTGATTTAGGAATATAGTATTCTTAATATTTAATAGATAGCCAGAAAGAGCACTTCTAGCTTGAGCTTATTCTTTCATGTTACCGCATTTTAAAGAGAACATACATTTTGTTTTGTGATTTACAGCTGCAGTTTAGAAAATACTGAATACAGAATGTAGTATAGAAACAATTACATTGTCTCTTTTTCCATTTTCATACCAGAGTACAAGAGGCAATTGCAGAAGTGGCTGCTGAATTAAACCCTGATGGTTCTGCCCAGCAGCAATCAAAAGCCGTTAACAAAGTGAAAAAGAAAGCTAAAAGGATTCTTCAAGAAATGGTTGCCACTGTCTCACCGGCAATGATCAGGTATTAAAAGGCAAGGCAGAAAGCTTTCAATCACAGCCATGCTGATTTGAGCAAATAAGACTGAATTATTGAACTTTCCTAGCACAGTTCTCTTTGTCCAAAAGATGTTTTAATGAATCCTGATATTAAATTAAACTCTTCTTATATTCTTATTCAGCTTTCGTGCAAAGTAGCACTGTGGTAGGCTTGAAGGTGCCTTCATATCTGTTAATTGATAGCAGCCAATGTATTACTACTAACATCTGCTCACCTAGACTGCTTGTGAATCAACTTTCACGTATCTGAGTCATAAAAGGAGTGGTTTGTGTACATCAGAGGGATCATTCTGCTCACTAAATATTCATTCGCCTTGGTCATTTGCTTCTGCAGTATAAAATGTTATTAGAGTGAACTATGACTGTAGTCTATAATAAATGGATACTTCTGTAAGTAGTATATATATATATAAAATTAGCTCTAGTTCAGCAATTCAGACATACGTGCATGCATGTGCACACACACTAAGTCATTTACAAGTACTTTGAGGTTGTAGGTCCATAAATTTAAGTAGACAGAAGTCAACTGTATGTGCTTGTATGTAAAAATAACGTGTGTTCATTTATGTTGTTTTTTTTGTTTGTACTTTGTTTCAGACTGACTGGGTGGGTGCTGCTAAAACTGTTCAACAGCTTCTTTTGGAACATTCAAATTCACAAAGGTCAACTTGAGATGGTTAAAGCTGCAACTGAGGCAAGAATTTCTGTGAATCTATTACCCCATTTTCCCCTCAATTGTAGAGTGGTTTTAGGGTTCTTGTGGAAATGTTTTCTTGTGTACTGTGATGTATTTCAACCCATTTGGAAGATTTCCCTCATTTATGATAACTTCAATAGCTGTGTATTTGGGGAGGAGAAATGAGATACAGGAGTACTTACTAGCAATATGCAGGATTCCTTTTGTAAGTTACCTTGCAACAACCCTGAAAATCTGGTAGAACAATCCCTATTTTGTAGATGAAGCAATAGAGACACAGATAGATAAATAGGTTGTCTCAAGTGGCAGATAATAAGTGACTTGCCCTGGATTTCAAATCAAACCAAGCCTGACTCCAAAACCTGTGCTCTTTTTATATCAGTGGAGCTGCTTCTCAGAAAGGGTATAGGTCAACTGGAACTCTTGATTGCTCTTCTTCCCCCAACTTATTTCTGTTGTTATAGTTGCTCTTTTTCTTTTTAGCTCAGAAAGTATTACATTGAAGGAAGTTCCTATTATTGGAAAATGTTTTTAAAGAGTGAGTCACTGATTAGCCAGTGTTTGAGTGACTCTAGCCAAATATGCAGTTGCAAAGTGTGATTGAATTTTACATTTGAGTTTTAAATTTGGCATTTTTCCCTTTGCTAGACGAATTTGCCGCTTCTGTTTCTACCAGTTCATAGATCCCATATTGACTATCTGCTGCTCACTTTCATTCTCTTCTGCCATAACATCAAAGCACCATACATTGCTTCAGGCAATAATCTCAACATCCCAATCTTCAGGTAAGATGAGCTTATTTTGGAATTTAAGGAATTAAAAAGATTATGTTTTGAATTTTAATTTTTTAAATTATAGCTTTCGATATGTTATTGTAAAGATGACATTAGCCTTTTTTCTTTTATTATAAAAGTGATACATAGTTATTGTGTAAAATTTGGAGAGTGCAAAAATGCATTAAGACTATCATCATTATTTATATATTTTATATGGGATACTTGGTGAACTGTGACTACCTAAACTTTATGGGCATTGTTTATCAAATAGATAAAAGGCAATTAGAAAGGCAAGATAGCAAATTACCATACCAGGCTCAGCAGTAGGGAGTTGTTTGGTGGAGGAGGGGGCAGTGAAGTGGGAGAAGGGTTAGTGATATAAAGACAACCATACCTGTTACTTTGACCTCATAATTTAGTAGAGCTAGAACCACTTAAAAAGTACAATATCATGTGAAAGGTATGTTTTAGAGGTTTTCACCTTTTGAAAGGTTTTTTAGAGGTTTTCCTCAATGCGTTCCATTCAGGGGAAATAGTATGTGCAAATGCGGAGAGATACAGGAGCATGGTATGGTTGGGAAGTGATGGACAATTGGGTAAGGTGGGAATATGGGATGCATTAGGAAGGATCAGAGACTGGAGGTGGTAGCTGTGTAGGTAGTGAAAGCTGGATCAAAACAATTTCTAAGCCAAGAGATTAGAGTCTGTCCTGTACTTGAGAAATGACATGTTCAGGTTTGTATTTTGAAAGGTCATTCTGGATTAGAAAGAATGAAATCAATTCTGCTTCCATTAGGATAGTTCAGGCAGAAGATAATGGAGGTTTAAATTGTAGTATTGTTTTTGGACAGGAGGGCATAGATTTAAAAAGTACTTAGTAGCTCGAATTTAAAGACCCAGTGCTAGTCCCTATGGGGGCTCAATAGAGGGGGAGAGGAAGGAGCAAGATTCCCAGGTGTTTACCACCTAGGAAACTGGGTAGGTGGTAGGTCTGATCACCAACAAAGAATTGGTGAGGAACTGGTTGAGCTGGTTTGGGAAATTAAAAGTTTCAAACCTGAAAGGACAAAGCATCTCTAAGGTCAGCTCTGTGGGTAGAGAGTGGATAAAAGGAGCATGAATTTAGAAAGAGACTGGAAGGAAAGTGGGCTGGCAGGTTGTGCAGGTGGAGCTTCACAAGATGGCCTTCGTCACCTTTGTGTGCTGTGTCCTCAGTATCACAGTCTAAGGAGCTCCTTCTTAATCCCTTGGTTCAGAGTTCTATAGGCTTTCAGAGTTCTGTAGCTAACCAGACTCTTGTGACCCAACTGAAGAGAAGCCATGGATTCATGCAGTCAGTGATATTTATCCAGCTGTGCTTTAGACAAGAGAGAACAAAATATATAGTCCTTGCCTTCACATAGCTTAATGGATAATGTAGACAGACAGCTAGCTGTAATAGCGTGTGATATGATTCTACAGGGTAGATGTGCTTTTCCAGGAATTAGAATATCTGTGTTTGCTCTCCAGGGGACCTCTCTCCAGGAACAAGGAACCGGGAAACTGAATTAGAAAGTCATCAGGAAGTTTCTGGTGGGCACAGACTTAGAGGGAAGAGGACTATTCCACTGGGGCTCTAGAGAAGCCTTGCTTCTCTTGTAATTAGAATATTTCCTATACCCATTTCCTTCACATTTGGTTCTCAATTAGGATTTCTTGGAACTGCTTAATAAACACTGATAATTTTTTGTAATCCAACTTCCCTTTCATGGACTCTATGCCAGTGACTGTGTAGCTCACCTGTCCTTCAGACACAGCAGGCTGTAGTTAGCCCAGCCTGTTTTTGTGCAGCTTTCTTTTGTTACATGACAGTCTACCCATTCACAAACCACTTCTCAGGTGTTATTTTTGTGGATGGCTCATCTCATTCATTTTATTCTGCAGAGTTTTACTCTCAAAGAGTGATACTAAGCTTTGGCAACACCTTACTGTGGCCTCCTTCTATTTACTGTAGAGCAGTGGTCCCCAACCTTTTTGGCATCAGGGACCAGTTTCATGGAAGACAATTTCCACAGACCATGGGGGTGGGGAGGATGGTTTTGGGATGATTCAAGCATGTTACATTTATTGTGCACTTTATTTCTATTATTATTACTTTGTAATATATAAAGAAATAATTATACAACTCATCATAATGTAGAATCACTAGACGGTCCCAACTGGGGGTGATAGGAGACAGTGACAGATCATCAGGCATTAGATTCTCATAAGGAATGCACAACCTAGATCCCTCATGGGCAGATGTGCAGTTCACAATAGGATTTGCGCTCCTATCCTATGAGAATCTAATGCTGTTGCTGATCTGACAGGAGGCGGAGCTCAGAGGGTAATGCAAGTGATGGGGAATGGCTGTAAATATAGATGAAGCTTTGCTTGCTTGCCTGCCACTCATCTCCTGCTGTGTGGCCCGGTTCCTAACAGGCCGGGGACCGGTATTGGTCCGTGGCCCCGGGGTTTGGGACCACTGCTGTAGAGGATACCAAAAATATATATTAATGTTTATGTTAGTATCACTCTACTTGAAAAGAATAGGAGGCTGTGAGTTTGGAAAGATTGACTTAGACAGTTTCAACTTCATATCAAAATTAGTGTTGTAGAAAGAGACATAGGGTTAGGAAAAGAATCGTTTTATGCCTGTGTATGTGCAAATGAAGCACATTTTTGTTTCATGTTTTGGAAAGATGGTTATGCTTGGTTTCAGTTGGATAAAATTGTTTTTGTCTCACAAGGATCCTCTGTAAACAATAATTATTTGAGAAAATTTCCCCCAAGGAGCTTTCGTAATAAACATCATATTCATTTTGTAGTAAACATGCCATGCGCAAATTTCAGAATGTCTAAGGGTCAGTGTCTTGAGACCCTGGGCAGGATTTTAAAATTTAGAAGTGTTCTATAATCCTCTTAAAATCTATACTATCATTTTTACGGGTAATATGTCATGCAAACTCCTTTTGGCTTGGAACAGATATAATAGAGGCTCATTATACACAGTGATATCCCAAAGACTGATGAACAATGTAAATGACTGAAACATGTCGATAATATGGAAAATGAAAAAAATGCCTGCATTTTTACTGTCAGCTGCTCAAACGGCACATATGGCTTGTATCCACTTGGCAAATGTTTTCAATTAACTTGGAATGTGAGTATTCTTTTTACATTTTTCTTTGTAAATAATTCATGTATTCTGAATTTATAGTACCTTGATCCATAAGCTTGGGGGCTTCTTCATACGACGAAGGCTCGATGAAACACCAGATGGACGGAAAGATGTTCTCTATAGAGCTTTGCTCCATGGGGTATGTGTGATCTCTAATTATCCTTAGGGACATTGTGTTGGTTATCACAGTGGAAGGAAAAATGACTCTTTTGAGTTGAGATTTTTAAAAACTGCTCTTTGAGTAACTGGAGTGATTATTGCTTGAGTTTGGTAATTTGTTGTTGTTGTTGTTGTTGTTATTACCAAAATATAGCATTGGAGGAGCTGTTTTATTAGTGTGAATAAGATACTTTGTCAGTAGTGAAGTTATCGTTTTTTCTGTTTTGCTTTTAAAGATTTAATTTTTCTGAGCTCATTCTAAGTTGAGTGGTCTTGAATGTATGTTTTACTTTCTTCTTATATCCCAGCATATAGTTGAATTACTTCGACAGCAGCAATTCTTGGAGATCTTCCTGGAAGGCACACGTTCTAGGAGTGGAAAAACCTCTTGTGCTCGGGCAGGACTTTTGTCAGTTGTGGTAGATACTCTGTCTACCAATGTCATCCCAGACATCTTGATAATACCTGTTGGAATCTCCTATGATCGCATTATCGAAGGTCACTACAATGGTGAACAACTGGTAAGGGTACCTACACAAAAGTTTTCTTTGCTTATCAAGTCTTTTAGATTTAACTTTTAGAATTTACATTTGCTTTTAGAATTAAGAATTTTTTTTGGTACTCCCTATGTTTAAAGCACTGTATGAAATGTGATTGGATGGGCATGGTGAGTAGCTTTCATGCCCTATCTTTAACTTGATTGGTAGTGCTTATGTGGTGTTTTCTTGAGCTTGGCAGAAGTGACCTGGTTAGATTTATCAGTGCCGACCTTGGTCATGGGATTGGGAAGTGGGAGAAGACTTGCCACCGTGTTGCCATCTCTGCTGTGGAAGGTTATCTGCGGTTTGTTCTCCCCAGGGCTTAATGAATATGTGCATATTTTAAATTGGGCTTGAAGAACTTGTGGGGTCATGTTGGCAAAAACACCTACAGATTAATTTGAGAGGTAGCAATGACTTTTTCAGTATACCTTTTTATTGAAGTATAATAGTTACAAAAGAGTATATAAATCATAGGCATGTAGCTTGAATTATCACAAAGTGAATACATCTATGCAACTAGCACCCAGATCAAGGAACAATATTACCAGGACCTTTGAAACCCTCCTTGTGCTTCTCCTATCATCATCCCCGCAAGGGTAATGATTAATTTCATTTCTTACAGACTGGGTTAGTTTTGCATATTTTTGCACTTACGTAAATTGGATAACATGTGGTCTGTACGCATCTGGTTTCCTTTGCTTAAGCAGGTGTTTGTGAGATTCATCCACATTGTTGCATGTAGTCTATTCCTTCTCATAGCTGTGTAGTATTCCAGTGTATGGTATACCATAATTTATTCTACTGTTAACAAAATGTTTGGCTGTAATCATTCTTGGATATTTTTTCTTGATGACCATATATATTCATTTTGTTGGGTATGTGCCTAGGAGAAGAACTGATGGGTCTTAAAAAATATGTATTTTCAGCTTTAGTAGGTACTGCCAACCACTTTATCAGAATGGTTTTACCAGCTTACCACTCCAGTCAGCAGTTAGAGTTCAAGAGGAATTTAGTTTTGTTCTTATTTATTGTGGAAATTTTGGCTGAGGTACTTATTTCAAGCTTACGGCTCCAGACATGTCAGAAATTCAAGGACGTCTGACAATCAGAGGCTTTAGAAATTAAGTGATAGGCTTACAAATTAAGTGATATGATCTGTATGACACTCTTCTCCTTGTGTTCTATGAATCTGTCCTTGATGTATACCCTACTCATCCTGACTGTGTCTCACGAGTTCATATCTGAGTCTGTGTCCGTTATATGTCCTGTCATTGTGCCTTATGTGTAATAGATACTAGGTATTTACTGAATGAATACTCAGCTCAAAGGCCACTGTAAGGCTGGATTTGCAATTACTTGCCTAATATTAGACATTTAGACTCTGGTGATCATCAGACCTCAGATAAATGGCCTCTTTGATGTTTTATTCTTGTTTAAGAACCACAGAAGTTTTCCAGGCTATGTCATTTTTTCCTTCATTAGTTTGCAATTGTATTTTTGTGAATTGTGTGAACATGATACTAAATGAAATAGTATTAAATGTTTTGTTTTTCATTGACTGAATTCCATCTCCCAATGACATGATTACATCTTTGAATACTAAACGTTTTCTGACAGGCCGCAGTTAATGATTACCTCCTTTCCTTCTTCATTCATTGTTCTTCTTCAAGATGAACTTACAGTTTCCATAAAACAAGTTATTCTGTGGATAATAGAATGTTTGTGTATGTGTTGGCTTTATTTCTCACCATGTTATTCTCACTATTGGAATTTAGGGCAAACCTAAGAAGAATGAGAGCCTGTGGAGTGTAGCAAGAGGTGTTATTAGAATGTTACGAAAAAACTATGGTTGTGTCCGAGTGGATTTTGCACAGCCATTTTCCTTAAAGGTGAGTGTCTGTTGAAATGAAACCATGTTGAAGCATCTACCTGGAGTCAGGAGGCTCCAGTGCTGACTCTTAACAGCACCTCTCTGTGTGACTTGGGGCTGCAGTTTGCTCTCCTGTAAAATGAGGACTATGATAAAGGTGGTGTTGCCTAAATTTTTCCACAAAATTTGCCTATTGACAAAGGAGAGTGAGTATCTGTTTTTGGGAGATATCAGGCTCGACATTTATTGCTATTATTATTTTTTTTTAATTCATGACCATCTAAGGGGAACAAAAAACAGGTAGAAGGAATAAGTTTTAGTATTTGATAGTACAGTAGGGAAATTATAGTTAGCAGTAATTTATTGTATATTTCAAAATAACTAAAAGAGAAGAATTGTAATATTCCCAACCCCCCACAAAAAGCTAAGTGTTTGAGGTGATGGTTATCCCAATTACCCTGATTTTATCATTACACATTGTATATAGATATCAAAATATCACATGTACCCCAAAATATGTACAAGTATTATATATCAATTAACCCCAAAAGTCAAAAAAATTTTGAGATGGATGAATGAATAAATGAATAAATAATTGTAAAAAAATAAAAATTCATGGGAATCTTGCATGTGCCTTTATAATACGTATTTATATCTTATGTTTCAAAATTGCCTTTAGGGGAAATTTTTCCAAACACCTCCCCTAAAAGCTGGGTAACTTTTTTTTTGAGACGGAGTTTCATGTTCTTGTAGCCCAGGCTGGAGTGCAGTGGCGAAATCTCAGCTCACTGCAACCTCTGCCCCCTAGGTTCAAGCAATTCTCCTGCGTCAGCCTCCTAAGTAGCTGGGATTACAGGTGCCCGCTACCACACCTGGCTAATTTTTGTATTTTTAGTAGAGACGGGGTTTCACCATGTTGGCCAGGCTGGCCTCAAACTTCTGACCTCAGGTGATCTGCCCGCCTCCTCATCTGCCTCCCAAAGTGCTGGGATTACAGGTGTGAGCCACTTCGGGCAGCCAAAGCTGGGTGAATTTGACAGGATAATGCTCTCTATGTCCTATTGTGTAGAATCCAGTACCCACACATCCCAAAGGATAGTGCCATCCTCATTGAAAGTCTGGGACTGGCAGGTCCCTGAGGCCCTTGCTGGTTTAAATTCTTAAGGTATTCAAATTGTAAAGGAGAAGGAGAAAAATGGGTACAGAAGTAGGGAGCCCAGGGATAAGGAGCAGAAGGTCCCGCCTCTCCTTTTATTCTACTTCCTGGCTTAACTTTAAGAGATTCCAGCTGCTGTGGTAGATGCTTGCTAACCTTAAATGCTTTGATCTTTTAGAACCTTATCATTTCTTGCCACTTTCTTTCTCTTTATTTTTTAAATGGTCACATAGCTTCTCTGTCTTGTTATGATTTGCTTTTAGATTGAGGTTCTTTTGAAAATAATGTGACCCTTGGGTTGCCAGATTTTTTTAAGTATGATTATGTCTATCATCACTATTAATGATATTAAGAATGTCAGTTTTATGATGATGTGTGAGAAAAGTTAAAAATTTCTTTTAATTTTAAAATGATTTTGTTTAAGCATCCTATTCTTTGTGTCTTCAGTGTTCAAGTTCAGTTTCATGCTTAGCAGCATTCTGTGAATCATTCTGGACTTCTGAAGACAGTTTAGGATATAGAAAGTATTTCCCATGCTCTATAGCATGGCTTATTTCATAAACAACTCCCTTTTAACCTTTGGAAGATGAAATTACATTTTATATGTTGGTGCGAAAGTGAGGGTAAATGATCATGTTGTGTTTTTTTCTCCAGGAATATTTAGAAAGCCAAAGTCAGAAACCGGTGTCTGCTCTACTTTCCCTGGAGCAAGCGTTGTTACCAGCTATACTTCCTTCAAGGTAAAATTTGTAGAATTGTTTAATGCTAATCAAGCTACCAAACATCTGTTATTTCTTGTATTGCATAGATTAACCTTATTAAAAATGCGCACATTCTTATTTTCACTTCTTAAGTAACTTTTCTCTTAGTCCAATAAGGGATATTGAGATGACATGTTTTCATATTAGTTTGGAAGTTTTTAATTATTTGCTTATAACTTTTTGATTTTGTGACTCATATAGGAGTTCTTAATTGATTTATGCTTTTTGAATGCTTGAACTGAGTTTTTTTGGTAGTAGGTTATGCATATTGTATGTAAGTGAACCATATGAAAGAATTTTGCTGTTTGAATTTTTCGGAATTCAAATTGAATTCAAATTGAATTTTAACTTAGAGAAATTGAATATGAAGCCTTTCCTTTAATATGTGGAAGTGTTGAATTTTCAGAAATGTTTTAAAATAAGGCATCTTGAATTATGTATTCTTTCTGCCAGTGGTTTTGGAAGTGGTGTATCAACAGACTATTTAGTCATAACTAAATAACATGTTTTGGCCAGGCCATAATGTAGTATATTATGGAGGAAAATAAGCCATAGAAATAATCTGTTTGTGGTTTAAATTTAAAATATATAGTAATTTAAAGTATCTAATTCATTTAAAGATCAGTTCCACATGGTTTGCCTTGTAAAAGAGTGCGGTTGTGTGTTGATTTTTGAAACACTTTTTAGACCCAGTGATGCTGCTGATGAAGGTAGAGACACGTCCATTAATGAGTCCAGAAATGCAACAGATGAATCCCTACGAAGGAGGTTGATTGCAAATCTGGCTGAGCATATTCTATTCAGTAAGTAGAATACCAGACTCTTTAATTCTACAATTTAGATTCATCATGGTATGGTGCAAACTATACAGATTTTGGAATCTGCTGAGGTTAGTTTCCACTTCTATTAATTCACAGGTGGTGATAGGTAAGTTATTAGAAAGAAGGTGATACCGTGAGGATTTGAGATAATTGGAGTTAAACATCTTATACAGTGTCTGGTAATTAGTAGGTGTTCATGTGGTAGTTGTTGTACTTTTTAAAAATAGTTATTATTAAAATGATTTGTTGCCTCTGTTGCTCATTAATGTGTTTTATTTGAACTACTTGAACTAATTTGTGGTACAACGTCTAGATTTATAGTTGCATGTCCATTTCTCCTTTGACCCCATGAGTTTTTGTAATGCAGCAAATATGAGTGGCCTTGTATAAAGCTTTGCCTTAGCCGTGGAGAATACAAAATGAATAATTAATGGTTCTGAACTCAATGAGCTTATGTTCTTGTCAGTGGGATGGTTATACACAAATAATTAAAGTGAACCTAGAGAGGAGAGGAGTGTGAGTTCACTGCAGGACCAGTCTTCTTTAAGTTCCAAGCTGTACAATTGTGTACTGTTGTGGAGGCTGCTTTAAAATCCCAAGGCAGCACAGTGGTTCTTTGGTGCTCAGCCTAGTTGTGATTTCTTTCTTGCTGCTCTCTGGGCCAGGACCCTGATGATACTCTCCGCACCCCCTGCCAATGCTACTGGGGAGGTCTTCCTCCCTCACCTTGCTCCTCCCATTCTGGAGGCCCCTATTCCTGCTTGACTTTGGGTCAGAGGATTCTTTCTCAAGCACATTTGATTATGTCTCTATCCTGCTTAAAATCTGGATACAAAAAATAATACCTTATTGTTAAAAAGTTTGAAAATAAAGATGAAATAGACAGCAAAAACCCATTACCCAAATAACCAGTGGTGTTGCTGTGTAGTCTCTAAAAATATTTTTTACAGTTTTGTATTGTGCAGCTTTCCATTTATAACACAATATTCATATTTAAAAATTCTTTATAAATATTTTTAATAGCTATACATATAGTACTGAGTACTTTTTTTTAACACTGGAGACGACTTCAGTTACCAGTGGTGAATGAAGTATTCTTAAATTTATTGTTATCTTAGAAAACTCACAAATGTTATCGTGATTTAAGATTATTCCATGGGTGTTCTCAGATTTGATTTATATAATTATAATTTTATGCAAATTCAGTGTAGGGGTGTGCACTGTAGTCATTCTCAAATGTGTGTCTGTGCCCTTCCTTCTTACCTCTGGGTCAGGTTGAAAGAGGAAATACAAATATGCTGAGCACCCATTACTGTGGCTCCTGTGCCGGGCCAGTCATTTTATTCTCATGTGGTCTAATGAGCTAGGTAGGATTTTCATTTTATCAGCAAGGAAGGTGAGGCCAGGAATTTAAGTAATTTGCCCCAAGTCATGAAGTTAGTTAGTGAGTAAATTAGGATTTGAGCCCAGATTTTTCTGACTTCAAGTCAGCTGTTATCCTTCTACTACACCTTCGTTTTAATATGGTGAATACCAGCAAGAAGAGTGAAGTAGAGTTGTAGTTATAATAGACTGTAGGTGGGAGCAAGTAAAGGAATATGGAAATGGGAGATCCCGTAGAACTAAAACAGCCTTGTACTTTGGGTCTTGATATTTCAATAAAAGTGTCTCTTCGTCATTCAGTAACTAAATTCCACTGGCCTGGATTGAAGTTGGACCTGTCTTACTTAGCCTGTTGTATGATGAATAGTGATCTCTAATGAGGTTCCATTATACCAGAACACTGTAGTATTATAACTTCCTTTTGGTAAATCACACTTATGGGAAATGTGATAGAAGACTTTCACAGTTTTAAATACTCCTGTTTAAAATTTAGGTATTTCAAAAAAGTTCAGCTATGTTTGTAAAAAGTGCAACTAAAAAAAGCTTTGTGTTTGCCTTCCAGCTGCTAGCAAGTCCTGTGCCATTATGTCCACACACATTGTGGCTTGCCTGCTCCTCTACAGACACAGGCAGGTATGTCTGCAATGTCACCTGCAGTTAAGTAGGAAGCAGGAGAATGTTTTGTCAGCTGCTCAGATACATACTCAGGGGCAGATTTGGCCCACTCATGGCTAGTACTATGAGGTAAACAGTAAAATAAGCTGAGGACCCTGCCCAAAGGAGCTTATCAACTTGGTGGAGGAAGAATCTACATTTAAAAACAAAACAAAACAGACTGCTTAATATATATAGTACTAAGCTATTGCTTGATTAATACTGTTAATGTAAATAAGGTCTAACTCATTAACATGTGGTATATATTCTGAAAGCAAATGCTTTCCAAATGAATTGACTGGCATTTTAGAACCCACCCTTTATCCTCCCAAAATACATTTGTCTGAGCTTTATGATGGAAGAGACCACACCAGTCTTGTTCAGTCATATTCTCAACACCAAACAGTGCCAATATATATAGGCACCAAATAAATATTTGCCAGATAAATATTTAAAATGAAGGAAATTTTGCTAAAAAATAAGCACTCCTTACTTGCAGATGGCTTTTTTCCTCCCCCTTGTGATCTTATGTGTGCATATCATGTGTCATGGCTAGAGTGTTCACTAGCATGTGTAATACCTTGACATTCCTGGAGGACCAGCTTTTTAAGTAGTTTTCTGACTCGCTCTGCATTGGTGTTCTGGCCCTACTTCTCTATGTGCTAGCAGTGAGCTGCAGGAAAGCCAAGGCAAGAAGAAAGTCTTGGAATGTTGGCCTCTCAGCTTTTTGGAAAGTAGGTTTTCCACCATCATGATACCGTTTCCATCTTTCTTTAGGGAATTGATCTCTCCACATTGGTCGAAGACTTCTTTGTGATGAAAGAGGAAGTCCTGGCTCGTGATTTTGACCTGGGGTTCTCAGGAAATTCAGAAGATGTAGTAATGCATGCCATACAGCTGCTGGGAAATTGTGTCACAATCACCCACACTAGCAGGAACGATGAGTTTTTTATCACCCCCAGCACAACTGTCCCATCAGTCTTCGAACTCAACTTCTACAGCAATGGGGTACTTCATGTCTTTATCATGGAGGCCATCATAGGTATGTCAGACCTTGAAATATTTTCAGTAATTTTCATGGAAAATAAAAAGGCCTAAAACACATAGTGGTATCTGCTTTAATTTGGGTGATAGCCCCTTGCTTGAGGGAATGTGGCTATAATTTTAGTTTTCAAACGAAAATGTAATCTCCTGTTATATCACTGTTTACAATGAGTAGTTACTGAATTACCGTTTGTATAGCATTACCCTTATTTTTCAGGAGAGGTAGAGTGTCTTGCTATCCAGGAGCTGAAAATCTAACTGAGATGAGACATACACAGAGCAGCAAAGTGAGTGGAGGGCCTCATTTGTGATTAAGAGAAAAGAGAGGAAGGAGAGAAGAGGGGGCTTATGTCTTTGGAGAAGGTTTTTGATGCAGTTGGGATCATATGGAATCATAAGAATTTAGTCTTATGGGATTTACTTAAATTTCTCCAAATACAGGCCATTATTTTTGATGTATTAATAATCTCTTAAGGTTATTCAAGCCAGTTGAAGTTTTTCTTGGAGACTTTGAGCTGGCAACTTCATTGTTGCTTTTCTTTTCTTAGCTTGCAGCCTTTATGCAGTTCTGAACAAGAGGGGACTGGGGGGTCCCACTAGCACCCCACCTAACCTGATCAGCCAGGAGCAGCTGGTGCGGAAGGCGGCCAGCCTGTGCTACCTTCTCTCCAATGAAGGCACCATCTCACTGGTGAGTGAAGACCCTTCAGTGTTGCCTGGTCTCTTTTCTTGAGCGTTTTCATGAAAACGTAACCCCCCGTGTTTTTCTGTTAGATAATGTTTGACCCATTGTTGATACTTTATATTCCACTCCTGGATTTCAGTGACCACCAAACCAATATGTCATTTACTATCTTGGTTTGCTCTCTGGGTCACTGCTCCACTGAATCTATCCTGCAGCTATGAGCCATGATAGGACAGATTGCTCAATGTTCTCAGGCAGTCACATCCAAAGCTAGTGAGCACGTATTGTGTGTGAGGCACTGGGTCAGTGGTTTGTAAATAATTAACACACCCACCTGTAGATGATGGAACCACAGATGGTAAGAGTCAGAAGCAGCCTTAAAAATCATCTGCTCGGCCAGGTGCGGTGGCTCACGCCTGTAATCTCAGCACTTTGGGAGGCTGAGGCGGGCAGATCACGAGGTCAGGAGATCGAGACCATCCTGGCTAACGTGGAGAAACCCCGTCTCTACTAAAAATACAAAAAAAAATTAGCCAGGTGTAGTAGCACCTGCCTGTAGTCCCAGCTACTTTGGAGGCTGAGGCAGGAGGATCACTTGAACCTGGGAGGCGGAGGATGCAGTGAGCTGAGATTGCGCCACTGTTCTCCAGCCTGAGTGACAGAGCGAGACTCCATCTCAAAAAAAAAAAAAAAAAAAAAAGAAAATCATCTGCTCAACACCTCTCAATTTACAAATGAGGAAAACCAAGCCCAGCAGTACTAATGAGCATTTATATTATATACCCAAACACTTTTAGGCATTTATCATGAGACATATGTATTAAGTAGTAGATTTCCTTCTTCTCAAAGTCATCAACATGTAGAATTCATATTTTATTTGAATTCCGATATTTTCTTTTGTATGAATGTGTCTTGAGATGTTGACGAGATGAGTGCATGTGTTAGGAGTACCGCCCCCTCCATGCCATGCTTTGTGTGAGGTGTGCTCGTGGTCCTGTTGGGGAATCTGTTTTGCATGAACCTTGGGTGGTGGGATGGAAGGGATGAGGGCAGATAAGACTTCCAAGATTGACCTTGTCCTTTCTCTGGTATTTATTTACTTATTCCAATGTTGCCTTTCCTCAATCACCACTTTTGTGTACAGTATTTATTATAAGATAACTATTGCAGAGAAATTGTCTTATAAAGTAAAAGAAATAGATGGTGGGGGGCTGATAAGCAGTCTTCAGAGGGCTTTCCACACTGTGGGTGTGGGGAGAGAATTGAGCTCAGGAGTACCCCTTGCAGGTGGTGCAGTGTTGGGTGCTCTGCCAACTTTAAGTGACAGAGGTCTTTTCTTGGGCTTTGTCCATGACCGTGTGTGTATCAAGACAGTGGGCACTGGGAATCACAGGACTTGCTCAGTGGGGTGATGGAGGTAACAGAATGGAAGGCTTTGGCAGCTACCTTGTACCATGTTTTCTGCGTTTAAAAAAAGAAGTATAAAATGGTGGCATTTATATTTAAATGAATTTTCTTTTCAGCCTTGCCAGACATTTTACCAAGTCTGCCATGAAACAGTAGGAAAGTTTATCCAGTATGGCATTCTTACAGTGGCAGAGGTAAGAGGTAGAGCTTTCCTTTATTTGTCTTTATACTTACTCTTCATTCCCTTACCTTTTCTACAACTTATTTAAACCAATAATTGGCCAGGCATGGTGGCATGTGCCTGTAATCCCAGCACTTTGGGAGGTGAAGGCGGGTGGATCACCTGAGGTCAGGAGTACGAGAGCAGCCTGGCCAACATGGCACAACCCTGTCTTTCCTAAAAATACAAAAATTAGCTGGGCATGGTGGCACACACCTGTAATCCCAGCTACTTGGGAGGCTGAGGCACAAGAATCGGAGTGGTGGAGGTTTCAGTGAGCCAAGATCATGTCAGTGCACTCCAGCCTGGGTGACAGAGTGAGACTCAGTCTCATAAATAAGTAAACAAACCAATAATTACATTTGGTATATAGTCATGTTCAGATGTAGAGAAGCAAAAAATAAGAATGGGGAGAATAAGTGTCCTTTGGGATTATTTAATATTTTGGTTCCTATTTGTAAGTTGTGTTGTCTAAAACATATCCTGACTTGATTCCGTGACATCCAGAAGTTTGTATGCTAAGTTGAGACGTTACACCTATCAGTATGCTTGCAGCTTGCACATCTGCAGTTTTCATTTTTGAGATTCTATTTTAATTTTGGTAGATTTAGTGTAGAGGAGATGGCCTGGAAAAGTACATATCAATTTAGAACATGTGGGGGTACTTTTATTTGATCTTTCTTTCTGGTAGCTCTCCCCTCCCACCTGCCCTTTCTTTTGTCTCCTGCTGTCTCCTGACTGAGTTTGAGTTTGGAAGGGAAGTGGACTGACATTATGAGTGGCTAAACAGAGAAGAGCCAGGAAGGGTCAGAGAAGAGGACTGCCTTGTCCTGGCTCCACTGGGCAGTTGTTTGTGTGCCAGTGCATATTTATTTACTATCCATCATCTCCTTGGCCTAGCACGATGACCAGGAAGATATCAGTCCTAGTCTTGCTGAGCAGCAGTGGGACAAGAAGCTTCCAGAACCTTTGTCTTGGAGAAGTGATGAAGAAGATGAAGACAGTGACTTTGGGGAGGAACAGCGAGATTGCTACCTGAAGGTACTTGGGTGAAGAATTCTGGTGGATATTACAGGGATATGTTGAGGTTTATGCTGCAGTGAGATCAGCTGGAGTCCTGGTGATGTCTTCTTATCTAAAGAATCCCCCAACTAGCTCTGGTACCTTCTGTGTGGTAAAGACACTCAAACTGTTTGAGTTGAATTAATAGCATTTTAAGTAGAAAAGGAAAGGAGAGTCTGAAAAGTCAGGAAGATGAATGTCATAGGTGAGACTTTCACCATCCTTTTATGAAATACACAGGTGCATACCTGTTTACCTACACCTGCACCCCTCATGAGGCAGCAGTTTTGCTATTGAGCTGCCACTGACCTGGCTGCTCTTTTTGAGTCACTCTTGCTGTCCCTCCCAAAATTTCATATATTAAGCTCTTTGCTGTCAATTAAAACAAATACCATTATAGGAGAAAATTGAGATTAAAAAAAAAGTCCCTGATTTAGAAAAATCAATTTTGTCTAATTTATAATTTTAGAACTTAGTAATAATGACCCGTCTTTTCTGAATACTCTAAGAGGATTACTCTTTTTTGACATTTAGAAATTGTCTTCTTTTTCACTTGGGTGGTATTAGTTTAGTTTCAAGATGGGGCAGTGATCTTGCTTTCACACTCCAGAGGGGCTTGACCGAACCAGTGTGTTTTGGGTAGGTACAGTGAGAGCCTCTCGGCCATAAAGCACCGCCGTCACAGTGGCCATCATTCCCCACAGTGCTGGACTGTGGGCAAAGGCCATTTAGGGGAGGCAGGGAATAGGTGCTGCAGAAGGAGTGAGATAATCTTGGTGGTCTCCCATTGGTCTTTCTGCAGACTTGAGTGACTGTTGAGCCCAGGCTTCAAACCATGGAGGGCCTGGTCTTAGGAGCGGCTATTTTTAGTGATGACAGCGTATCACAAGTAGGGCATTCATTTATGAAAATTTCTTCTAGGTGGCTGTTCAATGAACACAAGCCTCAAATACCATAAAAAAGTGAATGATTACAATAAAGAATGTGTTTGAAAGCCAGCAGTTGTTTCCAGCAGAGATTCTCTGCATGAGGGGCAGGGGGCCGCTTTCATGTAGTGCTGATGTGAGTGGCCATCTTCTCACGTTACTGGCTCTCCAGAGAAAGTCCTCTGTCCACTTGCCTTGTGTCTCTTGTCCCTTCCTCATGACTTCATCTCCTGCTTTTGCACACTCAGGTGAGCCAATCCAAGGAGCACCAGCAGTTTATCACCTTCTTACAGAGACTCCTTGGGCCTTTGCTGGAGGCCTACAGCTCTGCTGCCATCTTTGTTCACAACTTCAGTGGTCCTGTTCCAGAACCTGAGTATCTGCAAAAGTTGCACAAATACCTAATAACCAGAACAGAAAGAAATGTTGCAGTATATGGTATGTTAAGTCACTATTTATTCTTTTAAAATCTTTTTTTTTTTTTTGGATTTCAGAAATTTGCTAATTGTAGAAAATTGGAAAAATGCAAACTTATCCTGACCTCTAACACCGTAGAGTATTACTATTATCTTCTTTGGCATGTTATATAAGTTGAATGATACAGTTATACACTCTTACATCTGGCTTTTTTCACGTAACGTTATTTTTGAGATTCATACATGTTGCATATAGTTGTTCCTTTGTTCTTGTTGTGTAGTGTTCCATTGTATAAATATTTACCACATTTTATTCATTCTGCTGTTGATGGATATTTGGGTTGTTTTCAGTTCACAGCTGCTTTGAACAGTGTTGCTATGAGCATATTTGAATATGTCTTTTGGTGAATATCTGTGCCCCTATATACAGCATGTATGTGGGAACAGAATTGCCTGGTTGTAGGCTCTGGGTATATTCGGCTTTGGTAGATACCACCAAACAGTTTCCAAGGGATTATACCTACTTGTACTCCCACAACAGTGTGTGTTTCACTTGCTGCACATCTTGGCCAGCGCTCCGTCTTCTTTGTTTTAGGAGGTGTGATTGGGGTGGGAGTACTATTTTATACAGTTGTAGTTTGGAGCTGAAACTACTTGAATCACTTTTTAGAGCCAAAAGGAATCTAATCTAATCACCTCATTTTATAGTTGAGGAAAATACCCCAGGTCACACTGCTAATTAATGGGTAATCTCGGGATCAGAATTCTTGTTTCCTAACCTCGAGGCCTGTGCTTTCTCTGGTTCCACTGATGTACAATCATCTGTGTACCACTGGGTAGCTTAAAGAATATTTATACACTATCTCATTTGATTCTCACAACAGTCCTGGAAAATGGATGTTTTAGGTATTTCTACTTCCCTCTGTTCTCCCTATTTCTCTCTCTACACCCTCTTTTCTTTCCCCTTCCCTTTCTTATTTACCTCAATATAGGACAAAGTAGGTGTAAGCAAAGTAGGTTTAACAGCAAGTCATCTGAGAACTCACAGGTTGCCAGTGGTGGAAGTGGGGCCCCACCCTTGTCTGCTGACTTGCCCTCATTCTCTTCCTAGCTCCCCATACTTTCTTACTGTGGCTGCTGGGATTGTCATGATTTGTTGAGCGTAACCATTTGACAGGGTTTTATTCTCTCTCTTCAGCTGAGAGTGCCACATATTGTCTTGTGAAGAATGCTGTGAAAATGTTTAAGGATATTGGGGTAGGTGTCCACCATTTATGGTATAAAAGCTATCTCAACTTCTGTTCTCTTTAGATCTAGTCTGTTTGAGCTACCTTTGTGGTGGGGTGGACCCCGAGAGAAGCAGTTTCTGCTGGCTTAATGATAAAGGCATTTTTGGGAACGGGGCATGTAGGATGGGTTGGGCTATGTTGAAGGTGAAGCCCATCAGTGTAGATTTATTTGAATGTTCTGGAATTTTACTGGTTTCACATTTATTCCCAAGCTGCTATATATAACTGGTATCAATATGTTTCAAGGTGCTACAGGTTGAATATCCCTTATCCAAAATGTTGGGACCAGAAATGTTTTGGATTTCAGATTTTTTTGGGATTTTGGAATATGTGCATTAGACTTACAGGTTGAGCGTCTCTAATCCAAAACCCAAAATGCTCTGATGAGCATGTCTTTTGAGCATCATATTGATGTTCAAAATCTTTCAGATTTTGGAGTACTTCAGATTTTTGATTTTGGGATTAGGACCACAATCTTGGCTCTTAATTATTCCATATGATTTTTAGTTACTTTCTTGTATTTTTACAAGAATTTCTAGAAGTATCCTCAGGTGTCCTTTACCTTCATGATTCATGGGGAATGTAAGTTCTATAGAGATACTAGCGGCCTTTTGTGAGGGACTGTTTGTGACTTTATTCTAAGTCATTTTAGAGTATAGTTATGTTGGTTGAAATTTTAGAATATAGTTAATGTTGGTTGAACTCCATCAAAACAAAAAAAAAAAAATAGAAAAAGAAAACCTTGTTTGCATTGGAAACTCCCACCTCATGCTCACACACACCCAGGCATACATTTACTTAATGCCAGGATATGGTTTTTTGTGCCTTTACTGCCTTCTGAGGTCTAGGACACCACAGGTCAGGTTGGTAATGGAAATTTTTTTTATTTTTTATTTTTTGCCTTTAATTTAATCTAAACCTTTTCTTTAGGTTTTCAAGGAGACCAAACAAAAGAGAGTGTCTGTTTTAGAACTGAGCAGCACTTTTCTACCTCAATGCAACCGACAAAAACTTCTAGAATATATTCTGAGTTTTGTGGTGCTGTAGGTAACGTGTGGCACTGCTGGCAAATGAAGGTCATGAGATGAGTTCCTTGTAGGTACCAGCTTCTGGCTCAAGAGTTGAAGGTGCCATCGCAGGGTCAGGCCTGCCCTGTCCCGAAGTGATCTCCTGGAAGACAAGTGCCTTCTCCCTCCATGGATCTGTGATCTTCCCAGCTCTGCATCAACACAGCAGCCTGCAGATAACACTTGGGGGGACCTCAGCCTCTATTCGCAACTCATAATCCGTAGACTACAAGATGAAATCTCAATAAATTATTTTTGAGTTTATTAAAGATTGACATTTTAAGTACAACTTTTAAGGACTAATTACTGTGATGGACACAGAAATGTAGCTGTGTTCTGGAACTGAATCTTACATGGTATACTTAGTGCTGCTGGGTAATTTGTTGGTATATTATCTGGTTAGTGGTTAATGCTTCCTTTAAAAATAATTGAGTCATCCATTCACTCTTTTTCAGTTTTATCTGTCAATAGTAGCTACATTTTTAATGGGAGCACCTTTTATCCCAAAGTGCTTTATAAATTGAGTGGACTGATATATATCACACCCAGGTATCACTGTGCTGTCCTTTGCTGTCAGATTTAGAAATGTTTTTAAGAGCTATGTGAAAACAGACAATATTAGTTTAGGTCGGGAACTGAGATATTGTAATCAAATAGTTAACATCAGGAAGTTAATTTGGCTGGCAAAATTCTAGGGAAACTTGGCCAGAAAACTGGTGTTGAAGGCTTTTGCTCATATAAACAAGTGCCATTGAGTTTCAAATGACCAGCAAATATATTTAGAACCCTTCCTGTTTTATGTCTGTACCTCGTCCACCCCTCAGGTAATACCTGCCTCTCACAGGTACAGCTGTTTCTTGGAAATCCTCCAACCAAATAGCAGTTTTCCTAACTTGATTAGCTTGAGCTGACAGACTGTTAGAATACAGTTCTCTGGCCACAGCTGATGAGGGCTTTCTGTACTGCACACAGATTGTGTACTGCACCCCAGTCCAGGTGACTGGTACCCACTCGAGTTGTGCCGTGCACAACCTGTCCAGTATATGCATGTGGTGGCCCTACTGACTGGTAATGGTTAGAGGCATTTATGGATTTTTAGCTTTGAGGAAAAACCATGACTTTTAACAAATTTTTATGGGTTATATGCCTAAACCCTTATGCCACATAGTGGTAAATAATTATGAAAAATGGTCTGTTCATAATTGGTAGGTGCCTTTTGTGAGCAGGGAGCATAATTATTGGTTTATTATGGTAATTATGGTGATTTTTTAAATATCATGTAATGTTAAAACGTTTTCTAACAGTTTACTGTTGCTTATCTCCAAGATATTATGGAATTAAGAATTTTTCCAGATGAGTGTTACATAGATTCTTTGAATTTAGTATAAAAGTACTGAGAATTAAGTTTGTACTTCCATAAGCTTGGATTTTAAACACTGATAGTATCTCATGAGTAATGTGTGTTTTGGGAGAGGGAGGGATGCTGATTGATATTTCACATTGTATGAAATACCATGTTTGAAACTCATAGCAATAATGCTATGCTGTTGTGATCCCTCTCAAGTTCTGCATTTAAAATATATTTTTTCTTTATAGGAATTGATGTATACCATGAAGTCATTGTCAGTTGTAGTAGCTCTGATGTTGAATGAGATATCATGTTTTAGCATTCCATTTTACTGACTAGGGTAGAAGAACACTTTTCTTGGCTACATTTGGAGGATACCCAGGGAGTCTTGGGTGTTCCTTATCTGGGGAAGCAAACATTTCACTAGTCTCTTTTTTTCATCCTTTAAATTGTAAATTAAGGATTACTCAAGCTCACCATTATTCAAGATTGGGACTCGCTTCCCAGTCGACACTCTGCCCTGCCTGTCATTGCTGCAAAGAGCTGCTGCTTTGCCAACCTAAGCAAAGAAAATACGGCTTCTCTTGCATTATTTTCCCTTTTGGTTGGTTTGTTTTCTAGAAGTACGTTCAGATGCTTTGGGGAATGCAATGTATGATTTGCTAGCTCTCTCACCACTTAACTCACTGTGAGGATAAATATGCATGCTTTTTGTAATTAACTGGTGCTTTGAAAATCTTTTTTAAGGGAGAAAAATCTCAACCAAAGTTATGCTCATCCAGACAAGCTGACCTTTGAGTTAATTTCAGCACAACTCATTCTTCAGTGCCTCATGACTGAAAACAAAAAACAAAAAAACGAAAGCATCTTCACAATGAAGCTTCCAGATAGCACCGTTTTGCTAAAAGATACATTCTCATTGTTTTCCAACAGTGATGGCTTCCACATAAGGTTAAACAAACTAGGTGCTTGTAAATAATTTATTACAGTTTACTCTATCGCATTTCTGTAACATGAAATGCATGCCCTTCTTCAGGGGAAGACTGTGGTCAAGTTAAAAAAAAAAAACAATATTAAACAACATGAAACTGCAGTCTGTTTTTGAAAATGAGAATGTCCTAAGTGATTCAGAAGAGAGGAGGGAAGTTGTGCACTCTGAAAATGCATGAAAAACAAAGGCAAAAACTAGTGGGAAATGTGTAGAACTGTTAACTGAGATGGCTTCGAGTCTTCCTTCTGGAATCTGTTAAATTTCACAAAGTCATGAGGGTAAATGGAGAAAATATTTCTGGGATTACAATGAATGTAAGCCCAAATTGTGGAATTGCCAGTAACCTGGATGGGGAAAAGCATTTCCCATAGCACTCCATGTAATATGAGTGCTCTGTGAGATGTTCATCAGTGTTTTATAGAAATGGTGTTGCTGGGAAACCAAGTTTGCACCTGGAAACTTACAATGCACTTTAGCGCAGTAAGGGCTTGGCATCCGGTAGTGAAAAACTGTCTAACCCAGCATTGCCCAAACTATTTTGACACCAGGACCTTTTTCTCCTTTGGGATACTTATGAACCTCTCACTAATGTCCTGTGGAGAACATTTTGGGAAACACTATGTTAGATAGTTCTTTAAGGAGACAAAACGGTAATGAACAGATAGCACTGGGGCAGAATATGCATGCATTTTGTAACGTCCAGTGTGGCGTTGAATAGATGTGTATTTCCTCCCCTGCAGAAAATAAGCACAGAAAATTATAATGTAGGTGATCGGAGCTCTTTCCTTTGATAGAGAGAACAGCCCCAATGATCCTGGCTTTTTCACTGAACGTATCAGAATACATGGATGAATTGGGGTAAATAAGGTTTTAATTCAGATCTAGAAGAAAGTATTGTACGTTTGAATGCAGATTTTTATCCACAGATAGTTGTAGTGTTTAGACATGACAGGACCTATCGTTGAGGTTTCTAAGACTTACTATGGGCTGTAAACCTGTTTTTTAAAACTATTTTAGAAACCTGAGACTTGCCGTCTGGCATTTTAGTTTAATACAAACTAATGATTGCATTTGAAAGAGATTCTTGACCTTATTTCTAAACGTCTAGAGCTCTGAAATGTCTTGATGGAAGGTATTAAACTATTTGCCTGTTGTACAAAGAAATGTTAAGACTCGTGAAAAGAATTACTATAAGGTACTGTGAAATAACTGCGATTTTGTGAGCAAAACATACTTGGAAATGCTGATTGATTTTTATGCTTGTTAGTGTATTGCAAGAAACACAGAAAATGTAGTTTTGTTTTAATAAACCAAAAATTGAACATACTCTTGATGTGTTTGATTTGTATTTAAAACAGTTTCCTACATAATTCATTATACGAACAATTATTGTTTTCTGACTTTATATAGCAACTTATTAAAATGCTTAACGATACCTTACATAAATGTATGAACCTACAGTTCATGCTTTTATTATTGACCCACAGCTTTCCAAATTTGATCAAGCATTTGGAGATGTAGGTCTGCTTCTTAGCTATTGCTCTCCTTTTATTTAGTAAATATTCATATTCTAGGGAGATTCTGTGGGTTTTTGTAAAGATTTCTTTAAGCTTGGTGCTTTTTGTTATATTTTTACATATTTAAGTTTATAAAAAGTGTTTTCTCCACTAGTTTATCACAGTTGCTCAAACAATATTAGTTTACTTTTTTGACAAGAAAATTATTTCTTTTATCAGAGCACAGATTTTGTGGATTCTTTGAAAGTTCTCAAATACAGCCTGATCTCCAGAGTGTTCCTTCTAGAAACGGTGGTAAACGTGTGCCTGCTGATGATGTCCGTGTCCTTTGGATGCATGATATGGCTGTGAAACTGATTGACGCCCAAGACCATCCCATCCGTTCTCCAGCCAGCCTCTCTCCCTAAACTTCCTACTTGAACGCTTCTGATTTTCTCTGTGATGTTGCTGTGACTGTGCCCTTATTCTGGCACATTCATTCTTTACATTAGCAACTCTCTTGCTGCTGCCAAAGGTTACCTTCCTTTTATTGTAGCTAAATTCTAACTTTCACAGCCACTAGGTAAGTGGATGTTAATTTTGAAGTCTCATCTCGTTGTTTAGTCTACTCTCTAATTTTAGTCCTGTCATTTTCCTTTTTAAGCCCTTGCTGTCTTCTACACATCTAGCTAGTAAAATTCCAACATACCTCCTTGACATGTACAAGGGCACTTGTGGTGTTGACACCCCTACCTGGCTTCTCTTGCCCCTTCAGTTTCCATGGCCCTATTGTCTCCTGTCTCCCGTCACGACTCCGTGCTTCTCCAACTCTTCCTTGCCTCCCATCCCTTACCAGATAGTCCTGGTGGTGTTGCCTGATCCTCTGATTTGAAAAAAAAATTTTTTTTCAGTGTAATCTGGAATTTGTATTTTTATGTGAAAGCATCTAATTTTTACACAATGGTCCAACAACATATATGGATCAAGTAAATTGCCTTTCCAGGCCATTTCTATCTTGTCAACTGCCAGTTTGTATCTTTTGGCCTAGGAAAAAGAAGCATGAAAGGACCAGTTTCAAGGTGCCCCTTCCAGGAGGAGCTAGTAGGCAATCCCCAGGGGAGAGAAAGCTAACCTTGGTCATCTGACTTAGGCAGGACTAGAGCTTGAGGCAAATATCTGATGAAGACTGGTGATGTTTAACTAGGCAATGAGCACGTCTGGGTCAGCTTTTGACATCTGACTCACTCCTGTGCCCATGTCAAAGAAACTGTATCGAAACAAGCTAGCATTTGCTGCTGGCAGTGGGCTACCTGTGACAGGTGATTAGAGTAAATGAGTGGACAAACGCAATTTCCAGCCCTCTGGGAAAACATCTTTCCTCTTTTGTCTTGCAGGTTGGTGGACAATCAGAAAGGAAAGAACGCAAGTGGACACACCCTCAACCACCTGCTGAAAGTTCCCAACCTACATAGCCAAGATACATCGTACAGAACTTAGTAGAAGTGAGGTGACTCCCTAAGGCAAGAGCAGAGGTAGCATGCCTGAGTGTGCATTTCACCTTGTTCCTCACTCCTTACTGGTGGGCTAATCCTATGCCCATACCCTCCTTTTTCTTTGTAATTATTAACAATGCCCTCTTTGACTCTTAGAAGAGTCTAGGTGTGCATAATAGACTATATGGTTGCTGTATCCATGGGCTCTGCAGCTGCTAGTGACAAGGAATCCTGCTGGAATTGAGAACAAATCTACCTTAAGAATATATATTCAGGTTTTTATCACCTGAGAATTTTAAGAGTCTTTGAGTTTACTTGTAAGGAAATGTTTATGCACTATAAAACATCTAACTTCTGCTTCTTGAACCAATCTTAGCACTTGTTGGGGAGAGCTCAGAAATAGCCCAATTGTCCCCAAGTAATCTCTCTCGAAAAGAGAATCCTACAAAGCCCATCTCTTCTCCTACTTTTGGAGGGTTTGAGGCCCAATTTACTTGCTTTATTATTTCTCCATTGTTGAAATGGTGGGCAAACATCCCACTTCTATTTCATGATTCTAGGTGTGCGTGGTGGTGAAGGGAGTGCTGACTCCCTTCGCCTAGCAAGGGAAAAGTAGAACAGCATGCGGCCCACAGTGAGGATTTTAAGGAGCCATGGAATACGGTGGCTCTGTCTAGACCAGTGATTGTCAAGTGTGGTTATCAGACAAGCAGCATCAGTATCACCTGGGCAATTTCAGTATCACCTGGGAAATTTCAGTATCACCTGGGCAATTTCAGTATCACCAGAGCAATTTGTTGGAAATGCAACTACTTTGAGCCCCAACCCAGAGACCAGCAATACGTATTTTAACAAGTCCTCAGGTGATTGTGATACACATGAAGTTTGAGCACCCTTGCTCTAGACACTTGGCACAATCAGGCATTTCACAGTTCTACACAGTGTACTCTGGAAGTAAAAATGAGGGAGAGGGCATGGGTGATAAATGCCCTTCTAAAGTGGCTTTTCCTCCAGGACGTGTTAAAGTGATCAAGTAAACGGGACAGAGCTGGGCTTTCAGGTAACAGTGCTTAGATCCTTTATGTACCTGGAGATGTTTCTTTCTACAATGGGAAATGGCTGCCTTGAGCCTTGTCATTGTCTAGCCATCTCTGTAGATGCTGGCATAGCTCGCATGCAGTTGGGTGACTTACACCACAAAGTTTGGCATTGAGGTGCTTCTTAGCCCTCAATCTATGAAAAGGAGGCTTGCCCGAGTTGAATTGTGTGTGTGAGCTTTACACAGTCCTTTAAACTGATCCCTTGGTCAGTAAACCTAGGACTGAGAGCTGGCTTTCTTGTGCGCATGCAGACTCTGAGCTGATCATGTCACTTCTGTGGGCATGGTTGTTCTCCGTATGGCATAGGGGCAAATGCACAGTGGATTTTTGAAGATGAAATTAGGTTTAATGAAGGCGGAAGTGTTTTGTAGGCCGGCAAGTGTGAAACAACTGTGTGTGTTTTGTATGCTTTCATGTGATGGCCAGTCAGGTGTGGCCACAGAAGAGACACAATTTATTATAGTCATAGGTCGTAGAGACAGGAGGCATGGGACACCCCACACAGGGCCACATGGGAAAGACACAGGGGTGGTCAGGAGGCAGAAGACAGGAGCGTGGTGGGGGCTTGGGTCGGAGCATTTATTGATGCTTCTGAGGGAAAGGCAGGGCAGGGCAGGGTGAACTGTTTAGCATTGATAATGGAATAGTCTGGATAATTTCACTGGGCTCTAAACTATAGGAGTGGTCCTTAGTTTTCTGTTATCAGTCCCTGGGATGAGTTAGGTAGAGGAATATTGCTTGCAAGGGTGTATGGGCCAGATTGAGAAGGCATGGCTCTGGATTAATTAGTGTGTATATCAAAGTAGGCTCCTGGCTGAGTCCTTTGCCATCTCTAAGAATTGACTAGTGCCAGGAGGGGCAGTCTCTCCCCAGCCAGACAGTCTTTTTAAGATGTCAAAGAATCATGGGTTAGAAAGTTTAGCTCTGAGGAAGCTTATGCGTCGTTCAGAGGGAAATTAAGCGTCACCTAGTATTCTGCCTCCAAGTTTTACAGAAGAGAAGATTACCAGTGCTCACACAGTAAGTTGATAGAATCTAGACCAGAAGCAACATTGTTTGACACAGTCCAGTCAACACCAGCCAAAGGGAACACAGACAAGTCAGTAAAATGACCAAGTTTTCCTGCAGCAAAGTCAAATCATGCATATCTTTGATGTGAAGCTTGGCAAATGGCATAATGAGGTGGACTGGACGGAAGTTAATTGGCTCCAGCAAAACAGTGTGGCAGACATATCTAGGACTGACTTGTGCTTCTATCATTAGGCACTGTGCTAAGCACTTTGTATGTATCATCTCAGTCCTCTGGGGTGGGTACTATTAGCCCCATCCTACCAGCGTTGAAACTGAGACTCACCGGTGAAGTAGTTTGCTTCAGACTGGTAACACAGAGTTCACATTTTCTCTTGATCATTGTGACATGCTTCTTTCTGGAGTTTGCAAACCCAAGGAACCTTCATCTAGGAGCAATTGACAAAAGCACAGGGAAAACAGTGCTTAGGAAAACATCCTCAGGATGGGGGAAGAGAAAGTGAGCGAAGAGCTTCGCAGAAGATCTCTTAGAATGTTCTTGCACAGAGTAGAGCAGGAAGGGAGTCTTTGAGGTTGAAAATAGCCAGAATGTGCTACTGCTTATTGCAAATCTGTTATGGCACAGAGCCACACTCAGCAACTTAGCATAGGGTAGTATTTTTATTGTATGCTGCAGACACCATGCTGATCATGGTCCTAAACAACCCTAATAGTAACCTGAATGTGAGCAATTTCTCAGCGTCGTGGTGTCGGCAAGTGGTGTGGCTGTTTTCCAACTTGAGCTTCAACATTGTGTTTTACAAATGCTCAGTGGAGTCGCTTAGCATCCCTGGTGGGTCCATGTCTGGAAGAGAGAACAACTAACTTTGAAACAGAATCTGGAGATGGCACTTATTTGGGAAGTGTTTTGAGCACAAAGCGAGCTTTAGTCAGGTTCACTTTGAAGTCTCTCACTGTGTTCACTGGGTTGGAAAACTCACTTTTCTCTTGTGGCTGAGGGAACAGGTGGCAGTTCCACCCTGTCCTCCCTCACTGTGCAGGCTATGGTCCTGGCCCCCTCCCTCTGCAGTCAGGAGACACCCCTCCCCTCCAAGATACTGAATGGATCACTTCCAAACCTGGAATCCTGGGACAGTAATGATTTTAACAGGGCCAAAGCTACATCATGCTTTAAGGCTCGAAACTACAAGCTGTTTCTTCATTTGTTTGTTTTTACACAAAGTGTCTTTCTGCCTCCGGGTCAGGATTTTTTTGTTGTTATTTTTGAGCTGGAGTCTCCCTGTGTTGCCCAGACTGGAGTGCAGTGGCCTGATCTTGGCTCACTGCAACCCCGCCTCCTGAGTTCAAGCAATTCTCCTGCCTCAGCCTCCCGAGTAGCTGGGCCTACAGGCGCGTGCCACCACACCCAGCTAATTTTTGTACTTTTAGTAGAGATGGGGTTTCACCATGTTGGCCAGGATGGTCTCGATCTCCTGACCTCGTGATCCACCCACCCTGGCCTCCCAAAGTGCTGGGATTACAGGCGTGAGCCACCGTGCCCAGCCAGGAATTTTTGTATAATCTGTTTTGTAGGAGGCTTCTGGCCTCCTTAACATTCCCCCATAGAAGTTCCCTCTCACTGCAGACACAGGGCAGGAAATTAAATTTGGAGAGTATATCTAAAATGGGCAATGGAACACAATCATTGTTTCTGGTCAGGATGAAACTTAATTTTTATTGGCAACAACCTTGCATTTAGTTCTTTCTCTTCGTGAGAATTCATACTTCTTTATTCTAATCTTTTGAACCAGGAGGGTCAGCTGAAATGGTGTGCCTGTGCTTGCTGTTTTAATTCAGTTTTATTAAAGATAAAATCTTGTCAGGGCCCAGGAAATAATTTTACATAATGGTGACATGTAGAGGTTGAAAGAGTAACTGTCAGAAAGACATTTGGGTCTCATGGCACTGTGAGGGGCTAAGACTTGGTAGATACTGAATGTGGAGTTACTGTAGCCAGGCCAGGCACACAGAGACAGGAGATACCCCACACCAGGTGAATCCCCAAAAAGCTCCAAGGAAATCAACTTTAAAAATTACAACATGATTTTAAAGGAGTAAATGCTTTGCTATTTAAAGTAGCCCCCTGGCAAGGTCTTCAGTAATATGAAGGTCATCGAGTCTGCAAAGTAGAGTTAGTAATTGGTTATATGACTTCGGGCACACACTTGATCTCTCCCTTTTGTTAATTAGGGCTAGTAACAATGACTGACAACATGTCTAGCACGGGAGTGTTAGGAAAACCTGCTGAGCCAGTGTGAGGTGCTTTGCAGTGTAATTTAGGCGTAAAGGTGGGCTTCGGTCACAGAATTGGACTTTCTTGAGGCGGAGTTTTGCAGTAGATTCTGTAGGCCCTATCTTTCTCCCCTCAGCCACCCTGCAGGACAGATGTGGATGTTCCTGCACCCCCTCTCTTCCTGGGTCTCTCTGTGGAGGGTGTTCTTGGTTTCTGCCTCTGGTGCTTGGGAGCCAACACCCCAGAGGTGAGAGCTGGGGGATAAACAGCTCACCTTCTCTGCCCCTCAAGGGCATGCTTTGGAGGGTTCCTGTGGGTGGGATGATGCTCCAGTTGCCCTCATCAGTGACCTACTCATGAGCACCCCTTTCTTGGCTTTTCCCCTCTGTGTCTCCCTGTCCCAGTCCCTAACTGGCCTTCCTGGCATCAGCTCGCACATAAATGACTTGCAGCCAAACTCCTGTCTCTCTAGCAGCTTTTAGGGAGACCCAAAGTAAGACAGGCCTCATGAGTATTCATCAGACAAGATGCTGAACTGGCTGGGCGCAGTGGCTCACACCTTTAATTCCAGCACTTTGGGAGGCTGAGGCAGGTGGATCACTTGAGATCAGGAGTTCAAGACCAGCCTGGCCAACATGGAGAAACCCCATTTCCACTAAAAATATGAAAATTAGCCAGGCATGGTGGCGCATGCCTGTAATTTAAGCTACTCATGAGGCTGAGGCAGAAGAGTCATTTGAGCATGGGAGGCGGAGGCTGCAGTGAGCCGAGATTGTGCCATTGCACTCCAGCCTGGGCGACAGAGACTTCATCTCAAAAAAAAAAAAAAAAAAAGCCAGAAAAAGATGCTGAGCCACAAAGCCATGTCAACAACTAGTGTTTCCAAAGACTGCTAAGTTGCACTAACCAATGCAGTGTCACTCCAGGTTGTGGAACAATTAGAGGGAGAGAGAGGGAAGCTGACGTTTCTAATTCCGGGTTTGAGGTCCCTGCCAGAAGTTGGTGATGAGGAGTGATCTGGAAATACTGCCCTGGTTCCTTTGCTGGTTGCCAGGAAGAAAGATGATCAACTGTGCTTAGAGAGATTAGGATTCAGGGTGGGAAGTATTCGGGGAGGGTTATTACCATCATCAACCCACATTCACAGAGCCTAGAGAAGGCAGAAGATACAAAGGGCCAACCATGGCCTCACCTGGGGCAGCCCTCTGGCTCTCAGGGGACACAGGACTTTATCCAAGAAAAGTTACCTAACAATATTGTAGTTGGAGATTTGGATGGTGATTGAGGGAGGTCTCATATCAGAGTTAGTTTTTAATTGAGCCTTGAAGGAAGGGCAAGAACCAGAGAGTGGGGACAGGAATCCCTTCAACAGTTCACCAGACGGTTTTGTTTTCTGCTTTTTGTTTCTTTGAGGCAGAATCTCACTCTGTCGCTCAGGCTGGAGTGCAGTGGTGCAATCTCATCTCACTGCAAACTCCGCCTCCTGGGTTCAAGTGATTCTCCTGCCTCAGCCTCCCGAGTAGCTGGGAGTACAGGTGAGCGCCACCATGCCCGACCAATTTTTGTATTTTTAGTAGAGATGGGGTTTCCTCATGTTGGCCAGGCTGGTCTCGAACTCCTGACCTCAAGTGATATGACTGCCTCAGCTCCCAAAGTGCTGGGATTACAGGTGTGAGCCATTGTGCCTGGCCCCAGCAGTGAAACTTAACAAAACTCTTAAGTGATAATATGCGAGGCCTGTGTGTGGCCACACATAGTGGTGACCTGTGGGCTCCAGACAGATGGCCCACCCATCACATCACATCACTAAAGCTACTGTAAATAATTAAAGTAGCTTTAGTTATTTAAAGCTACTTTGATAACTTTAAATTTTCAAAGAAATGAGGTCGATGCTTCAGATGTCAGAACATTTTTCTGTAAAATTGTAGCTTTTGTTAAATCTGTCAGAAGACCTGGCGGCCCTGGGTCTGTGCCGCAGCATGGAGTAAGGGGTTGCTAGTGAACAGAGAGCATTTGGATGGGGCATGTGTCTTTTCATGTGCCACACTCCCCCTACCCAGTTGGTTCTCAGACCAAGGGTGAGGGGTTGTTAATTATTGGACGTACACTTTTCTTTTTTCCAAAATAGAGTGAAATGTCTCCAAATGCCTATCTTTATTTAAAACGGAAAAAAAGAAAGCAGACAGACAATTTGTTTTTTTTTTTTTTCAGGGTAAAGGTAAAGTAATACGTATTGAGCAAGAACTAATTGCCAGTCATTGGGCTAACAGCTTTACAGGCACGACTAGCCACTTCCCATTTTACAGATGGAGAAGCACAATGAGTGTGTCTTGGGAAACTCCTCAAGCTCTTAGGGGAAGCTTCGTGAGTGGGCACTCAAACTCCAACTCTTCCCACTGAACCTGAAGTTTCCTTGACCTTGATTTCCTTCCTGGATGTCTGGATTTCATGATATGGGTTTCGAGATGAGGGGAAGGAGAAGGAAGGTAATGCTCTAGAATGTGGGACTTTACCAAAAAAAAGTAAAGCCCGCTTCCCAGGACCCATGTGTCTGCCTTAGGAATTAAACCCACCCGTTCCAGGGTAAAGGGGCTATAAGTATTTGAAGCAGGGAGGCACACACTGCTGTTGAGTGTGATGGGTGGGCCAATCTCATGTCAGGGGCCTCAGGATAATAGAAAGCCACAACCTGGAAGGTCATGGGCAAGTCCATTTTCACAGCCTTCTTCCAGTACAGAGCTCTGAACTACCAACAGACGAGAGTTTCGAGCAGCTAGAGTCTGGTGCATGGTCTGGGGGCAGCTTCCTACCTAAATGCCTTCTGTCTTAACTGCCTTTGCATGTGACTGCTGTCCAGGGGTTTATAGCTTTATGATTCAGAATCTGGCTGAGGGTTCCTGGGTTCAAATCCCTGCTCTGCACTTACCAGCCACATGAACCTTGTGTCTGCTTTTTGCTTAGTCATTTCCACCTGATAGGAGATCAGATGAAGTAATGAGCATGCATGAAGCATTTAGCACCAGCGTGGCACATGGTAAACACTTTATACACATTAGCTCTGCTAAGAGGCCTGCCCTTTTCCAGATGAGTCTGCACACTTTCTGCAGGAGCCACTGCTTTTCTACCCCTCCCTGCCCACTGGCTCCTTTGGCCAGCATATTGAAACCACCGCATAAACAGGGGCATCCATGTGCAGGGCTACTGCTTTGGGGTTCACCACCCTTTTCAGCCTTGCTAATGGTCATGAATTTTCAGATGCTAATTTGCTTGCATTAAGCCTCACCTGGACTTCAGCAGGGGCATCCGTATGCAGGACTAGTGGTTTGGGGTTCACCAGCCTCCTCAGCCTTCTTGTTGGTCGTGAATTTTCCGATGCCAATTTGCTTGCATCAGGCCCCGCCTGGACCAGGGTGCAGGGTGTGGCCACACTGCGCATTCCAACTCTGTCCACTAGATGGCGGTCAGATTTCATCAAGGGGTACCAGGCCCAGGACTGGAAAAAAAGGTGTGGCCTCCGCCCAGACCCTGGGACCAGGTGGACGCCTCCTGGGGTGCTTCTTAGCAACTGCAGCTTATCACTGACGGCCAGAAATGAGACCTCAGGATGGATCCTTCAAGTGGAGGAAAGGAAAGGAGAGACAGAAATGCAGATGGGGTGGGAAGTGGGGTAAAAGTGGCAGCAATGGGCATGGCTCAGGGATCCCAAGGTCTCCATCTAGCCTCTGTTTCCTGTCTGCAGCCTAGAGGCACAGGGATGTGGATTGATGGGGACCCGAGGCAGCCTGTCCCCTGCCAGGAGACAGGCCCTGTCACCTCTGCCTGGGTTTCACATCTGCCCGTCCCCTGTGCTGGTCCAGGCTCTGGTCACTCTCTGTCAAATTGTCTCTGCTGATTTTATTGCCTTCTCTCCAGTTTCTCTGCCCACCTCTGCCTTGCAGCCCATCTTCCCTGAGCCTTTCTGCTCCTCCGTCAATCACTGTCAGAGCCCTCCAAGACCACCTGCTTTTCCCTGGCCTTCCCTGTTCACTGCACTCAGTGCTTCCTCAGGCACACCCCACCCCATGCCTTTGCTTCTGCAGTTTCTTATTCCTCACCTCTGCATGTTCAAATCTTATTCTCCACCCCAACCTGTAAGTGATTGCTTCCTCCTCTGAAACCTCATTGCATTGCTTCTATGGTGCTGGGCCCTTTCATGTATTCTTTCATTCTAATGTTTGCTGAGCACCTACTATGTGCGGCAAGATGCCAGGGATACAATGGTGAATGAAGTCAACATCTCAACTCTCCTTGAGCTTCTATTCCAGCTGGCAAGATGGGGCTAAAGGTAAACAGTGTAAGGAAAACAATCACAGCCTACCACGAGGGCAGTGTGGGGAACCCATGGGTGCTGTGGTCGTGTGTTGTGGGGTGCCAGCTGGCGAGGCTTCTCTGAGCAAGGTGATGTTTCAGCTAAGCCTCAAGACTGAGAAAGAGCCAGGTTGGCAAGGGGCTAGTGGGGTGGGAGTGGGCTGCCCTGGCAGAGGGGATGGCGTGAGGAGGACCCTAAGGCGGGAAGAGACTGGGCTGGTGGAGAAGCTGAGAGAAGGCTTGTATTAGTCCGTTTTCATGCCTCTGATAAAGACATACCTGAGACTGGGTAACTTCTAAAGAAAAAGAGGTTTAATGGACTCACAGTTCCACGTGGCTGGGAAGGCCTCACAATTAAGGCAAAAGGCACATCTTACATGGCGGCAGACAAGAGAGAATGAGAGCCAAGCGAGAGAGGAAACTCCTTATAAAACCTTCAGATCTTGTGAGACTTATTCACTACCACGAGAACAGTATGGGGGAAACTGACCCCATGATTCAGTTATTTTCCACCAGGTCCCTCCCACAACAGATGGTAATTATGGGAGCTACAATTCAAGATAAGATTTGGGTGGGGACACAGCCAAACCATATCAAGGCTGAAGGCAGCATCTGAGCTGAGAGGGATGCCAGAGGGCCAGGTAGGGAAGCTGTTGAAGGGGGGTAATGAAGACTCAAGCTTTTTAAAGAGCATTTTTTTCCCTCCGCTGATCTGTATACAGTGTCCTGAGTGGAAGGGGAGGAAAAGAAACCATAGTCCAGAAAGAGATGCTGGTAGCTTGGGTGGGGACGCAGAGAAATGGGTGGATTTGGGCATTCTGGAGACCGGTGAGCAGGCTCTCTCCACCATACAGGGATAGGGCACACTGTCAAGGTAAACTCCAGTGGCTTAGGGTGGGGTGGAGGACAGCTGCCTCCAGAGCACAGAGAGGGAGGGGTCCTGAGGCCATGTGCAGTCTGGGAGGTAAAGTGTGATGTGTTTGACAGCCCTAGTGCAGCACAGCACAGGAGGGGTAGTGTGAGATTGGCAGTTGGATCTGACATTCGATGAATGGCCTCCCAACTCCTCGAGGGCAGGAACCGTGCTTGATTCACTGTTGTGTCTCTTAAAAAGCTTTTCCTGGGCTATGGGGAAGTGGCCTCTCTGACAAGCATAGGGATTTGATATTGTTGGAGAAATGGGTGCCAATGGGTCTGGATGGGCTTCTCTTGCCACATGCCACCTGCTGTCTTGGGAGCACCTAGGGATGCCTCCAGTGGCTGCAGAGTGAGGGTGAGGGCGGGTCATTGCTTTTCTCCCCCGCCCTCCATTGCTGTGCCTAGGGGACTCCAAGCCCGCTTGGTCCTCTCAGATGTTGCCTAGGCAGTGAGCTCAGGATCTCCCTCACTCCCCTTTAGGGTCCACTGGTTACACCTTGGCCTTTGAAAAGTGGAATGCTCCTGATTTCAAGTCATATGGTATAGAAGCCTACTTCCTCTCAGAAGGGGAAAGCGGTGCCTCGCGTGCCGCCTAGAAATACCTCTTTAATGTCTAAATCACCATGTTGGAACTTCACTCCTAACAGAGACTGTGCCAGCTGCACCTAAAAAACCCACCATATTATCCC
This sequence comes from Homo sapiens, assembly GCF_000001405.40. NCBI lineage: Eukaryota > Metazoa > Chordata > Mammalia > Primates > Hominidae > Homo > Homo sapiens. The sequence continues at coordinate 112,137,846 of NC_000010.11, read as the reverse complement.
TTATTATTCATTTACAGTGTAAATTTTACACATTGATAGACATAAGATTGGCAAAGCAAACTGGGGAAGAGTGGGAGGGAGAATGCGTGGCTTTGTGTCTGAGATCTGTGGGAAGAAGGGGGAAATGCTGAGAAGGGACAAGGGGAGGGATGCTGGGGCTGGAAGCAAGTGTCCTGCACTGCACAGTCTTGCCCTGAGCTTGTGCCTGCCTGGGAACTTGAATCCTCCTTCCTCAGTAAAGGAGCCGGGGGCACCTGCCATTTTTTCCACTAGAGGGCGCCAGCACCCTGCAATGCAGCCTGGAGGTTTGGGACCTGGCTGGGAAGACAGCTGAGAATGGAAGAGGTTTGGGGCGTCTCAGGGCCTCAGAAGCACCGTGTACCTGGAATCCCTTGCCTTGCATCCCCTGAGCTCCCTGCTCCCCTCTGCTGCTCCAATGGGGCTGCATTTCCTTGGGTATCTCCCAATCCATCTCTGGCCCCATGTTCGCCAGCATGAGCCCTTGGTTGTGGGAGCTCCAGCTAGACGTGGGGACTTCAGGAAGCTGTGATGAGCACCAGAGGGACTCCTGAGCTGCTATGTGCAGCTAGGTCTGCCTGCCCTGGAGCCTCCGGTTCCTATGGCCTCCTCCCTGGAGGGAGAGTTTGCTAGGAGAAGAGAGCTTGTCTTTGCGTATTTTGTTTATTCTCTATTTCCTTAGGGCCTCACTGGACCCTGCACTGAGTAGGTACTCCTCAAATCCACTGCACCTGTGTGCATGCTGGGCATTGGCCCTGGCAGCTGCTATGCAGTGTGGGAGTAGAGCCCCGGGAACAGTGAGTGGGTGAGAAGGCTCAGCTGGTGTGCAAAATGGGATCAGAGCAGAGCTGGGAGGCTGGGGATGCTGGGTGTGGAGGGAGGAGAGGAAGAGGAAGGAGAGGGCAATGAGCTGGTCTTGGAAGCTTGGGGAAGCATTCAGACAGGCACAGAGGAGCCACATTAAACAAGGGTTTGGCCCAGTAGCCACCTGGGCTGCCAGTGTTCTAGAACTAGGAAACCAACCCAGGAAGCTGGCTCTGCTCCTGGCCCCCAAAGCCCTTTCCTCTAGGCTGTTCTAGGCCAAGGAACGGAGGGGAAATGTTTTCCTTATTCCATTCTGGCCTTTAGCTGTGGTATCGCCTGCCAAGCTCTCTGGAGGATCCAGGGGGACCGGCCATCAGATCCCCCCAAACAGCTGTGCTCTTCTGTCCAGACACTGTTCAGCCACAGCCTTGGGCTGGGCCTTTCCTCTGTGTCCTGGGCCGAGGACCCAGAGCTGCTGGGGGCCTGTGTGCCCCACAGGATCCATGAAGGTCTCCACAGCTGCAGGTGCAGGTGTCATAATCTGCATAAGTTGCAGTTCATGTGATTGTCACCGCCAGAATCTCTGAATATTGCTCACCTGGGTATGGAGCTGCCCGAAGTTCTTGTGTGGGTTTTCAGCCATACTTACATGGGTTATAGGCATGCTGGACCATTGGTAAAATCACATTGGCAGGCTGTGTTTTCTTCTCCCAGCTGTTAAAGCTGCAATTCTGGCAGTCAGAAGACGTCGCTTACTTGGTGGTTTCTAGCAGCCAATTCCCCTGTCTGAAAAGGATCCCTCATGGGGTTTGTTGTGTTATGGGCTTGTCTGAAATGTTAACCTATTTGTTCTTAAATGTCATCGGTGAGTGATTTTTATCACAATGAGAGTCTCATTGATGAAAGTCGTTGAGAGCCCGAGGACTTTGTGCAGAGTCTCTGTGGACCACGAGGGAATCTAGCAGAGAGGGGAGGTGGGTGGGTTGGATGTGGTGGTGCCTTTCAAGCTGAGGCCATGGGAGCTGCTTCGGGCTGGCCATTTGGGCAGTTCCCTTCAGTACAGGCCTCACCCCCAAGCAATGTTGTGTTACAAAGGCAGGTTCACCTGAAACTGGGAGGCAATGGGCAATGGTCAGATTTCCATCCATTTCCTGTCACAGCATGGCCATCAGGAAGAGTGACTTAAGAGGCTCAGAGAGGTTGAGATTCTTGCTCAGGACCACACAGCAAAGCAGAGACAGAGTAATGCTGAGAAGGCAGATTTCTGCATCGTATCTTTTGGACTTCTTTCAGCAAAGTGGGACCCTGAAAAGCCAGGGATGCAGAGTTCATTCATTTGGTTGGTCAAATAGTACTTACTGAGTGCTTACGGCATGCTAGGTGCCGAGGACAGCTCAGTCTAATGGGGGATGCCCCTGCAGAGTGTCAGGATGATCCTGGGGAGACGCCCACTTCAGCCGAGTTGGGTATCAAGCAAGCTTCTTGGAAGAAGCAAAAAATACCTGCGCCCTGTTGGAGGATAATCAATTAATTTGATGCTCCTTTGAGACTGTCCCAAGAGAAACAGAGAGTAAACACTCATAAACAAATAGCAGAAATAATGAACAGGGATGGAGTTCTTGCTAGACACTACTCCCTGCAGGCAGGAGCCCCTACCCGTGGGGACACTGAGGCTCAGGGAAGCCAGGAATGGTTGGGAGGGCCCCAGCCGGTCAGTGGTGGAGCTGGGAGTCCCCTCGGTAGAGTTTTTTTTTTTTTTTTAAACTTCTGTTCATCATGGAAAATTCCAAACATGTACAAAAGTGGAGAGAACAACAAAGTACCATGATCCCAACATCCATCTTCAACATTTGCCAACTTAGGGCCAATTTCATTCTGTCCATACCCTCTCCACTCTCCCACTACTGGAGTATTTCATAGTAAATCTCTGACATCATCTCATTTCATCCGTAAGTATTTCAGCAGGCAGCTCTAAAGGATAATGACTCTTTAAAAAAAAAACCTAGTCACAATCTCATTATCACACCTAAACACATCAACAGTAATTCCAGTCAGTGTTCAATGATCAATTGCCTCAATTTTCTTTTCTTTTCTTTTTTTTTTTTTACCAGTTGGTTTGTTCAACTCAGGATCCAAATAAAATCCACACATTGCATGCAATTTCATTTGAACTGTAGTTTTTCTCTCTCTTTCTTTCCTTACAATGTAATTGTTTACACAATGTGGTCATCTCTTCTATGGTTTCCATACCTCACATTTGCTGTTTGTATCCCTGGGGCCCTGTTTAGCATGTTCCTCTGTCCCCCGTATTTCCTGTAACCTAGAACTTGAATCGGGAGGCTTGAGCAGATTCAGGTTTGAGTTTTTGTAGTGCCAGTGTGTTGAAGCACAGATCACAGGCAGCCTGCTGAGCTCTGTGTGTGTGTGTGTGTGTGTGCCAGTGTGCCTGTGTGTGTGTGCACACATGTGTATGTGCCTTTGGGCTTTTCTCTTCTCCCTTGGCCACTTCTCAGAAACCACTGCTTTCCACTCTCTGGTAGTCACAGGCTCCTCTTAAGGTTACAAAACTGCTTCAAGGCTGCTTGTCAAAGAGCAGGCAAGGAGCAAAGAGCAAGTATTTCTCCTTGTCAAAGCTTCAAAGAAGCCTTCAGCACAGACAGAATTTCTTTTAATGTCTGCACTTCAGTTTCCTCCTGCTGCCTCCTTCTGTTGCCCATATTTTGACTTTGGGTCTTTTCTGTCAGGATCTTTAACAGGTCTGAGGATCCAGCATTCTCCTCCCTCTCCCTTCTGTTTTTCAGCCCCGATTTATGAATGACTTACCACATATCAGCTCTGCTCCAGTGAAGTTAGACATAAACTTGAGCTTCTACCCTGAAGGTCCTATGGTCTGAGGTGGGCAGGTCAAATGAAACTACATGCGATGTGTGTATTTTATTTGGATCCTGAGTTGAACAAACCAACTGGTAAAAAAAAAAAAAAGTTGAGGCAATTGATCATTGAACACTGACTGGAATTACTGTTGATGTGTTTAGGTGTGATAATGGGATTGTGATTATGTTTTTTTTTTAAAGAGTCATTATCCTTTAGAGCTGCCTGCTGAGATACTTATGGATGAAATGAGATGATGTCAGAGATTTACTATGAAATACTCCAGTGGTGGGAGAGTGGAGAGGGTATGGACAGAATGAAATTGGACCTAAGTTGCCACAGAAATGGCAACAACAACCGTTCACCCACCTGCCAACCAGAGGTCCCCAGGGGTGCTCTGAAAACAGAGGAAGGCGATCTGGGGGAGGACCTGGGAGGACAGGTCAGCTTCTGCCTCTCTGGCTGGGTGGAAGCCCCCGTCCAAGTCAGAGACTGAGTCTGGAGGAGTTGGCTGCAAAGTGGAGAAAGAGGCCATGTGCCCCACTACTCAGATACCTGCTCTGGCACCGGAAATGTTTGCCCTGAGCCATCCGTCACTGTGCAGGTGCTTAGTGAGCACTTCGTCTGTGCTGGGGGAAGAAGGGGCTTGTCTCATGCTCTCAAAGTATGTATGGTGTCCAGGCAACTGGGTGGCGATCTTTACCCCTCTCCTTTACCCTTCACATCCATCCAGGGCCTATCATGTCCCTTCAACCTCCAGAACAGATTCCAAGTCTATCCCTTCTCTCCACCTCCCCCAGCCCAGCGTGGCCCCCATCATCCTCCAAGTGTCCTGTCTCACTCCTGCTTCCTCTCTTCCTCACTCGAATCCATTCCTCACAGTCCAACCAGAACCCTGTTTTTGAAACATTAATCTCATTACACCCATCCCCTGCCAAAAATCTTATAGTAGGTTGAATAGGGATTCCCCGCCCCCACAAATTCATGTCTTCCCAGAACATCAGAATGTGACCTTATTTGGAAATAAGAGTCCTTGTAGTTGTAAGTAAGTTGAAGTCATCCTGGATGAGGGTGGGCTTTAAATCCAATGACGGATGTTCTTATAAGATGAGGAGAGGACACACAAAGACAGGCAGAGATTGGAGTGATGCATTAGTCCAACTGCATGACTGTAAAGGAATACCTGAAACTGAGGAATTGATGGAGAAAGGAGGTTTAATTGACTCACTGTTCTGCAGGGGGGACAGGAACCTGAGTGCTGGCATCTGCTTCTGGTGAGGGGCCTCAGGAAGCTTCCAGTCATGGCAGAATGTGAAGCGGGAGCAGGCAGGTCACCTGGTGAGAGTGAGGGCAAGAGAGAGAGAGAGAGAATTGGGGAGGTCCCAGACTCTTTTAAACAACCAAATCCTGCATGAACTCACTGAGCAAGAGCTCACTCCTCACCAAGGGGATGTTACTAAACCATTCATGAGGCATCCACCCTCCTGATCCAATCACTTCCCACCAGGCCCCACCTCCACCATTAGGAATCACATTTCAGCATGTGATTTGGAGGGGACAGACCTCCAAACCATATCGTGCTGCTATAAGCCAAAGAGTGCCAGGGACTGTGGGCAGCTGCTGGAAGTTAGGAAGAAGCACGAGGGAATTTTTCCCTGGAGCTTTCAGAGGGGGCACAGCCCTGCCGACACCTTGATTTCAGACTGTCACCCTCCGGGACTGTGGGAGAATACATTTCTGTTGTCTTAAGCCTCAGTTTGTGCTACTTTGTTATGGCAGCCCTAGGAATCTAATAAAACCCTTAATAAATAGCATTCAACATTGAAACATTGTACCTAGAATGAAATCCCAAACCATTCACATGACCTGCCAGGCCTGGCATGTGCCGGTCCTTCTCCCCTGCTGCCTGTGCCTGTGCCCTGTCCACACCTCACGTTTCATCTGTCCTCCTGATCACTCAACATGCCAGTTCCCCAGAGAGACCTTGCCTGGCCTTTCCTTCTCTGACCCTGCTGTAATCAAAACCAGATCTGCCTGTGCTTCTCTGTCACATCTATCTGGTTTTAACTTCCTCATAGCACTTACTCCAAGTAGTAATTTTGAATAAATTGTGAGGCATGCTTCCTTACCAGATTGTGGTCTCTTTGTGGGCGCATGTATCTGTCTTGTCTGTCCTGTATCCCCAGCCCTTAATTCCACATCTGGCACATAGTAGGTGTTTAATAAATACCTGCTGAATAAATATACCCAACATACACATAAATGAAAATACCTCACGGGAAGAGGCTGTAGAGAGGGTCAAATGCGGGGTTGGCGGAGAAGAGGGGGGAGATCAGAAATGACTCCGTCCATGTCTCCAGGGGTCAGACATATTGATGAGGGAGGGCCATGGATCTCATTGTAAACTTGGGGGCACCGGGTGCTCATCACTGTGTGCCAGACGACTCTGCCAGCGGACAGAAGTGGCTCTGCTTGCTGACGAGGAGGCCCTGAGTTTGAGCAGGAAAGGCTGTTCAGCTCCCTGTGCTGTGATTTATGGCTCCCAGACAGAAGGCAGGTGGTCACAATTTATAAGGGCCACAGACCCTTTGGGCCACAACGGTGGTGAATGACATCACCCAAGAAAGGGAATTTACTGCACAGGCATGATGCCAGGTGTCAGGGTGAGTGAGAAAGGCCTGCAGAGCATCTGCTCCAACTCCAAGTTTATAGACGGGTCCACCGAGGCCTTCAGAGGCACGTGACTTGCCCAGAGCCCACCGTGGGTGTGCCCCTGTGGCATCGCAGGCCTGGATCCACGTCTCCTTGTGCTGTTCCTGCTTCCCTTGAGCCTTTCCTTTCAGAAAAAGAGCAAAAACCAAGCCAAGAACCTCCCCTTACGCTCTCTGGGAGGCTGACATTTAAGTAAGTTCATCTGGCTCAGCTTTTACTTAAAGCTCACAGAGGTGACTGTTCTACTTTATAGAAAAGTTAAACTTTAAAAAACTTTCTAGCTTCTTCAACAACTTTGCCAGTGCTGGACAGGTCACTGCTTTTTCTGCAGCCCCCGCTTCTGTCCTTGCTGCCGTCCTGAATCTTTGATGTCTGGGAGCCTGAGACGAGAACTCGGGGGTGGGAAGGTGTAGCAGCGTGGACAGAGAGCAGGCGTGTGACCTCATTTACCTGTCCAACTCCATCCAAGTGAGGCCTTACAAGGAGGCTTTGTGCTGGGCACACAGTGGTGCTCAATTAAGACTGACTGACACAATGAACAGCCATGGATGGTTTGAGTGATGGGGTCCAGCCCCCTCTTTCTGTGACCTGCTCCATCCTCTGAGGCATCGGAATCTTCCGCACTCAGCAATGATGCATCCCCAGCCCTGCCCACCTGTTCAGCCAGGAAATCTGGAGATGGCCCAGGAGTATCCCCTTCACAAGCTGAGTCTTGATTCCTACCACATTTCAAAGGCCCCACTTCTGGCCAGCATCCCTGCTGCCACCGCAGCCCTGCTACCCACCCAGCTGCTGCATGAAGCCCATGACTGGCCCTGGCAGCCATCCTTGTCTCCCAAGTAGTCTATATGTTACAAAGCAGCTTCAAGGAGGTGAGATTTTTAAGATCAAAGTCACTCAAATTCTGCCGATTCCCTACATGAAACTGTCTGTAGCTTCCTGTTGCACTTGGAAGAAAATTCCAACTTCTTGCAGGGACCATGAACCATGCCCACTACCTGCCACCCCCTCCCTTGCAAGTCCCTGACCTCTGTTCTGCCATCAGATGCTCCACTCAGCTAAGCTCGTCCCTACCAGGGGCTCTGTGTCCCCACAGCTGCACTTCCTTATCCTTCAAGTCTCAACTTACATGTCACCTCCTCGGGGGACATCCTCTGTGACCATCCATGTAACATAGGTCTCTGCCCCCATTTCACCCCACGAACATTATATTGTAGCTCAGGGGTCTGCAAACTACAGGGCCAAATCTGACCACAACCTGAGTTTGTAAATAAAGTTAATTGGGACACGGCCACACCCATTCCCTTACCTGTGGACTTGGCTGCTCTCGGGTTACGTTGGCAGAGCTGAGTAGTTGCAACAGACACCGCATGGCACACAAAGCCTAAAATCTTTACTATCTGGCCCTTTGTGGAAAAAGTTTGCCAGCCCCTGTTCTAGCTCAGCCTCTCATTGGCTTTCTTCAATGCCATACTTCACATGTAATTATTTTATATATTTTCATGTTTTTTTCCCTAGTTTTTTGCCAATCTTTCCATAAAAATATGAATTTTCTGAGGGTAGGGCCTTACATGACATTCTTAAGCATATCTCCAGTCTCCAGTTGTTGACAAAAATACAATTTATAATATTGTCCAATACTTTCCTAGGACTAATAGAGTAACTACTGGTCAGATTGGTTGGTATATTTGGTTCATCTCTGCTTGGCTTATTGGTTCCAAATACATGTACACACACCCTAGACCAGATGAGTGTTGACCCTGTATTTATTTACATTAGTGGTTCCCAACCTTTTTGGCACTGGGGACCAGTTTTGTGGAAGACAATTTTTCTATGGACGGGGGTTGGGGTGGGGATAGTTTAAGGATGAAACTGTTCCACCTCAGATGATCAGGCACTAGTTAGACTCTCATAAGGAGTGTGCAGCCTAGATCCCTCGCATGCACAGTTCACAATAGGGTTTGCGCTTCTACGAAAATCCAGTGCCCCACTGATCTGACAGGAGGCGGAGCTCAGGAGGTAATGCCTGCCCGCCTGCTGCTCACCTCCTGCTGTGCGGCCCGGTTCCTAACAGGCTATGGACTGGTACTGGTCTGTGGCCCAGGGGTTGGAGACCCCTGATTTATATCACTTCTTGCTCTTGCAGTCGCACCTGGGCACAGGCTCCTTTTTTATTTCTCTCTCAATCATATTGGCTTCTTGGATAGCTTTTGGAGCGTGAATGAATTGGCTACAAATGATGAAAAAAAAAAAAGGATAAAAGCACTTTGGGAGGCCGAGGCGGGCAGATCATGAGGTCAAGAGATCGAGACCATCCTGGCCAACATGGTGAAACCCCGTCTCTACTAAAATACAAAAACTTAGCTGGTTGTGGTGGCATGCACCTGTATTCTCAGCTACTCGGGAGGCTGAGGCAGGGGAATCGCTTGAACCTGGGAGGCAGAGGTAACAGTGAGCCGAGATTGCGCCACTGCACTCCAGCCTGGCTACAGAGCAAGACTCTGTCTCAAAAAAAAAAAAAAAAAAAAAGGGCTAAAACTTTTCGCTTGACAGAGTGCACAGGGTAGAGGACAGACTACAGGCTGGTTTCTGGAGGAAGAAACCTTGAGCTAGGCATCTATTCTAGTCTTGATGCCATGACCTTGTGAAGAGTGGCCTCAGGTTCTTTGGAAGTAGATGGACTATAAATGATAACTGAGAAAGCAGACTCCCTCTGAGCTTAGCATCTTCATCCTGCAACATGGTTTCCAAAGAGTATAGAATTACTGCTTCTCAGTTTCCTGAGGCTGTCCTTAAAGTTGGATTTCCCATGTGAGGTCAGGTGATTCTCACTCACAGCTGAACCCACCGAACAAAATTCTCTCCCATAGTTCATATTCCTGAGGCTAATTTCTGGCTCGAATTTTTCCACAAGCATTCGCTCTGTGTCTTTGGGCAGGGCACCTCATGTCTCTGAGCCCCAGCCTCTTAACCTGTGGTGGGACCATATTTTTAAAACGTGATCTGATTGTCGTTATTATTGCTATTTCTTTTTCCCTCATAGAGCTCTTCCTTCCATTCATTGGGGAGACTCCCGTCTTCCTACCCCTCCCTGTGATGGCAGAAAGGGGATGAAAAGGGAACATTCTTGCTGGCCTTGGAGTTTCAGTAGCCCAGACCTTCAGGCAGACAAAAAGCACTCCTGTCTGCAAAAAATTATTTTGAAGGACATGAGATGCATGAGAGGAATACCCTCCTCCCATCCCTATCGCTGGACAGAAAAAGATTCTCAGGGCTGCAGGCAGGAATGTGAGTTGGAGTGGGGCAGGGAAGGCGTAGACACGGAAAGACCCCAGGAGGAACTTGGCTTCCTGTCCCCCAGGCTGAGCGCTGGGCAAGTAGCAACATCCCCAGGTGTATCTGTGGGAGCTGAGGGCGGAGCAGGCTGTGTCTGTTTTGCAGGGAGGCAAAGGACCTCAGAGAAGAAACAGCTTCCTCACAGGTCATGATAAAGCATGCCCTGAACAGCTTCGTGTATCCACCACCTGACATGAAAAAGGCACAGCAGATGATTCCACAGAGGCCATGAAGCCAAAAGGGCACTCACAGGCAGGACTAGGGGTGGCTTGGCGGTGACCTGCATGGGCCTAGGCCATCATAGCCCAGATGGTCCTTTCTTCTCCCTGCCCCCACCGAACCTGGGCATCGCATTGACCTTCTTGAGCCTTCTGGGCTATTTCAGGGGAAAGGGTGGGTGGATCTGAATTGGCTGATGTAAATTCCACCACCCTGATCAGACAAGAGAGAGTATTGTCACTCTTGGTTGATGTTTGTATGTGATAGAGGGCAGAACATATGTGAGGTTGGGTTTGAAAACAGATCAAAGGGGGTATGGGGTTTTGAACTGATGAGAAAGATTGTTTAGAATAAAAATGCGTAAGTGTAGAAGGAGTAAAAAGGAAGAAAAGAAAAGAGAGAGAGAGAGAGAGATTGTGAAATCAATCCTCCAGCTGATGGGCACCTGATGGGAAAATGTTGATCTACACATCAGGTCCCTTTTACAAGGCTGATGGCAACCATAAGACGCCACCTGCAGCTGACTTTTCAGAAAATCTGGCACCAGAACACGGGGCTTGGAGTAATCCATCTCGGGAAGCACTGAGCCATGAACCTGTTAAATGGTATCTGCTGGAGGCCTGCTCAGCTCATGCCCAGCTGCAGGTTGTGGTGGAATCTCTGCCGCTCGAAGGCCAGATGGCGCAAATAGTGGTGGTGGACCTGGCGTCCTACTGTGGGGAACACACACTGAAGCAGATGCCTGGGCTCACAGCTCCTGGGTCAGCTGAACTCATGTTGTTGGCACTCCCTGAGCAGTCGAGAGGGGCATCTGTTTATTCTGTGTGTTCCATTTCCTTCCTTCCATGTCCACCTTCCTCTGGCTGGCACCTGCCCTTCTGCTTCAATGGAGCCTGGTGCTTCTGCTGACCTCCACCTGCCAGGATCAGGCTGGTCCTGGTTAGGAATTGAGGCTGTTGCAATGGGAAGAGGTAGACAGAGCAGCATGGTGGAGGGGAGAGCTCTGTGCCCAGATGGACTCGGGCCCCAATCCTGGCTCCACCCCTATATGTGGGACTACAGGCAAGTAACTTAAACCTCTTTAAGCCTTAGTTTCCTCCTCTGTCAAAAGAGAGCACCTAACTCACAGAAAGATTTTGAGGATTAAATAGTATAATGTGAACAGCATACTCAGTGCAGTACCTGGCACCCAGTATCCAGTACCTACTCAATGAAGTCACTTCAAGACCATAACCATGGGGGTCTTGCATAATAACCATTGTAGTAACAACTCGTGGAGCACTGGCACATGACAGAGGGGACCCGGAGCCCAGTGCTCAGCTCTCCAGGGAGGTAGGGGGCATAACTTTCCCAGACCTTGGTGATCTTGTCTTTTCAGCCTGTTTTTCCCACTCAACCTGGAATGGGCTTGCTTTTCCTCCTTCCAGCTGCATGCAATGGTGGATGCTGACTCTACCCAGGCAGAATTGTATTAGAGGTTTCCATTTCCTGAAACCCTGCCCATTGGAGATAGCCTGTTTCCAATTACTGTACCTACCCGTAATTAGATGAGAACAAACTGAAAAAATGGCTTTCATGGGAGCCACCGGCACTGCTGGATTGGCTTTGAAGCTTAACCTCGTTATTAATAATAAACATTTTGCGATGGACTTTTGACCACGCACTCATCCAGCATCTTTTCCTCATGAACACTCTTTGCTTGAGAGGCTGTGTGTGGTCTAAATGTTGGAGGTCAGCTCCTTGATTATGCTTGAAAAATCAGCTCCTCTCTCTCTCTCTGCCTGTTTCCTTATCTGTAAAATGAGAGGGTTAGACCCTATGGCTTCTGAGGCTCCTTTTGCTGCTTTAGTGAACTTGAATGCTTGTAGGAAAAAATTAAACCACTAAGGTCTAGAGTAAGCAGCTCAGAGAGGCCATGGCCAATCAACGCCCTTTAGTTTATAAAATTACTTCTCTGGGAACGGACCTTTAGTGAGTGGTGATGCTCTGTGACCCTTTCAGAGGGAACATGTTGAGAAATGACTCCCTGGGTTGACAGAGTTTTCCTAAGAATATTTTTTCATTTCAAGGCTATCCTGGTTTGGATTTGATCGTGTCCTTCTAGGTAGTTCTTGACTTTGGCTTCTCATCAGGGTTTCTGGGGAGCTTTTCGAAATTTTCATGCCCAGGCTACAACTTAGAACAATCACAGCAGAATTTTTGGGAGTAGGGTGGGCCTCAATGCTTTGTGAAAACTGCCCATATGATTTCAGTGTGCGGATGACGGGGAGAACCATAGTGCTAGAACGGTACATTTCAAACTTCCGTGGGCCCGTAAGTGACTGGGGATCGTGTGAAAATGCAGATTCTGACCGCAGAGGGCTGCAGCGGGGCCTGAGACTCTGAATGTCTAACGAGCTTCCAGTTGATGCTGCCACTGGTTTCCAGACCACACTGTGTGGCAATACTTGGAAGGCCCAGCCATGTGACTCTGTTGTCAGAAACTACAAATCCATGAGAATGCAGGCTGCAGACGTTCCCCTGGGAATCTTCTCTGCCCACCCTTATCAGCAGAATGAGACTGGGAAGTGCAGTGCCCTAGTCAGGTGCCCCACCTGAGAATTTGGCCCCTCTTCAAACAGATAGTCTTAAAGTACTTATTCAACATTTCTTTAGTGGGAGTGGCATTGGTTTTGGCAACGATTTTTTAAAATTGTGACTTGAACATCCTGTCTATCCCCAATATACCCATGTCAGCAGCAGCCCTCCTGCCAGATGACATCTCAGTCCCATGGCAGACTAGGAAGGGCCTTTGGCCTTAGCTGAGGCCATTGAATGCTTCTACTGAGGACTTTGACCTGAGAAAGTGCCTCAAAGGTGCAATGACAGAGTTGCTGCAGGCAGTGGTGAGTGTCTCTAGGTGCAGGGGTAGTGGTGACGATAGTGACCTGTGTCCAGCAGTGGCATTTGTTCTTTGCCGGGCCCTGCCTATGGATGGACCTGGGATGGGATTCTGGACATCCAGTCTTGATGGGTTTCAGGTGTTTCATTGATTTTGCAAGCTATTCAATATCCTTCCAATAAATGTACTTTCTGCATAGTCTTGCTTTCTGTTGTGTGGAATCAAGAATCCTGATTGAGACATATCAGTCAGACAATTGAGTTGTTAATAGATTAATGAGATAATCCGTATAGAAAGCTTAGAGTTCTACCCAACTTGTAGGAAACAACCAATCAATGTTAGCTAGGTTAATGATGGAGGAGAAGGAGGAGGAAGAGGAGGAGAAAGAAGGGGAAGAGGAAGAAGAGGGCATGGGGGAGAGGAGGAGGAGAAGATGTTGAGTAGGAAGCTGTGAGGGGCAATATTGAGGGGGCTTGCTTTCAATAGAGTGATCCCGAAGGCCCCTCTAAGGACAGGCCATCAAAGTTGAGGCCTGAAAACAGAAAAGGAGCTTCATGTGAAGAGCACATTAGACAGAGGGAAAGGCATGTGCACCTGTGCATGAAGAGGTCATGAAACCGGCATGTTCCAGGAGTTGCTGGGAGGTCAGTGGCTGGGCAGGAGTTGTGGCATGGGGTAGGGAGGAGCCAGGTCTCCATGAGTTTCCAGACTGGGGTGGGGACTCAGCCTTTCACATTGAACACTAAGAACATTGGCAAAGCTTTGCCAACCCTGGTCCTTCCTCCCAGTGGTGGGTTCTCTCTGGTTGATATCTGTTGTTGTGGGGATCCCTCCAGCAACAGGGAGGTGACTCCCCCACCTCCATCAACCAGCTCTATTTTTGCAGTGCACTCATGTGGAGTAAAATGTGCCTTCTTCTCCTTAAGGGGGAACAAATTACAGTCTAAAGCTTCCTTTCCTCAGGGATGATTACAGTCTAACCCTGGCTCTAGCCATAGCTTGCAAGGAAGGTCATCCCTGTTGAAAGAATTCGGGGCATCAGTGTGGAGGAGAGGAGGGCACAGGATGAGGGTATCCCTCTTGATTGAGGTTAACAGCCTGTTAGTATCTCCTTACTGTGCCCTTGGATGGGGAGCTCTGGGACTCACTTGAAGTCCAGACCTGGGTCAGGAAGGCAGAGAGGGATGAATAGAAATAAAGGGTAGTCCTTGCGCACACACACCCAACCCAGATAACAGCTGATCCAACTTTCCTTTGTGTGGCTTTGTCCATATGTTTATGGGACACATATGGCATTCTCATGTATTCCATAAACATGTACAAAGCCACATGAAAAAGGCTGCCTTCCTCTTTTCCCAGATTTAAAATCCCTTGAGGGCAGAGACTGATTCCTATTCCTAGCAAGCCTGATGGGTTGCTTTTAAGATGCCATTCTAAAAGCACCTTGGGCAGATAGGCCTGGAGGGGGAGAAAATCACGTGTCAGTCTCCTTCCGTGTGCTGTCTTTACCTGGATATTGTGTGTGTGTGTGTGTGTGTGTGTGTGTGTGTGTGTGTGTCTGTGTCTTTGTGTGTATGTTTGCATGTATGTTGTGCATGTGCATATATAGTGTCTGTGCGGGTCTCTGTATGTACAAATGTGTATGTGTGCGTGTGTGTGTGTACGCCTGTAATCCCAGCTACGCAGGAGGCTGAGGCAGGAGAATTGCTGGAACCCGGGAGGCAGATGCTGCAGTGAGCCAAGATCGCGCCACTGCACTCCAGCCTGGGTGACAGAGAAAGATTCCATCTTAAAAAAAAAAAAAAAAAAAAAAAGATATCTGCCCTTTTATGTAACAACCCGAAGTCAATAACGCTTTTGCTTTTTCTTCTCAAAATGAAGGGTAGAAAAATACAGCTAATGATATTTTCCTGGTTGCTCATAGCTGACAGCCCTGCCAGCTGCAGTCCCCTCAGGCCTGTAAACTGCACGAGCCACAGCTGCTTTCTGATGGTGGAGGAAGGAGTCACTGGCTCATCATTCACTGGCCAGGAGCTTGGAGCCTAAAATCTCCCTTCTTGCCACTTCCCTCCCAGCCCCTAGTGATGGAAGAATGTGCTTTAGTCTCAACTGTCCAGCTCTCAGATCCCTCGCCTTCCTACCTCCTTAGACACAGCTTTTCCCCCTCCACTTCTCTTTTGATATGATTTTGATGAAGATAGGAAAAAAGAAAATAGGAAACAATAGTAACCGACGCGGAAATTTTACCAAGCATGATTTTTTTTTTTTTTCCGTTAACAATGTCAGTTTCCTCCACTACAAACAGAAGGTGTTGGACTGGGTGATCTCACAGATCCCTTCCGGCTTTTAAATCAATTACAGTGCCTCTCCTCCCCACCCCCAAATTCACTAGTGCACATTTCTGGAACTTGGTGAAGAGATGTGCCATCACCTAAAGCAGCTTCCGGTGTTAATCCTCTGCGATCTCACAAGTTGGTCAGGGCAACAGCAAGATGGTCTGGGGAGGTCTCATGAAGGCTGCTTCCCAAAGCACAGTTCAAGTTCTCAGGCTTCTAGGTGAGACCTGGAGGAATCCTATTAAACCCTGGTCCTCCTGAGAATCAACAGGGAGCCCCGGACAGTCTAACTTAGTTGGTTGGGGGGTTCTGTTCCAAAATGTGCATCTCTAGCCATACCCCAAACTAATTCAGATGTAGCTAGTCCAAGAACCAAACTTCAAAAGATGTAACCGTAGACCAGGGTTACTCAGCACCAGTACCGTTGACACTGGAGCTGGACAGTCAGTTGTTGGGCAGTTGTCCTGTGCATCATAGGATGTCTAGCAGCAGCCCTGGCCTCCATCCCCAAGATGTAGCAGGAATTACCCTTTCCCTAGTTGGTACAGTTAAAAATGTCTCCAGACACTGTCAGTTGTTCCCTGGGTGGCAAATTGCCCTTGGTTAAGAACCTCTACCATAGACAGTGTCTCCCCTTGGGACCTGCTATTGGACATTTTGATCAACACAACACAGGTTGCTAGAAGGTTCCCACACGACACAGGTTGCTAGAGGAGGTTCCTGTCACTGCTGAGGGAAAAATACCCTCCCACTGAAGCCAAGCTGTGCTGGAAGCAGCCAACCCATGTATGGACGGTGTCTGTTGATCCTGGTGACTACCTGTTGGAGGGAGGTGGGGGTTCTTTGGAGAATCCCTTTGGTGGGACCCATTATAGCACTACCAAACTTGCCTGCTGGTTTGTGTAATGAGCTCCTTTGTCACGGTGGAAGGTAATTGTCCCAATCCTGAATGTTTTTCGAGCACTTGCTTTCTACCCAGCACTATGCTGAGTGCGTTGCATACATTATCATTTTTGATCTTCCCAGCGACTATATAATATGGCTTCTATTATAATCCCTATTAAAGACATGAGAACAGTGAGTGAAATAATGTTTCCAAATGGCTGACCTGGAATTTAGACTTGGACAATCTGACTCCAGAGACCACATCATAAATCGCCGTGCCATATACATATGCATGTCTCTTTCCATTTCCTGAAAAATATAACTCAGTCTTCGCAAACACCAGAGAAATATAATTTCAGGTTGAAGACACATTATAATAAAAATTGAGGGATGCTTTTTGCACTAAATCTCCCTTATCGGGAACACATCAGCCTGGGCAGCTTTCTGCTCCCTGGGGAGCAGCACGGGAATGAAGTCCCACCCAGGGTAAGTGACAAGGCACCTCATTCTGTCCATGCTTCTGCCTGTTTGAGAAGTTTTGGAGTGTCAGGCAGTGGCGAGTAGCAGCGGGGGAGGTGGAGAGGAGGCGACTTGCAAGAGGACAGCGAGTGGGGTTTAGGACATCTGCATACATCTGCCATCCCCAGTGGGAGGTTTTAGGCAAAGTTCTTTAGCTGTGAATTTTTACAAATATCACCAGAAAACCCCTGTGGTATAATAGGAACTTTGGCTTGGATTGGTGCTGTGAAGGGTCCCACTGTGTTTGGCTTTATTCCCTGAAGATTAGCAAGTAGGGGAAAAATGAAGACATCATTTAGGATGGTTATTGCCTCTGCTAATGAGCATATTGAAATAGTAGTTAAAAACTCCTTCATTCATATGTGGACTGGAAATGGAAAAAACCAAGGGGACGTTGGGCATCAGTGAACTGGGGGTGCCTTGTAAGGGAGCTGCTAAACTGATGGATGCATCAGGTTTATTTTCCTGTGGCTGAAGATGCAGGTGGTGTTGGAACAGGAAGATGAGCTGAGCAGGTCCTGGGTGGGGCCATGGGGCAGGTTACAAAGTACTACGAGAGTGAGAGGAAGGAGGCCTCCGGGCAAGCCAGTGACAGAGATAGTTGGCATGTTTAGTGGAATGTGGACATGGTTGGCCTTGTCAGTGCATAAGGAGAGTATGTCAAAGCACAATCGGCTGTGTTAAATAGCAGCCCTGGTGCCAAAGGGGGTTCAGGTGGTTAGGATGGAGACCATAGAAAATAAAAAACATTCCAAATTGTGTCACTTGGGACTTGTGTTTGCAAGTGATAGAACCCCAACTTAAACTGATTGAAGCAATACACAAACCAAAACAAGTGTGAGTGTGTGTGTTTGTGTGTGAGTGGGGTAGGGGACCATTTGTTAATGTCATGAAAAATCCCAGAGGTGATTGTTTTTAGGCATGGGTATCTGCAGACACTCAAATGATGTCAAAGGCCTTTGTTTTTCTGGCACCACTTTTAGCACCACTGTGTCTGTGGGCCACACCTGGGGCAGGCTTCCTTTCCACGATGATCCCCAGGCACTTTCTTCAAGTCCAGCAGAAAGTGAAGGCTGCTCTTTCTTAATAATCCAAGCTAAAGTCCCTGATTTGAGTCTCACTGGCCAGTCGTGGGTTCCGTACTTCCCCCAGTTTGGGGATTTTGTCTGGCCCAACCAACCAACATGGCCTGAGAGTAAGGGCGGGACCTCACTCAGAGTGGGAGAAACCTCCTGGGCTCATGGTGGGTTTAGATGGGCAGCCTGATCTTTCTCTCTCCATGTTGAACAATGACCTATAGACAAGAGCTTGCTGATTAAATGGTAGTCACACAAGGTATTCCAGCCCCCGTGTTTCCTTTTTGTCCTAGAATAAGCTAGGGCTGACAATTTGAATTCAATAATAGTTACTTCCTAGCTGGTGGTTTTTTATTTTTTAAAAAGTAAACGCTAGAGTTGGGTTTACTGATAAGTATCATATAATAAGTTATAAAGATGGGCAAAAAACATCACTTTTTGCCCCTTGTTAAACATGTAAGTTTCTTAAGGGGAGGCCAGGTCTCAGCGTCTTTTCTAAGGGTTTCATCACTCAACCCAGTAGCTCCTACGAGTTCCTGTAACAGGAACCAAGTTACACAAACCTCAGGAATAGGAGCTCCTCCATCTTTCGTGCTGTGCTTCCTTCCCTGCACATAAGACAGGTGAGGGGCTGTGGCTCACAGACATTTTCTGCATTCCCTGCAGATAGGACAGGTGAGGGGCTGTGGGCACACAAACATTTCACTTACTTAATGGTGGCCATGGCCACATCTGTGCTGACAACTGGTTTGCAATGCCAGAAACTGCAGATTGAACAAGCTCATTACAGCCTCCCTGATGGTTTTAGAACCTTAGATTAACTTTCCTATGATCCAATCCTTGGTCCACTGTGCAAGCTCCTCCCAAACTCCAACCCAGATCTTCCTCTGAGGCAATTCAGCAAGACCACCTGTTGCTCTGCCCTAGATTCCTACATATCTTATTGGGTTATGACTTTTTTTTCATAAAGTCATCGACACGAGGATATGACTGGGGTAGCTGGGGGTGGGGCTTGCTCAGGGAGTCTTGGACAAACCCTCCCTGCTTAGTGGAGCTCTGATGGGACTCTTGACTCCCTTCTCTCTGCAGGCCCAAGAACACAAACACATTCCACCGACAGCTTATCTTGACCGCATCTTCCAGTGTCTCCCCTGAAACTACCGTTGGCACTTTCAAGTTCTATTGATATTATAGGGACCTTATGGATCCCATGGCTTTATTTTTTGAAGTTCTTGGAAGTGCTAATTTTCATTTCAATGCAGGTTAAAAAAGATCTAAATCATATCCCAGAGCTTAGGCATCAAGAAGCCGTGGGCATTATTAGCCATCAGGGAAATGCAAACAAAAATAATCTCAGTGACATACCCCTTCCTACCCACTAGGGTGGCTGTCATCAAAAAGGTGGGTTTAGATCGGTTTTATAATCTTAGACTAACTTCTTATGATCTGGTCCTAACAAGTGTTGATGAGGGTGCGGTGAAAGTGGAACCCTCATACACTGCTGGGAGGAATTCATGGTGTAGTAATTTGGAAAACAGTCTTGCAATTCCTCAAAAGGTTAAATAACAGTAATCTAAACAGCATGGCACTGGCATAAAAACAAACACACAGACCAATGGAACAGAATAGAAAGCCCAAAAATAAAACCATGCAGCTACAGTTAATTGATCCTCAGCAGGGGTGCCGAGAACACACAATGGGGAAAGGATAGTCTCTTCAGTCAGTGGTGCTGGGAAAACTAGATACCGGATATCCACAGGCAAAGGATAAAATGGACCCCTATCTCATACTATATACAAAACTACCTTGAAACAGATTAAGAACTTTTTTGTTGTTTTTTGAGACAGAGTCTCACTCTGTCGCCCAGGCTGGAGTGCAGAGGCATGATCTCAGCTCACTGCAACCTCCACCTCCCAGGTTCAAGTGATTCTCCTGCCTCAGCCTCCCAAGTAGCTGGGATTACAGGCATGTGTCACCACGCCTGGCTAACTTTTGTATTTTTAGTGAAGATGGGTTTCACCATGCTGGCCAGGCTCGTCACAAACTCCTGACCTCAAGTGATCTACTCACGTCAGCCTCCCAAAGTTCTGGGATTATAGGCGTGAGCCACCACACCCGGCCTAGAGACTTTTACATACAAGAAAGACCTGAAACCATAAAACTACTAGAAGAAAACCTAGGGGAGAAACTTCTTGACATTGGTCTGGGCAATGATTTTTTTGAATATGACACCAGAAGCACAGGCAACAAAAGCAAAAATAGAGAAGTGGGCTCATATCAAGCTAAAAAGCTCCTGCACAGCAAAGGAAGCAATCAACAGAGTGAAAAGGCATTTACAGATTGAGAGAAAATATTTGCAAACCATATATATGATAGGAGGTTAATATCTGAACCAACCAAACAAAAAAGTTTAAACATAGTTACCATATACCTGTAATTCCACTCCTAGGTATATATCCAAGAGAAATGAAGACATGTCCACACACACGTGAACATAAATGTTCATAGCAACATTATTCATAACAGCCAAAAAGTGGAAACAACCCAAATGTCCATCAATTATGAATGACAAACAAAATGCCATCTATTCATGCCATGCAATTATTTAGCAACAAAAAAGAATGAAGTACTGCTACATGCTACCACATGAATGAACCTTAAAGACATCATGCTAAGTGAAAGAAGCTCCCCGCGAAAGACCGCATATTGTATGATTCCATTTCCATGAAATAGCCAGAAGAGGCAATCCCACGAAGGCAGAAAGTAGATTAGCCATTTCTGGTGGCTGGGGAGAAGGGGTTATGAGGAGGGCCTCCTTCATGTATGGGGTTCCTTTTTGGGGTGATAAAAATGTTCTGAAATTAGATAATGATGATGGTTGCACAACTCAGTGAATACACTAAAAACCATAAAATTGTACACTTTAAATGGGTGAATTGTATGGTATGTAAATTTATCTCAAAATGGATATGTGTGTTTGTGTGTACATGGAGAGAGAGCTGTCTGGCTGAATCTCAGGCTGGGGTGTTCAATCTGCAGAATTCTCTGATGGTATAGAAATTAGCTGACGAAAACATTCAGTGCTGAAGTAACTTCATCAATAACAGTACTAGAATGTCCCTTTCCCCTCCAAGCATATCATTCTAATCGTGTATTAGGTCTCAGATTCTTTACACTAATTCATGAAAATGCTTGTTATTGAGCAGAAATATTTAATATTCTTAACTTCATGGACGAAGATGCAAATCTTAGCTTTGTGTTGTTTCATAAGACTGTGTTTGCTGTCAGAAATGGGCAGTGTCTTTTAATTATGAAGCATTGGGGATGCATCTCACAGCTAGCTCAAAATGGAAGGGGGCAAATGAGTCTCTGAAAGGAAGTACAATTTCCATTTTGCTTAAGAATTGCAAATGTCATTTATAAGAGCAATTCAAAGTCATTTTGAATCTCGGGTCTTGCCTCGTGTGATGACTTATGGGAGCTCCCTTCTCCCTGAGCTGTCTTTGGCTTTAGTGTGAGGACCAGACCTGGAGGGGCATTTCAGAGGTCGCTGCAGGGAGACCAGAGGGGAGGCTCTTTTAAACAGTCAGAATTAATGTCCTTAGCCAACCAAAAGGATGACATCTGGGCCATAGCGAGGGTAAGCAACTCCACGTTAGGGACTGGACCTAGCCAACTTGACCTCCTCAGGACCCAGCGCAGTGGCTAACACACAGTAGGCATTCAATATTATTTTTTGGATGTTACATGTCAGCTAGGATGAAGTGGGTAGACAGACACAGACGCTTACAGAAATAGTAAGGGAAATGTTCATCAAATGATCACCTACAGATGGAATTATAAACTATGAAATACCTTAAAGGAAAAACCATGCAGGGGCATGTGGAATTATTGATGACGGAATGGCCACGTAAAACGCCTGTGACCTTTACCTCTGTCACACTTTAGGTCCTCCTCGCTTTAGGCGGAAGAGAGTTTAAGTTACCCTAGCCGTCACGGGGGTGCAGATGATCAGGACTAATTTACCAAATGGAAAACTGCTTCTTCCAGTCGGCCTCTTTGTGGAAGAGGCAAAGGGCAAGCACTAGGGCCTCCCTTGGGACCATTTTGCAGGTGGAGCATTGTCACCTTGTGTCACCCGTTAGAGGCAATGCATCAGGGAAATAGGAGAGCAGCAGGTCCCCAGTGAGGAGGGCTCTCTGTGCTGCCCTCATGTGGTGAAGCTGGGAGCATGCGCCTTCCTTTGCCTCTGGAGTTTCAAAATGCTCCTCAGGTGGTCCATGCACATGAGTCCACACGGCCCATAGGGAACCAGGGTGTCATTTTCCATTGCTTCTTTTATTGTTTTTGATAGGTTCTGTTGTAAGGAGCTCTGATTCCACATCCGCCAGCCTATAGGATATGCCTCCACTTAGACTCTCCATAGGAATCTTGTATTTAACATATTCAACAGTGAGCTCGCCATCTCCCCCCGAGTCCCCATCAAGCTGCATCTCCTTCTACACTCTCTGACCTAGGAAATGGCATCATTCAGTCCTCTAGGCTAGAAATCATGGTGCCTTCCCTGCCACCTTCCTCTCCCTCTCTTCCCAGGGCTAATCAATCACAACCCTGTTCGTCATTCATCTATATTCATTGAATCCTCTCTTTTCCATCCCCAGTACTGCGAAGAGACTGATTTTACTCCATATTAATGCAACTATTTCCTGCCTGGTTTTCTTGTCTTCCATCTGGTGTCCCTTGAATCCATCTTCCACCCTGTCACCAGATCATTCTAAAATGCTACTATGACCACATGAACACATCCACTTCAAACTCTTTGGTGGCCTGGCCCTGCAGACAGTTTCAGGGTGTTGCTCACAGCTCCTCCAACCCTGGCCCAGAAGCTTCCCTGGAGGGCTGGGATTGTACGCCTCGTCTTGCCCAGCTTCCTTCTTCTGGGCTGCTCACCCCATGTGCACCACTCATTTTTAGACTTGGCTCAAGAATCACCTCCTCCTTGAAGCCTTTCCTGCTTTCTTCTCCCAGGCCCTATCCAAGATGACACTCACCACTTCCCTGTTGTGGGATTCTATTGCAGCATAAACAAAAAGAAAACAGGGTTTGGAGGTGGATGATCCCAATCTACCCCTTGGCATCACCACTGTTGCTCTGTGTGATCCATGCGGGTTACTGAACTTCTCTAGGCCTCAGTTTCTCTCTCTTTGAAAGGTGAAGGTTACAGTGCCTTGGTCATAGAGTTCACCTCAGGATTAAATGAAATAATCCTGTAAAGTGCTTGGTGCATGGGAAACCCTCAGCAAATGTTTACTCTGATTTGAACCCCAGAGATAGTCTGAGCAAGTTTCCACCCTAGGAAGGTAACACCTTGGTGTGTCCTTATTTCTGTTTCCACATCCACAGCTAGATTAAGCCTGAGGAAGACAGGTTGATGTTTGTTTCCTCAGTTCCTAGAATAGTGCTCAGCAAATAGTAGACTGTTAATCATTTCACAGCTTCCTACTGTGTCTCTGTGAATCTCAGGAAACAATTAAGCTACAGCCCATTGATGGTATAATTAGGAGTAGATCTTCAAAGCAGTGATCTAGCCATCAGTATAAAGGAAGATGAAAGCACAGTGAGTCCTGTCTACCCTGAATTCCCAATTCCTCGGGATGACATGCTGGAAGAAATCTTGTGTTTTCTAACTTAGAGAAAAACGTCTCAAATAATAAAATTATAAAATTTAAAAAGCCAAACCTTTTAAAAATTAAATTAATTGTTCAGAAGCATATATAGAGTGTGTAGGCTGTTGTTTTATTAAAAGGTTTTTATTTAATTGGCTGTTGGTTAGGGTGGTCCTTCTTGTTCGTTGGACAAACTTTTCTAAATATAATGGAGATTGGCCTGTTGGGTTGAAAATGGGCCCCCTTCCAGGAATGTTACCAGTTACCTGTTTCATTTAGCTGCAAATAAAATATAAACAAAATGACCCCACCATCTCTTCATTTTTGGATGGAGCTGTAAATTTGAAAAAGATAAAATGCTTCGTTGTCTGGAAACTATAGCATATACCTTCTGTAAATGTCATCTACATCTATCTTCAAGTTTGGAGGAGTATGTGTTAAAGGTAAAGTATGCAAATGCTGCACATCTTGCAGAAAGCCTTAATTAAATGGAATTTTCCTGATTAATGCTTCAAGTCACATTTCATCATAGAAATCCAAAATGGCTTCTGTAGCACTCACTATTAATTGATAGACTGGTAAAAAAAAATAAAGAAGCAATCATTATGAAATACTTCTTTTTTCCTTTTTTTTCTTTTTTGAGACAGAGTCTCACTCTGTCACCCAGACTGGAGTGCAGTGGCTATATCTCAGCTCACTGCAATCTCCGCCTCCCAGGCTCAAGCAATTCTCCTGCCTCAGCCTCCCTAGTAGCTGGGATTACAGGTGTGCACCACTACCTCCTGGCTATTTTTTGTATTTTTAGAAAAGATGGGGTTTCACCATGTTGGCTAGGCTGGTCTTGAACTCCTGACTTCAAATGATCTACCCACCTCGGCCTCCCAAAGTGCTGGGATTACAGGCATGAGCCACCACACCCAGCTGCAATCCTTATGAAATATTGACTATGCTTTTCCTTTGCCCGGAGAAAATTTAGTATTTAGCTTGTGTATCATAACTTGTGACCTAGTAGTGATTTGACCCTCTCTAACTCTCAGGCGTATCTCATTTGAACGACATTTATTGCACCGGAGGTGTTTGGCTTATGTGTGAGTATAGATCAGTGAATTACTAAAAGCTGTTTGAGCTGACAAATAATTGGAATTAAGAAAAAAAAATCAGTCTCTCTTTGGGTCACAATATCCTCAATTTCTTAGTACCACCATTATCTGTGTTTTTGCCCTGTTTCCTTAATCTTAGATATCTGGTGTTGTAGAGTCACAGAATGCAAGCTCAGCAGAGAACTATGAGTTTATCCCCAAATGGAAGTTTCTGGAAAGAGTCACAGTCTACTTTGGTCTTTTATGTTCAAAGTTAGAGGTACTTGGGCCCAACTGACTACTTTTGGTCCAAGAAGCCAGATGCTTTTTTCTTCCCTTTCTTTGCCTCTTCCCCACCTCCCTTGTATTAAAAAACACCAAAGGAATTACCGGTTGTCTCTCAATGTTTCCAGTGAGCCTTGACTGAGCCACAGTTATGAATCCTACTGAGATGTGCTGTATTTCTGAGGTGTCTCTAATGAGCAGTGTTTTGTTGTGTTTGGTGAACTGAAGCAAATAAATCATCTGCTGATATAAAGCTGATGACATGCAGCTAGTTTTGCTTTATTGAGTTATCCATACTGTTTGGCATAATAAGTTGTGTTGAAATACTTCCCACTTCTGTGCCTGCCTTTATTGGTTTAAAATCTGGGTCTTTTTTTATTGTTAGTGGTGCTTAGTATAGGTTTTATTATGATATGCAATTATCTCTGTGTCATGTTCATTTTGGTTTAATCGCCTATTCTGTATCCTAATGGGGTAAGTCAGCAGAAGACAGTGTCCCTTTGCTTGAGAATACTGCACTAAGGTATCTCACATAACTTTATAAATTATTTGTAATTCTAGGCAACATTGAAACCACAAACTTCAGAGATAAATTCCGTATCTATTCCCCTTGAAACTACTTAAAAACCTAACATTTCTTTGCATAACCTGAGAGAGATAGCAATTGCTGTTTGGTTCAATTTTTCTTTTTCCCATTTTTACCGTTGCTTTGCTATATTATTTAATTCTGATTTCTGCCACAGCATTTCCATCTTCTAAATACAGTAGATCCTTGGCATGTGCAGATTTTCAAACTCATGGAGTTGACTATTTTCCAGAGGTCCTAAAATTATTTGTAGTTTTGCAAAAACAAGAATTAGAATTGTATGTAGCACAGGCTGCTATGCTAGAGAGAGGTCCTTGCTAATGAACGTGCCTGACTTATTCAACCCTTAGCATAGAATCACTTCTCCATCAATAGAAGCTTCTGGTTGCATCTGGGTAACTACTGTCTTAATCTTTACTCTTCCTCAACTATATTTTATGGACTAAATTATAGATTATAGAAATATATGTGAATTGGGGGTTTGGGATGGTTTAGGACAACCTTTTAAAAGTTACCCATGCTTGGATAACACCCCTAGATATTCTGACTTATTTGAAATGGGGCCTAAACATGTGCATGTTTAAACAGCTCCCCCGTCTATTCCCATGTACAATCAGGGGTGAGAGTCAATGGACTAGGAGATACCTAAATTATTCATAACTCTCCAGCTCCAGTTTAAAAGACTGTGAATGATTTCCCATTGCTATTAAGATAAAGACCAACCCCTTTATTGTCTTCTAAACCAAGCCTCTTCTGGTGCCACCTTCATTTTCCTTGTATGCGTCTCAGCCTCTTGTATGTATTATACTCCTTTCTGTGACCGTTGTATGTGCTGCTTCCTTTTGTTTGGAAAGGTCTGTTTCCCTAGAGAATTTCTATGCATCCCTCAGAACTTTGCCCAATCATGGCTTCCTCAAGGAAGCCTCTCCTGACCCCTTGACTAGGTGAAATTTCACCATTAATCACTCTTCCACTTCCTTATAGTGCTTACAGTTGCCACTTCACCCTGAGTTGGGTGATTCTTTGCCTAGTGCCCATCTCTCCAACAATTCTCTCAACCCTGTGAGCTCCATGAGGGCAGGGACCATGCTTTCTTCACTCCAAAGCCCTCTTCCCAGTATGATGCTTGCATATAGTTGTCATTTAAGACAACCATTAAGTAAATAATTAAAAGATTTGCCATATTCCAAATCTGTCATGGTGATTACTCCACCATCAAAATAGAAGAGGATTTTCATTGAGTTAGACCTAAATCAAGTTTATGAATTGCCAATTGAACACTGCAGAGTATTATTCTAAGCTAGGGTTTCTCCACTTTGGCACTATTGACATTTTTGGGGTTCGATGATTTGTTGTGAGAGTGGGCTGCCCTGTGTATTGGAGGATGTTGAGCAGCATCCTTGACTTCTACCCATTATGTACCAGTAGAATCCCCTTCCCTAGTTGTAGCAGAAATGTCTGCAGGCCTTGCCAAGTGTTCTTTGGAGTCAAAAATGACCTTGATTATTACAGGCAACCTAAGGAGAGGGACCCAGATGAGAAGTTATTATGAGTATCTTTCATGGCTTGCACTTTGGTGGTCAGATTCTGTTACAGGTATTGTAGGGGGCTCACTCAGAAATACTGATGGTTCTCTAGGTTTGGGAGACACTGACCTGAGCCGTGGGCACTACCCAGAGACCCACAGTCAGACCTTGAGCTGTTAACCCAACTAACAGGTAGTTAGGTGAGAGCAGGGCAGGAGAGGACTCTTACCCCCGCCCACCAGAAATGTCGGGTGATGGTTTGGCAATTATTGCATTGCTTCTCTAAAAGTAATAAACTGGCAGCTGGAGCCAGGGAGAGGCCATTTCCAGATGGTCCACACCTGTTAACATTGAAATGTTAATTAAAAGCAGCCCCAGGGAGAAGAAACTTCCTGGGTGTATTAGTCCATTTCCATGCTGCTGATAAAGACATACACAAGACTAGGAAGAAAAGGAGGTTTAATGGGACTTACAGTTCCACATGGCTGGGGAGGCCTCAGAATCATGGCGGGAGGAGAAAAGTGCTTCTTACATGGTGACAGCAAGAGAAAATGAGGAAGAAGCAAAAGTGGAAACCCCCAATAAACGCATTAGGTCTCGTGAGACTTGTTCACTATCACGGGAATAGCATGGAAAGACTGGCTCCCATGATTCAATTACTTCCCCTTGGGTCCCTCCCACAACACATGGGAATTCTGGGAGATACAATTCAAGTTGAGATTTGGGTGGGGACACAGCCAAACCACATCACTGGGCATACACAT
Organism: Homo sapiens; assembly: GCF_000001405.40. Classification (NCBI taxonomy): domain Eukaryota; kingdom Metazoa; phylum Chordata; class Mammalia; order Primates; family Hominidae; genus Homo; species Homo sapiens. The sequence continues at coordinate 112,110,283 of NC_000010.11, read as the reverse complement.
TGAGAAACGAAATTGGCAAAGTGTGATCTTCTGGATACACTCCACTGGAAAAAGGAAGAAAGCCTCAGATGGGCATGGGTACAATTTCCTAAACACACTGTCCATGCTCACTTCCCAAAGGTAAGGAGGGCACTGCACATGCAGAAAGCCCACCCTAAAGGAAGAATCATGGAAAAGAGGCAAGTCTATAATATAAAAGTCCTAAGATCATGGTTAAACAGGCCACTTGACCTTTCTCTCTTTAACCTTCAGGTGCCCACTTGAGTCTCTCCTTTCTTTCCTGTACTGAAGCTTTTTATTTATTTATTTATTTATTTATTTATTTATTTATTATTATTATACTTTAAGTTTTAGGGTACATGTGCACAATGTGCAGGTTAGTTACATATGTATACATGTGCCATGCTGGTGCGCTGCACCCACTAACTCGTCATCTAGCATTAGGTATATCTCCCAATGCTATCCCTCCCCCCTCCCCCCACCCCACAACATTCCCCAGAGTCTGATGTTCCCCTTCCTGTGTCCATGTGTTCTCATTGTTCAATTCCCACCTGTGAGTGAGAATATGCGGTGTTTGGTTTTTTGTTCTTGCATTAGTTTACTGAGAATGATGATTTCCAATTTCATCCATGTCCCTACAAAGGACATGAACTCATCAATTTTTATGGCTGCATAGTATTCCATGGTGTATATGTGCCACATTTTCTTAATCCAGTCTATCATTGTTGGACATTTGGGTTGGTTCCAAGTCTTTGTTATTGTGAATAATGCTGCAATAAACATATGTGTGCATGTGTCTTTACAGCAGCATGATTTATAGTCCTTTGGGTATATACCCAGTAATGGGATGGCTGGGTCAAATGGTATTTCTAGTTCTAGATCCCTGAGGAATCGCCACACTGCCTTCCACAATGGTTGAACTAGTTTACAGTCCCACCAACAGTGTAAAAGTGTTCCTATTTCTCCACATCCTCTCCAGCACCTGTTGTTTCCTGACTTTTTAATGATTGCCATTCTAACTGGTGTGAGATGGTATCTCATTGTGGTTTTGATTTGCATTTCTCTGATGGCCAGTGATGGTGAGCATTTTTTCATTTTTTCATGTGTTTTTTGGCTGCATAAATGTCTTCTTTTGAGAAGTGTCTGTTCATGTCCTTTGCCCACTTTTTGATGGGGTTGTTTGTTTTTTTCTTGTAAATTTGTTTGAGTTCATTGTAGATTCTGGATATTAGCCCTTTGTCAGATGAGTAGGTTGCGAAAATTTTCTCCCATTTTGTAGGTTGCCTGTTCACTCTGATGGTAGTTTCTTTTGCTGTGCAGAAGCTCTTTAGTTTAATTAGATCCCATTTGTCAATTTTGGCTTTTGTTGCCATTGCTTTTTGTGTTTTAGACATGAAGTCCTTGCCCATGACTATGTCCTGAATGGGACTGCCTAGGTTTTCTTCTAGGGTTTTTATGGTTTTAGGTGTAACGTTTAAGTCTTTAATCCATCTTGAATTGATTTTTGTATAAGGTGTAAGGAAGGGATCCAGTTTCAGCTTTCTACATATGGCTAGCCAGTTTTCCCAGCACCATTTATTAAATAGGGAATCCTTTCCCCATTGCTTGTTTTTCTCAGGTTTGTCAAAGATCAGATAGTTGTAGATATGCGGCATTATTTCTGAGGGCTCTGTTCTGTTCCATTGATCTATATCTCTGTTTTGGTACCAGTACCATGCTGTTTTGGTTACTGTAGCCTTGTAGTATAGTTTGAAGTCAGGTAGTGTGATGCCTCCAGCTTTGTTCTTTTGGCTTAGGATTGACTTGGCGATGTGGGCTCTTTTTTTATTCCATATGAACTTCAAAGTAGTTTTTTCCAATTCTGTGAAGAAAGTCATTGGTAGCTTGCTGGGGATGGCATTGAATCTGTAAATTACCTTGGGCAGTATGGCCATTTTCACGATATTGATTCTTCCTACCCATGAGCATGGAATGTTCTTCCATTTGTTTGTATCCTCTTTTATTTCCTTGAGCAGTGGTTTGTAGTTCTCCTTGAAGAGGTCCTTCACATCCCTTGTAAATTGGATTCCTAGGTATTTTATTCTCTTTGAAGCAATTGTGAATGGGAGTTCACTCATGATTTGGCTCTCTGTTTGTCTGTTATTGGTGTATAGGAATGCTTGCGATTTTTGCACATTGATTTTGTATCCTGAGACTTTGCTGAAGTTGCTTATCAGCTTAAGGAGATTTTGGGCTGAGACAATGGGCTTTTCTAGATATACAATCATGTCGTCTGCAAACAGGGACAATTTGACTTCCTCTTTTCCTAATTGAATACCCTTTATTTCCTTTTCCTGCCTAATAGCCCTGGCCAGAACTTCCAACACTATGTTGAATAGGAGTGGTGAGAGAGGGCATCCCTGTCTTGTGCCAGTTTTCAAAGGGAATGCTTCCAGTTTTTGCCCATTCAGTATGATGTCGGCTGTGGGTTTGTCATAGATAGCTCTTATTATTTTGAGATACGTCCCATCAATACTTAATTTATTGAGAGTTTTTAGCATGAAGGGTTGTTGAATTTTGTCAAATGCCTTTTCTGCATCTATTGAGATAATCATGTGGTATTTGTCATTGGTTCTGTTTATATGCTGGATTACATTTATTGATTTGCGTATATTGAACCAGCCTTGCATCCCAGGGATGAAGCCCACTTGATCATGGTGGATAAGCTTTTTGATGTGTTGCTGGATTTGGTTTGCCAGTATTTTATTGAGGATTTTTGCATCAATGTTCATCAAGGATATTGGTCTAAAATTCTCTTTTTTGGTTGTGTCTCTGCCAGGCTTTGGTATCAGGATGATGCTGGCCTCATAAAATGAGTTGGGGAGGATTTCCTGTTTTTCTATTGATTGGAATAGTTTCAGAAGGAATGGTACCAGCTCCTCCTTGTACCTCTGGTAGAATTCGGCTGTGAATCCATCTGGTCCTGGACTCTTTTTGGTTGGTAAGCTATTGTTTATTGCCACAATTTCAGAGCCTGTTGTTGGTCTATTCAGAGATTCAACTTCTTCCTGGTTTAGTCTTGGGAAGGTGTATGTGTTGGGGAATTTATCCATTTCTTCTAGATTTTCTAGTTTATTTGCGTAGAGGTGTTTGTAGTATTCTCTGATGGTAGTTTGTATTTCTGTGGGATCGGTGGTGATATCCCCTTTATCATTTTTTATTGCGTCTATTTGATTCTTCTCTCTTTTTTTCTTTATTAGTCTTGCTAGCGGTCTATCAATTTTGTTGATCCTTTCAAAAAACCAGCTCCTGGATTCATTAATTTTTTGAAGGGTTTTTTGTGTCTCTATTTCCTTCAGTTCTGCTCTGATTTTAGTTATTTCTTGCCTTCTGCTAGCTTTTGAATGTGTTTGCTCTTCCTTTTCTAGTTCTTTTAATTGTGATGTTAGGGTGTCAATTTTGGATCTTTCCTGCTTTCTCTTGTGGGCATTTAGTGCTATAAATTTCCCTCTACACACTGCTTTGAATGTGTCCCAGAGATTCTGGTATGTTGTGTCTTTGTTCTCATTGGTTTCAAAGAACATCTTTATTTCTGCCTTCATTTCGTTATGTACCCAGTAGTCATTCAGGAGCAGGTTGTTCAGTTTCCATGTAGTTGAGCGATTTTGAGTGAGATTCTTAATCCTGAGTTCTAGTTTGATTGCACTGTGGTCTGAGAGACAGTTTGTTATAATCTCTGTTCTTTTACATTTGCTGAGGAGAGCTTTACTTCCAAGTATGTGGTCAATTTTGGAATAGGTGTGGTGTGGTGCTGAAAAAAATGTATGTTCTGTTGATTTGGGGTGGAGAGTTCTGTAGATGTCTATTAGGTCCGCTTGGTGCAGAGCTGAGTTCAATTCCTGGGTATCCTTGTTGACTTTCTGTCTCGTTGATCTGTCTAATGTTGACAGTGGGGTGTTAAAGTCTCCCATTATTAATGTGTGGGAGTCTAAGTCTCTTTGTAGGTCACTCAGGACTTGCTTTATGAATCTGAGTGCTCCTGTATTGGGTGCATATATATTTAGGATAGTTAGCTCTTCTTGTTGAATTGATCCCTTTACCATTATGCAATGGCCTTCTTTGTCTCTTTTGATCTTTGTTGGTTTAAAGTCTGTTTTATCAGAGACTAGGATTGCAACCCCTGCCTTTTTTTGTTTTCCATTTGCTTGGTAGATCTTCCTCCATCCTTTTATTTTGAGCCTATATGTGTGTCTGCACGTGAGACGGGTTTCCTGAATACAGCACACTGATGGGTCTTGACGCTATCCAATTTGCCAGTCTGTGTCTTTTAACTGGAGCATTTAGTCCATTACATTTAAAGTTAATATGTTATATGTGAATTTGATCCTGTCATTATGATGTTAGCTGGTTATTTTGCTTGTTAGTTGATGCAGTTTCTTCCTAGTCTCGATGGTCTTTACATTTTGGCATGATGTTGCAGCGGCTGGTACCGGTTGTTCCTTTCCGTGTTTAGCGCTTCCTTCAGGAGCTCTTTTAGGGCAGGCCTGGTGGTGACAAAATCTCTCAGCATTTGCTTGTCTGTAAAGTATTTTATTTCTCCTTCACTTATGAAGCTTAGTTTGGCTGGATATGAAATTCTGGGTTGAAAATGCTTTTCTTTAAGAATGTTTAATATTGGCCCCCAGTCTCTTCCGGCTTGTAGAGTTTCTGCCGAGAGATCTGCTGTTAGTCTGATGGGCTACCCTTTGAGGGTAACCCGACCTTTCTCTCTGGCTGCCCTTAACATTTTTTCCTTCATTTCAACTTTGGTGAATCTGACAATTATGTGTCTTGGAGTTGCTCTTCTCGAGGAGTATCTTTGTGGCGTTCTCTGTATTTCCTGAATCTGAATGTTGGCCTGCCTTGCTAGATTGGGGAAGTTCTCCTGGATAGTATCCTGCAGAGTGTTTTCCAACTTGGTTCCATTCTCCCCGTCACTTTCAGGTACACCAATCAGACGTAGATTTGGTCTTTTCACTTAGTCCTATATTTCTTGGAGGCTTCGTTCGTTTCTTTTTATTCTTTTTTCTCTAAACTTCCCTTCTCGCTTCATTTCATTCATTTCGTCTTCCATCGCTGATACCCTTTCTTCCAGTTGATCGCATCGGCTCCTGAGGCTTCTGCATTTTTCACGACGTTCTCGAGCCTTGGTTTTCAGCTCCATCAGCTCCTTTAGGCACTTCTCTGTATTGGTTATTCTAGTTATACATTCTTCTAAATTTTTTTCAAAGTTTTCAACTTCTTTGCCTTTGGTTTGAATGTCCTCCCGTAGCTCGGAGTAATTTGATCGTCTGAAGCCTTCTTCTCTCAGCTCGTCAAAGTCATTCTCCGTCCAGCTTTGTTCCGTTGCTGGTGAGGAACTGCGTTCCTTTGGAGGAGGAGAGGCACTCTGCTTTTTAGAGTTTCCAGTTTTTCTGCTCTGTTTTTTCCCCATCTTTGTGGTTTTATCTACTTTTGGTTTTTGATGATGGTGATGTACAGATTGGTTTTTGGTGTGGATGTCTTTTCTGTTTGTTAGTTTTCCTTCTAACAGAGAGGACCCTCAGCTGCAGGTCTGTTGGAGTACCCAGCCATGTGAGGTGTCAGTCTGCCCCTGCTGGGGGGTGCCTCCCAGTTAGGCTGCTTGGGGGTCAGGGGTCAGGGACCCACTCTAGGAGGCAGTCTGCCCGTTCTCAGATCTCCAGCCGCGTGCTGGGAGAACCACTCCTCTCTTCAAAGCTGTCAGACAGGGACATTTAAGTCTGCAGAGGTTACTGCTATCTTTTTGTTTGTCTGTGCCCTGCCCTCAGAGCTGGAGCCTACAGAGGCAGGCAGGCCTCCTTGAGCTGTGGTGGGCTCCACCCAGTTCGAGCTTCCTGGCTGCTTTGTTTACCTAAGCAAGCCTGGGCAATGGCGGGCGCCCCTCCCCCAGCCTCGCTGCCGCCTTGCAGTTTGATCTCAGACTGCTGTGCTAGCAATCAGTGAGACTCCGTGGGCGTAGGACCCTCCGAGCCATGTGCGGGATATAATCTCCTGGTGCGCCGTTTTTTAGCCCGTCAGAAAAGTGCAGTATTCAGGTGGGAGTGACCCGATTTTCCAGGTGCTGTCTGTCACCACTCTCTTTGACTAGGGAAGGGAACTCCCTGACCCCTTGCACTTCCCGAGTGAGGCAATGCCTTGCCCTTCTTTGGCTCGTGCACGGTGCACGCACCCACTGACCTGCGCCCACTGTCTGGCACTACCTAGTGAGATGAACCCAGTACCTCAGGTGGAAATGCAGAAATCACCCATCTTCTGCGTCGCTCACACTGGGAGCTGTAGACCGGAGCTCTTCCTATTCGGCCATCTTGGCTCCTCCCCCACCAAAGCTTTTTTAATAAACTTCCACTCCTGTCCTGGAACTTGCCTTGGTCTCTTTTCTGCTGTATGCCCCTCAGTCTAATTCTTTCTTCTGAGGAGGCTAGGACTAAATTTGCTGCAGACATGTATGAATTTGCCACCAGTAACTTGGGGTAGCTCGAATCTCTTCCACCACTAACAATTCCACTGACCTTATCTGTTATCCTGAACTGCTGGGAGACAATAAGCTTAGTAATTGTTCATCATAGACTAATTCTTAAAAAAATGAAAAAAGTTTGAATATGTTAAGTTCTATCTGAAGGGCTTTTTTCTATAAGGTTGGTGGCTATTGAAAATGATTTGGTTTCATGGGCCACCAAAGTCCTCAGAATGAAATCTGCAGGCAGTAGTAGGTGCATGATAAGAGTGTTTTCCTGTGAGCCCCAAAGCTCTCTCAAGTCTGTTTCTTTTTGGTAATGTCTGGTTCCTCAAAGATTTTCTGGTTACTAATTACCAAACTTGGCCAATCATCAAAATGATAAGAATAGCCTTTTAAAAGCAGAGATGTCCATCCCTCACCTGTGGAGATTCTGATGGGACAGGATGGGAATCTGAAATTGCAAGGGGCTCACTCAGAAATCCTGATGGTTCTCTAGGTTTGGGAGACACTGACCTGAGCCATGGGCACTACCCAGAGACCCACAGTCAGACCTTGAGCTGTTAACCCAATTAGCATCAGTAAGAAATTATGTGTTGAGCTCTATTCTAGTCAGGGTTTGGTATGTGTGTTGGTGGTGGAGAGTGAGGGAGAATTCATTAAGGCTGTGGGATTGGCCAGTACTCTGTATGAGGGTTATGGATTATTGAGTGTGGGGAAGAAATGAGTGGTAAGTTTAGGGAACTAAAGACAGGTGGCCTGCTTGATGTAGGGAAGAACTGAAGAGAATATTTACACTGGGGATAGTGCCTGCACACCAGAGAACTCCAATCCTTTATTATCAATTCGTTTGAATTCTTTTGGCTACTGTATTAGTCTGTTTTCATGTACCATATCAGCTACCAAGAGGGATCCTCATTCTAAATATCTCTCTTGCTCTCCCTCTCTCTCAATGAAATACTTCCAACATTGTCTTAATATTTTTATGTGGGGAAAATAGAAGGAAGGGGTGAGAAAGGTAAGTAAGATATGTTGCTACAGGCAAAATTTCCCTCTACTTTGAAAATTTTGCAAAGTCTAGGAAACACTCACCAAATAGCATTTCACTGGCATTTGGACCACTCAGGACAGGTGGGTACAGGGGTACACAGGTGCTCTGGGGGTGCCCCACTTTTCCCAGGAACTTCAATATGTCCCAAAGAGGAGAGAGGTGGGGGTAGGGCGGGAGCTTATGTTCTTGGTGAACTCTTGGGTTTATGCAGTGAAGATTTCTTCACACATTCCAAGTAGTACTTACATACTGTGTAGCAAGTTCAGTTTGTAAGAATCTATTTAAAAGATGTCACCACACGTGTCAGAAAAAATATTCTTGCAAGGAAGGAGTTAGTCATGTTTCATATTGCAGGCAATTTGGAAGAATGGGATTTGGATTACAGGATATGAGTGCAATACAAATGTAATTGTTTGGAGGTAATTTGAAAAAAATGAAATATGCTTGTACTGGGAGTTCAAGGACATCAAGCAGTCTTTATAAGATGGAGTTTTGGGTGAAAGCTCTCTTGGAAATTATAGTCTGAGTTCTGAGCTGTCAGTCCAGGGACTTGGTCCTTCATTCTGGCTGAACTCTCAACTCTCTAAAAGGAAAGTAACTACTCTAAAAAGTCTTCACCATTCAAAGATTTCTTCTTGATGTTTTATGTAAATTGGCACTTTACTTCTTACCCTTTGATTGTACCACAAAACATAATCCTGTGGGCTTTGTTTATGATATTGTCAGTGCTTGAGATTTCAGCAAGGACAATATTTAGTTGGATGGGTATATGGTTTGGCTGTGTCCCCACCCAAATCTCATCTTAAATTCCCACATGTTGTGAGAGGGGCCTGGTGAGAGGTAACTGAATCATGAGGGCAGGTCTTTCCCATGCTGTTCTTGTGATGGTGAATAAGTCTCATGAGATCTGATAGTTTTAAAAAATGGAATTCCCATGGACAACTCTCTTCTCTTGTCTGCTGCCATGTGAGATGTGCCTTTCACCTTCCACCATGATTGTGGGGCCTCCCTAGCCACATAGAACTGTAAGTCCATTAAACCTCTTTCTTTTTTAAATTGCCCAGGCTTGTGTATGTCTTTATCAGCAGCATGAAAATGGACTAATACAGTAAATTGATACCAGTAGAATGGGGCGCTGCTGAAAACATATCCAAAAATGTGGAAGTGACTTTGGAACTGGGTAATAGGCAGAGGTTGGAATAGTTTGGAGGGCTCTAAAGAAGGCAGGAAAATGTGGGAACGTTTGGAACTTCCTAGAGACTTATTGAGTGGCTTTGATCAAAATGTTGATAGCGATATGGACAATAAAGTCCAGGCTGAGGTGGTCTAAGATAGAGATGAGGAACTTGTTGGGAACTGGAGCAAAGGTGACTCTTGTTATGTTTTAGTAAAGAGACTGGTGGCATTTTGCCCCTGCCCTAGAGATTCGTGGAACTTTGAACTTGAGAGAGATGATTTAGAGTACCTGGCAGAAGGAATTACTAAGCAGCAAAGCATTCAAGAGGTGACTTGGGTGCTGTTAAAAGCATTCAGGTTTAAAAGGGAAACAGCATAAAAGTTTGGAAAATTTGCAGTCTGACAAGGTGATAGAAAAGAAAATCCCATTTTCTGAGGATAAATTCAAGCCAGCTACAGAAGTTTGCATAAGTAAAGAGGAGCTGAATGTTAATCACCATGACAGTGGGGAAAATGTCTCCAGGGCACGTCAGAGACCTTTGTGGCAGCCCCTCCCTACACAGGCCCAGAGGTTTAGAAGGAAAAGATGGATTTGTGGCCTGGGCCCAGGGTCGCTCTGCTGTGTGCAGTCTAGGGACTTGGTGCCCCATGTCCCAGCTGCTCCAGCTGTGACTAAAAGAGGACAAGATGCAGCTCAGGCTGCTCCTTCAGAGGGTGGAAGCCCCAAGACTTGGCAGCTTCCACGTGGTGTTGAGCCTGCAGGTATGCAGAAGACAAGAATTGAGGTTTGGGAACCTCTGCTTAGATTTCAGAGGATGTATGGAAATGTCTGGATGCCCAGGCAGAAGTTTGCTGCAGGGGTGGGGCCTTCATGGAGAACCTCTGCTAGGGCAATGTGGAAGGGAAATGTGGGGTGGGAGCTCCCACACAGAGTCTCTACTGGGGCACTACCTTGTGGAGCTGTGAGAAGAGGGCCACTGTTCTCCAGTCCCCAGAATGGTAGATCCACTGACGGCTTGCACTGTGTGCACGGAAAAGCTGCAGAGACTCAATGCCAGCCCATAAAAGGAGCCATGTGGGAGACTATACCCTGCAAAGCCACAGGGGCAGAGCTGCCCAAGGCCATGGGAACCCACCTCTTGCATCAATGTGACCTGGATGTGAGACATGGAGTCAAAGGAGATCATTTTGGAGCTTTGAGATTTGACTGCCTTGCTGGCTTTTGGACTTACATGGGGCCTGTAGCCCCTTTGTTTTGGCCAATTTTTCCCATTTAGAATGGTGTATTTACCAAATGCCTGTATTCCCATTGTACCTAGGAAGTAACAAACTTGCTTTTAATTTTACAGGCTTATAGGCAGAAGGGACCTTCCTTATCTCAGATGAGATTTTGGACTGTGGACTTTTGAGTTAATGCTTAAATAAGTTAAGACTTTGGGGGACTGTTGGGAAGGCATGATTGGTTTTGAAATGTGAGAACATGAGATTTGGGAGGGGCCAGGGGTGGAATGATATGGTTTGGCTGTGTCCCCACCCAAATCTCATCTTGAATTCCCATGTATTGTGGAAGGGACACAGTGGGAGGTAATTGAATCATGGGGACAGGACTTTCCAGTGCTATTCTCATGATAGTGAATAAGTCTCACAAGATCTGGTGGTTTTAAAAAGGGGAGTTTCCCTGCACAAGCTCCCTGCTCTCTTCTTTTTTCTTGTCTGCCACCATATGAAATATGCCTTTCACCTTCTACTATGATTGTGGGGCCTCCCCAGGCAAGTGGAACTGTAAGTCCATTAAACTTCTTTCTTTTGTAAATTGCCCAGTCTCGGGTACATCTTTATCAACAGCACGAAAACAGACTAATACAGGTGGTGTTGAGATATGGAGATTGGTTTTAACAAGATTTAGATATTTCCTCCTTCTTTTAGCTTTGGTTTTTGGCATGGCTGACTCAGGTGTCAATTATTGTCTGTTGATGTGGCATTGAACATGTGTTTGCATAATACATAGGAATTTTAACTTGGAGGGAAATACTTGGGGAGCTCAAACCAGAAGCATAGAATCTTAATAGCTGGGAGTGTGAAAAGCTACATGAATGTGCAGTGTTAGAGCACAGGGTCCAAATCTATACTGCTTGGGTTCCAATCCGGTTCCATCACTTACTAGCTCTGGTTGATTAATAGCTTCCCCAAATCTCTATTCTTTGCAAAGTGTCTTTGCTCCTCCCACTAAGGAATAGAGTCTATTTCTCCAGCCTATGAATCTGGGCTAGCCTTGTGACATGCTCTATTCAACAGAATGCAGACAAGGTGATATCATGCCAATTCCAAGGCTCGCCCTTAAGGGTTCTTATATACTTCTGCCTTCTTTCAGAATGCTGGTTCTGCCTTGGGAACAGGCCAGAGCTAGCCAGCTGGAGCATAAAAGACCATGGGCAGGTGAATGGGGGCACTTCAGCCAACAGGAGCCAGCATCCAGAATTGGAGATGCCTTGCCAACCTGCAGTTGATGGCAAAAAGAGAAGGAGCCCCACCAAGCCAAGAAAAAGTGCATAGGTGATCCTAGCTTGAATTTTCAAGAGGTTTTGGGGAGTTTTGTAACTCAGCAATAGCTCACTCATCCGTGAGTGATATGATCATGGACACATTGCTTAACCTTTCTGTGCCTATTCCTTCCACCATAAATAGATATAATCGTATTTGCTCAGAGCCACGCTTGTGAAGCTCTTGGCCTGGTTCCTTGTGCACAGTAAGTGGTTATAGATATCAGTGTTTATACTTCAGGACAGATTTGCAGTAAGGCTTGGTCTGAGCTCATTTTGGAGTGTGCTGGTAACTGGTATGTAGCTGTAGTGCACTTTAGCCTGAAACTGTGCTGCTCTATGAGAGAAAGGAAATATGGCTAGGTGGGTAGAAGTCAGAGATTTTTCTCCCAGTTCTAGGGAAATATGAAGAGGTAAAGAGGCAGATCTTATCTTTGGAGGGAAGTCCACACCAGTTCCCAGAGGTGGGAGACTCCTAAGCCACAGGGGTAGAGATAGAGAGGGGCTCCCTATCCAGGCTGTTTGCTCTCTCCAGCCAGACTCTGCTTTCAATTGCTGTACAGAATCTGAGCTTTCAACATCAAGTAAAGCAATAATTTATTTCATGGAATTGGAGGCCTCAAAGCAAAGGAAATCAGATTGGTGTTTATTCTATGGTAGATGGGGCAGTATTGGCCGATCTTTCTCTATCAGGCTTCAGCAGACCCAGACACAGAAAAGCATCTTTCCAGACTCAGCCTTTAAAACTTCCCAGGGTCTGGGAAGGACTGAGGGCTTGGACACTGGAACCACAGAGAAGAGAGGTATGTGTCAGGTAGTGAAGGGGTTGGGGAGACACTGAGCATCAGAAGACCCATGGATATCTAGAAGAGGGCTGCTGGGACCCTGCTTCATGGGCTCCTGCTACCAGTCACAACTCATTTCCTTCCAAGATACAGCACAGCTTTTGCTCTGTAAGGAAATTTACCCCAGAGAGATGAGCCCACGTTATCTGCTTAGAGAGTTATTCGGAAATTAAGGAAGAGCCTGTTTGCACACTAAGCCCTATGTCTGGCACTTACAGGGACATCAAATATTAAATAGGCATAGTTCCTATCCTCAGGAAGCTTATACTCTTGCAGTGGTCTGCCATTCTGACTGCAGAGCAGAATCATCTGGGAACTTATAAAAAGTGAGGTCTGGTCTCCACAGCAGTCTGACTAAACTAGAATCTCTGGGAGTAGAACTGGGGCATTGGTATGTTTCAAATATTCCCCAGCTTTTCCTAATGTGCAGGCAGGTTGAGAATGGCTGACCTGAGTGGCAGGTACTTTTCACATCTCAAACAATAAAAAAGGCAGGGTGGTTCCATAGTTAGTTAATATATGGGTGAACTATCTTAAAAGATTATGTTCTTTTCACATCTCTTCTCTGCCATCTTCATGGTGTTAGCTTTGGTCCTCAGCCTCACGGTCACAAGATGGCTGCAGTAGTACCAAGCATCACTTCCTCATCAGTTGAATCTAGAGATGGAAAAAAGATAACATTTCCACGTATTTTTCTTTGTAAGAGTGAATAAAGCCTTTCCAAGAAGTTCTTCAGGAGATTTATCTTATAACCCTTAGTCCAGAATTGTATCACAAGTTCAAGCCTAAACTAAAATCTGGCAAAGCAAATCAAACCACTGTGGCTGGCTGAGATCAATTCATGACTCACCCTTCTATGATTGGAGAGGCAGTCACTTTGAGCATGTGGTCAAGCAAAGAATGGACCATGAACAATATTGGGACCTTACCGGAAAGGAATGAGGGGATAGGAATGGCTGATGGATTGTATCTGGCAGGATAGAATAGACTGGGCTGTGGTGACAAGCAAACCCCAGTATTTCAGTGGCTTAGCACAACAAAAGTTTACTTCTTACTTACAAAGTCTGATGCAGATTAGATGGAGTCTGTCCTCCATCTGGTGACTTGGATCCATGCTCCCTTGTCCCGCCATCTTGGTAGGTTCCCATTTCACCAGTTGGCCTCCAAGCTTGCTAGAACAGAGAGAGAGAGTGATGGTAGACACATTTTTTTGAACTACCTCAACCCAGAAGTGACACACTTCACAACTGCTCATTATCCATTGACTAGAACCAGTCAACTGGTCTTAACCTAATTCCACGGGAGACTGTGATGTATAATGGACATATGGAGGATTTTATGAGTGCTTGGCCATAGCAGGCAACTAAGAAGAAGGGATGGAAAATGTGAGTGGAGTTCAAGGGAAGAAATGGTTTTGGGTCAAAACATGCATGCACGTTGGTTGTGTCCAGCTTTTGCTTCCAAATGTGTTGGACTCCCACTGTCTCTACCACAAAGATGGAAATACCAGTTGCCACTTGCACTGATGCATTAGGGAGATTTTTGTTTATAGCTTTAAAAAAATTTTTAAAGAGCTTCTGAGCACCTCAGGGGCAGGAAATATGTAAATATTTGGCATCAGTATCATGCTGTTTGATGGCCCCAAAAGCTCCAGTCATTACTTAGCTGTGTATCTGCATCCTGACCCAGCAATAAGCGATAATACTCACATCTAGAGAGAAAAATGATGTTCCACAGCCTTGCCCAGTTTCTTCATGTCTTGGTTCAGTAGCTCGAAAGACCCCTTTCTGAACAAAATTAGTCCTTTTCTTCTATGTGCTTGAATTATTTTCAGAGAGCCATTATACTGACTTTTCTGTTTTTTCATAAGAACATGGATCAGGTTCTTTGATCAATGCAAATGTGTTTGTCCATCCGTGGGGCTGTGAATTGAATTTGGGGGGTCCAGAGCTTTTGGTGTAAACATCTTATCATGAAAAGAGACTATAAACTTTCCCAGAGCAGAAAAGTATCACTTATCTTCTCCATAGTACCTAACATAGTCCTGGGTTTACAATCAGAGCTCTGTAAATCCAATTTGATAGGAAATATGTGGACAGTTTTGTCTCCAGGGCTGGAATGTGCTGAATTCCTGGAGAACTGTTGGTAATGTACAAATAAAGTCGATTTTACTTTGTCAATGTGTGGGTTATCTATTTCATGATCTCTTCTAGGCAAAGTATTTGTCTCAGGATGGCGTCTTTCCCCAGGGCTGACATCACTAAATGCCAGTTTACAGATGCTCAGAAACTACTAACTAGTTTTAGAACAATGCTGCGTCACTTCGCTGAAGGTCATGAATCTGGTAACAACACCCATTACAATGCAGCTAAGACACAGGAGGTAAGCAACAAAAGACATTTTGAGCAGATGGAAGACATAAGAGAATTCTTGAGTTAAATTTCCTCGTATCAGAGTTCGTTAGAGTCTTACTCAGAGCCCAGTGACTACTGTTGTACCCAGAGTTCTAAAATAAATTATCATCTGGTCTCATAAAATGTCATAGTAGCATGCAGTATAAGGCTGGTTAAAGAAATGATGATTTCCATGCAATGAAAGGCAGTCATTTAAAATAACAATATAGCTCTATCTTGAGTAATATGGAAATATGTCCACTATCTGTCATTAAAGAACAAGACAATTTACAGAGCAGCATGCAGAGTTGTCCCTCAGTGAGAGAGAGACAGAGAGAAGAGAGAGAGAGAGAGAGAGAAAGAGAGAGACAGATGTGTGCTGGGCACTTCTTACAGCAGTGAATATTCCCCTGCCTCCATGGTGAGAAAAAGAGAAGAATCAATAGCAATTGCATTACAGGGGGGAAAGTACTGTGACGGGTGCTATGAGAGCACATGTGAGTACCCGCCTTGGGAAGTCAGGGGGGTCCTTCTGAAGGAAATCACATCCAACAATGATTACAATTGTATTATGCTGCAGTGTTATATTGTATCACATCTAATTATATATGACATCATTAATTAGGTAATAATTATAATGACAATAATGTCTAAGCTGGAACCAGGGAAAGAGGTTGAAGGCAGGTTTTTAGAGGGAGAATAAAATTCTTTTAGACAAAGGGATCTGCCTGTGGAAAGGCTTGAGGTGGGGCACGACTGGAAGAACTGAATGAAGCTCAGTCTGGCTTGCAATTTTAAAAATAATCAATGCTGACGTTTTTAGGTATTGAAATTTTATTTTATTTACTTCTTTATGCATAACTATTTTTAATATGTATACTGAACACATTTTTATTTTGTAGGGAAAAATCCTATGGATTTATTTTTGTTTTGAAAAACGGAAGAATATGTTTTGTCATCCGGAACATTTACTTAGGTGGTTCAGAACTTGTGTTTTGAAAAGAGCATGCAAACCTTACAGAAGCACCATGAACCAAATATAATGAGGAAATTATAAATGTATTCAAGTCTTTTGATTGCCAAAGGAAGATGCTTTTCTATCCTGTGCATAATTTTGATTGTCCACAGAACTGCTTCTTTTTAATATCAGGAAAGATCCTGGGAAGGACCAATTGCAGAAATTCATTCTGCCTTTTTGTTTCATGGAAATCCTAGACCTGAATTGTTCTTCAAATATCTTTTCTTCCTCTTTGCAGAAGCAGACAAATTCTAGGAGTTCATGGGAGGCCTCTCAGTCCTAAGCCCATAAAGGAGAAATATTACTGAGCATTCCTTCAATCTCTTCCTAAGAAGAAGGTGGAATGGCTCCAATTCCTCAGTCACTAAGGATTGGCCAGGTCATAGCCTGCACAAATGGTGGTGAGGATGGGAAATGGGGTGGGTCAAGGATGTTGAAGAAAAGTGCCTTTATGTGTCTTGTAGCCTTGGCTGTTGTCATGGTATCATCCAAAAGAACCAACCAGGAAGAAAAATGTTATTTGGGGATTATAGTTAGTTTATTCATCTCACGTGGGAGCCAGCTCACTTGAATCAAGTTTTCCTCTATTCTTGTTGTATGATATATTCTGAGATCCACTAAAAATTAGCAAATACAATATGGTGTGGTTAAGTAGTACTATGGTTGGGGAATTATAAGGTGCGATGGGAGTATCCAAGAAGAAAAGCTAATCTAGACCCCTGGTGGTCAGGGCAGGCTCCTCCCTGGGGCAGCAGTTGGCCATGATGAGGATAAATAATGAATAAGAGATAGCCAGAGAAAGGGGCGTAGGGAAAGGCTTTTGCAAGGAACTGGAAGTGGCTGGGTAGGATACAGCATAAGCCGCAAGTCAGGGTATGCTAAGCCGAAGACAGCGAGGAGAGGAGAGGCCAACTCAGGAAGCATCTTTTATTCTACATTCAGGAGTTTGGATTCTTCCCAGGGACAGTGGTACAATCAGACTTGCATTTTAGAATGTCCATTTTGTTGCAGGAGGAGAAGAGACTGGTGGAGGCAGCGAGGTGTTCAGCAGGCTGGTACCAGATTGAGAGAGAGAGAGACAATGTGGCCTAGCCTTGGAGATGGAGGCTCAGGTCATTCCATAGAAAGAAAAGAGACAGCCTTCATTTCTTTGGTCCTTTGTCTGAAGGAATTTCAATTAATTCAAATAGACTGCATTTATTTCTCAAGAGTCAGTGTCTCAGAACAATGTAGGTGGGAATAAAGACAGCTTTTCTAGACACTACAGGACACCTGGGGATGCTTGTGCAGCTCTAGGGCCTGGGCTGGTGGTGGATGCAGAATTCTAATTATGTGCAGAAAATCTGGTACAATATAACTGCTAAGTTTCCATTGCTCCTTCTCCTGCGCTGGAGTTCCAGTCTATAAGGCAGTGGTCTTCTCAGGGCTGTAGGGTGACTACAGCGGGCCCTGGAATCCATTTGTGCCTCTAGGCTGAGTAACAAATGTGTAGTACACAGGTATGAATTTTCAAATGCATGATAAATGTAGTGCACACTCACTTATCAGTGTAATGAATGTAGAATAGTTCTCTTTGTGAATTTTCTCAATCCAACAATGCTAAAAGCATTATTACCATCAGCTGGAGCTCTGAGAAGTATTTTGTCATTAAAAATATACTTAAAAATTGGAAACCACTGTTTTGGAGGGAGGCATAAGATAGAGCCCCCAGGACCCATATGATACTATGTGCCCCTGATTAATTACCTTGCTACAGATTTGGCTCCAACCCAAACAGGTGGTTTTAAGTAGACTTCCATGAAGATCAGCAACGTGGTGGGTGGATTTAACAAGGTTCTGATGTCTCATTTCTTTGATACCTCCTGCCTCTCCTTAGCACTGGCATCTCCTCTCCTTGCAAACTGCAGTCCTTATAGATGGCATTTGTGACTTCACCTAAGTAGGACTTCAGCTAGAGTTGCAGACATCCAGAAACAATTTCACAGCAAGCCTGTAAAATCTAATTTGATTTGATGATGATATCAACAACCGTGACTAACACAGAAACAATGTGAATAACAAGAAGCTTGACATTTATGGGGCCTTTGAAAATGAGATCTTGCCTTTGCCAAGCTTGACCAGTCCATTCTTCAGGGGCTGAACATGCAGATTAAGTGCAGATGGAGCTGCCTTTGTGCAGGGAAGCAAGGCAGGTGGGGAAAAGAAAGTGAATATGGATTTGTCTGGGAGCAAAACTGCAGGACTCAGCACATCCCAAGCAGTGCTTCTCAACAGAAACTGACTGCTGGAATCACCTTGGGAATTTCTTCAATGTGATGTTTAGGCCCCACCTAGACCAGATCCAATCAGGATCTCTGGAGTGGGGAGTAAGCATCTGAATTTTTTAAAAGCGTCCACTGTAGTCACCTTCACAGGTATTAATGTCTTCTCGATGGCTTGTTAAAACAGATTGAGGGGCCATATTCCCAGGATATTGGATTCAGTAGGGCTGAGTAGTGCCTGAAGATACACATTTCTGGTAAGTTCTTAGATGATGCTTTTGCTGCTATTTCAGAGACACACTTTGAGATTCGCACCTTGCTAAGCTCATAGGATTCTAGATAACTTTGAGGCTATAATCCCATCCCAGTGGGGCCCCAGGCCTTTCTTTCCACTTTACCTGGAAGAATGTTGAAGGCAGATCAGGTTAGTAATATGTTTCCTTGGACAGCCCTAGCTCCAGAAATAATTTTATAAAAGTCACAAATTGTTTGATCAATAATCCTCTTTCCCATGAACTCCATTCATTGAAACTGCGTAAGTTTATCTCACACTGCTTATGTGAGAAAGCATAACATAAACATAGGGTTGGGCTGGCTGCCATTGGGCCATTGGTATTTCCTGTCATTTCAGCCTTCACCTGTGTGTAAGCTGGGTTTAGGGGATGGGATTGTGGGACTTTTGACCTAGTGTCATAGTTGTTAGAGTGCATATTGCTTAACACAGCTGGGTAATTAAGGCTGGGATCAGGTAAGATCAGGTAAGATCCTCCCCCTGAGTGGGAACAGGTACCACAGGCATTTTCTGGAAGAAATGCCAGCAAATAAGAGGTGGCCTCTCTGATGATCAACACTGGGAGATGGACATTCCAGAGTGTTGGGGTTGAGCAGGGTGTTGGGGAATTCAGAAGGAGGTGAGGTTTGCAGACCTAGGCAGATGGCACTAGTGAAGGCGGGAGGGTCTCTACTATTAGGCTGAGACATCTGTCAGAACCTTGGGAGAGGACTCATGAAGGTAGGATAGAGGAGAGAGCAGGGGTGTTCAATCTTTTGGCTTCCCTGGGCCACATTGAAAGGAGAAGAATTGTCATGGGCCACATATAAAATAACAATAGCGGATGAACTAAAAAAAAATCACAAAAATACCTCATAATATTTTAAGAAAGTTTACAAATTTATATTGGGTTGTATTCAAAGCTGTCCTGGGCCACACATGGCACAAGGGGTGCAAGGTGGACATGCTTGGGATAGAGCTTCAGTCTTTTGGGATGAAGGGCCTAGGCAGGGATTGAGATAGGAGAATGAGATAAGGTTGTCTGAATGAGAAAGTGGGTCTTTGGAACAAGACAGAGGCCTGGTTACTCCAACAAGGACTCAAGATTGGGACCAGAGTACCTGGGTAAGATGATGGCAGAGTTGCTCAAGTGCCTCCTGCCTGAAAGCAGGCTGGTTTTAAAATAATGGGCAAGGCAGAACCTGCAGATAGAGACCAGTGGGCGTCAGCTCTAGAGAGATGTGTTCTATAGAGGTTTGCTATTAGCAAGATCAGACACATTGAGGGTAAACCTTTCCACAGTATAACATTATATGCATTTTCTTACCTAATCACTAATCAGTTGAGCTACATTAAATGTTTGCATGAAATGTTGGGGTTAGCATCATGTTCCTGCCTGAATGTTCCTTAGGGGCTCATGCTGGAACATGCTTGCAAGAGGTGGTCAGCATACATTTCCAATCTCATGTCCTACAGCCAAGGAGATGTACTCTGCATGGAGGAAATAAATTATAGCAATTTCCTGAGGATTTTTATGTAGAGATGGGTTTAGCAGATTAGGGAAGCTATTTTATTTTGTTTAAATAAAAGGTTTTTGAAAACATCTTCCTCTGGAAACAGACCTTTTCCTCCTGGCTAGAGGGATGGTCCAGGGTGCCAGGCATGGCTAATGAAAATCATTAGTGACTGATTTAAGAGGTGGACAGGTAATTCTTGCAGAGCCATTTGGAATCCTTCTCTGGGACTGATACATGAACACAGGGAAGAAGCTGGTTTCTCCTTATGTTGGGTTTGCCAAATTGAATCTACCAGCAGCCATGTTTCTACCTGGCTGCCAGGAGCAAAAAGACCCAGCTGACATGCAAGATAATGAGGGGATGAACAGGGATCAGAAACATTACATACACCTGGTACATACCTAGTGGTGTGGAACATCTGGTTGTTGAAGCTTTTCCGTCAATTTTGTGAGCTGATGGAATTTTGTGAATTGTATTCTTGCCATGAGCACTAATAAATCCCCCTATATCTGATTGATTAACAAGTGAAATCCCCAATTAATACAATGTGTTGATTGGTAATCTCAGAGGGTGGGGAAGTAGCCCAGAGTATTGAAAAATGAAGATTAAATGTTTGCCTTCTTTTGGGAGGGCAAATCAGTGAGAAGGTGCCACCCCTTGAAGGTATGCAGGACCCCACAATCCTGAATTGGAAACCTGGAGAGCAGAGTTCCGAACCTGCTCTGCACCTGTCAGGCTGTCTGACCTTCAGTTTTTTTAATCTGTAAAAAGAAGAGGGTCAAAGTGCAGATTCTTGCCAATGTCTATTCTAGGTCTAGCAAGTAAAGCCATTTCCTTTCCTTTTTATTTTATTATTTTTTTTTATGGCATGGGGAGTGGGGTTTGCTTTCTTTCACATTATGGCCTGAAGTCAGGGATCTAGTTTTTCCTTGCATCTGCCTCTAATATCTGGCCTCTCCAGTTCATCTTTACTCTGCTGCTGCCGCCATTTAAACAAGCCAGGCCATGTCACAGCTCAGCTCACAAAGTCTGCAGTGGCTCTCCATCTGCTTTAGAGAGAAATCCGTATGTCTTGTTCTGGCATTGAACGATCTCTCATTCTGGACTCAGCTGCCCTCTTCTCAGCCTCATGGAATTACAAAACTGCAGAGATCTTCGTTTAGTCTAACTGCTTTATTCTGATGGAAACTGGGATTTAGCAAGCTTGTGACTTCTAAAAACCAGTATTAGGCTCCATCATCATTATTTTATTCTGCATATTTCCTGAGCTGCCTGCTTAGAGAATTCACCTGCAGATAGAGGCCAGTGGGCATCAGCTCTAGAGCACTTAATGGGCTCTAGAGTTCCCTAGTGGGCCATGTCCACTTGACTCCTTGGGCGTTCGCTTCCACCGTCTCCCTGTCTGGTGCACCATCTTTCCATATCCAGTCCTTTGGAAGCAATACATATTCCCAAGGCTCATCTCAAGGATGACCTCCTATGTCCCAGGCTCCCTCAGTCAGGATGAACTTCTCTCTCCTTGTTATTTCCGTAGGACTGTGTGGCATTCCAGGAGTCTTTATTTCATGTTTCTTTCAGTTATAGGTTTGTTTCTTTTTTCTTCAGCACAGGGAGCTTTTTTGATGGCAAGGGTCTTGTGCCAGACATCTCAGAAAACTTCGGAGTGTCTGGCCCTGTGTACCCACTCAATAAACAGCTGCTGGGTAAAATCTCCAAGATGTGGTATAAGGACATTCCTAAGGTCCCTATGAAAGTACCCCAGTCCTGACGCTGAATGCCTCTCACAGCATGGTTGGAATGAATTCTAAGAATGTTAATATTTTGGCTCATTTATGTTCTGTAGGTCAATAACATTTTTAAAATCCATTGGACCTTAGAAAGTACAGTGTCTTGAAATTAGGTGATTTAATTAGCCTTTACGGGCTAATAAAATGTATTCAGCTGGCACATAGTTTGTCTTTTGGGGAGGAAGTTGGATGGGGGTATGGAATGGGTAGGGATGATTTGTGTTAGAAGGCGAGGCACTCACAACATTATAGATATTAGAGAGAAAAAACAGGGACACCGGTAAGGGTATTTTCATGCTGTATCTTTTGCCCCATCTGACTCTGGACTGTTTTATTTGCCTTGAAATTAGGCCGTGAGATTGCTGAAACCAGAGGTTTGATTTTCCTAGAAGGCTGTGGAGCTGCATCTCTTGCTTTTTAGGCTAACAAGGGTGGTGGGGAAGACAGCGAATATCTCAGCCACCAGGGCTGTCCTGGTGGCTCCTTGCCCAGGCTCCCAGTTATTGCAGACCCCTTGCACTTTGAGGTTGGCATTTGGAGCATGTCCCCATGCTGCAAAAAGGAACATTAATGAGACAGCCATTTTCCTGTCGACTGCATGTGTCTTCATTATGAGGATGAAAGCTGTGTGCCCTGTGAGAGCACGCGTGCCTGCCCCTCACATCCATCACTCTGCGTCCGCAGAGCCCGCCCTGCATCCTCATCAAGACCCCTGCTCCCCAAGGGAGGCACTCTGCAGGGGAGGGGAGAATCTCTGTTTCTGTTTTTCATGTTGGGGCTCCCGAGGGCTGCCTGTATTGGAAAGTGAAGTGAAGACAGCTGAGAGAGACATGGAGTGAGATGAATTACTTCACCTGGAGGTCAGCAAACCTGCTGTGGGAAAGGGAAGGACGTGGAGGAAGAAGAGGGGGCGGCGGGAGAAGACCACTCAGGTTATGTCTAACTTCACAGAACCAAAGGCCTGGAGCTTCAAGATGTAATTGTTTCTGTTTTCTATCATTCAACAGTGCATCACAGAGAAATTTCCATTTAAAATAAGATTAGCCGAAATATGACCTATTTTTTTCCTGCAAATGGTTCCTAGTTAGTGATGGTCAAGGAGATTCCACAAGGTTCCTTTGAGAATGGTGGGCTCATTAAAATAGCAAAGAATGTTTTTGAATTCTCTTTTTTAATAAGTAGTTTGACTCTTTCAATTTTTCCAGGTCAGCTTCACTGAGGCACCTCACTGACTTGCTTTACCTGCTTTTATGATGTAAACTTAAACCAAACCTCTGCTCAAATAGGAATGCTGAAAACTGAAACATGTACATCATTGTGTAGGAGCCTGGTTGGCATCCGACAATGTGGGGATGTGTAATCCTGGCATTGGCTCAGATGGGGAAGGATAAGCAGTTTCTTCCATTAAGGATGAGACAAGGGGGGTTCTATTCTGGCAAGAGGGATTCATGTAGGACTTTTGGAATTCAAATTTAACTCATTTTATGAAATAGATGTCCAAAAATCCAATTAGAAACTCAGGGAACTACAGATTAGCTCATTCAAACTTCTCTATAAAATTTATAACCAAAAGAGACAATCCTGGATCCCACTCTGCCCCACTTCTGATCCTCATTCCCAGAGGAAATTAACAGATCTTTTAGTCTTTCACCATTTCTCCTCCCATTTACTTCTGTATTTCCAAGTGCTATGCATGTATACTTGGATTTTTAATTTTTCAGTGTTAGATATTGTTCATCAACTTCCTGCTATAGAAGACCATGATTTAGCTTTCTTACCAAGCCATTTCCTCTCTACTCCATCTCATGATAACATTAAAAAATATTCATCATCCAGTGTTTATCTTATTGGGAACATATGCAATCACAACTGATAACTCATGTGTATTTGCATAAATCTTTGAACACACACACATATGTACATTCGTGTTGTTGTGTCTGTGTTCTGTCATTCTGGAATCTTTCTCCATCGCCATTGTAGCGGTTCCCTTTGCCTGTCTCCTGTACTAGATCCCCATTTTCTCACTCCCATGTCTTCCCATTTGTTGTTTGTTTCTTTATTTGGATGAAGATCATCCTTGTGCACCTTCCTGAGAAAGGGCACATGATAAATAGACTTCTGAAAACATGTATCATGTATTATTCTACCCTTCACATTTGATCAGTAGTTTGACTTGGTAGAATTCCAGTGGTAAATACTTTTCCCTCAGTATTTTAAAGGCATTTCCGCTTTCCCTCTTGTTTGTGCCATTGTTGCCATTGAGAAATATAACGTGATTCTGATTCTCAATCTTGTTATTGACCTGCTTTTCCTCCCCGGAGGCACTTAGGGTCCACAGTTTATTCCCTGTGTTCTAAAACATCACAGTGGTGTCCGTGGTATGTCTTGGTGTGAGTCTTTTTATTTTTATTTATTATTTTTTTTTGAGACAGGGTCTCAGTCTGTTGCCCAGGTTGGAGTGCAGTGGCATGATCTGGGCTCACTGCAACCTTTGCCTCCTGGGCTTAAGCCACCTTCTTGCCTCAGCTTCTCCAGTAGTTGGAAGCACAGGCATAAGCCACTATGCCTGGCTAATTTTTCTATTTTTTGTAGAAATGAGGGTCTCACTATGTTGCCCAGGCTTGTCTTGAACTTCTGGACTCAAGCTTTCTGCCCACCTTGGCCTCCCAAAGTGTTGGGGTTATAGGCGTGAGCCACCATGCCCGGGCTGTGAGTCTTTTTTCTTTGCTTGAACTGTACTTTAAATCTGGAACTCAAGCCCTCTGGTTCTGGGATATTTTCTCTAAGTTGTTGTTGTTGTTGTTGTTGTTTTTGGAATTTCCTCCCTTTCTGAGTTCTGTTTTCTCTTTCTGGAGCTCTATTAGTTGATTTTCCTGGTTCTATACACTGATTTTCTTTTCTTTTTCTCCCTCCTGTTTCCCACCTTTTTTGGCTTTACTTCATGAGTGATTTCCTCAACTTCACTTTCGATACCTTCATTGGATTTTTTCATTTATCCTTCCATACTTTTAAATTTTCAAATATATAGTTTTTAATATCTGCACATTTCTTTTTTTTTTTTTGTAAATAACATCATGTTTTTCTTTCATGGTTGCTATGTCTGTTCTTATCATGCTGAGAATATTAATTATAGCTTTCTTTGGGTGTTTTTTCCTGATCTCTGTTTGTTATTTTGGTTTCTATCTCTCATGTTGGATACTTTTCTCAAATATTTGAGGATCCTTGGCTTCCTGTTCAGTTGTTTTTTAATTGAAACATAAAAAGTGATGAGAAGCTGCCTGCACTGGTAGGTCTTGCAGTGAGGAATTCCCTTTGGGGGACTGTGGAAGGCCATTTCAATGGGGAACTCACAGGTATTTCAATATCCAGAGGTCATTTTTCTTGGGCTTTTGATGTTCCTCAGAGAAAAATTTTTCCAATATTCTGCCTGGAGGGTATAAATTTGATGGAACATTTATGGAGGACAGTGGGACAGGGGTCTAAGACTCTCACCACTTACCCTGGAGACTTTCTCATGGGTCCCCTGTTTTCAACATTGCACTCTCAGC
The DNA here is from genome assembly GCF_000001405.40 of Homo sapiens. Taxonomy (NCBI): domain Eukaryota; kingdom Metazoa; phylum Chordata; class Mammalia; order Primates; family Hominidae; genus Homo; species Homo sapiens. The sequence continues at coordinate 112,085,383 of NC_000010.11, read as the reverse complement.
CACAGAAGGCGCCTGGAGTCCCCGAGTTCCTAGCCGCCTAATCCTCCAATCTTCTACTGGAGTGGAATAGGGGCATTGTTTGCCAGTGTTGTCTAGGGAGGGATGGAATTTCGTTTTTTCGGGGGATGGAAATTTGTGAGTCCAGTTATTTGCTAGACCTTCAGCCTATCTAGTCCCAGCCCTGCCCTTGTGTTCAGAGGCACCTCCAATCACTAAGCCTTTCTGATGTTATACAGAATACTAGGGCTTCATTTTGGCCTCTTCCGCTTTCAACTTAACTTTCATGTTATTTTGCTTTCTGTAAGTTTGTTACAATTCCTTCGTCTTTTTGGTTTCTAAATTTTGTTGTTATTATCTTCTCTCTCTCCTCTTTGTCTTGTTAGGTTTATAAACTCTCTTATAAATTCATTTACTGAAATTTTAGAATTTTTTAAAATAAGAAAACACAGGTAAATACCTATTTTTATTTGTGTTTGGTCTGCCATGTTTAACAGGAGCCATCCCCAACCCCTGCCCCTCCTTAATTACCTACAAAACAGCCCCAGAGGGAGTAAAGAATTTGCTTAAGGTTACATGTACATTTAGAGGAAGAGTTCTCATTGCACATCTTTCAGTTTCATCTGGGACTATTTTGGTTTACCTCCTATGTTCCTAAGTTCTGCCTCGGTCATATTGTAACTACATGAGTCCTGTTTTAAAGGGATTAGTGGAGCCATCACCAGCATCATCACCAACAAAAACATTTCTTGATTTCATCCATTTAACAAGCTTTTATTAAGCACCTACTATGTGCCAGGCATAAAGAGTCCAACAGACACTATGTTTCCTTTGTGGACTTTACCATCTAGTGGGAAAGATAGGTCTCCATGAAATAATCATCCTCAGTGGAATTTCACCCACCAGCTGTGTGATCACATTACATTACAAAATCTCCCCAAGCTCAAGTTCATAGTCTGTGAAAGAGTGTTAATAAGATGTGAGGGGGCCAGGCATGGTGGCTCGCGCCTGTCATCCAAGCACTTTGGGAGCCTGAGGCGGGCAGATCACTTGAGGCCAGGAGTTCGAGACTAGCCTAGGCAACATGGCAAAACCCCTTCTTTACTAAAAATACAACAAAATTAGCCAGGCATGGTGGTGTGATGGTGCCTGCCTGTAATCCCAGATATTAGGGAGGCTGAGGCATGAGAATTGCTTGAACTCTGGTTGTACCTGCCTGTAATCCCAGATACTAGGAAGGCTGAGGCATGAGAATTGCTTGAACCCTGGAGGCAGAGGTTGCAGTGAGCCGTGATCACACCACTGCACTCCAGCCTGGGTAACAGAGTGACAGCCTGTCTCAAAAAACAAAAAAAAAAAAAAGGAAGAAAAAGAAAAAGATGTGAGGATTAAATGAGATGATGTATGAAAGGGGCTTAACACAATGAGTAACCCACCGTAAGCTCTTGATTGAGTGTAGCTATTGTTATTTCCATTATTACTAGCTGTGAAGGAAAAATGAATAGCATTATGGGGGTACATGTATGTGCACACGGGTGTGTGTGTATATGCAGAGACACTGTGCTAACCTGGAACTCACCTGCTGTATGTAGGACTCTACTAGTTGCTGAAGGCTCTTGGTTAAAATGAACCTTAGCATAACATTTTCCCACAGAGAGCAACTGCCCTTTGATTTATTGATTGCATAAACTGTGATTTATCACAGAACATGTTTGTTTCTATCTGCACTTGGAAGTGAAGCCAGTGCTGCTGATGACCGTGAAAAATTATAGAATGTCGAAAGAAGTGCAGGCCCATAAAATGAAATTTTATGAGTTAGAGCAATGCAGTTATTCGAAAAAAAAATTGTCACTGCAGAAGAGGAAAATGGGAGGGGGTGATATGGAGATGTTTTGTGTAGTGTTTTACATTAGTCAGACTTCTGGGTAAAATATTATAAAACATTTGGGGGCAGGAGGAGAGAGGGAGAATCAGTTCAATAGAAGGAAAGGAGCTATTTGATTTCTGAGTCCACTACAATGAAGAAAATGGAGGCTCTTGCCTAAGATCATGAGACAGTAAGTCAACCACGGGCATGCATAAAGAGAAAGATCATAGTGGAGCAGTCAGGGTCTCAGGGGACAAGATTTTCTGGGCAGCAGAAGAGTAGGGTCCGGGACATTAGGAGAAAGGAAGGGAGGGGACGAGAATAGGAAAAGAATGCATTTCTGGATTCTGTTTGTTGGCAAGTCATGGAGACATGGAAAATTTTAAATTTTTAGAAATGTTTCTGGTTTGTTAGAAAAAGAATTACGACTATGTAAACATGGAAATTTCTTTTAAATGTAGAATGTAAACAAATAACCCTGGGAGATATGTATCTTCTCTTTGTATTGCCCTAGAAGGAGAAATATATAAGTCAATAAAAGATCAGAAGGAGCTTGCTATAAGAGGAAAAAGCGAGGCATTGCCCACCAGAAAGCCTGCTTGATGGGGCTGGTTATTTTAGATATCTGTTAACTGAGGCTATGATGGTCACTCTTCTTAAACTTCTTTCTGGACCACAATTTTCCTTTTGCATAAATTTTGCTAAGGCTTCAATCTGTCAGAGTAATGTGGACACGTTTGGGCAAAAATAACTGGAGAACTTGAAAAAAAAAAAAAAGGCAATGCAATGGAATGATGAGCGCAATTCAGGAGAGCAGTTCCTTCTGGGAAGGGAGAGAGGTGTGTGCATGGAGCAGGGAGCGGGTAAGTTGAGCTTTACAGAGAGGCTTTGGCTTCCTCCCTGGCAAACCTTTCCTCCTGGAAGAAATCTATTTTCAACCTACTGCAGAAACTGACTTGAGCTCCTTCAAGACATCTGTGGATTGACCCCTGATGTGCTTTCCCAAAACAGGTACTTTTTGTTTTCAAAACATGCGATAATTAACACGATTGCGGCCCAGGTCTGGACTCTGAGGCACCCAACCCTAGATCTCACTAGTGATGCCCTGGTGCCTGGGGCTTGTTTGGGACAAGGTTCCAGTCCCTTCCTCTCCCGGAAGCAAGGCTGACTGTGTGCCAAGACCATGGGCTTCGGAGTCAGAGAGTCTGGAGCTCAAATCCCAGCTGGGCTACTTGCCAAGTTGTTATTTTGAGCAATTAGCTTTGGGATCCTGATTTAACTCATGTGTAGAATAAGCACAATAACACTAGCCTGGGAGTGTGTTGTGAGAATTAGAGCTAGGTGGTGCTCAACTGTCATTATGAGCAAGAATCAGAATAACTACCTCAAATATCTGGCCTTGCTAGAGAAGCATTAACCATCGTTAAATTACCAGTTCCTGATAGAACTCCACATGATTTAGCATACAGAGTTGCTCTTGTGAGAAGTAACTCAATTATAGATCACCATCTGCACTTTGGGGTATCTACCCATGCAACCTTTATTTAGGGTATTTCCCTTCCCACAGCAATTCGATAATTATGGCTTGTATTTCTTGATCAACAGCCCTTTTACTGCACTTCAGTTTCAGCTGTGAAATTCAGAGTGGATTTCATAAGAAATGTAAATTGTGTTTTAAGTTAGACTGTCCCAAATATATTCTCCAAACTGAAAAATCAGTCAAATAATGTTTTTTTGTCTGATGTAGTAACAGATATAGATAGAAATCTAATTTTATTTCTCTGGATGAGATAGATTATAACAATAGCATCTGCATCCATCTGTGTCATTTGCAGGGCCTGGAGAGTCCCTTCATGTCAAGGAAGCCTATTTTCTACTTGCTAATGTTCCCAGTGCCCAGCATGGAGATGTCTTACCTTGAATTATGTAGTCATTTATTCAGCAAGGTATTTTAGGGATATTTATTGCAAGGTGTGTGATGGCTGTTTGGGCTCCAGCCCTGAACAAGACAGACACAAGCTTGCAATCTTGGGAGAGGGTGAAGTTAAACAAATACTTGCCCAAACAATTAATTCCTGTTGATATACAGTGAAGGAAAAAGAGTGTCATACAAGTGTACAATGCAGCCCCGACAATGGCAGGATATTTCTGGTTCAGGGGATTTGGAGGCGTTCAGGTTCTCAGGTGAGGCTGACCACAGTGAACTGGATTTACAGAGGCTCCTGTTAGCCGTCTGCTCTAAATACCCATAAGTCCAGTGTTTCAGCCCATGTCCACACTCTAGATAAAGATGAGGTTGTTTCACTCTCATGCAATGTGGTTTTTCCTTCCTTCCTTCCTTCCTTCCTTCCTTCCTCCTTTCCTTTTCTCTTTTCTCTTCTCTCACAGTCTCACCCAGGCTGGCGTGCAGTGGCACAGTCATAGGTCACTGTAACCCTCAAGCTAGGCTTACAGGTGTTGCTACTGTGCCCAGTTGATTTAAAAACTGTTTTTTGTAGAGACGGGGGTGGGGGGGAGGTGGTGGTGGTGTCTCACTATGTAGCCCATGGTGGTCTCAAACTCCTGACCTCAAGTGATCCTCCAGCCTTGGCCTTCCAAAGTGCTGGGATTACAGGTGTGAGCCACCATGCCCAGCCTTCATGATACATGTTTTAAATGGCTCCTCTTTGCCTTGTGCTTTCATACGTGTCACCTCATTTGATCTTCCCAACAACCCAGTGTGTGTGGAGGAAGCCCTACCTACGCCTGAAGTGGAGAACACTGAACTTCAGAAAAATTGCACAGTCTAGTTTCCTATAGGTAATAATTGGTTGGGAATGAAAAAATATCTTGTCTTCTGGTTCCAAGCAGTATTCTGTCTACAGTGGTTTTCTTTTCTTTAAAATAGAATTTTAGTAACAGAACTTTTTTCTCTAGCAAAGCCCAATATATGAAGCTGTCGGAAAAGAGCCACCCTGATTGAATCAAGGGTGGAGGCTCAGATTACCACCTGCTAGTCATCCTTTGTCTTCCAGGCAGCCTCTGAATTACCCTGAAAGTGTTTAGGAATTGTGTGAGGCTTGGTTTTAAAACCACTACTCTATACCATATTGTACTTCTTGGCTCACAAACCCCTGCAGCTTAGTTCCTATTGGATGAGCACAATTAAATGCCAGCATTTATTAGAGCTTCGTGATTGTAAGGGAGACCTCTCTAAACCCAGTTAATGAGGGAGCCCTGCTAAATATTCATGAGCATTAATATTTTCCCAGTCTTCCTAATCTTAGGTTCATTTATATTTTCACCTGTGTTGCTTTTATGTAAACAAGGAGGCTGCAATGGTCAGGGAAGAGTGCCTTGCTTCCAGCAGGTGCACAGAAAGTATTTGTCAATTTCCTCACCTAGGTTAGCCCTGGGGAAGGAAATATTTGTTTGCCTACAATGCAGACCATGTCTCTCCCTCTGGGACATAGCAAAGATGTCGACTACATGGGGTCCTTCCCTTGAAGACTTTACAGTTCAACTGCAGATCAAATGTGTGCTGAAACAATTAGACAACCCTATTAGACGGAAAGTAATCAAGTGCTAAATCATGTATTGCAGCTACTGGTGCTGTGAGAGGTCAGAGAAGAAGGAGATTAACAGGAGGGAAATGGAATAACGGGGGTTAACTATAAAGCTAAGTGGTCCTTCTTCTGAGTCTTGATAAATTGGTGGGAATTAGAGAGTTAGAGAGAAAGATGTTCAAGATGGGGGAAGCTCTGCAAGTAAAGACATGGAGGCAATCACCACGGCTAAGCAGAGGAGAGGAAAGGCATTGGAGAGATGGAAAACATGCTGGGAGTGGGGTCATGGGAAATGACTTGGGGGGATAGTTGGGGCATTAGTTAACAGAAGACACCCTTTTTTTGTGAGAAAGGGTCTTGCTCTATTACCCAGGCTGGAGCGCAGTGGCATGATCTCGGCTCACTGCAACATCTGCCTCCCAGGTTCAAGTGATTTGCGTGCCTCAGCCTCTGGAGTAGCTGGGATTACAGATGTGTACCACCACACCTGGCTAATTTTTAATATTTTTTTTAGTAGAGATGGGGTTTTGCCATGTTGGCCAGGCTAGTCTCAAACTCCTGGCCTCATGTCATACACCTGCCTCGGCCCCCCAAAGTGCTGGGATTACAGGCATGAGCCCAGCCACGAGTGAACAGAAGACACCCTTAAGGCAGGACACAGTCATAAGAATAAAAAGAGAACAAAAGGAACCAGCTCTAGTGACTTGGCTCTAGCTTTTGTGAGGGTTCATAGTGGGTGGGATAGAACCAGGGTTATAAAGCACTGTGTGGAACTCCTGTTAACTTCAGCAGGGAAGGCACCAGGTAAAGAGGCCGAAGGAGAGACCCAGAGCTGGCAAATGAAACTTGGGGCTTTATCTGGGGGTTACATACAGGGGAAAGAATCCAGTGGTGGCGGGCTGGACAGGAGAACTGTCTTATGTACAGAAACGGTCCAGTGGCAATGGGCTAGACAAGGTGCCTGCCTTACCTACAGTCTAGTGGCAGCAGACTAGGCAGGAAAACTGCAACCACTTGCAAACAGCATGCTGTTTATATAGCATTCTCATGTAACAGCCTCCCCTAAAAACCTAAAGACCTCCACCTGGCAATCTTCATTTAACCCAAAACTCAGGACCTCAATTCCTGCACAGCTTGTGTTCCACTGGATGGGCCAGGGACTCAGATATTTATCCTAGGTAGGAAATGAATCTCCAGGTTGGCCACTCCCAGATTCCCTAGCTTGGAACACACATTCAGATGTGTCTGCCGTACAAAGTCATTGTCAGGGTATGCTTAAATTACTGCTGTCAGGTGCGTTTACTATACAGGAAGCCAGACAGAGGAGCTGTTGCTTGATCTTATGGCAATAGAGAGCTGTTACGGCTTTCTTGAGAAGTAGTCATCCTTCATATTTTGGAAAGATTGCTCTTCCAGCATGCTTCTGAAAGATTGAAGGGATACCACCTCTCCTTTGCACACTTTCCAAACTGGAGTCTTCTGATGCTTGCAAGTTCACGATGATGACCCAACAGGAGGTTGGTTTTGTGAAATTCTTGATGATTACTTCTAGCTAGTTGAGAGCAGTTCCAAATAAATTGTAAATATCAATCAATGAAAACATTTTAGTAAATAATAATTTGGTCAACAGGTAGAGTTAATAATGTATGAACAATGAAGCACAGAGATGTCTCACTTAGGTAAACTATTAGATAATATGATGTTCATCTGACAATATTCCTGCATTAATTTCTTGCAAACACAGAAAGTACATTAAATAGATCAGGCTGTTATATCTGGCAAGTACCAAGTCTGACCTCTGTAATGATGACATCACTTATGTATTGACTTCTGTGAATAAGGAACTTCAGTATTGCCTCCCTCCTCAAATTTATTTTATGACCTACAGGCTGGGTCTCCACAATTCAGAGGGAAGACAAGGCTGGGTCCCTGAGATCAAAGTAGGTGATCGAAAATTAGAGAGTGATTTGATATCTCAGAATGATCTAATCAGCATGTTTAGTTATTTATTTTTTAAAAATTTATTTTCATAGGTTTTTTGGGTAAAAAGTGGTATTTGGTTACGTGAGTAAGTTCTTTAGTGGTGATACGTGAGATTTCAGTGCACTCATCACAAGAGCAGTATACACTGAATCCAATTTGTAGTCTTTTATGCCTCACCCCCTCTCACTCTTTCCTGAGTCCCCAAAGTCCATTGTATCATTATTATGCCTTTGCATCCTCGTAGCTTAGCTCCCACTTATGAGTGAGAACGTACGATGTTTGATTTTCCATTCCTGAGTTACTTCACTTAGAATAATAGTCTCCATTCCCATCCAGGTTGCTGTGAATGTCATTAATTCACTTCTTTATATGGCTGGGTAGTATTTCGTCATATGTATATACCACAGTTTCTTTATCCACTTGTTGATTGATGGGTATTTGTGTTGGTTCCACATTTTTGCAATTGAGAATTGTGCTGCTGTAAACATGTGTGGCCAATCACTGTGTTTAAAGGATAATGATGATGATATATACCATTTATCAAATGCTCAGCATTCAATGAATAAAAACACTTTTACATTTTTTATCTCAGTGAATCTTTGAAACACTTTATTGCTGTATGCATTTTTGTTTCCTCTATTTTCTAAGTGAGGCAACTGGAACTTGAAAGTTAAGTGACTAGTACACAGCTAGGAAATGGAGGAACTAGAAAAATGACTCTACGTCTTCCTGTCCAGATCCTATTTGTTTAATCACTTCATTATCCTGCTCCTCCATCATAATGATGAAGATGGGTGTGATGGTTAATATTGAATATCAACTTGATTGGGTTGAAGGATGCAAAGTACTGTTCTTGGGAGTGTCTGTGAGGGTGTTGCCAAAGAAGATTAATATTTAAGCCAGTGGACTAAGAGGCTATATGGATATATGAAAGGGTGTTTATTAAGAAGAATTGACTCACACAATCACAAGATAAAGTCCCACGATAGGCCGTCTGCAAGTTGAGGAGCAAGGAAGCCAGTGGTGGATGAGTCAGTGTCCCAAAACTTCAAAAGCATAGAAGCTGACAGTGTAGTCTTCAGTTGTGGCCAAAGGCCCGAAAGACCCTGGCAAACCATTGGTGTAAGTCCAGGAGTCTAAAAGCAGGAAGCATCCAGCACGGGAGAAAGATGAAGGCCAGAAGACTTAGCAAGTCTGTTCTTCCATCATCTCCTGCCTGTTTTATTATATCCGTGCTGGCAGCTTATTAAATAGTGCCCACCTAGATTGAGGGTGGCTCTGCCTCTCCCAGTCCACTGACTCAAGTATTAGTCTCCTTGGGCAACACCCTTACAGATACTCCCAGGAACAGTACTTTGCATCCTTCAATCCAGTCGAGTTGATAATTCAGTATTAACCATCACACCCATCTTCATCATTATGATAGAGAAGCAGGATAATGAAGTGGACCTTTATAGCACCTGACATACATCAGGGTTTTTCAACTGTGACATTTATTGACATTTTGAGCTGAGTACTTCTTTGTGGTTGAGAGCTGTTCTGTGCATTGTAGGATGTTTAGTAGCATCCCTGGTCTCTTTGCCTACCAGTTGTGACAACGAAAATTGTCTCCAGATATTGGCAAATGTCTCTCAAGGGACAAAATAGCTCCAGTTACAATCATTGCCATACAGTATTTTATTTGATATTCTCAGTGTTTTGGAGGTAAGTAGAAATGTTTAATTGATTTAAAAGATGAAGCACTAGAGACTCTAAGACATTAAGTGACATGCTGAGAGTTAGGAAATTAGTAAGTGGGGGACCAAGGACTCAAACCCAGGACTTTTTGCTCGAGGTTCAGTGTGTTTTCCATTGTTTATGCTTGAGGTATTTGTTTTGGTTAAGATCACTGTTCCAATTGCTTTAGATACTGCCAGATTGTCTTAAGGAAGCAGTGCAACTGGTTAAGGAAGAGTGTTTATTGAACAGAAGATAAGTATAACTTTTTTCCCTTTCTTCACTTGGTCAGAAAGATGTTACTCAATATTTTAAAAGACAATCCCCAGATCAGGCCTTCCTAAGTGTGCTGATGTCATTGTCCTGGCTGCAGTTGGATTGCCTTCTCTTATTTTCAAACAAATAAAATAATAAAGTTACTGGTATAAGCAAGCAGAAGCCAACATTTTCCCTAGCTTTTTCTACGTCCCAGTGATACCTTATCCTCAGCCAACCCTTGGGAAGTTAAAAAAAAGTTGAAAAGAATCCATTTTGATTTCTTTTTTCTCCCTGCTTTATTTACTATGAAAGCAATATGCACCAAACACCAGCCACCTACACACTCAGCCCATCTTTGAGTCAAACGCTTCATTTAGCTTCTCTAGTGTTTCCGGATTTCTCAACTGGGATTGCCCACTGGGGTGTGATCTAAGTAGCACCATCATGAGTTCCAATTCTGGGCCTGTAAGCAAAAGAACACAGCTTCTCTTAGCCCATTATTAACTGCCAGAGAACTGTTCTTCAGTGGGAATATCGGGCAGGGAGTGCCTCTTGAGAGAAGGTATCTTCAAGGGAGCAGTGCTTTATCAACCTACTTCAGCCTTGACCTTTGCTTCTGCCTCATTTTTTTCTTCTAATGGTTTCAGACCAAAAGTCGATTTATTTTTTAAGTGCATCGCTGTCTAGTGTCTTCAGAGAATCCCTGTGAAGTCTGCTAGACTTGCTAATAGCTACCAAGGCTGAATCATGTTACTTTACTAACCACCAGCCTCTGTCAATGTTGTCTGGGTTTATTTTGGAAAGTTATTGGGTTGTTTATGAGTAAATTGTAAAATGTTGTTCTTGAAAAGTTGTTCACCATACCATCTTGTGGCACTAAGGTAGACAGATGAGCACTCCTAAAGGAACATTATAAGAAAGGTAAAAATTTATGTGTGGCTTTGCCTCATTTTTCTTACTTATTCTAAAAAAATTTTATTTTCCTATATGGTATGCTGTCTTAAATTCTTTTTTTGAAGAGGGGCATAATTAAATGAGTAGGAAATTTATAGGTCTAATTTTGTGAAACATGAACCTATTGCATTGATGGGGAATTATAAGTTGATTTAAGGAAACAGTTATGGATCTAGTTCACTCTGTTAGTAGACAGGTAAATAGCGAAGATAAACAATGCAAAATGATGCATAAATATGTCTATGCTTTGTAATTGTAAGAGTTTCTGTTCTATAGAGACTTGGTGTTTATACACTAATTAAATCTATTTATTAATTGAACAAATATTTATTTCATGCCTACTATGCAGTAGACATGTTATCAGATATGGATATTTAAGGATAAATTTAAAAATGATTTTCATGAAGGAATTCAGTCTGATAGAAGAGTCAGATACAAAAATAACTAATTATCTGACAATATAATATAAAAGTGTAGAGTGCAATAGAAACGGTAATGAAAAAGTGGTATGAAACTGACAACTTTTATTTGTACCGAACTTTCCATCTTTTGTGATAAAATCTTTATTGTGGGGAAGTATGATTTTTTTCCCTCCTCATGATTCTATTGCAGGACAGGGTGGTGGGAGGGCAGTTCCTCTTCCCTCCAAACGATGGGAAAATACTGGAGGAGATGTTTTCTCCATTTCTTACTAGTTTTCCTGGAGGGAAAGTGAGTATCCAGTTGATTGTAGATAACTTAATTTCCACTGAAGCACGTTTTCCCTCATGTGTGTAGTTACTGCATTGAAAATGGAACAAAGGCCCATCTCTGATTTTCTTGGTTCCTCATTCTGTGGAGGTCTGGGTTTTAGAGGCAGGCTGATCTGACCGTCAACATGCACTCAGGGTGTACTGGCAGAGGTGACTCTACTAAAGGCAGATACTGAGTCTAGATTTGGAGAGGAACTTCATTAAGAAGGTTCCATTTTGGCCTTCAGTCCAAGCAACATTCTGCAGCACCTCTTTACTAGGGGACCCCAGTTATCAGGTGATGATTTGCAAAGCTATCCATTGATCTCCATTTAGCTTTAGATATTGATCTCTACCAGGTAGAACCCAGACGATAGGAGAGATGAGTTATCAGCATTCCTTACATTCAACAATCTCATTTGATAATCATAACAACCTTATGAGACAGTTAGAGTGGGGATTACTTTTCTCATTTTGCATGTGAAGAAGTAAAGTTAAGTGGAATAATGGAATGCCGGAAGCACAGACATGGGTTCAAATCCTTGTTCTGCCACCTATGAGTGAGCCGACGTGGGAATAAGTTCCTTAATTTGCTGAGCCTCAGTCTCTTCTTCTGTAAAATTGAGACTGCATCATCTGTTTTATAAGTTGTTGTGAGAACTAGACATTGTATGTAGACAGCACTAGGCACAATGTCTAATGCATACCAGTGAATCTTTGACCTGAGTTGGAGTGGAGCTGTAAAGCCAAAGCAGAGAATTAAAGGATCTGGGACAGTTGAGACCAAGAAGTAACTGAATGAGCCAGTGGGAGGTCATCTGGAGGAGTTCCACAATAGAGTGCAGATATGTAGGATGGCCTCATGGGGGTACCAGCATTACTTAATGTGGGAGTCTTGCTTTCATTTATAGAAGCTAAAACAAGGTAGATGTTACAAGTCCTAGACCAATGGCCCCCAGCGACCGGTTTCACGGAAGATCATTTTTCTGTGGACCAGGGCAGGGAAGGGGTATGGTTTCAGGATGATTCAAGTGCATTACATTTACTATGCACTTTATTTCTATTATTATTATATTGTAATATATAGTAAAATGATGAAATAATTATATAACTCATCATAATGTAGAATCAGTGGGAGCCCTGAGCTTATTTTCCTGCAACTAGACGGTCCCATCTGGGGCTGATGGGAGACAATGACAGATCATCAGGCATTAGAGTCTCATAAGGAGCACACAACCTATATTCCTCACATGTGCAGTTCACAATAGGGTTCATGCTCCTATGAGAATCTAATGCTGTTGCTGATCTGACAGGAGGTGGAGCTCAGGTGGTAATGCGAGTGATGGGGAGTGGCTGTAAATACAGATGAAGCTTCGCTCACTCACCTGCCACTAGCCTTCTGCTGTGTAGACTGGTTCCTAGCTCAGTCTGTGGCCCAGGGTGTTGGGGCCCCTGTCTTAGACTATGTTAAGCTCACTGAGCAGAAGCTTATTTCTCAGAAGATATTCTAGTTTTTTTTTTTTGGAGGGAGGTAATTTTTTAAATTTGCTGAGCCTCAGTTTCCCCCGAGTTGGGTGGGTAACCTGTGGTACAGATACAGTGTGCTCCAGGATTGGAGGGACCAGACTGTTTTTTCTCCAGCTCTTTGGGAGGCCAAGGCAAGAGACTTTGCTGAGGCTAGGAGTTCAAGACCAGTCTGGGCAACATAACGAGATCCCATTTCTACAAATTTTTTTTTAAATAAAATATTTTGTTGTATAAACTGAAACACTGTGCACTTGGAGAGACATGATCAATCTTATGGATTGCTGTGAATTATAGCATGATGTATTCAGCTGTAACTTTTGTATCTCTTAGGAAGATGGTGAAGATAACTGGATTGCCCCTGCAATTTTCTCATTGGCCATATAAAGTCATGCTTTGTATTTGGGATTTTCCAGGTTGTTAGTGGTAACAATATTTCTTGAAAGCATGCCATTTAGAATTATTTCTTCCTTCCTAGGGACATTGGTGGGTGCATGTGGGAGGAAAAATGGCAAAATAAAGGACAAGCTCTGATGCATACACAGTCCCTCTACAAATGCATCTGAGCCGTAACTGAGCAGTCATGATACTCTCCATTAATTTAATGAAATTAATTTTTTTCATATGCCACTTTCAATGCTACAAAGTACTTTACAGTGAGAGGCAAAGGAGATAATGAGATAATGTTTTATGGAACCATGCAGCAGCAAGTTTCCTATCATTAGCAAGACAGAGAATATATTAAAAACGGTGTGGTTAAAAGAAAACTCTGAAATAGCAACCAGAGAAGAAAGTGCAAAAGCAGGATGTGGCTCTCAAAGCTCTTTATCCTGTACCTTAAAGATGACTCATTTTATTACTGGGATTCAGAGTGAGCCTAGGGCAAGTGAGTCTAGGAGCTGAGCATTTGCCCTTTCTAGAGCATTAGTGCAAAGCAAATATGTTCATCGCTTCTGGTTGCTCATTCATAAGGTAGTTTGGCATGGTGGAAAGATTGTAATATTTGGAGTCAACCAAATCTGGATTCCAATCCAGTTCTGCCATTCACTGGCTAATGTGTGACTCAGTTTCTTCATCTATGAAATGAGTGTAAAAACTTGTCTCAACAAATGCTACATTCCCCTTCACTTTTGTTAGTAACAAAGAGTTTTAGGTTAGTCTATCACATCATTTGGCTCTTTCTTGCTGCAGCTGTGTGTGTGTGTGCATGTGTGCATGTGTTGGGGAAGGTTGTCAGAGTGGGGAGGGTTCACCAGATGGTACAGGTTGCCTATTCAACACCCATGGCTCTTTTTTGCCATGCTGGCAGAGCTCCAGTTTTGTCCCACCCACTCCTAAATTAGACAACTTCGAATTGGTCTAAGCCTATAATGGTCCCGTTTTCTTGACAATTATTCATTTAAGGGTGGACATCGGGACTCAGTTTTGGTTATCGTGACATAAGGGGAATTCTGCCAGGAGACTTTTGGGGAAGTTTCTTTGCTATTTAAAAGAGATACATGCAAAAGGAGCAGCATTTTTTTTTTTCGAGACGGAGCGTTTTTTGTGTGCTGGATGTTATATCCACAAAGGATACATGACACTGCACCAGCCATCTTGGGACCAGGAGTGAAATTATCTCCAAAAGAAACATGCTATAGAACGAGACCAGGGATCTTGATGCTGGTCTTATCTGCTAAACTAGCCAACTCTGTAGTGGCCTCCCACTAGACATCTGTTATGGGAGCTAACACATCCATTTATTGTTTGAGCAATGGTTATCTGGGCTCTCTTTTATTTGTAGCTTAAGGCATCCTAACTGATAGAAGAGCCTGTCAGTTGGGAATCTAGAATTTGACCCCAAGTTCAATTACTCTTTAAGTTTAGAGGAAGTTTCTTGTGTTTCTTTCACTGGTGCAACTTTATTTTAAGTGAAATTAAAAAATAGTTTCCCATGTTCACCTGTCCTAAGTCAGCCTCCAGGGAAACATTTGGAAACCAGCACCTTTCCTGTTCCTGTATATAGACAGATACCAGACTGGGTCTAGTGGACTCATGAGCTGTTCAGCCTGGACAAGAGAAGGGGAAGCTACGAATAATTTATGGAGCCCCCATTTTATGTCAAAAGCACTTCACATATATTTTGATTCCCACAATAAGAGTTTAAAAGGACATAGAATTGTGTTATCTTCATTAAAAGATAGAAAAATTGAGACTAAGAAAGGTTAAACTGTTTGCCAAGATGTCTGCTATTTAGTGGTAGAGTCAGTGTAAAAGTACCAGAATCCAGGCACGATTTCCTAGATGAAGAGATGAAACTCCAACAAAGTTAGGGGATATAAATAAGCAAATTAATTGCTGAGGCTGGTCTAGAACCTAGATTTCTTGATGCCTTATCCTGAATTTCTTAAATTGCCTATCCTAACCAAGATTCTCTGATGCTAGCAATAAGTAGATTGGTGGAGATTTGCCTATTGAATTCATTCCTTCATTCACTATGTATTTATCATGCATCTACTGTATCCCCAGCACTGTGCTAGGCATTGAGTATACAGTGGTGAACAGAAGGATTTGGTCCCTGCTGCTCCCTTGGTTGGGGCTCCACCTCTGGGTGGGTCATGGATGGGACTGAGACAGCAGATGGGGTGGCCAGGAAAGGCCAAGGGCCTGCTTTGTAGAGGATGCAGAGAAGAGCAGGACTTGGCAGAAAAACCCAGTCTCTGGGGTGTAGGGACTGAAAGAAATCTACCTGTGGGTGAAGATGAGGCCTCAGGACCTCGGGACATGCTGTCTGTGTTGAGAGCCAGCGCCCTGTGTTTCAGGGTAGAGCGTGCGCCCAGGGCCGAGCTTTTCAAAAGTCTGGCTCCAGGGGGTAGTCTTCTGGTGGGTCTGTTTTATCCAGACCCTTCCAGAAAGCATTTAGATATGGCCCTCTTTGTTGATACAGTCCTGTATCTCCATTAGTGGGAAGTTTCTGGAAGACGCAGCTGCTTTTCTTCTTTCTTTTTTGTAAATGTCCTTTGGCAATGTTCTGCAAGCCTAGACACCTCCCAAAGGAAGCCCACGGGAAAACTGAGAAAGAAGCAGTGGTGTGCTGGTGAAAGTTTAACAACCAGCTCTGTCGGGGGTTGGGGGCGGCGGGGAGGGGAACTCTGGATTTGTTGCATTTTCTACTTTCTGTAGTGTGGATACTCCCACCATGGCTGATTTCAAGCCACCAATGGAATATCAGCCAATTTCCAAAAATTCCAGAAATTGAACAATAGGCTCCTGGGAGCCAGTGTGAGGTGGCTGCAGCACATCTTGGCTCTAGTACACTCCCAGAGAGAGGCATACGGGACCACCCATGCAGTTGTTAGCCCCCTAGCATATCTGGAAGGGACAATGTGAGTACCACAGGTGATTTCTGGAGGTGAGGCTTGTATCAGTATGGGCACTTTGCCCTGACTCTCGCATTCCTTTCCTCTACCTTTGAAATATCGGCTGATTTCTGGCCATCCCTCCTTTTCCAACTCTCCTCCTTTGAAGTTTGTTCTTTTATCTCTGAATATATATATACACACACACACACATATATTTTTTAAGAAATACCTGGAACAAAAATCTTGCTTTCTGTTTAAACAAGATATATTTTTCAGGCTTGTTATTGATTTTTCTGTTATTCCCATACCGCATCATGTTAGAAAGAAGAGGTTTGTTTCATTTTTTTTTTTTCCGTAAGAGAAAATAAACATCCTGTGGGCTTTTCCTCGTATCACAAACTGGTACCTTCTGAAGCGCATTTGGAAGTGAAATGTCAGGTAGCAGGGTCTTGGGGCTGCCTGAAGAGAGTCTCCTATTTCCAACAGACTCTAATTTTCAAAGCTGCTCCTTTCCTTAATATGATTTAGAATTTTATTTGTTCAGCCTGTAAAGTAGAGCTGAGAATATCACAGACTCAAGATATGAATCCTATTAATGAAACAGCATTTAGAAATGTGAGCATTGCTGTCTTGGCTATTACATCGTCTGTAGATTAATCATAATGTTTTGAGGACCCTGTCCGATTAGAAGCTTATTTTAAACAGCAAATTTCATGTGACTAAAGAGTGCAATTATTGGTTGCTATCTTCAGTGGACAGTTATGGGGCAGATTTAAAAAAATGAACATTTCTTAAAAGTGATTAAATGGGTGGGAACCCCGTTCTGGAAACAGAAGGAGGCAAGGGAAAAATAATGAAATGAAATAAAAAGGGATTTGAAAATTAAAAAGCAAGTTAATTTGTCATTGTTGTGCAGAAAAGCCTCCAAGGTGGGAAATGATTACCTGGGCTGAACTACTGAGGCCTTAAGGCTATGCCTTGCAGATTAGTGTCTGTTATTTTTGTCCTGTCTTTTATTTATTTATTTATTTATTTATTTTTATTTTTTAAATTTATTTTTTTATTATACTTTAAGTTTTAGGGTACATGTGCACATTGTGCAGGTTAGTTACATATGTATACATGTGCCATGCTGGTGCGCTGCACCCAATAAATTGTCATCTAACATTAGGTATATCTCCCAATGCTATCCCTCCCCCCTCCCCCCACCCCACAGCAGTCCCCAGAGTGTGATATTCCCCTTCCTGTGTCCATGAGATCTCATTGTTCAATTCCCACCTATGAGTGAGAATATGCGGTGTTTGGTTTTTTGTTCTTGCGATAGTTTACTGGGAATGATGATTTCCAATTTCATCCATGTCCCTACAAAGGACATGAACTCATCATTTTTTATGGCTGCATAGTATTCCATGGTGTATATGTGCCACATTTTCTTAATCCAGTCTATCATTGTTGGACATTTGGCTTGGTTCCAAGTCTTTGCTATTGTGAATAATGCCGCAATAAACATACATGTGCATGTGTCTTTATAGCAGCATGATTTATAGTCCTTTGGGTATATACCCAGTAATGGGATGGCTGGGTCAAATGGTATTTCCAGTTCTAGATCCCTGAGGAATCGCCACACTGACTTCCACAATGGTTGAACTAGTTTACAGTCCCACCAACAGTGTAAAATTGTTCCTATTTTTCCACGTCCTCTCCAGCACCTGTTGTTTCCTGACTTTATAATGATTGCCATTCTAACTGGTGTGAGATGGTATCTCATTGTGGTTTTGATTTGCATTTCTCTGATGGCCAGTGATGATGAGCATTTTTTCATGTGTTTTTTGGCTGCATAAATGTCTGCTTTTGAGAAGTGTCTGTTCATGTCCTTTGCCCACTTTTTGATGGGGTTGTTTGTTTTTTTCTTGTAAATTTGTTTGAGTTCATTGTAGATTCTGGATATTAGCCCTTTGTCAGATGAGTAGGTTGCGAAAATTTTCTCCCATTTTGTAGGTTGCCTGTTCACTCTGATGGTAGTTTCTTTTGCTGTGCAGAAGCTCTTTAGTTTAATTAGATCCCATTTGTCAATTTTGGCTTTTGTTGCCATTGCTTTTTGTGTTTTAGACATGAAGTCCTTGCCCATGCCTATGTCCTGAATGGTAATGCCTAGGTTTTCTTCTAGGGTTTTTATGGTTTTAGGTCTAACGTTTAAGTCTTTAATCCATCTTGAATTGATTTTTGTATAAGGTGTAAGGAAGGGATCCAGTTTCAGCTTTCTACATATGGCTAGCCAGTTTTCCCAGCACCATTTATTAAATAGGGAATCCTTTCCCCATTGCTTGTTTTTCTCAGGTTTGTCAAAGATCAGATAGTTGTAGATATGCGGCGTTATTTCTGAGGGCTCTGTTCTGTTCCATTGATCTATATCTCTGTTTTGGTACCAGTACCATGCTGTTTTGGTTACTGTAGCCTTGTAGTATAGTTTGAAGTCAGGTAGTGTGATGCCTCCAGCTTTGTTCTTTTGGCTTAGGATTGACTTGGCGATGCGGGCTCTTTTTTGGTTCCATATGAACTTTAAAGTAGTTTTTTCCAATTCTGTGAAGAAAGTCATTGGTAGCTTGATGGGGATGGCATTGAATCTGTAAATTACCTTGGGCAGTATGGCCATTTTCACGATATTGATTCTTCCTACCCATGAGCATGGAATGTTCTTCCATTTGTTTGTATCCTCTTTTATTTCCTTGAGCAGTGGTTTGTAGTTCTCCTTGAAGAGGTCCTTCACATCCCTTGTAAGTTGGATTCCTAGGTATTTTATTCTCTTTGAAGCAATTGTGAATGGGAGTTCACTCATGATTTGGCTCTCTGTTTGTCTGTTGTTGGTGTGTAAGAATGCTTGTGATTTTTGTACATTGATTTTGTATCCTGAGACTTTGCTGAAGTTGCTTATCAGCTTAAGGAGATTTTGGGCTGAGACAATGGGGTTTTCTAGATATACAATCATGTCGTCTGCAAACAGGGACAATTTGACTTCCTCTTTTCCTAATTGAATACCCTGTATTTCCTTCTCCTGCCTAATTGCCCTGGCCAGAACTTCCAACACTATGTTGAATAGGAGTGGTGAGAGAGGGCATCCCTGTCTTGTGCCAGTTTTCAAAGGGAATGCTTCCAGTTTTTGCCCATTTGGTATGATATTGGCTGTGGGTTTGTCATAGATAGCTCTTATTATTTTGAAATACATCCCATCAATGCCTAATTTATTGAGAGTTTTTAGCATGAGGGTTGTTGAATTTTGTCAAAGGCTTTTTCTGCATCTATTGAGATAATCATGTGGTTTTTGTCTTTGGCTCTGTTTATATGCTGGATTACATTTATTGATTTGCGTATATTGAACCAGCCTTGCATCCTAGGGATGAAGCCCACTTGATCATGGTGGATAAGCTTTTTGATGTGCTGCTGGATTCAGTTTGCCAGTATTTTATTGAGGATTTTTGCATCAATGTTCATCAAGGATATTGGTCTAAAATTCTCTTTTTTTGTTGTATCTCTAACTGGCTTTGGTATCAGAATGATGCTGGCCTCATAAAAAGAGTTAGGGAGGATTCCCTCTTTTTCTATTGATTGGAATAGTTTCAGAAGGAATGGTACCAGTTCCTCCTTGTACCTCTGGTAGAATTCAGCTGTGAATCCATCTGGTCCTGGACTCTTTTTGGTTGGTAAGCTATTGATTATTGCCAAAATTTCAGCTACTGTTATTGGTCTGTTCAGAGATTCAACTTCTTCCTGGTTTAGTCTTGGGAGAGTGTATGTGTCCAGGAATTTATCTATTTCTTCTAGATTTTCTAGTTTATTTGCGTAGAGGTGTTTGTAGTATTCTCTGATGGAAGTTTGTATTTCTGTGGGATTGGTAGTTATATCCCCTTTATCATTTTTTATTGTGTCTATTTGATTTTTCTCTCTTTTTTTCTTTATTAGTCTTGCTAGCGGACTATCAATTTTGTTGATCCTTTCAAAAAACCAGCTCCTGGATTCATTAATTTTTTGAAAGGTTTTTTGTTTCTCTATTTCCTTCAGTTCTGCTCTGATTTTAGTTATTTCTTGCCTTCTGCTAGCTTTTGAATGTGTTTGCTCTTCCTTTTCTAGTTCTTTTAATTGTGATGTTAGGGTGTCAATTTTGGATCTTTCCTGCTTTCTCGTGTGGGCATTTAGTGCTATAAATTTCCCTCTACACACTGCTTTGAATGTGTCCCAGAGATTCTGGTATGTTGTGTCTTTGTTCTCATTGGTTTCAAAGAACATCTTTATTTCTGCCTTCATTTCGTTATGTACCCAGTAGTCATTCAGGAGCAGGTTGTTCAGTTTCCATGTAGTCGAGTGGTTTTGAGTGAGATTCTTAATCCTGAGTTCTAGTTTGATTGCACTGTGGTCTGAGAGATAGTTTGTTATAATTTCTGTTCTTTTACATTTGCTGAGGAGAGCTTTACTTCCCAGTATGTGGTCAATTTTGGAATATGTGTGGTGTGGTGCTGAAAAAAATGTATATTCTGTTGATTTGGGGTGGAGAGTTCTGTAGATGTCTATTAGGTCTGCTTGGTGCAGAGCTGAGTTAAATTCCTGGGTATCCTTGTTGACTTTCTGTCTCATTGATCTGTCTAATGTTGACAGTGGGGTGTTAAAGTCTCCCATTATTAATGTGTGGGAGTCTAAGTCTCTTTGTAGGTCACTAAGGACTTGCTTTATGAATCTTGGTGCTCCTGTATTGGGTGCATACATATTTAGGATAGTTAGCTCTTCTTGTTGAATTGATCCCTTTACCATTAAGTAATGGCCTTCTTTGTCTCTTTTGATCTTTGTTGGTTTAAAGTCTGTTTTATCAGAGACTAGGATTGCAACCCCTGCCTTTTTTGGTTTTCCATTTGCTTGGTAGATCTTCCTCCATCCTTTTATTTTGAGCCTATGTGTGTCTCTGCACATGAGATGGGTTTCCTGAATACAGCACACTGATGGGTCTTGACTCTTTATCCAATTTGCCAGTCTGTGTCTTTTAATTGGAGCATTTAGTCCATTTACATTTAAAGATAATATTGTTATATGTGAATTTGATCCTGTCATTATGATGTTAGCTGGTTATTTTGCTTGTTAGTTGATGCAGTTTCTTCCTAGTCTCGATGGTCTTTACATTTTGGCATGATTTTGCAGCGGCTGGTACCAGTTGTTCCTTTCCATGTTTAGTGCTTCCTTCAGGAGCTCTTGTAAGGCAGGCCTGGTGGTGACAAAATCTCTCAGCATTTGCTTGTCTGTAAAGTATTTTATTTCTCCTTCACTTATGAAGCTTAGTTTGGCTGGATATGCCATTCTGGGTTGAAAATTCTTTTAAGAATGTTGAATATTGGCCCCCAGTCTCTTCTGGCTTGTAGAGTTTCTGCAGAGAGATCCGTTGTTAGTCTGATGGGCTTCCCTTTGAGGGTAACCCGACCTTTCTCTCTGGCTGCCCTTAACATTTTTTCCTTCATTTCAACTTTGGTGAATCTGACAATTATGTGTCTTGGAGTTGCTCTTCTTGAGGAGTATCTTTGTGGCGTTCTCTGTATTTCCTGAATCTGAACATTGGCCTGCCTTGCTAGATTGGGGAAGTTCTCCTGGATAATATCCTGCAGAGTGTTTTCCAACTTGGTTCCATTCTCCCCATCACTTTCAGGTACACCAATCAGACGTAGATTTGGTCTTTTCACATAGTCCCATATTTCTTGGAGGCTTTGCTCATTTCTTTTTATTCTTTTTTCTCTAAACTTCCCTTCTCGCTTCATTTCATTCATTTCATCTTCCATCGCTGATACCCTTTCTTCCAGTTGATCGCATCAGCTCCTGAGGCTTCTGCATTCTTCACGTAGTTCTCGAGCCTTGGTTTTCAGCTCCATCAGCTCCTTTAAGCACTTCTCTGTGTTGGTTATTCTAGTTATACATTCTTCTAAATTTTTTTCAAAGTTTTCAACTTCTTTGCCTTTGGTTTGAATGTCCTCCCGTAGCTCAGAGTAATTTGATCGTCTGAAGTCTTCTTCTCTCAGCTCGTCAAAGTCATTCTCCATCCAGCTTTGTTCCGTTGCTGGTGAGGAACTGCGTTCCTTTGGAGGAGGAGAGGTGCTCTGCTTTTTAGAGTTTCCAGTTTTTCTTTTCTGTTTTTTCCCCGTCTTTGTGGTTTTATCTACTTTTGGTCTTTGATGATGGTGATGTGCAGATGGGTTCTTGGTGTGGATGTCCTTTCTGTTTGTTAGTTTTCCTTCTAACAGAGAGGACCCTCAGCTGCAGGTCTGTTGGAATACCCTGCCGTGTGAGGTGTCAGTGTGCCCCTGCTGGGGGGTGCCTCCCAGTTAGGCTTTTCTGGGATCAGGGGTCAGGGACCCACTTGAGGAGGCAGTCTGCCCGTTCTCAGATCTCCAGCTGCGTGCTGGGAGAACCACAGCTCTCTTCAAAGCTGTCAGACAGGGACATTTAAGTCTGCAGAGGTTACAGCTGTCTTTTTGTTTGTCTGTGCCCTGCCCCCAGAGGTGGAGCCTACAGAGGCAGGCAGGCCTCCTTGAGCTGTGGTGGGCTCTACCCAGTTCAAGCTTCCCGGCTGCTTTCTTTACCTAATCAAGCCTGGGCAATGGCGGGCGCCCCTCCCCCAGCCTCGCTGCCGCCTAGCAGTTTGATCTCAGACTGCTGTGCTAGCAATCAGCGAGACTCCGTGGGCGTAGGACCCTCCGAGCCAGGTGCGGGATATAATCTTGTGGTGCGCCGTTTTTTAAGCCCGTCCGAAAAGCGCAGTATTCAGGTGGGAGTGACCCGATTTTCCAGGTGCCGTCCGTCACCCCTTTCTTTGACTCAGAAAGGGAACTCCCTGACCCCTTGCGCTTCCCAAGTGAGGCAATGCCTTGCTCTGCTTCGGCTCGCGCACGGTGCGCGCACCCACTGACCTGCGCCCACTGTCTGGCACTCCCTAATGAGACGAACCCGGTACCTCAGATGGAAATGCAGAAATCACCCGTCTTCTGCGTCGCTCACGCTGAGAGCTGTAGACGGGAGCTGTTCCTATTTGGCCATCTTGGCTCCTCCCCTCCTGTCCTGTCTTAAATAGAAAAGGAGCATTCACTGGAAATCAGAAAGCCAAGGGTTAGAAGTTGCCTCATCACTTTATTGATGTAGGAAGTCTTTGCTAACAACTACACTTGACTAAAAGATGATAGCAAAGAACATCTTAGGAAAAAGGCAAGAGCAAGCTGCTTTTTAGAATGAATAGGAAAGAGGGAGAGAACGTATGAGCAAGAAGAGGCAGGTGGAGAAATACTCATTTTTGGAACAAGTCTCTAGATGCAGCAGAGGGGCTACAGCTCTGAAGTCAGACATAACTTCTTGTGAATCTTGTCCCTGTCACATCTTAACTGTGTGACTATGAGCACGTTTCCTAACCTCTTTGAGCTTCAATTTTCCCATCTGAACAATGGGATCAGTGCACCTAGGGTTGTTGAGAAAATTAAATAGAAAGTAATGGAGCATACAGCACACATTCAATAAAATGTTCCCTTCTTAGGGGCTTGACCAATTGCTCTGAGCCAAAATACAGTTACAGTTATGTTACATGTGGTGAACAGTCCCATTTTTATTGTATTTTCTGCCACAGTCTGATGGGATTCTAGAGGCCAAAGCTGGTGGTATTTAGGCAGATGAGTGAGCCTCAGAGGCCATCCCAGCCCTTCCAGATCCCTAGTGTAGAGAGACTCATAGGTACCAGAAATCCTGCCTGGGGACAGCTTTTCCGAGTAAGGATGAGGTTTAGGTTGACCACGAATCCTTGGCTGATAACTGTTCTTCTCATGAGCTAGTCTCAATCTGTAAACAGGTGGTAGTGGCGGGGAAAAGTAATACATTTTATGTTTTTGGTAGAGTTACTATTTTGGTATTTTCTCTGTAAGTGCAGTACTGACTCATTTCATAAAAAAAAAAAAATCAGCAAACACAAAGAAGCCGAAAGAAGAAAATATAAGATACTCATAATTCTTCTACCCACATTAAGATATTAGAGTGTGATTCTTAAACTTTTTATTCTTATTGAATGAGTTTATTCCCTTAAGAATGAGTTCCATATCTTATTATAAACCTACATTTCTTTCAATACACACATCATACTTTCAGCTAAATTACTTAATGTTCCCCACTCCTAGGTACTTGAGGACAATTGACTCTGTGGGTGACTCTATGGCTAATTCAGTGGCTTTCTGTGCCAGTAGATAAACTGGTGTGTCCTAGTTTGGGGTATCTTTTTCAAGGCCATTTTTTCATTTTCCGTGCATATATATGCTATAGTGCTTACAGCTGTTTGCTCTGGGTAGTTAAAAACATGGATATTCAAAATTTTAATATTTTGCTTGTATGTTTTTGCTTATGTCTTTGAAATGAACATGTATTGGTTTTACAACAACAAACTATTCCGTATATAAAACTTTACAGAAAATATATTGAAATCTGCTTGCAAATTGTGTTTGGTCTGTACTTGAAATGTAGTAAAGGCCATAAATACATATGTATACACACACATAGACACACATATTTATAGCTATATAGAGATTATATAGCTATAGATTTACTTTTATCTATGTATGTTTTAAAATCTCTATATAGTTATATATGTATATATGTATGGTTTTTATGGCAGTAAGTCATGACTATATTTTCATGTCAAATACATTTTGCCCCATAATTTTCTTGGTTGCATAGTATTTTCTTACATAACTATAACATAACTAGCCCTATATTGCTGGGTATTTGTGTTTTTCCTAATTTTTTAATATTAGAAATTATGTTCTGTTGAATATTCTCCTATGTATCCTTAATTATTTGACATGTCGTATTTTTTCTCTATATGTAGATGAATGTAGACATGTTGTATTTTATTGTTTATTCATTTATTTATTTTCAAGATGGTATCTTACTGTGTCACCCAGGCAGGTGTGCAATGGTGTGATCTTGGCTCGCTGCAACCTCTGCCTCCTAGGTTTGAATGATTCTCCTGCCTCAGCCTCCCAAGTAGCTGGGACTACAGGTGCCCACCACCATGCCTGGCTCATTTTTTGTATTTTCAGTAGAGACAGAGTTTCAGCATGTTGGCCAGGCTGGTCTCAAACTCCTCCTGGCCTCAAGTGATCTGCCGCCTCAGCCTCCCAAAGTGTTGGGATTACAGGTGTGAGCCACCACACCTGGCCTGGACATGTTGTATTTTAAAAGTCAGTAATCTTATATTAATGTTAAAATGTGGTGTTCCAAATTTCAGTGTTATGAGCACTGATTAGGTTCCCAGGCTATCATTAATTTAATACACATTGTAGCTAAGATAGGATTTTGATACTATTATATTATAGTGGATTCATCTGTGTCCTCCCCATCCCCCAAATATGTTCAAGTCCTAAACTCCTGTACTTGTGAATGTGACTCTATTTGGAAAAGGGTTTTTGCAGGCATAATCAAATCAAGATGAGGTCATACTGGATGAGGACAGGCTCTAGATTCAGTGACTCTTATCTTCATAAGAGACTTGGACACAGAGGGAAGAAGATCATGTGAGGACGGAGGCAGAGGTTGGCATTAAGCTTCCACAAGCCAAGGAATGCCTGGACCCATCAAAAGTTGGAAAAGGCAAGAAAAGATTCTCTTCTAGCACCTTCGATGGAGTGTGGCCATGCTGACACCTCAGTTTCAGAATTTTGGCCTCCAGAATGGTGAGTGAATAAGTTTCTGTTTTTCTAAGCTACCCAGTTTGTGGCATTTTGTTATGGCAGCCCCAGGAAACTAACATATATACCCGATCATCTTTCTGAACATATTTCTCCATAGAATGAATGTTGTAAAGGGAGGTTATGTTCTAGATACAGCCCACAAAAAGTATCTAGTGCCTAATATAGTTGAAACATAACGCTATCAAATTAAACGTCATTAAAGCAGTCTCTCATGGAAAGTCCAACCTATACATTGGGCAGGAGGGATTCTGCCTTCCTTGGTCTCACGCAGACAGACGTGGAGACAGTTCTCTATTCTTTCAGGAGATGGCGCTTTCGGCAGTGGGTCTTAGAAAGTTAAATGAGCATTTTTAACTCAGCCAACATTTAATGACCACCTTCTGTGCTGGTATACAGTGGTGGATCACACCAAGTCCATCCTGCATGGGATGAACAGCTCAGTGGAGGATAAGAAAAATAGGGGTTTGGGGAGGATGGTAAATGTGAACTGCATAGAATCCTGTTGGGACTGGTGAAGAGATGCTAGGTTTAGGGGGTTGGGGAAAGGGAGGGGAAGGGTGGCCGTTTCTGTTAGGTGAAGAAAATCTAGGAAGTTTTCACTGTCATTGGCATAGCTTGAGGGATTGCCTTATGTACACTTAGGGGAGAAATTTTCCCAAGGGGTCTCTTGCAAATTCCTCTGAGATTCTAGCCACTTCTGTATCATTTTTAGTGCCTGCTCACCTTACTTCTTATTCATGCCAGGCCAGGAAAACAGATTTGTGACTTAAATTTGATTACCTTACATTTGTAGGATCGGTAGGATTGTGACCTTGAATCAGTTTAATTGGCCTAATCCATTGGAGCCGAGTAATTGAATGCCAGCAAAAATGAGTCCCAAACTAATGGCAGTGACTTGCTTTCTGGTAGGAAGATTGTTTTAATGTGGTAAATTGATGTTTTAGAGTCATCGGTTAATTTCTTTTACGTCCCTCATGTTAATAGTCAGAGGAAACAATTTTATACCTAACTGAAAAAGATACAAGATGTTGATTCTATGGCAAATTACTTGGAATGAGAAAATCTGGGAGAATAGTCCAATAGCAGTGACTTTAACATTTCCATTTAACAATGAGGCAGATGTATATCTAACTAATATCTTAGAGGGTAGGATATTGAGTTCCAAGGCCAAGGTAAGGACATATGATATAGACAATTGTGAGGCAAGAGTGAGAAAGGGCTTAAACCTTTCCTGAGAGTTGTTCATAGTTGCTGTACTTACCTGAAATATTAGGCTTCTCAAACTTGGTGACTTCTGAGTCTGACTTAATTATTTTAATTATAAAGTTACTTAAATATATGAAAACATAATCGTTTGTACAAACCCTTTAATAGCTCCTGGACAACTATAAACCCCATCACATTTACACATTAAAGAATTAGTCTTAATTTGAATTTTTTTTAGTTTGTATATAATATGTTGGACAATGTTTGGCTGAAACTACATTATCACTCTCCATATGAATTTAGTTCTATTGGATTATCCATGGCATTGCTACAGTGTCCCTTTTTTCCCTTCATGTCATATCACAAGCATTTCATTCATTTATTAGTCTTCGTTCTCTTTCAATTTTTTTTTTTGAGATGGAGTCTCACTCTGTCGCCCAGGCTGGAGTGCAGTGGCACAATCTCGGCTCACTGCAGGCTCCGCCTCCTGGGTTCACACCATTCTCCTGCCTCAGCCTCCCGAGTAGCTGGGATTACAGGCACCTGCCACCATGCTTGGCTAATTTTTCGTATTTTTAGTAGAGACAGGGTTTCACTGCATTAGCCAGGACGGTCTTGATCTCCTGACCTCGTGATCCACCCGCCTCGGCCTCCCATAGTGCTGGGATTACAGGCATGAGCCACTGCACCCAGCCTGTTCTCTTTCAATTTTTAAGTTAATATTTGAATCATATTTTGCAGAGGCTATATGCATTTTGTTACAGTCATGCATCACTTATCAATGAGGATACCTTCTGAGAAATGCATGGTTAGGTGATTTCATCATTATGGGAACACCATGGAGTGTACTTACATAAACCTAGTTGGGGTAGCCTACTACACACGTGGGCTATATGGTCTAATTGCTCCTAGGCTACACAACATACAATGTTACTATACTGAATACTGTAGGCAATTGTAACACAATAGTAAGCATTTGGGTATCTAACATATCTAAACATCAAAAGGGTACAGTAAAAATACAGTGTAAAAGGTAAAAAAGGAAAAACCAACACAAATAGTACACCTATTTGGCACTTATCTTGAAAGGAGCTTGCAGGATTGGAAGTTGCTCTGGGTGAATCAATGAGTGAGTGGTGAGTGTGAAGGCCTAGGACATTACTGTACACTTCTGTGGACTTGATAAACACTGTACACTTAGGTTACACTAAATTCATTAACAAATTTTGCTATGACATCATGAGATCTCTGATGTCATTAGGTGTAGGAATATTTCAGCTCCATTGTAATCTTATGGGACCACGAATGTATATGTAATCTGTCGTTGACTGAAATGTCCTTATGTGGCACATGATTGTATTTGTATTTTGTATTGCTTTCATGTAACTGAGAAGTAATTTTCAATCTCAAAATCAAATCCTGCAAATTCCATAAAGATGTGTGTAAAATGTCTCATCAAAAGTTTGTGACATTTCAGGTTCTTGATGAAAGGTTTTGTTGTGGTGGTAATGTATGAAATCAAGCCTTCTAGAGGCTTCCACGTCTTCACAGATGCTAGTGACTTTACCTAGATGCAGCTTGGTTTAGAGGACTGCTCCTTTCCTGGCATAGCATGATAGTACAAGCAGGACACAAGACAGGCAAGGCTGGAAGGTGGAAGCATAATTGAGCTAGAAAGGAAGGATACAACATGCAATTAGTGTGCTTCTGGCCTCAAAGATGTGACTCATGTGTGACTGTGACCGTGACTCTGTCATTGCAACTGACTGTCCAGTGTGATGTAACTATAAGGGACAGAGAGGTTTCTAAGTCAAATATGAGATGGCCTGGGTCTAAATCCTAGCTCTGCTGCTCACAGCTGAGTGACCTTGGGCACAGCTGTGGAAACACAGGCTAGACTGCTGGGACCAGAGTTCCCAAATACAGTGGCTCATACAAGGTGGATGTTACAATTATCCCTTGAATAAAAGTCTAGATGAGGAGTCCAGGGCTGGTATGGAGGCTTGACAGCATGAGAGAACAGCCTCCTTTCATCTTGTTCTTCTGTCAACCCTGACTTCATCTGCATGTTCAAAGTCATGGGCCACCATGTTTGCATTTCAGCCACAGGTAGAGGAAAAGATGAGGAAAAGGAAGTCACACTGTCGGTCATGCCATCAGCTAGAATTTACGTGGTTATGAATGTTGCAAAGCATCCCTTGCAACATTTCTAGAGAAGAAGAAAGGAAATATATCTGGGTGTGTGTGTTGGGTGGGGGCATGAGACGGCATCTGGAAGTCTTTGCTCCAGCTTCCTAAGTCGAGGTTTCCCCATCTTTTAAATAAGGATAACACTGGTCTACTTCACAGGGTAGGGATGTCAGTATTAAATTGGAGTTTCCATTGAGAGTTTTTGGTGTAGCACCTGACGCTGAGCAAGTAAGAGGCACTGTTGCCCACAGGTATGGGCAACTCTGTCAGCCAGTGCAATGTCACTCATGGCTGCAGCATCCCATCACATCAGATGACACAGAGTGCCCTAGACAGTCAAACTCTGATGGCAGTAACCATGATGATTGGCAGTGATGCCACTCTGAGGCCATGCTGTGCAGAACGCTCTCTTGTTGACCTCAAGTTTCTGCAGGCAACATGGCAAAGTGGTTAGAGAATGGCTTCTAGAACCAGACTGCCTGTATTGGACACCTGGCCCTGCCCCTTAGAGCTGTGCCATTTGAACAAAGTTACTTCATCTGTCTATCCCTCAGTTTTCTCATTTTTAAGATGAAGGTCACAGCATCTGTCTGGTAGAATAATTCAATGACTTCTTTATCTGTGAAGTGCTTATAACAGCACAGAGCACTGTGGAAATTGCTTTGTAAGTCAGTATATATTAAATAAATACAGTTATTATAGGTATGCTCTTTAGTCCTAACATTAGAAACCTTATCATCTACTAGATCCATAAAAAAAAGAGGTTGATTCCTTACTTGCTTCCTAGAACGGAAGCTCCATTGTGGGAGAGAATTTGTCTTTCTCTCTGCTGAATCCCAGGGCCTGGAACAATACCTGGCCCTTTGTAGGCACCTGATGGAGGCTTGGAGGTTCGGTGTTCCTGTGTCAAAACGGACCTGACATCTTATTTTCTGTTTGTGTTATCTGCTGCTAAGGAGATAGTATCCCAACGAAAGGAAACAGTCATTATCTTAGGGAAAATCCGGGATATCAACCCTCAGGTACGGAGCCGTGGAAAGAACAAATACTGATGCTGGGGTTGCAAAGTTTGCTCTTAAGAACTGGTCCTGCCCCTAGCTATCTGCAAGACTTTAGGGGAAGGGGGCTATGAATGCCTTAGTTTCCTCATCTGTAAAATGTGAATGACATTGACCTTATAGGGCATTTTGAGAAATAAGTGTGTCAATTCATTACAAATATAGGGTGTGTCTCGTGTGCCTGGTGCAGTGAATACAACATGTCTATCTGTTGTGAAGGGGCCTTGCTAAATGTGGAGGGTATCCTCATGAGGGGAAATAGGATCAAAACATGAAGGAACTGGGCCCATATGAGGCTGCCCTTGAATGCAGAGGAAGGCCCTGAGTTGGGCATTTTACAAGGGAACAGCTAATAATCTGTAACTTGTGTCTGAAGAGAGGAAGGCTGCTTTTTGTGATGTGAAATCATTTTGATCTTTAGGTGCAGCACTTGCTTTCAATTGAAATATTTTTTTCTAACACAGGAAGATTCTGTGCACTATTCCGAGAAGCCTGCAGACCCTTTTTACAGTGATCGTAATGCGATTTGCTGCATGCATCAGAGGGCGAGGGAGCTGCGTGCTTCTTGTGCAGAAGGCAGATTTGATTTCAAACTCTAGAGGCAAATAAAGGAAACCTGGGAAACAAATATGAAAAATCTGAGCAAATGTGGAAATGAAAAAAGGGGGATGGGAAAGGGATAAAAGACAGAACACTGAGAGTAAACAAGAGGGCTTGCTTTTGGCAACCTCACATTCTACTTCTAATGAACTTGGACCAGACCTTCACTGAATATTGTTTTGGTGAGATTTGCCTCACCTTGGGGACACAAAGCCAGAAGCTTTCCTCGATAACACACAGAATAAAGAAACCTCATTCATTACAAATGGGAGAAGGAACAACGAGACTTTGATGTCTTTAAAATCAATTCAGCAAAGATTGTTTCAGGTGGAGGTTATGAGCAGTGAGGAATAAGGACATGGCAAAACTCTGTTTCTGCAAGGAAGGAGCCTTAGGCACAGAAGACTGCTTTGCAAGGCATGCTTGGCATCCCATGACCTGACCAAATGCTCCGGGGTCAGGGTCACCTCCAAGATAGGGGCCCTGTCCCTGTGGCTGTTACTCCCTACACAAGGCTATTTGGGCTCACCTTTTGTCCACAGTGATTCTCTGTTTACCAAGGGTCTACAAACCAATCTGTCCATTTAATCTATGCTTAGCAGGGGTGACTCTTTCATGCAGATGACCTCTGACCTTACCATCCAAATACTACAGCAATGGCCCTCTGGAACTCTTATGGTGGCAATTCTTATGATGTCATTCCCAGCTTGGTTGAGAGGTATTATGGTATCCAGGCAGGCTCACAGTGGGAAGTGGGGCATATTTTGGCAAAAGCATAGCTTTGTGCCATCTCTAAAACTGTATGCAGGCAGCTGATAACTTCATCCATCAGCAGAATAAGCACTATGTTAAAAACAAACTCACTGACAACCAAGATGAAAAATAAAGACACTGCACAAAAACCATGTTCTGAGATGAAAAATAAAGCTCCCTATATCTGGGCAACCAGGGATTGGGCACATTAGTGTCAGCTGAAAGAGTAGAATCTGTTCAGTTTTACTGAAGTGGATATGACTTCCCAGGATTATGTGAAGAATAGACATTCATTTGTTCATTTGTTCATTCATTCATTCATGCAAAAGGCAATTACTGAGTACCTTCTAGGTGCCAAGAACTATGCTAGGGCCTAGGAATTCAAAGATGTATCTTGGAAATTGTCCCTGGTACTAAAAACTCTAGCTAGAGGGGAGACAGACATGCAAATAAACATATGCCATAAAATAATTGGTATAGTGGTGTTTGTACAACAGAGAGAAGTCTTCTTAAGAAAATGGGACAGGAGTGGCCGGGCACGGTGGCTCACACCTGTAATCCCAGCACTTTGGGAGGCCAAGGTGGGCGGAACATGAGGTCAGGAGATTGAGACCATCCTGGCTAACACGGTGAAACCCCATCTCTACTAAAAATACAAAAAATTAGCCAGGTGTGGTGGTGGGCGCCTGTAGTCCCAGCTACTCAGGAGGCTGAGGCAGGAGAGTGGCGTGAACCCGGGAGGCGGAGCTTGCAGTGAGCTGAGATTGCACCGCTGCCCTCCAGCCTGGGTGACAGAGCGAGACTCCGTCTCGAAAAAAAAAAAAAAAGAAAATGGGACAGGAGTTTGAACAAAGCCTCCCGCAGAAAGTGTTTTCTGCTCTCTGTAATAAGTGTAATTGTGTTAAGAAATTGATACAACCATGTGCACAAGTGCACACACACACACATTTAATTCTACCTGCAAGTGCCAGAAGGCTGCAGATGACAGCAGTCTTGGCTCTAGAATTCTCCTAATGCTGGTCACAAAGACCTAGGCACTTAAACAATGGTTCTAGCAGCAATGAGAAAGAGTCACCTAGATGGGAAGGATTTATTCATTCTAAGAAAAACAACAAAGACACATTTCTTTCCTGTAGAAAGTTTGGAAGATGGAATAGACGAGATGAAAAGGATTCAAGGCAGTGGAAACAGATAAAATATTTAATAAGCTTATAACGAAAAGGAGTGGAAAGAGCCATTGTTAGGGAAGTAAATGAAGACTTTAAACGGCACTTTTATTGCTTATTCTCTTCCAGCCTCTGCATCTGATCTCAGCAGTGAACTCTGCGTGTTTTTTCTAGTATGGCCCATGAGGCTCAGTTTTCTGTTTGCAATCACCTGAGCCCTGGTCTCAACCTTTGTAACCGAATTATTTGTACCCAGAGGACAAATTGAGTCAGAGGAAGCTACTTCTGCAATTACATGGGAAGAGGATGTGACAGCCTGCTGCTACTTTGAGGAGACAGCCCCAGGGCAGATGCAGGTGGCAGTGTGGGAGACAGCGGGCTGCAAGAATGCAGAGCCCTGGCTCCCCTCCCTACCTCCCTTTCCCAGAGGGGAAGTACAAAATGGAGACATTGGAGACAAAACAGCCTCAGGGCATCTCTGTCCATCATGGTTGTCTATCGAACTTTCCGTCAGAGTGCATTTTGGAAGATGCCTTCCCTATAGGGCTGTTGTGAGCATTACTGACTTAACACGGAAAGCACTTTAGACAGGACCTGCCTGGCCAGTGAAAAGTGCAATGTAAATGTCGGCTATGGAGGAGGTTGAGAAATTTCACATAAAAATGAAGAAGACAAAACCTTAAGAACTTTCAAAGTGTATATATTTTAAATATAAAACTGGCTGGGCACAGTGGCTCACATCTATAATCCCAACATTTTGGAAGGCTGAGATGGGAGGATCACTTGAGCCAAGTTGTTCAAGACTAGCCTGGGTAACACAGTGAGAATACTGTCTCTACAAACTATTTAAAAATTAGCTGGGTGTGATGTCACATACCTGTAGACCTAGCTATTGCAAGAGGCTGAGGTGGGAAGATCACTTGACCCCCCCAGGAGGTTGAGGCTGCAGTAAGCCAAGATTATGCCACTGCGCTCCAGCCTGGGTGACAAATGTATCTATATATGTTTTTATATATTTATATAAACATATATATTTTATATGTGTATATATATGTTTATCTAAAACAGATATATATATATATATATCTGAGTCCTAAAAATGTATGTGTGCATGCACACGTGTACCTGCACACACTTGCATGCACATACACTGTAAATGTTTGCTAAAAAAGGAATTTAATGCTTCCTTTATGTGAGAGCTTTCTTAAAAATAAGTAGTTGTAATCACAAGAGAGGTGCATCCTCCCACCTGGAGGCAAAGAAGTTTTGATTTCCAGTTCTGTAAACACTGAGGTCATGGCTTAGACTGCTAAAGCTGTGATGACCCTCTAGTGTTGCTACCAACCCCCAGCTTTTATAGATGAGAAAACACACTCAGGAAACAAGACTTGTCCAAGACCACATGGCCAGAAAGAGGCAGAGGCAGATTATAGATCCTATGAGCTTAGGGGAATTGGGAAGGAGAATTGGGAAGAGGACTGTGAGTCCCCTTCAAGCCTTTCTGACCCAATAGGCATTGAATATTGATCCTTGAGGGCCAGGAGAAGGGCCAGCCAAGCACATGGTAGCTCTGAACATAGGAGATAAAGATGCCCTTGAGCTTGAGAAGCAGATATGGAAATGTCCCCAGCTTCCTCTTTTTTCATTGTCCTGCTTTTGTTCTGGGTGCCATCTCTGCTGACGAGGTAATGAGCATTCGGGCAGGTGCCATTGGTCAGAGTGATGTACCTCTAGTAGCTCTGGCTGTCCCGTGATTCAGTCAGGAACAGGCTGCTGGACTGACCTGGGTGGCTGTTGTTGCATGCGTGTGTGTGTGCGTGTGTGTGTGTGTGTGTGTGTCAGTCAATGTGAGAGAGACAGAGAGTCCCTGGGAAGTTTCAAATGGGCTTGGAAGAAAAAATTTGAAACCATGGGAATTGTTCTCATTACTCATTACTCCACTTCTTATTACCACTTTCTATTGGCCTGATCCAACCTCAGTGTAAAGTTGAAGAAAAAGAAAAAGAAAAAAAGAACAAAGTTAAAAGAAAAAAAACAAAAAAACTCTACTCTTAAAATAAACTTTTGGCTGGGCGTGGTGGCTCACACCTGTAATCCCAGCACTTTGGGAGGCCGAGGCGGGCGGATCACAAGGTCAGGAGTTCGAGACCATCCTGGCTAACACAGTGAAACCCCATCTCTACTAAAAATACAAAAAAAATTAGCCAGGCATAGGTGGTGCATGCCTGTAGTCCCAGCTACTCAGGAGGCTGAGGAAGGAGAATGGCGTAAAACCCGGGAGGCAGAGGTTGCAGTGAGCCGAGATCGCGCCACTGCACTCCAGCCTGGGAGACAGATCAAGACTCCGTCTCAAAAAAGAAAAATAAAAAAATAAACTTTTGTACAGTGTCCTGAAAGTCTTAATGCCTGCTTAAAACTGCACTGACTTTTGAGACACTCGGTAAGTGAAAAGATGAAAAGCCTGCAATCCGTAGAATTGAGGTGGTGAGTGGGTGAGCTGGGTAAGTCAGACAGGATTGCAAATCTGCTCCCCAGGGAGGGCCAGCCACACATCTCAGGGGTGAGACCGCAGAGAGGAGCATTTGTGGGCAATGGCCTTTGTAAGATGGAAAGCGTTTGGCAGGTGACTATGCAGTCAAGTTATTAGACTCAGAGGTGCTTAACTCACCTGGACATTTTTGTGGGATTTTGTAGGAAATAGAAGGGAGATGCTAGGTACTGGCAAAGGAACAGGGATAGAGGAACCATAAGGAAGTGAGGCTGGAAATTCACAGACAGTGGGTGGTGGTGCTATTTGGACTCATGCTTAGAAGTGGGGTTCAAGCCAAGTTCAATGGAATCGTTGAGGGGTAAGGAGCTGCGATTAATATCTGGGTTACATAAATATTTCAAGTACTAACTATCTAGAAATCCAAGTCCTGAAGACTTATGAGGTCATCTTCTCCTTTAATATTTAACAAGAAATAAAAAACTGCTTGTGCTCCCTGTCTCACATATGGCAGAAGTCCCATTCCAATCTTAATCTTCTCATGAACTTGTGGAAGCTGACTTTCTCTTTCCTGCCTCTTTCTCCAGTTTACTGCTGTCACTGAGTAATTCTTGATCTTTGCCTATGTTCACCTTCTCTGGCTGTTGTTTCCATTTTCCCATGTTCACCCAAATGTGCCACTAACCCTTTAAAAAATTTCCCCTACAGCATCCCCAAGTCAAGACAGCTGATGGAGTAGACTTTTACTGAGGAGGAGTTTCAACACATTCCTGATATACATCTTGAATCATTTGTGAGACGATCCTGGCCTATAAATCTCCCCTGGCCTTTTGCCACTGTCAGGAACATCTCACTTGCTGTCTTCTGTTCCCAGGCGCTGGCCTCCTTGCATTTTACTAGAGTTGTCTTCCTTTTTTTTGTGGACCAATTTATGTCTGTCAATTTCTACCTGTTCCCGGACACTCCGCCCCTATCTCCTTCATCTTGGCATATTTAATACATTTATTTTATTCCACTGATCTGCTTACTTTTTGGCTTTCTTTTATCTCCTCCATCTTCGATATCTTGTCTAGAACCCATCTTTTCACAACCCGAATTGCTATCCAAGAGGTTTTTCTAAATAACAGACTGTGTTTTCTCTAAGAGGAATTTTGCTCTCAGGTTTTAAGATAACATGTATCCACCCCAGCTTCATTAAAACATTCTGATTTCTTAATTTAAGGAAGAGGAGGGGAAGGAATAAATATTTCTTGAGGGTTTATTAAAATCAGACCCTGGGCTAGTGCTTTTTATGCATCCTTTAATTTCATCCTCAGAAAAGTCCTGGGAAGTGGGGTCATCACCCTGGTTTACCGAGGACAGTGAGTCAGGAACACAGGGCTGCTCCAGTCACATAAGCTGCTGGGTGGCAGAAGAAGTTGCCATCAAAACAAAGTCTTTGGACTCTGGAGCCTGAGCTGTTTCCATGATTCATCTTGCCTTGGAGGAGGAGATGATGACAGAGATGAACCTGTGTGTACTGGACCCTCCTTCTTTGATGGCCTGCTCTTTGCCCTCCAGCTACACTTTCCCACTCACTACTGATGCTTGCCTGAGGATCTCCCTTTTCCCATCCCTTCCTGCTTTTCTCCAAGGGTAGTGGGTCCTGGGTTCTGTCAATTCCAGCTGCAGCCTGGCTCCTGATTCTGTTCTCTCCTGCTCTAGCTGAAGCCGTAAGTGGTGCTTGGAGCCCTCTTGGAGTAGAATCTGCTGACTTTCTCACCCTCAGTGTCTCTT
Source organism: Homo sapiens (assembly GCF_000001405.40). NCBI lineage: Eukaryota > Metazoa > Chordata > Mammalia > Primates > Hominidae > Homo > Homo sapiens. The sequence continues at coordinate 112,048,481 of NC_000010.11, read as the reverse complement.
CCCCATTCCATCTCATCCTACACTTATGATAGGCTAGCTCCAGCACCCTGTGATGGGCACATGGTAAAGAATTTTGGCTTTGAGTTTGATATGCGGTCAAACAGCAGCTTGGCCTCTAATCAGTTGTGTAACCTCAGATAAGTTGCTTGAACAATTTGCTTCAGTTTTTTCTTCTTTAAAGTGGGGACAATGAGAGTATCCAACTCAGAGGGATTCTGGAAGGCCTCAATGGCATGATGTAGGTAAAGGGATCGATACAGGGTCTGATAAATAGTGAAGTTTCATAAATGGTAGCAATTGGTGTGGCTACGGACACAGTGATCTTGCTACCACTCTCCTCCTCCAGTCCAGACTCCTTGGCCTGACACTCAGGGTCCTCTGCTATCTATAAATTAGCCTGAGCCCACCTTTCTTATCTGTTGTGCTGTAATAATGCTGGACTACACACCACTTCCTGGCTGCAGCCCCTGGTTTTAACCTAGAATAGCCACCGCTACCAGGAGGAAGTCTAACCATGTTTCCAGGGCCAGCTCAATCATTTCCTGGAGATACTCCTTTCTGACTCCTCTCCTGTCCGCTCCCCTTGGGAAGTGAGCTGTCTCTAGCCTCTGTTCCTTTAGCTCTTTGAGCATGTTAATGATGCATATCTCTTGCTACCCCTAGGCATGTTTATTAACTCTGCTTCAAAATAAAGAAAGTTCCTTGAAGATGGGAGCTTACTTCATGTCCTCTGTGTCATGGGCAGTGCTGAGAATGAATTCAAAAAATGATCTTGGAGACAAGAAACTGAACAGCTCCCACTGTGTGTAGCCTAATTTGGGGCTTCACTTAATCCTCCCTAATAAAATCCCCATTTCCTGCCTCTTCCCCATTCAGTCTTTGTCCACAGGCTACCCAGCCCCTGAAATAGACATATGATCTTCCACTCCAAGGCACGGGCACATATTGAAAAGTTTCCTATCATCTCCTTGGAAGGTTGCCTGTTTCTTAGTGGTCTCTAAGAACAGAGGATACAGACCCAAGGGAACACACAAAAGCAGTCCATTGGAATGTAGGAAGAAAATATTAGCACTTCTATTTACTTATCTTGCATATTTTCATTTCTTAGTGTCTGTCTTTTGATATATGCCTTATTAAGTACATAGTACACTAGAACAGTGACTTGCATATATAATTTATAAATAAATATGTATTTATTGCACACCCAAAAATATTTTTATTTACAGGATGCCTGATACAATAAGTTTAGAGTCCAAAGATGTTCCCTATACACTGCTACTAGTTGAGAAGAACAGCTGTGCATATATTGTTTCTTAATGCAGACTATTAATTGGTGCTCTGATGTGCAGCAGATCCAGGTCCTGCTCCTTAACCTGGTCTTCTAGGCCTTCTGTGATATTGCTTACTCTACTTTTCTAATTTTATTTTATGTATATTTATTTTTTAATTTTTTGAGACAGAGTCTTGCTCTGCACTCAGGCTGGAGTGCAGTGACGTGATTATGGCTCCCTGCAGCCTCCATCTCCCAGGTTCAATTGATCCTCCTACCTCAGCCTCCTGAGTAGCTGGGACTACAGGTGCACACCATCATGCCCAGCTAATTTTTTATTATTTTTTATAGAGACGGGGTCTTGCTATGTTGCCCAAGCTGGTCTCAAACTCTTAGGCTCAAGCAACTCTCCCTCCTCAGCCTCCCAAATTGCTGGGATTACAGGCATGAGCCACTGCATCCAGCCTTACTTTTCTAATTTTAAATCCTACTTCAAGCTTCACCTGTATGTACTCAATGCTTTCTCGACCACTTGCCTTTACATGTGCTTCTTCCTCTTAGATGTTCATCTCTACCGATCCTGGGGTAGTCACTTCATCTGCATCTCCTCTCTGTCATGTGTTATAATTCTTTACTTTCTATTTTAACTGTTTATATAAATGTCTTATTCCCTGTTCCAGACTATAAGCTCATATTTCTGATTCCATCTTTTTATCCTTATCTCTTATCCTAGTTTCTGCACAGAATAGATGCTTAATATAACTTTGCTGATTAAATGGAATATATGATGTATAACCCATATTTTCAGTCATTCTCTCAGATACAACTGTGACTGTTAATCTAAGCCATCTTGTTCTTCTCCATGAAGTCTCCAATTTCATCTTCTTTTACAAAAGCAGCTCTGCTGTTAAATAAAGCCAACTAGTAAATGAAGGGGTGTGAGAGGAATGTCCACATCCACTGTACAAGCAAATTGTTCTGCAATGTGCTCTCCACAAGAACTAAACTTTGCAGGATCATGTTCTTGTGGGGAATGAAAGCAGCGGGAGACCCTGGACTCGGAACTTTTGCATAACATCTGTTAGCCATCAGGGACTCGTTCTTCTACTGCTTTTTCCAAGGGAATGAGTAATGTGCTTCCTTTCTCCTGTCCTCTCCAGTCTCCAGCTGTCCACCTGGTTCTCTTCTATCTGGCCTACAGACACATCAGAAGTGTCCCATTATTTTAAAGGAATGCCACTGTCAGGAAAGCCTGTGTTTGCTCATAATTAGGATTTGTGCCCAGTATCATTTAGCATTCTCAGCCCAATGGGCCATTCACCACTCTGAGAAGATAAAGCCATTTCATTTCATTAAATATTTCCTGAACTCTAAGTACAATATTATAGAGCCACGTATCTTACACTTGCCACTCCAATTCCACTCCCCAACCCTTTTCTACGCACTCTGTCTCTCCTGTGGCTGACCTGGGCTACATCAGTGGGCTCCCTTGTTCTCTGCCTTTGAGGTGGATTCTGCTAATAGGGAGCACCGGCAGAAGACTGGATGAATGGAGAAGATGAGTTCAGGCTGGCTGCCTCTCTCATCCAAAGCTCACAGCTCCTGTTGGATGGCCCTTTCCATGACACTAATGAAATTCTTTCTGTGTCTGGGTTCTGGTAACCATCCATCTGCACCCCTTCTCAGGCCCAGCAGTGGTAATGGGGCATGACTGTTGCTGCATTATCCTTTCTGCTCTTTGTAAATAGTCCCTTTACTATGCTCTTCTCAAAGTAGGCATATTCCTCTTTGAGTATGCCATGTCTTCCAGGAAAAAGAGGGAGAGAGAGATCCTAATTAATATGGGAAGTGTGAATGTTATTCTCTAGAAGAAAGGGACATATTGGAGTTGCATTTTAGAAAACAAATTCTCTTTGAGTAGAGCAGTGCTACTCAAAGTGGGCTGGCAGCATCAGCATTTCTGAAGCAGACCCTCTGGGGATGAGCCAAGGGTCCAGCGATCTGTGCTTTAATAAGCTCTCCAAGTGACTCTTACACACTGAATCTAGAGGAGATGAAGCTGGAGGCGGAAAGACCAGTTGGGAGGCTGCTATGGTTGAAAGGAAAAAAGAAAGAGGAAAAAAGAAGAGGAGACGGCAGTGAGTCTGGGATAGATATTTAAGGTTTGGGATTGATGAGACTTGGAATTGAATAGATGTGGAGAAGCTTAGAGGAGAAGCTGATCTCAGGTATTAGGCTTAGATGGTTTTATTAACCAAGATCAGAAAGAAAGGAGCATAGATTTGACAGGAAAGTCATTATGACAGTAAGGAGCACAGTGAGTTTGAAGTGCTTGTGGGGACAACATGGGGAAGAAGTCCGGAAGGCTTTTTAATACAGGGATGTTGAAATCAGGAGAAGAGTCTTTTGTTTTGTTGTGTTTTGACTGTTACCATTATTTTATTTTATTTTATTTATTTTATTTTATTTTACTATTATACTTTAAGTTATAGGGTACATGTGCACAACTTGCAGGTTTGTTACATATGTATACATGTGGCATGTTGGTGTGCTGCACCCATTAACTCGTCTTTTACATTAGGTATATCTCCTAAAGCTGTCCCTCCCCCCTCCCCCCACCCCATGACAGACCCCAGTGTGTGATGTTCCCCTTCCTGTGTCCAAGTGTTCTCATTGTTCAATTCCCACCTATGAGTGAGAAAATGTGGTACTTGGTTTTCTGTCCTTGCAATAGTTTGCTGAGAATGATGGTTTCCAACTTCATCCATGTCCCTACAAAGGACACAAACTCATCCTTTTTTATGGCTGTGTAGTATTCCATGGTGTATATGTGCCACATTTTCTTAATCTAGTCTATCATTGATGGACATTTGGGTTGGTTCCAAGTCTTTGCTATTGTGAATAGTGTGGCAATAAACATACGTGTGCATGTGTCTTCATAGCAGCATGATTTATAATCCTTTGGGTATATACCCAGTAATGGGATGGCTGGGTCAAATGGTATTTCTAGTTCTAGATCCTTGAGGAATCACCACACTGTCTTCCACAATGATTGGACTAGTTTACAGTCCCCCCAACAGTTTAAAAGTGTTCCTGTTTCTCCACATCCTCTCCAGCACCTGTTGTTTCCTGACTTTTTAACGACCACCATTCTAACTGGTGTGAGATGTTATCTCACTGTGGTTTTGACTTGCATTTCTCTGATGGCCAGTGATGATGAGCATTTTTTCATGTGTCTGTTGGCTGCATAAATGTCTTCTTTTGAGAATTGTCTGTTCATATCCTTCGCCCACTTTTTGATGGGGTTGTTTGATTTTTTTCGTGTAAATTTGTTTAAGTTCTTTGTAGATTCTGGATATTAGCCCTTTGTCAGATGGGTAGATTGCAAAAATTTTCTCCCATTCTGTAGGTTGCCTGTTCACTCTGACGGTAGTTTCTTTTGATGTGCAGAAGCTCTTTAGTTTAATTAGATCCCACTTGTCAATTTTGGCTTTTGTTGCCATTGCTTTTGGTGTTCTTAGACATGAAGTCCTTGCCCATGCCTATGTCCTGAATGGTATTGCCTAAGTTTTCTTCTAGGGTTTTTATGGTTTTAGGTCTAACATTTAAGTCTTTAATCCATCTTGAATTAATTTTTGTATAAGGTGTAAGGAAGGGTTCCAGTTTCAGCTTTCTACGTATGGCTAGCCAGTTTTCCCAGCACCATTTATTAAATAGGGAATCCTTTCCCCATTGCTTGTTTTCCTCAGGTTTGTCAAAGATCAGATGGTTGTAGATGTGTGGTATTATTTCTGAGGGCTCTGTTCTGTTCCATTGGTCTATACCTCTGTTTTGGTACCAGTACCATGCTGTTTTGGTTACTGTAGGCTTGTAGTATAGTCTGAAGTCAGGTAGTGTGAGGCCTCCAGCTTTGTTCTTTTGGCTTAGGATTGTCTTGGCAATGTGGGCTCTTTTTTTGGTTCCATATGAACTTTAAAGTAGTTTTTTCCAATTCTGTGAAGAAAGTCATTGGTAGCTTGATGGGGATGGCATTGAATTTATAAATTACCTTGGGCAGTATGGCCATTTTCACGATATTGATTCTTCCTATCCATGATTATGGAATGTTCTTCCATTTGTTTGTGTCCTCTTTTATTTCCTTGAGCAGTGGTTTGTAGTTCTCATTGAAGAGGGCCTTCACATCCCTTGTAAGTTGGATTCCTAGGTATTTTATTCTCTTTGAAGCAATTGTGAATGGGAGTTCACTCATGATTTGGCTGTCTGTTTGTCTGTTATTGGTGTTTAGGAATGCTTGTGATTTTTGCACATTGATTTTGTATCCTGAAACTTTGCTGGAGTTGCTTATCAGCTTAAGGAGATTTTGGGCTGAGACAATGGGGTTTTCTAAATATACAATCATGTCATCTGCAAACAGGGACAATTTGACTTCCTCTTTTCCTAATTGAATACCCTTTATTTCTTTCTCCTGCCTGATTGCCCTGGCCAGAACTTCCAACACTATGTTGGATAGGAGTGGTGAGAGAGGGCATCCCTGTCTTGTGCCAGTTTTCACAGGGAATGCTTCCAGTTTTTGCCCATTCAGTATGATATTGGCTGTGGGCTTGTCATAAATAGTTCTTATTATTTTGACATACGTCCCATCAATGCCTAATTTATTGAGAGTTTTTAGCATGAAGGGCTGTTGAATTTTGTCGAAGGCCTTTTCTACATCTATTGAGATAATCATGTGGTTTTTGTCTTTGGTTCTGTTTATATGATGGATTACATTTATTGATTTGCATATGTTGAAGCAGACTTGCATCCCAGGGATGAAGCCCACTTGATCATGGTGGATAAGCTTTTTGATGTGCTGCTGGATTTGATTTGCCAGTATTTTATTGAGGATTTTTGCATCGATGTTCATCAGGGATATTGGTCTAAAATTATTTTTTTGTTGTGTCTCTGCCAGGCTTTGGTATCAAGATGATGCTGGCCTCATAAAATGAGTTAGGGAGGATTCCCTCTTTTTCTATTGGTTGGAATAGTTTCAGAAGGAATGGTACCAGCTCCTCCTTGTACCTCTGGTAGAATTTGGCTGTGAATCTGTCTGGTCCTGGCCTTTTTTTGGTTGGTAGGCTATTAACTATTGCCTCGATTTCAGAGCCTGTTATTGGTCTATTCAGGGATTCAACTTCTTCCTGGTTTAGTCTTGGGAGGGTGTATATGTCCGGGAATTTATCCATTTCTTCTAGATTTTCTAGTTTATTTGCGTAGAGATGTTTATAGTATTCTCTGATGGTAGTTTGTATTTCTGTGGGATCGGTGGTGATAACCCCTTTATCATTTTTTTATTGCATCTATTTGATTCTTCTCTCTTTTTTTCTCTATTAGTCTTGCTAGCGGTCTATCAATTTTGTTGATCTTTTCAAAAAACCAGCTCCTGGATTCATTGATTTTTTGAAGGGTTTTTTGTGTCTCTATTTCCTTCAGTTCTGCTCTGATCTTAGTTATTTCTTGCCTTCTGCTAGCTTTTGAATGTGTTTTCTCTTGCTTCTCTAGTTCTTTTAATTGTGATGTTAGGTTGTCAATTTTAGATCTTTCCTGCTTTCTCTTGTGGGCCCTTAGTGCTATAAATTTCCCTCTACACACTACTTTAAATGTGTCCCAGAGATTCTGGTATGTTGTGTCTTTGTTCTCATTGGTTTCAAAGAACATCTTCATTTCTGCCTTCATTTCATTATGTACCCAGTAGTCATTCAGGAGCAGGTTGTTCAGTTTCCATGTAGTTGAGCGGTTTTGAGTGAGTTTCTTAATCCTGAATTCTAGTTTGATTGCACTGTGGTCTGACAGACAGTTTGTTATAATTTCTATTCTTTTACACAGGAGAAGAGTCTTGACAACATTCAACAAATACTCAGCGTGATGGTAAGTCAACTTTGTAAAACGTCAACTTGCATAGGCCACCTAAGTTTCTCAGAATTCCTTTTTTTGTGTGTTTCTGGTTAGGGTGAGTCATAAGAGAGAGTCTTGGGAGACTTGGTGGGTGGAAGGGCAGCAGCAGCCATTTTGAGGCTCACAGGCATTGTCACTGATCTGCTGACTTGCCCCATCTGCATGAAGAAGCAGTGGCCTTGTAACTGCTCCATTTTCCCTTGACAGGCTCCGCCTTTAGCTTCTCCGACTCCTAGCTCAGTTATGTATGTTTAGCTCCATGACAAAATACTCCAGCTTCTGCAGGGACCCACGCTATCAAAGTGAGAAGCAACAAGAAATGACAGAGGTTTTAGTTTATCCTTGTTGGCTGGGTTCCATCCTCTTGCTTGTGGGTTCCAGCCTGATCTTAATCTCTTTCACTTTACATCAGTCTTCCCCTACCAACTGCCTGCCCTGGGGACTCCAAGTTTCTGCATCAGATATAAAAAGAACAGCCTTACAGAGATGTACCTGTGCATTGCCTAGTGGTTCTGCTTGAGCCATAAGGCTTGGTTGCATTGACTAATGCATTCTCCAAAAGAAAGAGCAAAAGGGAGAATAACAGGTAGGGCATAGGTGGAATCTACTATTCGATAAGACAAACATCTTGGAGTGAGCATATGATGGGAGGCAGGGGTCTGTGATTCCTGGTAAATCTCAGTTTTTATGTGCCTCTCATGAAGGGAGCATTTTGCTTGGCTGAGTGCAGAATAGAAGTTCATGGATGATTTTGGTAATGTTCATAAATTTTGCCTTGGTCTCTAATTTGGGACCTAAGTCATGCATAAGATGTGAGTCCACTACAGATTATGGAGTCATTGGAGAACAGGTAAGTAACACTCCTCAGGGAGAACCTGAAAAATGAAAAGGAAAGAGAGCCTAGGGAGGTAACTTAAATGAATTCAAATTAATATGGTAACCAAAATATTTGGTCATATAGTCTTTACAAAAGATTTCTTTTTATATTTCTATTTATGTGAAAGGCATACACTACTATATTTAGGATTTGTTTAATAAAGAGTCATTATTGTAAAGTATAAAACAAGAATCAGGACTGGCCTAAAAGATTGAGGGCTCAATCATGAGTATGTTGCTAGAGAATAAAGCGTATTTTTGACTCTTGGTTTAGCATACTTTGCTGTGTTCTTGCTTCTGCTGCATATACACATGCTTTAGGGGAAAATGGCAATTTCAAACCCTGACAATATTTACTCATTTCCTGTTTGCCCTGGGGTGTCCGAGCTCACCATTACGGTGATTCAGCTGCTTAAAAGAGGAGGGAGATTTTGGTTCCACAGCTTTGCTTTCCACTCAAATTAAATGAAAATGGAGATTTTCCTCTAGCACTTTATGTGGAGATAGTGTTGTTGGGGGACTTGGAACCACTAGTGGAAAAGAGGGTGCCTTGTGTAGCCAGCCTCCCTGACCATCCACTTAGATAAGTTTGTGTTTTGAAATGTATTAAAGCTTGTTTTGGTTTCAAGGATGAGAGAACTATTTGTTTCCTCTCATCTCTGGCCAGCTTCTATAGAGCAAGTCATTCACCTAACGTTTCTGATTAACCTAGATATTGGTTTCCCTTTGAAAGTAAAAGCTTGGCTTGAGTTCACAGAGGACTACGACTTCTTGGTTTCACCTTTGCCTGCTGAGTTCGTCTTCCCTTCAAAGTGCTTTGGATGGAGGGCGGTCATGGTTCCTGGGGAGGCTGGGAAGGGTGTAGTTGTAGTCTTTGACAGGTCTCAGATTTCAGAGATGTCTGTTATAGCCTCTGTCAAAAGAACCTCCCCTTAAACCTCAGCTGTGCCAGGTTCTGCTATTTGCTTTCCTGGTAGCAACTCAGTGCTTTGCTGGCTGAGGAGCTGGATCTTTCCACAGCAATTTTATTCATAGTCAGACATTCTCCACTTTCTAGTAATCCCAGAAGCTTTTCCTTGTACTGCCTTCTCATTCAGTCATTAGGGGGAAATCAGCTCTCTTGTCCTAAACATGAAACATGGAATGTGTTAGAGAACACTGCTTTAAGGCTTCAAATGTTTCTCTCTTAAAAACAGTGAAGGGGACTTACATTAACTAGGCCCTTAACAGCGAGAGATGTTGTGCTAAGCATTTCTTTTTTTGTTTGTATTGTTTTGTTTTCTTGAGACAGAGTTTTGCTCTGTCGCCCAGGCTAGAGTGCAGTGGTGTGATCTCAGCTGACGGCAACCTCTGCCTCTGGGTTCAAGCGATTCTCCTCCTTCAGCCTCCCCAGTAGCTGGGATTACAGGCATGTACCGCCATGCCGGGCTAATTTTTGTATTTTTAGTAGAGATGGGGTTTCGCCATGTTGGCCAGGCTAGTCTCGAACTCCCGATCTCAGGTGATCTGCTGGCCTCAGCCTCCCAAAGTGTTGGGATTACAGGCGTGAGCCACCATGCCCAGCCTTATGCTAAGCATTTCATATTCATCAACTCATTTTATTCCTCAAAACAGTCCTATAGAATAGATAATTAAGATTCTAGTTTATGTGATAAAACTGAGTATAGGCAACATTTGCATGGTTATAGAACTTGTAAGTATTAGAGCTAGAATTCAAGTTCTGCCAGACACCAAATTCATACTCTTAGTTTCCTCACTTACCTCCTGCTTTCTTTGGAAGGTCCTCATTTCCCCACTGCCCAACTGTTAGCAGTGTATTTGTTAAAAACAAAGCCCTAGCTGGGGACAGTGGTGGTTCACCCCTGTAATCCCAGCACTTTGGAGGTTGAGGTGGGCAGATCACTTGAGGTCAGGAGTTTGAGACCAGCCTGGCCATCATGGTGAAACCTTGTCTCTACTAAAAATACAAAAATTAGCCAGGTGTGATGGCGGGCGCCCATAATTCCAGCTATTCAGGAGGCTGAGGCATGAGAGTCACTTGAACCCGGGAGGCAGAGGTTGACGTGACCCAAGATTGCACCACTGCACTCCAGCCTGGGTGACAGAGTGAGACTCTGTCTCAAAAACAAAAACAAAAAGCAAAGCCCTAGATTTTATTTCAACTCATCTAACATGACTTCCCTTGAGCATTTTGTTTTGAGGCTAAAAAACATGAACATGAGCATCTCAATTAAAGTGCCCTTGAAAAGGTTTATTGGCAGATTGCTTTCATCTTGACCATAACGAATCACAGAAAAGGGAAAACAAGACAAGGAGTGGCCCGAAGTACCCTTTGAAACACTGCATTTGGTGAAACTGGCACAGAGTAGCTTTTAAGAATGCATTCTGTTCTTGCAAGCCAGCCTGGGGTCTAAGTGAAATAGAACCTGCAATACAATAAAGGAGATGCCTGTAAAAGATTCGTACCATGGAGCGGGGATGGGAGAAATTGACTGATGAAAACCCCACATTTCTGTAGTCAAGTCTTTACATGGAGTTGTCTGACGTGCAACCTAAGGTGGTATCACATTCGTAGACTTCTCTTCCTCTCCACTCCCCTCCCCTCCATTCATTTCCTCCCTCCCTCCCTCTCTTCCTCCCTTCCTCCTTTCCTTCTTTCCTTTTTTTCTTTCCTATTTCAAATATTTATTGAGCTCATACTACATGCTAATTACTAGGTGCTGAGGTTTCAACAGTGAACACAATCCCCACTACGGGGGGACCTATATGCAAGTGGGAGAGACAATCAACAAATAAATCAATACATATATATAATAATAGTTTAAGTCATGATAAGCACTGTGGTGAAAACATAAGGTGAGGCAAGTGGCTAGAGAGTGATGACACATGCCCTTTTGGATAGGAGGAGCCAGGAAGACCTCTCTGATGAGGGCATATTTGAGCAGACACCCCAGAGAATTAGGAGACCCAGCCACATGAATTTGTGAAGAAAGGGTACTCCGCAAAAGGGAAACAAGGAATGCAAAGGCCCCGAGGCAGGAGCACGCTTGTCGTTTTCAAGCAACTGCAGAGAAACGAGTGCAGCCAGAGCGGGTTGAGCAATGGTAAGAGTGGAGGAAACAAGGCTGTAGAGTGGGCTGGGGGTAAAATCAAGCCTTACAAGGGAAGGAGCCTGCACTTTATTCTAAATACCATGGATCCCACTGTAGGGTTTGAAGCAATAGTGTGACATCATCTGACTTGCTTTTCTACAAGATCGCTCTGACACAGTGAGGAGAGTGGACCAACGTAGACAAAAATTAAAGCAGGGCGACCAGAAAGGTGGTTATTGCAGTCATCTAAGCAAGAGTAAGGGTGACTCAGGAGCTTGCCCGCCACAGGGACTCTCCAGTGCTTTTGGGGTAGTATTGACCTATTCTATGTGCTAAACATTTTCCCTGTATTAGCTCCTCTTCACCTCTCAATCAGGTCCATACTCTTGAAGGATGTCTGCAAGCAATTCCTCTGTCTCCCTTACACACATACTGCCTCTTCCTACCAACAGCCTCTTTGCTCTTCTCTTGAATCTGAGATGCCTTTGTGACTTGCTTTGGCCACGAGAGTGTGGCAGAAACAACACTATGTCATTTTCAGACCTGTTCTTTAAGAAGCCTGGGAGGTTTCATATTCTCTCCGGGGAAGCCAGGCCCCATGTAAAGATGGCCCCACCCAAATCTCATCTTGGACTGTAGCTCCCATAATTCCCATGTATTGTGGGAGGGACCCAGGCTGGACTCCTGAATGATGAGACACCAGTGGAGAGAGAGCAAGAGGCCACATGGGAAAGCACCGGCCAAGGTGGAGAAGCTTTCTTAGCATGCATCCCTCCTAGCTGCTACTGAATACAGCTGAGTGAGTGATCTCTGCTGATGCCACTAGAACAAAGAACTACCCATCTGAACCCTGCCTGAGTTCTTGACCCACAGAATGGTGAGGAATAATTTAACATTGTTTTAAGCCATTCAGTCATGGGGTGGTTTATTAAGCAGCCATAGTTATCCAAAATTGTTGGTATCATCACCCCTATCTTGTAGATCAGAGTGGGCAAACTATACCCATTGGGCCAAAGCTAGCCTGCCACCTTGTTCTGTAGATAAAGTTTTATCGAAACACACCCAAGATTATTAATTTACATATTGTCTATGACTGCTTTCATGCTACACAGCAGAGTAGAGTAATTGCAACAGAGACCACTTGTTATGGCTGGCAAAACCTAAAATATTATTTTGCCCTTTACAGACAAGTCTGCTGTTCCCTGTTATAGATGATGTCTCATGGGACTGAGTAACGGGCTAAGATTGCCCAATCGGTAAGTGGCAGAGCTAGGACTCAAATCCAAGTCTGTCTGATTCCAATGTGTTTTGCATTCTTGCATACTGTTTCTTACATCAGTTCTAGCCTCAAAGGTGCGCACCCAAGGAAATTAAAAACAAACAAAACACACTCTTGCTCTGTGCTAGTGCTATGGTTTCAATGTCTATCCCTTCTGAAACTCATGTTAAAATTTGTTTGCTGTTGTGGTGATGTCAGGAGGAGGGACCTTTAGGAGATGATAGGGCCATAGGGCTCTGCCTTCACAGGTGTGATTGATGCTGTTATAAAAGGGCAAGTTTGACCCCTTTTGCCTCTTTGCCCTTCTGCCTTCTGCCATGTGATGATGCAGCAAGAAGGCCCTAGCCAGATTCCAGAGCCTTGCTATTGGACTTCCCAGCCTCCAGAACTGTCAGCCAATGCAGTTCCATTCATTATAAATTGCCCATCTCAGGTATTCTGTTAGAGCAGCACAAAATGAACTAAGACAGCTAAGTTAGGTAAAGTCAAGTAAGCATGATGTCATGCTATTTTTTGGGGGGAGGGAATCTCATTTTCTCCTCTTCTTCTCCTTTATTTTTTATGCTGTGTTATGATACTATTTGTAAATGGCAAAATCATGTTGGGATGAGAACACTGGATTTGGAGTTAAGACCTGGCATCATCAGGCTTTGCTACCTTGAATCTGTGTGACCTTGAGCCGGTTACTCAACTTTTATGACACACCATCTGAAACAGTATTTCTCCTTGTTTTATTATCAAAGCTAAAGAAACATTTTATGTATATGTATATTTTCATAATTGCACCCTCTCCATGAAATTTTCATACCGTAGATGAATCCCATAGATGAGGGGTCCCCAACCCCTGGGGGCCATGGCACCACAGATCCTTAGAAACCAGGCTTCACAGCAGGAGGTGAGTGGTGCGTAAGCTAGCATTACCACCTGAGCTCCGTCTCTGGTCAGATAAGTGGTGGCATTAGATTCTCGTAGGAGCACAAACCCTATTGTGAACTGCAGAATCTAACTAATGCCTGATGAGCTGAGGTGAAACAGTTTCATCCTGAAACCATACCCCACGCCCTCACCCCTTGCCTTGTAAGCGGAAAAATTGTCTTCCACGAAACAGGTCCCTTGTGCCAAAAAGGTCGGGGACTGCTGCCATCGATATTATACTGTATATCTGTTTTAAAGAGTCCAGATTTTCACCCCTTCCCCAAGAACCAACTTTTACTGCCTTGGGAATGATATCATCCTTGCTGAGGACACATGATCTCAAAGATGGATGAAATGGCCCTTGATGCTTGGTTCCCAAAGTGTTGGACCTTGTCCACATTTGCAATTTAGGGAAATCACCTACCGAGCAAGGTAGCATTCTAGAAGCCTGACAAATGTCACTTCCTTCACAGTCAGCACCTCTGTGGGGTAGATATTGTTCCTATGTTTTTCCTGAAGAGAGGCCTGAGACCTGGAGAAGTAACTGTCCAAGGTCACACTGCTAGTCAGGTCAGCGACAGGATTTGAATCTGGGTCACTCTAACATTAAAACCATCACCCTTAAGCAAGAGTAAAACACACTCTGAGAACGTAGGTTGTTTTTGAATCTGAGGGTTCCTTTCTGTGTTTTCCCGAGGTGGGACTTCTACTCACTGTGAAATAGTGGATCTCGAAGTATAGCTCTTGGACCAGCAGCATCATGTTTGTTACCTGTGCAAATGTTCTGACCCTGCCCCAGAGCTTCTGAATCAGAAACTCTGGGAGCAGAGTCCTCTCTCAGTAGAGGTTTTGGACCAACCCTCAGGTGATTCTGATTGAGAATCAATGCTGAAGAGGTTTTCTCCTGGAAAGGGACTTCTATCTGGAACATGTTAGGTCTAGCATAGTGGGAAGGGGTTGGAGAATGTGTTCTTAGTGGCTCTGAAGTGCACTGGCAGCTCCTAAGGTGATCGAACCACCTGCCTTCAACTAGCACGACAGGTCTGATTTCTCCTTTGTTAATACCTTTCTATTTTTTCCTCATGTCTCATCCACTTTTCCAAGCTGCTTTTGCTTTGGCTAGGCACTTTGGCTTCAAAGGACTGTTACTTCAAAAGACTTTTTACCATGATCTAAGTCACCATAATAAATTGTGCCACTGCCTGGAACTTGTTTTTCAAGTATGTTGCCCTAAAATCCTATTGTTATTTTGTTGGTCAGTCAAAGCTAGGTTATGCTGTGGTAACAAATAACCTTAACATTTCAGTGGCTTAAAACAGGTAGGAAACTATGATCCAGGGTCAAATTTGGCTATTTCCTGTGTTTATAAGTAAAGTTTTGTTAGAACACAGCCACACTCATGCATTTACATATCATCCAAGACTGCTTTGTGCCACATATAGCAGAGTTAAACAGTTGTGATAGAAACCAAATGGCTTGCAAAGTTGAAAATATTTACTCTTTACTCCTTTAGAGAGAAAGTTTCCTGAGTTAAAACAACAATGGTTTATCTTTCCCCATTCTAGGAGGCTGTTCCATGTCATCCTCCCTCAAAAACGTTAGATAATGGTGCCTCCACCATGTGGAACATCAAGGTTGGTTGTGTTGGGGCAAAGGGAGCAGTGGATAATTTCACACTGGGGATTAAAACTTCCACCCAGAAATGACACATTACTCCTTGATATGATTTGGTTGTGTCCCCACCCAAATCTCATGTTGGATTGTAGCTCCCATAATTCCCATGTATTGTGGGAGGCACCCAGTGGGAGGAAACTGAATAATGAGGGTGGGTCTTTCCCATGCTGTTCTCGTGGTAGTGAATAAGTCTCGTGAGAGCTAATGGTTTCATAAAAGGGAGTTCTCCTGCATAAACTCTCTTGCCTGCCGCCGTGTAAGACATGACTTTGCTCCTCATTCACCTTCTGTCATAATTGTGAGGCCTCCCCAGCCATGTGGAACTGTGAGTTAATTAAACCTCTTTCCTTTATAAATTACCCAGTCTTGGGTAAATTTATTCTTTATTAGTGGCATGAGAACAGACTAATACACTCCTCCTCTCATTTCATTGCACAAACTAACTGGCCTAGCTGCACCTGACCTCAAGTGGGCCAAAGAAGTACCATCCCCCCAGTGCCAAGGAGGAAAGTCAGCAACACTGTCAACTACAGTCAGTGCCAGTGAGAAAGGTCAGGGCTAAGGAGGCCTGCAGTAATGGTGAAGGAGAGTTTTGAGCTTTGGAATAATTTTCTTCACAGATTTCAAAGCTCAGGTCCTATTCTCAGGATAACCTAGCAGGGAAGAATTTCTAAAAAGTGAGAAAATTAGCCTATTTAGTTAGATCACCATTTTACAGACAACGTGGTGATCTTGTTATCAAATAATCACTAGCAAGTTTCAGGGAGTTACTTCAGTGCTAAGGAAAACAAGCTAATGATAATAGTTGCTGGGATATTTTTGTGTCTATAGTTTGGTATTTTGCTCCAAAAGCAAACCAGGAATACTCTCTGATGATATGCAAATAAATTTTTAAAATACAAATAAAACAAACTGTCAACTTTAGAGAAGCCAAATTACCAGTAGTAAGTAAATATCAGCAACATGGACTGGGCATCTTGATACAAATGTGGCCAGGAGGTAGGTTGTGGCTATGTAGCTGTGAACGCTGTTGAGTGCAGTCATGGCTGGAGCCAACCAGGAATTCTCTGGTATGGGAAGATTTGGAGAGACATTGTTCTCATGAGTTTTTGTTGAGATGGAAAAATGGAGCCCTTCTTTATCTCTCTCTACTCTCTTTGGGTGCTCATTACTATAAGCAGCAACCACATTCCAAATCCACTTGGCAAAGTTCTTTACCCAAAACCCCTTTGTAAAAAACAGTCAAAGCCTGTATTTGAACAAGGCAATCTGATTGCAGAGCTGCATAGTTTACTACTACAATATGGTGACGCTCAAATGTGTTTGACTACAGTTTCTAATGCAAATTTTCTCATATATACTGTTTTAGCCACATGATACCTAAATGCTATGTCATTAAAGGTCACTGAATATACACTTCCCATCTCATTCCTAGTAATTGAGGTAGAGATGTACTAATTTACTTCATTTATTATGGATTCTTTATGCTTTTCTTCATTTTGCACCACTGTAGGTTACGTTGTGATGAGGACTTTAGTTTTGGCAAGTATCCTTAATCGTTTGCTTAGGAAAAAGCTCCTACAAGTGGAATTTCTGGGTCAAAGGGTATGCTTGTAGAGTCACTACTTTTGGCCATGCCAACTTCACCTAGATGTCAACTCCAAGTAAATTAGAATGGTGACCCCTGAAACTGTGCTAGTCTTACAGTGCTGTAACATTAGGTATGGATTTTAACATCCATAACTGCCAGTCTTCCAGAAAGTTTGTGCTGAATAATGCTTCCATGAGCAATATTCAAGAAAGCATTTCTGTCCGGGTGGCATATACAGTAATCCTAGTAATAATAATAATAAAAACATCTGCCATTTTTTAAAGTAATAAAATATTTCATTGTTTCAATTTTGCATTTCAACAAAGTATTTTGAAAATTGCATCAGTGCATTCTCATGGTTTGTTTCCTCTGATCCAAGTGGCTGCCCTCAGAATGCTTCTTTTCCAGTGTTCAATTATGCTGATAAAGTCTGATCAAAGAGAGGACCTGTCAGGCCCAGGAAGCATGACATGGAGTATATGTGCCAATGAATGATTAAATTAGATGATGTCTGGCCTAATAGAATGCAGCTATATTCTTATATGTGCTTCTTCATTCAATGAGATATAATGTGTTATTTAGATTGAAATATATGAAGAAAATCTGGTCTCACATAGATATGTGGGTGGAAAAGGGAAGAGTAATTTAATAGCTTTTCAGATAATTGTGGCTATTTTTTCATACTACATCAAAACTTGACAAGTGATATTTCTTAGAGGTTAGTAATGATGTAGAATGTGAAACCATATCAATGAAAATTTTGTATTCTGTTACATTAAAACCTATTGGTCTATCTTGCACTTTGAATGAATTTTTTTTTATAATGCATGATTTTGTAACAACATTGACCATGTGGAAAATAATGATCTTCTGAAATACATCTTCATAAGGTGGATTCATTTCATATAATAAATTGTCAAGTCACATTTATTAATATCACTGCTGAGTTCATAAAGTATTTAAATATTGAGAACTGTCACACTCATGACAGTAGATGTGAGTTTTCCAAAATTTCAATTTCAACTACAAAGTTTCCATTTTAAAATTAGCAAAACAAATGATATTATTTATTACCCTTGAAATGACAAACTTTCTTCATTTATTTTTGAGAAAATTTCTACTAATTATCTAAGTCTAAATAGCTATAGTTTGTCTGTCATTTCTCCTTTCCAGTAAAAATTATGTTCCATGAAAAAAGTGGCTAGTTTAGCTAGTAACTTAAGTCATCACACAAACACTTTTCTACGAAACTGCTATTAAACTTTGCTAGGTAGCAGAATTTTTTATGTAGCCTTCCCATTTTGTCACACAATATTAGAAAGACGTGTACTCAAAGGTTGTGATTTAATAAAATTAATATTGTTTTTACTACTTCATAAAGGAATTTCTTAGTTAAAACTGGCATTTAAAAAAATGGGGCATATATGGCAGTGAAGAATGCAATGACTAGTAGTACATTGTGGACCCACTGCTTTGATTTGTGCTAGGGCACCAGCAATTTTACCTGCCATTGCTTTTATGCTGTCACTGGAAATGTCAACATGGTAACAAAAAACAAATAACATTTAATTTTATTATTAAAAAATATTTTGACATTGAAGACTCCCTGAAAGAGTCCCGAGGGAGTTTTCAGGAGTCCACAAACCACATTTTAAAAGCCTCTGCTACAGGATGACCTGGGTAAGGTGGAAATAGCTTTTTACTACCCGGATCCTCCACCAATAGGGATATTGTACTCAGTAAATATCCTGTAGCTGTAGTCATTTGGTTAGCATTTATGGGTACATTTTTAAGTTCCTCAGAATTAGGAGTGCTAGTTTTGATTTCCTCTACATTAAAGCCATGGTATATAAAGAGAGATGAGAAACAGTGACTCAGTGAGGAAAGAAAGAGAATGGGAAAATCCAGAGCTATCTAGGGTCAGTGGGGCCAGTGTATGTGTTGGGGAGTTTCCATTTTCCACTTGGGTGGTGAAGAACTTCAAAGAACTCCTGGCAAATAATGACTCTCCAAACCCCTGCACTAAGAGACTTGATGAGACCTGATGAACCCCTGCTAGAGGGGTTTGTCAACCCCTCTAGCAACCTAAGGCCATGTCCCTGGGATAACCCAGTCTCCTTTTCAGTTTCTGTCTAGAAAAGCTCAGGGCTGTCATATGAAATTGTTTGCTCTAACTGACACCACATCATGAGAGGCTCATGATCTCCCTTTCCTGAAAAGGACTTCATGCTTGTGAATTTTTCCTTTGTCCCTTTGACATGTATACATATTTCCTATAATGTAGGCTTGTCTTTCTCAAGGACCTGAAAGCCATTCTTTGAAATGTGATCATCAGAAAGATAGGGGCTCTGTCTCACAATCTCTGTGAGGAGTTAGAAATCCTACCTTCCATAATAGCCAGCCAGCCAGCCAAGCCAGCTGGCCTAATTACATTTTCACCCATCAACTCTTTGCCATTTTTCTCTTCCCTGACTCTGCTTGGGACATCTTCCCTTCCCTACTCTCTCATTCTCCCTTTAAAAAGTCCAGTCACCTCTGTGCAAATCATAAACTGGATTGGAGCTCAGCTCTTTCCCCTATGGTCAGTGGATACCTAATACAATCCTTTTCACTACTTCACTGTCTGACTTTGCTCATCTTTGACAGTGAGCTTACCAAAGTAGGCAATGTCCTGCCTTATCTAAGTAACATAATCGCCCCAGTCCTGAGTGCGGCTATGGAGCAGTGGGTCTTCAAGTGTGGTCCCCAGAGCAGCATCATCACCCTTGAGAACTTTTTAAAAACACAAATTTGGGGCATCCGTCCTGATCTATTGAATCAATCACTCTGGGGTTGGGACCCCACAGTCTGTGGTCTAACAGGCTCTACAAGTGATTCTGATGCTTGTTGATGTTTTTGAACACAGTTGTAGGGAATAGCAAGCTTATTAAGGGTGCAATGGAGGCAAGGCCAGTGCTCAGCTTTTAGGGACTCAATGCCAAGAGGGTGTCAAAACAGAGGAAATGATTCTCCAGCTGGGCTAGCCTCACCCGTCTTCCTGAGCTACTAGAAACTCCATCTGGGCAATGCCACTTCCATCCTGTTCCAGAGGGGAGCACATGCAAACTCCTTAGAACCCATGGTCCCCAGAATGAAGCATGAGCTACTCTGCTTTAGTACGGCTTCTCATGGAAGTGCCAGCTCTCCCCATGGAAGTGCCAGCTCTCCCCTGGCTAAGGGTTTGCTAGTAAAACTTAACCCAAGACTAGTGATAATCTTACAGATATTATGTTGAGGAAAGAAGTCAGCCAAAAAAGAATGAATATTATATGGCTTTATATCAAGTTCAAAATGGGGCAACATTGCCAAAATGACAGAATAGTAGTTGCCTCTGGGGGTTGGATATAGACTTGGGATTGGCCCTAGAGAACATTCTGGGAATGGCACCATGTGCAGAAGTTATGTAGGTGTATAGAGATGTAAAGTCACATCAAACTATGTTAACACATGCGAATGTGTTTTTACCTCCATAAAAATTAGTCATAAACCTTCTAATATTATTATATGTAACATATTTAATGATATTTAATTATATCTGATTTATATTTAATAGCATAAATTAAAAAAGACATAAATAAGATAACTACTCAACTAAATCGGATAAAATCACACAAATGTGACCAATGCAGTGTGTTCTGTTCCTGCCTAGGGAAGCTCCGTTGGCCAAGAAGCTGGTTCATATCTGATTTAGAAGTATGGATATGAGCAATTAGATGCAAAGAATGAAAGCTACTTCATAGTTCAGAAAATATGAGGAAGTATCGGCATGCTAGGCTATTTCTTTGCTCATGTGCAAACATGTACACAGATACATTTCTCAACATGAGACCTAAAGCACTTTCAAGGGAATAATTTTCAAAGCAGTTGCATCCTGCTGTTAATAGCCAATTAACAAGTAGGAGATAATAACTCCTCAGTTGTATTGTGGGTAGGTAGAGCAGTGTAAAGGCAACTAATTAACACCCAGTCTTTTAACATACTAATTAATCTAGCCAGGCAAGAGTGGTTTAGAATACGTTGAAGGCTCTGAGTCCCCCAAATTTCATTTTTCACCATGCCAATAAATAATTGAAGCCCACAGCTTTCATTTGTCCTATTCAGCCCTCTTCTTTGATGCCACTCAGCTTTGAAGTACCATCCCTAACAGAGGCAGAAAGCTATTTATCTATTTCTTTAATAGCCTCATGAATATTGCTTTGCTATTATTCTTAGCTGGCACTTGCAAGTTCTTAACATTTCAAGTTTTCTCTCCTGGATCATATTTTCTTTAGCTGTCTCTTTCACTTTGTGTGATATGTTAGCTTTGGTCGTGATAATAACATAAGTTACCTAGGATTTTCTTGACTAGTAATTTAGTGTACTGCTTTATTTAGTGTAATGCTTTGTAAACTTTATGAGGCTTCAGTATCCTCTAGAGAAGTTTGTAATGAAATGAAGATTTCTGGGCCTCACCTCTCTCCCTCTTGCCCTCTGATGATTTCATTTCAGAAATTCTGGGATGGGCCTAGACTCTGCATTTTAAATAGTTTCCCTATCCCTACATTCCCCAGTGATTTGAAGGCAGATGACTCTACTTGGAGAAATACTCCTTGGGTAAACAACTGAAGTCTTTGGTAATTTTGCCTAGTTGAGAAGTAAATTTTTAGGACAGAGTAAGATAACAATTTTTAAAATGTAAGCCTCTTACTTGGGTCTCTGAACTTCTTCTTGCTTGAGTGATGAACAAGTTAAGGAATAAAAGAAGGAAATAGCAGATGGGGGGCTGAAATATCCTCCTAATTACTGATAAGAGTGGATTTGTAGGATGAGGTTGAGTGTGAGAGCCAAACAAGCCACCAACGAACCCCAGAATGGGACAGCGTGTCCTCAGTCTCTGTGCACTGAGGCAGGCTTCCCTGTGCTTCAGGCAGGAACGAAAAGGAACTGTTTTCTGGGGCAGCTTGTGCTGAGAGGAGGAGGTGAGAGAAGTACACCAAGGTTATGCTTCCCAAATTGACCAATCTAATACATGACTTTACCTTCCAGGGAGTGGAGAGAGCCATGGGGGTCCCCTTTACTTATCAGGAAATAGCAGAAATAGAGTAAGCAGTGCTTCTCTATCTACACCTCTCAGTACTGGCCAAAAATCAAAGTTTGACAACCCAGGGAGCTCGCTGGGCTCTAAGGAAACAGGCCCTCTAGTGGGAATGCAATTTGGTGCAAGTTTCACCGAGGGCAATGTCTCAAGATATGACAAATGCGTATTTCACTTAGCATTGTGTCCTCTAGATTCATCCATGTTGTCCCACATGACAGAACTTCATTCTTTTTTTAAGGCCGAACAATATTCCATTGTGTGCATATACACTACATTTGGTTTATCCATTCATCTATTGATAGATGTTTAGGTTGATTCCATCAGCAGGGTGATAATAGTCAATAATAATGTATTGTATATTTCAAAATAACAAAGAGAGTGAATTTCAAATAGATCATCACCAAAAAGTCAAGTAAATGAGGTGATGGATATATTAATTAGCTTGATTTAATCAGTCCGCATTGTATACATAAAACACATTGTACTCTGTAGATGTAATTATGATTTGTCAATTAAAAATACATTTTAAAAAGCTACAAATGCACATATTCTTTGCCTCGGCAGTTCCCCTTCTAGAAACATCCTACAGATGTACTTAGAGGTGTGCCATGGTGAATTTGTAAGGACAATCATTGAACCATTGCTACTAAGAGCAAAATATTGACATTTCCATTAATAGGAGACTGTTAAATATGCCATGGTATGTCCATATAATGGAATACTACAAGAGCATAGAACACATGGGAACTTTTAATTTTCTGATATGGAACAATCTTTAAGATTTTTTTTTGATGAAAAAAGCAAGGTTAGAATAGTGCATATCATAAGCTGCTATTGATGTAAACCAGAAAAGGATTGGAATGAGAATATTTTTGGTCTGCATGGCACAGAATATCTCTGGAAGAATAAGCAAGAAAGGGATGGTATTGGTTGCCTCTGAGAAGAAATGGGTGGCTGGGAAGGAGAGTGAAAACATTTCAAAATTATGTATGATATTGTCCATTTTGAAATTTTAACCATATGAATGTTACCTATTCAAACCGTTAAATTAAAGCAATAGCAAAGCCAGCCATCTTGATGCCTACTCTCATATTGGTCAGCATCTTTTCATCTAACTCTAGTAGAGTATTTCAAATTACCTCCCACGGACAATCCCAAAGGACCCTGTCTTCCCCAAACCTGGCAGGATCTCCCTGGGCCTGGGCCCTTTCCTGATCCAGTCCTCACCTTCCTTCCATGTTTGTGTCCCTGTTCCTGGCAGCAGCCCAGTGCTCCAGCCAAGCCTGTCTCTTCCTGGTCCTCCGTGTCCCTTCTCCCTCTGGCTCTGGGATCTGCGGTCTGGCCCTGCCTGTGGATGCTCCTCTCCTCCCTCTCTCTTGAGCTCAAGATGTAGCCACATTCTCCTCAAAATGAAGCCTTGAGGACAATCAGAGTTACACGTGGTTTCTTTCTCCTCTGAATGTCAATAGCCCCTGTCTGCACCACTTGCCCAGTACCAAATCAGCTGCCTAAGATGGCTAATTTTTGTGTATGTAGGGGGTTACAAATTTACTCTCAGTCAATTGAGACGTGTAGATGAAATTGGCTCTCTTCATGTCTGTAGCTGATCTGGTCTCTTTCTAAGCCTCCACATATTGTGATGAGGAAAAAACCAAGCAACACATCTGGTTATCTCTGTCCAAACCAATAATCAATTAATCTGTAAACCAGTCTCTCTTTTGTAATGGGATAGGCAATGTTTAATGTTTATTTGCTTTATCAAAGGATTCATTATAGGCTTATTTAAACAGAGAAATTTCCTGTTAAATATATAATTATTTCCTTCTAAATAAATAGCTTTTAGTTAATATGACCACATAATTTCCTATCTAAAGTGGGACACTTTTGAGAAAGAAAGGGGATACTAATTGGATGGAACATGAGGATCTTAGGTAAAAACCGGGACTATCCCAAGAAAACCAGGGTGTATGGTTATCCTACTTTGAACATAGACAAATTCAGGGATTCTTAATCACAACCGGGTGGCTGACTTGGCCTCCCTTTCACTCTTAAGGGCTACCAACTCCTCTTCATCTCCTTCAGGCCCTCAACTGGTCTCTAATCTGGGCAGTCTGACTCCACACCTACATCATGGTGGGGGCACCATGGCAGATGTGCTGGCTCTCAGGTTATACAATGCAGCAGGAATGCTTATGCAAGCAGGTTTCATCTAATTTAATATGTATCCAACCATCAACAATTATCTTGTCCACTTGAAAACAAAGTCTTTACAAAAATAGAAATGTCAAAGACAGGAGGTTAAGTATCCTGATAACCTAATACATTTTAAAAACATACATTTTATGAAAGTACATTTTGCACATTTTGCATTGACAATGTCTCCTGGAACCTTCACAGCAACCATTAAAGTTGTAGTACCATAACTGAGGCTGACAGGCTGCTCTGCTTGGATGACTCAGCTAAATACATTAGTCTTCAGAGCCCCTTGCTCTCTTCTCTCCTCCTGTCCAATATGGTGGCCAAGAAGATGGAGGAAGGAATGGTTTATGTGACCTGATAGGACTGGGGTGAAAGAGGGCCACCTGGCCCTGGGCTAGACTTTTGGGTTTGCTGGCCTGGTCCACACTTGGACATTCTGCTTCCATCCACTGCTCATGTTGGCTGCTGCCACCACTGCTGCTATTAAATCTCCTTCTCATGTCTTCCAGCTTCTCCTGGGTCTTTTCTTCCTTCCCTATCTCCTTAGACTTCCCTTAACGTCTAGGGACCAGAAACCCCTCTGAAACTCTGCTATATCCGTCAGCCAGGCCCTGGTCTGGGCCTTCTCTTCCCACACACCTAGCTGACCCTAGCAGGCTCTGTGGCTGGTCTGTTGGCTCTCAGCTTTGCATTCCCTGTGCAATGAAACCCAGAGAAACCTGGGAGAGCAAACCTGATCTGTTTGCTGAGCCTCCTGTGCTGCCTTCTTGACTATATGGGGGATCCCTGCATTGGGGCAGTGCTGGTCTGCAGGATGAGCTCCCAAGTCCTAAATAGGAAGCTGGGCTCAAAGCCATCTGCCAGCAATGTGTTGATCAGCTACCTCCCTCTTCTCCAAGGCTTTGTGCTTTAGGACATAAATCTGATATTTTAGATTTACCTCTCCCCTACTTTGTCCCCACATTCCACTGGACTCAAAGGGATCTTGTCACAGGTTTTCTGGAAAGCAGATACTGAGATATAGATGAATATATAGAAGGCTTATTAGGGAGTCCTCTAGTCATCACCACCTATGGAAGGCACAGGAAGGAAACCTGACTGGGTAGAGTACTCTGCTGCAATCTTGATGGCTCCAGACAGTCCTAAGGGAACTCTGAAGCTGGGATGCCCTTCAGAGATATTCTGAGTTGGGGCAAAAGGGACAGGCCTTTACATTGCCCTGCATCTACCAGTTATTGGATGGGAGCTGCCCTGCCAAGGTGCACAGCCCAGGCAAGATGACTCTTCAGCTAAGGCAAGTTCCTAAGAAGGCCGACAGAAAGGGCTTCCTGGGAAGCCATACTATCTGAGAACCATGGTGTCCACCGCAGTTAGAATTTTCCTTTACCTTTCCTATGTCTTCTTTTGACTCTGGGCAAGCCATCATAGGTAGAAAATTATATTATCTATATTGTGGAAAAAGTCTGTGATTTAATATGCCAAGACTAGCCCTTGATATGTTAAATGGGAGCTAAAGAAATTTAAAGAATTGTTTCATTTTTAACAATGTCTGCCTTATGACCAATTATCTTGCATACAAATGCTATTTTGAATTTTGGAAACTCAATTATAATCTTTCTCTTTGCAGCTCTTCTATAATAATCCCAATACCCCTAAAGTATCAGATTCGATAATTTGGGCTAATTAGGAAGAAGGTGCTGCACACAGAAAAACCCAAGAGAAGATCACAGAATTATTTTCTAAAATATTTGTGATTTACCCTCATATATGCTTTTCTCTTTCCTTCTGTCTCAAAGCTACTTGAGAGCTGCTAGCAGGAGCATGTTATTCTTAAGCTTTTTTTTATTTCTCCCATTGTATTTATACGAGGCTTTGCATACATATATTGGTTATATATGTAACAAATTACTCCAAAATTTAGCACCTTAGCAGTAAACATGTTACCCAGATGCTGAAGGTCAGGAATTTGGGAGCAGCTTAGCTGGGTGGTTCTGACTCAGGATCTCTCATGAGGCTGCAGTCAAGCCATTGTCCAGGTCTGCAGTCACCTGAAGCCTTGGCCTGGGCTGGAGAATCTACTTCCAAACTCAGGTCCTTGCCAGCTGTTGGCCACAGCTTCAGGTCCTCACCAGCAGGTGTCTTCATAGGGCTGCTGCAACATGGCAGTTTGCTTCCCAAAGAGCAAAGGCTGAGAGAGAGAGAGAGAGAGACAGACAGAGAGAGAGAGAACAAGAGAACACTTAGGAGGTAAGCCACAGCCTTTTACAGCCTCATCTCAAAGGTGATATGCCATTGCTTCTGCCATACGTGATTGGTCACCAAGGTCAACCCTGGTACAATAGGGAGGGGACTATACAAGGGTGTGAATGTCACAAAGAGGGGATTGCTGGGGGACATCTTGGAATCTTGGAGACTGGCAGCCACAACTAGCTATAAATTCTTGACACACTGGAAAAGATTTGGGTTTGAGACTCAGATATGGATTGAAAATAACTCACTCTGCCACTCACTACCTGTGTGACTCTGAGCAAGTCCCTTTAACTTAGTTCCAGTTTGCTATGAGGATTGTAATACCTTCTTTGGAACAGTGTTGGGAATAACAAATGAGGTAAATATGCAGAAAGCCTTGCCCAAGAGGAGTGCCAATAGAGGGACATAATAAACGATAGCTGTTGTTATGAAGAAGATCTGAATTTTTCCCCACTCATACATCATGTGACGTTATCTGCCCCAAGCAAGTGGTCACCCTTAGGCCCAGTGAGTATTTCAGGTATTGATCTGCAGAACTGGGGAGTGATCTACTCAACCCAAGATCTGCATCTTCAGTGTTCTTACATCCCTCACTTTTCCTGACAGAATGACGGTCAGCTGAACTGAGGAAACAGCGCTTCTGGTTTAGGTAACCCCGGGTACCTTTGCCTCCTCCAATTTTTCTTGCTTAATGTCAAGGCAAATTAGTTATTGCAATTCAATTTCTTGAGCTGTGTTTGTCTTGGTCCCAAAACCACCCCAGGGGAGGAGACTGGATGTGATTCTAATTTGCTGTAATCACAGTTGATATTATCATTGTTTTGAAGATTTGTATTTTCTCTGACAAAATGTCAAACATACGAGGCAAATTTTATTCTGAATTTTAAATTAAATATTTAAAAATACACGAGTGGTTTGAAAATAATTACCCTTTTAAAGCTATCTGGAACTCATGCAGCTCCTAATAGGTGCCAATTGGCTTACAGATGCCATTGATTAACATAAGGGGGAAAATCCAGTCTTACATTAATTGTATGCTGAAAATTTTTAATACGGGAAACGTATTTAAGCATTGCTTTACCTCTACTAGGGTGAAGCATATGTTTTTAGTTACACTCAGATTGCTCTAACTGGTCAAATGTTCTTGGTTCTTAAATTGAAAACTCTAACCTTTCATACAAATAATGGATTTTGTCAGGGGTTTCTGTGCGTATTGTCCAAACATGTTCTTTTGGAAGAAAGCAAATAAGAAAAACAATTAAGCTTGCCAGATGGAGAATTTAGTGTTTTAGTTTTTCTTTTTCATATTATCCAGGAATTACTGGTTTCCTAAATAATTCACTGCTGGGTGAATTCCCAAGTGCATTTCAAATAAAATTTGATTTGCATACATCTTTCCAGGAACATATGTACCCTATCAAGAGAGCTCTGGTTATATGATTAAGATTACCATTGTACTTGACCACCCTTTCACACATGTAACATGCACACAATGGAACAAGAGCATTTTGAAACCTACAATATAATTCTAAATGGAAATTTGCTACGGAAGTTAGCTCACTTCAGGCAACTTTTGATGCATATCTAAAGTTTAGAAAGCGCTGCAGGAGGAAAGCCAATAAATAATTTATCCTTCTTTTCAACTCTTTATGCAATTTTTTCCCTTTAGCTAATTCTCCTAAAGTTGTGTCTTTCATTAAGAACTTGAAAGAATTATTTTTCTTTTACCAGACTCATAAATATTTCCTTTTCTATTCTCACTGATAGTTGAAACACGTTTAAATAAAATTTTTCTCCTAAAGGTATGCTATTTTATCTTTTTTCATGGAATGAAATGAAATTAAAATCTGTCATACTTTGAATTTCAGGACTCAGGTCAGTTTATTAAGGTGAATGGTACACTACTTTTTAGAGAGATCACTTTATTTTTTGAAACTAGTACATTCAAATCTCAGAATATAAGCAGAATCTCAGGATATAAATCTTTGCTTTTTATTTGCTTTGTATTTAAATATTTAGAAGGTTTGCTTTCATTAAAATAGTGCCTGTTTATTAAAAAAAATTTGAAAAATGCATAAACATTTAAAGCACATCCTAATGGTCCATTTACTCAGAGATACATACATGGATATTCTTGTATATGTTTTTCTTTTTCCCACATTTTTAGAAATATTTATTTGGGCTTCTGAATCTGATTGAAAACCTGCCTAAGTAAAGTATTTTTGAGAGAAATATCTAATTATAAGGCTTTTCTCTTAACAACGGGTAATGGCTTATAAGCAATATTTTTATTATTAGGCTTCATCCAGATATCATTGTTATTGAGCCAACTAGCTTTCTACATTTCCCCCCCACATTCATTAGTGTTGCCAGAAGAACCAAGTATAATTAACTTAGGGGATAATTCTCCTTAGGACCCTTGTGATGAATTGGGCATTATGCTTCTTGGGAGTTCTACTGGCCACTAGGCTGGGCCATTAATACAGTGACTAATATCATTGTTCTTGACTATTTTCATTTGGATTTAAGTCTTGGTCATCTGGAGTACACCTTCAAGTAGTCATTTAGACAGTGGTCAATAGCTGGCATATTTTTAGGGTATTGACATAACTAATTTTCTTCCCCTTGTCAGCTTTTTTATTTTTATTTTTTTGAGACAGGGTGTCACTCTGTTGCCTACGTTGGAGTGCGGTGGCACCGTCATAACTCACTGTAGTCTCAAACTTCTGGGCTCAAGTGATCATCATCACACCTCAGTCTCCTGAGTAGCTGGGACTATAGGTGCACACCACCATGCCTAGCTATTTTATTTTTTTGTAGAAATGGTGACTTACTATGTTGCCAGGCTGTTCTCAAACTACTGGGCTGAAGGGATCCTTTTGTCTTGGCCACCCCAAGTGCTGGGATTACAGGCATGAACCAATTAAAAATTGCACCCAGCCAATTTTTAATTTATCAATGATGTGGTTCCATTGCATCTAGAAAGCCTTAATGATGCAATAATGTTTAAGATCCCAAGTGTGGAGTCAGAAATATCTAGATTCAATACTGGTTCTACCAGTTATCTGGCTTTACAAGTTAATGTGCCTCTTTCCTCATCTGTAAAAAGAGGATAATGGGATCTGTCTCATAGGATTGTTGTAAGGATGAAATAATAGGATATCCCAAAACACTTGGAGAGTGCCCAGCATGTAGTAAATATCAATAAATATTAGCTAACATTTCCCTAGCACAGAGC
Source organism: Homo sapiens (assembly GCF_000001405.40). Taxonomy (NCBI): domain Eukaryota; kingdom Metazoa; phylum Chordata; class Mammalia; order Primates; family Hominidae; genus Homo; species Homo sapiens. The sequence goes on along the minus strand of NC_000010.11, from coordinate 112,019,050 downwards.
AATATTTTCCTCCACCCTCAACTACAGGCTACCTAACTTCAACTGATTTGCCAGCCATCACCTGATTCAGCAAATCTATGATTTTGTAGCTTAATGATGAACTTAGACCACACCATGGAGAAGGGGAGGCACTTTTTCTTTGATTCAGGTAGCGGGTTCAGGAATGTCTTGGCTTCTGATGTGTCCTATTTTAAAGGGAAGAATGGGGGAAGGGTATAAGTTATCGATGATTATTACATCCCTTCCACAACTAGAATCATTAGAAGTTTTCCAAACTGAAGGCCTCTTGATTCTCCAATGTCCTGTACAGTCATCAACACCCTAGGACATTCTGGGACATTTTCTTTTGCCAAAGATCCTGTTGAGTAGCATTTTGTGTTTTCCTCCTTACAACAAATATCCAACGTCATGATGCTATTCCTGGGAGAAAATAGGCGCCAGGCTGCTTCTGAAGGATAGCTCTGAAATTAAATAGTATTAGAGTTGACATTAAGTTTGCCTCAATAATGAAAATTTGAAAACTCCGAAAGAGAAGCTTTGCTTCTTGCAAATATCTTGGCACAAACATTTAAAGATATCTAGTTCAGGTGTGAATTGGAAACTAACAATAGGAATAAGACTGGAGCACCTGCCTGTATAGTATAGAAATATGACAGGAGGTGAAAAAGAGGTTCTCAGGCCTGCAGTGATCCACAGAGAGTCTCTGTCCCAGTGGTTCTCAACCAGCACTGGTGACTTGTTGGGCCAGGTAATTCTTTGTCGTAGGAGATTGTCCTGTAAGATGTTTAACAGCATTACTGGCTTTTACCCTTTAGATGACAATAGCATGCCCCAAACCCACGCACCCTTGTATTCCCCAGTTGCGACAACCTAAAATGTCTCTAACCATTGCCAAATGTCCCTTGGAGGCAAAGCCATTCCCGGTTGAAGACTGCTAATTTATGCAAAGGTTTTCTGCTACCTTACACTGAATATTTGGTCCCTCTCTTGATTGTGGGCATTGGTGCTTTAGAGTAACAGTTGGTAATCCACAGCCTGTGGACCACATCTGTCTCATAGCCTGTTCTTATGAACTAATAGTTGTTTTTAAAGAAGAATATTTTACAATCAATTTGAGGATATCTGTCTTAGTCAGTTTGGGCTGCTTTAAAATATGTACTATGATATATAGGCTGGGTGGCTTAAACAATGAACATTTATTTCTCATAGTTCTAGAGGCTGTGAAGTTAATGATCAAGGTGCCTGCAGATCTGGTGTCTGGTGAAGGCCAGCGTCCTAGTTTGCAGATGGCGATCTTCTCATTGTGTTCTCACATGGCAGAAATCAGAGAGGAGAAGGAAGCTCTCTCAAGTCTGTTCTTATAAGGGCACTAATTCTGTCAAGAGGGCTTCACCCTCATGACCTTATTATCTCTCAAAGGCCATACCTCTAAATACTATCACACTGGAGATTAGACTTCAACATATAAATTTTGGATGAAAATACAAGCATTCAGACCACAGCAATAGTAAAAATTAACTTAGAACTACAATTAATCAAAATGTTATTCCTAAAAACATATTCTATTCTTTTAATTAGTAGACCTGTATTACAAAAAATTATATCCCATTATTATCACAATATATTATATAACATACTTCTAAAGCTCGTCGGAAATTTATAAAATTCGTGTTCTCTCTTGTTATGTAAACACTATCTACTATCTTTGATTTTCTTGACCCTGAGCCTAAGTATTTATTATCTGGCTTTTACAGAAAAGTTTGCTGATCTGTTGCTTTTGCTTTAGAGCATCAAATTTTAGTGAGCATCACAATCACTTGGTGGTCTTGATAAAACACCGATTGCTGGGTCCCACCCATCAGTTTCTAATTTACAAGGTCTGGAGTGGGGCCTTGAGAATTTGTTTCTCATAAGTTCCTGGGTGGGGCTGCTGTTGCTGCTTATAGACCATGCTTTGAAATGACAGTTTTAGACTAATCGTACTAAAAATGTTTAGAGACTGAAGATTTATTTTGTTTCTTGGTGGAATGGCTCTCCTGCTAACATTTGGCATGGAAACTGGTCTTCTTTTGGAAAGTGAAGAAATATTTAAAAATTTATTTCAAGATACATACAACGTATGCTTTTTGAGTATCTACTTTGCACTAGACACCAAGAAAGGGAAAAACCGAAGATGAATGAAAATAGCTCCTGCCTTGCCTTTATAGTTGACAGGTGAAGGAAGGAGGGAGGGCCTATGAGGGGTCTTCAAAAAGTTCATGGAAAATGCATATTATGAAAAAATTATGCATGGATTTTATTTTTTTGCACCAACATAAACTGGTGCTAATTTGTTATAACATGTCTGAACAGGATCTAGTTTGAGGAACTAAGAAGGAAAAGGACCTTTATCAGAGAAACATGAATTCTGCTAAAACTGAAGCAAGAACAAACATCAAATTTATGGCGAAGCTTGGCTGGGAGAAGGGTGAAATCATTGACACTTTATGAAAAATTTATGGGGGAAATGTCACAAAGAAATCAGCTGTTTACAATGGGGTAACTCATTTTAAGAAGGGAATAGATGATGTTGAAGATACAGCCCACAGTGGCAGCCCATCCACATCAATTTTCCAGGAAAAAAAAAAAATCTAGTTTATGCCCTAATTGAAGAGGACCAACGATTAACAGCAGAATCGATAGCCAACACCGTAGACATCTCGATTGATTCAGCTTACACAGTTGTAACTAAAACATTAAAGTTGAGCAAACTCTCCACTTGATGGGTGCCAAAACTCTTGTGCCCAGATTAGCTGCAGACAAGAGCAGAATTTTTAATGGAAATTTTAAACAAATGGGATCAAGATCCTGAAGCATTTGTTTGAAGAATATAACAGGAGATAAAAACATGGCTTCCTCAGTATGATCCTGAAGACAGAGCACAATCAAAGCAATGGCTGGTAAGAGATGGAGGTGGTCTGGTTAATGCAAAAGCAGACTGGTCAAGAGCAAAGGGCATAGCAACAGTTTTTTGGGATGCTCCAGGCATTTTGTTTGTCGACTCTCTGGAGGGCCAAAGAATGATAGCAGTTGCTTATTATGAGAGTGTTTTGAGGAAGTTAACCAAAACTTTAGGGGAAAAAAAAAAACAGGCCAAGCATGGTGGCTCACACCTGTAATCCCAGCACTTTGGGAGGCCACGGCGGGTGGATCACCTGAGGTCAGGAGTTCAAGACCAGCCTGACCAACATGGCGAAACCCCTGACTAATAACCTAAAGCAGGATGGCATAACTCCTGCACCAAAAGGAATGATCATAAAGAGAAGATGAACACAAAAAAGGACAAAAGGCTTTAGCACAGGACTGGACAGCATGTAAGCTGTGCATTGGGTGTGCTAAGCACAAGAGAAATTTGAAGACTGATCTAATCATGATTCGTGGTGGCAAGCGACAGAAAGCAACCTGAGTTAACTTGGGCAAAAAGGAGAAATCATTGAAAGACTTCTGAATTGTTTTAGGTCAAGGATTGACAGAGTTTTTCTGTAAAGGTCCAAATAGTGAACATTTTCATATGGTTTCTGTCCCAGTGACACAACTCAGCCTCTGTAGTGTGAAAGCATCCGTGGACAATTTGGAAGTAGACAAATTCCTGTGGCTATGTCCTAATAAAACTGTATTTACAAAAATAAGCTGACCAGATTTGTCTTGTAGACCCTTAGTTTACAGACAGCCATTTTAGATAATTCAAGGAAGTTTGCATAACCAAATAATAAAAGGGTCACACAGGCAGCCAAGTTCAGAACACTTAGAACCTGGGACCTGAGGCCCTGTAGGACCTTCTTTCTTTGCCTCGGTTGTCCTCAGTTTAAGTTTCTCCATTCTCATTGCAGACTATTGCAGTAAGCTCTCAACTCCCAACAGCTTGTACCCTGCAACTTCTGCAGAGGTTGGGGAAGGGGGTGCCTAACTTCCTCTCAGTTTTAAGAAGAAAATCTCAAACAAGGATTCTGATTAGCTGTCTCTGTCTCTATATGTATGTATATATGTGTGTATATATATATATATATATATATATATATATAGGTATGTATATATACGTGTGTATATATTTTTATATATATATCTATCTCTGATTTTGAAATTTTGGCTACCACCTATAAAAACATGCTTTATTTTTTCTTAATTGGGTGGAGAAGACTATATTGTATTATTGTGTAGGGTATTTCAAGGCCTTGGAAAAATAGTAAGTTCACTCCGGGTTCATGAAAATCCCACGTCATAGCTATCAAGTGGCAGAGCCAAGACCCCTCTGTCTGATTGCAAAGCCCAGGTTCTAAACCTCCAGAAACTTTCCCCCAACCATACTTTGTATTATTAGCAACATCATGCCATTAAGGGGGTACCATAAACAGGGCGATCACTTCAGGCCATCTGGGGAGCAGTTTGTGTCGGAGTGACATTTTCTTCCAGGAGTCCTGGGTTTGGGGCCTTTCTTCATATTAGGGTATTGTGGGACTGAAATGGATTGCTGTTCTACTTGCACATCGCAGAGATTAATAGCTGTCTTGTTCGAAAAGAGAATTAGGAGTGGCCACAATCAAGCTCTCCTGATGGTTTTCCCTCCTTGTCTCTAATGACTTCTCTGTCAGAGCTTTCCTCTCTAAATTGAGCCCCAATTTCTTCCATTGCACTTAAAACTGGAGGCTTTGTTCTTCCTCTGGAGGCAGGGCCTCAATTGCTCTCCTTTCTCAGGTAATAGCCCTTAATTTACTGAAAGAAGTTTTTTTTTTTTTTTTTTTTTTTTTTCTGTGGGGTTCAAAGATAGCTGGGTGCTTCAGTTTCAGTAAAACCTATGTTCAATAAAACTGTTCTTGGGAGCATTCCGAATGAACACCTTAGCTCCTGTTCAGGATTACTCAACAGAGAAAATGGCCAAGTACAAGAGAGAACCTCTAAATGTCATTTGTAATCAAGGCAGTTCTCTGTGCTACTTACCCAATCAGCCAACGAGAACTTTTTTCCTTTGTGTGCGTTTTAAATGGACCTCTACTTCTTTATGAAGATTTGGGGGTGGTGATGATCTAGACTTTGATGAGGACATCTGTGTTTATGTAACGTTCATATCTTTAAAAACAGGCTCTGAAAATACATTACATCTAAGGAATAAACCAGAACTCTATTTATCAGAATCCCCAAGGAAGAAAAAATCAAATGTTTTGGTTTTGATGAAAAATTAATAGAGGAAGAAAATGAAGAAAGAGAAATTAAGTGCTGATCCATTATGTTTTTCCACTCATATACATGAGGATGGTTATGAATTTTATCTCCTTGTTATCATCTCTCTTTTTGTCAACATTCTCCTCTCTGTACAGCCTAGCTAGACTGAAACCTCTGCTACAATAGCCTGTAATATAGAGCAGAATTTGATGTTTATCAGGTCCCTCTTGGGAGGCAATTGTTGTAGTGAAAAGTCAACAGGCTTGGAGATTGACAACTCTAGGTTAGAATCTGGCTTGGTGTCACTAACTGTGATGTCAGGCTCTTTACTCAACCTCTGTGAGCCTCCGTTTTTCCCTTGGCAAAGTAGGTGTAGGACCGTAAGGTCTTGGACCAGGTGTTAGGGCCTCAGTGAGAACATCTCTGAGCATGTTATCTAAGTAGTGTGTCTCTTCATTCTTTATTAGGTTATCCTATTTATTTCCTTGCACAATTGTTTCTTCACTTGTCATCTGCATCTCCAGGCTGGAGTGTACACTCCTGGAGGGAAGTATTTCATGGGTCTTTTCCAGTGCTGTAGACCTACCAGCCTAGACTGTACTTTGTACATTGTAAGCCTTATACAGAGTTTTGCTGAATTAGTGGTTGGATGAATGATTGAATACCTACTTCATAGAGTTACTTACTATGACGACTTTTTCAGGTCGTGTTTGTAAAGCATCCAGTACCATGCTTAATATACAGCAACATCTTGAAATAGATATATCTATGCAGTTTAGCCAGGACACCCACTCTAAGGGAGGTGGAGATTTAGTGAATTCTTATCATTTTATGTTGCTTCAGCATCCATCTTGAATACAGGTTTAACTTTCTTGTACCAGAAGCAGGGCTCAGTCACCCTGGACACAGTTTCCAGTTTTGAACCACATCCAGGTGGCTCAAGCTGGTGGCGAAAGATAAGAACTTAGAGGCATCTCTCTGGCCTAGCCGATGGGCTCCCTGCTTTTCTACAACTCCACTTAAAAGGACCATGCAGACATTTGCCCATGAACTTAAAGTGACCCACACCCTACTCCCTTAGATGTGCAACTAGTTACCACACACGCCCCTTCTCTCTTCCTGACTCTTCCTTCCTGCTTTGTGACCTGAGGACTCACGACACCCCCTCTGTCCAGGATCTGTAAGTAAAAATCTCTACACATGTTTCCTGTTGAGGTGGTGTATTGAATTCGTACCTTTCGTCTGAAGACTGGGGGGCTGCCCCAGGCCAGGTCATCCCTGGGATGCTGAGGAAAACACAAAGCTGGGCTCCCAGCATCAGAGCAATTGTCAGGCAGGAATAAACTGGACACAGGTCAGACAAGAGCCACAAAGGCATCTGCCAGTATAAACAAGTTTCCTCTGTGAGGGACTACCTGGTTGCAGTTCAGACAACCAGACATTAGGCTGTCCACTAGGTAAGGGAATATTTTGTGAAAGGCACACTGCAACACTCACATCCAGCTCTATTCATTTCCTTTTAGGAAAGGGTTGTTGGCTGCTCCAGTGCAGGTGCCCCAATTTAGCTGGGGGCTCTCAAAACGGGGGTAATGCTCACATGAGTCCTATAGGATGGATTCGCCCAAGGATAGTCTTGTATGGGGGCTCAGAGGCAGTGCTCCCAAACTCAGATTTCTTAAGTTATTCTCTATATTTCAGAAAATCTAGTGAAAGTCCTATATTTCGCCACCCTAAAACATCATGTATAGGAACCTCAGAAGCAGCTAGGGTGGTATTGTGGTAATCCTGGATCTTTCATGCTGCTCAACCACGCTGCTTGGTGGTTATCTGTGTCTACTTAATTTGAAGTAGAAAAATTAATTAATTGGACATAATCAGTGCTGCTTCTTTAATGAACACAACCTTTGAAAACTTGGTGAGTGGGCAAGGTAGAGGAGAATGGGAAATCTCCGTGGTGATGAATAGATTGGAGACCTCTGAGCTCAGGTGAGGGCTTTGAATCACAGACTCCCAGCAGTCTGGTTGGGCTGGGAGATCATTGAGTTCATTTAAGCTAATGAGCAAAAGGTATTGGGAAGAATGAGTTCAGAAGGAATAATTTAGCTAAGAGAACAAATTTCTCTCTCTTTGGTCCAGGTTCTTTAAAAGACTCAAATCTCGCAGTTAATTGTACTCCAGTTATCCATCTTTTGTGACAATTCCCATTCTGACTGGGAGACTGTTATTTGGTGGGGGGTGGGAGGGGGTCAGTGTCAGGGGAGGGTGAATGGAGCTACATCTGGTACAGTTGGTTCTTTCCTGTTCTCTAGCAGAAGTCTGAGACTATTCTCAACTTCTTTTCATGAAGAAGAATTAGCAAAAATAAATAAATACAATAAATGCTGTTAAAATTGTGACTGTGGTTCGGGGCATTATGACTTAAGTTTGTGAGCATGAATCTCTTCCCTATAGGAGCTCAGGTAAATTCCCCTTTAGGAAACAAAATGCTTAGAAATTTGTAGCTGGAATAGTTGAATATCCTTCTCTCACAGATGTGGGGGAGTACGTGAACCATGGCAAATTTCTTATTTGATGCTGAATTTTTCCCTTCATTATGAAAAGCACAGCTATAATGCCATAGTTATGAAATCCATAGAGCAAGGTTAATCCTTAGGTGGGAATTCACATAGGTAATAATAATTCTTGTTATCCCTATCAAAAACATCATCATATTTAAATACAATGCCGTTCAAGGCGTTTTTTGTGTGTATGTGTGTGTGTAAAATGTTTGGTATGGCTTGATGAGGACTCAAATATTCCATAGTAATCAAAGACACTTAGGCAATTTTCTTCCTGTAAGTAATTTTAGCTAAGAAATCAACCAGAGTTAAGTACTGCATATGGGCAGGAAAATAAGGTACTTTCGGGTTTATTTGTTATATGCTAATATCCCAGTGAGAAACATATTTTCAGGCAAGGAACAAAGGAACAATAGATGTTCGTGAAAATGTAATTTCCCAGCAGCATTTTACAATTCAAAGTTTCAGCTTCTTTTCATTTGTTGTTAGTAACAAACTTGGAAGAATCTTTTTTTTAAAAAATGTTTCTGAAGGTGCTTGCTTCTTTTAATCTTCAGTTTTAAATGTAGATACTGAGTGATTGCTGCATATCTTAAGATGAGATGAAAAAAGAGACAGTGATTATGAATCGTGACTTTGAGAGTTTTATTGTCTTACTTGACAGGATGGACATTTTATATATACAATATAAAAATATTTTATCATTTTATATATATAATATAAAAATATTTTATATTTGCTTATGAAGTAATTCAAGCCACAGGAACTGATGTAGTTGACAATATAAGTCTTTCCTGAGTAAAGGTATAGAGGCTTAGGTCTATGGCTATAATTTTCCTGCTTCATATATATATTGGGCCTTCTGCCCATGATTTTCTAAAATACTCTTTGATTTCTATCTTTTTTTGTTTTTTGTTTTGTTTTGTTTTGTTTTTTGAGACAGAGTCTCACTTTGTTGCCCAGGCTGAAGTGCAGTGGCATGATGTCGGCTCACTGCAATCTCTGCCTCCCGGGTTCAAGTGATTCTCCTACCTCAGCCTCCCGAGCTGGGATTACAGGTACGCACCACCATGACTGGCTAATTTTTGTATTTTTAGCAGAGATGAGGTTTCAGCATATTGGTCAGGCAGGTCTCGAACTCCTGACCTAGGTGATCCGCCCGCCTCAGCCTCCCAAAGTGCTGGGATTACAGGCGTGAGCCACCGTGCCCGGCATGATTTCAAATCTTTTCAACACATCTTTCAGTTTAAGAAATGTGTGCTGCTGTTTGAACACTCATAAACCTAGGCAACTCTCCATTTTACAGTTATCCTTATATATTATGAGACGGATTAAAAAGCATCATGTCTTACATTAAATATCACATTCTGTTAATAATTGTTTGAAAGAACTTCTAATATTTTTGCTTTTAAATAATTTGGCTTCCTATAATGTAACTTACTACTGTTTACAATTTAGCAACAATCATTGCAAGAATTCCTGAGTATGTGTTCATACTCATACAATGAGAAAAATCTAACCAATAAGTTGTTTCTAAAATTAAGTGTCAATTTTTAAATAAAATTAAATATGCTTATTTAAAAAGTTTGCATAATGTTAGATTTTGTAGACATTTATTTACATATTTATTAAATTCAATTTCACAGTTTTCTTGTATATATTAAAGCTAATTTTTTTCCAGACCTCAAACATTTCAGACTCAAAAATCTCTAGTTGTTAGGGCCTGTGCAGGACTTCAAACACTGTGGGCCACATATAGAGAGCAAAAACATGTACCTTTCTTGGTTAATAGGCAAGACCATTACAAGAGAAGTTTTGTTACCCTCAGAGTAACTGACAGTAGAGAATTTGGAGGCCTTCACTCTTTACTTCCTTTACCAAAGGACTAAGTTCCAAAAGATTTACAACTCTTTCTCCTTTCTTGGTAGCAACTGGGTTTGTGGTTGCAAACAGGGATAAGGTGACTAGCTTTTTTGATGATTGAACAAAATGTTTTCTTCAATGGTTAAATCCCTACACTTAGCTCTTATTACATATAATAAACAGCCATATAGCCAATAATCCCTCAAGAAGGAATCTTTGTTGAGTACTTACTAAATTCCAGATTTCATGCTAGGGGCTATATGGATGTAAGTAAATTAACTCATAAATACGTGAGCTCAATATTTTAAAAACTTTTTTAAAGATGAGGGAACTGGGGATCAGAAAAATTAAATATTATATCTAGGTCCTGAGATCAAGTAAAAGGGAGCATTGGGTAATATTCACACTTGTATAGTTATCTTGTTTTCTATTTTAATTTGATTATTGCTGGCATAAGAGACTACTCTCTCATTATTCTAATAATTTTGTCATTTTTCTCTTGGGTTTCCTTTTGGGATGATCATGTTGACTTTAGATTATGATATTTCTTTACAATCCTTACACTTCCCTTTCCATTTTTTGTTTTATTATTTTAGTTAGGTTCTGCAAAACAATGTGAAATAGAAGCTATAAGAATGGACATCCTTTCCTGTTTCCTAACTTTAATGCAAATGCTTTTAAAATATCACTATTAAGTAATGATAGTTGATACAGGATTTTGGGAAATTAGCATTATCAGATCTAAGAAGACTGATTCGATTCCAAGTTTGCTGGGATTCTTTCCTAAAGATAAGATTGAATTTGTGAATGCTTCCTTTGATTTGTTCCCATGTATTTATACATATTTATACATGTATATATGTATACATGTACGGAAGAAAGGACTAAAGACTTTGAGAAATTTCATCTTCATCTTTGTATAATCTTAAATATTTTACCTTAACAAGTAGGTCTTATTTATTTTGCTATGTCCAGTTGGTAAAAACGAAAGCAAACAACTAAACCTTTTTCCCTCCTTCTTTGAGCTGTTTGTAGGAAGGGACAATGTTATAGCCATCAAGGTGAAATAAGGCTGCCGGGCGCGGTGGCTCACGCCTGTAATCCCAGCACTTTGGGAGGCTGAGGCGGGAGGATCATGAGGTCAGGAGATCGAGACCATCCTGGCTAGCACGATGAAACCCCATCTCTACTAAAAATACAAAAAATTAGCCAGGCATGGTGGCGCATGCCTGTAGTCCCAGCTACTCGGGAGGCTGAGGCAGGAGAATGGCGTGAACCCGGGAGACGGAGCTTGTAGTGAGCGGAGATCGCGTCACTGCTCTCCAGCCTGGGCGACAGAGCGAGACTGCGTCTCAAAAAAAAAAAAAAAAAAAAAAAGATGAAATAAGACTGAGCTTGTTTTTATCTCCTGACACACTCCCAGCTTCTTGAAAGCCCCCTGCAGACTGCAAGCCATAGGTTTGATACTTTGCACAGCTCTTCCCCTGGTGCTTCCAACTCAGGACATTGGGGCCAGCTTGTCTCTGAAAAATCAGGCTTTTATAAGAAATCTCAAGGCAAAAGGCTGAACTCTCTTGGTGGCTCCCAAGCACAAATAACTTTCTTATGTGAGTTTTTCACGTTTTGCAATTGGGGTCAGAGGAAAACAGTTTCCATTCTACGTGGCTCTGGGTGGCGTAAGCCCCACTTCTAGTCCTAGCTCTGTCATTTCATTCCTCTAGACCTCAGTTACCTCTTCTGTAATGTAAAGTGATTGAATCCTACAAGGCACTGACATTTGGACTCTTGTTTCCAGGAATCGCAGGGTGCTTATAGCTTTCACCTCTCTGCCCTCCTTTCCCATTTATGCCTCTCTAAGGATGTCTAAATACGAGTCCAGACACTTATCATGTGTTGAGCATAAGTGTGCCCCTCTGTTCAGATCAGCCTGCACGATGGACATGAGAACAAGGGATGTCATGACTACTTATTTGCCAGTGAAGGAAGGCACTTAAAGTGGCTTAAGCAATAATGGGGATTTATTGGCTTGTGTAACTACAAGTCCAGGGAGTGGAGAGTCTTCATGTATGACTTGATCCATGTGCTCAAAGAACGGTGTGAGGAACGGGTCTCTTTCCTCTTCTCCCTACCGCTTGGCTCTCCTCAATTTGGCTTCATTCTCAGGCAGCATTCTCCATGCTGGCTTCAGTTTGCATTATAACTTCTGCAGAAAGAGAGCTTCTCTTTCCCGAAATCTTGGGTTGGCTTTAATTATCTCAGCTTGTGTCACATACTCTATATCAGTCAGGACCCTAACAGGAAATAGTTCACTGAAATTGGATGCTTTGAGGAGACTTTAATTAGGGACTGTTCTCAAATACGTAGGCAGTGTGCAGAGAAACCACAGAGAACGGAGGCACCCTGAGGCTGTAACACTGGGATTCTATTATTATTCCTAGGCACGGAAACAGAAAGAGCTGTGTGGCCAGGACTGTCTGATGGACTGCAACCTTCCTTTGAGGGCTGCATTTACCCACGGTGAATACATAGCTTACTCGACCTCCTTCCTCCCTCTGCTCTTTTGCTAGTGTTTGCCAACGGCAGACTCTTAACTGGAAGCCAGAAGGTAAGGGAGCTCACTGATGAAGCCTGCACTGGTCAACTTTTTGGGCATAGAGCAGAGTGAGAGAGTGGATCAGATGGGAGATATCCATCCCATGCACATTTCTGAACACTGCGGTTCCTGCGGCTGAGGGAAATTAGTGTGTCATTGGTTAACCAGGGATGGAGCTGACAATGAGGCCAGGCTTATCTCAACTAAATGAGCTGTGTGTGTGTGCACATGTGTGCATGTGCATATCACAGCAGACCTTCATAACAGACCTGTCATGTGAGTGCAGTTATGTTTCCCAGGTCATCAATAAGGCAACTGAAACAAGCATGGTTAGGTCACCTACCCAAGGTCACAAAGTCTCACAAGCTTAGTAAGTATGAGTCCACTGCTTACTTACACAAATGAGGATAAGGAGAGACTATCAGAGTTTCAGGGAAACCAAGAGGGAAGCAGCGAAGAGACACTTACAATGGCAAAGAAAAAAATCCCTGGGAAATTGCTGGTTGTCCTGAAAATACATCATGGTGTGTTACCAGTTAAAGAGAGAGAGGATCCTGGGCTGGAAAAAATAGCAGGAGACCACCATGGGGCAAATGCATTTCTCTTGACTTGTGCTTATTCTAACCAGGCTTGAAGACACACTGATACTTCTCCTAGGTCTTCTCCTGGCAAGACTGAAGTGAACCCTGATTGGCCAAGGTGGCCCTGGTTGCTGAGGCTCAGCCTCCTCACCTTATGTGGATTTGTTCATGACCCCCAGTGCAAAGTTCCCTGGAAAACATGCTCCCCATGCTGATGGCTTGGCCTGATCCACAAGCTTCAATCTGAGTTGACCTTTGGCTCCCCATTGGCTGCCACCAAGCCTTGCCCCTTCCAGGCCAGTGTGCGTTGTTCTTCTCCCATCATTTGATACCCAATTCCAGTTCTTTCTCTCCATCCCCAATTTTAGACCAGATAACAACTTTTAACTGTTTTCCATTCCATGGGCTATTTCTCATTTAGGTGCTCAGATCCAGAATCCCAGTGATCCGTAATAAAGCCAAATTTTTGAGCTAATTGCCTTTGAGGATGCTACTTTTCTGTTGGTGCTGCAAGATGGAATTTTAGAGACTCTAACTCTAGGCAGCTCCCCTTTCTCCTCACTTCCCCCTTCCAATATCATGCGCTCTCCCAGGGCTCAGTAAATTACACTATCACAGCCCACCCTGCAGTGGTCACTTGGCAAAGAAAGGTGCTTCTGATGGTGGTCGCAGAGGAGTGTCACAGAGGAAAGGCAAACAGGAAGGGAGAGAAGACCATGGAGAGAAAATATTCTTTAATTCTGAGCTTTGTTGATGTAGAAACTTCAAACTCTAGACCAAAAAGTTCCCCAGAATCTTACCAACTTGTACCCCATTCTCCTCCCTGTCCTTTCTCCTCCTGGCATCCCCCACCAGGGAGGAACAAATGGGAATTGCGCACTTAAAGAACATGGGGAAAAGGAGACATTCTTTCTCAGGAAGACAGCAAAACCCCTGTCATTATTGACATAATGCACTGAGTATGTATCCGTAATACAATCATAAAATATTCTGTCTTAGGAGAGAGCCTGTGTGCTTGCTGCACTTGTTGCTATGGCAGCTGGACAGTTTTAATAACTGCAAATCACAAGTCTTTGGCTCATAGGGTCTTTTTTTTTTTTTTTTTCCAGGACCAGCAGTAATTTCCCAGGGACGTTTTTTCTTTGCCATTGTAAGTCTCTCTTGGACTGCTCCCCTCTTGGTTTCTCTGAGACTCTGATAGTTTCTCTTTACCCTCATTTTATAAGTGAACAGTGGACTCATACTTACGAAGCTTATGAGGCTTTGTGACCTCGGGTAGGTAATGTAGCTGTGCTTGCCTCAGTTGCCTTATTTATGACATGGGAATCTAATTGCACCCACGTGATAGGTCTGTTGTGAAGATTAAGCGAGATAATGCAAACAAACTGCAGAGCACTGTGCCTGGCGTTAGAAAATGTTGCTTCTTATTATTGAAAAAGGAAATATGGATTACGGGGATCTTATAACAGGCAGGAGGAGTTCAGGCCCTGTGATCTAGCCCTGAGAAGGTGGATAAGCACTTGGTGTTCCTTTGCTTCATTGCTTCTCCTGTTTCCTGATCCTATGCCTGGGTTAACTCTTGCTTTGCTGGACTTTCCTCTCTCTGCTGTCTCCAACGGGATGACAAAGATAGCGGCAGATGCCATGAGGACGAGGCCTGTGGCTCAGATCTTCTTTGGATCCCCCAGGGCCCCTCACAGGATGTTTTGCACATAATAAGTGCTCAGGAAGTGTCTGTGTGTTGATACCTGCATGGGGAGGGGGCCACTCCAAAAAGGGAAAATGCTACTGAACACCTGTCTGGAGGTGGGAATTTACATGAACGATTCTGGCCTCGCAGGGAAATTTTCTCCCAGTCCTCTCTGGCTCCCATTTTCCTTTGGTCAAAGTTCAGTTACCAGCAGCCACCTCTTCACACCTTTGGCTTTTGTCCACTTGACTCCAGCAGCCATTCAGGAACCAGAACCAGCATGCTGCCTGGTGCTGCATTCCATCCATTCCCTGTTTCAGCCCAGGTGGAGGACTGACAAGGAGAAGGAAGGAAGGGGAAGACTGAGAGGACACTCGAGAGGTCCAAAGCTGCACTTTGTCTTTCGTCTTCTGCTTTTTCCTTTAGTTAACACATTATTTGTAAGTAATAATGTACTGCATTAAGTAATTAAGTAATGAATGCATACAGTCCTCATATATTGCATCGGTACAAAAGTAATTGTGATTTTTGCCATTACTTTCAATGGCAAAAAGAGCAATTACTTTTGCACCAACCTCATATATGTATAAAAGTATTCAAGCAAACAGAAAAAAGTATGACTTCTCTCTCTGAAGGTCATTGCTGTTATCACATTAGCATTTATCCAGATGCTTTTATTTATTTAAATGTATACATACACATACACACATAGAAAGAAAAATGTGCCTTTGTGTTTTATGCATATTTTATCTAATAAATAATATTATTCTGCATTTATTGTTTGTAGCTTTTTTTTTCTCCTTAGTTATATACCTTACCATGTTGGCACTCAATCTTTTTACCTGCTACATGATAGAAGTTTGTAGTATCATTATGCTACATTTCATTTAATTAATCTTTTACTAATGGAGACTTAGGTTGTTTTTATTTTTCTTTATATAGTGAGCATTATAAAACATGAATTGTTATACATAGGTACTTGTTTTTCTCCAAGACAAATGCCTTTTCACTGGTATTGCTGGTCCTTTAGGTAAGTTTTCTTTTATACTGTTTGCTAAAATATTATTTTCTTCATTAAAGTCTTAGAAATTTTTGTGAGCTGTATTCTTAGCTAGTTTCATAATTTCTATTATGAACAAGAATCTGTTATTCTGTTATATTTTATAATGCATTGTCTTTGGTGTATAGGAAAAGCTATTGTTTTTTTACTTTATTTGTATATTTTTTAAATAAAATTATTTTATTTGTTGTAGAGATGGGATCTTTTTATGTTGCCCAGGCTGGTCTCAAACTCCTGGCCTCAAGCGTTCTTCCCGCCTTGGCCTCCCAAAGTGCTGGTGTTACAGGTGTGAGCCACTGCACCTGGCCTGTATTGATTTTTGAGTGCTGATCTCACTTTGGATCACTTTGCTGAAAGTGCTTATGAATCCTAAAATCTTTTTAGATCTTTCAGTTAAATTGTATTATCTGCAAAAAATGATAATTTTTATCTTCCTTTCTAATTCTTATATTGCACTTCTTTTTCTTATCTTATTGCATTTGCAATACTATTTACTCAAAGTTTGTCCAAATCTTCACACCCTTAGCCTTAGGGGAGAAATATCTCACAGGAATAGTCAGGAGCATACAGATTTACTGATATTTTATGGTATTTCTCAGGAGTAGTTTTTCTGCCATAGGAAATGACTTGATGATTAGAAAAAAATCGCATGAGGGCGGATTTCAAGGGAGACATAAAGGTTCTTGCCCATTGCCCTGAAAAAAATTAATGCACTGAGAATAGCAGGCGGTGCAGCAAAGAAAGAATTTAATTATTGAAGGGCCAGCCAAGCAGGAAGATTGAAGACATTTCTCAAATTTGCCTCCCCAAGAATTCAGAGGCTAGGGTTTTTAAAAATACTTGGGGTGGCAAGGGGGGACTGGGGAACTGAAAGAATTGATTGGCTGCAGATGAAATCACAGGCTTAGACAGATAATTGATTGGCTGTAGATGAAATCACAGGCTTAGTCAGTTTCCAGGAGGGGGTCGCAGGACCGGGTGGCATGTCTTGATCTGCCAAAATGTTACATCTGAAAAATATCTCAAAGCCCAGTAGTTGGGGAAGTTGTAAATCCTGTGACCTCTGGTTATGTGACTCTGGGGCAGTCAACCACTTATAGAGAAGCAAGCTAAGCATGGTAGGTTATTGTTTAACTATGCTTATTCTTTAGCAAAGTTCATGCCCCTACCGTAATTCCAGCCTTGTGATCTTTTGTTAGTCTTTACAAATACAGTTTCAATTTTTGAACAAGGAGGGAATTAATTCAAGGAAAGGACTATTATGGCTTTGCACAAGAATAAGCAAAGGCAATTTAGCCCAGTAGAAGCCAGATGGAGTCAGTTATGTCAGATTTCTCTTACTACTATAACTTTTGCAAGACAGTTTCAATAATGGAAAAGAAGACTGGAATGTTCTTTCAAAAGCTATCAAAAGGTGATGTCAACAATATCCACTAACAAAGGAATTAGGCAGCTCTTGTAGATGTGAATATGGGTGTTCTTTCTTTTTTTTCTTTTTTCTTTCTTTCTTTTTTTTTGAGACGGAGTTTCACTCTTGTTGCCCAGGCTGGAATGCAGTGGCGCCATCTTGGCTCACTGCAACCTCTGCCTTCCGGTTTCAAGTGATTCTCCTGCCTCAGCCTCCTGATTAGCTGGGATTACAGGAACCCGCCAACACAGCACACTAATTTTTGTGTTTTTGGTAAACATGGGGTTTCACCATGTTATCCAGGCTGGTCTCAAACTCCTGACCTCGCGATCCACCAACCTTTGCCTCCCAAAGTGCTGGGATTACAGGCATGAGCCACCACACCTGGCCATATCTAGGTTTTCTAACAGCTTTGTCTTGTGGCACAGGATTGTCTTTGACTTGTGGTTGGAGATTTTCAGACTTAATGACAAGTTGTCAAAGGATCACACCCAGATAGATCTAACTCAACTCTATCTTCACGCCTGTGAAGGTGACAAGCTTCTATGCTCCCAACCTGATATCCTAAGTGTTTGCAATATTTCAGACTGGCTCCATGGATCCATTCACTCTCTCCATCACCTCCCGTTTTGATGAATGTTCATAGCCTATGCTGCAAGGTAATATCTCAGGTTGAGTCTCAACAATGGACTCAGACAAGCTGATTGGATATAGAGCTACTCCACACCTTTGACTCTATAGCACAAATTTCTGAATTATTTATTTAACCAGGCTAATGATGTGGGAATGGTGGAAATCAATATAATGAAGATCAGAAATTCCCCAGTGTGGACATGTCTTTTTTCATAATAAGATCATTGAAGGACACTCCACATCATGCCTCCTTGTATTTCGGTGATCACTAATTGCCTTCTGCAAAGTGCTTCAAATCACAGCCCCCTTTGCAAATAGATTTTTAAAGTTGCTCAGTCTCAGAAAAAGTTGGACTCTAATTTAGTGCTTTAATATTGCTATGCTTTGTGTGGAGGCATTTAAAAAACTTTTATTATTTTACATGAGAAATCTACCCCTGGAGTTCAGTGATATAAAGAAGTTACCAAACTTTAAGTGAAAATCTTAGATTTTAATAAAGTGGATTTTCTCATCTTTCTTTCCTTAAGAAAATGTCAAACTTTGGGACTCAAAGTAGAACTGAAGGGCCTTGAGTAAATATGCATGAAGATGAAATGGCAATGTGGGCAGCCTGGCTCTGGAACAGACAAATCCTAACGATATTGCTTCTGTGTGTTTTCCCTTCTCTCCCTCATGTTCATTTCTTCCTGAGTAATGCTCTGGGCCTGACAGAGAAGCACATGAGGTTTTCTGGTTGCTGGAATGAGGTTATTTAAAGTAATAAAATTCTGCCAACTAAAGTTTAGGAGGAAAATGCTTAGTAACTGTTGGGAAACAGCCAGTTCCTAGGAAAGCAGTAAGTAGTGTGACCAGAAAAGGAGCTCAGTGGCTTGTGCAACAGTGGGTGGTTCTCCAGGATAGAGGTCAGCCCCTTTGGTGGACGCTGGGAAGATACCTATTTGAAAACTGGTCCCAAATGAATTTCCACTGGACTGTAAGCTCCATGAGGACACAGCTGGTGTCTTGTTTTGGACAGGGCATCCCTAGTGCCTAGGTCACAAATCTGTCCTTGGTAAAATTCAATGGAAAGAGTCCACAGGGGAGAAATCTGAGTGACATAGCAGATGCCTCTGATGCCTGCACGTGCCACATCCCTTCATTTACCTCTGAATCAGCTGCAGCTTCCATGGACTCACCTCGTGTTGCTAGCTACCCACCTCAGATATGCAAGGCTGCAAGGTGAGTCTTCCAGCCCTCTGCCCCAGGGTCCTCTTGGAGGTCACAGGAATTTGCTCAGCTGTGCATTGCAGACTAGAGATGGGGTGACATTAACACGCTGGGCAACCCTCAGCCAGTGAGGCTGGCAGCTGGTGAATACACACTGGTGGATAAAGTCTCTTGTCTTTTAGGTGGACAACTGTGGCAGGCATCCTGTATGTGTAGAAGTGATTTCCTGTTGCTCACAGCAGCAACCCCGGTAACACACCCTGATGTTTGCTTTTCCTTCTTCCCTGTTTCATTCTCCCTCCTCCCTCATTCCTGCTTCCTGAGATTATCTGCTACATAGAACACTCTACCTTTCTTGGTGGCTTTTGCTCTGCTTGGGAGGGAACCCAAACTAAAACAAGTGTGTAGGAGGGGCACGTTCACTTTTATCTTTCCAAGTGGGTCTTTCTATTATTTCAGCCTCATTCACATTCGACACTGAGCCATACCACCCAACTATGAGAGCACATGCCCTGGATGTGGCTGTCTGGGTTTACTTCTTTTAAACAATGTGACCCTGAGCATGTGCAGTGCTTGTGTGTGTGTGTGTGTGTGTGTGTGTGTGTGCGTGCACATGCATGTATATACTGTAAGTGTATATGTAGGTATATATTTATTTGGGCATTTTGTGATATTTTGACTTCTTAAAAACAAACATTTCTGGCTGAGAAGAGACTGCCCCTCCTAGGACTAGTCAACTCTTAGAGGCAACAAAGGGCTCAGCCAGAAGCATGCCTTTGATATGCAAACTAATCAATCCAGAGCCAGGCCTCCCCTGTCTGACCCATGCACCCTAGGAGGCAACATTCATCTGCCTCAGACATCCCAGGGCCAGGGCCCAGGCAGCTAGGAATCAACTCTGTAGAGTGTCCCAAATTATTCAAAGTAGCCAATCCCAAACTATTTTGCCTGCC
Source organism: Homo sapiens (assembly GCF_000001405.40). Lineage (NCBI taxonomy): Eukaryota > Metazoa > Chordata > Mammalia > Primates > Hominidae > Homo > Homo sapiens. Next base: position 111,999,309 of record NC_000010.11, on the reverse strand, counting down.
TTTCGTTTTCTTTCCTGGGGAAACCCCACTGAAGGCTCTGGCCTCCACCTTCCCCTGGCTCCCTTCTTCTGCCTCCTGACCATGCAGGTGCTTTCCCATGTGGTCCTGCATGGTCTGCCAGAGGCCTTCTGTCTGTAGGACCCGTGGGTATAATATACTTTGTTTTCTTGAGCCTCTTTCCTTGTGGCTGCACCTGACTGACCATCTCATGAAAGAATACAAAATAGCATGATCATTTTCAGCATTTTGTTGTATTTTCCTCTGTAAAATGAAAATGATTCCAGCTGATAACCTACTAGGTTGATTATTAAGCTTCAACAAGAGCATGTCTGTGAAGCTCTTAACGTCACACCAGCACGTGCTAAGTGCTTAATCCACGCTAGCTGCTGTTAGGATGATTGCTTCTCATGTAATGCTACTTTCAGTCCTCTATATCTGTTGTTACCTGTGTATGTCGATTATCTCTCCAGCTAAACGGGAAGCTTCTTAAGGACGGGACCTGCTGCTTTTCCATTCTTGTGTGCCCCACTGCACCCAGTTTTATGACTTTCACAGAGTAGGCATTCGATCATGTTATATGAATGAAAGAATATCCTTGCTGTTATTGGCAGTGATTTGAATAGCAACTGCTTATTCTCAGAGCTCGGATGTCTGAAATCACTATACTATCCTCTGTCCTTCAGAAACAAAGACTAATCTCCCAGGCCATGGACTTTTGAGTACATTTTCCAGAAATATTATCATCATCAGATTGCATTTGTAATTGGTTAAGAGTGATTGAGAGGAGAAATTTATTTTTTTCTTCCTTACAACAGTTGTTCAATAGAACTTTCTTTTTCTTTTTTTTTTTCTTTTTTCTTTTTTTTTTTTTTTTGAGATGAAGTCTTACTCTGTCACCAGGCTGAGTGCAGTGGAACGATCTCGGCTCACTGCAACCTCTGTCTCCCGTGTTCAAGCGATTCCCCTGCCTCAGCCTAGTAGCTACCATGTACATTGGAGCTCTTGAACATTAAAGAACTACATAAAAGGTGGTCAATATGACTGAGGAACTAGATTTTATATATTATTGTATTTTTAATACTTTAAATTTAAATCTCAAGAGCCACATGTGACTAGTGTCTATTGTACTGAAAAATGCAACGCTGTGTAGTTCTTGCCTGGGACATGGTTGGTGCTAATAAGTTAGTTGAATGAGTGAGTGGATGTTAAACATTTAACATCTTTTCACATCTAATTTCTTCTTTGTTCTTCACAACTACCATTTGAAGAATTGTAGCAGAGCAATTATTATTGTACAAATAATGGTGATACCACTGCTATTATTGTTGCTACTATTAGTACTAACAGTAACAATAGCCCTAAAGGACAGGTATTGAGTTTCTCCAGGCACCTGCCAGGTACTTTAGACACAATGTCTTATTTATTCCTCATAATAACTTCAAGAGGTGGTGACTTATTTTACCTTTCCTCTTCATTAGTTTGCCAGGGCTGTCACAACAAAGTGCACAGACTGGGTGGGTTAAACAATAGCAGTGCGTTTTCTTAAGTTCTGAAGGCTACAAGTCCAAGATGAAAGTGTTGACAGGTTTGGATTTTCCTGAATCCTTTCTCTTGGCTTGCTGGTAGCCACCGTCTGCTGTGACCTCACTTGGCCATTCCTATGTATGTGCACACCCCTGGCGTCTCTCTGTGTGTCCATATTTCCTCTTAGGAGGATATCAGTCATATTGGATTAGGGACCCCTAAGGATGTCATTTTCACTTAATCACTTTAAAAGTCCTATCTCCAAATAGAGTCACATTTAGAGCTGTTGGGAGTTAGGATTCAATATATGAATTTTGGGAGGACACAGTCCAGCCCATAACACTCCCAAAAAAGACTCCCAGACAAGAACTTGTGTGCAGACCATCCATTTGGGAAGCACAGTTGAGTTTATGTAAGTGAAAGTGAGACATGTAGAAAAGCCAATAAAGGGTGTCTTAATAAACCTCAATCCTGCTGACAACAGACATTGAAATCGCCCAACCAGCTGGGCATTGTGGCGCAGTGCCTGTAATCACAGCTACCTGAGAGGCTTTCACTTGAGCCCAAGAGTTTGAGACCAGCCTGGGCAACACAGTGAGACTTCATCTTAAAAAAAAAGAATTGCTCGACCAGAGCCTGGGGAGGTTGGGGCTTCTACATTGGACAACCCTCTGGCACTTGGGGATTGCCTCTGCCTCTGGCTGAGCAGGCTCTTATGATGCTGGAGAACGTCCTCCAGAAGAGAAGCAAGAGACAGGAAGATGTACTTGAGGTGGGAAGCTGTCAGCTTCAGCTGGAAACTCAGCTGTGCCTATGGGAAGGGGGGTGGAAATGAGAGAACATTAACAACACCTGTTACAGGGAGGTAGTATTGTCCTCATTTTATGGATAAGGAAACTGAAACACATAGATGTTGAGTAACGAATAGAAAATGATGGAATTTGAATTTAAATTTAGTTTATTTTTGGTTGCAGAACCCACAATCTTGGCTGCCTCATTAAAGAAACTCATTCATGGGCCTGGTGCAGTGGCTCATGCCTGTAATCCTAGCACTTTGGGAGGCCGAGGTGGGCGAATCACGAAGTCAGGAGATCGAGACCATCCTGGCTAACACAGTGAAACCCCATCTCTACTAAAAATACAAAAAATTAGCCGGGTGTGGTGGCAGGTGCCTATAGTCCCAGCTACTTGGGAGGCTGAGGCAGGAGAATAACTTGAATCCAAGAGGCGGAGCTAGCAGTGAGTGGAGATCGTGTCACTGCACTCCAGCCTGGGCGACAGTGTGAGACTGTCTCAAAAAAAAAAAAAAAAAAGAAGAAGAAGAAAAAAGAAACTCATTCATTAATTAAACAACGTTTCTTGGGCATCTTCTATATGCCAGACACTGTGCTAATGCAGGGATATAGTGGGGCCACACACAAATCTGCTCCCAAGCAGGTCATGGTTCAGTAGAGACTTATCCAAGAATGAGTCAGTGGTGAAGCTGGGGTGATAACCCTGTCACAGTCTTCTTTCCTGCCCACAAGCTGAGCTACAAACCCAGGTGCATGCACTCTCAGGCTGTGTGCATTCTTCTTTTAAGACTACCTTCTCATTCTTAGATATCAGTCCCTTTGTTGACGTGAAACATCTCAGTTCTTTAGTTTTGTTCCAAAAAGAGGCTACCTGGGAGATGAATAGAAAGTGAGTGTGAAGTTTGTCACTGGACAGTGTTTTCTACTACTCATTCATGTTTGCTCTCCCACCTCACAATACTCCTTGCACAAGCCAGCTCTGCCATGCACCGTGGTCTCTGCACTTCTGTTCTGTGACATGGCCGAGGTGAACATGGCAAAGATGCCTAAGGGACTTCTGGTAAGAGACCTGGAGCTCCATCTGTGATCTGCTTGAAGGGATCTTATGGCAAGTGGGGAGGGATGGACTGAATCTAGCAGTCTCCTTGAATTACTTGGAAGGAAAAGGAAGCTTCTGTTTCCCTGATTTGTGGTGCTTTCAATCAAGTTCATTTATTCAGAGGTGACAAGCACATGAGGTTTACGTTAGAATGTGTGCATTTATGTAGCTACTGATGATGCATATTTAGCAAAGATCAATATATTATACCTGTTTTGACATTCTTGTCTTTTTAGCTGGCAAAACCTTACTTTTTGGTGTCCAAATGTGTGTTGACTTACTCCGTCTCATTTGAGTCTCATAAGAGTTTTACAGTGTGGAAGCTGAGGTCCAGAGAGATGAACACTTGCTCTACTTCCCAGGGTTCTTGGGAAGAATAAATGAAATTATAAATGGAGAAGGAAGTTTGGGAAATGGAAAGTAGAGCATTATGCAGGTGTTATTGTTTTCCAAGTCAAGTGTCTTTTTAGTGACACATCTGGAGTCAGACAGCTTGCTTTTTCACTTCTAAAACAGCACAGTGATCACAGTGATTCTGTGATTCTGCTGCTACAGGATAGTTGTTTTCACTGAAGCCTTTTAGAACATCAAAGGAATCCAATTCCTTCACAGGTGAACACTGAACATCTTGATGTTAAGCAAGTCTGTGAATTACCATTACTACATGTTCCAGTTATTACTGCTGCAGAACAAATTACTGTAAATTTAGTTGAGCAAAACAACATCCATTTTATTAAGCTTCCAGACTCTGTGGGTCTGGAATTCCAAAAAAAGCACACAGTGGGAATGATTTGAATCTGCTTCATGATATCTGGGGCCCTCAACTGGGAATACTGGAAGGCTAGAGGTGACTCTATTGCTGGCGGCTGAAATAACCTGAAGATTCTTTCATTTGCATAACCAGTACTTAGAGAGGGAATAAGACCAGGACTGCTGACTGAAATACTTACATGTGGTTTCTCCCTGTGTCTTGGGCTTCCTTACAGCATGGCTGCCTCAGGATAGTTTTCTTACATAGCAACTCAGGGCTCCAAGTGCAGGTATTTCACTAGACAAGTCACAAGCTGAATTGTCTTTTAACATCTGCCACAGTCTCTTGGTTGCCAAAAGCTTACTCAACTAGGAAACAGGGACAAAGACCTCACTTCTTCATGGGAGGAGTATGTGCGAGGTCATGTTGTCGAAGAGCTTCTAGAATATGGGAGATACTGCTGCATCTATCTGTCCAAAATACAATTTGCTATCTGGTTTCATCTTTTTTGCTCTTTTTCCTAATTTCATTTTTTTTTTAAATTATAGACTCATATGTGCCTATGTAAAATGTTTCAAAGTTTATTTGAAAAGATGTGCAAATATTAACACAAACAATGAACAAACATAAATCATAGCTTTGGGAGCAAGAGAGAAAACAGAAGCATAATTTACATTTTCCATCTGGCTCCATAAAGATAGCTTTTCCTGAGACTCTATGGAGAGAAAATTAGCCACTGGATAAAAATGTAAGCCGTTCCACCTAACACTAATAGCATTTATTACAAAGCAATTACTGATAGCCTTAAACAGCTTCTAGACTGCAGCTGTGATGTAGACACACATTCAGCTTTATACATGTTAAGTGGACGCCTACCATCCTCTCTCCCTGAGTTAATAAAAGCCAACTACATGTGAAACAGGGTGATTGACAACTATAACCATAGTAGCAGCATAAGATATTGCAAGGGGAGAGATTTGACAAGCAATGGGTATTTCTGAGTAGGAAGATGGGAGCAAGTAGTGTGTAGTGTCGCAGATAAAAGCTTCCATTGGATCACATCAAAGCTTTCCTGACAAGTATGTGTTCCTGGGAACCAGACAAGAAACCAATTTCCTGAGAAATCTTTGGAAAGGGGTTTTATATAGGAAAAATCAAAGCAACACGAGGTGGCTTTCCAAAGTCCAGGATGGTTTGTATGAAAAAGAGTGTTAACATGCCTTTGCTAGACTGGCCATAACATTTGTGTTTAGATTTCAAGGACACCACTGACGTCAGATAAGCACACACACACAAGCACACATCATGCTCAGATTAGGTTTGTACCTAATTATGGTTTTAGTCTGTGGAGTTGCTAGAAACATAAAGGTTAGATTATAATAGGATACTTGCAAAACTCCTAATTGAAAAATCTTTATCAGCAGTTATTGAACACCTACTGTGTTCAAAGTTCCAGAAGACACATAAAGATGTTTGACCCTGGAATGTTGCATTCTAGTTGGAGAAACCAGATGTAAAATGTAGAGTGTTGTGTTGCTAATTGGATATGGGTTTAAGAGATAAACTGAGTGTTGCAGACACTGCTTTTGTTGGGAAGATTGTGTACTCCCTGAGGCTGAGGCTGTCTGGCAAGTATTCTCAGAAGAGATAAATCCCAAACTGAATTTGGTGGGTGGCTAGGATTCAAAAGGTGAGAGACTGAGGCATTCCAGACTCAGGCTGAGGGAGCAGGGAAAGAAAATAGGGGTGTACAAAGGTGTGGGAGCAGGGATGCTATGTGTGGGCTTCCGCAGCCCAGGGAGTAATGACAACTGAACTTGAAAAAACTGGTCAGGTCATCTCACAGAGGGCCTCGAATGTGAGGCTGCTGGCTGTTTAGCTGGAGGCAGAGGGAATCACTGCATGTCTTTGTTTTTGAGTGAAGCCAAGAAGAAAGTTCAGAGCTCTGGGACTAGCAGCAGCCAGAGTTGAAAACAACCCCATTCCAGCAATCCCAGCCTTTCTCTGAGGCCTGCCTTTGATTTTATAACTTCCTACCTAGTGACAGCTCTGATAAGGACACTTGGGCCACCACATGAATTACTCAGATCAAATTAAAGTTATCAATCTCCAGTACAAGTAGAAAAGAGAATGAGGCTGCTTCTGAGTCTGAGTCAGAGTAACTGAGGCTTTAGCAATCAGCCTGGATGCTTGGGGAATTGCTGTGTTCCAGGGGCCAGTGTTCCAGCAGGTATTCTGCTTATAACCCACAAAGGAAGGTGAAAAAGTCTGCTTTCAATTCCTCACCACTGCCTGGCTGCACATCAGCAAGGGATGTGCATAGAGGAGCCCCTTATCCTCTTTTATCTAGTAGAAAAGGGTCGGGAACAAACATTAGAGAGAATCAGGTTGGGAAAGGGAGACAGCCCATGTGGGCTTAGGCGACATCCTGCTTGTCTGTCTCCTGCCTCCCTGCTTCATATGGATGCTCAGGGAAAGGCATGGGGCATCAGCGAATGCTCAGCATTGGCAATTCAAAGATACTATCCAACTTTTCTTCCTTTGAACAAACAGCACAAAAGTGATGGGGAATGAATGAGAAATATGTTATTTTTAAGCAGCAACTATATACATTTTCTCAAAATGCAAGGGAAGTTATTTATTCATTTAACAAATATTTTTTGAGAAGCTACTACACACCAGGCTCTGGGCAAAGAATGCCATGGGGAACAAGACAGGGCCCTGTATCATGGAGCTTTGGTCTATGTGCGGAACGGTACTATGGAGGGACTAAGCAGGAAGCTCAGATGGGTGGGTGGAAGAGTAGGTGGAGGCAGGAGGCTTCAGGGGCACTTCCTGGAAGAGGTGATATATAAGCTGAGACTTTTGTAGGAGTTCAAGTTAGTCCAACAAATGGGCTAATCAGGGAGCAAATAGGAAAGAAGAACTGTCAGCAGAGGAACAACTACATGTTCAAATGCCTGGAATATGTCTTAATAGTTTCATGAAACTAAAATACAAAAATAAGACAAACAAAACAATGAAGCTGGCCTATACAGGACAAACAGAAGAAAATGTTATTTTTCTTTTCTCTGCATTCTCATCTCAACCCTGCTTTTCATGAATTCATTTGGTCATTCATTTTACAGTCAGATATCAAGGCATAAAAGCAAGGGGACAAAATGTTTAGCTAAGGCAAGAATAGGACTCTGTTCCTTTTGCTCTCACCTCTTTGGTCTCAGGCAACATACATTTTGGAGCTGAGTGTGCTTGGGCTTGAATCCTGATTTACTCTTGAAATCTTCATTTACTAGCATTGTTACTTTGGTCATGTGGCAAAATGCCCTTGGTCTCAGTTTTCTTATCTGTAAAATGATGTACAGATAATATCTACCACACAGAGTGGTCTGGATAATTCAATGAAATAACACATGTATAAAAATAAAGGTGCCCACTCCACAGTGATCTAGCTTGAGGTTACCGCAGTGTATTTTGTTCAGCCCCAAGTTCACATACAGAGACTTGCCCTTTGCCTCTCTTTGATCTCACAGTTGTGGGGAGTACCATGGAGACATATCTCTGGAGGACAGCCAAATGATGTAGTGTGGTAATTTATGGCATGGGTTAGGTATCACACCACTCCTGGACCTACTGGCTCTGGGTGGGATGCCCCATGCACTGGAGGACTATGTAGTCATCCAAGAAGCTCGGCTCTGACAAAACCCCCATGCACTCAAACAGTTCCCTGGCAGAGGCCCTTCTCTCTGCCCACTCCACTGGGACCTCTGCAGCAGCAGCCCTTGTCTTGAAGTCCACTCACAGATTGGGTTTCTGCCATTTGGGAAGCTTCCTCCTTCTCTGTTACTCAGTTGGGGTGCACTTCATCACCAATGAAATGAAAACCCAGATTGTTAACACCTAAAAAGCTTTTCATGTTACATCTGGGAAGGTACAGTTTCTGACCTCTACTTTGCCTTAAGAAGCAAAGCAAAAAGCAAGCAGAATTTGTTTCTATTAAGAGAAGTTTGAGTGCCTGAGCCCTGGTTACTTAGCCCCTAGAGTCTAACAGCCTAGATCAATGGAGGCTTCTTCCGACCCATTTCTTCTTCCTCTTATTTTTCCCCTGGTTTCTCTTCTCTTTCCTTTCCAGCTTCTTCCTCCTTTCATCACATTCCTACTGGAGATCATAGTCAATTTTTAGTGCAGTATGCCCCTGATTCCTCTAGTGGCCACCGCAACCCATCTTTCCTGAGCAGCATCCTCTTATCCGAGTATTAAATAGATGGGACCTAGTGACCCCCTCTCATGCTTTTTAAGCCTGGGAATTTCATTTCTACCACAACTTGGAGATTGTTTTCCCCCAATAAGTAATATTCTGCTATTCTCTTTCCTAGAATGTTAATTTCCAGAAAGAGCAATGAATTACCTAGAAAGAGCAATGAAGCACAATGAAATACCTGTATATCACCCCCAGAAGGATTAATGTCAATAGGGCTGATAGTTACAAGTGCTGGTGAGGGTGTGGAGCAACCTCGCTAAATGAGGATGGGGTGAGTTCCACAGTGATACTGCTTCTTCACATCCTGAAGTCCACAGCTGCTCTTGGGGTCACCCTAGCTCACTGGTTCTCAGAGTGTGGTTCCTCAGCCAGCAGCATCAGCTTCAGCTGGAAACTTAACAGAAGGGTACATTCCTGTGCTCCAGTCCAGACCTACTAATTCAGAAACTGTGAGGGTGGGGTGCAGCAATTTGGGATTTTAACTCTCACCCCAGGGGATTCTGTTGCATGCTCAAGTCTGAGAACCACTAGTGTAACTCTTAGTGGAGCCACTGAAAACTTGGTAAGAGCAGCTACAGATGAATGCCTTGGGCTAATTCTTCCTATCTGCCCAGTCTGGGCTTCCCTCTCCCTATCAACTTATAACTAGCACACAATTCACGAGGCATGGTTCTTTTTCTTGATTGCTTTGAGCAGTCTTCAGAGGTTCCTAGCTACTACTGATCCATAGAATATCTCTACAAAGGGTGCTAGGGTGGGTTTAAAAAGGGGGAGAAGAGAGGAGAGACAGGAAAAACATCTTTAATGAACTTATTTCCTCTTTGATATGCAAGGAGGAGAGGATGCAAGAAAAAAATAGGGATTATTCCTTGTCACCCTAAAAGTAGCCTAATCAACACATAACAAAATTGCCACAGCTAAAATGCATTGAAAGACAATCTCATTTACTCTTCCTGCTACCCTGACTAGGGAGAGAGAGCTTCTGCTGGAGGACCAATCCATCCTCGTGGGCATGGGAGAGTCCTGCTCATTGGTAGGTAACAAGCTGCTGCTCTGCCATGTTTTTGACTCCCACCACGAGCACGGCTGCTTATGCACGGTAAATTAGATGTGGCTGCCGTGCTGACATGGACAAATTGGCAATTACAGCGGAAATAATGCTGCTCTGGACTTCTGTTCCTGAGCTCGTGCTTGCCAGAGATTTCAACAGCAGGTTGCCTCCTCCTGAGTCAGGTGTTGCCTGCGGCATCTCTGCGAACCTTTCCTCCCCTCTCTCCCGGGGAGGAAAGAGCCGCGCAGGCAATTTGCCAGCTGGGTCTCTGGCGTCCTCAGCCACACAGCAGTCAGAGCCACTGTCACGCAGGTGTCTCTAGCACAAAACTCACGGAAGCAGAATCTGGGGTGGTCGCGGCTCCACTGAGACTATGGGGGTTCTCTGTGCAGGCTCCCATAGCTAAGCAGGCTAGGCTGGCTGAGGATGAGCCCCACCAACGAATCAACATGTGCAAGGCTTTTTTAGCTTTGACAGTTACCAAATAGAAATGTCAGAACGAGCATGTGGTGTCTGTAAGTGCTGAATAACTGGGGGGACAGACTGGATCTTCCTGTAGTCATTAGGCATTTAAACATGATTTCTTTCGGGATGGCTTCTGTGAACTTGCTTGTCTGCTGGGGAGTGCTGTCTTTCTTTTCCCTGTCTACTTAAGAACTGACCTTGATATTCACAAACAAATGGATTAAAATCGATAGAACTGGGCTTTTAAAACTGGAATGTGTGCACACATTACATGGAGATTTGTTAAGATGTAGATTTTAATTCATTACTGCTGTGGTGCGGCCCAAGATTCTGCATTTCTTGCAAGGTGCTAAGTGACGCTGAGGTGACGCCGCTGCTGCTGCTGGTCTGTGGACCCCTATCTGAGCAGCAACACTATAGATCAGCAGCAGCTCCCAGACCTATCTGTAAGTTGGAACCATCTGGGGAGCTTAAACAACTCTTGACATGTGTGAACACCCGATATAGTTTGGATTTGTGTTCCGGCCCAAATCTCATGTCAAATTGTAATCCCCAATGTTGAAGGAGGGGTCTGGTGGGAAGCGATTAGATCGAAGGGGCGGATTTTCCCCTTGCTGGTCTCGTGATAGTGAGTGAGTTCTCACGAGATCTGGTTGTTTAAAAGCATGTAGCACCTCCCGCTTTGCTCATTTCCGTCTGCTCTGGCCACGTGAGATGTCCCGGTTTCACCTTTCCCTTCAGCCAAGATTTCAAGTTTCCCCAAGCCTCCCTAGAAGCAGAAGCCTGTACGGCCTGCAGAACTGTAAGCCGCTTAAACTTCTTTTCTTTATAAATTACCCAATTTCACGTAGTCGTTTATAGTCATGTGAGAATAAACTAATACAACACTTTTCCCCACAACTGTGATTTAATTGGGGTGGGGAAAGGCCTGGACTTTGAAACTTTGACTCCTAAGTGATTCTTAAGTGCATACAGCTTGGGACCCACTGCTCTAGAGGAACTGATAAACAGCTGGTGCCTAGTAGACTCATCAGCAGCCCAATGAGCAAGGGAGCTGGGGTGAGGGAGAGCAGCGTCCTCTGCTAGGGCAACTTGTAAAGTAGGTTTGTTCTGTCTTGCAAAGATGGCTGGGTATCTAAATCACCTGAAACCGTGTTAACAGTTTGCAATTTGGGGCGTCACCCCAGGTTTACTGAATTTGAGTTTGTGAGGTGGGGTCCTGGAAATGTGTATTTTTAACAAGCTTCCCGGGAACTTGGGCATAACCAGCCCAGCACAGGTGTGGACTTGCCTGAGTTGAACACTCACATCTCTCACAGGCTTTTCACTGGAGTCACTTATTAGTTCCTCCAAGCCACCTGCTGTTGAACGATATTAGATATGCATTCTTGGAAATATAGTTTGCTCTGTTACTAGATGTTAAAAAAAATCTCATATGCTGCAGTTTCTCTCCTACTACAGCAGCTAGTGGCTGGCCATAGTGTGTACGACTGAAATGATTTCAGAACCTGGGGACCAACCCAGCCTTTGCTAGTGGGACGTTAGTGCCATCTTGGCCTGCCCTCTGGGCTTTACCAAAGAGATGACTACAGTCTTGGGAGACAAAACTGTGCTTGGAGCTGGGCTCTGGGCTCTACCGTAAGGCTCAGCCCTCGTGAACTTGCGAGCCCTGGAGAGGTTCTCCCTCTGAGTTACCTTTTCTAGCTTTGTGGGCTAAAGCCCTAGCCATTCTGTAGTTAGAGATTTGTATCTCCTTTCTGTTCCTTTTTTTTTTTTTTTGTTCCTTCAGGGGCATTCAAGTGTTTAGATTGAGCTATTGAGTATTGAGTTATTGAGTAGAACTGAGGAATATTAGAGCTGACACGTCTCTGCGGGTATCACCATCTCTCCAGGGCTTGGTTCTGGGCAAATTGACCTCCTTAACCTTCTTGGGTGCACGTTGAGTCTTTTTACTCATATGATTTCTGCCCATGTCCTTCCTTCAGGAATATGCTTCTACTTCTATCTTCCCGTTAAGATACATCCTTCTTTCAGTAATACCAACTTTCTCTTCTTCTGTGAAACTGGTCAGAGTGAAGGGTGGTAGGAGTTGGTATTGAAAATGTAAAATGGGGCTGCGTGTCATGGCTTATGCCTGTGATCCCAACACTTTGGGAGGCCGAGGTGGTTGGATCACCTGAAGTCAGGAGTTCGAGACTAGCCTGGACAACATGGTGAAACCCTGTCTCTACTAAAAATACAAAAATTAGCTGGGCATGCTGGTGGGCGCCTGTAATCCCAGCTACTCAGGAAGCTGAGCCAGGAGAATCGCTTGAACCCGGGAGGCGGGGGTTGCAGTGAGCTGAGGTCGCACCATTGCATGCCAGCCTTGGCGACAGAATGAGACTCCATCTCCCCTCACCAAAAAAAAAAAAAAACAAAAAAAACCCAAAAAAAAAACAACGGACCATTAAATGACTAGCTAAGATGTCTGGATTTAGCCTATTAAGCATGGAACACCAGAGCTGGGGAAAAAACATGATCAGAACTATGCATGAGGAATATTGAGAATAAAAACCAAGAAATGGGAATAAGTTATGAGGCTATTACAAAATTCAAGTGAGTGGTAAATTGTGTGAGCCTCTCTTAGGGGAGCAGAAATTTAGAAAAGGCAATAAAAGTGAGCAAAATAAAAAACATCCCATCCAAAGATAAGTAACCATTTAGATATATTTAGGAATTGACACCAAACTTCTGAGGAGATGAGACATGTTAAAATGCTTTCATAAGCAGGAAAGTGCCATGTAAAAGTAGGATATTGCCACTAGTAACTCATGTCTCTGTTGCTCATGAGTTTATCCAAATCTTAGAAAAATAGATTTAATGACTATCAAAAAGGTTGATGAAAACAGAGGGCATCATATCTATGATGTGGTGACCTGGTTTGTCATCAAAATGAAGTTACCCAAATATCACATCTACTTTTAAAGCAATCCAAATTTTAAGTCTGAAAATTCTGCTTTGAAATGCCACAAAAATGAAAGTTTCTCAAGTGAGTCATTCAACAGGACAGGCTGTTCTTTTTGGTTGTTCTATTCAAGCTACTCTCCAATCTCAAAAGTTTAAAAATACATGTCTGTGTCCCAATGGAGTCATCATCTATGGCTTGGTACAACAATTTATGATTTAGATCCAGGAAACAACTTGAATCACCTATTTCTCCACTGGGTTTTTAATAAAACATTTCTCAACATAAACTTGCAAATTGATGTCCATGTGCTATTTCCAATGGAGATTAGTACAACAGACTACCATTAAAATCTAATGGGTTTCTCTTGGAAGCTACAAGTATTATAAATGTTTTAAGGGAAGGGAATCATGTCTTAATCTTCCTGGAATCCTTCAAAGATCCCAGTCCTGTATCTGGCCCAGAGTAAGCAATCAATAGATATTTGTTACATTAGATGCAATTGCTGTAGGTTAACAGTATTTGTCTACTTGTTAATAAGTTACTGAAACATTCTGATTAACGTAAACTTACCTAAGACATGTATGAAATGACTATCATGGATTTAGACCTTAGTTGTGCTATCTGATTGGAACTGACAGCAATCCAACTCAAAATGACCTAGACTTTAAAAAATTTATTGCTGTTTGTCATGGGAATACCAGAACTATGTTCAGAAAAAAATTTTTTTTTTTTTTAAAATCTTTCAGGTGTGCTTGCTTCTGTATTGACTTTATTCTCCTGTAGGGTGTCTCATTGTTATGCAAATATGGCACCGGCATCTGCAGGCCTACATTCTATAAGCTTCAAAAATATAGAAGAAACAAAATTCTTTTCAATTATTCCAGCATCAAACTCAAACTGACTTTTATAAGCTCTGATTGTCCAAGCTTGGCTCATGGGCCCATCCCTGAACCAACCATTGTTACCAAGGAATATGAAAGTCACTTTTCCTAGCCCTGAGTTATTCCTGGATCTGGGGAATGATGCTAACTTCACCAGAGCCACTCAGGCTGAAAGTTGAGAAAGGTAATTTACAAGGGACAATTAAGATTCTGCTACTGGAAGGTAGAATAGATGCTGGACAGGCCAAAAATAGTAGATACCCATTTCAAGAGGATTGACATATATATCTGAAACAAGTTCAGTCTTCAAGGAGCTTAGAGTCTGGTACTCAAACTATTTACAAACTTTGCTGCAAAAAAATTAACACGTATTTATATTCCTGAGTGGAATTCAGACTTGGAAATCTAGTTTGGACAAATTGTTCAAATGCAAGGGACTTGTACAAAACTTTGTACATGGGATTCCTCAATGTTTGATCAGGCTTCCCAATAGTTAAATATACATCTGCCCTAACCTTAAGTCTATTCCACCTGCAGTTAAATGAGTGAACTTTGTTTTTACTTGGAAATCAGTAGTACCTTCTTAAAAACCTTATGCAAGTACATATATTCCTAAGACATATTTTCCATAGCAATCGTTCCTTAGAGCATAATCCCTGCTGGTTATGTAAGATGTGGGCTATGTGCCTATCAACAGACACCGAATCCTTAAACTCCATTGTTACTGTTGTTCTTTGATGACCAAATAGCACCAATGGATGAAAATAAGAGACATGCATGTCACAAGGAAGAGGCTGCCATCATTTGCATCCAGGTGTGATTTTCTGTGCTTAGACTTGCTCCTTACTCAATGTCTTAGGTTGGGTTTCCTAGAAGCAGAGTCAGACAAAATTCGTATGCAAGTGATTTCTTGAGTGAGTGCTCTCAAGTATGGTCCTTAAAGGAGCCAGGGAAGCAGGAGAAGACTAGGGAAGAACCTGGATGAAGATGTAGGATCCTAGCCTCAGTGTGATGACAGAAGGAGCTCTGGAGCATGAGAAGCATCCCAGTGTCGTCCCTGGGGAGGTAAGGCAGCCAGCTTCTAATACACATATTGTTCAGTCAATGGCAGCAGTCTTCTCCCTGCCCCATTCCTTGCAGTATTGTGCTTTGGGTAATCTCTACGGGATTGCTGGAGAAAATGGTTCCTGTTGATAAGGATTATTCTTAAGGAAAGGGTGACAGCTGTGAGCCATTTGCAGCCAACGCTCCCAGTTGGAGACTGGGAGGAGCGTTACCGCACCAGCCTGTAAAGGGGATCTGGGTAATGCGTGAACAGCTTATGCTGTCACAATGGTAAATTATAAATGTGTGGATGCTAAAGTCAGTCTGGTAGACAGTTCCCTTGGCTACAGAGACGCATTGACAGTGAACAAGTTTTGAACACACACACACACACAGTTTGTGGCTATACTCTCACTGTAGGAGATTGTAGGCCTGCCTGCCTCACTTTGGGACATGATTGGCAGTATTGTGTACAAATTATTATTTCAGCAGGAACAATGGAATTGTTGCTGTAATGCAACAAAAGTGCTTTCCCCTTGGAATGCTAGGAAGACATCCCAAAGATTTTCACAGTAGTTCTTTTAAAGGAGCATCAGTTTGAAATTCATTGTTTTCTGAGTTTTAAGGTTAATATGACCATAGGAAACAATAGGTTGTAATCTACTCTTAGTTCTTGTTCTATAGCTTGCCATTGGCATTGCTAAATAGACAATGCAAAGAAGAAGGGTGATTCTTAGTTTCCATCAAAGACTAGCTCCAGTACATTAACTAGAGTGTATCATTTCATAGAAGGGCAGCTCCTGAGAAGAACTGATGAAAACACATTCCATTTACAGAGAAAGATTAAACTGGGCCGTGAAGTAAACATGGCCAAGAAGTAGAAATGGTACTCTTCCTGACAAGTAATTCTAAACTGGCCCACGCTGAATTTAGGGGCTGCAGGATCTACAGTCCTTTCTGGCCTTTCTTTACTGTATTAATGGGAACATCCAGAGACCTTCTTTGGGAATGAAGCAGGTTTTCAAAACAACATTCATCATCAGGTTATAGTGGCTGCAATACAGCACTGAGGGCATGAGGCTAGGGAGTGAGGGACAATCTCTTTCTCTTGCCTTGGTCCTGATGGGTCTTGGATGGTGGTGATTTGGGGGTGGGCATGGGATGGGTAGGGGCAGGTGGTGTACTGCCTACAGGATAAAGCTGCTCTCATTTGTAATTACTGTGGGGAGGTGAGGCAAGGGGGGAGGCTGTTCTGGCTTTTCTAATTTCAAAAGATGCCTAAAGGACATAATAGGAGCTACATGCTTTTCATTCACAAATAGTTACACCAGAGAATGCTAACTGGGGTTTGCTACCTTAAGTGGCAAGGAATCTCTTGGAGCAGTTGGGGGGCATCATTATCTTGTTTATGTGCAAAAGAAGATTTAAGTAGATGAAAAGATGATTTTTATCTAGACAAAATGTTCCTACCATCCTGCATGTATAACCCAATTGCCTCATGTTAAAGTCATTCATGGATGGCAGAGGCAGCCAGGGCTGAAGTTGCCCATGTGTGATTGTACCTTGTAGATAAATAAGTTAAATGAGTCTGGTTCTGTTCTTCTATAAATACTAGGAGGAGCAACTATGAGAAGGAAACACTGAAGTCAATGTCCCAATGAAGACAGGGACCTGAGAAGACACATAGACAGACAGAGATGGGCTCTAGGAATGAGCTTTAAGTTTGCCCACTAGTGATGGTGGAATCACATTTTGCCTCCTTCCCTGCTCCCAGTTGAAGAGAAAGTGACTTGCTTGAGGTCACACAACTAGTTAGTGGGAGGCAGATCCAGGGCTTCACTCTTCAACTCCCATACCTCAGGGCTTTCTACTATACTTGAAATTAGAAGACAGGACTCATGGCTATGTGACCCATCTCTAAGGACTTCCTTAATCAGTTTTAGATTTATCCCCATTTTCTGGGGATATAACACTACCTTTTCCCACCTCACAGAGATTTTGTGACAGATAGGATATATATAAATACTTTGGAAACTGTGGGCCATTACAGTAGTCCCCCGCAATCCAAGGTTTTGCTTTTCATGGTTGTCCACGGTCCACCATGGTCTGAAAATATTAAATGAAAACTTTCAGAAATAAGCGATTCATAAGTTTTAAATTGTATACCACTCTGAGTACTAGACCGTGATGAAATCACCCAGGACACAGATTCCCCCTTTGTCCTGTTGTAGACACTGCCCACCCATGGGTCACTTAGTAGCTGCCTCAGTGACCAGATCAACAGTTGTGGCATCAAAGCGCTTGTGTTCAAGCCACACTTATTTTACTCAATAATGTCTCCAAAGTGATGGCAAGAGTGGTGATGCTGGCCCTTCAGATATGTCATAGAGAAGCTGTAGAGTGCTCCTTTTAAGTGAAAAAGTGAAAGTTCTTCACTTAAGGAAGGAAAATAATCGTATATGGAGGTTGCTAAGATCTATAGTAAGAACAAATCTTCTCTCTTGAAATTGTAAAGAAGGAAAAAGAAACTCATGCTACCTTTGTGGCACCTCAACTGCAAAATTATGACCATAGTGTATGACAAATTCTCAGTTAAGATGGAAAAGGCACTAAATTTGAGGGTGGAAGATATGAACAGACACGTGTTCTGATGGACAGCAATCCAGTTTGGTATTATCTGGGGTTTCAGGCATCCACTGGGGGTCTTGGGACATTCCCTGTGGATAAGAGGGATTACTGTATTTAAATATAATGATACTAAAAGATTTATTTCTAGAGTACCACACTGTCTCCCAGACTCCTGAAAAGTTATCCCTCTGCCGGGTTTCTCACTCCAGTAACATTCCTGTCAGTGGCTGCTCTTTGAGGAGAAGGTAGAACTTGTTTCCTCTGATGCTTTGATTTTAACTGTTTGGAAATAGTCCTTGCCCTGCTGAGAAAAGGTGTCTCTTTTTGAGAAGCCAGGTGTTTATTTAATTATGCATCAAAGGCTCTTTTTAGAACACATGGAGGCTTTTGTATTATAAAGAAACAGAGTGAGAAACATGTTTTCAGCAATCAGCTTTCAATTCTTATGCCAGTGAGTAAGACATTACAGGAAAACCTGGAAAAACTGCAATGAACCGATGTTTCTCTGTAGTTTTCCCTGGCAGGGATGCAAAGAAGGATCAACATTGTTCTACCCATGATATGACACAGGGGTAGTGTTCTAGGCTATGGTTTCTGTTTCCTTCCTGAGCTGAAAGTTAGTCAAAGACTGAAGAGTTTTAGCCTCATTAATCAATACCACTTCAGAGAATGACTATTAGCTTTGAGCAGTTTAGTAAGAACAGCCAAAAGGCAGTGTGAAATAGAGGAAAGAGCCTTCAGGGAAGAGGAAGTCTCACTGGATTTCCCTTTTCCCTTTGGCTACTAGAGAGCTCAGAGCCAAATATACGGCTCACTCACAGACTTGGCAAAAGGCATGAACTCTAAATGGACTAAAGATTTAATGTAAGACCTAACACTGTAAAACTCCTTGAAGAAAATATAGAGGAAAAGCTTCTTGACATTAGTCTTGGCAGTGATTTTTTAAAATATGTCAAAAGCCTAGGCAACAAAAGCAAAAATTAACAAATGGGACTATATCAAACTAAAAAGCTTTGTACAGCAAATGAAACAATCAATGTGAAAAAGGCAACCTGCGGAATAAGAAAATATTTGCAAACCATACATCTAATAAGTGGTTGATATTCAAAATACATGAGGAACTCACAAAATTCAATAGCAAGAGATCAAATAAAGAACTAAAAAAGAGGGGCCAAGAACCTAAATGGACATTTTCCCAAAGAAGACATACATATGACCAACAGATCTATGAAGAAATAGTCAATATCAGTAATCATCAGGGAAATGCAAATCAAAACCATGAGATATCACTTCACACCTGTCAGGAAGGCTATTATCAACATGGCAAGAAATAACAAGTGTTGGCAAGGGTGTGGAGGAAAGGGAACCCTTCTACATTGTTGGTGGGAATGTAAAGTGGTACAGCTATTATGGAAAATGATACAGGGATTCCTCAAAAAATTAAATAGAACTGTCTGATCAGCAATCCCACTTTGGGGTATATATCCAAAGGGAATAAAATCAGTATCTTGAAGAGATGTGTCCACCCCCATGTTCATTGAACATTATTCAGAATAGCCAAAATATCTAAACAACCAAAGTGTTCATCAAAGATGGAAGGATAAAGAAAATATGTTATATATACAATGAACTATTATTCAGCCATGAACAAGAAGAAAATGTTGCCATTTGTGATAATATGGATGAACTTGGAGGACATTAAGCTAAGTGAAATAAGCCAGAAACTAGAAGACAAATGTATGACCACAGTTATATGTGGAATCTAAAAGAAGTCAAACTCATAGAAGCAAAGAGTAAAATGGTGGTTGCCTAGGGGATGGGAGGTAGGGAAAATGGTGAGATGTTGGTCAAAAGGCACAAACTTTCACTTGTAAGATGAATAGTTCTAGGAGTCTAATGCACAGCATGGTAATGGTAATTAACAATACTATATTGTTTACTTGAAATTTGATAAGAGATCATTTTAAGTGTCCTTATTGGCTTACCGCCACCAAATGGTAACTATGGATGCTGATGGAGGTGATATTAATTTGACTGTGATAATTAGACAATGTATATGTATGTCAAATCATCATGTTGCACATCTTGAATATATACAATTTTTGTCAGTTAAATATTTTAATATTAAAATGAATTGATAAAGATGGGTTTATTATTTGTTTCTTGTGGTGTATTTCAGGTTCCATCTATGTCCCTATCACTGCTTTCTCTTTTCTTCTACTGATTTATGTGTTCCCCTGCCCTCCCTTTTTTAAGAGATGAATCGTGTTCTGTCACCTAAGCTGGACTGCAGTAGAGCAATCATAGCTCACTGTAGCCTCAAACTCCTGGGCTTAACCAGTCCTCCTCCCTCAGCCTCCCATGTTGCTGGGATTACAGGCCTGAGTCGCTATGCCTGGCTGTGTTTTTAAAAAGCATCATGCTAAACTGACATGAATCCTCTTTGGAACAATGGAGAGTACAGATTATAACAACTTTGAGTTTTGTCTGGTTATTCCTTCTTTCTGAGGCTGATTAGAACTTGGCTGAGATCTATTTCTGCCCTCAGATGTAATGAACAGCCTGAGAATAGCACTCTCAGGGGCTGGAGAGCGTGGAGTCGGCCAAGGGCAGAAGAGCAAGATCGATACAGGGACAAGATTTAGAGAACAGTAGGGCTGGAAGGGAATCTGGCGATCTGAGATTAAGCCATTATTTTGCAGATGGGGAGACTGAGGCCCAGAGAGAAGTGTGTTGCCTGTAGGCACATGAATGGTAGTGGCAGTTCCAGACCCGATTCCAGGTTTGTGTGTGTGGCAGGGCAGAGCATTCCCTTTCTCCCGCTCCTCCTCCAGTCAAGGTGGTCAGGGGTTCTTTTGGGCATAATAATACATCAAAGTTATCTGATGAGAGATGACTTACATTAACAAAAGAAAGATTTTTTTCTTTATAGATGTAACTAACACCAATGGATGTGAACATCCCAGACCAGACTGCTTGCCAGGGCAGATTCTTGGAGTGTCAGTAAAACTGGATCTGTGACTTGTTAATTAAGAGTCAGGGAGCAACTGCATGAAAGAAGAAAGCCATGAACCTTCAACACAAAGGAAGGCTCAAAATGAACCTGGGAGGAGACTAGTAGGGAAAGGGAGTTGATGGAAAAAACAGGAGAAAGGTCTTCAGGACACTCATGTGGGCAGATGCCACAGTCCTGACTAAAAGGATACTGAAAAGGAGTAAAAAAAAATTTTGGTTCACTTTCTGTGCCTTGACTTCGTTCTTCACTGGTTATGAGTAAGACAGGAACTTTCTGGGGACAGACTGAGCCTGTGTACCTTTTTGACCATTGCAGGACATAGTACCCAAGATACACTGAGTTTTTTCCCCTCTTCCTCAGAGGCTCTGCTGTGTATGTGTGTGCTCCTTGCATGCAGTGGCTGGGATTTAGACAGCCCATCCAATCTGTCATTGCCAATTTGAACTCTAGGTCTATCCCCATGGTATAGCAAACCCCATTTGCTTGAGGTCATTTGAACATTTAATGAGTATACTTTTTGTATTATATTGAGTGAAAGCAAAGCCCACTATCAGAAAAGTCTTAATAGAGAAGATGAGACCCGAGTGAAATTGGCATAACTGATGGAGAGAAAACATTATTTTTAGCATTAATGATTACCGCCAACCACCATCCAAAAGTATCTTCTTTTAATCAATACATTTGGAGACAGATTCATTGGCTCCAGTGACTTTTCAGTAGAAATGTCAACTTTGTCATTTTCTTCCGGATGAGTAGCATCTCTAATTACTAAGTGTGTGGGAGCTGAAAATTACAGATGCTCTTTTGGAAATGAAACTTCAAAGATGATTTTGATGAGATTGCAATGTGGCTTACCCTATATAACTGGTCTCTTATTGTATAAGTTTGAGCAAGTTTCCCAAGTGGAGTGGAAACAGAAGCTAGAGAAAGTAAAGCAGCTCATGCTCACCCAAGACCTTCATGAAGTGGCAGTTGAATTAGATGTTGCTGGTGCTGCATCAATGGTCTAGAGAGAAGGTCCCTGAAGAATTTAAGACATGGTTTACAAATGTTCTCCTTTATTCACATTTTTTCATATTTTTAAAAGCATGAGAGAGTTCCTTTTTGGTATATTGATCAAAGATGTAACTGACCAGTACTGAAATAGAATGACTAGCTCCAAGTGCTGCCAGCTAGCTCACTTGTATAAATAGAATAAATTTATATAACGTATAGGACAGAGTTCTGTATAAATGGAATGAATAGGCTAATGAAAAAAGCACACAGAAGGGAGAATTTACCCAATCTCATAGTTTTAATTATGTGGGAAATTTCATGTTTTATTTTTTAATAGAATAATATTATCAGCATAAATATGATGTATAGATGGATTGTCTTGGAAATGAAGTCTCCAATGGTGAGCTTCCTTTGGTAGAAGAACTCTCATCCAGTTGCTTACTGACTGGTGCTCTTTGCAGCAAGCGGTGACTTCAGAGTATGACACACTTAAGAAGAAGTTTGTGGAGCTGTGGCAGAAATGTGGCATGAATCAGGCTGATGCCCTTGCCTCAGCACACCTGGACAGGTGTACTTGGAAAGCATCTAGGGGATGCCAACTCCTTAGGGTTATTTTTAATTCTTCCTGAACCACAGAGAAGATTAATGCTATTGGACATGGCAATGGTTTCATTTGATGCATTTCTGAAGCTCTGTTGTTAGCATTCTGAGTGAACCTTTTAGATAAAAAGCACTTAGTGGGAAAACAGAAAAGCTGTTATTATGCTACCTTTAAACCTTTCCTCCTTTTCTGTTTCAATTTAGAGATTTAAAATGCCCTTTTGTTTCCACCCCTTGGCTTGTTTCACTTTTATTCTTGCTAAAAGGAATAGCTGCTTAGAAGGTAAGAAATAAATCAATGGGTGATTTCTTTTCTTAAGCATCTGACAGTTTCCTTAATGTAGATAAGAAATGGATTTAAAAAAAATCTTGAGTGTGATTTTGCTTTGGGGTTTGAGTTAAAAGTATAAGGTAGCTCTGATTCCAACAGCGGAGCAGAAAATTTATTTGGTTTTAGATCTAGAGAAGATCTTAAAATGATTTAATCAAGTCAGCATTTTAATAGATGAGCAAAGTGAGACTCAGAAAGGCAAAGTATCTTTTCCAAGGTCATACAGCTAGATGGTCGTGGTGCTGGGTCCACTCCTGACCAACTCATGCACTCATTGGCTCATGAACACTAGTCATAAATATTTATGGTTGTTTGTGGTCATATTTCTTCTGCTACCCTCCTTGCCATTCCTCCAGCCTCCTTTACCTGTTCCCAACCTTCTCACTTCTGTTCCATTTCTGTCTGGTTCTGTGATCTCCTTTCCCCAATCCTGCCGTGGCCTCTAGTATTTGGGACATCCTTTCTGGTCGTGCTAGTTTGATACTTGCCATGCCCTCTGATTCTCATTGCCCCTGCTGCCTCGTGTAGGGGTTCCCTGTTCCAATTCCGGCTCTGCAGAACCTAAGCCTAATTGAGACCATCAGCTGCCATGCTGGCTGCACGATTCCACTCCAGTCCTGGAGTCCATTTGCTTAGGTCGAAGCACATTTAATTGGTAGCTGTGAAATTTTTCAGCATACAAAAGACACTCTCTCTCTCCTCCTCACGTTCTGGCATCCTTCATGACTTGTCATTTCTTCTCTGGAAGTTTGATGAAAAGGAGCTGTGAGCAGGGCTGTCCTGAGAACAGCACATTAAGAGCTGTTAATGTGTTCATATGTTAAAATCCTCCCTGCAAATGTGCCATTTTAAGGGCCTTCTAAAAATTCATTTACCCCAAAGAGTGATGTTGGTGACAAAAATTTCCAGGCAGTACTAAAAGTGTCTGTTCAGTTTGAGCCATCTGAGACCCCCTCACGTCACAACGTTTAACACAACTTTCCCTACTCTGAGGTGCAAGGCTTGGTTGAAGGGCTTTGGACTTGCAATGGAAAGACCTAGTTTGAGTCCTACCTCTGCTTCTTGCTCCCTATGTGGCCTAAGCTGGATCTCCAAGCCCCTGTGAGTTGTCACTTTTATATTTGTGAAGTGGAGGCAAAAATACCAGCCTTTTGGCCCCCACTGAAAGGCTGTTTAAGATAAAATAGATCTAATTCCTTCATCACTTGACTCCTAAAGTCCTGAATTCTTGCCTGTTTTTCCTTCCTGGCCACTCTTCCTTAGCCCTTCCTCCTAGTTCTCTTTTTTCTGACTACTTACATATAACATGCCCCAATAGTCAATAATCAATTATCTTCTTTTACCACCTTTGAGAAATTACCTATAGCTGGTGGCCATCCATTCATATTTCCAGACCTAACCTCTCTCCTAAGCTTCGTGTCTGTACCTTCTGCACCTGGACATATTATGGGCAGATCAAATACAGTATGTCCACAGCTGCACTTACTATCTTTTCCACCACACTTGCTCATGCCCTGACACATTCTGATTTGGTCAATTACATCACCATGTACTAAGTCATCCAAGCCGGGCTCACTTATTTAATTAGCACTTATCAAGCACCTACTATATACTCAGTCAGTGTCCATCATTTTAATCTCTTACCGTACAATCAATGGGTGAGTTCTTCCCTTATGCCTCTCAAATCAGTCTTCTCTCCCTTCTTCCCAATGTCTCTGACTTTATTTGCTTATGTCTGGATTTTTGGCTCCCAGCTGGATTCTTTGCATGCAGTTTTCAACCTTTCTCCAAGACATTCTCAACATTACCATGTAATTAATCTCCCTAAAACACAGATCTTGTTATCATTTTTTTTTGCTCCAAATATTTTTGGGTATCCTATCCCTTATATGATCGAGTTCAAACCTTGTAGCATATTCAAATACCTTCACAGGGCTGGGTGTAACTACTTTTCCAGCTTGTTCTAGCTTTAGATTTCCTCCAGATGTCTCATACTCTAATATCCACATGCAGCCTTGATACCTTTGGCTTTGATCATGCAACCCATTGCCATTAATTTATTCAGAAACCATTTACTCAGAATTTACTATTGGTAGGTGCTCTCTTAGATTCTGGAGTTATAGCAGTGAACCAGCTACTCAAGATCCTTGACTCCCAGAATATATAATGTGGAAGACCAACAAAAGACAAGTTACAATCTATTTATGTTTATATGTAAAGCAGTTTTAGAAAGTTCTCTGAAGTAAAAAAAAAAAAATAATAAAGTGAATCATAGATAGGAGGTGAGGATGGGAGGCTACTTTTGAATTAGTGGTCAGGGAAGTCATTCCTAAGGAACTGACACGGGGCAGGAGGCCTGAGCCAGCCACATGAAAGTCTGGGAGGCAGTGGTGTGTTCCAGGAAGAGAGAAGAGCAAACATTGTGGCTGTAAAGTAGGAAAAAGCTTGGTGTGTTGGAAGAACACATGTCTTACGTGATTGGGCTCCTGCCAGCCTCTTCGACTTCATCTACCATCACTTTGAGTGTCACTCGTGTGTTTCAGTCACACAGTTGATGTTGAAGCCTATGTTGTAGCCCTTAACAGGCTGCCCTTATCATGTTAGACTGACTACTACTTCCACTGAAATTTCAGTTCCTGGAGATCAGTGACTTTTCATCTTTGTCTCCAAGAACCTGACACATAATAAGGCTCAGGAAATGTTTCCTGGCTGATGAGATAATTCATCTACAGTGCTTTGTAAACCAGAAAGTCTATACTCTAGTTAAAAATAAAAATCAGAAATGTTTCATAAATGCAATTAAGTGGGATATTCTTAATCTTACAAAGACAAAGATCAAAAGTACAAAGAAGGCATTGTTCGTTCAGCAAACATTTATGTGAACACCTGCTATGTGTCATGGTGTCTGTTTCTGGCAAAACAAGGATGAATAACATGTCCTCAACTTACCACCCACTGAACCCTAGGAGCTCAGTCAGTTGGAGAAGCCACATTTCAGGGTTGTAAATGAAGTTTAAGCAAAGTATAATGGGATTTACCAAAATTCAAATTTCTTAAGATGTGTTTTTCTCCCTTTTGAATAATCTGGGGACAGGGCCAAAAAGAATGTGTTACAAAAGTCATGGGCCCATGTGCATTGTAGTGACACATTTATAAAGATTTAGAATAATGGGTAGAAAAGAGACAACAATTTGTTTATTGTTCAAAGAGTGCATGAAGATTCTTCACAGTATTCAGACGCAGTTTTTTTTTTTTTTTTTTTTTTTTTTTTTTTATGTTCAGGCCTGAAACAATTTCTTCATATTCTTTCCTGTCAAATGAACCATTCCTGGCTAATTTTCTAAGTCCTACTGAGAAAGAAAAAGGTGGTAACGTTATTACTCACCATGCCATGGTTCTTTAGAAACTGTCTGTATTAAATCAGTGTGGAACTTCTGGCCTCTGCCATTCCCTAATATGACTTATTTCCTGCTGGCTCTATCATTGCTCATGACACTGCCTCATCTGTCAGTCTGCCTGTGAATACTGACTTCCAATGGCTCTCTAGATTGTGCTGTGGTTTGAATGTGGCCCCCAAAATTCATGTGTTAGAAAACCACCAATGTTGGATTATTGGGAGGTGGGGCTAGCCTAATAGGTGATTAGGTCCTGATGGCTCTTCCCTCATAAATGGATTAATGCCATTCTCATGGGAGTGGGTTAGTTATAAAAGTGAATTTGGAACCCCTCTTGCTCTCTCTGTCTCTCACACCCTCTTTCCCTTTTGCCATAGGATGATGTGGCAAGAAAACTCTTGCCAGATGCTGGCACCTTGATGTTGGCACCAGCCTCCAAGACTCTGATAAGTAAGTTTCTTTCCTTTACAATTACTGAGTCCATGATATTCTGTTATTAGCAACGCAAAATGGACTAAAATAGATTGTTAAGGTGCTTTTTAAATGATGATCACAAATGCAAGTCTTGCTTGGAGTATCTAGGAAAATATGAATGATAATTCATTTTCTATTTGAGATAAGTTCACCATTCAGAATTTTATAATGTAAAATTTATAAGAACAACATATTTTCCAGCTCTCTTTTCTTAAACTCTTTAGGCTATATGCTGAAAGAATATGTGATCTCTTTTAATGTTGACCATATTCTGGGCCCTCACCAGGGGCCCACTGGTGGACTGAAAGTAGTAGTTCCATTTATGTAAGGAATGTCTGTTTCTTGTCTGGCACGCCTTCAGACTGACCCAAGAGGGTACAACATTACCCCATCAGTCAGAGGCAAGAGAGGACATTAATTGGAGGGGCTTGTAGAATTTTTGGAGCAACAATTTCAAATGCCCTCAGGAGGTGCAGCCACTCCCCATAGACTGCCTACCATATGGCATGGAAACTTTGGAAGAGGCAGAGTAACTGCCATAGGTGCCAACAATAGGGGATGCTCAGGATATAGAATGCCTGGCATTACCCACCCCTGTCACCCGGATACTGTGGACTGAAGGTGGCAACTCGCGTTAAGGAAAGCCAGTGCACACCAGGCTTGCACACCAAGTCTAAACCTAAGAGTTGGCAGTGGACCATTGGGCAGCCCAGAGTCCTGAACTCAACCATTGTTTGCTGTGAGTGAGTCACTCAAAATAAACATGTTAACACCATTCTGCTGACCCAATCTTATGTTATCCTGTGAAAGAAATATGGCAATCAGTAGGAGCGTCCTAAACGCTAGGATGACCCATATGTGTGAGTTATGTAGCTCCTTAGGGCATCTGGTCAACCTCTTACATGGGGTTACTGGGATCCATGTGGGTCCTGGTTTGGTTTTGGAGCTTCCTGCCTAGGATGGTGTTGCTGGTCTGCACCAATTCTAGGCATCTGAATGGAGCTCAGAAATTTTTCAGAAAAAGACTCCAAAGTGTGTATCCCTGGGAAAGGGCCTTGCTTGCTGCCCAAGGTGGTACTGTTTGGAGAGCTGTCTCCGCTCTCCATTGTTTTACTTTCTAGGTAGGCTTGTGTTTCTCAGCCTTGACTTCACATTACCATCACCTGGAAAACTTGCTAAAAACAGCCTAAGAATTACCCCTAGAGATTCTGATTTCAGTGGTCCAGGATTGGGACTGGGCGTACGAATATTTTTAAAGCCTTCCAGGTAATTCTAATGGGCCATCAGTTTTGAAAATTAGTAATATAGACAACTCATTGGATCTTACAAGGAAAGTGCCTCTGAGGGGACAGGACTGCCTTGAAGGTATGCAGGAAACTCTGCTTTCTGGAAAGGAAGAACTGCTCCATACTTAAGTAAGTGCCTTACTAATACTTGCTGAGGGGAAAGGACACAGAGATATTTTCCCAATTCAGTTATGTGTAATATGTAACTGTTGCAAGTCTTCTTTGGAGCAGACATTTTTGTCAGCTGTTGATAATACAAGGTTGACGAAGGCAGGCTTCCTTGCCCTAATAGTGAATATTCTAGTAAAGGAAGCAGACATCTGTGCAGGCTATTTCAACTGGATGAAGTAGGTGCTGTCGTGGAGGTAAAAGAGTGATAAGAGAACTTAGATAAATTTGGGGGCTTGGGAATATCGAAGGATGTATAGGATGTGGCCAGGGGAAGTGCTGTTCTATAGGCACAGATTTTTCTACCAGCAATGACGAATATGCGGCAAAGTATGACGTGTATCTCATGCCTCAAAGAGCTTGTGGAGACTGGAATATCCACTGTGAGGAAGCAGTGGAGAGAGAAGAGGCTGGAGAAGCAGGTGGGGTGCAGGTTGTGGAGGGTTGTAATGGTGATGCCAAAGCTTGGATGGAGCCTTAGCTAAGGAGAATTTTGAACAGTTTATTGAGTAGAATGCCAAGGTTGGATTTGCATTTGGGGTGGGGGGTGGGGTGGGGAGTGGAATGGGGAGTTAAGGGGTTTGAGGGGGTCAGCTTCAAAGAGACCCATTAGAAGACTTCTGCAAAAGTCCACGTGACAAATGATAAGGACAATAACCACAGCTGGTAAGAATAGTGATAATCTGGAGGGGGTTGAGAAATTTCTTGCTGGCAAACTCTCAGTGCATGACTGGTTGGGTGGTGAGGGAAAGGGAGGGAGGATTCTGGAAGGACCAGTGTTTTCGTCTGGGTGACAGGGTTTATGGTGCTGTAGGAGCATGGAAGAAGAACAGCTTCTAGAAGGGCTTTGTCCCTGTGGTATTTCACGTGCCCATAAGGCTTTCAGTTGGTTTGTAAACAGACCTTAAATGTAGACTGTATTGTGTGGGGAAAGCATGGTGATTCGAGACTCCATCCTTTGACTTCAGTGCTTCTCTCAAACTCAGTAGCTGGTGAGGAAATTAAGGGTAAGAAATCCATTTCCTGAGAGAATTTTTTTTCATTAAAATCTTCCGCACAAGACAGAAAAAAATTCACGTCACAGTTCTTTGTAAGCTCTCATCATGTTATTGTGGTTAATCAAGACTAAGAATTTTCTTTTATTTCTTAGAATTGATAAGAAATTGTGCATTTTTTTCTTCAAATGCTATTTAAGAGGGAAGCATGGTACTGAAACCAATTTAGTAGTAGCTTAGAACTCTAGTATTTTCATTAAGAAATGGGAATTTCTATTTTTTGCCTGAGGTAATTACTTTAAGTTCCTGAAAGCATAATCATTTTGCATGTTACGCCAAGGACGGAATTCCTGATGAAAATGCTAAGTACCCATATCCCCCACTCTCGTAATAAATTGAAATGTTAACCCACTTGTTCTCAGCAGATCACGCATAATTCGCAGTGTGTGAGGGAAGAGAATTGTTTGGGCTGCAGCAATATATCAAGAGAAAAATAATCTTTAATTAAAAAAAGATAAATATGGCCGGGTGCTGTGGCTCATGCCTGTAATCCCAGCACTTTGGGATGCCGAGGTGGGTGGATCACCTGAGGTCAAGAGTTTGAGACAAGCCTGGCCAATGTAGTGAAACCCCATCTCTACTAAAAAAAATACAAAAGTTAGCCGGGCGTGGTGGCGGGCGCCTGTAATCTCAGCTACTCGGGAGACTGAGGCAGGAGAATCACTTGAACTCGGGAGGTGGAGGTTGCAGTGAGCCGAGATCGTGCCATTGCACTCCAGCCTGGGTAACAGAGCCAGACTCCATCTCAAAACAGGAACAAAAACAACAACAACAACCACAACAACAAATCCAAAAAAACACAAAACCACATATATACAAAATGTTTTAGCTTTTGAATAAAACTCTAAAAAAGGAACATGTTCTACTGCAGAAGAAGAGATAATGTAAAATCTGTTAGAGTGAAAAAGTCACAGGGCAAATTAAACCTTGAGGAAGACAAAATAAGAATGTTGTTTTTGATAAATGCGTGAACCTCACTACATAGGAGACGCTGTGTTAGGCACTGAATTGAGGAGATGGGTGGCATAGAGCCTTCCCAGCGGTTGCAAGCGACGTACTTTTTTCTTGGTTGATGCCATTCATATCTCTCATTCATTTCTTGGCTTTTTTAATATTTTGTTGTTTGTAATTTTTATTGGTTTATAAGATCTCTTTTTATATTAGGAACATTAAATTCTTAATAGTTATACATTACGTGTGTATATATATGTTCATATACATATAGTAAAGATTCCCTTCTGTTTTTTTTAAGTTTTTATGGTGTTATTTACCAATAGGTAATTTAATGTCCTGTACAGGTAGTAAAATGTGGCATGTTATTTTTTTCTTTTATGGCTTTTGGGTATTTTGCCACACTGAGAAGGGTCCCTACCATCCAAGTATTATTAAAAAATGTTTTCCTGCAATGTGTCCTAGGAATTTTATAAGTCTCTTTTTATCCAATTAAAGTTTTAAGAATAAACTTTTTATTGATGTGTAACACACACACAAAAGTGCACGAATCATAAGTATTTGTTTCTAGTTAGCTTTGTTCAGAAGTTTGAAAAAATATACCCTTTTAATATTTAACAAATGTATAATGCAAATTCCGTACAATTTACCTATTAAAGTGTACCATTCAGTGTTTTTAGTATATTTATAGGATTGGGCAACCCTCACCACAATCAGTTTCAAAACATTTTCATCATCCCAGAGGGAAACCTCTTACTCATTAGCAGTCACTTCTGATTTCCCCTCAACTCCCTAGTCCCCGGCAACCACTAATCTATTTTCTGTCTCTAAAGAATTGCCTATTCACTCTGGTTAGCTTTTTAATCCATCTGGAATTTATTTTTGTGTGTGGTGTAGAATTCTAACTTTTTTAATCAGAAGGAAAATTATCAATTGCTAATAATAGTTGAATTGAGTGAACAAATGAATTAATAAGTTGCCCAAAGAGACAGGAATTCAGAAATAGAAGCAACCATTTATGAGTGCATGTTCAGTGACTGGCTGCATGGAGCAGATAGTTTAAGGTGGGCCTTTGAAACATGAGTGAGATTTGGAAAGATTGAAGAGGGAAGAGGAGTGGCAAAAAAAGGATGCAGAAAAATGGATCGTGAGCTTAGAGAAGGTTGAGGAGGCCAGTGTCTCCAAAGCAGTTAATATATGTAAGAAATTATTACGGGTAAGGCTGGTATAGGTAGTCAGTACCCAGCCTGTGAAAGTCCTTAAAGATTAGGCTGAGGATTTTGCATTTGATCCTATTAGCATTAAAGAGCATCGTGAAAGTTCTTACAATGGAAGTGAAATAGAGGAGGTACTAGAGAATATGGGGACGATTTGAACTTTCTCTGTACAAATGAAGAATCAACAGCAGTCTCTCCTGGTACCCTTTCATTTCCTTGTGTGGTTCTTACTGGTTGAAAAACCTTATTTACTTATCTTTATCTCTTTCTTCCTCATTTGTATTTGGGAGAAAGGGAGAACATGCTGCTTCTAGCTTTGAGATTTAGGGATTTCTGGGATGGGAGTAAGTTACCTATTGAAAGGCAGACCCAGAAAACAGCAGCAGGTAACGTTTGGCAAGCACGGATTCTGTGTCAGAACCTGTTCTAAGCATTCCACATGCCTTCATTAAGTTGCAGTTGTATCTTCCTATCAATTCTAAGACATAGTTGCTATTGATATGAGTCCCTTCCATTAATGGGGAACCAAGATCCAGCAGGTAAGTGACTCGCTCACAGTCACAGGGCTAGTAAAGGTGAGCCAGGAGAGGAACCTGATGGATCTGGCTCTAGGGCTTATTCTTCACCACAGCGCTACATTGCCTCTTCCACCCTCCAGATGGAGCAATGCACATCCATAGGAAACACTCTGCTTCCTCAGTAGCTATGTAACCTCATACTCCTGACAAAATGTAAATGGCATCACATTATAGGTGGGGGCAAAAACTTGTGACTCTAAACAGTATTGGTTTAATTAATTATATCTGCTTTCTTAAAAATCAAAAACAGGAAAATCTCATTGATACAAGTCTTGGTCTATACAGAACATGCTTTGTCATGTCCACGTTTCCCTTTGGCACAGCAACTGGACTATTCTAGACTGAGGTTGCTCTTTTAGCCCTGATCCTAGAGTAAGAATGACAACAATAAACAGTAGAGTGCAGAGTGCAGGTAGCCCACAAATGGATGTGTAGTGTTAGTTGTTTTAAACCACAAAACTTCTTTTGTTTGTGTTTTTGTTATTGCAGCATAACTTTGCCTTCCCTGACTGATACATCTTCTGAGTTTTTTGTTTCAATACTAAAGAGACCCAAAGAACCCTGCTTTGGTGATTCTTCTGTACCCTTTTAATGCTGTAAGGCATTCAGTAAGTGTCCTCTTTTATTGCTTTAAATCTATTTGTTTTCTGTGCAAATTGCTAATGATCCAAGAGTGATCTGACTATCCACGTGAGTCTAATGCAAAGGCTTTGTTGAAATTTTTTAGTGCTTAGAAATCTCTTTCTACTCATATTCCGATTTCTTACTGGACTTTGGATTTCAACTGATACTGCTGAAAGTCTACCTCCATTTATGTATGCCTAATGTTTTGGTTGAGATTCTTTGATTACTTGAAACAGAGATCTTCCTATAGTATATAGACACCAAGAGGGTTGCTAATGATGTCTTCCTCCTTTTACATATCGCCTTAGATAGTCCCTTTTTCATAGTGTACCAGGGTTGGTTTGTGTGTACAATTGCATATGGCAGAAATAATGTATGTCACTTCTGGGATTCAGTTATTAAAGATTGTGGCTTTCACCTTGGTCTCTTTGGTCGGTCTCTCTCTCTCTCTCCCCCTTCTCCCCCTCCCTCCCTCCTTCCCTCCCCCACTTCCCTCTCCTGCCTCCCTCTCTCCCTGTCTGTCTCTCTTTTCTTTCTTTCTTTCTCTTTCTTTCTCTTTCTTTCTTTCTTTCTTTCTTTCTTTCTTTCTTTCTTTCTTTCTTTCTTTCTTTCTTTCTTTCTCTCTCTCTCTTTCTTTCTCTCTTTCTTTCTATCTCTCTCTCTCTTTCTTTCTTTTCTTTCTTTCTTTCTCTCTCTTTCTCCCTCCCTCCCTCCCCCGTCTTTCTTTCTTACTTTCTCTGTCTCTGTGTGTGTGTGTGTGTGTGTGTGTGTGTGTCTGTCTGTCTGTCTCTCTCTCTCTCTCTCTCTTTCTGTCTGTCTTTTTCTCTCTGGGGAAAGCAGCCAGCAAAGACATAAGTCCTGACAAAACTATGTGAATAAGCTTAGAAGTAGACTTTCCAGCTCCAGTCGAGCCTTGAAATGATTGGAGACCCAGCCAATAGCGCAACTTGACTGTAACTTTATGAGAAACTTTGAATCAGAACCACTCAGCTAAGCCACTCTGAATTCCTAACCTTCAGAAACTGTGAGAGATAGTAAGTAATATTGTTTTAAAATGCTACATTTTGGGATACTTTGTTACATAGCAATAGATAACTACTACATTGCCTGAAAACTGCTTAAATAAAGAGAAATAAATGGTAATAAATCAGGGAAATCTCTGATAACATACAGGTCACATTTGGCAGATTTCTAAGTGAATCGCCTGGGGAAGGTGTTAAGATTCATGGCTTATATCCTGTCCCTGAGTAAAGAATCTTACCGTGAGTCCCTCAAATCTTATGAGTTCCTCAAACTATTGATACACTAATGAATCAGTAAACTACTGACAACAAAAAGGATGCTGATTTGTTTCTGATTTATGAAGTTTTGCTGATTTGTTTCTGAATCATGAAGTTGTACCGATTGTCTTGAACATAGGACATTTTAGCTTGTATGTTGTCATCTGTAGCCGATGATTGTAACCTCTGTATTGTATTCTCCAGTGAAAAAAGGCAACTCTGATAGGAGTCCATCTTCCTTCTCCTAAACTTCTCCTTTTCCTATAAAAGCATTTCAACTTGTAATAGACTTTGGAATGTGCCCAACTTTGTTGTTGTGTCTTCCCAGGTCGATCTTCCCATCTAGCTTCCAATAACCCTTTATCAAATTATTTCTGCCTGAACAGCCTTAATTTCAGTTGACATCTCACAGAACCTAATTTCAGGAAATACAGTCGGGTTTTCCAGAAGTCGAAAGTTATCACTTAGCAAATGTCAGTCAGCAGCTCTTTCTGGCTCTGGCTCTTTGGAGTGGCATGGCCTCTTGTGTCTGTTAAGTACTGTTCCCTCCCACCCTCTCATCCTATATATTGATTTATCTTTGTTATTGCTTTCCAAGAACACTGGCTTGTGCATGGTTTGGGGTTGCCATGGAGCTATAGCTGCCCTGACTTTGTTCTTGCTCCAATGCTTAGCACAATCCAGCTCAATCTCTGGGCTCCCTAACAGCCTCAGGAGAGAATCTAATCAGCTTGGATCAGATTGTCCATCATGACAATCAGCTGTGACCAGGGGTCAAATCACTAGCCACCAAATGTTTCCATTGCCCAGGCAGAGAAATGGGAAGATTATATATATGGTTTGGCTCTGTGATTATATGGTTTGGCTCTGTGTTCCCACACAAATCTCACCTTGAATTGTAGTTCGCATAATCCCCACATGTCATGGGGGGGGGACCCAGTGGGAGGTAATTTAATCACGGAGGCGGTTACCCCCATGTGTTCTTGTGATAGCGAGTTCTCACAAGATCTGATGGTTTTATAAGGGGGATTTTCCCCCTTTTGCTGGGTACTTCTTCCTGCCGCCATGTGAAGAAGGACATGTTTGCTTCCCCTTCCACCATGATTGTAAGTTTCCTGAGGCCTCTCCAGCAGTGCTGAACTGTGAGTCAATGAAACCTCTTTCCTTTATAAATTACCCAATCTTGGGGATGTTTTTATTAGCAGTGTGAAAATGAACTAAATAACAGGAAATTGTCATGGCAGGCAAATTGATTACCATTTGCCCAGGACACTGATAAATTCTTTATTAGCAAAAATGAAATACATTGAAACTGGATTTCAGTCTTTTGCAAAAGGCAGAATCCTTTTGTGAAGTAAATAGTGGCCCTTAATTTATCTGCTTGCTAAGTTTGTTTTTCTACTTTCAGTGCTCATGAATTGGGAATACACCTGCAATTTTAGGCACCAATTACTGTGTTGGATAATTCTCTACCCAAGGGAGCTGATTTCCTGGGAGAAGAACCCTGCTTCTGTGTGGGTACTTAAGTTAGCAAAACAGGAAGAAGCCAGTTAGTAAAAATTTCGTGTCTTGAAAGGCAAAATAATGTAATAAACAAAGTAAGGGTATTAGAGTCAGATGGACCTGAGCTCCTGAGTTTGCACTCTGATTTATAACTGATATGATGCTGGACTCTGAACCTCAGTCTCCCCTTGGTAAAATGAACATAATCTCTATTTCACAGGGTTCTTGTTAGAATTAGATACGTTGACATATGTAGCATGCCCAAAACAGTACCAAACACATATTAGGAGTTCAGTAAAAGCTAGGTTATTACCATGATTGGCAAATATTTTTCAGCCAAAAAATATAGATGTATTTAAAAATTCATTGCACATGTAAGGAAATGGTAACAGTATTCAATGCTTGCTATTTTTGCCCTGAATACTTAGAGCTGATCTTGAGAAAAATAAATGAGTCATGTAATTCTATCCCCAGTTCGATAATTTCTGTGACTCCATGAAGGAGCCGGTCAGTTGGAACATCTCCTGGAGGCAGGTTGTACACTGGATCAGAGACAATGAAATGCAATGGACAAGGAGCCTGGGGCTGTGTGAGTCCCAGAAAGAGATTGAGGGTCTTTCTTCCTCTCGCATATCTAAATGCATCATCTTTCTAGGGAACTTTCACATGCTACCTCTAGCACAATCCCTCTTAAATTCTTCCCAGTTTTAAGTGTGCCAAAGGGAAGTAGTACTTTAGGACTCATCTCTGCTATTCTTCTAGGCAATTTCAATAAAGGGTTAGGAAGCAGCCTGGTATGTTACAGTAAAAAAAAAATAAAAAGTTTGGAGTCAATTTGAATTTTAAACTGAGCACATCGTATCTGTTTAAATTGGAACATTTTAGTGAATCTTTACAACTCAGTGTCCCCACGTGTAAAAGGAGATGATAATCTCTACCTTGACAGATAATTGTGATGGTTGGAAATCATAGCACAGTGTTGCTACCCAGTAAACTTTGAATAAATGTAGCTAGTAGTTTTCATTTTATTTGATTTAGTCATATCGTTTTATTAATAGGGTATTTATTGCTACCCAGTAAACTTCCAATAAATGTAGCTAGTAGTTTTCATTTTATTTGATTTAGTCATATTATTTTATTAATAGGGTATTTATCAAAAGTTTACTTTGTCCCATCTGAAGCAAGGTTGTAGGCACTAAAGGTACCGACATCAGTAAACAAAAAAGGCAAAGTTTCTGGGTATATGGAGTTTACATCTTCAGTGTTGAGAGACAGACCATAAACAAGTACGTGTCAGGTGGTGATAGGTACAATGAAGAAAGGTAAACTGCAGAGAGGCATAGGGGGAGAGGTAAGAGACGGGATTGCTATTTTATAGAGAGCTCTCAAGGACGGCCTCTCTGGAAGGCTACCATGTGAGCAAGCCCTAGAAGGGAGTGCAGGAGTAACTCAGGTAGTTTTAAGGTTATAGAAGCTTCAGGTAAAGCTTGATGTAAAGCAAGCTTTGATGTATGCAGAGGTGAAACTCAGATAAAGCTCTGCATGAATGCAAAGACCTTGGAATGGAAATGTGCTTGGAGTTGAAGGGATAGTGAAGAGAATAGTATGGCCGGGGTGGAGAGAGGGCAGATGTGAAAGAAAGAGGAAGAGAGGTAGCAGGAATCATGTCATCTAGGGCCTGTCAAATAACAATCCAGACTTGGTAGGGAGAGATTTATTCAAGATTATTGCAAGAGCAAAGGGAACAATTGCAACAGGGAGGACATGGTAACCGTAGGATCCGCAAATGTCTCAAGGGCTAGGCCAAAAGTGTTTTTCTCTTAAACAGAGGAATAAACAAGGCTAGAGAAGACGAGGTGTGGGGAAGTGGATTGAACGTATAGTGTAATCAGATGGTAGTTCAGAGAATGTTTCACTGCAAGGCCAGACTGTTCTCAGGAGGGGCTGTCTGTGTGTTGATGCAGGCTGAGGGTGGCCCTAGATGAGGGAGAGAGAAGCATAACCAAAATTTGATTAAACAAGCATTTGCTCTAGTTGTTCAATGGGGACAAGCAGTTGAGCAAATCACTTATGAGGCAAAAAATAGAAATTTGGAGGCTTTTTGCCTGGCCTTGTCATAGGTAAACAAGGAGGCAGGGCGTCCGTGAGTCTTATCTAAATCCTATGGGAAGAGTGGTTTTTTTCAGTAAGCTCTTTTCTGGAATACGAAGCATGTGGGCGTTTCTTAACCTTCACTGTTTTCCAGGATCATGGGAATCAGATAAAGTTCAATGTTGTTGGGCATTTAAATTTTTTTCTGGGTGAGAAATAAAGTGAATGATATGTGACCAATCAAAACATTGCCTTGATTTTGGAGTTTCATTCTAAAAGTTTCAACAGTTAACCCCATTCCAAGAATGTGCAGCTGTCTGTCTCCACATCTTCCCCTCCTGGATGCCTGTTCTCTGCCTTCTCTCTCCATCCATCCATGGAGATCACCTCTACTAAGGTCAGCGATAAACTTCATATCACTTATGTCTGCTGCTTCAGGTCCACCAACTTGGGTCACCCACTAGATTTGTAGTACCCTAAGGAGGATTTAGCACTAGGCTTAACGTCCATTCAGTTCCGCAAATAGCACATTTTCTAGTCTACTTGGGTTCCAGTCAGCATCTTCTCCAAATAGTCACATAATTAACCAAATTCAAATGCTAGCTCCTTCGTACCAGGAGTCATGATTGATAGGAAATGTTTAAAGAAAGCTACTCATGTTTGATGTCCCTAAGGGGTCAGCAAACTATGGCCAGTAGACTAAACCAGCCCAATGCCTGGGTTTGTTAATAAAATTTTAATGGAATGCAACCAAGCTAATTTATTTACCTATCGTCTATTGCTGCTTTTTCCCTGCAATGGTAGAATTGAGTAGCCACAACAGAGACTCTATGGCCCATGAAGCCTAAATACTTACCATCTGTACCTTTATAGAAAAAGCAGCTGACTTCTGTCTCAAGGGTTGGCTTGTTGTGGAGTTGCCTCCTTGCATTGTATAGTACTAGGGAGAACTTTATTACATAAATGTCAAGGGACTACTACTTTATTAAAATAGCCAGAGATTGCCATAACTGGTCCTTCTAAGGGCTACAATGACCTTCTTTAAGAATTTTTAAAACTCTCCAATATCAGCCTGGCATCTGCCTTTGTTAACCCACCTGACTTCACTCGTATTGGAGAGTTTTGCTCCTTCCTCAGGGCTTTGCATTCCTTTCAGTCCCTCCTGAGCTCACTCTCAGTGGAAGCACGGTGAGTCTTTGTGCATCTCTGGTACCTCACAGGTAATGCTGGGCTTGGAAAGTATTATAGTGTTGTTTTGCAAAATGAAGGCCTTCAACAAAGGAGTGTTTTATTTCTCTCTTCTATCACTCAACCCAATCATCATTGATAAAATTCTTTTTGCAGCTTACTGCAACATCTAGGTCTTTCTCCACCCCACCTCATTTTGTTGATGATTATAAAGGTGAAGTATGGATTTTGGAGAAAATTGGAAAAATACAGAAAGGTATTTAAAAGAAAAAAATATCATGCTAATATTTTGGCATATTTTATTTCTACATTTTCTTAGATATTTTTAAAAAGCTGGTACCATTGCAAAGATAACCATTGTATAGGATCTTCTATTCTGATATTTCAAGTGTTTTTCACATACTATTAAGTATTTGGTAAAACAATTTTTAGTGTTACATACAGTTCCATTTTATGCATATTTGAACATTTATTCATTAGTTTCCCTAATAGTGATATTCAGACAGCTTCTTTTTATTATTTGCTGTAATAAATCACCCATAGTAAACATTTGTGCATAAATCTGTGCCCCCA
The DNA here is from genome assembly GCF_000001405.40 of Homo sapiens. Lineage (NCBI taxonomy): Eukaryota > Metazoa > Chordata > Mammalia > Primates > Hominidae > Homo > Homo sapiens. Next base: position 111,960,538 of record NC_000010.11, on the reverse strand, counting down.
TATGTGTTATTTCTTTACAGCGGGTTTCTAGAAATGGAATTACTTGGTCAAATGGTAGGAATATTACTAGCATTCTTTTGTAAAAACTTTTATTTTAAGTTCAGGGGTACACATGCCAGTTTGTTACATAGGTAAAGCCATGGGGCTTTGTTGTAAAGATTATTTCATCACCCAGATATTAAGCCTAGTACTCATTAGTTATATTTTCTGATTCTTTCGCTCCTCCCACCCTCTACCCTCTGATAGACCCTAGTGTGTGTTGTTCCCCTCTGTGTGTCCATGTGTTCTCATCATTTAGCTCCCACTTACAAGTGAGAACATAGCTTTCTTTATGTTTGTTGCTAAATAGCTTTCCTGAAAGTATGTTTCAATTTATACTCACTTAACCCTCACTTCTCCTTACTTCTGCTAATAGATTTTTAAAAGTTACTGTGTTTTAATTCACATTTACTTGAACTAATAATATTGAAAATATATTTGTGTGCTTGGTACCCATTTCTGTTCTATTCTCTATAGTATTTCCACTGTAACTTATCCCTCAATACTTAAAGGGTTCCAGGCCTGGCTCAAACATTTTCAATCTGTGTGACTCCAGGAAGTCACTTTCTTTTCAAGCCTCAGTTTTCTCATCACTAAAATGGGAAGAATTATATGTGTATCATAGTCCTCTGCCAATTAAAAGTGCCAAGTGTCATGTCTGGCTTATGAGGATCTTTGAAAACTTTGCTATAGGTTTTGTGAGGGTGGAGAATAGAGCTGTCTGTTCCTCTGTCTGGGGTTCTCATGTCTTTGGTTGATTTTAAGTATGATATTTTCTTTCTACTTAGAATGCAAATGTAACAAAACAATTATCAACTGAAATAAATTACCATGATTGCAAGTCAGAGCGAAAAATCCAGCCTACAAGATGTGAGGGTGCATTACATGCACAAATGGTATACTAGATTCTGGAGTACAGAGATGAATGGAAGATGCTGTACATACAAGAACCATGGCCTGGGCTCTGGCCAACTTTGGGTATAAATGCAATTCTACTTACTTTAATCAAGCAGCAAGTAAGTTTATTACTTTGGGATATCCTTACCTGTGCCACCATCTCCCTAAGTCTCCTGCCACATACTGGGAGATCTTCTGTACTATCCCAATAATTTGGGGAGATTGCTGCAATAAGGACAGACCAGTCTGCCCTGCCACCACCCTCTCTGTTTTTGTTCAAACATCACCTTTGGTCTCTGCCATTGTACCTAGTCATCCTATTTCTCTGCTCCTTGACAGAGGCAGCCCCTCTTCCTTCATTCTCCAAAGCATCACTACTAATTCTGTTGCATAGCAGACTTTAACTTAGGGGAATGGAAAGAGATCTTGGTACTTCTAAGCATATAAAACGCTTAAAATTTCATAGGTGGCATCATTAATATTTCCCAGTCCTTCCCTACTCACTGGGAACTTCTCTCTGGTGGTCTATTTAATCTGTGACTTTTCAGACATTGACAGGTTCCTCTTTCTGTCCCTCTAGAGCAGGGTTTCTTAATCATGACCCTATTCACATTTTGGACAGGATAAATATTTGTTGTGGGGGGCTGTCCTGTGCACTGTAGATGTTTAGCAGCATCCCTGGCTTCTGCCCGCTAGATGCCAGTAGCATCCTCCCCCTAATTGTGATAACCAACAGACAATGTCTCCAGGTATTACCAAATGTCCCAGGGGGAAAACTGCCCTGGGCTGAGAACTACTGCTCTAGAATTATAAGGTTGGTGCAAAAGTAATTACAGTTGGTCATTGAATTGGCAAAAACCACAATTACTTTTGCACCAACCTGATACTTTCACTTATATTTCTCTTTTGTTCATTCTTGGGTTCCCCGATCCCTTACTCTCCTATGCACCAACAGAAGACTCAAAATTCTTGTTACTTTGTTATGTAGAGCAATTAAATTTTGAATCTTGATGTCATGTTAGGCTCCCAACCTCCCTTTGTAGGTCTAAAGAAACTTTGCTGAGGTGTTTATTTTGGCTAGGCACAAAAGCCATCTGTTGAGGTTCTATCCTTAGCAATACAATGAATATGAGGGTGTTGAAATCACGATTTTTTCTTTAACTTATCCTGGAGCAAATTATGATGAGAGGTCTTTATCCACCTGCCAAGATCATGGTGTTTGTGTGTTTCTATTCTTCCTCCTCCTCCTGGATATTAAATGAAAGGGCCGATAGAGGTTTCCAACAGTATCTCTAGCAACTCTCTGCTTTAACTGAAATTCACATTTTGGTTTGGAGATTTGCTACTTTGGGGAGCATTTACTAAGCATGTTAAAGTCTGCCATACATAAAATCCCTCTTTCTCTGAAACTGGCTATTTCTTCCTCTGAGAGTTCCAGCTACATTTGATATATTTTAACTCCAGGTCTCTGTGGATCTTCCTTCCATGAGCCCTGCAGCAGAGAGCTGCTTTGGAACCTAGAATCCATTTCTATGTGCATTTCTCTTTATTTTGTTAATGTATTTCTGATGGCAGGAATGATAAAAAATTTAAAGTTGTGAACTTTATTATAAAGACACATGCACACATATGTTTATTGCAGCACTGTTCACAATAGCAAAGATTTGGAACCAACCCAAATGCCCATCAATGATAAGACTGGATAAAGAAAATGTGGCACATCTATACCATGGAATACCATGCAGCCATAAAAAAGGATGAGTTCATGTCCTTTGCAGGGACATGGATGAAGCTGCAAACCATCATTCTCAGCAAACTAACACAGGAACAGAAAACCAAATAAACCAAATGCCACATGTTCTCACATAAGTGGGAGTTGAACAATGAGAACACATGGGCACAGGGGAACATCACACACTGGGGCTAGTCAGGACGTTGGGGGTTTGGGGAGGGATAGCATTAGGAGAAATACCTAATGTAGATGACGGGTTGATGGGTGCAACAAACCACCATGGCACATGTATACCTATGTAACAAAACTGCATGTTCTGCACATGTATCTATCGGGGGAACCAGCCCCCAGTATTTCAACATAGGTTCTTTTCTATTTTCTCTAAGCATTGGCCGGTCTGAGAAATAAAGGGAAAGAATACAAAAGAGAGAAATTTTAAAGCTGGGTGTCCGGGGGAGACATCACATGTCAGCAGGTTCCGTGATGCCCCCTGAGCTGTAAAACCAGCAAGTATTTATTAGCGATTTTCAAAGGGGAGGGAGTGTACGAATAGGGTGTGGGTCACGGAGATCACATGCTTCAAGGGCAATAGAATATCACAAGGCAAATGGGTAGGGCAAGGTCACAAGGGCAGGGCAAAACTAGAATTGCTGATGAAGTTTCATGTCCCACTGTGCACGCATTGTCATTGATAAACATCTTAACAGGAAACAGGGTTCAAGAGCAGAGAACCGGTCTGATTAGAATTCTCAGGCTGGAATTTCCTAATCCTAGCAAGCCTGGGGGCACTGCAGGACACCAGGGCGTGTTTCATCCCTATCCACAACCACATAAGGCAGACACTCCCAGAGCAGCCATTTTAGAGGCCTCCCTCTGGGAATGCATTCTTTTCCCTGGGCTGTTAATTATTAATATTCCTTCCTGGGGAAAGAATTCAGCAATGTTTCTGTTACCGGTTTTCGGCAGTAAGAGAAATATGACTCTGTCGTGCCTGGCTCCCAGGCAGTCAGACCTAATGGTCATCTCCCTTGTTCCCTGAGCATTGCTGTTATCCTGTTCTTTTTTCAAGGTGCCCAGATTTCATATTGTTCAGACACACATGCTTTAGGAACAATTTGCGCAGTTAATGCAATCATCACAGGGTCCTGAGGTGACATACATCCTCAGCTTACGAAGATGATGGGATTAAGAGATTAAAGAAAAGACAGGCACAGGAAATTATAAGAATATTGATTGGGGAAGTGTAAATGTCCAAGAAATCTTCAGAATTTATGTTCTTCTGCTGTGGCTTCAGCCGGCCCCTCCATTCGGGTTCCCTGACTTCCCGCAACGTGTATCGCAGAACTTAAAGTATAATTTTTAAAAAGTGCATTTTCAGAATCAGCTACATGAAAGAGAGAAAAGGCTGAATCAGTGGCCAGAGCCATAGGATGCTCTTGACAATGTGTGGCCTCCTTTCTTTGTCCTGTCTGAGCTCAGACAGCTGGAGTGGGGCTGCACCTGCAATTCCTTTGGAAAAGACCCTGTGGCAATTGAATACATGTCAGGATCTGGGTGGCATTTTCCAGTTCACTTGCATTTGTTCCTTTCTCAATTTCATGCCATTATTTCCACTTACAAAGCATTCTCTCACATTGTTATTCCATTTCTTAGAAAAGTGAATCTGGGCATTATAGATTTAATTCTGCCATCTTCTCTCACACGCACTTAGAAGCAATAGGATCTCTGACAGCCTGGGCAATGCTATTTAGAAGATGCTACATTTCCCGAGCTGTCTGTGCCAAAGCACTCCTCCCCATTTCTACTCAGAGGTTCTCATGTGGCCTGAGACAGTCACTTAGCTTTTGTTCCTTTTTCATTCCTTAAAAATGCGAACATATCTTGCTTTTCTTCACTCTGTAGAGAGTAGGAGGAAGGCGATATTTGTAAAGTCAGAGAATTGAGGAAGGTTGAAATAGCAATGCTTTCTTTATATTATTAGGTTGGCGCAAATGTAATCGTGGATTTTGTCATTGAAAATAATGGCAAAACCTGCCATTACATTTGCACCAACCTAATACCTTTGTAGTCGTCTTCTTTTTTTTCCTCATCTAGTCCCCTTTTTTCTCTTTCTTCTCTCTCCTAAACCTAAAGATGTGATGCCTTTCATCCACCTGGAGCTCTTTTGCTTGGCTGACGCCCATGTACAAAGCCGCTGGAACCTGCCTCCAGTGAGGTGTGAACATCCAGTCCTGTTTGGTTATTATTACTGGACTTCTTGCCTCAGTCTCTCTGAATTAAATTTTGTTCTGATTCTAGCCTGGTCTCATTCCCAGGTTGGTCACTCAGCAGTTTCTTAGATGTGGGGTGCCCTTGTTTTCTGCCTCCATCACCCTTGACTACTCTGCCCAATCGCCCTTCCAGCTTCCAGGACACAGATGTGGTGGTCTTGGCCAGTGCCGCTGGGTACCCATCCCAGGGCTTCTGGGATATGTGGTTATGCACTAAGTAGTTCATCCCTATATTTAACTCTTACTCTTCTTTTACATTTTTCTTTTTCCTTTAGTAGAGCCTACACAGATTATTTTCCCACTAGATTACAGACTAATCCATAAAAATGCAGATTTCAACCTGACAAGGTTGTCACAAAGTTCATTTCCTCTTTTAAAGATCAAATTTCTGAGGTTGAAGTTATTATTATATCTGGGACAGAGAAAAGCTAAAATAATGAACATGCTTCAGGGCCCCCAAAATTCCCCATTCTGCCTGTCATTAGGCAGGAATCACCTGGTTTTGAGTGACTAGAAACTTAACATAAACATGCTTAGGCATAAAAGGAAATTTATTGGCTTACATAGCTGAAAGGTCAAGGAACACACCTATTTCAGTAATGGCTCCATCCAGGTGCTTGTATAATGCTATTGTAACTGGTCTCTCTCCTTCTATGCTCTGCTTTCCTTGGTGTTACTTCCATCAAAAAATGGACATTTCCTTCATGGTGAAAAAAGTCTGGAACTTGTTATTCAACTCAGGGCACTTTAAATAAATTTCCAAATATTTTGAGGTTGAATCATTAAGTCTTTCGATATATATTACTTGTTTTACTGTTAATTCTTAAGCACATAATCTTAGAATAGAAAGAGGTCTCAGGGATTACTGGTTCTAATCCTCTCAGAGAAGGAGACATAAATGTGGAGAATGTATAAACTTCACAGAGTAATAGCTCAACTCAGTAGCAGACACGAAATGTCTATTCATTTTGTGATATTTGCTTCTGATAGCTAATGTGGATAACAGATGCTCTTGGTATTCGAGTATGAGAGAATGTGCAACCAGCTGACAGTCTGATTTTAATCTGGGCTACAACCAAATCAATGTGTGGGAATTAAAAAAAGATGTGTAGCAGAGCTTTAAAACTGATACGTGGAACTGAGTCTGAGAGTCTGTGAAGGCTTTGGTCTCTGCGACTGAATTTAGATATCTCTGGAGACATTCATCATGCCATTCTCCAACACTGGAGATCAGCCTTGAAAAGACTTCTGATTTGCCAGTGTCATAATTGGTTCTCAAGTAGCATCTTCACATGGAAGAGCATCTGAAGAAAGGAGCTGATGTCCTCAGCAGATGGAATGTTCCCCAATGTGATTAAAATTGTCAGCCTTTTCCATGTGACAGATAACAAGTCATTTTTAATGTCAAGAAAGTGGCAAGCTTTGTAATGTGGCATTCACTATTAGCACTGTGATTAAACTGCATCCACGGCATTGATTTTGACAGAATGCATTATGATTTTTATCCCTAAACCATCCATTTCTAAAGGAAATGGGTATACACCTGCTACATCTTCATTTGTCAAGCTCTTTCCAGGAAATTTAAAAGGATTTCACTTATTCAATAGTGGGGGAATCATGATGAATTTTCAAAATGTGTAGATACAGATCTTCAATTTGATGGACCAACTTTAATTTTGTATGTCCTGGAGACAGCATTTATTATATTTTCTCAACCACCAGTATTACATCTGGACTTAATGTTGGCCTCTCCAGCAGAACCACAAGGTTAAATTGAAGAGAGATGAGATGAAGGAGTCTGGTTTTGTTAGCAGAGGCAATATGTATGATGACAACAGTAATTTCCTGATTGGTATAGAGCAGTGCTAAAGAATGTCCCAGGAGTGCATTTTCAGACTGATTCTTCTCTCAGAATGCAAGTACCTCGGCTGTGGGAAAAAGAACCTCTAATTCCCTTTTACTCCTAATCCTTTCTGAGTTTTATAGGCTACAAAACAGACAAGCTCCAGCAAGAGTATTTTCTCTAAGCAGTATATGCAACAATAAAAGTAGGGTTGGTAACTGATAGTTTATTTTTTTAACGTGCAGGTCCATTCTAGTTACTCCCAGCTACTGGCTATTTAATATAACGATATTGGTTTTGACTAAGTATAAAAGTAAAAAATACTCTGCCACGAAACGCTAATATCCTACATTCTTGTCTCCTAGCCAAGGTGATCTTCTTTCCTATGGAATGGTGTTTGCCATTTGGCTGCAGTTCCAGAGGCCAAAGCATATGGAAGGTACTTAATTCAGTCTGCCAGTGAAATGGGCACTAGCCAGCTTATTTTGGAGTTTGATTTATGGACTCTTTAATCTACCATGATATTCTTTTTTTTTTTTTTTTTTTTTTTTTTTTGAGACGGAGTCTCGCTCTGTCGCCCAGGCTGGAGTGCAGTGGCGGGATCTCGGCTCACTGCAAGCTCCGCCTCCCGGGTTCACACCATTCTCCTGCCTCAGCCTCCCAAGTAGCTGGGACTACAGGCGCCCGCCACTACGCCCGGCTAATTTTTTGTATTTTTAGTAGAGACGGGGTTTCACCGTTTTAGCCGGGATGGTCTCGATCTCCTGACCTCGTGATCTGCCCGCCTCGGCCTCCCAAAGTGCTGGGATTACAGGCGTGAGCCACCGCGCCTGGCCTCTACCATGATATTCTAATACAGGCTATAATGAAAAGGTCTCCTTGGCCTCTTGTGGCGACTGAATGTCCAGAGGGTTCACAAGTTCAGTGGACCTCAGCTCCTCCATCAAGGCTCCTGGGATTGGCCTGTTTTCAAGTGGGGCCAGAAGTGGAGAACACCTGTGAGGAAAGGGTGTTCTTAACAAAGATAAAAAGACTGCTTTCTTTCAGTGGTACTTGGAAAGTGAGAACATCCAGTTTTGCTCACTAAGCAGGTGACCTTGGCTTGTCGCCTTGCTGTCAGCAGCACTGGGGTGGGAGGGCTGGTGGTGCAGCTGAGTTGCTTCTGCACGTAGGATTCTCTTTGAGGTCTCAGAACCAAAGGAACATTGCTGGTGTATAGCCAGTCGGCACGCTAAGTTTCACACCCTTTAACATCCTGTGCTAAAAGGGTGTTCTTTGAAGCAAATAACCTTTTAAAATTAGTAGTGCTGTCCTCAAGCAGGAATCATTTTCTTAGAAATGTCACTCTTCACCTTTATTTAAATGATACTGCACTTTTAACGATAAAAGGCACAAAGTTGTCAAAGCAAAAAAAAAAAAAAAAAAAAGGCAATTTTTGAAAAGAGGTAACTAGCTTAAAAAGAGACCTTCCTCCATCACGGTGAAGTGAAGGCTCTTCCAGGACTGAAAAAGATGAAATGTGGGAGAAGGATGAGTTTCCTGGTGGGAGTTCCCTGGGGGGAGCCCTGGCGTGCACAGGTTGCCCAGAGCTCCCAAGAGAGAAGCAGCAGTGCTTGGGTGTTGAGGGTCAATCCTGTGCTACATAGACAGGGGCCTGCTTGTTCCCAGGGGACCTGGAAAGCACCCCTGAAGGGCTGCAGAAGGGGTTAGGTTTGTCTCCAAATTCTTCCTGGGTGTCTGTCTTAGGGGCATGCATAGATAAGGATTAGGGGAGGCTTTCTTCTTTTGCCAGGTCACAGATTAATTACTTAAAAAGGAGGTGAGTAAAAGGCTTGCAACTGAGAGACAGACATCAGTCAGGTGGGTTTTGAAGCTGTGTCCTTTTTAGTTTCTCCTCAAAATAGCTTGAACTATCCATCTACACTTGCATTGTTTCTTCAGCCCTTGACAGATGAGTGGATAACTACCAGTCATTAGTTATTTCAGCATTGGTATAGTACTAATGAGCCATCCTGACTTAGGAAGGATGACAAAATAGATCTGTCCAAGATCAAGCTCTGTGGACATGACCTGGCTACTGCTCCTGTGCCGTGAGGTGACGGACCACTCTCTCTCCCTCTTTTTTTTTTTTTTTTTTTTTTTGTGAGACAGGGTCTCACTCTGCCACTCGGGTTGGAGTGCAGTGGCTCCATTTTCACTTATTGCAGCCTCAACCTCCCAGGCTCAAGTGATCCTCCCACCTCAGCCTCCCAAGTAGCTGGGACTACAGGCATGTGCCATCACACTCAGCTAATTTTTGTATTTTTTTTTTTTTTTTTTAGAGTCAGGGTCTTGCCATGTTGCCCAGGTTGGTCTCAAACTCTTGGGCTCAAGCTATCTGCCTGCTTTGGCCTGCCAAAGTGCTGGGATTACAGGTGTGAGCTATTGCGCCCAGCCTGACTACTCTCTTTTATAGGAATTGAACAACTGGGATGACATTTGGGGCACCATCAGGTGGATTTTCTGGGTTTACCAAGAGAAATATTTGTGAGGACAATCCCATGAATATTCTCTTAATCTAGATAAAGATATAAAGAGCAAAGAACACCTCATACTTCTGTTATTTGCTCTTGTTTCACATATAAAGCATCTCTTGGGCATGGAAAACCCCAGTCTTGAGGGGCCATGCTCTCTAAGGATAGTTTATAAAATCTATTTTCCTGATTGAGGGAAAGACAGTTAATGGCAATTGGCTAAGACTAACAGCCTGTCTCTTGGCTCAATGTCTCCAATGTGGAAAGAGCACCTGGACGCCATATTTTTAAACATTAAAAAATATAAAGAATATAACATTAAAAAATATAAGCCCGTGGCACATGCATGTCATCCCAGCTTCTTAGGAGGCTGAGGCAGGAGGATGGTTTGAGCCATCCGGGAGTTTGAGGATTCAGCGATCAATCCTAAGAGACCTTCATAATCGCACCTATGAATAGTCACTGCTGTCTAACCTGGGCAACATAGTGGGACCCCCATCTCTAAAAAGAATTAAATAAATAAAAAATACAAAGGACAAATGCTTGATAATTGCACTTGATGAATCTGGTTCTTTTTTAACAGTTGAATTCTGTGGCTTCTCAAAATACCTGCTCTCAAGCTATGTAACTGTATCTTAGCAATTGTTAGCATAAGCACTCTTATTCCATGCCCTGGTCACTTCTTTCTTTGACTGGCATCTTTGTCTAATGCTACCTGAATTTTGTCATGGTTCACTGGGAGTTGACTCCATTTTTCTTTAGCTCTTCTTAGAGGAGAGATTAATTGTTATTAGTTCAGAGATGTCTTAGTCTACTTGGGCTACTGTAACAAAATACCATATAGTGGGTGGCTTAAAAATTTATTTTTCTTTTTTTTCTGTGTGTGTGTGTGTGTGTGTGTGTGTCTGTCTGTCTATCTATCTATCTATCTATCTATGGAGATGGAGTCTCGCTGTGTCACCCAGGCTGGAGTATAGTGACGTGACCTCAGCTCACTGCAACCTCTGCCTCCCAGATTCAAGTGATTCTCCTGCCTCAGCCTCCCGAGTAGCTGGGACTACAGGTGCATGCCATCATGCCCAGCTAATTTTTTTATTTTTAGTAGAGACAGGGTTTTGCCATGTTGGCCAGGCTGGTCTCAACTCGTGACCTCAGGTGGTCCACCCAGCTTGGCCTCCCAAAGTGCTGGGATAATAGGCATGAGCCACTGTGCCCAGCCAGAAATTTATTTTTCACAGTTCCAGGGACCGGGAAGTCCAAGATTAAGGCCTTGGCAGATTTGCTACCTCCTGAGGAGCTTTTCCTGATTCATAGAGGGCATTTCTGGCTGTGTCCTCACATGGTACAAGGGGTACGGGAGTCCCTCTTTGGGCTCTTTTATAAGGACACTATTCCCATTAATTAGGGAATTCCCTAATTAATGCGAATAGTGTCCTCATGACCTAATCACCTCCCAGAGGCCTTACCTCCTAATACCATCACCTTGGGTGGCAGGCACTGGGATTTCAACATAAGAAGTTTTGGGGGAAATAAACATTCAGGCCATAGAAAGAGAGAAATGAACTGATTTGGAAAAATGTAGGTTAACAAAGTCAACCTGGAAAAAAAAGAATAATGAGTTTGATAGACCCAGCATGCAGGCATGTTTCTCTGGCTTGTAATCGCTAATCTCCTGTGGTGGGACTGTCTCTTTTGCATATCTTCACCTTGAGTCTAGCACAATACTGACAGCCTAGTAGATGCTCGGCGTTTAGTATGTGAACAAGTGAGAGATTTCAATGAAGTAATTGTTTCTGATCTGTTATAGTGAACCATTTCTAAATCTGTAGCTGCCCTATAAGGGTCAAGCAGAGTTAAGCAAAGAGGAGTATGATCCTGGCTGAAGGCAAATCACTATGTATTGCTGCAAATAATACTGCATATGAAACTACTCTAAACTTAGTGGCTTACCAGAATAACCATTTATTTAATGATCCAATGGTTGAAAATGGTTGAGATGGCCTCAGCTGGGCAGGTCATAGGTCTCTGCTGAGCTCCCTCATGTGCTCAGCTCACTCAGCTGCAGGCCAGCTAGATGGCTCTGCTTCTGGGAGTTGGACGGATGTCAGTGGGGACTGGGAAGTTTAGGGGTGACTGGGCCATGTGTCTTTCATCCTCCATCAAACTTGCTTGTGTGGCAAGCAATAGGGTTCTGAGAAAATGATAGGCAGGGATGTGCAAATCTCTTGAAGTCTAGGCTCAGAACTTCCAGCACATTCTATTAGCCATCTCAGATTCAAAGGATCTAGAAATTGACTTTTGCCTCTTAATGGGAGTAGCTACAAACTTGCATTACAAAAGGCATGAATATGGGAAGAGAAATACTTACAGTTATAATTGTTTAAAACAATTTTATTGAGATATCATTAGCACATGTAAATAGCCCATATTTGAAACATACAATTTGATAAGTTTTGATATTTCCTTATGCCTGTAAAATCCCCATCACAATTGAGATTATGAACATACCCCTACACCCCCAAATTTCCTCATGCACCTCTGTAATCCTTCCCTCCTGCCCCTTCCCTCATCCTCAGGTGACTATTGATCTGCTTTTATCACCTTAGATTAATTTACATTTTCTAGAATTTTATATAAGTGGAATCAAACAGTAGTTACTCTTTTTTTGGGGGTACCTTCTTCCCTCAGCATAAGTATTTTGAGATTTACACATGTTGAATTATTTATTTGCAGTTCATTTCTTTCTGTTGAATATTTCATTGTGTAGATAATACACTTTATCCATTTACCTCTTTTTGGATTTGGGTTGTTGTTAGTTTTTAATATTACAAATAAAGCTGTTATAAATATTTATGTAGAAGTCTTTGTGCAGACATATGCTTTTTCTCTTGGGTAAATACCTTGGAGTGGAATGATCAGATTGGAAAGTAGGTTAATGTTTAAGTTTTTAGGAAAGTGCCAAACTGTTTTCCAAAGTGGTTGTACCATTTTACATTCCCACCAACAGTGTATGAGAGTTCTAGTTTCTTTAAATCCTAGCTAACAGCTGGAATGTATAATCTTTTAAATTTCAGCTGCTTTAATAGATGTACAGTGGTACCTTGTTGAGGTTTTTATTTGAATCTCTCATGATTATAATTTGACTTTTTTTTCTTTTTTTTTTTAACTTTGAAGTTCAGGGGTACATGTGCAGGATGCACAGGTTTGTTACATAAGTAAACCTGTGTCATGAGGGTTGGTTGTACAGATTATTTCATCACCCAGTTATTAAGCCTAGTGCCCATTTAGTTATACTTCCTGCTTCTCTCCCTCCTCCCACTCCCCACACTCTGATAGGCCCCAGTGTTTCTTGTTCACCTCTATGTGTCCATGTGTTCCCATCATTTGGCTCCCACTTATAAATGAGAACATGTGGTATTTGGTTTTCTATTCCTGTGTTAGTTTGCCAAGGATAATGACCTCCAGCTCCATCCATGTCCCTGCAAAGGACATGATCTTGTTCTTTTTCGTAGCTGTATAATATTTTATGGTGTATATGTACCACATTTTCCTTATCCAGTCTATCACTGATGGGCATGCCACCATGTGGCAATGAGAAGAATGCATATTTTATTATTTTTTGGTGGAGAGTTCTGTAGATATCTATCAGATCCACTTGATCCAGAGCTGAGTTCAGATCCTGAATATCTTTGCTAATTTTGTCTCAATGATCTAATACTGTCAATAGGGTATTCAAGTCTCCCACTATTTTTTTTTTTTTTTTGAGACGGAGTTTAGCTCTTGTTGCCTGGGCTGGAGTGCAATGACATGATCTTGGCTCACTACAACCTCTACATCCCAGGTTTAAGCAATTCTTCTGCCTCAGCCTCCCAAGTAGCTGGGATTACAGGCATGCACCACCATGCCTGGCTAATTTTGTGTTTTTAGTGGCGATGGGGTTTCTCCATGTTGGTCAGGCTGGTCTTGAACTCCTGACCTCAGGTGATCTTCCCGCCTTAGCCTCCCACTATTATTGTATGGGAGTCTACGTCTCTTTGAAGGTCTCTAAGTAATTGCTTTATGAATCTGGGTGCCCCTGTATTGGGTGAATATGTATTTATGATAGTTAGCTCTTGTTGAATTGAATCCTTTATCTTTATGTAATGCCCTTCTTTGTAATTTGATCTTTCTTGGTTTAAAGTCTGTTTTGTCAGAAACTAGGATTGCAACCCCTGCTTTTATATGTTTTCCATTTGCTTGGTAAATTTTCCTCCATCCATTTATTTTGAGCTTATGTGTGTTTTTGCATGTGAGATGGGTCTCTTGAAGACAGTATACCAATGGGTCTTGTTTCTTTATCCAGCTTGCCACCCTGTCTTTTAAATGGGGCATTTAGTCCATTTACATTTAAGGTTAGTATTGTTATGTGTGGATTTGATGCTGTCATCATGATGCTAGCTCGTTATTTGGCAGACTTGTTTATGTGGTTGCTTTATAGTGTCATTGGTGTGTGTATTTCAATGTGTTTTTGTAGTGGGTGGTAGTGTTTTTTTCCTTTCCATATTTAGTGTTTCCTTCAGGAGCTCTCATAAGGCAGATCTGGTGGTAACAAATTCCCTCAGCACTTGCTTGTCTGAAGAGGATCTTATTTATTCTTTGGTTATGAAGCTTAGTTTGGCCGGATATGAAATTCTGGGTTGAATTTTTTTTTTTTTTTTTAAAGAATGTTAAATATTGGCCCTCAATCTCATCTGGCTTCTAGGGTTTCCACTGAGAGGTCCACGGTTAGTCTGATGGGCTTCCATTTGTAGGTAAGTGGCCTTTTCTTTGACTGCCCTTAACGTTTTTTCTTTCATTTCAATTTTGTAGAACTTGAATCTGGAGAAGCTGATGATTATGTGTCTTAGAGATGGTCTTCTTGTGGACTTGTGGAGTATCCCACTGGGGTTCTCTGCATTTCCTGAATTTGAGTGTTGGCCTGTCTAGCAAATTTGGGGAAGTTCTCATGGATGATATCCTGAAATATGTTTTCCAGATTGGTTCCATTCTCCCCAGCTCTTTTAGGTACACCAATCAGTTGTAGATTCTGTCTCTATATAATCCCATATTTCTCACAGGTTTTGCTCATTCCTTTTCATTCTTTTTTCTCTATTATTGTCTGTCTTATTTCAGAAATACAGTCTTCAAGCTCTGAGATTCTTTCCTCTGCTTGGTCTATTCTGCTATTAATACTTGTGATTGCATTATGAAATTCTTGTATTGTGTTTTTCAGCTCTATCAGGTTGGTTATTTTCTTCTCTATGTTGGCTATTTTGTTAGCTTCTGTAATATTTTATTGTGATTTTTAGCTTCCTTGCATCAAGTTAGAACATGCTCCTTTATCTCAGAGAAATGTGTTTTAATCCACTTTCTGAGGTCTACTTCTGTTATTTCAGCCATGTCAGCCTCAGCCCTATTCCAAACCCTTGCTGAAGAGGTGATGTTCATTTGGAGGAGAGAGGGAACTCTGGCTTTTTGACTTTTCTGTGTTCTTGTACTGATTATTTATCATCTTTGTTGGCCTTCAATCTTTGAGGTTGCTGACCTTTGGATGGAGTTTTTGTTTTGTTTTGTTTTTCAACAGTCTAGCCACTTTTCTGTAGACATGTTGTGGTTTGCCGGGCATCTGCTCTAGTCCCTAGTCACCTCGGATTTTCCAGTACCTGGAGGTATGTGAAGACTGTGAAATAGCAAGGATGGCGGCCTGCCCCTTCCACTGGGAGCATCCCAGGGTGGTACAGGCCTGTTGGCAGCCTGAACACACCTTAGGAGGTGGCTGGAGACCCTGGTTGGGAAGTCTCACCCTGCCAGGAGGAATGGAATCAGGGACCCACTTAAAGAAGCAGTTTAGCCCCACTTTCATAGAGCAGCCAAGCTGTGCTGAGGTATTGTTTCTGTCCCCTGTAGGGCTGGGCTCTCCAAAGCCTTGAGGCTGGAATGGCTAAGTAGCTGAAACAGCAAAGATGGCAGCCCACCCCTCCCTCTAGTAACTCTGTCCTAGGAAGTTTTCAAACCTCTGTCACCAGAGAACATCAGTGGGAGTGGGTGGAATCCTGCCCATTGAGAAGGAACAGATCAGGGTCCCACTTAAGAAAGTCGTCTGGCCATGCTTTTGTAGAGCAGCTGTGCTATGTAGGGGTACTGCTTCTGCCCCTGGATGGTTTAGTTTCTCCTAAGCCTTCAGGCTGGAACAGCTGAATTGTCCAAACAGCAAAGATGGCAGCCGGTTCCTCCCTCCATCCTAGGGAGAAATCAAAACTGTCTGCCAGAGAATATGGGTGGGGCTGGCTGGAGGCCCTGGTTGGGAGGCCTTGCCCCTCAGATGAGGAATGGATTGGGGTCCTGCTTAAAGAAGCAGTCTGGCCATGTTTTGGTAGAGCAGCTGTGCTGTTGTGGGGGTCCCTTCTGTCCCTGGTCCGTTTGGTTTGGACTCTCCTAAACCTGCAGGAAGGAATGACTGAGTCTTTCAAATAGCAAAGATAGTGGCCTGCTTCTCCCTCTGGCAACTCCATTCTGCCCCAGGTAAATGCAACACTGTTGCCAGGGGCTGGCTGGAAATCCAAGCCAGTGGATCTTCTCCTGTGAGGTGCTGTGGAACTGGGGCCCACAGACCAATGCCGCTGGGCCTCCTGGATTCAGCTGTCCTCCTAGTGGTGTGTATGTATATCTGACCTCCCGCCTTGCCTGAGTTGCAGTCTCCCCTGCCGGGGATCCTGGGGCTGGAGTATGTAAAGCTCCTGGGAATCTGTGCAAGCCCGAGCAGCTGCTCTGCTGAGACTTCACGCAGCTCTGTGTGTCAGACCAAAGGCCCTGGTGGAGTAGGTTCGTGAGGAGATCTGACCTGAGGGTTGCAAAGACCAATGGGAGAAGTGTGGTTTCCCAGGGTCTCACATTCACTCAGTGCTTCCCTGGGCAGGGGGAGGTTCCCTTGGCTCCATGTCCCTCCCAGGTGGGCCGTCGCCCTGCCCTGCTTTTCTCCCTTCTCAGTGGGTCAAATTGTTTCCCTGATCAGTCCCAATGCGAGAACCTGGATGTTTCAGTTGAAGTTGCTGTATTTACTCGCCCCTTTTCTTCCTCCCTGTGAGAGCCATGCACTGTAGCTGCTTCTAGTCAGCCATCTTCACTCCCTGACAATTCTTTTTCCTGTGATTATTTGCCACTCATATATCTTATTTAGTTAAAAGGTCTGTTCAAACCTTTTAACCATTTTTTTTTGAAAATAAGTTGGTTTTCTTATTACTGAGTTTTAAGCATTATTTATACATTCTAGCTACACGTCTCTTTTAAAAAATATAATTTGCAAATGTTCTCCTTGAGCATGTGGCCTTTCTTTTTATTCTCTTAACTGCATCTTTTGAATAGAAAAAGTTGTAAACTTGGCTGAAGTCCAATTTATCGATCTTTTTTCTTTTATGGATTGTGCTTTTGTTGTATCTAAAAACTATTCTTGACCCAAAGATACCAAGGGTTCCTCTTATTTTTTTTTCTTTTGGAAATTTTATTTTCATTTTATAAAGTTTAGGTGCTGCATTTATTTAATTTTTGTATATGGTGTGAGTTATGGATCTCCCAATTATTTCAGTATCATTTGTTGCAAAGATGATTCTGTTTATTGAATTGCTTTGCATCTTTGTTGAAACTCGATTGCCCCATATATGTGTGGGCCTATTTTTAAATTCTACTTTATTCCATTGGTATATTTGTTCGTCTTTATGCTAATGCCACACTGTCTTGCTGACTAGAGTTTTATTATTAGACTTGAAATTAAGTAATTTTAGTCTTCCAACTTCATTCCTTTTCAAAGCCGTGCTGGCTTTTTGTGATGGTTGGTATTCAGAAAACCTCTCTAAATTTCTGGGCTGGGCATTTTGTGTAGCTCTGTCTTCCCTGGTACTCTGTTCCTCATGGACTCCAACTGCTTTGATTGCTCAGCTTTCTCTCCTCAACTCAGTGAATCCACCAGCTTCTTCCAGGTTTCCTCTCCCTGTACTATGTCCTGGAAATGCTCTTAAGGTGAGATGCTGGGTCAGTCATAAGGATCACTTCATTTGTTTCCCATCTCTCAAGTATTATTGTCCTTTGTTGCCTGACGTTCAGTGTCTTGCAAACCATTGTTTCATATATTGTGTTTTTACTTGGTTGTTTCAGGACGGAGGGAGGGTGTAGCTGTTACTCCATCTTAGTCAGAAGTGAAGACACAAAAATAACTATTTTTCTATGTAATCTACTAGAGGAGCTATCAGCAAAATTGGAGATCCTAATTCTTGTTGCTTTTTCTATGTTGGAGTTAATCATTTGGGTTAACATCCACATTACAATTTGAAAATAGTGTTAAGAGGTTTGGCCTAGCAGTGGCTGTGTCAAAACAGAGCAAAATGCAGTTGTTTAAATTCCCATGTAATTAATGGCAGCTCAGCATTTGTTAACTTGTGAGTATATGGTGAGTTCTGATAGAGCAGACATAACTCAGACATATTTTCAGAGATGCTGCTTGTCGAGGTTAATTCAATTCTACAAACCAGAGAGGGCTTCTTTTCTGTCTGTTCTGTTTGGGAAACTTCAAGTAGTTTGGCACGGAGAAGCGTAGCGTGTGTGGTGGGGAAGTGGAAAGGGAGAACAAGGGACAAAGGAGTGTTGTTGAAAGATAAGGATAGAATAGTAGCTAGGGTCTGGATGCAGTAGTCTTGCATACAGCAGTGTGAAATTTGGATTAAATTGAAGGCAATGGAGAGTCTGGTTAACTTTAAAGAATTTGGTGACATTTATTCTTTAGAAATAGTACTCTGATGCCAGGCATGATGGCTCACACCTATAATCCTAGAACTTTGGGAGACAGAGATGGGAGGAGCACTTGAGGCCAAGAGTTCAAGTCCAGCCTGGGAAACGTAGACCTCATTTCTATTAAAAATTTAAAAAATTCATGAGGTCAAGAGATCGAGACCATTCTGGCCAATGTGATGAAACTCCGTCTCTACTAAAAATACAAAAATTAGCAGGGCGTGGTGGTGCACGCCTGTAGTCCAAGCTACCTGGGGGGCTGAGGCAGGAGAATTGTTTGAACCTGGGAGGCAGAGGTTGCACTGAGCTGAGATCATGCCACTGGACTCTAGCCTGGCAACAGATTGAGACTCTGTCTCAAAAGTAAATAAATAAATAATTAGCCAGTCATGGTGGCATGTGCCTGTGGTCCCAGCTACTTAGAAGGCTGAGGTGGTAGCGTCACTTGAGCCCAGGAATTCAAGGTTGCAGTGAGCTATGATCACACCTTTGCACTCCAGCCGGGGTGACTAGATCCCTGTCTCAAAAAGAAAAAAAAAATTTGCTGTGGCAGAAGAATCTGGACAGTGCTTGAATGGGATTTGATATAACCCCATTCATGATATAACAATCATGTTATATGCAGGAGGGTCTTTAGGAGGGTGTTGGAATAGTCTTGGTGAGGATGGAGGAAGACCTCAAGGAAGCATTAACCATGGGTTTGGAGAAAAGCAGGTAAGTTCAAGTAATATTTAAGAGGTAGTGTCAGTGGGACTTTGTAGTTGGGTAAACACATTTGGGGACTGGATAGAGATGGGGCAGAGGAATCAAGGAAGACTTCTGGATTTTGGACTCAACTAAATGGGAGAAGTTGGAACTGTTGAACAAAAGGATGTATGTAGGTGTGTGTGTGTAACAGCACCTCAGAGTTTGCTTTTTCTGAGACATTCTGAGTCAATCAGACCTCTTTCAGTTGCATGTCACATAATTTCAATTCATAGTAATTTTTTTAAAAAGGAAATTTATTGGGTCTCATAATTGAAAAGTCTGGGAATATTTTAGCTTCAGGCACAACTGAATCCAGCTGTTCAGATAGTTGTACATTTGTGTAAATTGAGAATTTTGCATATGTGTGTGCTTGGTGATGGTGGCAAATTATGGCTTCCATTCTACCAGTCAAATAATCTTAAAGGAAAGAGAGTGGATCTTTGTCATTGGTTCCAGTAAAAGTGATGGAACAAAATCTCATTGGATCTATTTGACCCATGTGTTCAATTCTAAGTCCATCCCTACAGACAGGTAGGTAGATAGAATATTCCGATTGGCCAGGCTAGGATCATGTGTCCTCCCCAGAAATCAGTGTTCATACAACTGAGTATGTGATTCACTCTCCTTCCCCTTCCAAGAAAAATGGAAGCACTGCAAAAAGAATGGGAATGGATCCTCATCAGGCAAAGGTAACACATGTCTCCTATAATTTACTTCCAGTTCTAGAGCAGCAGCTGTGCATTGGCTGAATGAAATTGCTTAACTCCAGCCACTCTTGAGAGCCTGTGTCACATCTACTCCCCCATCATAGTAACCTGCTGGCTTGTCATTGGACATTGTAACTCCTTTAAGAGGGAAAGATTGATTGTGTACATTGTACCACACTTTCCTACAGTGGAGCTGGTTTCAATTGATTTTAAGCCAGGGAAAGAATCTATATCCGAAATTTGTGTTCATAGTGTGAACTCAATAGGGCTTATAAATGCCTCCTGAATAACAATGTCATATTGTCGATTACATTTATGTGAGGTGCATGGAAATAATAGAACTGCACAGTTTCACTGAAACATGGGCTGTTAGAACTGGTAGGCACCTGAAGAATCATCTAACCTAGTTTTGCTCACACTTTTGCATTCTAGGACCACTGTTAACATTAAGTTTTTTCTACTCCATATGAAAGAATTTTATTCAGATGATGCCTGATGCTTGCATGGGTTCAAGAACCTGAATCTATGTTCTGACAGTTTGAGAATCACCAATCTAGTCCAGCTAACTTCATTTTGACAGCTGAGGAAATTAAAGAAATTGAGAACAAAGAGAAATGATTTACACAAAGTCACATAGCAGATGTAGAGCAAGAACCTGGGTCACTTGGACTTTTCTCCCGATTTGGAGCTTTTCCCACTTATCAGGCTGAACCTGTTGCATGTTCCATTGATAGAGAAGAATTTGGGGTACTTCAAAAATATTTCTGACATTTAGGCAGGGATTACTGGAGTAATTTCCTAGGCAAGTTGGATTTTTAAATTTTGTTCCTTTTATTCCACTTTTCAGAGACATTTATTCTTGTCCTCTGTTTAATAAAAAGAAAAAAGGACCTACCATTTATTCAGCACTGACTCTGAAGTTATTTAATCCTCATGACGGCCTTGTCGATTAGATACTCTGGTTTCCATTTTATAGATAATGAAGGAGGGGCTCAGACACATGAAGAAAATTGACCAAGTTTACACAGCTAGTTGGAGTGGGACTTCTTGATCATCACTGGTGCTCTGCGTTTCTTCTAGTGAACACTTTCTCCAGCAAATAAACAAAGACACTTCCCAGATGCCGAGAATATCCATGGCTATTTAATTGGTTGACAAGGCAAATTGTTAATAATAACAATAAAATAATCTACAGTACTAAATTCTTTATGGAAATGATAAGCACCTAACATTTCAGACCTTCAAAAAAAGCATGTGTTGGCTTTGAGGAGACACTCAGGCTTTCTAAAAAGGATCCTTTCCTCTTTCGGCTTGCAGAGATCAGCAAACTGTAGCTTGTGGGCCAAATTTGGCCCACCATCTGTTTTTATGAATAAAGATTTACTGGGACACAGCCAAACCCATTCATTTGTATATTGTTCATTGCTGCTTTTGTGCTACAATGGAAAGTTTGAGTAATTGTGAATGGAGACCATATGGTTTACAAAGCCTAAAATATTTACTATATGGCCTTTTATAGAAAGTTTGCCAACCACTGGTCTACAGGAATAGTTTGCAGACTCTGTCCTTCGGAGACCTATTCACTGATACGTAACTCAAAAACCTCTTTTCCTGGGGCAGGGATGTCAGTGAACAAAGTTCTTGGCATAATTTACTTCAAACAGAGCAATAGTGCTTTCATATGTATTATACCTTGAGTTTTCACAGGTAAATCTGTTCGGCTGTTTCAATAACCTGGAAACAGTATCACAAAAATATGGTTTGTATTTTCTTGGTAAGTAGGGACTGCCTTGGAGGAGGTAATATGCCTCAATAATTTCTTATATCACCAAACTCTCCACAACAAAAATATTGTGATGGATTGTGCTTATAGACCTGTTTTACTTTCTGCCCAAACTTTATGGTCATTATAGGACATATTTCTTAAGTAAACTATCAGTATAATTCCACTGGAAGCTTCTAACTCATCAAGTAAATACAATTTTGCAGTAAGCAGGACAACTTCTATTTCCCATATGAATGCTCAAATTCACTTTTCATAGGCACTAGCATTTTCCTACCGGGACCAACAGTTAGACAAAGATTTACAGGACTCTCCAGAAATCTGACCTAATGCCTCCAGTGCACTCATCACCCAACCTTCTTCAGAAGAATGTGACAGATTATTGTCTGCGCAACTTACCGTGCACAATGTCCAGCATGCTAAAAAAGTTACTAGACATGCAGAGAAACAGGGAAACGTGAGCCATAGTCAAGAGGAAAAACAGTAAGTAAAGAAAGACAGGATGATTCTGATTTTGAAATTAGCAGGCAAGCACTTTAAAGAGCTTATTGTAAATGTGCTCAAGAATTTAAAAAAAGATAGTCATAATTATTGAAAAGAAAATCAATAGAAAAATAAAACTATAAAAAGTAGAACCAAAATAAATTTTAGAGCTGGAAATTTAAAAATGAAACACTCACCAAATATTTGGCCTTCCCTTCTGACATCTTCCAAATCTTTCTTATTGGGCCAACCATAGAGTCATTTGGGTAAAAAATCAACTAGATTTGTTTTTACCCTTTATAGAAATACTATTTGTGTTCTTTAGCTCGCTGTAGGAATGCCTATCTACCTGTATGTAGGGAAAATATAAACGAGGGAAGGATTAATACCAAATTCAGGATGTGGTTACCTCTGGGAGGAGGGAGGGCAAAATGCTAGGGAAGGAGTACATTGGGAGCTTTAGATGATAATATTTTACTTCTTAAGCTGGATACCTGTATATAGAGCTTCACTGTATTATTATTTATTTCTCTTTGTAAATCTTAAGTATTACATGATATACTTATTTAAAGAAAGAAAACCTCAAAAAAATGCAAATGGAGCTGTCATTAATTCCCATCTTACTCATATCAGTTTTCTTTCCTAATAGTAACAATAATAAAGATAGGCCATGAATAGTTGGGAATTTTGGCAGAAGTGGGGACATAGCAGTAGAAAGCATAGAGTTGGAAGTTAAGGAAAATGTATTGGAAAGGACCCCAAAATATCAAATGTCACAGGAGCTCTGGCATGAAATGGAGAAACAGAGTTCATGAGAGGGTAGGAGGAGGTCCTGGCAGTAATTTCCTGCTTGTTAAGCTTCGTCATTTGCTGCTGTGGTCCAAGAAGATGCTTCTAGAAACAGAGTTAACCTGCTACCTGGTGGGAGCAGTGCTGCATGTGGCTAGGAAGGCCAAGAGAAATCCAGGAGCAGTGTGGAGCCCCTGCACCAGTGGGCTGAAAAAAAAAGCTGTCAATGTCCATTTTCCAAGGAGGCTTGGACACAGCTGGCAGAGGCCAGGCAGTCAGCTTACCATTCAGAGGCAGGAAAGTGTTCACAGTGGGGTGGCTGAGTGAGTCTCGGCAAAGAAACACAGAGATAGGAACAAAGGCTCAGGAGGTATGAGATCAAGTCCATATTAATATTAACAATGGCTGACATTCATGTAGCACTTACTACATAAAGGGTTTATGGCACCCTTTAAACTGTTTGCCTGGATCATCTCACCAAATCCTCAGAACAACCCTGTAAACTAGGTACTAACATGATCTCCATTTAATAGATGAGAAATGAGAGGCTCAAGGTCATACAGTAATATGGAGATGGAGCTGGGAATATAGTCGAGGTGGAGCTGGGAATGTAGTCGAGGCTGTCTGACCCTAGAGCATATACTTAACTGCAAACTGTTGCCTCAGCAGAATTTTGAAGAACAAGAATGACTATGGCCAGGAGTTGATTCCAACTAATGATCAGTGTCCAAGATTCAAGAGTCCAGAGAACAAACAGATTGAGGTCTTCAATCAAATGCTCATATCTGCTTCTGTAAGGGCTAAGCCCTGCTTGCCAATTCTAAAATAATTGCAGCAGGTGTAATGAAGTTTTTCTGGGCTTGAAGCTTATGCAAATTTTGAGATTCTCTTTAATGCAAAAATATGTTTCTTTAAAAAATGTTACAAAAAAAAAATGACCATATAACACATAGCTGAGGTTTCTCTCAGGGCCTTGGAAGGGGCCCATGAAGGTTGGGGACATTGAAGTTTAAGCTTTCTCAGTGGCTTTGGCTGCTGGCTGTGAGTCTGGGGATCACATAATTTTGCAGTTTGTGAGACCTTTACTAATGTCTATCTTGTCACCTAGAAAGAAACTCTAGTAGAGAGAATTTTTTTTATTATTTTATTATCACATAGGCGTCATTCCTTTGTGTTTTAAGATTCTAGGCTGACCTTTATTTTTGCCTTCTGACGGAAACATTTTTCTCAGATTGGGGACATAATATTCAGAGTCCAGTAGAGAAACAGGACATTCTGAGTCTTTCAGAAAGAGTGAAGTTAATATTGGAAATTGGCTAGCTAGGCAATGAAGAGCTGAGAAGCCAAACAGAAGATACTGAAGCACCTCTGAGATTAACAACTGCGGAAAGCTACTTCCACCCTTAGGAATGGAAAGATAAAGGAAGGAGATGGGGTTACAAAAATCTGGAAACCATGGCTATCTCTCTGGAGATACGCTCAATAGAAATGAGCACATGGCCCTGGGTCAATGGGGAAGAGTCAGCTACTTTTAGAGGGCTGTTCCTCTTCTCCCATCATTTGGTCTTTCACCAATGCCTTCTACCTATCCAGAGCCAGTTGGCAAGGGAGCCTGGGAAATGTAGTTTTCGGCAGTAAATAGGTCAAGGTAAAGATTGGAAATAGATCTGAGATTCAGAGGTCTCACCACAAGATAAATACTTTTTTAAAAAGTTTTATTATTATTATACTTTAAGTTTTAGGGTACATGTGCACAACGTGCAGGTTTGTTACATATGTATACATGTGCATTGTTGGTGTGCTGCACCCATTAACTTGTCATTTAGCATTAGGTATATCTCCTAATGCTATCCCTCCCCGCTCCCCCCACCCCACAACAGTCCCCAGTGTGTAAGATAAATACTTTCATGGAGTGTTATGAAGCGAATTGTGATTCCACTCACCCTACTAAATTCATTGGTTGAAGGCTAATCTCTAGTACCTCAGAATGCGACTGTATTTGGAGATAGGTTTTTAAAGACATAGTTAAGTTAAAATGATGTCTTTAGGGTGGGTCTTAATTCAATATGACTGCTATCCTTATAAGAAGAAAAAATTTGGATACAGGTACAGAGGGAAGACCATGTGATGACACAGGGAGAAGACAGCCATGTACAAGCTGAGGAAAGAGACCTCATCAGAAATCCTACTGACACCTTTATCTTGGACTTCTGGCCTCCAGAACCACAAGAAAATAAATTTCTGTTGTTAAGCCACCCAGTCTGTGGTACTTTGTTATGGCAGCCCTAGCAAATTAATACAAAGAGGTTGCAGCGTTCTGAGATACAGTGTGTTCCATTGTTGCCCTTGGAGAGTGTCTCCAATGCTCAATGATTAAACTTGATTGTTCCCAGGTTTTTCCAGCTTCCATTTGCACAACTCAACTGGGTCATTCCTGCAGATGGAAATCTCATCCATCACCATTTGATTCTCCTTTTCTTTCTAGAGATTCCAGGAGATCCTTGCAGTGTTAAGCAGATCAATTCATTGTCTAATTTGAAGAAATGACCCCTTATCTGTGGGCCAGAAAATAAAAAGATGGTAAAATTTGCTTCTGAAACTGTCCAACTCCTCAATGAAAAACAAAAACTCTCTTTTTGGAGCTGTCTCAAATTCTACGTGGCAATGGTTAAATAATAAATAATTCCCTTCAGACCAGATGGCAATTTGATGCTTTAGAGGCAAACTGCTACCTTTTCATTTTCCCTCTGCTGCATCACAATTCATGTGGATCAAGACAACAGGAGCAGGAGGAAGAACATTCTGCATTTTCTCTCCATCTGTTCCTGTGAGGCCAGTGTGATAACAATATGGCATTCACTGCAGGATGACAACACAAGGCTCAAGACTCACACCAGCAGCATCCTACTTTATAATAGGAATCTGTACTGCTAGACCCTGGAGGGAAATATGGCCAATTCCAGGACCTGAAAATATGATGATTGTGTCCAATGATGTAACAAATAAAACAGGGTATTTAGCTATAAAATACCAGGGCTCAAGGCCTGGATGGGACTTCCCATCTGTGCGACCTTGGGCAAGTCACCTTCTCATTCTGGACATGAATATCTCCTCTGTCAAGTGGGGACAATATCTGGCTTACTGACACATTGGGCCATTGAAGTAATCAAATGCAGTACCTTGTGTAGGCATGTGTAGCTCTAAATTAGCGCTAACAAACGCACACAAAAGTTGTGATTATTATTTTGTCGTGATCCCAGACTTTTAAAAAATTTAGGGACAGAAGACTGTTTTCTGCTCTTATTTGTTGAATATATAGACAGGCAAATATCATTCCCCACCACCCAAGTCACTGGGTAATTTATGATTAAAAGCTTTGGCTTCATTGCATAGCAGAGACATTGGAAAAACTAAGAAAACCTAGAATGGTAATTTCTCCCATTAAATAAATCCGCATTTCAAGGTATTTCTCCCCAAATAATTTCTTTAAGTATAGTGTTATTCATGCAGCAGAGTAATTTCTCTTGTCAGCTTTACTGAGGTATAATTTACATACAATAAAATGCATGAATTTCAAGTATACTATTCAATGAGATTTGACAAATATATGCAGTTTTGAAACCATCATAATTGACAGGGTAATCTTTGCAGATAATGATTTATGATTTTCCTGCTTTCCGTTTTCCAAAATGAGTAGTGGGCTCTAGGGTCCTGGCTTGGAGAGGTTTGTGGCTGTACGAAGGGCAAACATGGGCTGTAAGATAAGCCTGTCTGTGACTTTGCTTTTCAGCATCCCCAGGCATGAAGGAGCTTATGCTAGGTGTCCTGGTGGGGAAAAAAGGAAGTGCCTCAGAGGGTGACGAGAATGCAGATGGCGATGAAGAGGATGGTGATGACGATGATTAAATGTGAGGTCCCAGTCTCAGGGCTTTTACATGTATTAGCTCATTTAATCCTCATAACATCCTATGAGGTAGCTTCTATTTTGTTTCCCATTTTATGGATGAGAATACTGAAGCACTTTGGACCATAAGTGGCAGAGCAAGGGTTTGAACCTGTAGTCTGCTCTATAACCTAATCTGTGAAAATAAAAGCGTTTTCCTAGAACCAGAAAGAAAAGTTCAGAATCTGGGAAAGCAAGAGAGGAGCTATTATTTTTTTTCAAGCTGTGGGAAGCAATGCCCTGCTACTTCAGAGAACAATTTCACTGGAGAAGACTAGGCAGAGAAAAGACCTTACAGACGAAGATGATGGGTTTGTCAGGGCTAAACAATTTGAAGGGGCATCCCAGTGTCATAGGATTAGGTAGAAACTCTGTGTTCTTTGCTTATGCTTGTAGAAGAATCCCCAAGCCAAATGGAGCTTATATATCTAGCCAGCTTGTTGGAAAAGGCCTGAAGATAATGTTAATCTTCGTCTGTTCTTAAAATTAATCATAGTTAAAAAACGTAACCTCTTATTTTATAGAACTTTGAAAAGGGGAATTGAAACTCACAATTCAAATTCCAGAGCTGGATAATACTCCCCAAAGAACTCTTCTGGCCTTGAAACAATTGTTTTCACTGAACTCTTTCCTGGAATGTTAAGGGGGCAAGGAAGACAACATCTGAGATTAACTCACCAGATATCTCCTAAAAAACAAAATGAGACAGGAATACCAATGTTAAGTTCTCAGTTTCTTATATCCCAGGGTGCTAACTTCTGGATATAACCTGGGGGTTAAAATATAAGAACCATTAAAGATGAGTGCTTCAGAGTTTACATAAAAGCAATATAGTAAAATATGCTTACATTATTACATGAGAAAAGCAATTCTAGAATACAATACTGATTATATCATTTGTCTGATTAAAATGATTCTGCCTCTCTGCTATACTTGGTGGTAGAGCCTGGAGAAAGCCCTTCCACTTTCATAGGTAGCACCAGTGGAGAACCAGTGGAGCCTCAGCATCACCAGAAAAACCAAGCAAACCAAACGCCACAAAGGATCTGAGGTTCCTTTGGAAGCACAGCCCGCAACAGTAAGTCAAGACACATGAGCTTAACCTCAACTTAAACAGGGTGACATTCTGCTAAAATAAGAGACTTAAATAGGACCAAAAGCTTCTAACACAGTAGACAAAATTACTAGGATACAATAACAAATCACCCATCCACCTACCCAAGAAATGGTACTCGAAAATTGGACATCCATAGGCAAAAGACGAAAAGAAAAAACCTTCAACTAAGTCTCACGTATTATATAAAAATTACGGATCATGGACTTATATGTAAACTATAAAACTATAAAATGATAAAACTTTAGGAAAAAAAATTTCAAGATTTAGGGCAATGAGTTAACACTAAAAAAAGCACAATCCATAAAAGCAAAAATTGGTAAATTAGACCTCTTCATAATTAAAAACTTCCACTATGAGAAAGCCCATGTGAAGAGGATCAAAAGACAAGTTATAGACTGGGAGAAAATATTTGCAAACCACAAATGTGACAGAACACTAGTATCTGTAATATAGAGAGAATTATCAAAGCTCAAGTTAAAAACTAAAGCAAACAATCTAGTTAGAAAATGGGCAAAAGACACGAGACATTTCTATGAAGAGGATGTCCCCATGGTAGATAATCAAACAGATGTTCATTCAACACCATTAACCATCAGGTCAAATTGACACCTCAGTGAGATATCACTATAGCCCTATAAGAATGACTAAAAACGAAATTAGTTACAGCAATTGTTGGCAAAGTTGCAGAGAAATCGGATCACTCATACCTTGCTGTGGAAGAATGTAAGATAGTACCATCATTCTGGAAAATACTTTGGCAGTTTCTTAAAAACTAAACATACAATTACAATATAATCTAGCAATTTCATTTCTGGGCATTGATCCTAGAGAAATAAAAACTTACATTCGTATGAAGAAACCTGTGCGTGAATGTTCATATCAGCTTTATTTATAATGGCCAAAAACTAGAGTAAGTCCAGGTGTTCTTCAACAGGTGAAAGATTAAACCATGGTCCATCTGTATAATGCTCAGCATACAACTGATATACTCAATTGATATACAATTGATATACTCAATGACTTGGATGACTCTCTGAAGAAATATGTTAAGTGAAAAAAAGCTAATACCTAAGGTAGAATTCCATTTATATAACATTCTTGAAATGACAATATTATAGACAGGGGTTTCAGAAATGACTGGTGATTGCCAGAGGCTGAGGATAGGGAGGGGTGTTATGGATCGAATTCTATCTCCCCAAAATTCACATGTGGCGGTCTTAACCCCTAGTATCTCGGAATGGGACTTAATGTGGAAATAGGGTCATTGCAGATAAAATTAGTTAAGATGAGGTCAACCTGGAGTAGGGTGAGACCCTAATCCAATATGAGTGGTGCTCTTTTAAAAGGGGGAAATTTAAAGATAACACACAGGGAGAACACTCTGTGACAATGAAAGCAGAGATATGTAAGTCAAGGAACACCCAAGATGGCCAGCAAACCATCAGAAGCCAGGAAATGAAACAGGATTCTCTCATACCACTCAGAAGGAACCCAGCTTGCTGAACCATTGATCTTGGACCCCTAGCCTCCAGAACTGTGAGAAAATAAATTTCTGTTTTAGCCATCCAGTTTGTGGTGCTTTTTAATGGCAGTCCTAGCAAACTAATATGGGGGCTGAAGGTGGTAGGAGGAAAGTGAGTTTGGCCATAAGGGGTAGTAAGATCCTCATGGTGCAGGAACTGTTCTGAATCTTGGCTGCATCAATGTCGATGTCCTGGATGGGATATTGTACTATAGTTTTGCAAACATTGTGGTAAACTGGGTAAATGGTACAGGATCTCTCTGTATTATTTCTTACAACTGCATCTGAATCTACAATTAACTCAAAAAATTTAAAAATATATATTTGACATCCTGGAAAAATATATGTTTGAAAATGTACTCTTCTATTTAACATAAAAAAGTTTATTTATTTTTGGAGAATATGTATTTTCCCAAAATGTATGGGGCGAATATACTAGCCATGTTGCTGGAAGACCACAGCCTCAACTTCAACATGGGTCTAGGAAGCTGGCAGGCAGAGACTAGTTGAGAGAAGCCCTGTGGGGAGGAAGGGTAATAATAATCTCAAAGTAGAGGCTTGTATTGGGGAGAGGAAATATTTAAAATTGGAGCAAAGGTGTAATCAGTATTGATTTTCTCCTTGTGGCTGTTTCCCCAGAAGAGACTTGGTGCCCTAGGGCATTTCCTGTCCGTGTCCACCCTTGCCCCATCCTGCTCCTCCCTCCCACCATGTTTAAAGGTTGTCTTCATTTTCAGCCAAGCAGTCTCTGGAGCTCTCCACCAATATGGAGATGACCTGCTTGGTCATCTGCAAATAAAGAGCCAAATGAAGTTAGATGGGGGAGAGGGTTTGTGTGTGAGGTTTGAGACCAAGAAGGGGTATGGGGAGAGGATGTGAAACTGTATCCTTTTATCCTATTCAACAAGTTCCTTCTCCTTTATCTTTTGTGCCTCAAGCACAGGAAAAATGTCTGCTCTCGGTGTCTGCTGATCTGCTTGTTTTCTTTCTTTAGAAAACTTGACAAACTAAATAACATAATGCAGCAAAACAACTGCCATGGAATTAGGCACAGTGTATGTCCATCTTCAACAGTGTGGCTAGTGGAAAGATAATTAGCTTTGCAGGCTGAGGAGCCTATGTTCAAACCCCTCACCCCCAGCTTAGATGCTGATCAGCTTCATGACCTAGGTGACCTAATTACTGACTCAAAGCCTCAGCTTCCTCAACTGTAAGATGGAAATAAGAGGGTTTTTTTGGGGAGAGGATAAAATGTGATAATAAATCACCAAGATAAGTGCTTAAAATTTAGTAAGTACTCAATAAGTGTTTATTTCCTTCCTTTCCTCTTTCCTGGAGAGCTGAATTTGGAACTAAATGGCATTCTCTCAAGCACCACTTGGAAGGGATCATGAATGAGATGAGATACTCAGTCTATTAGTTGTCTATTGCTGCATAAGAAATTACCCCCAAATTTAGTGGTTTAAAACAATAAACATTTATTATTTCACAGTCTCTCTGGATCATAAATCTACATGTTCCTGTCTCAGGATCTTTCTCAAGGCTTTAATGACTATGCCATCCAGGGCTGCAGTCTCATATGAAGGCTTGACTGGGGAAAGAACTGTTTCCAAATGTACTCTTGGATTTGGCAGCATTCTGTTTCTTGTGGATTGCTGGACCTGGGTTCTTTGCTGGCAGTTAGGCTGAGATCTCCCTGAGTTGCCACGTGGGTCTCTCCTAAGGACAGCTAACAACATGGCAACTAGAGTATAGCAGAGGAAACAATAGAGAGCAAGAGGGAATAAGCAAGACACAAGCCAGAGTCTTTTTTTTGTAACCCAAACTCATCCCCTTTGTAGTATTCTATTCATTAGAAGCAAATTGTTAGGTCCAGCTCATGAGGGGAGGGAATTACACAAGGATATGAATACTTGGAGGTGGGGATCATTAGGAGTCACATTAAAGGCTGCCTACTACCTTTTGCCCTCTGGTCCCTGACAAGTCACATCTCTCTCACATGCAAAGTATATTCAGTAATTCCCAAAAACCATTTATAAAGTATCAGCTCTATGTTCCAAATATCATGATGCATATCAGGTTCAGGGGAGGATGAGACTCCTTGAATATAGTTAAGCACAGTTTCTTGAGTACAGTTTCTGTCAATATGAGGATCTATGAAATTAAAGAGGCAGTTACCTGCTGGGCCCCACTCAACATACAGTGGTGGGGCAGGCATAGCCTAACTGCTATAGACATTCCTGTTCAAAAGGGAAAAACGTGAGCTACAGAGTGGTAGCTGGTCTATAGAAATTTTGGAATTTCCATGGGAAGTGTCCCAACCTTCCTAATTATGCTTTTTTTTGTAACCACACTTCAAAATTCCCATTTAGACAGCGTCCTCATCTTAGCTCAAAGGTGACTGTGGTATAGTGGAGTCAGATGAGGATTTAAATTATGGTCTCACTCAGCAGTCACTCAGCATTTCTGAACTCAGTTTTCCTATCTGTAAAGTGGGAGTCATTTTCCTCTCAGGTTTCTAAGAGGATGAACAGGAAAAGAGATGTTACATGTAGAGCTCTAGACAGCTGAACACAGAGTAAGCATGCAATAAATGTTAGTTCCCTTCTGCCTTCAGTTAATTAGTGAATGAGTAAAATCATCTGATAAACTAATTTATAAGAAGGTTATTGGAAAGTTAGCATTGATTTTTATAGGCTTAATATAGCTCCAGTTAATGGCTTATGGATTCCTGCATGCTCAGGCTCCACTAGGGGTGTCTATTAAAGCAGAAAAAAGGGCAGTAGGTGCCAAGCAGCTTCAGAGCTAGATGCCGGACCTCCCTGGGCCGGGCTGGGTAGGGATGCTGTATCAAGATGCCATGGTTCTTGTGCAGGTCTGAAATTGGGTATGAGAGAGAGAGATGTCTTCACATAGGAGGCTTCCAAGTTGAGTGGCAGTGGCCACTGAGAATGAAAGTAAATTGTTTTTCCTGGTTCTGAGGCAGTCATCTTGAGAGGCAGCGTAGAATAGGGGTTACAGAGCACAGCTTCTTGTGCCAGACTTCCTGGGGCTGAATTGTGGCCCTATCACCTACTAGCTCTATGACCTTGGGCAAGTCACTGTATTTTTTTGTTGTTGCCTCATTCCCAATAGTAATAGTGTCTACCTCATAGGGTTATGGTGAAGATTAAGTGAGTTCATTTAAATGAAGCAATTAGAACCATGCCTAGCACAAAGTAAGCATTATGTAAATGTTGACTATCATTACTATTTCAAGCTTGGGAAAGCTGCTCAAACAGATTTGGCTGTGGTCAGCCATCTTGCCCCAGTGTACTCATACTGAGTACAACAGCAGGAGGCCCCTGGGAATAAGCAGCAGCTTATTATAATAGACTTAATTGTAATACCTCCAACTTACACAGCATAAATAGTACTGAGCCCTATACTTGGAGCATTATAATGTAAGGTTTTAATTAGGAGGAAAAAGGGGGAAAAAAAAGGAACCACTGAGAAGTATTTGAAACAAAGGGAAAATAAACCAGGGACTTGGTTGTGGAAAAACCAACAAGACAATCTGGGACAAGAGACAACCCAGAAATTAGCCATAGCAAGCACCTACCTCCATTCCTGGGCTGGAAGGACAACAGAAGGATGAAGGGTAGCTAGAGGCCATGGGATGGGGTTACTCAGTAGGAGCTAGAACCATGGTGGGAAAATCTGGTGGGAACAAGAGCCGTAACAGAAGTCACTGCACAGATGCCACCAAGTCAGAAAGAGGGAGAATGCCACGGCTTCTTCTTTTTTCTCACCTTCCAGTCTTCCTTGGGGTTTCCTGTTGGCCAAGCCAGCCAAGAACCACAGCATATAGGCAACAGCCCCCTACCATAGGAAGCAGACCATTGGAAGGATGAGAAATCAATTTGAGAACAAGAAGGCTCAGGACTGGCTCAATACATCATTATCACAAACATGAGGGAGGCACTTTTATTCTCCAGTTTACAGATGGAGATATTAAGGCTGAGGGAGATTAAGTTGATAATTCAAGTATTCATAGCTGGTAAAATGGTAGAGGCAGGAATAGAATTCAAACCGGCCTGACTTCGAGGTCCATATCTGTCCACTGTACAGAAGGCTTCTTGACTCAGTCTTACCTGCATGTGCTCTACCCCCAGACTTACCAATACCACGGTCTAGGTCCCTATACAGAACCTCTTCACTGCATTTGCATTTGACTGTTCTTGGGGACTGCTGGGCCATTCTTGCTTGACTCAAAGAGGTGTTACTTTTTTTTTTTTTCCCCTTGAGGCAGGACCTTACTCTTTTGCACAGGCTGGAGTGCAGTGGCACAATCAGGGCTCACTGCAGCCTTGACCTCCTAGACTCAAGCATTCCTCCCACCTCAGCCTCCTGAGTAGCTGGGACTTGGGATTACAAGTGCACACCACCAGGCCTGGCTTTTTTTTTTTTTTTCTTGTAGAGACAGGGTTTTGCCATGTTGCCTATGTTGGTCTTGAACTCCTGGGCTCAGGTGATCCAGCTGCCTCAGCCTCCCAAAGTGCTAGGATTACAGGCCTGAGCCACCATGCCCAGCCAAAAGGGTGTTACTTTAATGGCAACTGTTCAGGTGTTTGGGTGAGCAGGCTGGGGATGGAGGTCTTTGAAGTCCATAGACCTAAGCTTTCCTAGTTGCACCGTGGCCCAAAGCCTCTGTCACGCTGTGAACCAAATCTGATGTTTCAGAATCACATTGTGGGAGCTTTTAAAACTTAAATCTCTTCATTGCTGAAGGCTATGAATCAGACAAGCTAAGAGGAGCCAGGAATTTGAAGTACTGTATGTGTTTTTAAAACTTTCTAGATTTCTCCAAAGCCAAGCTCTAACTGGTATCCCTTGGTGTTACCATCTGCTCTGATGGCCTGCATGGATGGTCAGAAGTTGCTTTGTTCAAATTAAGTTGTTAAAGGTCATATTAGCTTCCCGGCTGTCCGAGCATCTGGAGTGAATATAGGGGGAGGTCAGGAAAATTTTCTGTTCCCAGAACCCTACAAATAGCCTCAGTGGCATAGACTGAAATGATTCGTACGCATTACTAAACTGTGTTTGATATGCAAACACTCTAGTCAGTATTTGGCTGTCTTTGGAAGAAGGAACTCTCTGTCCTGTTTACATTTTGCTGCTTCTATTTGATATGCCAGCTTTTTATATTCACTTTTAAAAGTCTGTAGAGGATCTCTACCAGAGGGGCTGCTTGGCACAAAAGCTATCTCATGTCCGCCATTCCCAGATACTCAAATGTCTTAGGCTAGCCTGGAACCATCTCAGGGCTGAGAATTTAGAGACATAGCTCAGAAGGTAATTCAATATGTGATTGTCTCTAAATAGGAGTCTTACCTAGAGGTTTTTTTTAAAAAAACAAGATAAATCA
Organism: Homo sapiens; assembly: GCF_000001405.40. Taxonomy (NCBI): domain Eukaryota; kingdom Metazoa; phylum Chordata; class Mammalia; order Primates; family Hominidae; genus Homo; species Homo sapiens. Next base: position 111,925,950 of record NC_000010.11, on the reverse strand, counting down.
ATACCAGAATAAAATTCTAAGTTGCTATAGGCCTTAATTCTGGATGCACTTTAAAATAGAGGCAGTGAGGTATAAAATATTTATGTAAATATTTCTTCAATGGGAATTCTGAATTCTGATTAAATTGGTCTGTGGGATGAGTTTGGGCATTTATATATATATTTAAACTTCCCAAGTGATTCTAATAAATTAATTGAGAAGAATCAAGTGTGGTGCCTTCCTACCTCAAAACCAGGTAAGCCTAGCTTCAGACGCTGGGGTCTAGCGTTTAAAAGCTGTGTGATATTAGTCATTCAATTTCTTTGAGCTGATGGCATGACAAGAGGCTTGGGTGAGGAAGAAGGAGCTGGGGGAGGAGCCCACCCTAGACGTTGGCAATAAGGGGGCACATTATCTGGAAAATTTCAAGGAATAACAGCAAATCAAAGTCAATCTGCTTTTTGTTTTCACTAAACACTAGCAATTTTAGATGACATTAAAAATAAAGTACTCTTCCCCAAAGGGATGACTGTTTCCACTCTCATCTCCCCGCTACAGTCTGGTATGCCACTGAATTTGTTTCCTCATCTGTAAAGCTGGGTAAAATAAGGATAAAAACACCTACTTTGTAGGGTTGTCTTTGCAGTTTAGAAAAAGTTTGTACAAACTGTTTCTTGATCACTACCCTAGAGTGACTCTCCAGCCAGACTGCCTGGCTTGAATCCCAACTCCATTATTGCAACTTTGAGTGAGTTACTTAGTTCCTCTGCCTCAATTTTCCTCACCTGTAAATGGGGATAAGCAATCACCTACTTCATAGCACTGACTTGTTAATGAGGTAATGAATACAAAGTATCTTGGATCATGCTTGACACATAGTAAACCCTCAATAAATATTAGCTGTTACTACTGGCATATACTTAGATGTTTATTTACTTGTAATTATTATTTTATGGTAGATCAATATGTTAAACACTGATACCTCTAATAAGTGCCATTTATTTCCTTACTGATCCAAAATAGAAGGTTCCCTATCCTATAATGATGTCACAAGAGTGAACTCCCTCAGCATCCCTTGGTACCAGGTACCTTGTCTACTCTAAAAATCTTATACTTTCATCCCTTTCCTCACATCATATCTATTCTGGAAATAGACAAGACCTCATAATTGACATTTTAGGACTTCATTTTGACATTTCATAATTGACATTGCCAGTCACCTGCCTCAAATACAATAAGATAATATTTATAATGCAGAATCTTAGGAAAGAAAGTTAAAAGAGCATGCCAATAGGTATGCAATTCTGCTTAAAAATAAAATTTTCATTTACAAATAACTACACCACTTAATCTTATTATTCTAAGAACATTAACTGTAATGTTTAACACTGTTTAGCACTCAAAGTACACCATGTACTATGCTAAGAACTTGACAAGCATTACCTTATTTAATTCTCATTACAACTCTGTCAGAGCGGTTCTACTACTGGCCCTGCTCTACAGGTGAAAAAAACCAAAGAAGGTAAGCACTGGTCTGATAAGTACATCTAATAAGGGGCAGCTTCAAACCCAGGCCTCTGTCTCTGAAATCCATGTTCTTAATGACCGCCACCATCAGCATGTGTACACACGTCATTTCCTCATAGCACATGTTGCCTATAGGGTTATAAGTTGTTGAGTTTACATTCTGAGCAGCCATGTCTGCAGGTCTAGAGATACAGAGTCATTCCGAGAGGGAATTCTCACTCCATCCAAAGAATTAGTTCTATATTTGGAGTTTATTTTACACATATTTTAGAGCCAGCACATACCCCTCATAAGGGTAGAGTGTCAGAGTGTAGCCTTGCCAACTTTATTGGGCAGTTGCGTGGTTTTCTTTCCACTTGGAGAAGTTCATCCCTGCCATTACATAATTACAGCACCTGGACATCAATGGGCACCTGGGATGTCTTATACTTGCTTTTCCTAGCTAGATCTGGTCCTTTGTAGTACAGCCCAAGCTACTCTGTGGAGGAATTCTCTCTGGTTGATACTTCTGTTGGAATCCACTCTTGGCGGGAATGATGCTCTTGTAATTTTCCATCTCCATGCACAGGCCTTTGTCTTCTGCCATATATTCCCAGCCCCTTTCCTCAGGATCCATTTACACGCACTCATTTTCTAAGTCATTATTGCAATGGCCATTACAATTACAATTGGCTTCTTAATTCATAGCTGCTCTAATCATCATGACAATTAGGGTTAATTCACAGCATCTCTTATTGTTATCATTATTATTCATTTATTCAGTTTCGTTTTTAATATAATTATGGCTTAAGCCAGGGCATCCCAGGTCTCTTCAGGGTGAGAGTACACCATGCAGTGTGGTGCAATCAAAATAGCATAGGCCTCTTTATTGCAAAAACAATATTATAATAATAAAAGAAGTTGAAAAAAAATTACTCCTAATTTAACCACTCTTGCAAAACTGTTTTAATTTTCCCCATGTTTCTTTCTAAATTAGCTGAATGCTTTTACATCGTAGTAATTACAGTGTAACTGTTTTTTTTCCTTTCAGTTGACACTATACCAAATACAGTTTTCCAAGTTATTTTACTGTCCCCATAAATTTTATGTTCAATTAGAATCTCTCTAGCTGTATGACCTTCAGCCTGTTAACACAGACTTTGTGAGGTATACTAAAAACATAATTTATAATGCTTTGCTTGTCTCATGAGAAGTCATTGAGAAAGTAAATATGCAAATATTTGAGGACTCAGAGAAGGGAGTTTCTATACATGTTAGCTTCTATTTCATCTCTCAAATTTTGACTCCAGTGTTCTATTTTCGATCAATATCTCCTCCTTTGGGGCTGAAAAAGATTGCTAATTGAAATTCCTCTTAAAATACAGATATTTTTTGGAGTTACTAAGCATTATAAATTAACACTTGAATTTTGTGAGCCATTCCCCACTGGGAAGACATACTGGCCATTTTGCTGGGCCAGTTCAGATAATGAATAACTTAAAGATAGCTGTCTTTCTTTAAACTTCTTGTTCCTAGGCCAAAAGACTTGACAACTACATGTCTTAAAAATGACAGTCTTTCAATTTCATTGATCACAAAAAACAATGTAAAACTTGAAAAGACATTAAAAAATTTGTATATATCCTCTGTGACTTCACCACACTCATATAACTGGCTGCTTATTAGATAATAATCATGATCTATATTAAACTTGGTGTTCTGCCTTTGCCTAATGCTGAGTGCCACAACTTTCATTAGTAATTCCTGCAGTATTATCCATCAAGTTAATATCTTCTAATTTACTAGTTCATTCTCCTATGTTTGAACATTTAGGTGGTTTTCAGTGGTTTTGTATTATATATACTGCAGTAAGCAACTTCAACTATGAATCATTTTTTTATTTTTCTTTTTTTAAAATACTTCTCCAGGACAAATTCTCAGGAGCGGGATTATGGATACATAGGGAAGAAGCTACTTAATAGTTCCCAAAGGGTCCTAGATGCAGCTTTCCACAAGATCTGTAAAGTTAACACTCATTTATTTAATATAGCAAATGTTTATTCATATTCAGGGTAGCAAATTAATACCAATTCCAACCATAGAAAGTAGATTAAGGTACATTTTATTAAATGAAAAAATATACCATTTTTTGAGCAAGTAAGCAATCATCCAGTTCCTCCCCTCTCCTCCCCTCCCTTCCCTTTCCCATTCCATTAGTCTCAGCTATGCCCTCAGTGTGTGTTAGGTACCCTAAATGAAAAGGTAAGAGAGTGAAATAGAGAAAACAGGAATAACTAAGATTGATATAATGCATTATGGCTTAAGGACAAATAATCCTAATATGGAGTTTAACAACCCTATAAAGGCTAAAAGACAAATATTATCCCATTTTATAGATAATAGAAGAGACTCAGGATGGCATAGTGACTCGGCAGTGGTCCCCTGGTTGGTCAGCTGCCTGGCTGAAATGTTGACTCCCATCTCATGATCTTCTGATCTCAAGATCAGTGTTCTTTAAATGCACAAATTCTGTTGCCCTTAAGGAGTTTATGAAGTAGTCATAGAACAAATCAGGAAATTATACAGTTAAGTGCTGGTTTCTATGATAACGATGATAATACAACAAAACCACCTAACATTGATTCATTCAATATGTATCAGCAATGTATGCTATCTCGTTTAATTCTCACTGCAATCCTATAAAGCAGGTGTTGTTATCTTCATAAATCAGGAAACAGGATCACAGAGAAGTTAAATAACTTGCTCAAGAACAAAGTGCTAAGAAGTAACAAAACCAGAATTTGAAACCAGGACGCCTAATAGTGGAGCTCCTGCTTCCAACACTAATGTGTAAGGGAAGTGGGAGCCACGGACTTGCTATGGGACCTTACACATTTTTTTTTTTTTGAGATGGAGTCTGTGTCACCCAGGCTGGAGTGCAGTTATGTGATCTCAGCTCACGGTAACCTCCGCCTCCCAAGTTCAAGTGATTCTAGTGCCTCAGCCTCCCGAGTAGTTGGGACTACAGACGTGCACCACCGTGTCAGGCTGATTTTTGTGTTTTTTAGTAGAGGTGGGGTTTCACCATGTTGGCCAGGTGGGGCTTGAACTCCTGACCTCAAGTGATCTACCTGCCTTGACCTCCCAAAGTGTTGGGATTACAGACGTGAACCACCGCACTCAGCCCCTTAGACACATTTCTTAACTTTGATCTCCACTAAGTTTTTTCCTGGCCCTGAAAAGGGACCTTCTTCCACCTTGTTCTGTGAAAAAGCAGCTTTAGGAGCCTGCTTGCAGCGTCAAGGGCAGTTTGCATTGGGCATGCAGAGGAGCAGACCAGCACTTCACCAACACTTCTGAACTAAGATGTCGACTGAGTGGCCTGTGGCAAAAAAAAGGTTCTGAATTCCCTTTGTTCTCCCCTTTTATGTTGTCCAAAGAAAAACCAAAGCCAAAAATGCCCTTTGAAGCTGTTTTCTATATGAAAAAGTAAATAGAACCCTTCATAGTGCAAGATTCCAGAGTTGGAGCGGGATTTCAGTAAAGCTGCCCTGATGGCCAATGCTCCGGGGACTACTGCCTGGTGGGGAGATGGACCCAGAGCGGCAGCCAGAGCCGACTCCCTATGTTCCTTCATCCCATTCAGCAAATTCTGTTCCTGACAATTTCAATTGTTTAAGCCATATGAATGAGATGCTTTGCGCATCCTTTGAATAACACAAAGTCAGTTAGTATGCTGAATACTAATAAGCTTGATTCTTGCCTTGTGTTCAGAATGCCAGTGGCCATGCTTTGAGTTGATAGAGAGGGTGTGAAGAGGAGGAAGGGAACTTATCTGGGAGAGTGATTTCTGCAATACCCTCTTGGGTTCTGTAGAAATGTTCTTGCCCATCCACCCCCCCATCCACATGTGCGCGCGTGCACACACACACGCACACACAGCACAAATCTACATAGCACACACCTGTGTACGCAGACTCCCTTGATGACAAGAGTGATTTTGGCTGTTATTGCCACTGGTTACCTAAAAATAATGAGAATAACAAAATAACAAAAAATAACAAAATATTCCTATTTCCAGGATAGTACTCTCTTTGGGAATATACACCATATGTCCTTCATTCATATGGCCACAACAACAGCCAAAACCACTCTTGTCATCAAGGGAGTCTGTGCACACAGGTGTGTGCTCTGTGGATTTGTGCTGTGTGTGTGTGTGTGTGTGCATGTGTGTGGATGGGCAAGAAAATTTCTGATTCTGCAGTGAAAGGCATACAAATATTTTGCCTCACTCTTGCCTTCCCTAGCCTCAACCTTTTTGTCCCAGGACTGGGGTTTGAATATAAATGACAGACTTTGACCTTTTGTTTATTGAGAGGTTAACATCAAAAGACTTTGATCCAATCCTATTAGACTGACCAATAGCTCTGAGGTTGGTTAAATGCAAATGATTGATTAGCTGATGATATCACTCATGCTTACATTCTCCTCACTAATTAATCCTTGAACATTTCATCCTAAATATTATTCACTGGTTGACCAGGATGTGTTTAGAAAATATTCTCTAAGTGAGTCAAGGTGCAAACCTAAAATACAGCAAATAACTTCCTTTGGAGGACCACTGCTAGGATATCTCATTTTTTACAAACTTGCTATATTTCTTCAAGAGGAGGAAACTCTGGCACCAGAGGTGAATCTCCCAGACTTGTGGGAATGCATCATGTCTAAATGGGCTCTGGCCCATTTCTCACATTGGGTTATACCACTGGGCACATTTCCTTTAGCTTCATTAAACCACAGACAGAAGAAATTCAGAATGCCAGGAATGAGTAATTTTTAAAAAGTGATTTGAGGAGACAAATGGAGTCTATTGTTTATGGAGAGATTGAGGAAACAGCATTATTATCAGGACTGGTACCTTCTTCTCAATTCAGTACTATTGATTAAAACTTGGCAAAGGGGCTGTCTGTTAATCTGCATGACATTCACATCACATGTCAGGTAACTGGCAGTGTCTTCTAATTCTTATTCTTTAAAACCTTGAGATGCCAGAGAGTGTAGTGGATTTTGTTTTAAATTGGCTTAATTTTCAGCCCAAGTCCTCAGATATCTGAATAGTTGACTAGGAATATCACTTAAAAATTAATATCCTACATATGCCTTAAAATGTAAAATGTTTTGCATTACAGCTCAATTTTAAGTCATATTGCAAACCTGGGTTGCATAGACACACCTGGATTGAGAGAGCATATCTACTGTTCATTAAATTTCACTATTTCAGATTATAGATTGGTAGATGTCTGTGTAAGTCATGGGAATGATGGGAGCAGTGAAGATTAGACCTCCGTGTGAGTTTGCTGTGTGCATTGTACCCTTACGGATATAGAAATTAAATGGTATTAGGTATTAATACTTCTATGTGAATTTCACACAGACTCAATAAGCATCATCTATTAAGAATAAAACTTGTTTTTCTCCCCTACACCCTCTTCCTGTTGGTATTACTACCTTGATGAGCGGCACTATTTCTATCCACATTCAAACTAGAAAGCTGAGTGTCTTTAATAACCCCTCCCCACACTTTCCACACTCAGTCTGGTACCATGTCCTAGAAGTTCTTCCTGAAATTTGCCTATAATTTGACAACTCCTCCTTATTCCTTTTGTGGGGTCCCTGATTTTGGTTGTCATCTCCTAACAGTAGCTTCTTAAGTGATAAACCTCCATGTTCCTCTCCATCACTGCCACTCTACCCTGACCTTGAATAATGAATAATAATCTGAAACCATCATCTCCTTATATCACCACACTGCTCAAATAGCAAAAACAGTTTTAGTGGATTTCTGTTATCATTACATAAAAGTCCCAGTGTATGAGATGGACTCAACCTTTCATGATCTTGCTCCAGTCTACCTTTATGGCCTATTTTTCCATCCTTCCTCACTCTTGTTATGGAATTGAGCCACAGCAAACTCCATGCTCTTCCAAGTGTCTGGGACTTTGCAATGATCTCTGCTTTTTTTTTTTTTGACAGGGTCTTACTCTGTTGCCCATGCTGGAGTACACTGCAGCCTCTACCTCCCAGGCTCAAGTGATCCTCTCACCTCAGCCTCTTGAGTAGCTGGGACCACAGGTGCCCACCACCAGACCTGGCTATTTTGAAAATTTTTTTTGTAGAGATGGGGTCTCACTGTGTTGCCCAAGCTACTCTCAAACTCCTGGGCTCAAGTGAGCCTCCTGCCTTGGTCTCCCAAAGTGCTGGTATTACAGGCATGGGCCACTGTGCCCAGTAGATAGAGGAAGCTTAAAAATAGGGCACACTCACCTGAAAACATGGACAGGTATTTTCATCTGTTTCCCTGAGCTGGGATATGTGGTAAATTCCTTCTCTGTCTTAACTTGCTACTATTCTATACTCATTCTAACACCCTGTTTCCCCAGTCTACACATTAGGCCACCCAGTGATGCCTGTATTCTTTTGAAGTAATCATAAAGAAGAGACCCTTTAAAATTCTGAGCAGTATTTGTGGCATCAATAACTGTTTAGCCTGGTAGTTTCAAACTTGAGTGTGCATTGGAATCCCCTGGAGAATTTGTTAAAACACAGATTGCTGGTCCCCAACTCCAGAATTTCTAGTTCAGGAGGTTTGAGATGTGTTCTGAGAATCTGCATTTCTAATAAGGTCCCAAGTGCTACTGAAGCTGCTAAACCAGGAACTGCGCTTGGCAAATCACTGCTTCAGCCAATGAATGTCAAGAACAGAAGGTGGGAGATGAATTCGGAGAAGACAAACACCTTCTGGGGACACGCTGGAGTTAAATGGACATTTTTGGGTGCTTGTCCTGTTTTTTGCTTGTGAAATAAAATGAATTGTTCCACAGAGAGAAGGGAGGTTGATGCTGATGGATGTCTGGAAAAGGACTTGTCACTGTAAACAAGGGTGTGACCAGTGTACATTTCTGTCACACCGAACTACTTTGAGCCTGACTTTAGGTGTCACTTTTTCTGTTCTGATGGCAGGAGGAATCTTGTGGCCAAAAAATGTCCTTGAAGAGCCAGTGAGTCCTGCAGTCCTTGGTCCTTTTTTCCATTGCTTGGGTTTCCCCAGGAAGCCTGTGGTTCTCAGAGGGGAGTGAGGAAGCATCCTGATAATAGTGATTAGTTTTCCTCTGCCTGGTCTGTGTTTTCCCCAGCAAACTCCCAGATATCTCAAAGACAGCTCCAATATGGCTTTTGCAAATACTTCTCAATCCTTCTAGAATATTTATTCCTGTGTGTCCAAAAAGCCTGTACTTTTTACAGCACTAATCAAATAATACTATAATTATTTTGTCTAATGATTTGTCACCTGTATATTGGATTATTGACTCCTTGAGGACAGTATACGCACACATGTGGATATATATATATATATATATATATATATATATATATATATATATCCACACATGTGTTTCATCTTTTTCTCCCCCAAGATAATGAATGTTTGACGAATGAGCCCCACTTTCATGCACATTGCTGTTCCTCCTCTTCAGATGTGGAAATCTTGGTTTGCTGCACAAATTTCAGGCTCCTACAGGTGATCACCATGTGTTCTGCTTTCTCTGAGTTCTTTTCTTCTCATTTCTCAGCCCCAAATTGAATATCCAGGCAGAATTTTTTTAAAGCAATGATACATTGATTTTCATCTGCTTCTGGGAAATGAGAGAGCATTAGCAAGGAGGGTTTCTACTTTCTGTCTACCCTTTAAGAGGCCAAAAAGAAAAAAAGCTGCCAGATGCTTGGAAATCGAGCTGTATATTTGGGAGATGGATGAAAGTGCCTGTACTTGGCTGTAAAAGCCTTCCCTGAGTGAGATGACTATGCTTTTGAAAGATCAAAGAGTCATTCTTTCTCCTTTCTCCTGGAATCATCACAGCCATTAATAATTGCACATACCGACTTTTTCTTGGGTGAAATGGAGGGCTTTTTACCTTATCCTCATCTCAACTGTGAACCTCTCCATTTGGTCTCAGATTGGTTTAATTACAGGTCTTCTGTGAGAGGCAGAGAAGATGGGAGAGGGATTAGCTAGGATGTAAATACCTTTGTGAAGGTAGCAGTGAGGGTTTATTACCCTCTACGTCAACAGATGGCAAACTTTTTTTCTGATAAAAGCCGGGTAGTAAATATTTAGGTTTTGTGGGCCATATGGCCTCTGTCACAACTACTCAACTCTGCCATAGTGTGAAAGTAGTCATAGATAATATAAAGATAAATAAGCATGCTTATTTCCAATAAAACTTTAGTTCCAATAAAACTTTACAGAATTAGGTGGCGGGCTTCACTTGGCCCTGGGGCTATAGTTTGCCAACCTCTGCCATAGATTCCAAAAGCTCTAGCTCCGAGTCTGCTGGGTCTCCCAAACTTTGGTGCTTTCTGCAAAACTCATAAAACTTAGGGTGACTGTAAAAAAAAAAAAAAAGTAATAAAACCTTTTGCTTTCAATCAGCCAAGAGGCACGTACCTGAGAGTGGCTTCCTTTTCAAATAGGAGAGCAGGATCAGCAGGTAAACGGGAAGGAGCAAAGACTGCTTAACTTTGGGTCTCCCTCCAGAGCCCCATATTGGTAAAACTTAGCAGGCAGCCAGCAGATCAAGAAGAAATGCTTTTGCAGAGTCCAACCTCAGCACCACAGGTTGACCAGAGAAGAATGGATTTGAAGCTGAGACGTAATTGCTGGACAAGTGGCCAAGACCCCACCAATGGTATCAATATTGCTGGTATGACATCAGGTTAATAATGAGACCCAACCCAAAACGCAGCTACCAGAGAAATGAGGTTGCTCTCTGGGAGTTAAATTGGTAAAATCTACACATACGATGGCTTTGATTGCCTGGGTGTAAAATTAAATATGATTCTACCTCTAACTTTGAAGACCTTGAGGACACACACAACTCTACATAAAGTGATCTGAGTTTATCCCCAGGGGGACAAGACAGGCATGTAATTGTAATTTATTAAGTAGAAACCTAATCAAATTGTACCATGTAGGGAAAGAGACTGTGTGAGCAGAAGAGAGCTAGATTAGCCTAAAGACGTCCAAGGCCAGGTGTGATGGTTCACCCCTGTAATCCCAGCACTTTGGGAGGCAGGGGTGGGTGGATTGCTTGAGTCCAGGAGTTCAAGACCAGCCTGGGCAACCTGGAGAAACCCCATCTCTAAAAAAAAAGATACAAAAATTAGTCAGGTAGGGTGGTGTGCACCTGTGGTCCCAGCTACTCCAGCTACTCAGGACCCTGAGGTGGGAAGATTGCTTTTGGGAGGCTGAGGTGGGGAGGATTGCTTGAGCCTGGAAGGTCAGGGATGCAGTGAGCCAAGATCACGCTACTGCACTCCAGCCTGGGCGACAGAGCGAAGTGAGACCCTGTCTCAAAACAAAACAACATGTCCAAAAAGTGTACATGTGAGACCCTGTCTCAAAACAAAACAACACATCCAAAAAGTGTACATGTGCCCTTGGTGATGATTGTAGCCCTGGTAGTCTCAAAAAGATTCTCTGAAGTGATAATATAAATTGTGGTTTGGCAGAAATGAAATATTCAAAGTAATGAGTCTGATTATAACAGTGTTCCCTTTAGTAAGATGCAGTCACTGCTAAGGGCAGGTTGGCTGCTAGAAACGTGCACTAGCATGGAGGATTTAAAGTTTGAAGTAATAAAAATGGTTGCTGCAGTATTTAGATGTGTAAAGGTGACTGGCTTCCTCTGCAGCCCCAGGTGCAGCCTCCAGTGCTAAGGGGTAAAATAAGTTAATGCCCTCAAAACCCCCATAAAAGTAGTTGCTTTTGCTTGATTGATATAGGACAGCTTTGGCAGAAACTTGTTCTAGTCAAAACCAGTCATGTCTGACTTACCCTAGCTGATGGGGACAGCCCCTGGAGTGTAAGACAGCCAGAATCCACACTTACCCATTCTCCTCTCCCTACTGAACTCAACACGGGGGAGAGGGGCCTGGGTGGATGAAATTATCTTGGGTTGCCGTTGTGTGAAAGCTTTCCTCACTAGAAGGTTGGGATTCAGGGATCGTGGACATTGGCAACAAAAAGTGAACACGCTTGATCAATTATTTCTGAGAATCATTCAAGACAAGGAATTGTTCTTTAGTCTTTTGCCTTTGGAGTCTCTTTTGGCGTTTCATGTAGATTTGTCTACAGGCGAGAATGCTTTAGTCATATCTGTTTGAGAGCTCTGGTTCATGTGACATTTCTATTTCTCATCATGTTAACAAATTGCTTGGCCTTTGGCTTTTACATTAGTCTCTCTTAGATTGGGTTAAAATGATTCAACCCCAGATCATTAGTTCCACTGTTGTGGTGCTGACAAAATCCAGATTTTGAGACTTTAAAGGCAGATGCCATAGGTGAGCCATGATAAATTCCTCAAGGTGAATGACTTCTTTGGAGTCTGTAAGCAGCTACCCAGTGAAGTCTCCCTGCCCTTCCTGGCCAATGTTCTGCTCAAGCTATAACAGATTTTAAAGTCCATTTTTAAGATGGCCTTTTCTACAAAATAAAATGATGACCCTTCCTTAGAGGTTTAGTTCTAGGCCATAAAGTCCAAATCTTTATGGCTTTATTGCTACTTTTTTTTTTTTTTTGTACAAAGAAAAGTGGTTTTCCATTAAAAAAGAAAAAACAGAGCAGTGGGAATCTTTTTTAAAAAATGAACTCATATGCAGACCATCTATACTTGAAACAGATAAAAGAAACTACCCTTTTGAAGCAGGGCTGAGCCTGTAACCTGCTCTACTAGGACTCTCTGTGCTTCTATTTGAAAACTACATGTAAATACCAAAAAGGTTGGGGTGAGGAAGAGGTAAGGCTTATAGTTCAATGGTCCTACTACTTCCAAGCTTTAGATCTCTGCGGAATGCAGGGATGGAACTAGCTATATTGCATTGATTCTGAATGAATGCCGCACACACTGAAAAGTTCATGAAATGTTCTACAGCTGGCATTTTTAAAAGAGCGTCATTTGATCAACACTGTGGTTTCAAGAACACTCACAATTCTGCTGTCCTGTGTTTCTCCACACCTCATTGACTTAACAGCCTTACAGGATCTGATCTCAGAGCCCATCTTGTTTTTTCTGTTCTGGTGTTTTAATTTATCTTTCTCTCTTCTAATGGCCTAAAGACTGAATGCTGTGATTTTCCTCCAGGCAGCACAATGTCATTTCAGCCTTGTTTTCTATAATTTATGCCATATACTATTTTCTATACTGAATCATTAACTCTTAAGAGTAATGCAGATGACATAAATTACCTAAAAGGGGCCATGCAAAATAAACTGTCAGCAAGCGCAATTTATTTCATTTTGTAACAGTTGAGACTCAAGCAGAATGCCAGGGCTAGGGAAAAACAGCACTGCCTACTCCAGTCTGCTGTGTCAAATCCTGGTGCCTTTAGACAGATCCCCAGTACCAGGAAAAGAGAAAAGCACTATAACTAACTGGGTACTTTAACTTAAAAAACAAACAAACAAACAAACAAAAAAAACTTTGAGATAGCAAGATTGGCCTTTATGACAAAGAATCCCTAACCTGAAAACAGGTTCTAGTCCCCCAGATTCACTGCTAAGGTAATTACTAAAATGTTTGTCTCCTCAAATGAACATGGATGTGCTTGCTTTTAATAGCAAGGAAACACCATGGCTCATTTTCACCTTGCCTGCTAGGGAGCTCAGAGGAAAAGTTAGTGTTCTGTAGATCTTAGCTCTCTTGTTACTTCTTGAGAAAGGTGACTTATCCATCCAGTCTAATTACATTAGCTAGCTTTCTTTCTGGTTACTCTAACTTATTGTATTAGTTTACAAGGGATTGCTGTAACAAAGCACCACAAATTGGGTGGCTTAGAACAAGAGAAATGTACTGTCTCACATTTCTGGAGGACAGGAGTCTTAAATCAAGGTGTTAGGAGGGCCATACTCCCTCTGAAGGCTCTAGGGAAGACTCCTTCTTTGCCTCTTCCTAGCTTCTGATGGCTGATGGCAATCCTTGACATTCTTTGGCTTGTAGTTGTACTGCTCTAACTCCTATTTCCATTTTCGCATTGCTGCCTTTCCTCTGTGTGTGTCTCCTCAGTGTCTCCATGTGACCATCTTATAAGGATACCAGTCACTGGATGCAGGGCCTACTCTATCCAAGAGGACTTCATCTTTACTTAATGAATTACGTCTGCAAAGACCCTAATTTCAAATAAGGCCACATTCTAAGGTCTCAGATGGACATGTATCTTGGGGTGATACTCTTCAACCCACAACACTCATCGTAGCTCATATTGGCTTTGCAGCACTTATCACTGGCTGGAATTGTTTGGGTAGTAATATGTATTCTTTGTTTACTGTTGAATTCTTTCACTACTGTTCCTGCTACAACATTCTGGAGTATAAGCTTCATGAGAGCTGGAGCTTATCTTATTCTATGCTGTAAGCCTGGCATCTAGTAGGAACTTGAAAATTTGGTTCAATTTATTTTTTTTAACTTTTTAATAACTCCATTATTTAACTAATTTATAGCTCAATTTTTATAGCATATCCCTATTATGATGTGCTCTTCTTTTTGTTAGATGACTTTTTATTTCTCCCATTTATCTTCGACTAACAACCTGAAATCTTTTTTGGAAGAAAGGATGGAGGAGAAATTATGAACAAATAAAAGGCTGTTGTTTGGAACTCACAGTGTATTTTCCCTGAGAAATAATGTGATGAATAATGATCACATCTTTTGTTTTGTTTTGTTTTGTTTTGTTTTGTTTTGTTTTGTTTTTGAGATGGAATCTCGCTCTGTTGTCCAGGCTGTAATGCAGTGGTGTGATCTTGGCTCACTGCAACCTCCCAGGTTCAAGGGGATCTTCTGCCTCAGCCTCCCGAGTAGCTGGGACTACAGGCGTGTGCCACCACACCCAGTTAAATTTTGTACTTTTAGTAGAGACGAAGTTTTGCCATGTTGGCTGTACTGGTCTCGAACTCCTGACCTCAGGTGATGTTCCCACCTTGGCCTTCCAAAGTGCTAGGATTACAGGCGTGAGCCACTGCGCTTGGCCCCAGGCCATCATTTAATGTTAAATGTTTTTAAAGCTTTTAATGTCAAAGGCTTTTAACTTCAAATGGACCCAAAATATTAATTATTAGCAATGAACTAGACTTTAAAAACCCCAATGCTTTCAGTGTGTTTTTCTTTCAGTTAGCCTTGGCGGTAGGACTGTACATATACCTGGCATATGACGGGAGGCTGGTTAATGTCTGCTAAATGAATTCACTGATTAAAACAGAAGAGGACACCAGTGTACCTGGCCCACCATAAGCCCTCTTTTCTTTCTTAAAGGGAATGTGATGAGAAGTTAGGGTTGAGTGGGTTGGCATTGGATCTAAATTAATGACTTTTTGCTACTTGGGGTCTTTTGCTGTTTTCCGATTACCTTGGGGGACCCTTAGGATATCTTCTGAGAGATCTTTAAGTGTGATTGTCCTAAACAGTGTCCCACCATGGTCTAGGTTTTCTGAATCACACTAACGAAAATGGGCCTGAAAAGTTATACAAAATGTAGCTGATGCCACAGTTAATACGTGTATTTAAATATGAGTCCAAAAGGGGGGAAAAGTGAGAGGGAGTATATGAGACAGGGCAACAGACAGAACATCCATTAACTTTGCTGTCTGATCTAGTTACAGAAACTGTTAGAGGACCAGGCAGTAGAGAATGTTCTAGAATGACTTTTGGGATGGCAGCAGCCTCTTTGCTTAATACCATGCAACTTACCTTCTTCCCCCTCTTTTTTAATGAAGTAAGGGTATTTAGCTGTGGAAAAGGGGAGCCATCAGAGTTAACTAACAAGCCAAATCCCCTTGCAAGGGGACATGTGGTTGACTGGCGGCGGCTACTGCTGAGTCCATGTTAGGAGTTCACAAATGCATTTTAGGTGCTTCTGAAAAGTCATTCTGGCAGATGACATCACCTACTGCAAGGGATAATCGTGATGGGAAGTAGCCTAATAACCTTTCTTTTTATGACTGTTTCCTGAATGCACAGACATACTCCCTAAAAGGCATTTCCTCCTCAAAGCAAAAAGGAGCATGTCCTGTGGGGCTTGTAGAGAGTCAAATAAAAGCTGGAGTGATGGTGGGTGCTGGGATTTGACTTCAACAAAGAAATATGGCCATTTTCGCCTGTATTCTTGTGTGTCATATAGAAGCAAACAAGCAAATCTATCACCTCATTACTAATTTTGCTAAAGGCAAAATTCCAGAGAGCAACTCTAAGTTTCTTTCTAAACTGAACAGTGTCTAGTTAAGGGGCATCACTTTTCTTTTTGCTAAGTTTATCAGTTAAGAAAACATGAGAAACATGACCTCTTTTAACAGATAAATCCCCAATTCTCAGGGAGTTAGCACAACGCAAGCTCATCTCTATTTTACATTCCTGTCCAATGCAGTTGACTCTGAATACTTGGCCTTCCACCAGTCATTCCAAAACCTCCTTCCACCTGGTGGCCTCACCTCCTCTTCAGTCAGAAGCTGGTTAGAGAAAGAGGATGAGGACCAAACGTAGGAGACTTATATGAGTTAGGCTTGTAAATGGCTCACCTCACTTTCACCCACATTCCCTTGGTTAAAACTCAATCACGTGCCCATCTAACTGCCAGGGAGGCTAAAATATGTATTCTAGCTGGGTGTCCAAGAAGGAGAGGTAATGGGTGAGGGGCCCATCTAGCTAATCTCTGCCACAAAGGGCAATGTTTGGAGACCTTGGCCTTTCCCACAAGCAAGATGGCATAACAGGAACAGCAGACTTGACTCTAGTTAGGTTTTCTGGGGGGC
This sequence comes from Homo sapiens, assembly GCF_000001405.40. Taxonomy (NCBI): domain Eukaryota; kingdom Metazoa; phylum Chordata; class Mammalia; order Primates; family Hominidae; genus Homo; species Homo sapiens. The sequence continues at coordinate 111,909,608 of NC_000010.11, read as the reverse complement.
TTATTGTAGAGGTTGAGAAGTAGTGTGCAGCCCTTGGGTCCCCCATGTGCAACACACTCTCATGGGTAAACCCAGAGTTATTCTCAACTCCCTGTGCTTCCTGGGTATAATGCCAGTCATTTCTCAGGAAACTGAGACCTAGAAAAGAAAAATGTCGATTCCAGACCACACAGCTAACTGTGACAAAGTTTGTAAGAATAGTGTAGATATCAAGATAATGTTGAATTTGCCTCTCTCTCTACACACACACACACACACACACACACACGTATATATACACACATATGTATACATATATGTTCACACATGTATATACATACATATATATGTATCATGTATATTAAATTCTTTTTGCTACTTTTGGTCTTTTGCTGTTTTCAGATCACCTTGGGGGAATGGGTTTTTAAAAATTCCTAATGCTGGAAGCTTTTTATGCACACATGTATATACATACAAAAGCATATATATGTATACATGTATATTAAAGTAAATAATTTGATAACTTAAATATTTTAATTATTAGTAAAATGTACTTTTGTTACATCCGTGATTTTTGACATCACAATTAATGATGGCTGGCTCAGAAGACTAAGAAAAACAGTCTATTTTGTTTTCCTTTGGGACCAAATAACAAAGCCCAACTCAGACTGTTTAAAATAATAAATAAACACTATATTTCTAAATTATTTATTTACAAACTTTTATATAGTGCTTACCCTGTGCCAGATACCAACAGCCTTAAAAATATTTACTTAATCCTCATCACAACCCTGTAGGGGAAATACTATCATTATTCTCATATTAGAGATGGAAAATTATGGTCCAGTAGGATTAAGTAACTTGCCTGTGGTCACCTAAGTAATTGGTGGTAGAGCCAAAATCTGAACTGAAAACATAGTTCCTTAGCCAGTTCTCTTAGCTATTCCATTATGGAACCCCATATCAGATCATACAGAGGCAGAGCCAGTCTTTTAGTAACTCAGTAACATCAGGTACACAGGTTCTTTCCCAATTGCAGATATCCAGATTATTTCTATACTTCATTGACTGTCTCTGCTCTAGCTTATGTCATGAAAACAAAATGGCTGCCTGCAGAGGTAAGGCAATGCACTTCCTTATGCATGTTGAGTGGGGGAGAGAGACTCGTTTTTTCCCATTCCCAAGTCTGCCTCTCCTTACGTATCTTTGCTGTAAACTTTTCCAACTTGCCTCTGAAGCAATCACTGACAAGGAAATGGGCTAGCACGATTGACTTAGCTTCAGTTTAGTCGTTTGGATGAAGTGGATGATAAGAACAATGACAAGGTCCACTGTAGATAACCAACATTTCTAGGCACAACTGTGACCCTGCTGCATTGCCTTATTGGCTTATACAAGTGATTTGCTTGGCAGTCCATAGTCTTATAATAAAGTGACACTTTAAGATCTTGGAGACCTTTTATATGTGTTTTCTCATTTTCCAGTTAATAGGTAGGACATTTTATGATTCCTGTTTCTTAGATTAGCAAGCAAAGGTTGAAGGAAGAGGTATGTTTTCGAAAGTCACACAGGTTGGGTCAAAGCAGAGACTTGAACCCATGTCTCTTAAGTTGTGGTGCAGCCATCTATCAACTTATGACCTCATTTTAATTAGGCATAAAGTCATACATTATAAAAGCAATCCCTGGGCAGAGAAAGCCTCTGAATCATTTTAGGGTTGGCCATTTTGGGTTGATTTTATTTATTTTTAAATTTCTGTCGCAGGACTTAAGCATTGTGTATTTGTCTTAATTCTCCTGGGCAATTTCTAACTAGATTTTTGCCTCTTAGACTCAGCCTGAATGTTCTACTTTTTGCTATCCCTAAGGATTTGGGCTGTAAAAATTCCTGATGCTGGAAGCTTTTTATGTATGAAGAAAAGGTTTAGGAAAAGAATTACACCAGCCAAATCTTCAGGACATGATGCACTTCCTCTGCAAGGCATTCAAACTTTTGGAACTTCTCTGTTTCATTAAGTTTGAAACAGAAGTTTCAAACTTAATTAATTAACAGAAAAATTATTAAAATAATGCATAAAACATGCCCTGATGATCTCTGGAATCTGACAGTCTTAACTTTCTTTTCTTTTGCTCTGTGTTTTCTATAAATAGTGTTCAAAACTTAACCAGCATGCCACAAATTAATTTGTGAGAACTAAGTGAAATTATAACTGTAGTGATGGTATGACTTTTAGAATTGTCGTGGTAATAGATGTTGATATTCATGACTTACTAACGCAAAATATTAGCCCCCTATGATGGTGAGCAGTCAGCATGTTGACTCTGTCATAACCCTTTCTAGGTTCTGAATTTTATAGAAATGGTAGAAACTTAGAACTGGAGATATCTGACAATGCCTGGCACGAAGTAGATACCATATATATATTTATTGCATAAATGCTTAGTAAATGAATCCTTACCCTTTTCAAGTGAGAAAAGTCACACCTAGAGAGTGGGGAAAAGACTGACTTAAATTCACATGGTTATGTCAGAGTCAAAAGCAAGACTCAACACTCTGGACTCCTAGTTCAGTGCTCTTTCTACCAAGTTAAGAGTTGGGGAATGCCTTTTATGCCAGTGAATCATTGCCAGTTATTTAAATAAAATGTATAAAATAAATATGCAGAGTTATTGGAAAACTACTTTTTGCAAATGTGGGGTTTGATTAGAATTGCACGAGGTTCACAACATAACTAAGTTTAGGATTGGTGGAAGCATCAAGGTGAGGATTTCAAGGAACCTATGAGTGCAAACCATTTGTTGATGCTTTATATTGAGTTCTGGAAAGTTCTTATAATGAACCTATAAATTATTTGCCTGGGCAAGAGTCTTTTGGAATGTTAAAGTTGTGTCGATAAAGATAATGAAATAGTAAAGTCATTTTAATGCAAATGAAATAAGCTATGTGGGCTAGATAATTTCAGTTCTCATAAGAAAAAGACAGCAGAGCTGCAGAGGTCCAGAGAGTGGGCAACTCAGAGAGCAGCCCAAGATAGAGTCAAGCAGAGCAATTGATGGGAGGCAGTGAGTTTTAGGTGGCCCACTTAGGTGAAGCAAGGGAGATGACAGGCTCTTTTTAACAATCAGCTCTCGTGTGAACTAACAGAGCTAGAACTCACTCATTAATGTAGGGAGGGCACCAAGTCATCGAAGAGGGATCTGCTCCCGTGACTCAAACACCTCCCACCAGGACCCCCTCCAACATTGAGGATCACATTTCAAGATGAGATTTGGAAGGGACACACATTTAAACCATATCAAGAAATAAGCAACAATTTCAGAAACAACAAAAATTAGGGTTCTAAAAGCAAGGCTATGTGCTGAAAATCACTGAATAGCAAACAAAAGCAACCCAACAATAACAACAGCAACAAATCTCATGACAATGACAAAACACCCTTTTAATTTCAAAAGCATATTTCATTTGCAGTCTTTAGAACAATGGTTGGTGATATGGTTCGAATTTGTGTCCCTGCCCAAATCTCATGTGGAATTATAATTCCCATTGCTGGAGGTGGGGCCTGGTGGGAGGTGACTGGATAATGGGGATGGATTTCACACGAATGGTTTCGCACCATCCCTTTGGTGCTGTTCTCATGGTAGTGAGTGAGTTCTCCTGAGATCTGATAGTTTAAAAGTGTGTAACACCTCCCACCTTGTTCCTACTCCTGCCATGTAAGACGCCTGCTCCCCTTTGCCTTCCACCATGATTGTAAATTTCCTGAGGCCTCCCCAGAAGCCAAGCAGATGCCAGCATTATGCTTCCTTTATAGCACGTGGAATGTGAGCCAATGAAACCTTTTTTCTTTATAAATTACCCAAGTCTCAGGTATTTCTTTATAGCTATGCAAGAATGAACTTGCATTAATCATTAAAATTGTTTTCTAATGATTGGTGTCTAGGCCATAGTTATCCTTATACATCTGCTACTTAGTGAGTGCAATATTTATATGTGGTTTCAATTTTGCAAATAGTTTTACAACAAAATGACCAAAGAATAGAAATGGATGTAGCTGTAATATATTTGAGATGCAATGAGTTGACTGATCCCTTTCCGAGTTCTTGAGGACCACTGTTGATGTTGGTATGTTCGTTGGGAATCACCAGGCTGAGAATCCTAGTGGGATCTACTTGCAAAGGTCTAGAAGGAGTTGTATTATATTGTGAGGCTTTCCAACTTATCAAATACTTTTGATGACTGCTTTTTTCTCTTCTTAATTTTTGTGTCTACATTTCAAACAAAACCAGTCATTTGGGGTCCTACCAGTCAAATTTTTGCTGTTTCTTGACCGTCTCTATTTATTGCCATCATCAATCTTGCCTCTCCATGATTCTGCTATAAAAAATCTGTGAAATAGAGGCTTTCTTTCTCTAATACCCAAGAGTAGCTGAGTCTCTGGAGCTAGAAGCACTGTACTTATCCCTAAGAAATTGGTTACACTTTTCCCTTTCTATTTTTCTCCTCCTCCATCACAGTTTTCTGCCCTAAACAGACCTTTGAATGTCATGAAGTGGGAAATAATCCAATTCATAGCAAAGAATTTGTCTGTGAAATCAGGCCTGCAGGTGCAGAGCTGAAACAGTCTCCATCCCCATCCAGCTACCTGGCTGAAGAGCCAAACATAGAGTGTTGAAATGTTTAAGCAGGAAGGGCCCCTCCCAATGATCACATTCAATATCCTCATGGCTCGGATGAAGAAACTGAGGCCCTTTGCAGAAGGGCAGAGTGATTTTCTTAAGAAAATACGTTGGTCCCTAACCTTTTCTAACACAAATGTTAGCATTGGCAAAGCAATTAAATTGTGAAAATTTTTTACTATCTTCTTTGCTTCTCAAAAATTTTCGTCATTAGTATGTGTAGTTATATTTATGATTATTCACGGCGTTAGAAACAACAGCTTGAGTACAGACTGTGCCTTTCTTCTGAGAATATCAAACCACTCTCAAGTCTTTTATCTCAGCAGGCAGAACCTGGTGCCTACTATGCTCATTCTGGCAGATCTTAAGAGTTATTAATCAAATATTAATACATGTTTGTATTTATTCATATTTTATTGTAAACAAATTTACCAATTTTGTTTCACATACAACACTTAAAGAGTTCAAAGACAAAAAACTTTAAGAGTAGCTGTCCAAGACCAAATGTAAATATTGGATAAGAAAGCCGATTCTTGACCAGGTGCAGTGGCTCATGCCTGTAATCCCAGCACTTTGGGACGCCAAGGTGGGTGGATCACTTGAGTCCAGGAGTTTGAGGCCAATCTGGACAACATGGTGAAACCCAATCTCTACAAATAATACAAAAAATAAGCCAGGCATGGTGGCATGTGCCTGTAGTCCCAGCTACTCAGGAGGCTGAGGTGGGAGGATCCCCTGAGCCTGGGGAGTTGAGACTGCAGTGAGCTGTGATTGTGCCACCGCACTCCTGCCTGGGTGACAGAGCATGGCCCTGTTGCAAAAAATAAAAATAAAATAAAGCCGATTCTGTTAAAAGTTTGCCCCTTTGACCACCTCAGCACCACAAGCTATTCTGGTACAATTTAAAACCTTCAAAATAGGGAATTCATGTTTAATGCATTGCATTTTAGGAATCTAAAGCTTAATTTTATAAAACTTAAATTGTGATAACCCTGTCTTGTGATAACCCTGGGGCCAGAGAGCTGGCAAATATTTAGACTGCGTGTCCTAACCAAAGACAGTCTACTATGTTCCAAGACAAGAAGAGGGTCTGAGAAACTGGCGAAGAGAAGCCTCACTTTATTAATAGCATACTTTAAGCATATAGGAAGGACATCAAGGGTACTTATATCAACAAGAAATGCTCCTTCACTAGCAGTGCTCATCCCAGGGGCAGATCAAGTCTGGGATGGTGAACAGGATAAAGATGCAAAGAATCACTGTCATCCACCTGGATGATCCCACCATGTCTACAAGAACAAAAGTAAACTACTTCAAGATGCACCCCAAGAACATGTACACATGCCCCTTATCCCTTACTCTTTATCTTCAAACTCCATTTGGTCCAGGTTGGCAACATTGTTGCCACATTGCAAGCGCTGGCTCCTGACCAAACCATGCATTTCAACATGTAGGAGGTCACCAAGACCTAGCACCAAGAATTAGTTCTGGAAATTATAAAACTGGGTACCATCCCACACCATAAGTAAATGTATTTTTCTACTCCATAAAAAGAGTTAGTTAATAAATGTTCAGAAATACACAGTATTTTTACAAATAATCACTTCTATGTGCCACTTGCTTTTAGTATTAATATTAATAGGCATGGTCTTCCTGAGTATTCATTGGTTGGAGGGATTACTTGAAACCACCTAGCTAAAATCCTTGGGAGACCTAATTAAGCATTTTATGTGTATAAATGGTCTCTTGAAGTTTTGTTCTTTAAAGATGGGATAAAATGAGGTCCGTGATATTACTAAAAGTCCTTTTGCAAAGGACTAAAACAGACATGACAGAGGGTCTCCAGCTTCCCTTGCCTTTCACCCTTGCCTTCTCTAATTTTTCCGTTTCCACCGTTGTTGTTGTTATTGTTATATTCCCTGCTGCTGAACCTTGAACCTTAATTAGTTGAAAACTGTAAGGCCTGCTAAAACAGTTCTTGAAAATAATTTTCTGGCTGGGCGCAGTGGCTCACGTCTGTAATCTCAACACTTTGGGAGGCCAAGGTGGGTAGATCACTGGGGGCCAGGAGTTCGAGACCAGCCTGACCAACATGGAGAAACCCTGTCTCTACTAAAAATACAAAATTAGCCGAGCGTGGTGGTGTATGCCTGTAATCCCAGCTACTTGGCAAGCTGAGGCAGGAGAATTGCTTGAACCTGGGAGGCAGAGGTTGCAGTGAGCCGAGATCACACCACTGCACTCCAGCCTGGGCAACAATAGTGAAACTCTGTCTCAAAAAAACAAAACAAAAGTAGTTTTCTGACAGTTATCAGAACAGCATTGTGCCACCTATCCCGAGAATGAGGCAAAAAGAATAGAACAATCTCTCACTGTTTTAACTGGAAGTTTTGCAGCGGCTAAAGAAAAAAACCTGCTACCTGAGCCCAGTTACACAGACACATAGCCCTCTCTTCCACTCACCCTTTAAAACTCCAAACCTGCTTTACTTGGAGAGTATCTGGTCTCAGATACTCCTTGAAGTTCTCAGCTGAATAAGGCCTCTATTTGAGCCACTTTCACTCTCATCTTTTGATACTTTGAAATATAGACTCACCCTAATATCTCCTCTTGGAAATCATTGTTCACCCCTAAGTACTTAGATGTATGCCTGCCCTGTGTTTTCTCCCAGCCAATCCAGAAATTCTTTTCTTGTGGCATTTAATATACCAAGTGTCAGTTTCCTCTTTGTTACTTTCAAAAGAACATAAGCTCTTTGAGGGCAGGGACTTTGTCTTGTGTTGACACATAGGAAATACTCAGATATTTTCTGAATAAATGACAGAATTAACTGAGTATGTGGATACAAAGTGGTCATACTGTCTTATTAAGCTTGCCTAATTTCAAGTCGAGCTATGCTTCTTAACCTGGCCAGAGCTTAGCATTTAATTATGTCAGAAACACCTGTATATGGAGAAATACTTAAGGTATCTGAAGAGCTGTTGATTCTCATCAGTTTCTAAGGAAAACTCTCCGTGTATTATTTCCATAACTCAATTGTCACCATGATTTAGGTGGATAGTAAACAACTTAGTCACTATTGATCTGTGTTAGCAAATTGTTGCTAGACATTAAACCTGGCAGTAACATTCTAATGTTAGGGTTATATCTGCCCCTGTCTGCCCCACCTTCTTCCTTATGGGTTGTTTTGCAGGCTTAAATATCACAGGTATTTTTAAGTTTCTGCATATACACAGTAGAATCAACTTGATAAGTGATGGTTCCTATGGATAGATGAATGCTGTTATTTTCTTTTCTTTTCTTTTTTTTTTTTTTTGAGGCGGAGTCTTGCTCTGTTGCCCAGGCTGGAGTGCAGTAGCGCGATCTCGGCTCACTGCAAGCTCTGCCTTCAGGGTTCACGCCATTCTCCTGCCTCAGCCTCCCGAGTAGCTGGGATTACAGGCGCCCACCACCACCCCCGGCTAATTTTTTGTATTTTTAGTAGAGACAGGGTTTCACTGTGTTAGCCAGGATGGTCTCGATCTCCTGACCTCATGATCTGCCCACCTCGGCCTCCCAAAGTGCTGGGATTACAGGCGTGAGCCACCGCGCCCGGCCGAATGCTGTTATTTTCTACACTGGCTTTTCCTTTGAAGACCTAAATATCAAAAATGTGAGATGAGGGTCTTGATGGATTTATTTCTTTTACCCTTGGCTAAAAAAAAAATGCTTCTTCCTTTTTTTTTTTTTTTTTTTGCTTTATTTATTGTATAGTAGGACCTTGGCTTACTGAACATTGTTACTAGCCTGGAACATGGCAAGTAGTAGATACCCCTCAAATGTTTGCTAAATGAGGAAAACAGACAATTAATAAGTCATAGCCAGGCACAGTGGTACACACCTGCAGTCCCAGCTACTCAGGAGGCTGAAGCAGCCCAAGCATTTGCCTGAGCCTAAGAGTTCAAGGCTGCAGTGCACTATGATTGCACCTGTGAATAGCCACTGCACTTCAGCCTGGGCAACATAGTGAAACCCCATCTCTCTAAAACATGTCATAGTCATTGCAATAAGGCAGCATAGAAATGAGAACAGATGCCATCAGAGGTCAGAAGACTAGCAGGGTTAGCACAGTCATTTTGGGTGCCCCCTATTCCTTCTTGTATCAGTTTTTTTCTCCTTAACTCTCAACCTAACAGTAAAAAGAACCCTCAAGACTGCTGTCATCAGAATTTACCATTCTCCAAGTGTTGAATGAGATTTTAATTCCACATGGTGCAGATGTCACTTTGTCACTAATGTAGCAGATGCCGGTAGTGGCCACCTGTCTCTTCTTGGCATCTACTGTTTCAGGAACTCTGATGGCTTCCCTCTGCAAGCTCCTGGAACTCTCTACCCAAGGAGGAGAGTTCTCTAGGGAGCTCAGTCCATATACAGGACATACTGGAGATGCTGAAGAGCTGGTAGCCCTGGGATAAGCCTTTAAGGATGGAAGGGAGCTGGCAGATCAAATCCCCAGCTTCTTTGTTCCTTCAGTGGGACAATTTGAGGTATGTTTGATACTGTCATGAAAATGTCCCTAGAAGAACCCACAGAAGTAACTTGTTTGTCATCATACCTTATATTGGCTTCCTTCTCTATCCTTAATAAATGATTTACATCCAAATCCTTATCTTAAGTCCTGTTCTCCGGGAACCAATGCAAAGACACACATGAAATTTCTTCCTTAGTCAAAGAAATTTGGGCAGTTTTGGATTAAAGTTACACAAGTGTCTGCTTCCCAGAATTTTTGATTTGCTAATATTTACTGTGACTCTCAAAGGGAGGGGATTGGTGTATGTTATTCCCAAACTTAATCAGGATTATCTTCCCCTGACCTCAAGCATTTTATGAGATTAATTTGTGAAGAACACATTCGGGAATCTTACTTTTGAGACATTCTAATGTCAGCAAAACCTCCTTATGAGAAATGTTTTGCAACAAGACATTTGGCCTTGAAGGATTAGAAATTTTATATTGGAATAATACATATGAGTAGTTTGCATAACCCATAACAATTTTCCAAACAGTGAGAACTACTGTCAGGTCATAACTTTAGCTCTTCCTTGGATGATCAGCCTTGATGTGCATGTAGTTAAGTCAAATGAGGAGTAACTTCTGATCCTAAGAACCTGGAAAGGAAGTAGTGACAATGATAAATGCAGTAATATTTTAAACTTTGTGGCTATGATAGAAATATAACACTTGGTGATTTGGAAAGATAGCAATAATTCCTATTTTATAAATGAGGAAACAAACAGAAAGGTTAAGTGAAGTACCCAAAGTCACACTGCTAAATGTGACAAGTCCAGGGCTGGCAGTATATTTCCTCACTTCTAGTTAAGCCCTTTTTTCTCTATTCTGCATTGCTTCTGTGTGAACAGGAATAGGAGACTGGAACAGAAACAGATTGGAGATAACAATGGTGAGAATCTGGGAGAAGAACAGAGCTGGGGGTTCATATTACAGGCTCTGACCTTGGTGTATCATTGGACAGAAATAAAAGTCAGTATTCACTATCTCTTTCTGTCATATTCTTTCTGTTCCTTCTTAAACACATTCTGGTAGCCATGGTAGTGAACAAGATTTCCACTTCAGCAGTGTCTTAGGTTGAAACATCTCTATTCATTTATATCTTTCTGAGAAATACAATTTGGGGGCTGAATGTTTGATTTCAGAAGAGTGTCTTGAGCTAAAATTGCTTCCTTGTTCTTGTTCCTTTTCTTGTGTGTGTGTGTGTGTGTGTGTATAAAGAGATATATGTATATAAATATGCGTGTATATATATATATATGTATATGTGTATGGAGAGAGAGAAATATATTATGGGAATTGGCTCACTCAATTATGAAGGCTGTATATATGTATCTCCTATTGGCTCTGTTTCTTTGGAGAGCACTAATACAGATGTGTACATAGATTAAGAAGCAAAAGCTTCCTTTCCCCCTACTCTACCCTCTCAATCCTATTTCCCTCCCAAAGTAATCACTATTAATGGTTTGAGGTGAAGTTAATGGTTTGGAGTTGTATTCTTCTTCAGCAAGGGAGTGTTTAGGATTTCTATTGTTATTGTTCCTATTTTTTTATTATTACAAACAATACATGGCCAGTATTTTGTGCACATGGCCAGTGTTTTCCAATCTTAAAAATAGCCAAAGTAGAAATATTAAGTTGAACTGTTTGCCTATTTTAAACTTTGATAAATACTGCAAACATCTCCGAAGGACTGGAGCAGCCTACGCATGCATTAACCATCTAAGAGAGGACCATTTGCTCCCTCCCTATCCAGTACTGGATACTATCACTCCTCTTTATGGTTCTAAGTTGATGTGAAAAAAATGGTATTGTTGTTTATTTCAATTTGCATTTTATAGACCACTCATGAGATAAAATAACTTTTTAATCATTTTTCTTTACTATTCCACTTAGGAATTCCATTTAGAAATTATCTCTTCATAACTCTGCTGTGTATTTACCTACTGTCTCAACTTCAAATTAATCCTTGTATATTCTGCTCTGTTGTTCCAGGCTAGAACTTTGAAAACTGGATTTCTCCACCCTCCTTACTTCCTTGGGTTTATCAATCAGAGGGAGTCTAATTTACAAGGACGTTGGAAGGTGGGAGCAGGGGAGAAGGGACTTACTTCACGTTTCTTCCGTTTGCTGTTAGTATAGCTCTAGCAACAGCAGGTAGTTCCAGCTCCAATATCTTTCAGCCCCTGAGAACTAGTCCCATTCCTCCTCTAGAAATAATTTTCCTTGGCTCTGGCTGTGTTAAGTATTTTTCTCTATCACTATCTTTAAACAATTTCATTATAACGTGCTTTAGTGTAGTTTTCTTCACATTTCTTGTGTTTTGGCGTCTGTTGAGATTCTTGAATCTGTGGAGTTTATAATTTTCATCAAATTTGGACATTTTCAGGTCATTATTTCTTGAGGCATGTTTTCTGTCTTATTCTTTTAGGGATTCCAGTTGCTACACATATATTAGGCTACTTGAACATGTTACACAACTCACTGATGCTATGTTCATTTCTTTTACCTTTTTTGTCTTTTTATTACTTTTGGAATATTGTTTTGCTTTCAAGTTCAATAATCTTTTTTCTGTAATGTCTAATCTACCTTTAGTTTCATCTAGCATATATGTATATGTTTTAAATCTCAGACATTGTAGTTTTGATCTCTGGAAGTCAAATTTAGGACTTTTTTATATCTTTTATCTCTTCATTTATCATGTCCAACCTTTCCTCTGATATCTTAAACATATGGTATACAGTTACAGTAACTTTTTTGTTTTTGTCTATGAATTCTATCATGGGTGTCATTTCTAGTTAGTTTCCAATGATTGGTTTTTTTTTTCCTCATGAGGCTTTAATTGATTAACTTTTCTCCCCATAGTGGGTCATATCTTCCTGCCTCTTTGCGGGTCTAGTAAACTGATTGGGTGCCAAGCACTGTAAATTTTCCCTTTTGGATGCTGAGTATTTTTTTTTGTTGTTGTTGTCCATATGACTGTTTTTGAGATTTCTCTTAAGACATAGGTAAGTTACTAGAAAACAGTTTGATCCTCTCATGTCTTGCTGTTAAGCTGATTTTCTCCTAATAATAAGGCAATCCTTTTTAGTACTCTAGCTCATGCCTTATGAATTATGAGGCATTCCATTTTAACTGGGGGGACAGGAACTACTCTCTTCATTTTGAGTGGTTCTTTTCTCAGCTTCGGTTACTTTCTTCTCACGCTCATGTACTGGTAAAGTAGCCAGCTGGTTACTAAAGGATAAACCTTTTTTAAGTTTCTAGAGTTCTCTGTCTTTGCAGCTTCCTCTTCTTTAGTCTGTAACCTCTAGTTGCCTCAGTTCCCCCAAACCTCCGACTTCCAGTACCATTTCCTAAACTCAGGGAGACCACAAGCTCTAGCAGACTTTCCTCTCTGTTCTGTGGCCCAGAAACTCTCTCTATTCTAGGGCAACTCTCTCTTCGTCATGGAGCTCACATCATTCATTCTCCTCATGCAGTAATCATTTTTCTCATGCAGCAGTCATTTTCGTCATTGCCTAATGTCCAATGTTTTAAAATCTGTAGTTGTTAATATTCTTTCATTTTCTCTATTCTGTTTTTAGTTGTTCAGGAAAGAGGCTAAACATGTTCCCTGGTGTTCCATGTTGATCAGAAGCCTGATTTTCTTTTCCAACTTTTTAAAATTAAACTTTTTATTTTGAGATAATTGTAGATTTGGATGGTTGTTAAAATTAACATTGAGAGATCCCCTGTACCCTTTGCCCAGTTTTCCCAATGGTAACATGTTGCAAAACTGTAGTTCAATATCACAGTCAGGATTTTGACATATGACATATGACATACGATACCATCAACATGCTGAACATCTCTATCACCCAAGGGCCCCTCGTGCCACCCGTTTTTATCCACATTGCACTTTCCTCCTGCACCCTACACTGTCAATGTTTAATGCATTTTCCATTTCTATAATTTTAACATTTAAAAAATGTTATATAAATGAATCATGTGGTATGTAACATTCGTGGATTGGCTTCTTTTTTTATTCAGCATAATATATGTGGTTTCCAGTATTAATAATTGTTTGCTTTTTGTTGCTGACTAGTATTCCATAGTATAGATGTACCACATAGTATGATTTAACCATTCACCATTTGAGAGACATTAGGTTGTTTCTAATTTTTAACCATATAAATCTGCTACAAACATTCATGTACAGGTTTTTTTATGTAAACATATCTTCATTTCTGTGGGATAAAAGCCCAGGAGTACGATTTCTGGGCCTTATAGTAGTTGCAAATTTAGTATTATGAGATACTGCCAAATACTCCCACCAGAAATGTATGAGAGATTCAGTTTTTCCTCATGCTTGCCAACTTTTGGTGGTTTTCACTATTTTTTATTTTAGCCATTCTGATAGGTGTGTAGTGATAGCTCGTGATTTTAATTTGCATTTCTCTAATGGCTAACAAATGTCTTTCTTGTGCTTACTTGCCATTTTATATTTTTAATGAAATGGTTCTTCTTGTCTTTTGCCCACTTTGTAACTGGATTATTTGATATTTAATTGTTGAATTCTGAGAATTCTTTACATATTCTAGATACTGGTCCTTTGGAGGATATGCCATTAGCAAATATTTTCTCCCCCTCTATAGCTTATCTTTTCATTATCTCATTAACAAGGTCTTTCATGGGGCAAAAGTATTTGGTTTTGATGAAGCCTGATTTATTAGTTCTTTTTTGGGTCATTCTTTTGGTGTCAAGTCTAAGAACTCTGTATCTAGCCCTAGATCTTGAAGACTTTTTTTTTTTAAACCTTTAAGCTCATGATCCATTTTGACTTAGGTTGAGTTTTTTGTTTTTGACTGTGTATATCCAGTTGCTCCAGCAGCATTTGTCCAAAAGGTTGTCTTTCTTCTACTGAGGACATTTTTGTACCTTTCTCAAAAAAAAAAAAAAAAAAAACCAATCAGTCATATTTGTGTGCGTCTATTTATTCTCTATGTGTCTAGTCCTCTGCCAATACCATGTAGTCTTGATTAATGTAACTATATAATAAGACTTGGAATTGAGTAGACATTTTTCCTCCCACATTCTTTTTTCAAAATTATTTTAGCCATTATAGTTCCTTTGTCCTTATAAATTTTGTAACCATCTTATCTACATGTACTAAAATTATGCTTGGATTATTGAGAGGTGAAGCCAGCTGGACTTCCTGGGTCGAGTGGGGACTTGGAGAACTTTTCTGATTACAAGAGGTTTGTAAAATGGACCAATCAGCACTCTGTAAAATGGACCAATCAGCACTCTGTAAAATGGACGAATCAGCAGGACATGGGTGGGGATGAATAAGGAAATAAAAGCTGGCCACCCCAATCAGCAGCGGCAACCCACTTGGGTCCCCTTCCACGCAATGGAAGCTTTGTTCTTTCACTCTTCACAATAAATCTTGCTGCTGCTCACTCTTTGGGTCTGTGCCATCTTTAAGAGCTATAAGATTCACTGTGAAGGTCCGCAGCTCCATTCTTGAAGTCAGTGAGACCATGAATCCACTGGAAGGAACCAACTCTGGTCCCATTATGACAGAAATTAAATCTGTAAGTCAATTTGAAAAGAATTGAATTTTTTACCATGTTGTGTCTTTCAGGCTGTAATCATAGTATGTCCCTTTAGTGATTTTGATTTTTTTTTTCTGTCATCATCAGTGTTGTATAGCTTTTGGCCTACAAGTCCTGTACATGTTATGTTAGATTTACACCTATTTCATTTTTTTGAGCAATTAAATGATTTTGATATAAAATATGGTGTTTATGTGTTCATTTCCAGCATATGGCAATACAATCAATATTCGTATGTTTATCTTGCGTCCTGTGATCTTGATCTTGCTGAACTCACTTATTAGTTTTTAGGGACTTTCTAGGGAGAAAATTATGTTACAACCAAATAGGGCCAGTTTTTATTTTTTTTCTGTCTAATCTGTATCTATATAAAATTTTTATGTGTATAAAAAAGTTTTATGTATATAAAAACTCTTACCAAAATGGAAATACAGGGGTGTGATATTGTGACTATTTATATATTATTTTTCAGCTATGATTCCTGGCCCCTAACTCCCATAACACTTACTGCAGTCTTTTGTGGGAGAGCTTTACACCTCAGAAGCAGGTCTCAGGAAATAGAATTTCTCTTCTATTTTGTTTTGTTGTTTTATTGCATGGAATGGAACTTCAAGCACTATGTTGAATAAGAATAGTAGAAGCAGATATCCTTTCTTTGCTGAAAAGCATTTAGTTTTTCACCATTAAGTATAATGGCTATAATTTTTTGGTACATGTTCTTTATCAAGTGGAGGAAGATCCCTTCTGTTTGGGAAAAACTCTAGAATAGACGAAAATTCTGTAGCAGAGACCAACTGAGTGTCCTGCAATTCAATTCTGATGCTATCTGCCTGGAGATAGTATTGGATCCCACAGGTTAAAGGCCTGGTCCCTAAGATTGCCACCCCTCCCCTTTTGAGGCCTCAGTCTCAGGCCTTTGGAACTTCTGACCAGCTGGCTTCAAATTTGGGTTCCCATGACCCCTGCTTTTGGTTTGATTAATTTGCTGGAGTTCTGGCTCACAGAACTGAGTGAAACACTTACATTGACTGGTTCATTATAAAGAATATTACAAAAGATGCAGATGAAGGGATGCACATGGTGTGAGGAATGGGGAAGGGACGTGGAGCTTCCATCCCTCCTTGGATACACCACCCTCCCGATACCACCGTGTGTTCCCCTATCCAAAGCAAGTGAAAGGAGGGCAGAATAAGGTCAGAGAAGGGGAGACTTTGTTTCCTGAGACCTGCTTCTGAGGCCTAAAGTTCTCCAATATTATAACAAAAAACTGTAACAAGTGTTGTGGGAGTTATAAGCCAGGAACCATTGATGAAAACCAATATATACATAGAGTTATATCATACCCTTTATTGCCATTTTTCTAAGAGTTTTTATGATGAAGGGGTAATATGGTTTGGCTGTGTCCCCATCCAAATATCATCTTGAATTGTAGTTCCCATAATACCCACATGTTGTAGGAGGGACCTGGTGGGAGATAATTGAATCATGGGTGCAGTTTCTCCCATACTGTTCTCATGATATTGAATAAGTATGGTGGGGTATTGAATAAGTATGGTAGGGTCCCACAATAAGAGTCTGCACTTATACTCAAGGCAATTTCTCATTCCCCATCTGATATGGTTTGGCTGTGTCCCCACCCAAATCTCATCTTGAATTGTAGCTTCTGTAATTCCCACATGTTGTGGGAGGGACCTGGTGGGAGATAACTGAATCATGAGGGCAGTTTCTCCCATACTGTTCTCATGGTATTGAATAAGTCTCACGACATCTGATGGTTTTATAAGGGGAAATCCCTTTCACTTAGTTCTCATTTTCTCTCTTGCTTGCTGCAATGTAAGACGTGCATTTCACATTCCGCCATGATTGTGAGGCTTCCCCAATCACATGGAACTGTGGTCCATTAAACCTCTTTTTATTTGTACGTTACCCAGTCTTGGGTATGTCATTATTAGCCGTGTGAGAACAGACTAATAAAAGGGGTATTAAATTTTATTAAATATTTTTCTACATAAATTGATGTGATCATATGATTTTTTTCCCATAGTCTGTTAATATGGTGAATTACACTGATTGATTGTTGGATATTGCATGCCTGAAATACTTCCAACTTGGTCAAAGTGTATGCTTCTTTATAGATACTGGTAGATTTTATTTGCTAATATTTTGTTATGAATTTTTTAATCTGTGTTTATGAAAAATATTTGTAGTTTTCTCTTTTCATGCTCTTATGCTATCTTTACCTGTTTTTGGTGTCAGGGTAATACTAGCTTTAAAAAATGAACTGGGAAGTATTCCATCCTCTTGTTATCTGAAAGAAATAGTGTAGATTTAGTGTTAATTTTTCTTTAATGTTGGATAGTATTCTCCAGCAAAACCATCTGGTTTTAGAGGTGTCTTTTTGGGAGTTTTTAAATTATGAATCCAAGGTTTTTAAAAATAGTTTTAGGAATAATGAAATTATTCATTTCAAATTGAGTAGGTGGTGGTAGTTTGTGTTTTTTGACAAATTCAAACCATTTTGTCTATGTTATAAAATTTATGAAGACTTGTTTGTAGTATTCCCTTATAGTTATTTTTTCATGTGCATCTATTTAAAGCTTTGATTCTTTTTCTATTGCATCTATTGCCATAGTTATAATGACAGACAATCCAAGACATTTCCTGCCACCCCAAATTGGGAGATTCAGCAGCATCTTTCTAGATGAGAATGAATGACTGAGGTTCAGAGACTATTTAGAATGATAGTTCTCAATCCACTAGGAACTATAAATTTGGATTTGTGAAAAACCTTTCTCTGGAATCACTTATTTGGGAAACTATGATTCACATATTGCTAAACCATATGTGGTTTAACTCCATAAAGTGGAGACAGTCCATACCCCTCTCTGGCAACATATCCATAGATGAGAAGAGGTGGCTGACTTGACTGGGGTAACTGATTGGGAACACCATGATCACAGCAGCAGGAACAGTACCCCATCCAATTCCTTCTCTGGACATAATTGTAATGTAGAACACCCAATAAATGGCTCACACTGATAGATATTGAAAATGTTAGGAGTGGAAACAGCTCTCTGTTTTTTGCCTCCATCTGCTCAATAAGATAGGATGTAAGCTTTTCTGAAGTCAGTGAGGATGGATGGAGGATTCCAGGGTGTACAAATGGTCAGAGGCAATCACTGTGGGGAAGATAAAGGACTTCAGCTGAAAGCCTTAGAAGCAGAAAACCAAGGCTTCTTGGAGAAGAAGGAATTCTGCTTCTGGATTGTAACATAGAAATCCTGCCTGAATTTGCAGCCTGCTGACCTGCCCTTTAGATTTTGGACTCAAGACTGCAGCATTAACTCTTACCTGAATTTGCAGCCTGCCAGCCTACTCTGCAGATTTCAGACTTGCCAGCACCCACAATCACATGAGCCAATTCCTTAAAATTTCTCTCGATAGATAGATATATAGATGGATGGTTGGATGGATGGATGGATGGGTGGATGGATGGATGGATGCAGTTCTGCTTCTCTGGAAAACCCTGACTGATAGAGTTGGTAAACTTAAAAAATCGTACCATTAAAAAATGGTGCAAGTTGGCAAGATGCCTGGGCTCCATCCTCAATGATTCTGTTTTTTTTTTTTTTATTTGGTTTTTGAGGGCTAATTTCTTCTCATTTTTAACTTTATCTTCTATGTTCTCCTAACTTCTATGTTGATGAGATAAATATGCACTCCCATCCAAAAAAAAAGTTTATTTCCACAATAAAAAGCAAACTTTCATTGACAGATTAGACTAGGGAATTAAAGTCAGGTTCTATTTCCTAAGTGAATCTCTCTTATTTATGTTTTACTAAAAAAGGAAGTAGTTAAGCTCCTTTTTTAGGTGTGGGTTCATGACATGGTTGAAGAGCTCTAGTCTTCTCCCAGGAGCTCTGAGATTCTGGGTGGCTTTTGTTCCTTAGGCTCAGTCTTATTTTCAGGTTTCTTCTCTACTTCTTGGAGATGCAGCCAACTGGGCCAGTCTGACACTGAGCTATAAACCGGTTCTCTCTCCAGCAGGAGAGTAGAATTTTAAGACCACAAAGTGAGTCTAGAGCTTATTAGTGAGTAGAAATATCAAGTAATCCCTGAAAAGAATAACAGGAGAGGAATAAAAATATAGAAATATCTACTAGAATAAGATGCTTTCTACCTGAACGTAGACAAGAGGCAGATTTTTGTTTTTAAACTCCTATGTTTATATTTTTGTGAAAAGAAACACAAACAAAAGTTATTTTTCGCTCTTATGGAATGCAAAAGAGAGTATTAGCAGCATTTCTTGTATCCCAATATCTGTGAAGGGCTGAGAAAGAAGCATCAGACAGGAAGCCCCTAATGAGCCCCAGGCAGTATGTGGAGTATGAAGGACAATTTAAAGGCAAGAGAAAGTAAAGGCCTCTTTTGATTAGTTTAATCATCCTACTGAGAGGGAAATGGAATCCTAAGGAGACAGAGAGGGATAGACCTCCCAGGAATTTTTCTGCTTCAGACCACAGAAGGAAACGTAAAGCCTTTCAGGATCAATATTGACAAGATCCCTTTGTTTTCATGAGCCCAGGGAGGAGGGCTCTTTCCAACCCCTGGAAAGTAATATCCTGGAGATGTAAGTGAAGATTCCTTTATTTGTTTTTGCTGCTTGACGTTTTCATGGACTCACTTTATTTGGTCCTAAGGCTATAATTCCGCTCTCATTGTGGAATCTGAAGAGGTCAAACTGAACAAATGGAACCATGTATCCAGAACACTCATGCTCTGCTTGCGCACTGGGGATGATGAACACCATCCACTGGGTAAAGAAGGGAAAGGAACAAAGTCTTTCTTGAAGTCAACACAATATTTGATCAAGGCAACTTTGGTTTTCTTCCCAGAAATTTTAGGAAGTGTTGTGGTCCCTTGCAACCTCTCTATTGCCTGATAGGAGACAAACCTTAACTGAAAAGAAATATAAGAGGGAGGATGGGAGCAGTCGTGTGTTGATAAACTGGCTAGGGGTGGGGAAGGAAAGAGGGGAGAGGAAGCCCTCCTTTGTAGCATCTGCTGATTTCTCTAGTGTAAATACTCTCACTTGGATG
This sequence comes from Homo sapiens, assembly GCF_000001405.40. Lineage (NCBI taxonomy): Eukaryota > Metazoa > Chordata > Mammalia > Primates > Hominidae > Homo > Homo sapiens. Next base: position 111,889,706 of record NC_000010.11, on the reverse strand, counting down.
GTTTCAAGCTCTCAAGGTGATCTTATGCAACATGGAATTTGGAAGAGATGTAGATAATGAGCAGGGAGCCTGCTACACACATCACTGGTAGGAATGGGTGCCAGGCTCATTTGTGTCCTAACCTTAATGGGGTTTCTCATGGAAAGAGGCTGTAGGAAGTGAACAGCTCTGCATATGTCCTGCTGGGTAACTGGACTTCTCTAAGCTGACCTGTAAAACAGAAACATTCCTATTGCTCCTAAGGTGCTATAAGAAGGATAAAATTAAATATGCAAATTTATGTAAAGCCCCATATCAGAGTGCCAGTATAAAATTTCTGTCCTTTCTCTTAATAACTATTCCTATTTCCAAGCTGTGTCACTTTTTAATCTACCTCTGGTGTGTGGGATTAGAGAATACCGCCCTCTGTTCTAATAGGTGTGAGTAAATCCTTGAACTGGTATGAGTGGGGTGGAGGGTTAATGGGGTTTAATCTCATTCTCTTTTCTGACATTTATTTTCCTCTTCCATCTTTTGTTACTCCCACGGATACTCATAAAGCTGCTGAGGCTTTTATAAGGTTACTCAGAGATGTTAAATGATTTGTTCACGGGTACGCAGCAAGTAAGTCGTGTAAGTTTGATTTCTATCAAACCCAGTGGCTGTTATTTCCCATGTACTCCACTGCTAATGCTGAATCTCCAGTCTTTCACTGCATGAAAACAGGGACCAGCATTTACTGCCTACGCTCATGGCCAGTTGGCTGCTCCTTCCTGAGAAGGCAGATTCAAATTTAATCATGCCAGCGAGGCTGGTCTCGAGGTAATGAAAAGATAGTGCAGCGAGCCTCAGAATCTGTAGCTGAGTCACAGTTGTGCTACTTATTATCTCCCTGAGTCTGTAAAGCGGACAGAGTAATGCTTACCTAGTTTCTCTTCTTTAGGGTGGTAAGAGCACAGTCATGGTGATAGAGATGAGCGTATTGTGGAAGCTGGAAAGCACTAAGCAAATGCAAAATACCATCCTTGTCACCTCCTAAGTAAGCCCACAGCAGAATGGCTAGCACCGGATTTCTGGAGTTACACCAATCTCAGTTTGAATCCCAGTTCTACCACTCACTGCTGGGTTGATGCCGGGCAAGTTACCCTATTTGAGACTCAGCTTCCCCTCAGTCACCCTGTTCTAGGAATGATGATGCTTTTTATCTTATATGGTTGTTATGAAGTTTAAATGTCAACATGGTAAGTCTCATGGTATGACACACCTGGCATCTCAGAAGTGCTCCTTAGCTGTCAGTTACTGTCATTATTATTCTATGTTGTATTTTGTCCTGCATAGGGTGCCAGTCTTTACTTTTAAACAGAGCTTTTGAAAGAAAAGTGGACCCAAAGAGGCACAGAAAGAACATTCAGGGCACATTTGTATCCTTTCCTTGTTTTACATGGATGAAGATTTTGCCTGAGTGCATAGAGAAGATGGAGTTTTGTGCCTGCTGCTGATGCCAGTCACATCTGTCTGGAGCCTGCTAAGCATCACACACTGTGTCAGACTCTGTAGTCCTTTTCACAGCAGCACTTCTCAGCTCCACAGACTTGCTCTTATCCCCATTTGCAGATGAGCAGCCTGTCTCCTTGAGTGCTTAAGGTACCTCCACGGGGTTTCACACTTAGCTGGTCTGGCTGATTCCAGAGCCCAGTCTGCCCGATTCCAGAGCCCAGTCTGCCCCCTACTCTGTGGGCTAATTGTCTAGGACCGCACTTCTTAAAATGTGGTGCCTGGACCAGCAGTAGTAGTGTCACCTAGGAACCTGTTAGAATGGAACCAGAAGCTCTGGGGGCAGGGCCTGGCACTGTAGGTTTTAACAAACCCTCCTGGTGTTCTGACAGATTCTGAGAACCGCTGGAATACCAGCTCCTCCTGGGGGTTTCTTGTGATGTCCTCCTTCCCCCATTGCTCTAGACTACCTAGAACAGCCATTCTAAGGTGAACTTCCTCCAGTGTGAGTGATGAAGCAGCTTTGGAGGAATTTTTACCATTCCATATCTCTTTCTAGGGAAATTCCCTGTAGACCGAGGCATTACTGTAATTAATTAATTAGAGTAAATTAACAGCACCACTTACATTCTGAGCATGCACCTGGTGCCAATAGTATTTTTAATTTTACAGGGATATTCCCCCAAGATGTGCAAAATAAATAAAGTTTCAACACTTATTTCCAACTCAGGTCCCTGACTTAACTGTCAGAAAAAGGATCCAGATTGCTGCCCAAATGCCATGTGAAGAACTGCTGTTACTAAAACTGTTGTTTATTCCCTCTGCTCATCTAAGCACAATAACATAGAAACTAGTATCTGATGAAGATATATGATTTTCTTCCACGAAAATAAAAAAACAATTTTGATTTGCCTTTCAATTAAGACAGTTTGAAAGTTAAGAACAGATGAAATAACATATCCTGTAGAAGATTGAGTTTTGTTTGGTACCATGAGGAAAAATAGGGGCTGAGCAAAATTGCCTCCCAAATACTGCTCAGTAATATGGGATTTCTGAATAATTCATACTTAATTATCTTTGAAGAGAAGGGGGCTAGCTTTCTAGCATTTCTTTCTAAATTTGTGCATCTGGCAGATGATGGGTTGGGGCAAACTGTCAGGCAGAGGCACAAAATGGTGTTATTTCAACAAAAATTGTAGGCGTAAAAAATTAAAGCATAAAAATGATATTTAAGATCACTGGCTGAATCTACAGGAGACGCCTAGGCTACAGCGGTAATAAAAATTTAAGAATGTGGAGTTCATTTCTCCCCATACTCTTATTCCATGGATTTAAGTTCCCTTGTTTATGCATGAAGGGCACTTACAATGCCAGATTTCTTGTCTAGAAATGGAGACACTGATATCAGCTCCATCAATCTCAAAGAGGTGGTGGTTTGAAGATCATCTGAGAATACAACACAAGTGTGTTTTAAAAAGTTCAAAGTCCTATATGTGTAGCTGGGACAAAATTTATTAAAACTTGCATTTCACAGTCTTTTCTGAACTCCTCACTACTGACTTTGAGAGAGGCTAATCTTTGTTTAGTCTCTCTGTCTGTCTGTCTGTCTCTCTCTCTCTCTGTCTCGATGGGGGCACTGCCTCTGCAGCTAGTTCCCAGCCCAAAGAGTCAGGGAGGAGGAGAGCAGGGATTCTAGGGCTTTGCAGGTACAGGGAAAAAGTGTGGAGCTAAGAGTGGGAGGCCCTGAAGCAGCTGGTGGAGCAAGAAAGAAAGAGGGTTGGAAAAGCATTAAAGAGGAGTATTATGAACGTGATTCCTTTGCACGTTCTTTAATGATTGTTACTTTTAAAATGTTTATGATTCTTAGATTGTGTTTCTTTGAACACAACAGTCTCTCTAGATAGGACTACGTGTAGCATCAATTTGTATTTGGGTACTATTTTTTAAAGTGGCATTCGTAATTGGGCATGGCTATGGTTTGGATGTGGTTTGTCCTCCCAAAACTCATGTTGAAATTTGATCCCCAGTGTGGCTGTGTTGGAAGTGGGGCCTAGTAGGAGGTGTTTGTGTTGTGAAAGAGCAGGTGGATCCGTCATTAATAGATTAATACCCTCCTCCAGGGATAGGTGAATTCTCACTCAAGTCTTGAGAATGGAGTGAGTGAGTTCTCACTCTTGTGAAATTAAGGCGCTGTGAGAACGGTTTGTGAAATAATCTGATTTTCTTGGTCTCTGTCCCTCGCTTCCTCTGTTGCGTGTTCTCTTTGTAACTTCCCACTCCTGTTTCACTTTCCACTCCCCTTTTACTTTCCACCATGAGTTGAAGCATCCTGAGGCCCTCACCAAATGCAACTGCCCAATCTTGAACTTTCAGCCATCAGAATCATGAGCCAAATAAGCCTCTCTTCTATAAAGAAATTACCCAGCCTCAGTTGTTCTGTTATGGCAACACAAAACAAACTAATACAGGCATCTAGGAGAGAGTTAATTATGAAAAAAAAATTGGAGCTTATGGAAACAAAAGGATGATTTTAGAACAAAGAGGCTTGTTCTCCACCTCTGACTCCAAGACTTACATAGTGAAAAATGGATAGATATTTTTGTGTATAAACAATTGAAACCTTTTGCCTTTACAAAAAGAAATAATCTACTTCCAAGAAGGAAAAAAGCCATTTCTACTGTTTCTTCCCACATTTAACTAGACTCAGTTTCATAGGAACTGGTTAAAGTTTAATGGTCACTTTCTGGTGCTAAATGAAATGATCAAATTTAGCTCAATATTGACCTTTCCTACTTTCTGACCTTTCTCTGTCCTTGATTTCCAGGACATCTGCTTGACCTGGGTGCTGCTGTATCTTAGGGTTTAATCTGTTTATTTCTATACTCGTTCAGTGGATAGTGCCATCTTTGCCTTTGGCTTCAACTACTCACCACATCCTGTGGATCTTCTAATCCTTAGCTCCATCTAGGAATCCAGACATATACATCCATAAATCTTTTAAACATCTTCATCTGATGATTCATGGACTTGACATTTCTAAAAGTCTACTCTTCACCTTCCTCTTCAGTCTGATCTTCCCTAGAGAATGCATGACTTTCCAAACACCAAAATCAGAAACTCAGGAGTCATTTATTGACCTTTGGTCTTTTCAACCCCTACTTTTAATCTAGCATGAACTCCTCTTCATTCATTCTCCTAAACATCTCTCAACTCACTCTTGCCTTTCTGTCTTCCCTTCTGAATACTTTAGAATAACAGTTTTAAAAACACATTTTAAAAACTCTGGATGGTTTTAATAACTTCCTAAATGGTTTTCCCATCTTTATTCTTGCCCAATCCGTTTTTCCCACTGCCATCAAAAGGACTTTTCTAAAATACAATTTAAATAATTTCAAATTTCTTCAATGATTGGAATTGGTTTCCAAAGCCTTCAGAATAATGTTCAAATATTATGTTCAAGATTCTTCAGGATCTTGTCTCTGCTTACATTTCTAGCTTCCTTTTATCATTACTCTTCATTCCAACTATATCACATATAGTTCCCCCAATATATATACTTTCTGTACATACTTTTCCTTTATCTGGAGTGCCATTCTTCCCTCTCTTCCCCCTTATTCCTCCTTCGAGTTTCTACAGGAATTGTACAGCCTTCTCTAACAGCAAGGATTTCTAGAGATAATTGTTGAGCCCTCAACAATTTGGGTTTGTGAGTCCCCAAAGACTGTTTTGTTAAACTCTGTGTTTATAGCATCTGGTGCTAGCACATGATAGACAATCTGTAAATGTTTGTTAAAATTGTAAGATTGGCCAGGGAGGTTGGACTAGATTTTCAGGAGGTCAGAATTTGCTTTGGAGGTGTATTTCTTTTTTTCAGTTCTTGAGCACCAACTTTCTGAGCTTCAGTTGGTGAACTTCCAAACTCTCTGGAGAATACTCGAAGGGCAGTGTTACCCAAAGGAAAGAGTACTAAATGAGCAGCAAAGAAAATCATTTTTCTGCTTTACATCCTAATTATTACTGGTTGTTTTACCTTAAGCTTTCATACAGGGTTGCTTTACAGCCTAGAGAACTCCATAAATGCAGTTTTTAAGGTTATAAGCTTAGCTGGGAATATAAGCCTTCGAAACTAATTGGAGAAGTTAGAAATAATTTCTAACTCTTTCAGCCTAAAAAAGGGAACAGAGATATTTGGGACTATAAGGCTTAATTTTACCTTCTCTGCTTTAAAAAACAAACCAAGAAACAAACAAACAATAATAGAGGTTCATAGTTCCATGGCAAATAAACCAGTCTATAGTCAAACATACTTTTGGCTTGGAAATGCACAACACATATGTCTGTTGCAGCTGATTGATCTCCTTGACCGTGCTTACACTGGCCATGCTAAATGAATGTGGGTTCCCTGGACTTAAGGCCTAGGGCTTGGGAATACTTTGAGCAGATGAAGTGGAGCAGAGGCAGCTTCAGCAGGAAGAGAAATGATGCTGCTAAAGCAGAGGGGGGTTAATTATGAAATCTTTCGACACTTGATTTAAACACCTGAAAATCAGCTTGTCAGGGTGCTAGGACCCCAAGAAGGAATTTGATGTTTAGTGACAGCTGGCAACTTCAGTGCCATTTGGCTTTATAGGGAATACCCAATTGTTCTTTGGCAGCAAGTACCTTGAACAGAGAGGGACCCTCCTGAAGTTTCCATTTGTTTGGGAAAATTGATAATTGAGGAAGGAGGCTTTTGAATGCTTGGTTGGCAGTGACCTTCCAGAGCCTAATGAAACTCTGTGGCAGGAGGTTTGGGAGCAAAATGGCTGGTGGTGCCATGAGATACTAGGCATGGCTGGGCATCCGACATTCAGGGGAGAGCTAGGGCCTAGAATCAGACATGGAATGGAATCCCACCTTGTCACTCTTCTTGTTGTGTGACCTTAGGGATGTTACTTCATTTATTTGTTCCTTGGATTTTTTCCATATATTAAATAAGGAAAATTGGTACCTACTTCATTTAGTTTTTGTGAGAATTAAATGAGATCAAGTACCTTAGTGGCTAGCATATTATAGGAGATCCATAGGTGAGCTCAAACTAAATTGGATGGATATGGGTTGAAAAATGATCATCTACAATTAGATCTAAGTCTAAGGAGTGAGAGGTGTGCAGAGTAAGGCTCCCTAATTATTCAAAATCCCTGTATTTCTCACTTTAATAGTCATGGAGTAATAATAGAAAAAGCCATTCTGCCACCCCTGCTACCCCATGTCGTGATTTGTCAAAGCTGTATAATATATTAGAAAGTTCATGGACTTTGGATATAGGATCTTGACTATCAACTCTGCAACTACAAGCTCTGTGTTCTTTTTTTTTTTTTTTTGAGACAGAGTCTCACTGTTGCTCAGGGTGAAGTGCAGTGGTGCAATCTTGGCTCACTGCAACCTCTGCTCCTGGGTTCAAGTGACTCTTGTGCTTCAGCCTCCCATGTAGCTGGGATTACAGGTGTGCCCCATCACACTTGGCTAATTTTTGTATTTTTAGTAGAGATGGGGTTTCACCGTGCTGGCCAGGCTGGTCTTGAACTCCTGGACCCAAGTGATCCTCCCACCTTGACCTCCCAAAGAGCTGGGATCATAGGCGTTAGCCACTGCGCCTGGCCTGTGTGTTCTTAAGTAGGTCACTTGGTCTCTCTGAGCCTTACTCTTCAGATGAAGGCAATTATACCTATCATGCAGTGTATTTGGGATAGTTAATTAAGAAAACAAATGAGAATGTATCTAAAGTGGTCTCTGGCTTCATCACTTCTGAATTTACTTCATTTTCTTTCCCCCAACTTTCCCTATAATAAAGAGCATAGGCTTTTCTTTCAGTCGAGTGCATGGTCCAGTGGTGGACCATTCAAATAGCCAATACAAAGAGTAGAAGGCAGAAGAGCAGCAGGGCTGATATTGGTCATATGGCTGACAGTCGAGATACCAACATCTGGTAGGGGCCTTGAGGACTGGAATAATTTTGACAATTTGGCAACCTTATGAAGTAACCAATTCTTGTTGACTTGATGATATAGTACCAAGAAAGTTGCCTCATCAGAACAAGAGTAGGGCTATGAGCTTCTGCTGCCCTGGCCAGCATTTCCCACTCAGTCTCCACTTTATTTTCTATGTACAATGGTAACAAGGAAGTTGATGCTCTGCTCATCACCTGAAGGAGATTCGGTGGAGCCTAAAATGGCTAATCTTCAAAGACTGATACTCTGAAATGAATTTGTTGTAATTCTACAAACACGAGATTCAGGGGGGGAATCTGGTTTCCTAAGAGAGCCAAGGATTTTATTTCTTTATAGGTTATCTCTATGTTCATCCTTTTATCTGCCAATTTAAAGATCTTAACCGTCCTCACATTGAATCCTGCGTAAGAGACACACCTCAGTAGATATATGGAAACAGAGGTCAGAAGCCAATTTCCTGACTCCCCAAAATCCAGCCTACTACCGTCCCCAGCCCACTTCTCTATACCACCCAGGCTGGTTTCCTGTTATTTCCGCCAAATAGAAGGAAGCCTGCCCCTTGTCAATGTTGTGATCGTACTCTTCCCACAGCATTCATCTCAAATTCTATCTCCACCACAGAGTGGTCCCTCGGAATGATTGTTGCTTGAGTTTTACCAAAGACATTGCTTTCTTTTCTGGCAAGGTTAGGACTTGGATTAAAACAATGATTCTCTAAGCAGTGAACCCAGCGAGGTGCTGAAAATCCATGTGGGCACAAAGAATTGTCTGTAAACTGTGCAAGTAGGTGTCCTGGCGCATACTTGAAAGATAATTTTTCAAATTTGCGTAGATGCCTTTGTCATTTGTAATTATTTGAAAGGTATTGCTGAATTCATAGTAGCATTTGTCATTATATATTTTGTCAATTGATAATATGTAGCTACATACTATTGAGGTAGCCTGATATGAATGAATCTGCTGAATTAAAAAGAAGCAATTTTCTGGTTCCTCTGAATAATGGTTTGACTCTTGTGGGTCAAAAGTCAATATGCATAGTGCAAGAGATCTGTGTTCCATTAATTGTGTGTGATTTTGGGGTAAGCCACAGCCCTTCTCAATGACTGCAATAAACACCTATTGATTTTGTCTCAATATCCACTCATCCCTTTTCTATGGTGAGAGTGGCCTCGTTTTCCTTGGTGGCTGCTGCCTCCTCTCTGGCCCATGATTTTGGGGTGTGCCTGAGGTCTGCCCACCAGCATGTTCCATCCATCCCATGTTCATGAGCACATGGATATATGACCCAGGTTAACCAATGAATGTAAGCTCTAGGGTATTTGTTGGAACTCTGGGGCCTTCTTTCTCTTGAAGTTCAAGGCTTTCTGGACATAAGCAGGAGGTCGTGCCAGCCCTTTTTGTTTCTTCAGAGAGAGAATCTGTAAAACTAAGGCAACACAGACACAAATAGAATGAAGGGTTGAAAGCACTATTCAGATGATACTGTTTAACTACTTTGATCAAGCTATGTTGAAAACTACTACCCAGTTCTTTTCAGTTACTTGATAAAGATGTCCTTTCTGCTGTAAGCCAGTCTGAGCTGGGGGTTTCTGTCACAAACATCCTGACTGATATAAGAGTTTTGCCCCACATCTGTAAAATGAGGGAATTGGACAGGTAAATTCTAAGAGCATTGCCAGCTTGAGGATGCTTGGGAGTCTAAAGCAGATTTTCCAAGTTCATTAGCAGGGGCATAAACCCCCAATTATTGGAGGAGAGCTGACTACAAAGTTCTAGTAAGGTGGTTAATTGATCTATTTGGGATTCCACAGTAAAACTTGTCTTGGAATCTCAGAATGCCCTTTGATGGAAAACATCTTTGAAGAACTGACTCATTTTGCTTGGGGATTTACTTTGAAATATAGATGAAGTAAGGATTATCTCATATTTTTATTTTTTCCCCAAACTTTCACTAACTTATCTGCATCATTGTTAAAAAAAAAAAAAAGACATACATAGACACACACACACACACACACACACACACTTCACAACTGTCATCCTGGGTGTAATGTCAAGCATTGATGTCACAGTCTGCGGGTGAGGGGAGTGTGTGTGTCTGTATGAGTCAACACATGTCCTGGAAGAGGGTGTCTGAACTTTGTTTTTGATGAGTGCTTTTTTGTTGTTGTACTCTCCTCCACAGCCTGTCTAATTAAAAACAATAGATTGTAAACCATCATCTCAAATAAGCTACGCTGCTTTTTGTTTTTTTTTTTTTTAATATCTCTGTGGCAAAACAGATTCCAGGTGGCATAATGGAAATTTCCAAACTGCAGTCCAGATAGAGTACTGAAAGTAAGTGTGGAAAAGACATTTTTGGAGGGAACTCTCTGCTCCCTCATTCATGCTTGAGCCCTCCAGCCACAGATCTTATTTATAAAATCCTTTTGTGTATAGACCCAAAACAAAGTAACTATATGCAAGTCTGGAGGGAAATCTTCCTTTGTAGTTTACACTTAGAGGCCTGGATTATCTGCCACAGTATCTCAGCTTTCACTGAGATCCTTCTGATTGCAGGAATTCTCCAGAAGGAAGCTCAGTGACTTTTAATGCCTGTGAAGGGACATGGCAAAGAGTCTCTGATCCTGGCACATAGTGTACATATATGATGTTCATGGTGACAATAGTTACAATTTATTGATCACCTGTGTGCCAAACACTTTCCATTTAGGCACTCATTTAAGTGAATTAAGCCTGAACTTTGTTTAACATGATCCTCATGCCATAGAGAAGAAAAAAGTTGCCTTAAAGAGGTTAGATCTAAAAAAAAAGAAAAAAAGGCTATGATCTGAGGTCAGTGAGCTAGCATAGATCCCTAAACCTGTATTTTTAACCATCAGAGGATTCTGCCTCCATGTAGACCAGTACATCCATTCTGTTTAATTAGCAGACAAAGCCTTTCCCATTTTCATACCTTTCACTTTTTCTTTAGGGAGGTCATCATTCTTTCTGTTTTCCCCTGCTCAAGTGTCATTAAGGTTAAATAGCCTCACTGAGTGTTTACAATTACATTTAGGATATATAACTAAGGTGATTTTTTGCAGAAAGCCAATAGCCTCATAAAAGTCCTTTATGCAGCATCATGAGATTCACAGAGCTGCTGTTTTTAAAAGCATCTCTTTAGTGGAGGCATCTACAATGGTTTTACAATATAGAAATGAACAACATTGACTTGTGACCTTCTGGATGGATGAAAATAAGGGAAGACTTTGTCTTACTAATGATTTTTTCTTTTTCTTTTTCTTTTTTTGATTGTACATTGTGGATAAGATCTACAAAATAAATGATTGATATCAAATGTTGTGATTGCTCCAATAGGTACTGAATAAAATCAGATAAGTTTCCAGGATTCTCTTCTTGCTACTAAATTAAGCACTCAGAGAGGCAGCAAGTTAGAGCGCCTCATAGCTAGCAATTATTGTAGCTTAGGAAGTGCCAGACCCTAGATCAAAGGTTTTACATATTGTCTCGTCTATTATAGTATTCACTATAATAATCTCACTCTCTGCTTCTGCTACGTTGACCTGGAAACCTCTCTGACTTTCAGATTTAGGACGAATTCTTTTCCAGTATCCTCTTCTGTCCATCATGCAACTGCATTCATGCTGGTGGCATAAATCCTCATGCTAACTAGTTTGATACATTTAATCGCTGCCACTTCTACACTGGACAAGATGTAGGTAATTGTCTATATAAAGACTTAAGAAGAAAAGAAAATCAGGCTAGTTTTTCTAAGCCAAAGCAGCAAGACCAAAGGAGATTAATTGGAGTTTGCTATGCTCTAACTCAAAGTTATTTGCAGCTATGATAGCAGTTCTCTAGCAGGGGAATGCTGTTTCCCCAGCCTCCTTGACCTGGCTAACTCTTACCTGTCCTTCAATACCCAGCTGTAGTGTCTACTCCTGCCACCCTTCAGTATTCCCTGATACCATCTTAGGTTTCCTTTCTCTTGCACTCCTTTAAACATCCCCTAAAATGTCTTTATACAACCTCATCCTCAGATTAACAATGTGTTATATTGCTCTGTGTTATACATATAGCCAGATCTGAAACATTCCTTCCCCTCCTTCCGTACCTTCTGCTGAGCCTGGTCTACTGATGAATACCTTGAGTGTTCAGTAAATGTTTAATTTGTATATATACATCCAAATGTACAGGGAAGGAAGAAAGCACAGAGTTCTGGGCTCACATTGAAAAATTGCTCTAAATTAGTTTTCATCCTTTGAGTACTGCTTCTGTGAGTGGGTCATCAGCTGGCCTAGCTTCCTGGTGAGGTGGTTTATTCCCTTTCTATCTGAATGATTAGTGCTTGGCAGTAGCTTTTTGAGTGTCGGGAAGCTCATCATTGTGCTTTTTCTATGTAAAGAACTGCTGCAGCTTGAGGTTTCTTTGGTTACTAGAGGCCTCCACAGCATCTCTTCTCTCCCATTTAGACATAGTTCCCTAAACTGGGCCCCCCGGGATGGGATCCAGACTCACATTTTCGGGTAGGGAATAGCACAGGTTGGGAAAGAGACTAAAAGGGCTTCTAGCTAGATAGTCCTTTTAACTAAGCCCTCAGAGGTATCTCATTCCATGTCATAGTACCACCAGGAAAATTTCTTAAAGACATTGAAATGGGCAAAATGTTACTTGGTGTCCTTTTGATATTAATAAGACCTGTGTGTTGTCTTGAGGATCCTTCCAGGGTTATCTGATTATACGGGGGCCTGTGCCTTTTATTGTCTTTCACTGTTTTGCAATTCTGTAGAGAGAGAGAGAGGTAAACCTGTAGACACCAGATAGTGATGCAAATGATTCCTGATCATAGAAATGCAAATGGTTTTGTCCCGTGAAGATGCATTTGATTTCCTTCTTGTGGAGAGGTCAGTGTTGCATGTATTAGAAAATTTAACGTTTCTGAATGCCTACATATGTAATATATGTCTGTTCTTTGGCTTCTCTTTTGAACTATGCATAACATCTTAATGCTTCTCTCATTATTAACTGGACTAAAAATAAAATCTTTGACATGTGTTCATTTATATTTGTACATGAGTCATGATTTTGCTGTATTTAAAAAATAATTATCCTTTAACACTCCCATTGCCATACAGCCCTCAGTTTGATGTAGTAGAAAAGCACTAAATTCAGAGTCACAATTCAAGGCTTAAGTCCCTTCTTTGTCATTTGCTGGTTCAGTTTAATTTGTAAAATTATTTTACTGCTGGTAAAATAATACTACGTCTGAGAATTAGAAGGAATCATAGAACTGTTCTGACTAGAATAAAATAACCTGATACCTGTGTCATAGTTTAGAATTTACCCACTAGCAGTTGTGGCCTGCTGACGTTTTTGGGTAATCTAAAAGAGACAGAGATACATCTGGTAGGTAGAAACTTGGAACGTTTTATTGTCCCCATGTTATCCCTATAAAATCCCCCAAAACTCTATGGAGAGAAAAGCAATATAGCCTTCAAGTTTATAATGAAGGAGAATATTTTGACCCAGATTTAAGAGAGACCACAGAAACCCTTTTCCTCCAAGGTAGAGTTAAAAGGTAGGGTTTCTTTTTTTTTCTTGAACACACTCATCTTGTGGAAAAGGGTAGGGTTTAATGTCTGTCTTTCTTGAGTGTCGTGTATTCCTATGACCTCTCTAGCAAACAGCAATTCTGAACATTTTCTGATCATCTCAAGCTTTCTTTAGATGTGAAGATCAGCCACCCAATTTTGAAAATCTCACTCATATAGCTCATCTCATCCTGTTAGGGCCAATGCTAAGCAGGAAATAAGTATACAGTAGAATAGAAAGCAGATAAAGTTGATTTCCTCTGAGTATTGACTTTAGAGGGGAATCTAGGACCCTATTAAGGCCGTAACAGGTAAACAGATGCAGGAAGACTTTGGGAAAGTAGCAGGGAGCCTGTAAATATTGGCTGTGCTGATTACAAAAAGAATGTTTATATACAGATTCCTAGACTAATAGGATTAATGGGAAATAGGGAAAATTGCAGGTTCTCTTTGCCTGCATCGTTTATTCTTTTCTGTCTTTATATTTAGACTTTTTACTTTTATATATTTCCTAAATTCATTTACACTAAGGTTTATTCATTTATTCAACAGGCAAATACTAAGAACCTTTTAACGTACCAAGCTCTGTGCTAGGTACTGAAGACAAAATGATGAATCATAAGGTCCTTGCCCTAGATTAGCTCAGAGTCTAATGGATTTATTTGCTGTACCTCCCAAGAGGGTTATGTGGTCTTTTTATGCTTGCCCCAGAAGAATGAATTGATGACTGTGGAATTTCAGACATCGGTTACGGTCCAGGAATGAAGATATTTCACATGTGTGGTGGTAGTGGTGGGGGTGGGGGTGTTTTACCCAAAGTCCCCCAGATCCCTGCAGACAGTGCAGACTATTGGTTCCATCTCCCCAGTAGGCCAATCCTGCTTTAGCGGGAGCAAGAAGGCTGTGGCCTTGCAAATAGGGGAGGGCTTTGTGGGTGTTTGTCACAGCCCCAGTTTCATGACTTACTGATAACTTTTGGTAAAATAGTTAGCTTGTCCAAACTTTGACAGTTTCCTCTGTAAAATGAGAATGCAAAGATCTACTTTACAATGTCATTGTGAAAATTAAACACAATAACCTATGGAAAGTTCTGTGCATTGCTTAGCATTTGATGGGCGTTCCCTAACCATTACTTTCCATCCCCACAATAGACAAACTCTAACCTGCAGCTGTGGTTTTGTGACCTGTTAATTTAGTTCAGTACATTCATCTGTTACTCTTGTCTGAGGTGTTCTTGGAAGGGGATGCCAACCACCATGACACCAGCTCTGATTGGTTGACTCCATTAACTGGTGACCAATCAGATTGTGTTCATTTTGAGCTGGGATGATAATGTCCTTACTGAAGACTGTTGGTGCCGAGCTCTATCCCTTCAGCACACTGGAAGGTCGATACAGATATCCTCTGGCCTCCTGAGCTCCCCTGCCTGAAGGTTTTCTCTGGTCGTGGTGTATATCCTGCCTATAGGTCAGACTGGATGTCCCAGGGGGGTTCATGCTGCAGAAGCAACTACTGAGGAGAGATGGGGGCTTGTAGGTCAACTCCCCGGATTTTTCACTCATTCGTGAAACAACGCTAAGTTGCCTCCACAGCATCTCTTGGATGATGCCTATGGGACTGACTACAAGCTGCTGACAACGCTAACTTATTTATTAACATATGCTTTCTTATTGGATTTTCTTCCTCCACTTACAGTGCCTTCTGAGATGATCTTGTACCCAAATTCATGACTCGGAGTCTGATTTGGAAGAAACCACACTGAAAACATCCCTAAGGTAGACCAAACTGGAAAAGCTGGAGGCAAAACCTTGAGTCATGGTTTTTGAGGGAAAGACTTATGTCTGGAATGTTGTCATCTCGAACATCAAATGTAAAGGGCAAAAGTGAGGTTGTACACAGGAAATGTGGCTACAAATTAGAATCCAGACAGAAATGAAATTGGATCTGGTATTGGCAAGGGTGCTCTCAACTTGTCTTTATTGCCTAGCTAGAGCATGAGAGTGCAAAGCAGGTTTGAGACAGGCGACCAGTGGTGCCAACAGTAGGACTTTGGAAGTTGCAGCTGGGTGGGATTGCTTCTTACTTGGAAACCTTCTTTCCAGGAGGAATAATTTTCTGTTTTGTCCCAGCTAGAAAGAACAGATGATTTCTGGTGGTGGTTGTTGAGACTACAGAGACTTCCTTTAATATTTCATTGGCAGGTGCCATCCAGAAATGATAAACCCCTTCTCTGGATGACAGTCTGTGCAAAATCTGCTGGCTCATGGGTGCTTGGGGACTGCAGCGGATATTGGGATCTGTGCAGATAAATTTTTTAACCTTGATAGAGTCAGTGGGGGTTTAATGAGTAACCAAGATTATAGCAAAAGGGGTAAATATGTAGGCAACCAGGAAATGTAACATTTCCTTCACTAGACTTGGGGAAACTAGATTAATTCAAGAGTGAAACATACTCTTAATTCAAGGAAATACATGGATGAGAATGTGATGGCTCTCCCAACCTTCCCCATTTCCCCTTCTTCATCAAGAAAATAAAAATGAGCATTTTGTGCCATGATGCAGAAGAAATTTAATTGGGTGCTGATGATTCAATTTAGCTTGTAAATTAGCTGCCAGAGAGACTATATGAGTGCCAAAAGTACCAGCCTCGCTGTCTTTTTGTTAACTCGTTGACACATTTGACGCAAATTAGATATGGATTTATGGTGCCACAGATGACTGACTTCTCAAGGCTACATGGCATGTATCCTGGAGCATGAGGGACCAAACTCAGGCCAAAAAAGCTGATCTCAATGAAGTCAGCTTCTTCAGCGTTCTTCTTCATTTCAGCCTTTAAAGAATGAGCGAGAATGAAACTCTTTGTCACCCTGTCTTAAGTGGTAACTCAGCCTTTAGACAAAGTGTGTTTATTTACCTATCCAAAACAGATCTTGCCATTTACGTATGCCTCCAGCAGATGCTGAACAGACCGTGATTATATATCTGAGCCAAGAGGTGGGAGTCACTCAGCTATGAAATTTACAATAATTACTTCATTTAACCTCCATGACAGCCCTATGGGTTAGACACTCTTTGTTCCCTTTTTCAGATGAAAGACAGGCTCAAAAAGTTAACTTTTCCAAGCTTATACAGCCAGCAAAAGGCAGGACAGGAATTAAAATCCATGAAGTCCAACTAAATCCATGTTAGCCAACTACCACTGAGCACCCTTGCCACCCTGTCTATCCTGCCTGCCGCTTTCTGTTTCTTTTTGGATTGTATATCCCCACAGACATCATTGTTAACAACCAGATAACTCTTCTGGCTATTTCTAAGCTGTCATTTTCATTTTCTATGAGGTCTTTAGAGATGAGAGCTAATGGGATTACCTGACCCACCTATAGCCCTGAGTCAAGTCACATCAGCTGCATAAGTGCTTCTCTAGTGGAGATTGAATCTCTTTCCTCCTATATCTGCGTTCTTTCAAATTGGCTGGGCTTCTGCTAAGCATGACAACACTGGCGCCCCGAGGTTGGGGAAGGCTGCTGAAATTCACCTAGGATCTTAAGATGAGGAGGGTGCAACCATGCATCTATCCCACACTAGCTTCTGAGCTTGAGATGTTCATGTGAAGTCTCACTGCCCACCTTCCTCTTGATTTGTGAAATAATACATCCACACATGTACACTCAGCCTTTCACATTTCTACTCTGCTACTCAATAGAGACGTGATGGCTACAGTTCCTCACTTCTTCAGTATCCTTTCATACTGGTACCTTTCCTTCCTTCCTGGTTAAGCAAATTCAGTAAAGAATCATCTCAGTTGCCAGTCTGGCTTCTAGTTACCTCAATGAGTTTCACTTTCCATTTATTAACTTGGCACCAGAAACCACCAGAGAAAAGCCTGCCCCACTAATGACTCGACTGACGTCATTCATCATTGCCTTATTGCTTTAAACACATCCACCTGAGAAGTCTATGATGACTAATGAATTCCAAAAACTCACACCCATTCTCTTGGGATTGGAACTAGTTATTTATCACTGCTTCAAAATATTTGAAATCTGCTTTCCTGACATGCCCATTAACTATCCTACTCTCAGTATGAACAATTTTCAGGATTCTGATTAGAGATTCAGTGAGTTTCACCTGGTCTTAAGGTCTTTATTCCCCTACTGCTTCTCCCTAAGACAGTGAGTCCCAAGTGTGTTTAAGTATCTGAGCTGTCTGGAAGAAATAGTTTGCTCCCCATCTTACAATGGTAGAACAAGTGGTGGGGATATCTGCAAATTTGAAATGTTCCTTCTTGGTTTCCAATTGTAACCAGGCTTACACATTACTGTTCCAGGGGTCTATGGACACTTCTCTCCTTGGACAGTTCTCTTCTTTACTAGGGTGGACTCATTCCCCATAAAAGCATGTAAAAACGTGTTAGTTTTCTCATGAAATCATTAATTCATGGGTTCATTTATTCAACAAAATACTTGGTTGGCACAAGAGCTAATCATTGCTGGGGAATTTAAGTATGGATAAGATGATTCTTACCCTCAAGGTTCACAGTTCAAAACCCTGTTGTGTATCTTAGGAATCAGTACCATAAAAGCATGTAGTCTGCTCTTTCGGAAGTGGTTACATTATTAATTCAGAATTGGCTTGATTATTTACATTTGTGCGAAGGGCTGAAAGCAAATAAATCATTATGGTTGATAGAATGATCCAATTTCTGACTGTGTTGAATTGCTTTGTAAGGTTAGGCTTGAGACCAAATCAACATGTGCCCAGTCTCTTGCGATATACTTTCTGCTCTGAAAGACTGTTTTCACATCTTGCTATAGGAAAGGATGTTGTTTGAAAAGGGAAGTTGTTGTTTATTACACAATGATTTATTTTCAGTTTATTTGCCATTAACAGAGCATTCTGAAGACTGCTAAAGACAGCAAGGGCAGAGTGGTCTTGGGCAGTGCTGTGGTAATTTAGGCAGCCACTTGGACAGGTTTGCATATACTTTCCCATGCTGATTCAGCATTCACAGTCACTATATTAAAAATCAGTTCTGAAGTTCTTATACCAGGTACCTTTGGGGGTGGGTATGAATAGGTATGTCTGCCATTCACTGGGCTTCCACTACATCCCAGGCACTATGCTGAATGCACTTGAAACCACCTGTGTTAGTCCATTTTCATGCTGCTGATAAAGACATACCTGAGACTGGGCAATTTACAAAAGAAAGAGGTTTAATTGGACTTACAGTTCCACGTGGCTGGGAGAGCCTCACAATCATGGCAGAAAGCAAGGAGGAGCAAGTCCTGTCTTACATGGATGGCAGCAAAGAGAGAATGAGGAAGAAGCAAAAGCAGAAATCTCTGGTAAACCCATCAGATCTCGTGAGACTTATTCACTATCATGAGACTAGCATGAAGCCTCCGTGATTCAGTCACCTCCCCCTGGGTCCCTTCCACAACAGTGGGAATTCTGGGAGATACAATTGAAGTTGAGATTTGAATGGGGACACAGCCAAACCATATGATTCCACTCCTGGCCCCTCCAAATCTCATGTCCTCACATTTCAAAACCAATCATGCCTTCCCAACAGTCCCCCAAAAGTCTTAACTCATTTCAGCATTAACCCAAAAGTCCACAGTCCAAAGTCTCATCTGAGACAAGGCAAGTCTCTTCCACCTATGAGCCTGTAAAAAGCAAGCTAGTTACTTCCTAGATACAATGGGGGTACAGGTATTGCATAATCACAGCCATTCCAAATGGGAGAAATTGGCCAAAACAAAGGAGTTACAGGGCCCACGCAAGTCTGAAATCCAGTGGGACAGTCAAATTTTAAAGCTCCAAATTGATCTCCTTTGACCCCAGGTCTCACATCCAGGTTACATTGTTGCAAGAGGTGGGTTCCCATGGTCTTGGGCAGCTCTGCCCCTGTAGCTTTGCAGGGTACAGCCTCCCTCCTAGATGCTTTCATGGGCTGGCGTTGAGTGTCTGCAGCTTTTCCAGGTGCACAGTGCAAGCTGTCAGTGGATCTACCATTCTGCAGTCTAGAAGGTGGTAGCCCTCTTCTCACAGCTCCACTAGGTAGTGCCCCAGTAGGGACTCTGTGTGGGGGCTCTGACCCCACATTTTCCTTCCACTCTGCCCTAGCAGAGGTTCTCCATGAGGGCCCCGCCCCTGCAGCAAACTTTTGCCTGGGCATCCAGGCATTTCCATACATCTTTTGAAATCTAGGTGGAGGTTCCCAAACCCCAATTCTTGACTTCTGTGTACCTCCAGGCTCAACACCACGTGGAAGCTGCCAAGGCTTGGGGCTTCCACACTCTGAAGCCATAGCCCGAGCTCTACATTGGTCGCTTTCAGCCATGGCTTGAGTGGCTGGGACGCAGGGCACCAAGTCCCTAGGCTGCACACAGCATAGGAACCCTGGGCTGAGGTTTAATTGGACTGACAGTTCCACGTGGCTGGGAGAGCCTCACAATCATGGTGGAAGGCAAGAAGGAGCAAGTCCCATCTTATATGAAACCACTTTTTTCTCCTGGGCGTCTGGGCCTATGATGGGAGGGACTGCCATGAAGGTCTCTGACATGGCCTGGAAACATTTTCCCCATGGTCTTGGGTATTAACATTAGGCTCCTTCCTACTTATGCAAATTTCTGCAGCCAGCTTGAATTTCTCCCCGGAAAAAATGGGTTTTTCTTTTCTATTGCATAGTTAGGCTGCAAATTTTCCAAACTTTTATGCTCTGCTTTCCTTATAAAACTGAATGCCTTTAACAGTACCCAAGTCACCTCTTGAATGCTTTGCTGTTTAGAAATTTCTTCCTCCAGATACCCAAAATCATCTTTCCCAAGTTCAAAGTTCCATAAATCTCTAGGGCAGGAGCAAAATGCCACTAGTCTCTTTGCTAAAACATAACGAGTCACCTTTGCTTCAGTTCCCAATAAGTTCCTCATCTGCATCTGAGACCACCTCAGCCTAGACTTTATTATCCATATCGGTATCAGCATTTTGGGCAAAGCCATTCAACAAGTCTCTAGGAAGTTCCACACTTGCCCACATTTTTCTGTCTTCTTCTGAGCCCTCCAAACTGTTCCAACCCCTGCCTGTTACCAAGTTCAAAAGTCGCTTCTACATTTTCATGTATCTTTTCAGCAACGCTTCACTCGACTGGTACCAGTTTACTGTATTTGTCCATTTTCATGCTGCTGATAAAGACATACCTGAGACTGGGCAATTTACAAAAGAGGTTTAATTGGACTGACAGTTTCACGTGGCTGGGAGAGCCTCACAATCATGGTGGAAGGCAAGAAGGAGCAAGTCCCATCTTACATGAATGGCAGCAGGCAAAGAGAGAATGAGGAAGAAGCAAAAGTGGAAACCTCTGATAAACCCATCAGATCTTGTGAGATTTATTCAGTTTCACGAGAAGAGCATGGAAAAGACCAACCCCCATGATTCAATAACCTCCCCCTGGGTCCCTCCCACAAAACATGGTAATTCTGGGAGTTAAAACTGAAGTTGAGATTTAAATGAGGACACGGCCACACTATATCAGCACCCTTGCAAAAATCATAGCTGAGGAAACTATGGCAGTAAAAGAGATCAGATCTAACTGATCCCAACTTCCTTCTAACCTCTAAACTCTTTGTTCATTCCTGGGTGTAGGCCTAACTAGCCTTGGGAAGGAATTTAGTTTATAGTTTAAACTCTGAAACAAAATTGATAATAGCCCTTTCCCAAAAAACCCCTTCTTGCCTGGGGACCAGTCCGCCTTTGTAGGACTAACAAATTAGCTATAAGATTAGAAATTACGGTTTAGGGGCCATGCAGCCTCTGGCTGCAAGAGTCTGAATCTCCTCAAATTGCTCCTGGGAATAACATCACTCTTGCAAAATCTAAAATCAGTGATTGAGATATTTTGCAGACCCTGCATCCTGATGCAGCAGATGACACCACCCAGACAGATAATCTAGCTCAACCAGTTCTGCGATCCCACCCAATAACAGAAGTCAGCAAGAAGAACTCATTTGACTCCCTATGATTTCATCTTCAATCCGACCAGTCGGCACTCCCCACTTTCTGAGTCCATAACCGCCAAATTATCCATAAAAACTCTCATCCCTGAATGCTTGGGGAGACTGATTTGAGTAATAATAAAACTCTGGTCAGTCTCCCGCACAGCTGGCTCTGCGTGAATTACTCTTTTGCCATTGCAATTCCTCTGTCTTGATCAATTGGCTGTCTAGGCAGCAGGCAAGGTGAACCCATTGGATGGTTACAAATTCTCTACCTTTCTAAAAAACTTAATCCTTATATCTTCTCTGTGAGTAGATAGATATTTTTGGCCCCATTTTACAGATGAGGGTATTCAAATTTCGAGCACCTAAGTAAACAGCCAATAAGTGGGAGAATCAGAATAGCACCTTGGATGTATTTGACTCCAAAACCCATAAACTTTCCCATGGAGTGTCAACCTCAACTTCATATTTATACACAAACATAACATCTCTACTGAAGACAAACTTAGAGGAATGTTTTATACATAGGGAAAGCTTAACACAAATTTAGGGCCACTATTTAGGTCTAGAACCTATTGTCACAATTACAGTCTTTCATCTGAAATATAATATCTTTACTTTGTTAGCATGCTACATTTAAGTTAGAGATAATAAACTTGAAAATTCCAAGAATGAGCAAATTGAAATCTCAAATTTCTGATGACCTGCCTTATTTAATAATTTCACAGAATAACAATTCTCCAAATGGCACAGTTATTTAAACTGACAGTTCACTTCCTTTTGCCGTAGAATTACAATAGGCCACTAATGAAGATTCGATAAAAGCTATTTCCTGTTTATACACATCAGTCTAAATGAGAGTTTTAATTTATGTCCAGATACCATGGACAAACTCTGTGGTTTAGCTTTTGCTGACCTCTACTCTATTTCCCAACAGAAATCAGGTTGTCTTTCCTCCTTAGCTTCCTTCCACTTGAAAAATCTGCTACTGCCCCCCTACTCATCTTTCAGAACACTCAGTTTAGGTTATGATTTTTCTGTGATACTTTACCAAATAGTTCAACTCATAGTCATCTTACCACTCTTCAAATGCCTCTCACCCAGCACTGTCTAATAAAAATATAACACAAGCCACAACTGTGTGCCACCTATGTATTTTAACATTTTATAGCAGTCACACAAAAAAGTAAGAAGAAACAGGTAACACTAATTTTAATTAACCCAACATATGTTAAATATTATTTCGATATACAATCGACATAAAAATAATTATTGAGATATTTTGTATTCTTTTGTTTATCCAAAGTCTTAAAAATGTGGACTGTATTTTACATTTATGGCACACATCTCAGTTTGGAGTAGCCATAAAGTGCTCAGAAGCCATACACTTTTAGTGGAGAATGCAGCTCGAGCCCCGCCTTCTGGCGCGTTCTTGTGGAATTTATTTTATATTCTGCTAGACATGTCATTCTCCATGTGGCGTAGTGATTAGAAAATGAACCTGAGTTTGAACCCCTGCCATTTACTAATTGTGCAACTGTGGCCTCGAATCAACCTCTATAAACTTCAGTCTCTTCATCTGCAAAATGGAAATCTTTTTATTGAAGCTTCCATCATACTGGGCATTTGTGAGGATTGAAGGAGACAATATGTCTAGTCTGTGGAACACAACACAGAGCCTTGTACGTGGTAAGGTATTTAATCATAAATATTATCCAGTAATCACAGTAATGTTGGAAGAAGTGTCTTCCTGATATACTTTTTAATCCTTATATTTCCTACTCAAACTCCATGTCCCCATAAGGTCTTCTAAATTTTTTTTTTTTTTTTTTTTTAAAGACTGAGTTTCACTCTTGCTGCCCAGGCTGGAGTGCAGTGACACAATCTTGGCTCACTGCAACCTCTGCCTCCCAGGTTCAAGCGATTCTCCTGCCTCAGCCTCCCGAGTAGCTGAGACTACAGGCAGGTGCCATCACGCCAGGCTAATTTTGTATTTTTAGTAGAGATGGGGGCTTCTCCGTGTTGGTCAGGCTGGTCTCAAACTCCTGACCTCAGGTGATCCACCCGCCTCGGCCTCCCAAAGTGCTGGGGTCACAGGCATGAACCACCATGCCTGGCCTAAAAATGTTTAAGGTTGACTTTAGTTTAGCAAGTATTACAGTTATCATAGTCAACTTTGAAGTTTAGTCATTGATATATGAATTTCTTCTTCTCTCCTTCTTTAGTCTATGAGCTTCCCAAAGACAGAGTTTCTGTTTAGTTTTCTTCTCTATTGGAAAACCTAGGGCAATATGTACCAATAAATAAAACTTTGACAAATATTTATTGAACATATAAATGAAAACTGCATTTTATTAATAGCAATTTTCCATATTAGATATCTGGCCTCCCCAATAGGAAGCAGACAGATTTTGGAGCTATCCAATGAATGAATGAAAACAAAAATCAAGTAATCAGGACGTATTGATCATTACTATGGGAAAAAGTGTCAAAGATGTTTTCTGACTTATGTGACTGTATTACTGGAGGTGTCTTGAGATGTAAACTATAGGATAAAACAAATTTTGGGGAAAATGCTGGTTCAGTTTTAGACATGTTGAATTCAGATTTCAGTGGGAAATCAAGGTATCTCTATCAGGCAGGCATTTTGGATATTGAGATATGGAGCTCGGGAGAGGATCATGGAATGGAGACTGGTTTTGAGAGTAGTCTCCTATAAATACTGTCCTTGAAATCATGGGTGAGGACGAGAGTCTAAGTTTATGCCTTTAGCTGTCTTCCTTTTTTCTGAGAGAACATAGCATACAAGAGGTGGCCAGGGGGAAGAAGAACATGAGATAAAGACTGGGAAAGAGGTGCCAGATGTTCAGGAGGGTGTCAAGGAATGTGTGCTATCACAGCAGCCAAGGGAGGAATCCCTTTAGAGCAGAAGGGAGTAGACAAAGGTGTTAGGTGAGGATCTGCAGAGGGTTGAATGACATGGTGGTGGTGGTGAATTCACGGCTCTGAATCAATAGAAACCTTCTTGATGGGACTGGTTTTGTTTCCCCCTTCATCGACCCAACCTCACTCCTCCTCTGCTTGTAGCCAAACACCTTTATTCTGCTTTGCAAAGGCTTTCAACGCATACTTTGGGTTTTGATCCAAAGAGAAAGGTTTGGTTGAAAAGTTATGGTCACTAAATTACCTGAACCGTTTTCCCAGAAACCATGGCCATTTTTGCATCTTATCCAGAAGAAAGCTAGAAGTTGGCAGGGTTCATTTGGGGCACAATTGAAACTAAGGAGGGGAAAGTACTGTAGTATTAGCAAACATGTGTCTAATACTATATATGAGGTTTTAGTTACTTCTAAAAGTAAGTTTCTTCAGGAGAGAATATTCTGACAAAGTAGAATGTAAGAAGGGAGGTGGTGGCAGGAAAGATTAGAGTGCATGGCCCAAGACTGGGGACCTGGGACTGAGAAAGAAACATTGAACTGCATATTTTTCTGAATGCCTGGGTCGGTCAAGCTCATGGATAAATGATTCTATTTCATATTTTACTTCTGATTCCTTAGTCTTCTTTCTTTCTTCTTGGATGACTTTCAATATCTCATTGCTTTTTAATTTCTGATGCTTATTCTCCCCAGTGTAAGTCGTGGTAGTCTCTGCTTAATAAACAGCCTAGAGAATTTACGAGGTCCCCAAGGAATAGAATGTTGGCTTTGGTTGGTCTAGGTGACATCCGATAGCTGCCCTTTCTGGTACCAGAATGGATTTTAATAAATGGTAATATAGCAATTTCACTCTCTGTTTGAAAAGACAAAGTAGAGAAAGAGATGGAAGCAAACATTAATTTGGTGCCTACAACATTTGAATCACTGTGTTAAGGGATTTATGGATATTATTTGATTATTACCAATCAACCTGTGAAAAAAATATCCCCTTTTATGAGGAAGATGTGCCTTAGAGAAATGGGATAATTTACCCAACTAGTAAAAAGTAGAGGTTAGACTCAAACTTGAATCTGTCTGATGTAGAAGCACATGCTTTGTGTGGCATCCTTGCCCAATGATGACATCGCACTTCAATACATTTCCTATCGAAAAATAAATTTTTAGAACAGATGCCTTTTGATAAGAGTATTCAGCCTCTATATAAATGCAAATTTTGACTTCTCAGCTGGGATTAGCATGAGCTCTAAATTAACATGAGGCCCAAGTGACTATATCCTGTTCATTAAAAGGTATGATGCATTGTTTTTCTCCCAAAAGGAGTAATTTTCTCAGGAGTACTTGGGGTCTGAGTTTATTTCCTTTAAGCTTCTCCTCAACAGGCTGCAATTTTAGCTGTTCCCTGAGAACGATTATTCAGATTTCTGAGCTTACAGCTAAATAAGTGTCAAGCTCCTATACTGCAGTATCTGTAACTCATTTTTACCATTTGGAGGGTTTGAAGGTGGCAACAGGAAGCAAAGCTGCAGCAGAATGTTTATACTGTGGTAAACATGTTGATAAGTAAGTGTCTTAGAGTGCTAAGGCCGGGGAGTTTTCTCAGGGTGCCCAGGTGCTGGTAGGGTATCCGTTGGAATGACTTTGCCATTAGCCTTAGGCATCTACTGCTTCCAGCTGGGGATGGGCCAGGTAGAATCAGAAACCAGGTATGTGTTGGGACCTTCCTTCCATATCTCTTACAGTAGTTCTTCACTGGTTGTATGTTCGAGTTGCTTGGGAATGTTAAAAAAAAATCCTGGAGTTCATGCCACTCCCCAGAGCAATTAAAACAAAATATCTGGGGGGCCCATGCATCAGTATTTTTTAATGCTCCCCAGCTGATTTAAATGTCCAACTAAAGGTTGAGATTCACTGGTTTTTGAAGTTTTCAGTCTAGGAAAATGGTTATCAATTTTGCATGTTGGAATAATCTAGGCAGCTGTTGCAAATATACACTCCCATGCTCCACCTATAAGTTAACTGGTCTTTGGTGGAGCTTGAGCACCACTAGTTTTGTTTTTTTTTTTTTTTTTTTTTTTTTTTTTTTTTTTTTTTTTGGGACGGAGTCTCTCTCTGTCACCCAGGCTTGAGTGCAATGACACGATCTCGGCTCACTGCAAGCTCCGCCTCCTGGGTTCACACCATTCTCCTGCCTCAGCCTCCCGAGTAGCTGGGACTACAGGCACCTGCTACCACGCCCAGCTAATTTTTTGTATTTTTAGTAGAGACGGGGTTTTACCATGTTAGCCAGGATGGTCTCCATCTCCAGACCTTGTCATCCGCCCGCCTCGGCCTCCCAAAGTGCTGGGATTACAGGCGTGAGCCACTGTGCCTGGCCCCGAGCACCACTAGTTTTAAAGAACTTTCCAGCAGTGGTGAGGACCACCGGTCTAGAACTGAGCTCACCCCGAGAGACGCTGATTGAGTTTATTTGGGGTAGGGCCTCTGGCTTTGAATTTCTCCCAAGCTCCTAGGTGATTCTGCTCATCCCCAGACCACTCTATAAGTAGCACTGGTCAAGCATCTGCCTTTCCATGCTTATCAGCCAGTGAGCCTTCTAATGACTTACACAAGACTGAGTAGATGGGAACATACCTTCTGTTCTTCAGTGCCAGACAGTTGTCTCATAGTCATCAAGTATACAGACTTGAGTGTCAGAAGCTCTTGAGTTTGTTCTCCATCTTCACTTAAAACTTTCCTGCCATGGGATATAGGTCAGGGCAAGAAAGGCTGTTAATGTCTCCTCAACTGTAAAATGGGAAAGATAATAGTACCTACTTCACGGAGTTATTCTAAGAATTCATAAAAGGCTGCATATAAAGTTGCTGGTTCAGTGCTTGACACATCATAAGCACTCAATGGTAACCAATGTCAGATGTGCATTCATGATATCCACAGGATATAAGATTTTTCAGTATATTTTAACCTCAGGACCCTCGTATTGACTGTGACTTACATGGATGCTCCATATATGTAGACTAGGAAAGGCTGAATCCACTCTTGAAGCAGAGATATCTGAATTCCTCTGCTTCTTCACTATTCTTCCACACCCTTAGCCAAGGCAGCAGATGCAACATCTCCTTTGCATATCCCAAGTCTGGTCCAACCTCTTCATTGACAGAAAAGTCCAGAAGGGGCTTCCCCAAGGCCACATGACTAGTAAATAGTAAAGCCCACATCTGACCCCTTGAGACCATTTTAGAAATTTCTCATTGGTCATCAATGTTGGAGGAATTAGAACTAAGGGCTACATTTCCATTATTAATTACTCAGTGCTAACAACTCCCTGAGGTTTTAAAGCCCTCCTTTTATAAAAGGGGGGCCTTTTATTAACTGAATTTTAATTTTTTAACAAATACATGCTTGCAGTAAGAAGAAAAGTTGAACACAAAGAAAATGTAAATCTCTCTCCCCATTTTTATGACTCCCATCCCCACTTCTCCAAGTGAATAGTTGATTTTCAGAAATTATGTCTATATAATTGTTATATATAAAATATTTATAAATACATAATCTTTCCCACAAACGGAAACAAACTACATATCATGTGCTGTTTTCTAGCTTTTTTTTCACTTAATAATTTATCTTGCAAATTATTCCATGCAACACACATACATCTACCGTTTTATTTTTCATGGCTGTAAAATACTTGGTTTTTATTTAGGCAGTCTCCCTGGTGATGGACATAAGATTGCTTACTGTTTTAACTATGGCTATGCTTACATATTTGAGCAATGATTCCTAGATTTCTAAAAGTGGATTTTGTGGGGCCAATGTCTGCACGTCAGCATTCCTTCGTGGTACCACGCTGCCATTTTCTTCCATAGGCCTGTAAGTTAATCACACTTAGGGAAAAGGAACTTCCAGGGCTGAAGTCCCAGCCTTATTCCACATTAGCCTTTTCATCTTGGCCAGGCTTGTAGAGGCAGAAAGTTTTAGCATCAGCTGTGGGCATTTTGTTCTGAGGACTAAATGAAGCAAATGTTCTATGCTCAGTTCCCACCAGGGAGCTAAACAGATATTTTCAGGCCCAATTTGCTCATGTCTCATTCACCTCTCCCAACCCCCCATTCACCCAGGCTCTCCCAGCTAACCAGTAACTCCAGTGTCTCTTAAAGGCATAAAATGATATTGCTTCCCGTTAGTCATTCTTTCTGCCTGCCCTGGGAGTGGTTCTGAAAATGGAGGCACCTGAAACATATACCCTGATCCATGAATTTCCTAGTAGAGGAAGTTGTTCAGTGATTTTTCAAATGATGCAACTAGAAAGGGAGAAATGGTTTAAAGCCATGATTAATGCCACTGTGTCCCTGGCTGCCTAACTTCTTCAGCATATCACTGTAAGTAATTACCTGCCTGATCCTGGACAAGTCCTTCTGTTTGGCTCAAGTCAGCTATTGATCATTTATTTAAGAATTGCACACTCTAGGGAAGGTGAAAAAAATTCCCTAAATTAATTTTTTTGAGCCCTCTGTGCTCATGAATAAAAATCTTTCATTTCAGGCAATTTACATCGGCAACTTCTTAGCTGTGGGAATTTGTTTACCACTTCTGACCCGCTCCTCTGAAAACTGGTTTTCAGTTTTAAAACTCTGTGAACGGCAGTTTTAAATTGACACATTACATTTTCGAAATTGTATTTGATGTATTGTCTCCTGCTTGCAGTGTAGCTGAGTGCTTTGACATGTGCACACTGGTATTCTCCTTGTAAGACTAGAAGCCTCCCAATATGTGGCTGTTGGGAGCACACACTTCTCTCACAGGTTGGAGATCTGGGTAATAGTTTCCTTAACTGGAGGATGCAGGCATGTGGTGATTTTTTAGTAATCAAAGTTTGAAAAATAAGCAAAAAAAAACAACCGTAGCAAATCCAATTAGGCCATTTTAGTACCAGCTTATATTTACTGAAGCTTCCTAAATGTGAGTGTTTATGAGCACTGAGTATAATATAAAACAATTTCTAATAATTTAAAAATATTCCTAAATGTGTATCTTCTAAGTAAGAAGAGGTGCCTTGAGAAAGAGTTCTTACCTCTTTATAGTGTGCAAATCCTTTGTGTGTGTGTGTGCTTCTACCTGTTTTGTGTCAGGCAATCTTAGTATTTCTGTTAATCTGCGAACATTTTCTTATTATTAATTACTCAGTGCTAACAACTCCCTGGGGTTTTAAAGCAATTTTTTGACAAGGGATTTGCTGCTACTTAGAAACATAATTCTGTACCACCATTTAACAATCAGGCCAGAAGTTTCCCTATGTGTGTGCCATTCAAATTAGCTCTAGCAGGCAAGACCACCATATCTGAATGCAGCATCCACATACAATGAAAGTCAAGTTTAGCTCTGAGGAGCTGAGGCCAAGATACAACATCATGTTCTTGAAGTTTTGCTTCTGAAATTTGTCAGCATAACCTAGACCTCTACAGCTTGGTGATCATTCATACTCATTTTTTATATAATTAGGATCTATCTTGAGTATGTGAGAAGCCAGTTTTCTGTAGCTACCTCTCCTTAAATTTTGGATTTTCCAAGGTCACAGCCAGAATCCTATTAAGATTCTCTTCTGAAAAAACAAGATTCAAAATGCAGTTGTACTTCCTAAGAGCATGGTCATAAAGTAGGGCTTGGCAGCTGAGGAACAGCCTAGGTTAGAATACAGACACAGTGGAGGACTAGCAATGTGGCAGTCAGTGGCTCTTGTTGACCTCTTTACTACCCCAGTGAGTTAAAATTTGCTAATCCCCAAACCTCAGGGATATGGTCAAGACCCAATTCTTCTGTGATCTTGGAAAATGGTTTGTGGACAAAGGAAAAATAATCAGGGCAGGATTGTATCTGTCCCCAGGCCTTAAAAGGGCCATATGATCTAGATGTGATGGATATTAATGCTCAAAGTCCATATCTTTCTTTATGTTTTTGAGTAATAAGATTTGATATTGAACACAGAGAACATTCCTAGGGTAAATTTGAATTTTCCTGTGATCTAAGAGTGACAGGTGAGGCAGGAAAAGTATGCATTTTCACCAAAGTCTAAAGTCTATTTTTAAAAAATGGATATATACAATAACCACTGTCATGAGCTGGCAAATAAAAAGGAGAATTAGAATGTTGTATCAGTATGGTTAAAAGCAACTCCAAGATGCCTGGAAGGAATGCAGACTATGACAAGAGATTTAAGTGTATTACAAATATATGAAACAACTTCAGTGAAAGGGGTGGCTGGCTGACCAAGTAACTGGAAATTAGTGGCGGCTATAAAACTAAAGGCAAAAGGAACTGCACATAAGCACTGTACTCTAGTTGATAGTTACTTACCATGGCAGTATGGGTTATTAATTCTGATACTGCTTGACATATTTACTTGAAGAATTAAGTAAATGAACGGCAGATGGTGGGAGCCAGGTTCTGTACTGTTGGAGTGGGAATTTACAAATAAGCAAGGGGCAGAGACTAGAATGATCCATGTGGTAATAGATTGCAGTTATATTAGTAAGAACTCATGTTTAGATTGATATGGATACAGATAGTTGAACAGAGAAATATTTTTTAGATATATGTATATACATGGATTAGTATATACACATACATTTCTTGATTGTGTCCAATGGGAGAACCTAAAACCAATGACACCCCAATAGCAAAGAACATACTAGCACCCAGATTTTGGTTTCTAATACCAATCTCCAAAAAAAGGAACTAGGGCTTTTTGGAGAAATAGATGACTCTAGGACTGGGGCAAGAAATATGCAAGCTAATCCTAGAATATCTTATAGTTCCAGAAAGTGAGAAAGTGCTCAGAAAAACAAAATAATAGGGAATTGTCAAAGGAGCAAAAGAGCCAACTGAAAGAGCATACAATTCACAAAGCAGAATAAATTTGAGCAACAAAATAAATAATATTGGATTATAACCTGTAGTATATAATAAATATTCATGAGTCCATTCTGACATAGTTAACTAAATTAACAAATGGAGGATGAACAGACACTACTCAAAAAAAGACATTCATGTGGCCCACAAACATGAAAAAGATTTCAACATCACTGATCATTAGAGAAATGCAAACCAAAACCGCAGTGAGATACCATCTCATGCCAGTCAGAATGGCAATTATTAAAAAGTCAAGAAATAACAGATGCTGGTGAGGTTGGAGAAAAAGGAACGTTTTTACACTGTTTTGGGGAGTGTAAATTAGTTCAGCCGTTGTGGAAGACAGTGTGGTGATTTCTTAAAGACCTAGAGGCAGAAATAGCATTTGACCCAGCAATCCAATTACAAGGTATATACCAAAAGGAATATAAATCATTCTGCTTAAAGATACATACATGCGTATGTTCACTGTAGCACTATTCACAATAGCAAAGATATAGAATCAACCCAAATACCCACCAATGATAGACTGGATAAAGAAAGTTCCATATACACCATGGAATACTATGCAGCCATAAAGGGGAATGAGATCATGTCCTTTTCAGGGATGTGGTTGGAGCTAGAAGCTGTTATCCTCAGCAAACTAATGCAGGAATGGAAAACCAAATACCACATGTTCCTTTTTATAAGTGAGAGCTGAACAATGAGAACACATGGACACATGTTGGGGGAACAACACACACTGAGGCCTGTTCTGGGGGCAGGAGGAGGGAAAGAATCAGGAAGAATAGCTAATGGATGCTGGGCTTAATACCTAGGTGATGGGTTGATCTGTGCAGCAAGCCACCACAGCATGGGTTTACCTATGTAATAAATCTGCACATCCTGCACATGTACCCCAGAAGTTAAAATAAGTTGAAGAAAAAAAAAACACGAATGGAGGAGAAGAGACAAATTGCTCAGGGCAGAATAATTCCAAATAATTTGTGTAGATAGTGTACCCTATGGAGAAGGAACATAAGTCCCCACTCTGTAAATGTGGGCTATGCACAGTGACTTCTTTCCAAAGAGTACAATATGGAAAAGGGGCTTAGTGAAGAGTAACGTTACAGTGGAGAAACCTGAAATATACTACTTTAGTCTGGTGGTCAAGGTCAGCATCAATAGTGACATCCTGTGGGCTACATATATCCTTGATATAATAAAAATAGTACTTTCTCTCTTCCTCCCTAAAATATACAACTCCAGCATAATCATAAGAAAAACATCAGACAAATTTCAATACAGGGGCATCCAATAGTACACCTGGCCAATACTCAAAATTATTGAAGTCATCAAAAATAAGGAAACTCTGAGAAATAGTTATAGCCAAGAGGAGCCTAAAGGAGGCCTGACAACTAAATATGTTGTATCCTGGTTGGGATTATGAAACAGAAAAAGGATATTACGTAAAAACTAAGAAAATATAACTAAATTATGAACTTTAGTTAATAATGTATCAATATTTGTTCAGTAATTACAACAAATGTACCACACTATTGTGAGATGTTAATAATAGGGGAAACTGTGTGCTGAGTGGTATATGGGAACTCGGTACTATCTTCTCAATTTTTCTGTAAATCTGTTCTAAAAATAAAGTCTATTAAAAGAAAACTTGAATCTTAATGCCATACAGCAATGTGGTTTTAATTTTCACTTCTGCTCCGTGTACATCCCAGTTCAGTTGAGGCTCACTCCCGCTCCCTCACTCCAGCACACTGGCTCCTGGAACCTTGACATCTAGCTGCAGTCACCATGGAAGGGGGACAAAAAGGGTATATTATTCACTAACAAAGCTTTCTGGAAAGTGATTATGCCATTTCTGCTCACATTTCATTTGGAAAATGAATGACATGGTTACACCTAATTTCCAGGGGCCTGGGAAATGCAATTCCTCATATTCCCAGAAGGAGGAGAACCAGACATACTGGTGACCAGCGAACGATCTTATTGCTTTTTCAGTGCAATTCTGCAGTTCTCGTTGAAAACAAAGACTCATCACCCCACTTCCACAATTTGACACCCACTCTCTGATTGTGAGAAATACAAAAAGGTTAAAGACACAGTTGCTCCCCTTGGGGAATCTACACTTTGGTTGGGAAAAATGAGATAATCATGCAGTGACTCAGGAGACATCCCAAGGCTGTTTAAAAACTGTATCCAGTGATGAGTGTGGCTTAATGTATGTTCTGAATTATCAGAGGGGAGAGTTCCCTTCAGCCTGGGAAGGGGTGGCTTCTTGACAGGTAAGCTTCACAAAAGAGTTAAGATGGATCAATGCACCAGGAGAAGGAAATAACTTGAGGAGATGCCAGGGAGCCAACAGTGGAATTGCAGAGTGCTGGGTAGAAAAACATGGCAAACTGGCTCCGTTCAAAAAAACTGCTCTACTCAAATATAAGACCTTTGAGAAGGCTAGGCTAAATATACCTCATCTGCATTTAGTACCACGCCGAACACAGAGAATGGATTCTGAAGGGATTTCATTGGCTTGAATGACATCTGGGGACTATGAGTAGGCCAGGAAGTCATGATGGGTATAAGCAGATGGAAGCAGACGGTAGAGTACTGTGAATGCTGGACCAGGAAAGTAAGCCCATTTCTAGTAGTAAATAGGATTTTGCTTTTCTACTGAGAAGGGAGGAGACTAACATTTCTTGAACTTCTTTGTATAAGGCACTCTAGTAAGTTATTCAGGTATATGTAGAGATGTTTAAGCCCTACCCCTTTTCCTAAGGCCTCATACATTAATCTCTTTTAATGGAGTACGGAATTTATTGAAATTAGATGTAAAAAGAGGGTATTTGGAAATGCCAACCAAGGTAGAAGAACAAATGGAGACTTTGGTGGTCACAATAAAGGCCTCACAAAGATGTCCACGTCAGAATCCATGAAACCTCAAAATAATGTCAGTTTACATGGCAAAGAGGGATTGAGGTTACAGATGACATTAAGGTTGCTAACTAGCTGACTTTAAGGCAAGGAGATTAGCCAAATGGGCCTGATGAAGTCACAGGCTGCTTAAAAATGGAAGAGGGAAGCAGAAGAGGAGTCAGATGCAGATGTGACTATGGAAGAATGGGCTGAGAGAGGCAACATGCTGGCTTTGAAGACAAAGTAAAGGGGCCATGGATCATGGAATGTGGGGAGCCTCGCAAAACTGAAGAAGAGAAACAGGGTCTCCCTAAGAGTCCCTAGAAGGGAATACATCCCTGCCAATACCTTAATTTTAGTCCAGTGAGACCCATGTAGGACTTCTAATCAACAGAACTGTATGACCATAAATGTGTGTTTTTTTTGGGACCACTCTGTGGATTTATTACAGCAATGTATTTATTACAGTGTATTTATTACAGCCCTGTAATTACAGAGCTGTAATACAGAGACCTTTAGCTTAATAACACACAGGAAATGTACTGAGATGACTTGTCTCAATTGTGCAAAATGGCTGCATATCATGAGATGTTTTTCCCTCCATATTTTAAAGGACGCCCCAACCCCCAATATTTCCCTCACAGCCACTAACTACTTAAGTGAGGGGCTATGGATTGGAGGAGAGAGTAGCAGAAAAACTAAAGGGACATAGGAGCCCTGGAGAGAAGGGAGGAAATTAAGGCAAGTTCCAGGAGAGTTACTGCTCTTCAGCATCTGTAAGGGAGTAGCCATGTAAAATGGCCATGAAAGCTTCAGTTGAAGTCCAAGGCCTGGTAAGGAGCTAGTGGTGAGTAGAATAAAGAAGAGCAACTACTCCCAAGGCCCTACTTTTTAGTTTTAAGACTTCACAAAGATTGAAAAATAAAACTCACACCGTAAGTGAAAGACTGTTTTGGACATTCTTCTGGATGACGTTGGCATGCATGAGCAGCTAGCCATTCGGGTATTTAGCTGGGTTTCACATATGTTATTCTGTTTAATTCTCATAGCCACCCAGGAAGAGTTATTCATCATTATGCTAATGTTGCAGGTGAGTAGACAGGAGTTCCAAGAAGTGGGGTAATTTGTCTAAGTTCACACAACTGGAAAGTGGAGGGCCTCCAGGTTCCAATCTAGATCTTTCCAATTCATTCCCAGACTTATCATTGGTTTAGCCAAGCTCTTGTGCACTAAGTAGTGAATTAGACTATGATGTGTGATTGGCGTGAGACTGGAGGACTGGAAGACAAGGTATTACAGCGGGATATGTGAGGATACTGAGAGCTTATAGAGAAGTGGGTGTTCAGATGTCTGGCAGCAGAAGCCTTAAATAGAAATACTGATGCTACCTGGATACTGACTGGCAATGGAGAAATAAAAGAAGAGGGGTTGACAATTGCAGTTGGGTATTGCAGCCCATTTCACAATGTTTTATTTTCTACTGGGGCCTCCAGAGATGTGATAGACCCCTTTAGGCAATAAGTAGTTCAAAAGATGGTTGGCCAGTGGGTACCAAGACATCTTTCTCTAAGGGAGAGAGGCAGCATAGAACAGTAATATTTAGCCTTTGTACTGCCTTTGTTTGACTATTTCTTAAGCAAACATTTTACTCATTCCTCTTTTCACTACTTATCCTGATGCCTGTTGTACAGGTGGACATTAGGAGTTCTCTTCTACTTTTATCATCAGTTTGCAGGAGACACCCCTGAAAGTTCCAGTGCTTCTAGAGGACCCATATCTGAGAATATTCACTTCTCCACTTTTTCTTCTTAGAGGACAAGTTTTGGTTTGTTTTATTTGTAAACAAACCAAAGAAAAAAAAGTGATTCTGTTTCAAAATGCACCTCAGCATCAAAGAATGCCATTTATTCCTTCTCACTTCAGCTGAAGTGATTAATTTTCAAGTTTGTGCTATGTAAAGATGAAGCTTACTGTGTATTCTTCAGCCATTTAGGCTAGTTGTAGCCTCTCATTTGTATTGAAATATTCATAAAAGTATCAAGAGACACTTTATACTGAATTAAAAACTATTGAACTGGGTGTTTCACAGCTCCTGCTCAGAAAAGAACAATTATTAAAATGCATTATTCAATTAAACATGAGAATCAATATGCGTCTGCAAAACTTGAGAGTAAAAGCAAAAGTGCTACCAGTTAGAAGGGATGCATTAAATCTGACAGCTGTGGCATGCTGAATGTTACATGAACTTGAGTAAGGGAGTAGAGGAAAAGTGGTGGAAAAATTCTAGCTTGTTCTGCCTTCCCTTTCCCTAGTAGGTAGAAGCACTTCTGGTCAGGGAAGAAGGCTGTTGGATTTCTAATAGTATCCTATTTATTCTCCCAGAAGAGATCTATCATCCCGTTGGTTAGAAAGCCACCTGCAGACACTTGCTCCAAAGAGAAAATAACATGCCGAAGGAGAGAACCAGGAAAATGGACCAGAATGAAAGATTCTTAGTTGAGAGCAGATCTCCTAGACTCAAATTTCCCCTCTCCTAGGAAACAGCCAATTAAGCCCATTTTCCAAATTATCAGCACTGTCCCTTACTTAGGCCTCCACCTAAACTCAGACTGTTTATCGCTATATTTGGTGGGTTTGAACTCACCTGCACTCTTTATTTTGCGGGAAATGGATTGAGCGAAGCCATCCAGCAAGTCCAGAGCCACCTGGTATAGAGCCTTGGCCCCTTGGTTCCAAGTACATTAGATGTGTGTTGGCTGCTGCTTTCTGCTTCCTGGCTTGGCTAGAGCTTTGCAGAACACACATTACATAAGAATGGAAAATAGCTAGGAGGAAGGAAAAATAAATGGCATTATTTTCAAAACCTCTAACCAAAAGTTTTGTTTGCTGTCTAAATAAAGCAGCCTGCTCTCTTGCGTCTGGAAATTTGGCATTTGGGATGCATAATATAGAAGCCAGCATCCACTGCTTCAGGAGACTGTCAAGTCTGAGGAATAGATTTTCCATAGGCCGAAGTGTCTGGCATGTAGTAGGTCCTCAATAAATATGGAATGAAACCTGGATCTGATCATCACCTCTGGAGGATTCCCATGATTGGCCAGGGATGGGGCTGCTTCGACATTTAGTAACACATCTGAAAAGTCCTCAAAATGAGAACATGTGAAGTTGGTGTGGTCATTGTTTGTTCATCCTCCCAACAGGCACTCAGTTGGAGCAGTTTTGCCTCTTGGTTTGGTTTACTAAATAGGTGTTGAGCATCCGGATTGCCAGGTGCTGTCCTAGGCACTGTGAATATCATGTGCCAAGCCCAAGCTGAGCAATTTGTAAATGCCATCGCGTGATAACGCTATGAGAAAGTATTACTATCCTCAGTTTACAGATGAGAAAACTGAGGCACAGAGAAAGAAGCAAGCACTTTTTTACGGTCATATAATTAGTGGCAGAGCAAGAATTTGAACGTACGTCTGTCTAGATTCGTACCTCATGTTCTTGAGCACTGCTCTTATAAGGAGTAGAGAAGGCAAGATCTGCTGGGGAAGGGTAAAGCTGGAGTCAGTACTCACTCTTTCCTCATATTGCTGGCAGAAAGCAAAAAATGCATGACAGCTACTGTCTTCACTGACAAATTTGAAGGTGGGAGAGCCAGTGGAGCAGGAGAGCCCTGGGCCCCAGCCCTCTACCAGCACTTGAATCCTACAAAGCCTAACCCTCCTTTCTCCCCTCAACTTTGGCACCTAATGAGGTCTCCAGATATTGGGGTTTAGGCAGGGTCTACTTTAAGTCTCCGCCCTGCCTCTGTTAGAGCTTTGGGGATCAATCGGAGTGGGGAATCTATCGGGGGAGTAACAGAACCAATCCATTGCCAAATATGCCTGTTCATTATTTGGTGAACGAAATGACTCCCACACCTGATTTGTCAGCCTGACTAAGAATGGGCCACACAGGGAGATGCTACAGTAGCCCTGACTGCCTGGTAACCAAATGGAACATGGAAGACTTCATTACCCTCCGTTTTTACACTTATTCAAAACCTAATTATTGTTGTTGCCTCCCACTGCTCAGGATTGAACTGGCTGACAACTTATTATGTTTGCGTTCGCCTTTTCTGTTACCTAAAGACATGTGTCAGCTGTGGCCCTCTAGAGCTAAAGGGATTAGTAATAAGTGAGAGATGAGTGAGGCTGAGCAGAGAGATGACCTCTGATTATGAAACTGGATGTGTTAGAAATGTTGGTTTACTAGTTTGAGCTGTGATGTGGTATCCCAAGGAGGTGGGTTGCTTCTGAGAAAAGAGTTCTGTACAAATGAAACAAAGAGAATGATTTCACACAAATACAGTGCTTGCCATACACTCACATATGCAACCTCATTGGACTCTGATATGATTTGGATCTGTGTCCCCATCAAATCTCATGTTGAAATCCCCAGTATTGGAGGTGGGACTTTGTGGGAGGTGTTTGCATCCTTGCGGGGGGGGGGGGGGGGTGCGGATTTCTCATGAAAGGTTGGGCACTATCTCCTTGGTGCTATCCTCGTGATAGTGACTTATTGCAAGATCTGGTTGCTTAAAAGCATGTGGCACTTACCCCCCACTTTCTCTCTTGCTCCTTCTTTCACCATGTAAAGTGCCTGCTCCTACTTCACCTTCTGACTTGAGTAAAATCTCCCTGAGGCCTCCTCAGAAGCTGAGCAGATGCCAGCACCATGCTTGCACAGTCTGTAGAACCTTGAGCCTATTAAACCTATTTTAAATTACCTGGCCTCAGGTAATTTACCTGAGTAATACCTAGATGGTATTCCTTTACAGCAATGCAAGAATGGCTAATGCAGACTCTCACCCCCTATTGAAAGATTTATACTTTGTGGTTTCAGACCTATATCCCCTTTAGAGGCAATCAGCCCTTTCTTTACAGAGCCACCTGCTATGTAAGCAGCTGTAAACCGATTATTCATATGGAAATTATATAATTTATATCTTAAGCCAGAACACTTTTTGAGAGTGAAAGGGAATAGTTAAATGATCAGTAGGCATTAGTTGATCCATAACCGGTATAAACTGGGACTCTCCTGGGCAAACCAGGACATATGGCATAGAGTTGGATGCAAGTGAATGCATTGATACCGCCCCCTAGTAAGAATAAAGCAAAAAAACTTTCTGCAAGCAGCACCTAATTTTAAAGGGAGGCTGTGTAGCATAAAATGTGGGACTTAGTCTACTTTTTGATCATGTAGGTCAGCAGCCTTTAAAGTCCATACCACTGGAGATTGCAACTTTTCCATAGCATCAGATGAGAAGAAAAGATGGCAGTAGGCAATAGAGCTGAGTAGGAATCTGGGAAGCAGCAGCTTGTCACTGGCAAAAGGACCAGGCTAAAGAGTGAGCTGGCTGAGAAGAGTGACCCCATGTACAAAGGATTCACTAAACAATAAAGAAGAAATGTCTTAGTGTTTTCCCAACAGTAGCCAATCTAGGGCTCCAGTGTCTTCCCATCCTTTCCCATCCAGGCTACTGGATTGCTGAACTGATAATGCAATTTATATCATCCAGCCCTCCAAGTTAAGATTTCAGTGGAGGATTCTCAAAGCAAATAGTGATTCAGTAAATAGGACCAAGGGGGAACACAACTAGCTTCAGGACGAATACCAAGCTTGGAGAAGCAATTCAAGATGTGAAAACAGAAAGCTGCAGAGCTCCATGGAACCGATGACAAAAGAAGAGCATTGCTTTTGAGGAGCTTAGGAAGAGTTCAGTCTTGAACGACACAGGAAGTATATCAATTTTTGACACAAAGGTGTTTCATAAGCTTTAAAAGATGTTCTCTACAAAAATTAAATGGCATTAGCCATGAAAATAGCTAACACTTAACTGAGCACTCACTATGTGCTGGGTACCATTCAAAATATTTTACATGTATTTTCTCATTAAGGCAGGATGTAGGTAGACTTAAAAGGAAACTGAATGGATTTACATAGATTAAAACTGAAACTATAATTGCAATGGAAGAATATTAATCAGTATTAGAAATACCAAAGGACTGATTTGATACCTGGGAAAAATCAAATATTTACCACAGAAGAAATTCTCTGGCATAGATAATAATGTCTTTTTAAACACAAGAAAAAAGAAAAAGAATGCAATTATTAAACATTGTGATGTCAAAATACATAAAGCAAAGGCTAAAAAAAACCACGAGAAAATGACAGAAAAACAAAAAGTTGGCAACTTGCACATTTCTTTGCATTTGACAAACCAAAGAGATTAAATAGGCAATTAGAGATTCTGAAAAATAAAATTTTAAGGTTAGTTTAATAAATACATCCCAAATTTTATACCCTATAAAGAATGTACCTTTCTTATTCTAGCTCAAACAAAACATATATAAAAATAGCACACACATTAAGCAGTAAAGTTCCAAATTATTTCAAAAAATCACAAATTGAGTAGATCATATTCTCTAAGGCAATAATTTTCTACCCAAAAGGCAGTAACATGATAGCAAGAAGGAGAAGTGTCAAGCAAAGAGGGAGAAGCCCCTTATAAGACAATCAGATCAGCCAAACGATATCATTTCACCTCTGGCCCCTCCCAAATCTCACGTTTCAAAACACAATAATGCCTTCCCATCAGTCCCCCAAAGTCTTAACTCATTCCAGCATTAACCCAAGAGTCCAAGTCCAAAGTTTCATCTGAGACAAGGCAAGTCCCTTGTGCCTATGAGCCTATAAAATCAAAAGCAAGTTAATTATTTCCTTGATATAATGGGGGTACAGACATTGGGTAGTTACACCCATTCCAAATGGGAGAAATTGGCTAAAATGAGGGGGCCATAGGCCCCATGCAAGTCCAAAATCCAGTGGTGCAGTCAAATCTTAAAGTTCCAAAATGACCTGCTTTGACTCCATGTTTTCATATCCAGGTCATGCTGATGTGGGCTCCTGTGGCCTTAAGCAGCTCTCCCCTTGTGGCTTTGCAGGGTACAGCCCCCCTCCCAGCTGCTCTCATGGGTTGGCATTGAGCATCTGCAGCTTCTCCAGGTGCACAATGCAAGCTGCTGAAGGATCTAGCATTCTAAGGTCTGGAGGACTATGGTCCTTTTCTCACAGCTCCACTAGGTAGTGCCCCAGTGGGGACTGTGTGTGGGGGTTCCCACCCCACATTTCCCTTTTACACTGCCCTAGCAGAGGTGCTCCATGAAGGATCCACCCCTGCAGCACACTTCTGCCTGGACAGCCAGGCATTTCCATAGATCCTCTGAAATCTAGGCAGAGGTTCCCAAACCTAGGTTCTTGACTCCTGTGCACCCTCAGGCCCAACACCACATGTAAGCTACCAAGGCTTGGGGATTGCAACCTCCGAAGCAACAGCCTGAGCTGTTTGTTGGCCCAGTTCAGCCATAGCTGGGACACGGCACCAAGTCCTGAGACTGCACAAAGCAGCAAGGCCCTGGACCCAGCCCACAAAATCATTTTTTTCCTTTGAGGCCTTCAGACCTGTGATTGGAGGGGCTGCTGTGAAGACCCCTGACATGCCCTGGAGGCATTTCCCCCATTGTCTTTGTTATTAACATTTGGCTCCTCATTACTTAAGCAAATTTCTGCAGCTGGCTTGAATTTCTCAGAAAATGGGTTTTTCTTTTCTATCACGTTGTCAGGCTGCAAATTTTCTGAACTTTTGTGCCCTGCTTCCCTTTCAAATATAAGTTCCAATTCCAAACCATATCTTTGTGAATACATAAAACTTAATGCTTTTAACAGCACCCAAGTCACCTCTTGAATGCTTTGCTATTTAGAAATTTCTTCCACCACATACCCTAACATCATCGCTCTCAAGTTCAAAGTTCCACAGATTTCTAGGGCAGTGGAAAAATGTCACCAGTCTCTTTGCTAAAACATAACAAGAGTCACCTTTATTCCAGTTCTCAACAAGTTTCTCATCTCCATCTGAGACCTCAGCCTTGACTTCATTGTCCATATCGCTATCACTCTCAGCATTTTAGTCAAAGTCATTTAACAAGTCTCTAGGGAGTTCCAAATGTTTCCACATCTTCCTGTCTTCTGAGCCCTCTAAGTCTCTAGGAAGTTCCAAACTTCCCCACATTTTCCTATCTTTTTCTAAGCCCTCCAAACTGTTCCAACCCCTGCCTTTTACCCAGTTCCAAAGTCACTTTCACATTTTTGGGTCTCTTTATAGCAGCACCCCACTCTCTACCAATTTACTGTATTAGTTCATTCTCATGTTGCTGTAAAGGACTGCCTATAAATGGGTAATTTATAAAGGAAAGTGGTTTAATTGACTCACAGCACCACATGGCTGGGGAGGCCTCAGGAAACTTACAATCATGGCAGAAGAGGGAGCAAACATGTCCTTCTTCACATGATGGCAGGAAGGACAAGTGCTGAGCAAAGAGGGAAAAGGCCCTTATAGACCATTAGGTCTCATGAGAACTCACTCACTATCATGAGAACAGCAGCATTGGTGTAACTGCCCTCCCACAGGGTCCCTTTCATAATGTGTGGGGATTATGGGAACTACAATTCAAGATAAGATTTGGGTAGGGAGACAGCCAAACCGTATCATTTGGAAAATGTAAATACACTAAATAAATCTTGGTCACAAATAAAGGCAAAAACAAATAATATAGAATTTAGAAATTAACAATGACAAGCATGGAAATGTATAGCTAAGGCTAAACTCAGAAGTAAATTATTATCCTTAAATGCTTTTATTCTTATAAAAAGAAAAATAAGCTAAATAGTATAAATAATTAGATAAGAAAAACAATAGGAAACAGGAGGTAGAAATTAATGTAGATACAACAAAAATAATTTTTTTTTTTTTTTGAGACAGAGTCTCGCTCTTTCATCCAGGCAGGACTGCAGTGGCGCTATCTCGGCTCACTGCGAGCTCCACCTCCCGGGTTCACACCATTCTCCTGCCTCAGCCGCCTGAGTAGCTGGGACTACAGGCGCATGCCACGGCACCCGGCTAATTTTTTGTATTTTTAGTAGAGACGGGGTTTCACCATGTTAGCCAGGATAGTCTCAATCTCCTGACCTCGTGATCCGCCCGCCTTGGCCTCCCAAAGTGCTGAGATTACAGGCATGAGCCACCGCGCCCAGCCAACAAAAATAATTTTTTGACAAGAAAGATTTTTTAAACTTCAAGGTAAGTGATAAGTTTGATATTATATGAATTGTTACAGAAAAGAGAGAAAGACATTTCCCCAGTTTATTTTATGGGCTTAAACCTGAAATTAAAACCTGAGAGTGGAGCATATCAATCTTAACGGTATATTTGTGATTTGGAAAAATAGTTTAATAGTAAGAATCAATTAATAAAAATGATATTATGATGGTTAAAGTGTCAACTTGACTGCATTAAGGGATACCAGTGAGCTGTTCAGTCATTTTGGGGAGTGTCTGTGAAGGTGTTTCTGGAAGAGATTAGCATTTGAATCAGTAGACTGAGTAAAGAAGACCCACTCTCACCAATGTGACAGGGTTTTATCCAATCCGTTGAGGGTCTGAATAGAAGAAAAAGGTAGAGAAAGGTGAATTTGCTCTCTCTTCTGGATCTGGGACACCCATATTCTCCTGCCTTCAGACATCAGGGCTCCTTTGGACTCTGGGACTTACAGTAACAGATATCAGGTTTGTATTCCTTTGGACTGAGAGTCACACCATTGGCTCCTCTAGTTCTCAGGCCTTCAGACTCAGAGTGAATTAAACCGCTGGATTTCCTGACAGTGTATCATGGGACTTCCCAGCTTCCATCATCATGGAAGCCAATTACCATAATAAATTATCTGTCTGTCTGTCTATCTATCTATCTATCTTTTAATCTTTTTC
This sequence comes from Homo sapiens, assembly GCF_000001405.40. Taxonomy (NCBI): domain Eukaryota; kingdom Metazoa; phylum Chordata; class Mammalia; order Primates; family Hominidae; genus Homo; species Homo sapiens. The sequence continues at coordinate 111,846,051 of NC_000010.11, read as the reverse complement.
ACTGGAAAACCTTAACTGATACACACATTATATGGTTTGTAGGTTTTGTTCCTTCAAAATCTCATGTTAAAATGTGACCTCCAATATTAGATGTGGGCCTAGTGGGACGTGTTTGGGTCGTAGAGGCAAATGTCTCATAAATGGCCTGGTGCTGTCCTCATGATAATGAGTGAGTTCTCATTCTGTTAGTTCGTGAAAGACCTGGTTATTTAAAAAAGCCTGGCACCTCCTCCTCCTCTCTCCTACTCCCTGTCTCTCCATGTCACACACTGCCTCCCTTTACCTTCTGCCATGACTAAAAGCATCCTGAGGCTTCACAAGAAGCTGAGCCAGATGCTGGTCCCATGCTTGCACAGCCTGCAGAACTGTGAGCCAAATAACCTTTTTTAAAAAATAAATTACCCATTCTCAGGTATTCCTTTACAGCAATGCAAAATGGACTAACACACACATTAATAGATCAAAGGAGAAAAATAATTCAATAAAACAGGTAGTTACATATCCATCTCTGTTAAATATGTTTATTAACTTAGGGATTTGAATTCAGATTGTCTTTACAATTGCAAAACTATTCATTTGAAACCCGTAGCTCGTATTATATTAATGTTGTAATGACAGGGATATTTCCATTGAAGTCAGGAATATCAGCTATCACATCTATTTAAAAAGTGACCTAGGAAGACAATATTTGGAAAACACATACCTGATAAAGGACTCAATAATAGGAAAATGAATGACTCAGTTTAAAAATGAGCAACACGTCTGAATAGACACCTCACCAGAGATGATAAATAGATTGCAAATAAGCATAAGAAACGATGCTTACCATCACACATTATTAGGAAAGTACAAATTAATACAACAATGAGATACAACTACATATCTATTAGAGTGCCTCAAATCTAAAACACTTGACAGTAACAGTGATGTGAAGCATCAGGAACCCTCATTCGTTGCTGATGAAAATTCAAGATGGTACCGCCAATTTGGAAGACAATTCAGCAGTTTCTTATACAACTAAACAGAATCTTAACATATGACCCAGCAACTAATATGAAGAGTATTCATCAAAATGACTTGTAAAACTTATTACTATGCAGACATGCATACAAATAGCACCTTTATTTATAATCACCCAAACTTGGAATCAACCAAGGTATCCTTTAATAGGTGAATGAATAAACACTGTGGTACATCCATAACATGGAATATTATTTAGCACTCAAAAGAAATGAGCTATCAAGCCACAGAAAGACATGGAAGAAACTTAAAAGCATATTGCTAAGGAAATGAAGTCAATCTGAAAAAGCTATATGCTGCATGATTCCAACTAAATGACATTCTGGAAAAGGTAAAACTGTGGAGACAGTAAAAAGAATCAGTGGTGGCTAGAGATTCAGGGGAAGGAGGGAGGGATGCATAGGTGAAGCACCAGGGAATTTTACTGCAGGAAAACTATTTTGTATGAGCCTATAATGCATACATTTGTATTGTGGTTATGTGACATAATACATTTATCAAAACCAATAGAGTTTAAACACAGTGAACCTTAATGTAAACTGTGGACTTTGGATGACATAGATATGTCAATGTTGGTTCATTGATTACAACAAATGTACTCCACTAATGCAGGGTGTTGATAGTGGGGAGTATTTGTGTGTCTGGGGGTGGGGATGAAAGATATGTGGGAATTCTTTGTACTTTCAATTCAGTTTTGTTTTTTTTTGTTGTTTTTTTTTTGAGATGGAGTTTTGCTCTTGTTGCCCAGGCTGGAGTGCAGTGGCGCAATCTTGGCTCACTGCAACCTCCACCTCCCGGGTTCAAGCGATTCTCCAGCCTTGGCCTCCCGAGTAGCTGGGATTACAGGCATGCGTCACTATGCCGGGCTAATTTTATATTTTTTTAGTAGAGATGGGGTTTCTCCATGTTGGTCAGGCTGGTCTCGAACTCCCGACCTCAGGTGATCTGCCCGACTCGGCCTCCCAAAGTGCTGGGATTATAGGCGTGAGCCACCGCATCTGTCCCCCAACTCAGTTTATGAATCTAAAACTGGTCTAAAAATAAAGTCTATTAATTTTAAAACAAAAGCAAAAGTGATCCTAAAATTTTACTAATGTGATTAAAAGAATTAAAAAGCTGACATATTGTAAAGGGGATTCAAAATTATCCTTTTTTTTAATAGTGATGGTCTTCCCAGAAAACCCAAAAGAACCAAACTGAAAGAAAAAAAAAGTGAAACTAATATGAGTACAGAAAATTGATTGGTTACAAAGTAAATATAGAGAAGTCACTTTATACTAGTAAAAACTAGAAAGAAAATGCCAAATTAAAGATTTCATGCACAATGGTTACTAAAAATAAAAAAAATTTACAAATCTCATAAGACATATATATAGATTCTGTATATAGAATCTATAAAAAATACTTAAAAACTTTTAAAACACCTGTAAACTTCTTTCAAAAAAAGTGAGCAAAGCATCATTTACTGGATGAAAACTTTCAAGATTTTGAAGATTACTATTCTACACAACTTTAAATTCAATTAATATCAAAATTCTAATGAGGCACTTTTAAAAATGAAAAATGGATAATCAAATTCATCTGGAAAAAAATTAAAAGATGGGTATAGCTAAGCACATTTTGTAAGATAATGCGATAGGCCAGGAGATTCCTTGCTCTATAAGATATTAAATAAGGTTTTTCAAGTAACAATGAACAAAATAGCATGAAGTGAGAATAGCAGTGGGCAAGTAATGAAATAGAATGGAAATTCTAGAAACAGACCCAAGGAAAAAATGGTATTTAGTACATGATATATGTAGCATTGCAAATCGTCAAAATGGACTATTCACTAAATGTTGTCCATACAGCTGGTTAACCATTTGGAAAAGTGTGTATATACACACAAATATACATATATATGTATATATATACACATATACACACATATAGACATATATAAACACGTATATACATATTATATAATATGTGTATACACACAGTACCTCATATAACAGTTTTGGTCAATAAAAGACCACATGTAGGATGGTGATCTCATAAGAATATAATGAAACTGGAAAATTCTATTGCTCAGTGAGGTTGTAATGTTGTAGTGCAAGGCATTACTCCATGTTGGTGGTGATACTCGTGGATACAAAACTACTGAGCTGCTAGTCATAAAAGTTGAGTATAATTATGTACAGTATAGAATACTTGATTACAGTAATAAACAACTTATGTTACTGGTTTAGGTATTTGCTATACTATACTTTTTATTAGTTTAGATTTTACTACTTGTGTAAAAATAAGTTAAATGTTTAGTTTAACAAAACAGTCAAAAAGTTAAAAATTAAAAAATATATAAAGTAAAAAGTTATAGTAAGCTGAGGTTAATTTATTATTGAAGAAATAAAAGCTTTTAAATAAATGTAGTATAGCCTAAGTACACAGTGCTTATAAAGTTTATAGTAGTGTTTGGTACCATCCTAGGCCTTCAGATTCATTCACCAATGACTCACCCACTCACCCACTCACCCAGAGCAACTTCCAGTCCTATAAGATCCATTCATGGTAAGTGCCCTATACAGGTGTACCTTTTATACTATACTTTACCTTTTTTATGTTTAGAGATGTTTAGATACACAGATATTTACCACTGGGTTCCAATTGCTTACGGAATTAAGTAGGGTAATATGCTGTACAGGTGTATAGCCCAGGAGCAATGGACTGTATCATATTGCTTAGGTGTGTAGGATGCTATGCCATCCAGGTTTGTGCAAGGACAGACACCCTATGATGTTCACACAATGATGAAACCACCTAAAGACACATTTCTCAGAACATATCCCTGACGTTAAGTGACAGATCACTGTATATCAATTATCAGTTTTATACACTGAGAAAACAATGTTTTAAAAGTTAAATGTAAAAAAATAATAACCACAAAAGCAGACTTGTGTTTAAAAGTGTTTAAAGGTACACCTGTGTAGGGCACTTACCATGAATGGATCTTACAGTATGGAAGTTGCTCTAGGTGAGTGGGTGAGTCATTGATGAGTGAATCTGAAGGCCTAGGATGGTACCAAACACTACTATAAACTTTATAAGCACTGTGTACTTAGGCTATACTACATTTATTTAAAAGCTTCTTTTTCTTCAATAATAAATTAACCTCAGCTTACTATAACTTTTTACTTTATATATTTTTTAATTTTTAACTTTTTGACTCTTTTGTAATAACATTTAGCTTAAAACACATTGTACAGCTGTGCAAAAATATTTTTTCTTTATATTTTTATTCTATATGCTTTTTTCTGTTTTAAAATTTTTGATGTATATTTTACTTTTAAAATTTTTTGTTAAAAACTAACTTAATGTTTAGTTAAATGTTTAAATGGTTACTGAAGTTCATATATCTTCTATGTATCAGTAAATTCCATATGTATAATCAAAAGAAAACAAAATACAGGGAAAAAGTTGCATATATTTTATATGAACAAAAGAGAATAAGTTTACTTTGTAAGTAACTCATACTCAAATATAGTAGAAAAGACAAATCCTATTAGGAAATAGTATTGGATTTTTTTACATCACAAAAAGCATGAAAAAATGTATAGTACTCAGGGTCGAGGCTGTGTACAGTGGAAATGGGTCTCATGTTTCTGCAAGACAACTTGTCAATATATGTTAAAAATCCTAAAATATATGTAGCCTTTGATCTAGGAATTTCTTATAAAGACATTCTGATTTATAATTGTAAAGTATAGAAAACTGCACTGTTACCAACAAATGAAATTTCTTTAAAATATATGGTATATTGTGAATATTTTATGGTTTCTAAAAACCAAAACTTAAAGAATATTTATGTTGGAGTAAGTATGTTCCCAATGTACTCTTAGCAAAAAGAAAACCAAATCAGAAATGTTACAAACATATGAAGAGTAAAATTTCAATTTTATGGGGGATAAAAAGGGTGTGTGTTGTGTGTGTATGTGGTGTATGTGTGTGTATACTTGTAAAGTTGTTATTTCTGGGTATTGAGTTTACAGGTGATTTTAATTTTCTTATCTATATTTGTGCTTTTTTCCCCAAATTTTTACATTTTATAACCAGAAAAGAAACATACTCTAGATTATATTATATGGGTAGGCTGAGCAGGGAGACAAAGAGATATGGTTTCCACAATCACATGGGGGAAGCAGGAGCCAGGACTCAGGACCCAGAAGCCAGTAAATTTCAAGGGTAACACACAGAGTCTGACAGGTGGTAGAATCCCTGAGTTATAGATCCCTCTCCAGCTTGGTTGGTGGATGGCAGGACAGCAATCAAGGCAGTCTGGACCAAAACAGTGGCCAAACTGGTTCATGCCAAGATGCCTTGGTCTTGGCAAGGCAATGAATAAATCACATCCTGGAAACAGGGTCACAATAAAAGAAATGATAAATTTGGAGCTTGCAACCTGAAGATAGTATTGAGTGTTGTTTATAAAATGATATTTACTTTTATTAGCTTGTTAAATGAGGCAGAGTAGGGATAGGACTTGGCTCCCTCCCATGCCTCACCAGTGACCTCTATTGCAAGCTGGTGACAGGGGTGTAGCCAGAAGGAGCTCCAGTCAGACCGTCCAGACTGTGCACCGTAAATCTTGCTCAAGGTGCCATGCCCACTGAATGTGGGACCTTGAGGAGGCTGAAATAATCAGCTCCCATCTTAAATGTTACTCAAGGGAGTTAGCCCCATCTCCTACATGCACACAAGACCAGAAGGATGACCAATCCTTCACCCTTCACCTTAGCTTCATTATAATACTAAAAACCATGCCCAGGGTGGAGATTTAATATGCTATTGAGACATGTGACTCACAAAGAATTATGTTATCAAACTGTGCTGGTGCCAGAAGCTCCCCACCTCTGCATGCTTAAACCTCATGCTCTTCCTGCTTTAGCCCCTTTAAAATTACTCTCCTGACTCTCTTTGGGGAGCCAGACTGAGAATTCTGTCTCTTGGGTTGCCTACCTTATGCCTGTGCATAAGCACCAAGAAAGCCCTGTCTGGAAAAACTCTTGGCTTTTTGTCAATTTCTATTGCATTGAGGGCCCAAGAACCTGTGGTCAGTAACATTAAGATTTTGAGTTCTGAGGCCAAATTGTTTTTGTCTCTTAAGATGGATTTTGTGGAGTAAACTCTAAACCAGACTTTGATTCTCCTCTTTCATTCCTTCTCCAGCTTTTCCAAAAGAGACTTTCATCCCACCTCCATATACCTTTATTCAGTGTTGCCTCTTTCTCTACCTCAGAATCCTAATACAATGGAACACTAATACATTGGAATGGAATGGAATTGTATTAGAGTAATAATACAATGGTCTTTTCTGATTATGAAATGTAAATGGACACACACATGTGCACACTCACACTTACACCCCTCATGCCCAGAGAGCTTTATTTCTTAGTGTTGCTTCCAATGATGTGTTCATCTATTCAGCAAAGATCTATTTAATACCTTATACATGCCAGGATTTTGCTGGAAATGAGAGAATAATAAGCAAAGGCAAATACACACCCAACTCCTAGAGTTTGTTATAGTCCAGTCTAGTGGCAGAGAGACAAACATTATTCAAATAATTGCACTAATGAACGAAAACTCATTGTTATCCATACATTCATTCCAAAAACATTTAAGACGTACTCTTTGCTTGAGAGCTGGTGGCACCCAAAGGGGAAAATCTCATGGGCTCTGCCCTTGAGGAGCATTTGAGGAGCAGAAGAGCCTGGACATGAGCATCTGTAGAGCATCTCCTATGGATCAGAACCTGGACCGGGGGCCTCACAGGTGTTAGGCCATTGAATCTTAACTGCCCCGGAAGATAGATATAATTGGCCCCATTTTAAAGATGAGAAAATCAAGGCTCAGATTTTAGGTTATGTAAGCAGACAGGGAGGGTCTCTAGGAATTCAATCAACTTGAGCAACCAGCCTGCTTTACAGCTTCCTACCCTGCAGCCTATTTTTCTCAAACCCTAGGTTGAATGTGGTCACCATGTTGGTTGGGACCAGCTTTTGACAGGCCTTGGCAACTTACAGATGAACCTAGGTGAACTTTCCTCATTACCGTGCTCTCCACCCTGGGAGAAGCTATAACTTTATTGCCATAATATGTGACCTATGTGCTGGCATAATGACTCAGTGTATCTGTGCAATGGGACCCCTCCTCTACATGCAATGATGTACCCTCCCCACTCTCCATCACCCCATAAAACCCTTCTGTCACTTTCTCTCAGGGAGACATTGCTTCGGAGAATACTCCCAGTGTTTTCCTTACTTGTGCCAACTAAATAAAACTCCTATTCATCAAAACCTGAATTCTCATGGAGGTCATTTGTTAGTTGCCAGGTGAATGACCTTGTGTTTTGGGGGGCTACAGCCAGGATTTGAGTTGAGGTCTGTCCAACTCAAAGGCATGTGCACATCCAACCTGCAACGCACTTCTCTCCTTATGAAGAAATAAAAACATAAGTAGCTATAATATAGAATAGAACATAAAGACATTAAGTAGCTATAATGGAGATTAGTCACTATGTGCTGAGAATAATTTGGCTGCCATGTGATGGTAACATGTTAGTTGCCAGAGATGCAGCAAGTCACTGAAGGTTGCAGCACAGAGTTTTATTAATAAAGCCTCTGAACAAAGAGATGGAAGGAAACCTCAAATCCACCTCCCCGAAAACTTTGGAGCTAGAAGTTTTAAGAATTTTGGGTTGCACCAAGGTGTGGAGATCATTGGTTGGGTGAAGAGTGCAGGATGAAGTCAGGGGATGGGGATGTGGAGAACCTGCATTCTCACATGCTGATTTGGTTCCTCTTTGGGAGTCTTCAAACTGGTTGGTGTCATTCTTTCCACTGGAATTTACATCTGAAGAACATCCCAAGCAATTCTTAAGCAAAAGGCTTAGGATTCTAATGTCAGTGATCCTATCTGTAGGAACAATGGGTATGCAAATGGTCAGCGGCTAGTGCTAAGTGACAAAATTTTGATTACATGGAAGTAAGCCAAAGTGCAGCCTGATTAATACTTAATTGTAACTATATTTCTGCCCAGAGCCCTGCATGTAGTTCTTGTTAACCTTGTAAGGATGGTTTCAGTCATAGGAAGCCAAAAGTGGGAGGGTAGAAAGCACAGTGCTCCCAGAAATTTCTCCCACTCCAAGCTGGGCTATAGATATGGGAGAGGCCCCAGTGTACTCTGTCAATCTTTCTGATTCTTCTCTGTCCACGCTCGCCTGCAACATTTCCAGGCACAAGAAACTACATGGACAATATGCCCTTTCCATTGGTTTTATCCGGGCTTTAATGAGCTGAAATAAATCGAATCGTTAATGAGAAATGCAAAGCACAAATAGCACTTTATTGAAGAAAACAAGGAGGCAAATTTTACCATATGTCAGCAAGCTTAAAGGGAAGAGGCTGACTGTGGTTAATATGTACATTCCCCTCAAAGAGTCCCATAAAACTTCTTTGATTTGCAGAATTAAACTGTAGTTTGCATGTAAACAAGACCTTAATGTTTCATGGAAGATCCCCACATTTTAAAATAACAATCTTAAAAACAGAAACTAAACATCAGTGTCTACAAGTGCTGTGAATTATAATGTACGTATCTTTAAACATTAAAAACCACCTAGCTTTGTTAGAGCAAAATGCATCCATTAACATTGCTATTGAATATGCAAGACTGTGTCAAATCACAGATACTGTGTAGGAGGTGGTGTGAACCTGCTGCTTTTAGCACTTGGTCTACATTTATGTGCCAAAAATTAGTTACATGGAAATGTCTTTGTAGAAGTGGCAATGAGAATTGTTCCTGGGAAGACATGTTGAGCTATATGGAACTCAGAAAAAAAAATGACTTTAAAAATATTTTTCGTTGTTATAATTTACATACAATAAAATACACAAAGTCAGGCCTGTTTAGTTTGCATGTGACCAAACCTGCGAAAGCTTTAAGGCAAAGTAGCTTAAGCACCCAAATTGTGTTGCTTTGTGACCCTGAAATTTCTAGGGCTTTAGAGATAGCTGGATGTAGGGGCTCAGGCACTGTTGTCAGAGTAATGTCTTTCTGTTTCTCACCTCTGTGTTTTTTGTTGGTCTCAGCCATCCTGTTTCTAGTGTTCCCACACAATGCTGTGTTTATATTTTCTTGAGTTTAAGTCCAGACCATACCTCCTTTTTCTAACAGTTTCCAGTAACGTCAGAGGATTGCATATTTTTGGCTTGGATTGGTTCACATGCCTTTCTAAGAACTGATTGTTGCATCCGGGCATTTGGAGTACCCTGAATAGCTTCAGAAATGGATTTTGTAGCCATGCTTGGAGCTGGCAATAGAGTTATTCCATCCACACTATATTTTGGGGAAGAGGATAACTAGGGGGCTACCACCAGAAAAGGGAAATTCAACTGGGACAAGAAAATCACATGTCCACAAAAACTTGGAAGAAGGCTTTGATCTCTTCCTGTGTAAAATGGTAACATGACGATGATGATATTAACAACATAATTATTACTGCTTACGCACCAACTGTATTCCAAGTGCTCTACTAACATGCCTTGTCACAGCACCATAAGTTAGGGGTGATTATGCCCATCTTGCTAATGGTGAACTGGATGGTTGAAATGTAAATGAATTGCCAAAACTGCATAGCTAGCAAGAGAGGAAACCAGGATTTTAATTCAGGTCTATCTTAGGATCCCAGCTCTTTCCATTCTGTCTGTCCCTAAGGAAGCATTTCCTATTTCTGAGTTGATAGAAAAACCAGGATGTGTATGTATGCATATCTCTGTTAAAAATTGGGTGCATGCCTGTAGTCCCAGCTACTTGGGAGGCTAAGGCAGGAGAATTGCTTGAACCCGGGAGGCAAAGTTTGCACTGAGTTGAGATCACACCACTGCACTCCAGCCTGGGTAACAGAGTGAGACTATGTCTCAAAAAAAAAAAAAAAAAAAAAAAAAGAATTGGAGGTGGATGGATAAGAAGGCAAATTATAAAGGGGAAAGAGGATGTTTCTAGAGTGGTCTCCCCCAACTGGGTCAGTATGTCCCATCAGCAGCATGTTTTGCATCTCAGAAATAGCCCTGGCTCATTTGTGGCTGGGAGACCCTATTTGGGGGACTCTGAGGTTGGCAGGCAGTATTCCAACATCGCATATTTCTGTGGCTTTGTTTTTCTTGTAAAGTTCCCAACAGCTGCGGGACTTATTAAGCCTGAATCATGTTGCATATTCATCAGATGACTTGTTAATCATCTGCCAAGCCCCTCCGGAGAGCAGGAGTCCGGGAGCTCAAATGAAGAATAACAGACAGCGTGTCCTCACCCGCTCTCCTGAAACGCGTTATTGGCAATTACATAAAAGTTTCCAGGAAAGTAGGTTTAAAGCAGAGGGAGAGCTTGCTGCTCTTGGGCATAGTATGCCTTCCTTTTGATTGTCTATTTGTTTTCTTCCTTATCGCCACTACATAGGCAAAATAGGAATACTCTCCAGTTTATAGAAGGAAAAACTGAGGCCAAGAGTGTGGATAATAAAATCTTCTATGTAGGAAACATTAGAAAGACCTCTTGACCTTTCATTCAGCATCCTTAGTGGTAGGGTTCTTTCATCTGAGCTTTGCTGCCAGTAAAAGCTGTTCAGTAAAAGCACATGTGGTTCTCTAGGGTGCATGCCCTTTGTCTCTTTAGTTCACAACAAACCCCAAGTTCCTACAACAGTGCCTAGGCCATAGAAAAGATTTTTAAAAATGTGTTGCATGAATGAATCCAAGTTCTCCAGACACCAGATGGATATATTACCTACATGTAATACACAATGAACACAGTCTAGTCCCAGTTCATCATGACTACGAGGAGTGGTACCCTCCTCAAGCCCTCCCAAGGGTCTCCAGTGAATGCTGCTGGTTCCCACAAACCCAGTCTAATTGCATCCCCTCTCGTTCAAGGTGCTGCTTTAAGCTTCTCAGCAAGGATCACAATGACAGCGTCCACTGTGCTCTCCTTTCAGTCCCTGCCTTAATTCTCCCAAAGCACAGGTACTGCCAGGTTGAGGTGTTTCATAGCGTTTCCTTTTCTATGGAATGAGTGGGATGACAATAGAGCCTCATACACAGTAATTACTGGGAGTACATGAGATAATGCCTGTGAAATATCAGGCTACCACAGAGAAAGTATATAGGAAGAGTTGCTATTGTCATTATTGAGACATGCTGGTTAAGAGCACAGACTCCGGAGCCAGATTGTTGCGCTCAAATCCTGGCTCTGCTACTTAATAACCGTGATCTTGGGCAAGTTATTATACTTAACCTCCTTTCACCTCAGAACCTCATCTATAAAATGGGGGTAAAAATAGAATTTGCTTTATACAGCTGCTATGAGGTTTAAATGAATCAGTAGCTGTAAAGAAGTTAGAGAATTTCTTGACACATATAAGTGCCATGAAAGTGGCACCTACAGTGACAGCCAGGCAAACTCATCACCAGATTTGAAATGTTGCCGTTCCTGGAGTCCAGCGCTCCTGGGGTCCCTATTTTTCTTTTTTCCTCTTAGTTCTCACTCTGCCACCACTGGGAATGTATCACTCCTAAAACGTGTTAGACCTGAGATGTGTTTTGTCCACAGTAAAAATGGCCTGTTATACTGTTGATTGAAATTCTTTAAATCTTTGAAGCATCCTCATTTGGATTACTTCCTGGGGGGGGGCGGGGGGAATGGATGGACACACAAATAAAACCACCAAACTGGCTCATCTGTGAAGGATGGAGGAGAGGTTCTGCCCCAAGAAGAAACAAATTCCATCTTTCATCCAAAAGTGCAGAAACTGCTTGTGGCACCCAGAATATTTGTTCCAGGTTCAATAATTTTAAGATCCAGGATCTATTTTCAGTTACAGACAGGCAATTGCTGGTGACTGTAAAACAGAAGTTTGTCCTATTAGGGGCATTTTATAGCAGTGGTTCTTAAAGTGTGCTTTCTGGACCAGTAACATCAGTAGCACTTGGGAATTTGTTAGAAAAGAAAATTCTCAGGCACACTTAGCAATCATTCTAAGTGCATTCAGGTAAAGTCTCAACAATATGCACATCACCTTCAATAGAATTTACTATTAAGCTTCCAGAAATCAGAAACCCTCTTAGGACATGTGGCCGTTCTCGCTCCGTGTCTGTAATGTGTGTGGGGAGTGGGGTTCCAGGCAGGAAACCGTAACCGGGTCTGTAACGTGTGTGGGGAGTGGGGTTCCAGGCAGGAAACCGTAACCGGGTCTGTAACGTGTGTGGGGAGTGGGGTTCCAGGCAGGAAACCGTAACCGGGTCTGTAACGTGTGTGGGGAGTGGGGTTCCAGGCAGGAAACCGTAACCGGGTCTGTAATGTGTGTGGGGAGTGGGGTTCCAGGCAGGAAACTATAACAGGCATCTGATTTTTACTTCAGGGCCATAAACTTAGTGTCACCTACTTGTTCCCCTTAAATAAAACATCTCAGTGGCATAAGGACTAATCAGCCCATAAGCACACATAACTGTGGTATCTTGCATTTGTTGCCTTTTTTTTTTTTTAATTTGGAGGGAATGCTGCGATTCAACATGGCTGTCAGGGACTTGTTGTGGCTCTATAAATAGTAGCTAAGCCTGAATGTTCTTTTTCCATCTCAAAACTATAAGGGGTTAATTAATCCTCACTTCATGGAAATAATAAAAACAAGATGTTTGTGGACACGTCCTCACAATCCTCTCACTATGTATAATTAGCTCTGCAATCCCCAATTCTCCCACCTCAAGCTATCCTAATATTTGTATGTATGTAAGATTTTTATTTTTGCCAAGCCCCTCAAACAAGAAATATTTATTAACTATTCCTAAGGTGTTCTCTCTCTTCCTCTTTGTCTGTATATATTATCAATTCTGATTATGAATTCATCCAGAACTAAGTTTTAGCTCAATCCTTACATTTTTTTTAATCCAAAAAATTCATCAAAAATTAGGCTTTATGGGATGGACTAAAGCTTTTTTTTTTTTTTTTTTTTTTTTTTGCTTTTTAGTAAGTTTACTAAAAAAGCCTCCATTACTGTTATAGCATTTAAACTCAGCAATTGTGAGGCTTACTGAATCAGGGACCCCGAATGTAGGGCCTAGCAGTCTGTATTTTAGCAAGCTCTCCAGATGACCTGAATGCCTACTCAAGTCTGAGAGCAACTGTTTTACAGTAGTCTTGATGCAGAAAAGCCCAGATATCACTCAGTTCACACTTGCAGTCTGCTGTCCTGAATGCTGAGAGGCTTCTAAGGTTTCATGACTCCCTGTCACCCTCCTCCCACCCTGATATGTCCTCCTCCCTCTCTACTGGGCCTTACATCTGTCTTGTAGGACTCAGTTCAGAGTTAGCTTTTCCTAGAGTTCTTTCTTCCTGTGGGAAGCATAATAGACTAGTAGTTAAGTGAACAGCCTTCTTAGTCTGGGGTGGAAGTCTTGGCTCTGCAACTTAAATCCCAGGCCAATTGTTTTCCTCTCTGCACGTCAATTCCCTCATCTGTAAAATGGGCATAATAGTAGCTAGCCATTGACTCAGAGGGTTAATGAGTTATAGACAAGCACATTTGTGTAAAAATTGGAAGTAATATGGCAGCTGTGTATAAAATGAATAACCTACAGTGATCTCTGTAGTTTTTTACTCTAACTTGCCACAAAATATCCAATAAATCAGTCATTCTCACACTTTGCTACACATTAAAATCCCCTGGGTAGGTGTTAAGACTCTGATGTCCATGCTGGACCCTAATGGACAATTAAATCCAGATCTCCAGTGATATGGTTTGGATTTATGTCCCCGCCCAAATCTCATGTTGAATTGTAATCCCCAATGTTGGGGAAGGGGCATGATGGGAGGTGATTGGATCATGGGGGTGGACATCCCCCTTGCTATTCTCATGATAGTGAGTGAGTGCTCACAAGATCTGGTTGTTTAAAAGTGTGGAGCACCTCCTGCTTCACCCTCTTCCTCCTTCTCTGGCCATGTAAGATGTTCCTGCCTCCCCTTCACCTTCTGCTGTGATTTTGTTTCCTGAGGCCTCCCAGCTGTGCTTCCTGTACAGCCTGTGGAATCGTGAGCCAATTAAACCTCTTTTTTTTTTTTTTTAATACCCAGTTTCAGGTAGTTCTTTATAGCAATGCGAGAATGGACTAATACATCTGGGGTGCACTCAATGTTCTTAAAACCAAGTACTGCCAAGTTTGGGAACTATTGCTCTAGTCCCTTTCTAATCTCTCTGCATATGTGGTGAACCATGAAGTTTGGCAGTGAAACATCAGATGATGCTGTGGTATCAAAGAGCATCTTGTTTGTAAATGGTTTTGTGCACATGTGTCCTGCCCTGCCAGCCCAGCCAGAATGTAAGTGCCAAGAGAGCTGATCGCAGTTCAGGCCTTGTTGTTTTCCCCTTCCCCAAGCCCAGAAAGGTAGGTGGCTTGCATTCAGCAGCTGCTTGTTCATGATTAATTAATTGAAAGAGAAAATAGGCTTCAGCTGGTAGAAGGGGCGCTTAACAAGTCATTTCAAAGAGGTTTAAAGCTAAAAACAAAAGGTCTGGTGCCAGACCGCACTGGTTTGCAGCCATGATATAACACTCATTGTGTAACATTTGACAAGTTTCTTGACCTCTCTGTGCTTCAGTTTTCTCATCTGTAAAAGAGAATAATAAGACCTACCTCTTTGAGTTGCTATGACGATTAAATGCAATAACACATGCAAAGTACTTAACACAGTAGTTAGTACATCAGTACAGGTTTAAACATTACCTGCTACTCTTATCGTTATCCTGAAGGTTTGTTCTAACCTGCCTCAGTCTAGCTACAGGCCTGTATAACAAGCTTGTGTAATCATCCGATCTTTCCTTACTTTTCCGTTTCCTTGGCTGAGATCTATGACAGCAGAGTTGTTTTATCTCAAATTCTGCGATGCTTCAGCATATTTTTATTTATTTTTTGTTTTCTGGTGCTTAATAGAGTGCCTGACACACACTGGAACTCAATAAATGTTTGAAGGAAGTAATAAATAAATGAATGAGCTGCACTAAAATGAACTATGCTTTCACTCTTAGATACTACCCTTTAAGAGTCAGAGAAGGGAAAATGTCTGTTTCATAGATAATATAAATACAGACAAGATTCCCAGATGAGGAGAAAAACAGACACCCCCAGCCCTTTGTTGTTTAAATTATCACAGTATGCCTTATATAATTCCTGGCTCCAGCTTCACGGAAGCCTGACTTTCTGTTTCAGATCAATTTTTTCTGGCTGTTTATTTGTGTAAAGCCTCCCCATTTCAGTCTTTGCCCGGCCCCGTGTCATCCTCACTAATTCATTCAGTTATCAAAGCGACAATGCCTAATTATAAGCTACAGTGAATCAAGTCTAGAAAAGGACTCTGTCGACGGCCTCCCACTGCCTGATCAGTCTTAAGTCAGCTTGGGGCTCAGAGGCTCCCTGCTCCTTGGATGCACCAGCTCAGCTGCCCAGCCTGTGGCCACGTCGTAATGCACTTGTCTTAAAGACTCTCCAGGTTCTGCTAAGACTAATGTGTTTGTTCACCCTGAAAGGGAATATAAATCTTTTTGGGGTACATTTAATCAGGGGCTTGAGAAATCCACCTTGCATAGTCTGGAAATTGAGTAAATGGTTGGTGGCAGAATGCTAGGAAACAGTGGGTCATAGTGGTCTTAAGAGAAGAGGCTTTGAAGCCAGATATGCTTGGACTTGAATCCCAACTCCTCTCTTCCCACAGCTGTGTGACCTGGGGCAGGGCAACACAAAGTGTGGTTCGCAAACCACTGCTAGTCCACAAACTATGTGTTACCCATCAAGGAATCAAGGAGGAGAAAAGGAGCTTGTATCCGAATGTAAACCAGCCACATTACCAAACATCCTATTAGTTCAGCTGATGGTTTTTTGTTTTTTTTTTTCCTTCACGACAAGACTTTCTCAATGCAGAAAACAGTATATTGATTTACATTCTAATATAAATTTCTTATTCCCTGACTGACTGATAGCAGAGTTCACAGAAGAGCACTTTGGGTAGCACTAACCTAGGGCAAGTCACTTAATTGTTCTGAGACTTAGTTTCCTCTCCTGTAAAATAGGAATGAGATATGGCATGCTAAGTGCTTAGTATGATGTGAGGGACATAGCAAGTAATAAAGGAGAGCTAATATTAGCCTAGATAATCCTAATAGATCCATAAGATGTTAATATGCCTACAAAAGCAACATGCATTCAAGAAACAAAAGGTTTTATAGACACATAGTTTATTAAGCTGATTGTGCTCTAGGAGAAAGAAATTTATCCTACATGTATGCCTATGCCATGTTTCTGACTCTTTGGGATGAGAGATAATTTCTTTTTAAATTTCCAAAGCCATCAAACACTGTGCTCAATAAATATTTGGAGAGCCTGAAGGCAGATTTCACCTTGGAACTAGCTTTCCTGGCACTGGCAGACCCAAGACTGTTCTGGTATCTTTATTTCTCCTATTTTTATGCTCTGGCCTGCCTTTCTTGAGTTTGAGTGATTGTTTCTTCTGGATTCACCAACTTTAGCTGGCTTCAGGTACCCTCCTCCTAAACCTCCTATACCTTTTTTCTTGAGTCATTTTTAACAATCTGGCAGCAAGAACTCTTTCCTTTAGCCACAATTTCTCTGAACACCCAAGAGGGCTTTTGGCACTGTGACTCCAGCAAATGATTTTTTTAAGGGCCACCTGGAGTAAGGAGAAAGTTCTTTCTAGGCAGTCACAAGTCCTTGGGGGTGCAGAGACACAGGGTAAAGTGACCCCATGAAACCTCAGAAGGAACTTGGAAGATATGTGGATGTAGAACTGTGTTCTAAACCAGTAATTTTTAAGCATTTTCATTCTGCAACTTTCCATCATGTTTTTCCAATACAAAATTTTAGTATTTTTCTTTGAGTTAAATGATATTGCATTTGCTTTAGATTAAATCTATAATAATCGGGACTCTTGATTTAAGGTGACAGAACCTAAATCAAAGTAGTTTAAGCAAAAAAGATAATGTATTTGGTAGCCGCGGCTGGGAGGGATGATAGAAGATGCTAGCTTAAGGTGTGACTGAAGGTGAGGACCCAAACAATGCCTTCGGGGGTTCCTACCATTCAGCTTTGCTTTTCCTTATGCTTCTCTTTGCTTGTTGATTTTATTTTCTCTTCCTGCAAATATATTTTCTTCTAGTAGTTGTAACCTAGCTTCCAGCAGCTAGGTGAGATGCATGTTTATCTGGAATAAATATATAGTGGCCCTGGAGGTCACATCCTTGTAGCCTGCAATCCAGAGGACAGATAGCTTCTGTCTCTGAGCATCCAGTTTTAAAATCCCAGAGTGACCTGCCCATCCTGGATCAGGGTGGCGAGTGTTTTAGTCTATCCAGGCAGCTATAATAAAGTACCTTAGACTGGGTAACTTATAAATAATAGATATGTATTGCTCATAGTCTTGGAGGCTGGGAAGTCCAAGATCAAGGCACCAGCAGATTTGGTGTTCTGTGAGGGTCCATTCCTCATAGATGGCTCCTTCTCACTGCATTCTCATGTGATGGAAAGGGCAAATACGCTCCCCTGAGCCTCTTTTATAGGGACACGATTTCCATTCATGAGGGCTCTGCCTTCATGACCTAATCACCTCCTAAAGGCTCACCTCTTAATACTATTACATTGGGGATTGAGTTTCAAGGTATGAATTTTGAGAGGCCACAGACATTCAGATCGTAGCAGTAATTTTTAATGATCAACCAGGATTGAATCATGTACTCTCACCCGTCTTCCCTCTTCCCCTTATAGCCAGGATATTGGGGAATTGTGATTAAAGCCCCACTGGAACTACTAGGAGTTGGGAACGTGCAGCAACTCAAAGGAGACAAGAGACTGTTAGATATGAACGAGGGAAGAAGTGTTGGGCCTGTTAATGGAACAAATGTGCATTTCAGAATATTGCTGGGAGAGGGCAAAGCTTAACAGAAGGACTAATAATGGAACTTCGAACACAAATGTGGGAGCAAGTTCAGGGGGACAGGTCTTATTAAGGTCACTCAAATTACTCAGTATGGGTAACACCTTGTCTAAGAAATTGATGAGCCTTGCTTATTAAAACTACGACCTCACCTCAATCTAAAAGAAAAGGCACATTTCCCACATTTTCAACAGAAGCATGCATTTTCTCATCCCTAACTTGTCACTGTGGATGAATTCATCTCTCGTCTCTCTCTGGTATCTCTCTTAAAACGTCATCACATAATACATGTTTAATGAATATTAGTTATTTCTGTCATTTTGACTTAGGTTATTACAGTATAATCTCATTAAATATTTATTATAACCTTATATTTTAATGGCCTCTATTTTCACATAAGGAAACTGAAGCTCAGAGACTTTGTGAGTTGCTGAAGACCACACCTCCAATAACTAATGGGGCTGTTACTACCCAAGTTTGTCTGACTCTAAAGCCCAAGCTCTTGCCTTTACATAACTAATTCAATTTCTGATAGTTGGGAGATGAGACAAGAAAAGTGTCTTTCTTGACCCAACTCCAGTTCCAGCTCCATAGCAGTAATTCATACCACCCTGGCCTTTAGGCACTATCTTATTATGAAGCATTCATTATACAAGAACCTCTTATTTAATTTTTAAGACTGTTGAGCAGAGGATGCTGTCTTGACGTCCCAGTCCAATAACATACAACAAAATCTTTCCACAGACATTTTTTGCATGAATACAGATGCTGTATCCTGTTTAATTTGAAAGGCAGACACAAGATTGGGCTAGTTTTCAGCAGTTCCATTTGGCCCTTTATCGGTAGCTTTTTGTTAAGAATAATCTCCTCCTGGGTTGTGGATAATTTCAGCATTACTGAAGCTCCAGGTTATCTCATTTTTGTAGTTGCTAGTTGCCTGTGCTTGTTCATTTCCTACCACCTGCCACGATGTTCATTTTCATTTTGTATGTGTCAACAGCTTGAGAGCCTTGAAAGATGTACCAAGATTTTTAAAGAAAAAAACATATATCAAATTCCCTTTGGTTAAGGCAGTGACAGTGATTTTTTTTCCCCCTACTTACTTGAATCTTAAATCCTCACTGATTTGCATCTAGGTTTGGAAATGGATTAATACTTGGAAGAGAAGGCAGATTGTTTGCTTAAAACCCTTTGGGTCAGAGATTTCAAAGGGAGGCAGGAGTCCCTGTCCTATGTCTCTTCTTTGGACCTTTCTGATTCTCCTTTCTCCTTCCTGACTCCTCTTCTAGTCTTCTTCCCTGGCTCTCCACTGGTCTCTGTCACTTCTCAGATTGCTCTGTGTTCCATTGGGATGTTCCAGCTGTAAGAGACAGATTAAAATGTAAGGACATTTGTCTCACAAATCTGACTTGGGGACAAGAAGTCCCCACATGGGTCCGTTCCAAGCTAGTTAATCCAGCAACTCAGGTGATTCGATTCACTTCTTGTCTTGCTCTCCTGGCTTGGTTCTTATGCTTATCCTCTTCTTATTGCTTTCATCAGTAACTTTCATCTTTTCATTTTGCTTTTCTGTTTTCATGCTTCATCAGGAAGTCCCAGGTGTCGTGGGACTACTGGAGTTCCAGGTATTATGGAGTCCCTGGAATCATGAACCACTAGAGTTCCAGGTATCATGACCAGGTATCACATCATACAAGCTGGCTAACAGAGACAGACACTGCTGTGCCCCTCACCTCTTTTCAACCACGAGAGACACTGTCCCAGAAGTCCCTACCCCTTACTTCTCAATGGGCAGAGTTACATCCCAGGCCCATGCCTAAACCTTGCAGGGGATATGGAATAACCTTCACAACTTTAGACTAACAGAACTTACATCCTATGGCTGGAAAGAAGGCCCACCCTGAATACCTAACCATGTGGAGTGTAAAAATAAACAGAAATCCAAGTTCTATCACTGAAAGAAGGTAGTGGGGATAGACTGGTAATGTCTGCCTCAGTGTCTCTTAGGCAGACTCCTAGTTGTGGCTGATGGCCTTTGCTATGACTAGTAGGGCAGCAAATCCCAATTATTCATCTTTAGACCAGATTTCTTTACAGATTCAAATAAGACACTCCATCTAGTTGCTTGGCTATTCCACTTTGATATATGGATCTTCCTTTTAGATGAATGATATTCCTCCAGTGATATAGCACTTAGACATCCCAGAAGCTCTTTTCTGGAAAATATCACATACCTTTTTTATCAACCTCCTTTCTTTCTAGGACTGTATCCAGACTTCAGGAACCCTCACAAGAGGTTAACTGAATTATAAGTATCACAGCAATGAATCTCATTCTCTGGGGCCTGTCATGGGCATCTTTTAGAGGTCATTATTTTTGTGTTATGCCGTATGTGAGCAGAACTTCTCACTGAAAGAGCTGGGAAATACACGATTTCTTGCTTTGCATGTTATTTTGTGGCAGTAAAAATGACCATGCAAGCCGAAACCACAAACAATGATCTTAATAATCAATAGGAAAATGTATGATTGTTCTGTGACCTTTAAAGATTTTCATCAAAACATTAAAAACTATCTTACTGTCACTTTTAAATGTATAGGGAAATGCAAAAAAAAGTGACATTAATATTTAGTTACTACAGTGTTATTCAAAATATTAGAAACATTGATAATGTGAAAAGTTTATTTCTTATAAAAAAGCGATGAAGAGTAATTTGAACAGTTCTTGTCTTCTTGTCATTGTGTAAGTTACAATACACGTGAACATATTTTCTGTACCCTGGTAAATTACCATACTGTTTGCTAAGTTTGGATTACCTTCCAGCATTTTATTCTTTACACTTATAATGTCACAAAGTAGCTCCAAGAGTTCTTTTAATGTGAAGTTTTTTGAGGATGCTAATTTCTCTAGGAAAATTTTTTCTCCTTTTCGCCACAAGCACTTTCCTCATTGACGTCTAAAGTTTACCTTCACTAAGTTCCGCTGGCTGGGTATCCAGAGTCCCTTGAATAGCGCAATCAGCTAAAATGCTCCATTTGCATTGGATTTCAATTTCACTTCCAGCATTTTCATTTTTCACTTCTTTGTGGCGCTCTCCTTTTTTTGGCCAACTCCTTCTTTTGATTATTCATTTTTATAAAATGTCCTATGGGTTTTATCACCAGGAGACAAGAAGGTAACACAACTACATGCTTTGCTGGCTTTATGTGAAATAAATAAGAGATGGGCAGTGAGCAATCCCCAACAGGCTTTGAAAGACATAACTCGACTGGTCTCAGAACATGGGGTGGATCTATTATTTACATAGTGATTTGGGGACCGAAGACCTGGCAGTGAGGTTTGTACTTTATTCAAATACTGACAGTTAATATACTGTGTTAACTGAAATTGAACTGTGTTGTTGAAGGACTGCTGCTTTTGAAGTAAACGGTGGTAACTGAAATCTGTGTGTATCAGAATAGTATAAAGTGAAGGCTACCCGCATTTGTAATTCAGGACATATCCACTCGGCTCTAGACTTTGGAGATACTCCAGGCCAGCCCCTCACTTCCAGCTGGCTATGAAGTAGGCAAAGCACAGAGGTTCACCAAGGGCTTATCCCTGGATGTTTGCCTGTCCCTGGCTTTGGGAGAGAATGCACCTTTAGCCTTGAGTCTACAGCAGGCATGGACTGAAAGCAGCTGCTCATTAGGGAGGTGATATGCAACGTGATGCTGTGAGAGGCAGCCCCACCATAGGCCAGTGACGGCCCATGTGTCAGCCAAAGGCAGTAAAGTAAACTAATACATAGACTGCATGTTTTTCTCTCTCTCGTTTATTTCTAGTCCTTTCATAAAAATGAAAATTCCTTCATTTCTAGTGTTTCAGCCTTCAGGATCTGATATAATTCAGTCTAATAAATGGAGTGCTGGGAGAAGGCTTGGCAGCTCTGGTGCTGTATTGCTAGATGGCCTCCTACAGAATTCCAACCTCTGTTTGCTTGCACTGTTTCCTCCTCTGGCTTTCAGCCCTCTCTCTGCCTCAGGTATGTTGCAGTCCCCTTGAATATCCTCAAGAGTGAACTCTTTCTTGACTTTCAAGGGGTTTGAAATAATAAGAAAAGTTTTGGACTTGATTTGGAGCTCACTAAGATACCACTTTTTTTTTTAATAGAGAACATGTGCATCTTCTGTATTTCCGGTGTTTCCTTAATTATATGTTTCCTTTTACATGATGAATAATTCTATTAGTTTATGGAAAGAGCACAGATTTTGGAATAGATAGGGCTGAGTTGGATCCAGCCTTGGCCACTAATTATACTTTGGACAGTTCATGTCATTTCATTGAACCTCTACTTTTCTTATTATAAAATGGTACATTAGTTAGGTTTAAATAGTTATACATGTAAAGTGTTTAGCCTTGGACCTGGCCTAGTCTAAGAATTCAATATGGGGTGGCTACTATCATTAGCTATCTTACAAGCTGATACGTGGATCAAATATGCTGATGTATATAAAACATTTCATGTAGTAATTGGGACATCAGAGATGCTCAAAATGTTATTACCTTTATCGCCTTTTTACTTTAGCTTTCAGTAAGCATGCAACCAAACCTATTGCTTAGTTGTAATGATTGATCAATTTCAAATTTTTGGTATAGCTAATTCTCTGCTCTATTTAACTTCCTTTTATGTGTGTATGGTTTTGTTATTTTGGATATGCTTCAAGATTAGAAATCCACTCAAATCATTTGTAAATGCAGATAGGAATACAAAAAAAAGTGAAAACATAATATTTCCATTTCAGTTCCAGTAATATGCAAAATTATCTGCCATCCTTTGTTCTGGCCTGATAACCTGTTCTGATATGCAGCACCATTCTTTAGCTTGTGGGAAGCTTCATGTTGGAAATAGTTCAATTTGTCCTGCAGGTATTTTGTGGCTACCATATAGTTGGCACAATATTACGAGTTTTTTACCATGATGTTTTATTTTTCAACACACTACAGACAGCCTGAACAAGTACTGGTATAATTCAAAGTAGCAGAAAGAATGCTCTGTATTCGCCAAACCCCATTTCATTTATTCTTCCTGGGCACACAACAAGACTATCTTTCCTTTGTGGTTAGGTTGAAGTTATGACTGAGTTCAGGCCAATCACACGTGAGTGGAAATAATGTATTCTCCTTCCAGTCCTGGCCATAAAACCTTCCAGGCCTGGCCATAAAACCTTCCAGAAAATGGATGACACTCTGTTCTCATTTCCCAGTGACTTCTAAGGCCATTATTTTTTAAATGTCAGGAGAATAATATGAAGCAGTCTGGATCCAAGTTACCACTTGGAGAAAAGCCACTACAGAGATCTGCATCAGATTATGTATGGTATGAGTAAGAAATCAATCTCTGTTTGGGCAAGTTTCTATGATATTAGGGCTTATTTGTTACTACAGCATAGAGTATTCTTGCTGACTAAAACACTTCGCCTTGTAACTCATGGGACATTCATGGTGATAAAAATGATACTGTGCTCGTGTTAGTGCAGTGTAAATTGTATATCAAAGCAGTGTGTGGATGTTATCATGTTGATATTTGTGGAAAGCTCATAGGTTTGGAAGTCAAGAGACCAAGCTCTTGCACGAATGTCAAATGCTTACCTCACTCTTATCTGCAGCTCTGTCATCTGTAAAATAACAGTCCTAATCCTTGTCATGACTACTTCTCACAGTTGTTACAAGATGCAAATGAAATCATAGATGCATAGGAACTTGGTAAACTATAAAGTTCTGTCAAGTAGAAAGCACTGTAATTATTTCTCTGGAGTTTCAAACCTCTCCCAGGAATACCCTTTCCGCATAGAAGAGGGATGCCTCACTGCAGCCCCAAAGTGTTACTGTTTTCTAGAAATGTCAGCACAGACTTTTGTTCAGCAAAGCATGAGCTCAAATGGCCTGAATGCAACCCAGAACACTTGGCAGGCATTTTCTGCCTGGAACAGTTGCTGAAAGCTGAAAATAAAGGCGCCTATGATTCTAAACATGGAATGTCTGGAGAGGAGAGAAAAAGAAACTTGCACAGTTTCAATCTCTCCTGAAGATGAGGGTGGAAGATGGGGAGGGTGGTGTGTGGTCCATATCTGGTACAGGAGAGGGAGAGAGGTCAGACTTCACCCTAGGAAGGACAGCTCACAGACCTCAGAAAGGCCAGGGCACAGTTGTAGGCAACATACTCAGCTGCCTACAGCGTGTGTTTTTAGGAACAGGAAGGACCCCAGTTTCTGATCTACTCCATAGCTGAACTCCAAAACTCCCTGGGTAAATCTTTCTTTTGAGCCAAGGAGTCTTGTTTCCTGTCTAAAACCAACCAACAGACAATTTCATGGGAGCCTTTGTGTCAAAAGTTAATATTGTCCTAAGGAGACTTTGAGGAAATGAAGAAACTGAAATGCTTTTTTTTTTTTTGGCACAGTGGGGACATGGGAAGTGATTCGCATATGAGAACTGAGAGGACAAAGTCAACCAACAGGCCCTTAAACCCAACTTCCTACATGGGGGCTCTGCTGCAAGGGAAGCCAGGTCCTTCAAGCCACAATACCATATTTAGAGATCTTGCCATGTGCCAGGCACTCTTCTAAGTGCTTCACAAGCATTAGCTTATTTATCAGTCATCAAAAACGCTATGAAGTAGGTACTGTCGTCATCCACATTTACAAATGGGGAAACTGAGGCCCAGAGAAGTTAAGCTCTAAAGTGCCAGAGCCAGGATTCAAACCCAGGGCGCAGAATCCATAGTCCATGTCTACACACTAAATTCTGTTTTAGCTTTTCCAGAAAAGGCATTGGAATATGCTTGTTACCCTCAGAGGTCCCAGTAGTCTTCAACACCATGAAATTCTTTGACTCGAGCTCATTAGATGAGAGTCCACCAATCAAAAAAACAAGAAAGCCATTTCTTGATGCATTTATGTTGTGCAGATATGTGATTATGGCTGACAGAAATAAAATGTAGATTATCCTTGCCAATTCCTTGCCACTGGAAACAGAGGGGTTTTTGAAGCATTTCAAATGGGTCCATCAGCGCCCCCAGTGCCCATAGCATGGGAAGCCAGCCCTGAGTGAACTCATTACCTATCAATTGGTCGTTGGTTAAAATACATAAATAAAAAGAAAACCCTTCTGGAGTTTTGCTTGTAGTTTGGGGTGCTAAGATTCATTAGCATATCTCACAAAAATGCATGTTTTCAGCATATGTTTATTGCTCATCACAATGCTTATACGCATGTCATTAATTACCAGTTGCCTTTAGGCATTTACTTGAAGACAGTCAAGTACTATGTAATCAAGTAGAGCTAACAAAGTACTTTTGTGAGGAATCTGGAAAAAGGAAAGTGGGAGGTTAGCAATTAGTATTTGTCTTTGTCTTTTCTCGCTGGCTGGCTGCTCATCTTATAATGTAGCGAGTATTACACAGCTGGGTGTCAGTGAGTCCTCTCTCTAGACTCAGTGTTTCCATCTTCCAAATGGACATTTTTCTACTGTCTTCCCTTTCTACTACAATGTCAGTGTTTAAAAGTGCAGTCCACAGACCACCTGCATCCAGTTTATCTGGGGAGCTTTCTTAAAGTAAGGGTTCTTTTAAACAAATTAACAGGAAAAAAAACAAACAATCCCATCAAAAAGTACACTAAGGACATGAATAGACAATTCTCATTTTTTTTTTTTAAGAAATGTCTTTTTCACAATGAAATCAGCAATATTTATTGTTTTTCCTGGTTATGTAAATAATACATGCTCACTGTGGGAAAAAAAAGCAGGATGGTTTGAATAAATGGTTTTTGTCAATGGAAAAATTAAAGAACCACCTTTATAATAATTATGCATTTCTCTTTTTAAAGTGTGTCTTCATCCAGAGTCCTGGTTTTTAAGCATTGCGTGTGTATAGACAAATATATATGCACACACACATACATAGAATCATATGAACTGCTGCAGGCATTTATGGATAAGTGTCAGATGACTTAGAATGGTTTGGAGACTATTCTGAACTGGCTAGAACTTTGAGTTAAAAAGAATAATTAACTTGACCAAATAGGAAGGGAGCGTCATTTCAGGTGTTTTCACATGTTTTCTTGTTTAGTCCTTTTAACATTTAATTTTTATAGCATTAATACAAGATAAGTATCATTATATTCATTTTTTTTAATTTTTTTTTATTATACTTTAAGTTTTAGGGTACATGTGCACATTGTGCAGGTTAGTTACATATGTATACATGTGCCATGCTGGTGCGCTGCACCCACTAACTCGTCATCTAGCATTAGGTATATCTCCCAATGCTATCCCTCCCCCCCTCCCCCCAACCCACAACAGTCCCCAGAGTGTGATATTCCCCTCCCTGTGTCCATGTGATCTCATTGTTCAATCCCCACCTATGAGTGAGAATATGCGGTGTTTGGTTTCTTGTTCTTGCGATAGTTTACTGAGAATGATGATTTCCAATTTCATCCATGTCCCTACAAAGGACATGAACTCATCATTTTTTATGGCTGCATAGTATTCCATGGTGTATATGTGCCACATTTTCTTAATCCAGTCTATCATTGTTGGACATTTGGGTTGGTTCCAAGTCTTTGCTATTGTGAATAATGCCGCAATAAACATACGTGTGCATGTGTCTTTATAGCAGCATGATTTATAGTCCTTTGGGTATATACCCAGTAATGGGATGGCTGGGTCAAATGGTATATCCAGTTCTAGATCCCTGAGGAATCACCACACTGACTTCCACAATGTTTGAACTAGTTTACAGTCCTACCAACAGTGTAAAAGTGTTCCTATTTCTCCACATCCTCTCCAGCACCTGTTGTTTCCTGACTTTATAATGATTGCCATTCTAACTGGTGTGAGATGGTATCTCATTGTGGTTTTGATTTGCATTTCTCTGATGGCCAGTGATGATGAGCATTTTTTCATGTGTTTTTTGGCTGCATAAATGTCTTCTTTTGAGAAGTGTCTGTTCATGTCCTTTGCCCACTTTTTGATGGGGTTGTTTGTTTTTTTCTTGTAAATTTGTTTGAGTTCATTGTAGATTCTGGATATTAGCCCTTTGTCAGATGAGTAGGTTGCAAAAATTTTCTCCCATTGTGTAGGTTGCCTGTTCACTCTGATGGTAGTTTCTTTTGCTGTGCAGAAGCTCTTTAGTTGAATTAGATCCCATTTGTCATTTTGGCTTTTGTTGCCATTGCTTTTTGTGTTTTAGACATGAAGTCCTTGCCCATGCCTATGTCCTGAATGGTAATGCCTAGGTTTTCTTCTAGGGTTTTTATGGTTTTAGGTCTAACGTTTAAGTCTTTAATCCATCTTGAATTGATTTTTGTATAAGGTGTAAGGAAAGGATCCAGTTTCAGCTTTCTACATATGGCTAGCCAGTTTTCCCAGCACCATTTATTAAATAGGGAATCCTTTCCCCATTGCTTGTTTTTCTCAGGTTTCTCAAAGATCAGATAGTTGTAGATACGCGACGTTATTTCTGAGGGCTCTGTTCTGTTCCATTGATCTATATCTCTGTTTTGGTACCAGTACCATGCTGTTTTGGTTACTGTAGCCTTGTAGTATAGTTTGAAGTCAGGTAGTGTGATGTCTCCAGCTTTGTTTTTTTGGCTTAGGATTGACTTGGCAATGTGGGCTCTTTTTTGGTTCCATATGAACTTTAAAGTAGTTTTTTCCAATTCTGTGAAGAAAGTCATTGGTAGCTTGCTGGGGATGGCATTGAATCTGTAAATTACCTTGGGCAGTATGGCCATTTTCACGATATTGATTCTTCCTACCCATGAGCATGGAATGTTCTTCCATTTGTTTGTATCCTCTTTTATTTCCTTGAGCAGTGGTTTGTAGTTCTCCTTGAAGAGGTCCTTCACATCCCTTGTAAGTTGGATTCCTAGGTATTTTATTCTCTTTGAAGCAATTGTGAATGGGAGTTCACTCATGATTTGGCTCTCTGTTTGTCTGTTGTTGGTGTTTAGGAATGCTTGTGATTTTTGTACATTGATTTTGTATCCTGAGACTTTGCTGAAGTTGCTTATCAGCTTAAGGAGATTTTGGGCTGAGACGATGGGGTTTTCTAGATATACAATCATGTCGTCTGCAAACAGGGACAATTTGACTTCCTCTTTTCCTAATTGAATACCTTTTATTTCCTTCTCCTGCCTAATTGCCCTGGCCAGAACTTCCAACACTATGTTGAATAGGAGTGGTGAGAGAGGGCATCCCTGTCTTGTGCCAGTTTTCAAAGGGAATGCTTCCAGTTTTTGCCCATTCAGTATGATATTGGCTGTGGGTTTGTCATAGATAGCTCTTATTATTTTGAAATAAGTCCCATCAATACCTAATTTATTGAGAGTTTTTAGCATGAAGGGTTGTTGAATTTTGTCAAAGGCTTTTTCTGCATCTATTGAGATAATCATGTGGTTTTTGTCTTTGGCTCTGTTTATATGCTGGATTACATTTATTGATTTGTGTATATTGCACCAGCCTTGCATCCCAGGGATGAAGCCCACTTGATCATGGTGGATAAGCTTTTTGATGTGCTGCTGGATTCGTTTTGCCAGTATTTTATTGAGGATTTTTGCATCAATGTTCATCAAGGATATTGGTCTAAAATTCTCTTTTTTGGTTGTGTCTCTGCCAGGCTTTGGTATCAGAATGATGCTGGCCTCATAAAATGAGTTAGGGAAGATTCCCTCTTTTTCTATTGATTGGAATAGTTTCAGAAGGAATGGTGCCAGTTCCTCCTTGTACCTCTGGTAGAATTCGGCTGTGAATCCATCTGGTCCTGGACTCTTTTTGGTTGGTAAGCTATTGATTATTGCCACAATTTCAGATCCTGTTATTGGTCTATTCAGAGATTCAGCTTCTTCCTGGTTTAGTCTTGGGAGAGTGTATGTGTCGAGGAATTTATCCATTTCTTCTAGATTTTCTAGTTTATTTGCGTAGAGGTTTTTGTAGTATTCTCTGATGGTAGTTTGTATTTCTGTAGGATCGGTGGTGATATCCCCTTTATCATTTTTTATTGCGTCTATTTGATTCTTCTCTCTTTTTTTCTGTATTAGTCTTGCTAGCGGACTATCAATTTTGTTGATTCTTTCAAAAAACCAGCTCCTGGATTCATTAATTTTTTGAAGGGTTTTTTGTGTCTCTATTTCCTTCAGTTCTGCTCTGATTTTAGTTATTTCTTGCCTTCTGCTAGCTTTTGAATGTGTTTGCTCTTGCTTTTCTAGTTCTTTTAATTGTGATGTTAGTGTGTCAATTTTGGATCTTTCCTGCTTTCTCGTGTGGGCATTTAGTGCTATAAATTTCCCTCTACACACTGCTTTGAATGTGTCCCAGAGATTCTGTTCTGTTGTGTCTTTGTTCTCGTTGGTTTCAAAGAACATCTTTATTTCTGCCTTCATTTCGTTATGTACCCAGTAGTCATTCAGGAGCAGGTTGTTCAGTTTCCATGTAGTTGAGCGATTTTGAGTGAGATTCTTAATCCTGAGTTCTAGTTTGATTGCACTGTGGTCTGAGAGATTGTTATAATTTCTGTTCTTTTACATTTGCTGAGGAGAGCTTTACTTCCCAGTATGTGGTCAATTTTGGAATAGGTGTGGTGTGGTGCTGAAAAAAATGTATATTCTGTTGATTTTGGGTGGAGAGTTCTGTAGATGTCTATTAGGTCTGCTTGGTGCAGACCTGAGTTCAATTTCTGGGTATCCTTGTTGACTTTCTGTCTCGTTGATCTGTCTAATGTTGACAGTGGGGTGTTAAAGTCTCCCATTATTAATGTGTGGGAGTCTAAGTCTCTTTGTAGGTCACTCAGGACTTGCTTTATGAATCTTGGTACTCCTGTATTGGGTGCATATATATTTAGGATAGTTAGCTCTTCTTGTTGAATTGATCCCTTTACTATTATGTAATGGCCTTCTTTGTCTCTTTTGATCTTTGTTGGTTTAAAGTCTGTTTTATCAGAGACTAGGATTGCAACCCCTGCCTTTTTTTGTTTTCCATTTGCTTGGTAGATCTTCCTCCATCCTTTTATTTTGAGCCTATGTGTGTCTCTGCACGTGAGATGGGTTTCCTGAATACAGCACACTGATGGGTCTTGACTCTTTATCCAATTTGCCAGTCTGTGTCTTTTAATTGGAGCATTTAGTCCATTTACATTTAAAGTTAATATTGTTATGTGTGAATTTGATCCTGTTATTATGATATTAGCTGGTTATTTTGCTCGTTAGTTGATGCAGTTTCTTCCTAGTCTTGATGGTCTTTACATTTTGGCATGATTTTGCAGCGGCTGGTACCGGTTGTTCCTTTCCATGTTTAGCACTTCCTTCAGGAGCTCTTTTAGGGCAGGCCTAGTGGTAACAAAATCTCTCAGCATTTGCTTGTCTGTAAAGTATTTTATTTCTCCTTCACTTATGAAGCTTAGTTTGGCTGGATATGAAATTCTGGGTTGAAAATGCTTTTCTTTAAGAATGTTGAATATTGGCCCCCACTCTCTTCTGGCTTGTAGGGTTTCTGCCGAGAGATCTGCTGTTAGTCTGATGGGCTTCCCTTTGAGGGTAACCTGACCTTTCTCTCTGGCTGCCCTTAACATTTTTTCCTTCATTTCAACTTTGGTAAATCTGACAATTATGTGTCTTGGAGTTGCTCTTCTCGAGGAGTATCTTTGTGGCGTTCTCTGTATTTCCTGAATCTGAACATTGGCCTGCCTTGCTAGATTGGGGAAGTTCTCCTGGATAATATCCTGCAGAGTGTTTTCCAACTTGGTTCCATTCTCCCCATCACTTTCAGGTACACCAATCAGACGTAGATTTGGTCTTTTCACATAGTCCCATATTTCTTGGAGGCTTTGCTCATTTCTTTTTATTCTTTTTTCTCTAAACTTCCCTTCTCGCTTCATTTCATTCATTTCATCTTCCATCGCTGATACCCTTTCTTCCAGTTGATCGCATCAGCTCCTGAGGCTTCTGCATTCTTCACGTAGTTCTCGAGCCTTGGTTTTCAGCTCCATCAGCTCCTTTAAGCACTTCTCTGTATTGGTTATTCTAGTTATACATTCTTCTAAATTTTTTTCAAAGTTTTCAACTTCTTTGCCTTTGGTTTGAATGTCCTCCCGTAGCTCAGAGTAATTTGATCGTCTGAAGCCTTCTTCTCTCAGCTCGTCAAAGTCATTCTCCGTCCAGCTTTGTTCCATTGCTGGTGAGGAACTGCGTTCCTTTGGAGGAGGAGAGGCGCTCTGCTTTTTAGAGTTTCCAGTTTTTCTGTTCTGTTTTTTCCCCATCTTTGTGGTTTTATCTACTTTTGGTCTTTGATGATGGTGATGTACAGATGGGTTTTTGGTATGGATGTCCTTTCTGTTTGTTAGTTTTCCTTCTAACAGACAGGACCCTCAGCTGCAGGTCTGTTGGAATACCCTGCCGTGTGAGGTGTCAGTGTGCCCCTGCTGGGGGGTGCCTCCCAGTTAGGCTGCTCGGGGGTCAGGGGTCAGGGACCCACTTGAGGAGGCAGTCTGCCCGTTCTCAGATCTCCAGCTATGTTCTGGGAGAACCACTGCTCTCTTCCAAGCTGTCAGACAGGGACATTTAAGTCTGCAGAGGTTACTGCTGTCTTTTTGTTTGTCTGTGCCCTGCCCCCAGAGGTGGAGCCTACAGAGGCAGGCAGGCCTCCTTGAGCTGTGGTGGGCTCCACCCTGTTCGAGCTTCCTGGCTGCTTTGTTTACCTAAGCAAGCCTGGGCAATGGCGGGCGCCCCTCCCCCAGCCTCGCTGCCGCCTAGCAGTTTGATCTCAGACTGCTGTGCTAGCAATCAGTGAGACTCCGTGGGCGTAGGACCCTCCAAGCCAGGTGCGGGATATAATCTCGTGGTGCGCCGTTTTTTAAGCCCGTCAGAAAAGCGCAGTATTCAGGTGGGAGTGACCCGATTTTCCAGGTGCGTCCATCACCCCTTTCTTTGACTCAGAAAGGGAACTCCCTGACCCCTTGCGCTTCCCGAGTGAGGCAATGCCTTGCCCTGCTTCGGCTCGCACACGGTGCACACACCCACTGACCTGCGCCCACTGTCTGGCACTCCCTAGTGAGATGAACCCGGTACCTCAGATGGAAATGCAGAAATCACCGTCTTCTGCGTCGCTCACGCTGGGAGCTGTAGACCGGAGCTGTTCCTATTCGTCCATCTTGGCTCCTCCCTCCTACACACACACATATATGTTGGAATACTACTCAGCCATAAAAAGGAATGAATCAATAGCATTCCTAGCAACCGGATTGAATTGGAGACTTATTCTAAGTGAAGTAACTCAGGAATGGAAAACCAAACATTGTATGTTCTCACTCATAAGTGGGAGCTAAGCTATGAGGATGCGAAGGCACAAGGGGCTTAGGGGACTTGGGGGAAAAGGTGAGTAGGGGGGTGGGTGCGGGATAGAAAACAACAAATTGGGTTCAGTGTATACTGCTCAGAATATAGGTGCATCAAAATTCCACAAATCACAACTAAAGAACGAACTTACTCATGTAACTAAATGCCACCTGTTCCCCAAAACCTGTGGAAATAAAAAAATTAGAAAACAAATAAGTAGGGGTTCCTAACCAGAACCAAATTTGTACAAGTGAAGCCAGAGTGAGCTGACTATACGAACCAGTTTACACCCATTAACTCTTGAGTTACATTCATTTTCTAGAGTCTTCTGGTTTTGATAACAATCTGTATGAGCACTCTAAGCTTGAGTGCCCATAGAGTTTGATAGAACAAAAAACACTCAGATGTCATTTATGAAAATCATATTCTTACACATATCTCTTGTCTAAGATAAAAGGATTCTACAGAAAGTAAAAATACAAAATACTCCTTCTTAAATATTAATTATGAGACAACTTCTTTGGCTTCAAACAAGTCAGGAGATCTGGCAAACCACATCAAAGAAGAGAAATTCTAGGGAGGCAGATGGGACTACACACAAACCAAGAGCACTTATAGAACTGGCCCCCAAGGAGAGGTCACCACAGAGGGGCCACCTAGTGTGTCCACAGGCTGAGAAAGTTCACAAGCAAAAGTCACAGATGGGCAGTCTCTGAGCCACAGCCACCCACGGGTGTGTTCTCTTCTGTGCACACAGTAATGTGTATATTTTGTGTGATTTATAGACTTTTTCTTGTTGTTGTTGAGACGAAGTCTTGCGCTGTCACCTAGGTTAGAGTGCAGTGGCACGATCTCAGCTCATTGCAACCTCCGCCTCCCAGGTTCAAGCAGTTCTCCCGCTTCAGCCCCCAGAGTAGCTGGGATTACAGGCCTGCACGACCACATCCAGCTAATTTTTGTGTTTTTGGTAGAGACAAGGTTTCACCATGTTGGCCAGGCTGGTCTTGAACTCCTGACCTCAAGTGATCTGCCCGCCCCAGCCTCCCAAAGTGCTGGGATTACAGACGTGAGCCATGGTGCCCGGCCATTTATAGGCTTTCAAAAATCAGGTTTCATATTAAAATTTTGATTTTTGACTTTTCTTGAAAAATCAGAAGGGTTGGCACAAATGGGTTTTGTTTCCACATAACCAGGAGTTGGCTAGCTGAGTAGTGGCCACCGTCTTGGAATGGAACTGGGGTTTCTATTTCACCTGTCCCAGACAGCCTGTTTCACGCATTCCCATTGCCTGCCTAGCCCTATGGCCTCTGGCATTGTTGCCCCTGCTCTGTGACCTGCTAGTTGTCAACCTTGCCTGCATATTGGATTTACCTTTGGAACCTTAAGAAAAAAAAAAAAAAAAAGACAAGACAAGGCTGGACTTACCACAGAAGATTGCTGCAGAATCTCAGGCCTAAAAGCCCAGGCAGCTGTATCTTTTAAGCTCTCAGGTGATTCTGTGCCAAGAGAGGGTAGAGAACCCCTAGTTCACCACCACCCTGATGACCTTTCCAGAAGCTGCCTCAAGAAAGGATCCTGGCACAGGCATATTCTCAGAGGGCTCATCTGCAACTGCCTTGTTTAAGAATCACCTGGTGAATTTGACCTTGAGGTGCTACCCTCAGAATATCTAAGGAGGCTTGGGAGGGAGCCAGGGTTTACGTTTTTTCAAACCCCCAAGGAGATTTTGATACAGGTGCAGGCTGCCACCAGAGCCCACACTCTGACTGTGGCTCTGGGCTACTTGCTCAGAGCTCTCTTCCTTCCCTTCCTTTCTTTTAACAGCTTGGAGCTAAAGGTAAGCCCAGGAGAATCAGCCATCTCATATCACAAACAAGAGGCGGCAAGGTAATTATGAGTTAGTGTTACCTGAGAAAGCTGACTAGGCATTTTTTTCTAGAAACCCACGTGGCATTTTAAAAAAATTCTGCTTATGGTCTCCATCCTGTTCTTTCAGCCTGATGACCCCCTGGTCTCCGTGTGATGAGCAATTGAAGTCTCTGACATTTAAGGGCAAGGAACAGTTCTTCATCAGAGTTACTTCTCTCTTTCTCTGCTTATTCAGTGCCATTTGGACATTCAGAAGAGCCATTCCTACTATGATAAAATAGTGCAAATAGAAACTTATCAGTGGAAAAGGCCACTCAGGTTTTCTTTGACTCTGATTTAATTCACTCCATCTGGCTTAAAGCCCTAATAACAATCTTCATTGGAGACTTCCTTTCAAAATCTTTAAAAAATGGACCAGGGAATGAAGGGATTCTGAGATCAAAGGGCCAGCAGGGAGAGGCTCAGACAAGAAGCCAAAGAAAACTCAGAAGGAAAAATAAATGATTTTTAATTTCTCTTTTGTGAATCTACTGACCTCTTAGTATACGGCTTTGGGTCATCTCTTCAAGTCAGAAGACTCACCCATCCTCATTCCCAGGAATGTGGGGAAAGAGGCTTCATGGTGTTGCTTGGAAATAGGGGAAAGGTCTTATTTTTGGAAGCTCAGCCTAAGTCCCCATTCCAAGAAGTCTTCTCTGATTAACCCAAGTCATGGAGGGTGCCTCCTTTCTCTCCAGTCATTTTTCTCTCAAAGCACTCGTGCTAATTGCAATGATGATACTAATAATGTCCACCCTTTATCTAGCTTCCATCCACTAAGTGCCAGGCATTGTGGGAGGCATTTTATATAAATCATATTAATTTCTTCTCTCAGCCACCCACTTTTTCCTTCTCTTGGTGCTCTAGCCACACTGGCTTCTTGCTGCTCCTTGAGCACATCCAGCATTTCTGTCTCAGGACCTTTGCACTTGCTGTGCCCTCTGCCTGAAATGCTCTTCCCCAGGTGGCTGCACATCTCTCTCTCTTGCTTTATTCAGCTCTCTGCCTCAAACACCACCTCTTAGGAAATGCTTTGCATGGGTCACTCTGTAAGGCAGCACATTCTATCACTGTCTCCTTACTCTGCTTTATCTGCCCTTGTAAAGCAGTCGAATCCCTGCCATGTTACAATGTGTTGTTTTGTTGACACGTGTAAATAAAAGGTCACATAATGGCCCAGGGAAGAGATCCTGGAGCTAAACTGCCTAGACTGAATCCCATCCCTGACTCTTATTACTTGTACTACCCTGGATAAGTTACTCAAACTCTCTTTACCTTAGTTACCTCATCTTTAAATGGAGTTTGCTAATTGTTACTGCTTATGCAGCGGGGTTGTTATGAGGATTAGAGTTAATATATGTAAAACACTTATCTTTAGCAGTTATGTGTAAAAGGTACTTTTCTAATGTCAAGAATCTTGTCTCTTTGTTTACTAATATATTCCACTGACCCCTTGCCTTCAATACCTGGAGTAGTAATTTCCCCCAATACCTGTAGCTGTTTAACAAATATTTGGTAAATGAATCTATGAACAAAACCCTATGGTTGACTGTATTTTCCATCCTGTGGTTACAGCAATGATTTCTAGAGATCAACTTCTATGAAGAAAATAGAAATGTAAATAAATTATTTTCGAAAGTTATTGCCCATACATAGGGTAGATTTTCAAATGGTTGACCTACTTAAAATAGGAAATGCTGCTGTCTTTTAGAATATGTCTCCCACATTATACTGTGGGAGACTTCTACTTCCAACTAATGTGTAATAGCAGAGGCTGCATTTAACTTCCCTTAAAAAACAGCTAAACACACACACACACAAATGAAATACATGAAACACTGGTTTTGAAGATTCTGGATGCCAGGCAATGAGCCACCCATCTCAGAAACATAGAAAGAAACAAGGTGGGTTCTGTGACTGCCCACCTGATTGACTGGAGAGTTTCTAGGCCACAGCACAAGGTGGGCATCCAGGTGGAGTCCAGCCGTCTCCATGAGGTGAGGAAACAGAGCTGGGAACCCGGGGAGGCCAAAGAAGACAGAGTTTTTAGGGCAGAGTCAAGGAGAGAAGAGAGCCCTACATAGAGAACTCTAGAGAATTTGCAAAGAGTCACCCTTGAGTCTTCAGCTGATTATTGATCAATGTATGATTGTGAGGAAACTACTTGAGGTCAGGAAAGGAATGATTTAAAGACATTAGCGGGAAAAAACAAGGCTCAGAGCTCATACAGAGCCAGAAATAGTTTCTATTCCCGTCATCACCCAGAGAGGAAACCTTGGAACTTACGAAGTCCTGGAAGAGTATTCAGAAAGGTTTTGCCTCAGTAGTGGGCAAAATTAGATTACATGTTGCTCTGATTCCAACTAACAAAGCTTAAAGCCAGTACTCAAGAGATTAAACTGCTTCCGAGAAACATAACTGCTTCCCAGGACAAAGCGTAAGAGTCTTTAATAGTAAACTCAAAATTGATCACAGATCTTAATGTAAGATCTAAAGTAAACTGTAACCCTTCTAGAAGAAAATATAGGAGGAATTTTTGGTGATCTCGAGTTAGACAAAGGTGTCCTAGATAAACCACCAAAAGAGTGATTGTTAAAAGAAAAACATAATTTGGACTTTATCAAAATTAGGAAATTATGTTCTTTGAAAGTCATTGTTGACATAGTGAAGATAT
The DNA here is from genome assembly GCF_000001405.40 of Homo sapiens. Classification (NCBI taxonomy): domain Eukaryota; kingdom Metazoa; phylum Chordata; class Mammalia; order Primates; family Hominidae; genus Homo; species Homo sapiens. Next base: position 111,809,055 of record NC_000010.11, on the reverse strand, counting down.
TTATAAATTCCAAATTTATAAAGAACTTATATCCAGAATGTATAAAGAATTCTTACATCTTAATAAGAAGAAAACAATTTTTTTTAAAAAAGGCAAAAGATTTGAGTAGACACTTTACCTTAGGAGATGGAAAAGATGGAAAATAGGCATATAAAAAGAAAATAAAGTTAGTCATTAAGAAAAATGCAAACTAAAACTATATTGTGATATGGCTACATATGTATTAGATTGTCCAAAATCAAAAAGATTGACCATCTCAAGTGTTTGTATGTGGAGCAACTGAAACTCTCATAGACAGCTGATGGGAATTAAGATGGTACAACTATTTTGGCAAATACTTTAGCAATTTTTTAAAAAGATTAATCTTGCACCATAGAATTGGGCCATTCTGCTTCTAGGTATTTTTCAAGAGTAATAATAATATATGTCCATATGAAGACTTGTACAAGAATGTTCATAGCATCTTTATTTGTAATAGACCAAATTAGAAACCGTCAAAATGTCCACCAACAGGTGAACAGATAAAATACTGTGTTATATATACACATTGTAATACTACTCAGAAATAAAAATGCATTAACTATTGGTACATTAAACTGTATGAATGGAGCTCAAAATTATTGTGCTAAGTAAGATAAGCCAGACAAAAAGGAGTTTATACTGTATGATTACATTCATAGAAAATTCCAGAAAAAGCAAACTGTGACAGAAAGCAGATCAGCAGTGGTGCCAGGGGACGTGGTAGGTGTGAAGGGAAGGAAGGAAAGGATTATGAATACGTGGGAGTAAACGTTTGATGGTGATGGATATGTTCATTATATTAATTGTGGGGATGGATTCCTAGATGTATATATATGTTAAACCTTATCAAATTTTATACTTTATGTATGTGCAGCTTATTGTTTGTAATTATCCCTAGATAAAATTGTTTTAAAAAAGAAGGAAAACTTAATAAGATAAATTAGTTATTTTCTTAGTTAAGATTTTCTAAGTGAGAGAAAATTGAACCAAAACTGGCTTAAATGAAAAAAATAAAGAAGGATCTTATTGGATCCTGTAGATCTTAGATGGGAGCTTCAGGCACGCAACGCAAGGGTTCACACTGCATCTCCAGGAGCTGATATCTTTCTACAACTCTTGGCCTTACTTCTTCTCATTAAATATATTCCCAGACAGATTTTCTCCTCATGGTGCCAAAGATAGAGGCAGCAGCTCCAGCCTCCTATCTCTTTAGGCTTAAGCCCAGCAGAAAGTAGCTAGAATCCTTCCATGCACCCCCCAGCAAAGTGGTTTGAATCTTATCAGCTATATTGGGTTACATGCCATTTCTTTTTTTCTTTTCTTTTTTTTTAGGCAGAGTCTCACTCTCCTGCCCAGGCTGGAGTGCAGTGGCATGATTTCGGCTCACTCCAACCTCTACCTCCTGGGTTCAAGGGATTCTCCTGCCTCAGCCTTCTGAGTAGCTAAGATTACAGGCGCACCCCACCACACCCAGCTAATTTTTGTATTTTTAGTAGAGACGGGGTTTCACCATATTGGTCAGGCCAGTCTCGAACTCCTGACATCAAGTGATCCACCCTTCTTGGCCTCTCAAAGTGCTGGGATTACATGGGTGAGCCACGGCGCCTGGCCTCACACCATTTCTTAAATCAATCATTTGGCCAGGGAAAACATTGTCTGATTTTTATGGCTTATTTTCTGGCCTGGCAGTGGCTCATGCCTATAATCCCAGTAGTTTGGTAGGCTGAGGTGGAGGATCGCTTGAGTCCAAGAGTTTGAGATCAGCCTGGGCAACACAGTGAGACCCTGTCTCTATGAAAACAAAAACAAAAACAAAAAAAAAAACAAAAAACAAACAAAAAAACCAATAAAAACAAAAAACCATGGACAGAAAAACAAAAAACAAAACAAAACAAAAAAATTAGCTGGGTGTAGTGGCACAAACCTGTAGGTCCAGCTACTCAGGAGACTGAGGTGGGAGGATGGCTTGAGCCCAGGAGATCAAAGCTGTAGTAAGTTGAGACAGTTCTGCTGTATCCCAGCATGGGCAACAGAGCAAAACCCTGCCTCGAAAAACAAAACAAAACAAAATCACACATCTTATCTCTAGAGCTAGAAGTAGAGTCAGTTCCACCCAAAACACAGTCACTGAAAGTATTAAGGCAAGGGGACTCAGAGGAAAATTGGGGATAATCCCCTGAAGAGAGGAGTTGCAAACAAAGGCCAAATTAAAACCAGTCCACGAGTGGATTTTTCTAGTGAAAACTTAACTACAGACACACTTTTATCCCCAGCCATATCCCCCAAATACCCATAGTATTACCCAGGCTCAAAAAATTATCAAGTGGATGGATTAGATGCTAGCAATTATAATTATGCGGGACATTTTAAGAAATTACATGTCCTTTTATAGAAAAATATAAAATATATGTTAAATATAAATATTTCCTTTTTGTGTCTCACACAGTTTATATGTCCTCAGCTGATAATTGGGGTTCTATTGATATGGGTTCATTATTTCTTAGTAAATAATGAATTTGGGGTGACAACTAGAAGTCTCTACCTACGAACTTGTTTCCCCAAAGCCTAGATTGTCTCTTGTCCCTATTCAAGGAAGGAAGTGGTTGTGCAAATTCACGCTAAGATAAAAATGACTGGCAAGGGATGTTGCTTGAGAGGATGGCCTATGGACAGAGGATGCAGGAGAACAAGAAGGAGAGAACACTGAGGCACCTGGGAGAGAGACCTGGGGGAACTCCCATGGAGAAGATGATGTGGAAAGGGGAAGCCAGAGGAAGGAAAGACAAAATCTGCCAACCTGACTGTTTTGCAAAGATCAGATCTATCAAGTTCTTTCTGCTCTGAGATTTTGAAGATAAATGTAGGTACAATAGGAATATACCAGTTAATTTGGTCTCTATCTTTTGCACTAGGAGTGAGTAACATTTCTACACCAGATCCTGGATGCTCCAGGTTGGTGAGTTAAGATGCAGAGTGACCCAGCCCTGCTATACTTAGTTTCCCTGCTGTTTGTCTTTCTTCCTTAATAAGTGAAACCTCAAAGAAATCACAGATATCTCAGCCCCTGCTGCTTCCATAGTGTCAGAATTGCAGGTTCAGTGCTAAAGATGGGGATGACATTGATGAAGTTCAGCCCAAGTGTCACTTCTTCTTTGGGTCAAGCTTAACATCAAGGCCACCATATCCTCCAAATTCCCTGCTGTGAGTCTCATCCTGGGGTTGAAGATATTTGAAGATGTCACTCATCAGCTCGAGAATTGGCAAAGCCTGAAACACCATCTAGGCAAGCCCATCTTAAAGGTCTGGAAACTGAGGCCAAGAGACTGAAATTTCACAGTCATTACTGAAAGAGCTGAGACTAGAACTCATGTTTCCTCATTCCCAGGCCTATGCTATCTGTCGCTCCAGGCAGTTTTTGTGCTTCCAGTTTTTTGCTTTACTAGATGTATTCTTTCCATAATTTATAAAGTCCACCCTGGAAGAACCAGCAAGCTCTCGTTATTAGACTTCCCCTACTCTGTAATAAAAAGGCTCAGAGAGCTACTAGCCCACCTATCTAGTGCCATTCTGTGGCCATGGAGAAGTGGTGGTGTGTGAGCTTCTTGTCTCAGAAAGTTTGCCCCTGGAGGACTCTGATTCCAGTGGCCAAGACAGTGGGAAAACTCTGTAATGTGTGTCTCAGGATGGAACTGTATCTCCTCTCTTATTCCCTGTGGCCATCACAATGTTAAGAGTTTTCTTTCTTGTCGCTTTCTGAACCAGCAAAGCTTCCACAAATCAGAACCCTAGGAGTGGACTTGGACTAATTGATTAGCCTGGGGAAGCCTCTGGGTTGATTTTTACAACCTCCAGAAATAAATACCTTCTGAATTCAACGTGATTAATGTGGATGCAAATGCCAAAGAAAGTAATAAAGATTTGACACTTATTAAAGAGTGTTGTCAGAAAAATATGAATGATTACTTTAATATAAGCACTGTGTGGTGCATGTCCTCCTGCTTTTAATTTCCCCACAGATAGGCTGCTGTGCATACTGTACCCTCGTGAGGCAAATGAGAAATTAGATCCGGAATTAAATTTTAAAAAAGCATTGCAATTGTTTTAATTATAAGTCACCCAGTGTGGTTCTTAAGCTAGACAGCCTCTCAGGCACTGATGAATTAGGGTGCTGTCCTTGGCATGGGACTTAGATCCAAGGCAAGGAATTTGACTTTGCAGCAGACATTTGTGCCTATGCTTAGCTACCATGGGGAAGAGCATTCTCATTATTAATTATTATTAAGTACAAAATCAGGCTGAGAGTTTTCTTCATTCCAGCATCCGCAGGATTCCCAGGTTTAAATAAATCTTGTTAAACCTAATGGGATTGCTCTGATTAAAGCTCCATGCTCTAAATCCAGGAGATGCTCCTTAGTGCATGTGTTGAAGAAGCCCCTGAAGTCTACTGAGTAAATAATCTATATATTAAGTAGCCTTTAAGTTATCATTAGAACTCCAAAAGACTCATCCACAAGGTGTACCGAATTCACACGAGATACTAGGAATTCTGAAATAAATGGCAATCTTTCTAATTCAGCATAGTTGAAATAACACACTTGTCCTTCCTACCCAACACCTGTTCTTGTGCTTTTAATCTCAGTTATCAGAACCACCATCCACCCTGATACTCTTTTCTTCTCCCTGGTCTAAACCAAAGCAGGCATCACTAATCATTTACACACCATGTCCTGCTGACCGTGACCTTAGGTGCTTTTCATCCAGCTCTCTAGCTGAACCCTGCCCATCTGCAGGACTAGCCCTCCTGCCGAGAATGTGAAAATATTCTCAGATTCATCCTATTAGCTTCTTTCATTATCCATATCTCTGATTGGTTATGCGTCTGGTAGATTCTACCTCCTATACAGCTCTCTTGTTTGTCACTTTCTTCCTATATAATTATGGCCACCCACCTTAGAGACCCTTCAGGGTGTCTCCGTCACCTGATATGGTCTAAGCTGTTTAGCCTGGTAATGGAAACTTGTAATGATTGGGCCTTGCCGAACTCTCCAGGTTCACCTTTAATTAACCCTCTCTCTATACTGTTTGTCCCAGTCATTCTCAACTGATTAAGGTTCTCTCAGTCCAGAAGGCTGTTTCAAGCCACTGGGCCTTTGCTTCTGCTGTGCTCTTTGCTTGAACCACCTCCCCTAGCCATCAGACTCCTTTCCGATCAACATTTCAAACTCAGCTCCCCCAAAAAGCCTTTCCTGTCCTCACTCTTGATGAACTTAACTTCTCGTTCCTTTGAGGCACTAACATGTTCAGACTTTAATTGTAGCACACTACTGCCCTCAGCCAAGCCCCTTTCTACTGGTGATGCTCAGTTTGATCCTTTAATTAAGATGTTGGCTGCCAGATCTTACTGCTGTTCATTTCCCCTTTGTAATTAGTAAGAAATCTATGGGGTAGCACTTTGTAACTGGGTGAATGTACTCATCCCCACCGATATTTTACCCAGGAATTTAACAGATACTGATAATCCTTACCTGGGCCAACTATTATAATTGGGGTTGAAAAGCAGTGATTTTTCTGTTCCTGGGTTCAAGCGATTCTCCTGCCTCAGCCTCCCAAGTAGCTGGGATTACAGGCATGTGCCACCACGCCCAGCTAATTTTTGTATTTTTAGTAGAGACGGGGTTTCACCATGTTGGCCATGATGGTCTTGATCTCTTGACCTCGTGATATGCCAGCTTCGGGCTCCCAAAGTGCTGGGATTACAGGTGTGAGCCATTGTACCCGGCCTGCAGTTTTTTAAATAAGGTTTTATTTTAAAATAATTATAGATTCACAGGAAGTTGAAGAAATATACCGAGAGATCCTGTGTACACTTCACCATATTTATCCCACTGATTATATCTTGCTTAACTTACAATACAGTATCAAGACCAGAAAATTAACATTCATATAATCCGTGGAATTTATTCAGATTTTCCTAGTTTTACCTACACTCATGTGGGATGGGGGGATGTATGGATATGTGTTTGTGGGGGGGTGGGATGTGGATGTGAGAAGTTTTATGTGATTTTGCCACAGGTTAGATTTCTATAACTAACACCAGAATCAAGATTCTAAAAAGTATTCCATCACCAAAGGCTCCCACCTTTGCCATTCTTTTTATCTTAGAATTTCTCCCTCTAACTATAATCAGACAATTGTATCCAGAAGTTACTTGAATTAACTTTTTGTGTGCTTATGCCATTGATTTAATACAGTTTCATTTTTTTCTGTTTGTCTTCAATTTCAGAGTTTGCTTTTTTTCCCCATCACTTTTTATCTCACTTGTTTCAAAAGCAAAAGCAAGGAAGTTCTGCTTGGAGAATTCCTGCTCCTGTTTCCATCTTCCCCAATCCATTCCCACTTCTATGCTAGAGATAACAGCTTTTAATAGTTTCTGATATATTTTTTATATAGTTCCTTTTGCAAACATGAGATATGTTTTTTCTTATTTCTTTTCTTCACAAAAGATAGCACGCTGTATATTGTATACTTAGTGCAGCTTATAGTGGGGGCTCTCAGATCAGCTTTGGTCAGGCCCAAGGCTCCCCAGGGCTCTGCAGGCCCCACTGCAACTGTGTTTGTATGTGGGCAGGTAGGGTGGACAGGAGGGGAGCCAGATAGGGCTTCAGGTCTAGCACCTCTTCTACTGCAGCAGCTACCTTTTTACCTGCTTTGTGTGTGGGGATTCTATGGAATATTTTGTTTGGAATAGGAGATTTAAAACCACTGATCTAGACTAAAGAATAGCACACAAGTACACAAAGCCAGGACAAAACATTGCTTGTTCTGTCCAGAGAAAATACCACTCTACCACAAAGACTGAGGTTAAAATGGCAGACGCTAGACATTGATTATTTTTGGCTATTCTCTGTTGACTACCCCCACCCCCACGTCTTATCTTCCAGAATTCTCTGCCTTGCCTTGTGCCCCAGGCAAGGCTGACCTCCAGTGCCTGCACCACACAGATTGCCTTACTTCTGGCTTCCAGCTGGGTTTGGACAATGGAAGGCACTGGCAGAGATTGGAGGGTGAGAGGAGAGAGGTTTAGGGCTGCCAGATTTAGCAAATAAAAATACAGGATTCCAGGAAAATTTAAATTTTAGAAGAACCATGAAACATTTTATAATGTAAGTATATCCCATGAAGTATTTGGGACATACTTATACTACAGAATTATTTGTTGTTTATCTAAAATTTAAATTTAACTGTGTGTTTTGTATTTTTCTAGCAATCCTAGAAAGGCTGCGGTATTTCTTCCTATTTCTGCTGCACCTTGCTGTGGTTTGGGGTTTTGATAATCACTGTTCCTTTGACAACAGCTCTTATTAGGCCTCCCTCCCATGGCTCTAACTTTTACGGGGCTCTGGAAGCTCGGTTCCCTCCCCTTCAAAGATCCTATGGTTCTTAGTCTCTGAGAGCCTCAGCTTCTCTTGCTTGTTCTCCTAACCCTGCTCTTACCTCAGGAAATACTCCCTTCATAAAATTCAGTTCAACAGAACCCTTTGGCATAGGCCATCTGCTTCTTGTCTGATATAAGGGCTACCCCTGTGTAGTTCTTTATCAGGCCCTTGTACTTCAGGACACCCCCAGCTTGGAGCTTCGTGCTGTGCCCATTCTCCATGATGACAGGTCAAGCGAGTGAGATGAGCAGTCAGTCACCAAGTGCATCAGTAGTCACTGCAAAGATGGGAATTAGAATATGTTGTAGGTGGCAATGATCTGCAGAGGGTCTAATCTAGGCTGCATTCCAGAATGGGTTCCAGAAACATAAGAGCTATTTATGTGTGTGTGTGTAAATACATACATAATGTATACACATGTATGTATGCATACGTATATACACATATATAATATGCATTTTAATTATATTTTGAAAGGTCACCCCTTATAAAAAGTTTTAAAGTGAATTTCTAAGAAAAAGATTCTTTTAAAAAAGTATAAACCTGTTACCCTTCTCCTATGATAATGTCCCATGTCTGCTATGAAGAAATAGTAAAGCAAAGCAAGGAAGTTGAGTGTGATCCCTTGAAACAGGAGAGGCCGTGGTTCCATCAGCTCATGATGCTTAGGCCAAATTCAAGAACCACTGAAGTGATATGTGTCATCTATTTGGTGATCAGTGGTCTTTGTCATGTCTTCATTTATAATTTCAACAAGCATTTATGTATGCTTATATATTTATATGTATTCATATATATTTATGTGAATTTTTATGTGTTTATACTTGTATATTATTTCATTTATATGATTTATAATTTTAGCATGTATTTGTGAGATGCTGTTGTTTGTGTCTTTAATAAAATATAAAGCAGTTGATTTCTCCAATTTGTCATTTTTTGTTTAATCATACAATTTTAAATTTGTACATAAATCAAAGGTAATTTCCATAATTCCTTGCAGCGATTCGTTTGCAAGATCATTTTTAGATGTCTACTTTAATCTAAGCATGCATTATATCTCATGAGGCCCATTGGTATCCCATCAACAATGCAGTATAATATAAAACATGTCCGTGGTGAAATAGATTGGAAAAATGCTGATTGAGTGCAATCTCAATGTTTTAACTATGTAGATGATCTTTGGGTCACAGGCTGTGGCCGAAGTTCTTCACCCCTATCCGGGTCTCCAGGTTCCCCTTCCTGAGGCTGGCAGGATTTGTATCGAGGAATGGAGATACACCCTTTTCTGCTCTTCTCAGTTGCACATACCCCATCCTCAGAGGCCGCCTCTTTAAATTCCTTATTCTGAACTCCGCTCACCCTTTTGCCTCCTTTGAGGAATATCTCTGTCATCTTTTCCTGTACCCCTTACACACACTCAGTAATCTTGAATCTTCAAAAAAATTAGGACATACTCCTTCCTAACAAAAATCAACAAGCAGGGTACTGGAGATCCCTGACTTTGGAGTAAGAGCCTCCAACTCAGAAGGTGTCTGGAGATCTGGAAGACTCCATAGTTCACTCTTTCCTATGTGTTAATTTCAGGCAAATTTAACTCCTTGATCCTCTGTTCTCCTGTGTGGAATAGACACATACCTGCCGACCATCTCACAGGGCTTTGGTTGGTACTGAAGGAACTGGTAGACTTGAAGGTTCTTTGAAGTGTCCCAAAACTGATGTAAGTCCACTATAAGAGCACAGCAAATGGATCACATTGACTAAATTGAATAGACAAATCAGAAAAATAACCAACTTGTTTATTTTTTCTATGGAACACATCATAGATTGACCCCATTGATTATTCTAGCCTTCGGGGGGCAGGTAATTCAATTTCTTTCATTTTAATAAATCTGAATCAGGTAACTGCCAGGTGCCAGGCATAGTGGCAGTAGAGGTAAAATGAGATGTTCGTTTATAAACTCTGCCATGAGAGGGGCTCACAGTCCAGTTTGGAAACTCTGAACTAGGGGACAATCTGGTGAAAACAATCAGTATCTGCCAAGCGCACTTGGAAGGTGGATGAGGGAACAACACATTCTTCTGGGGAACCAGAATAGTTGTGGGAAGATTTTGTGCTAGACATTTATTTGTTCACTCATTTATTCAACAAATCTCTTTTGAGCCTCAGTTTGTTTCAGGCACTGTATTAGTCTGTTTTCATGCTGCTGATAAAGACATACCTGAGACTGGGTAATTTATACAGAAAAAGAGGTTAAATGGAGAACTCACAGTACCATGTGGCTTGGGAGGCCTCACAATCATGGTGGAAGGCAAGGAGAAGCAAGTCACATCTTACCTGGATGGCAGCAGGCAAAGAGAGAGAACTTGTGTTGGGGAACTCCTCTCTTTAAAACCATCAGATCTCATGAGACTTATTCATTATCATGAGAACAGCATGGGAAAGACTTGCCCTCATGATTCAGTTACCTCCCACTGGGTCTCTCCCACAACACAGGGGAATTCAAGATGAGATTTGGGTGGGGACACAGCCAAACTATATCAGGCACTTACTCAGTGCTGGGAATACAGCAATGAACAAGTCAGATGGTTTCTGTTCTCAAGGGCGGGCTAGTGGAACAGACACATATTAAGTATCTTGCAAATATATAATTATAAGCTGTGATAAGTGCATGGAAGGAGAGTCCAGCTGACTTAGCATGGTGGTTGAGGGAAAGGAACTGATATAGCACAGTGGTATAGAGAAGGCTTCTTCTGGGAAATAATACCCAGGCTGATGTGAAGGATGTGTAGGCGTGAGGCAGTTAGGTGAGCAGAACAAAGAAGAACATATGCAAAAGCCTTGAGGCATGGCAGAAAGATACCATGATACACAGTACTAGAAGTCTCCCAAAGGTTTTCCAGTCTTTCTGTCTCAGAGTTCATCTTACTTTCTGCCCCTGTTCTATCATCTTTTCTCAGGTTACCAGCTAGGACAGCAGTGACTGCCATTTTCGAGACATCATACATGTTTTCAGCTACTCATATTTTTATTGGATGCAGACTGAGTCATTTCTCAGAAGGAGTGAAGAGGTGAGGCTGGGAAGAATAGGAACTACAGTCCCTCAGGAGCAGAAGTTCAGGGACCTTATCTCTCAAGTTTCCATGAAAGTGATATAGCTCCAAGACACTGATCTCTGTTTCTGGTTACAATTTTGAGTAGAAAGACTTTGAGTGGGCTGCTTTTGGTGAGATATCTTCCCTTGGATCAGTCTCCCATGGCGGGATGTATAAACACTTATAGGGAATGTCCACCATGGGCAAGGGACTGCTTAGAGTGCTTTGTATGTATCTCATTTGATCCCAAGAGTAACTCCAGAGTAGGTAGTATTATAATCCCCATTTTACATGGTAAATAGTGAGACATAAAGCAGGTAAGCCACTGGCCAAGGTCATGGCCAATATGGGGAAGAGCCAGCTTTTGAACTCAAAGTCTGATTACAGACCTTATGCTTTTATTCACTATGTTAATCAGGGGGCCACCCCAATGCTGACATGGCCATTGGGTTTCTCCCTGTATATTGAAGCAGTTTTCAGAAAAGGAGAGGTTGTTATGAGCCAGTCAGACCCCTGCATACTTGTTTACTGTGTATCCCAGCTCAGGTTTAAAACTTTTTCTTCTTAAGACCGCTAGCCCATTTTTTCATGTGTTTTTTGGCTGCATAAATGTCTTCTTTTGAGAAGTGTCTGTTCATAGCCTTCGCCCACTTTTTGATGGGGTTGTTTGTTTTTTTCTTGTAAATTTGTTTGAGTTCATTGTAGATTCTGGATATTAGCCCTTTGTCAGATGAGTAGGTTGCGAAAATTTTCTCCCATTGTGTAGGTTGCCTGTTCACTCTGATGGTAGTTTCTTTTGCTGTGCAGAAGCTCTTTAGTTTAATTAGATCCCATTTGTCAATTTTGGCTTTTGTTGCCATTGCTTTTGGTGTTTTAGACATGAAGTCCTTGCCCATGCCTATGTCCTGAATGGTAATGCCTAGGTTTTCTTCTAGGGTTTTTATGGTTTTAGGTCTAACGTTTAAGTCTTTAATCCATCTTGAATTGATTTTTGTATAAGGTGTAAGGAAGGGATCCAGTTTCAGCTTTCTACATATGGCTAGCCAGTTTTCCCAGCACCATTTATTAAATAGGGAATCCTTTCCCCATTGCTTGTTTTTCTCAGGTTTGTCAAAGATCAGATAGTTGTAGATATGCGACGTTATTTCTGAGGGCTCTGTTCTGTTCCATTGATCTATATCTCTGTTTTGGTACCAGTACCATGCTGTTTTGGTTACTGTAGCCTTGTAGTATAGTTTGAAGTCAGGTAGTGTGATGCCTCCAGCTTTGTTCTTTTGGCTTAGGATTGACTTGGCGATGCGGGCTCTTTTTTGGTTCCATATGAACTTTAAAGTAGCTCATCATCACTGGCCATCAGAGAAATGCAAATCAAAACCACAGTGAGATACCATCTCACACCAGTTGGAATGGCAATCATTAAAAAGTCAGGAAACAACAGGTGCTGGAGAGGATGTGGAGAAATAGGAACACTTTTACACTGTTGGTGGGACTGTAAACTAGTTCAACCATTGTGGAAGTCAGTGTGGCGATTCCTCAGGGATCTAGAACTGGAAATACCATTTGACCCAGCCATCCCATTACTGGATATATACCCAAAGGACTATAAGTCATGCTGCTATAAAGACACATGCACACGTATGTTTATTGCGGCATTATTCACAGTAGCAAAGACTTGGAACCAAGCCAAATGTCCAACAATTATAGACTGGATTAAGAAAATGTGGCACATATACACCATGGAATACTATGCAGTCATAAAAAATGATGAGTTCATGTCCTTTGTAGGGACATGGATGAAACTGGAAATCATCATTCTCAGTAAACTATCGCAAGAACAAAAAACCAAACACCGCATATTCTCACTCATAGGTGGTAATTGAACAATGAGAACACATGGACACAGGAAGGGGAACATCACACTCTGGGGACTGTTGTGGGTTGGGGGGAGGGTGGAGGGATAGCATTGGGAGATATACCTAATGCTAGATGACGAGTTAGTGGGTGCAGCGCACCAGCATGGCACATGTATACATATGTAACTAACCTGTACAATGTGCACAAGTACCCTAAAACCAAAGTATAATAATAAAATAAAATAAAATAAAAAAATAAAAAAATTTTAAAAAATAAAATTAAGTATAAAATTACCTAAAAAAAAAAAAAAAAAAAAAAAAAAAAAAAAAAAGACCGCTAGCCCACAGCCATCAAAACCACATCCCAGAAAGAAATGCAGAATTCTGGGCAATTCAGTTGTATAATACTGAAAGCGTAAATAAAAATACACAAAAAGCATGACAATGCATACTCTTTCAGTTAGATGCAGGTCATTCTCTCACAAATGGTTTGTAGAAGTACAATCAAAGGAGTGCAGTAATTTCAGATGCTTTTCGTTTTCATCAATTCTGTAATGTCCTTTAGCACTTGCGTTTAGCTTATGCCATTTCAGGATGTAGTCATGTCTTCACCATTTCCCTTTACTTCTTCCTGAAAGGAACTTCCTTCCCTTTGTCTTTAAATCATGGTGCAGAGAATGTATTACCTAATTAGCTGGAAATATTTGAGCAAGTCCTTTGGGGATAACACCATTTCTAATTATTTTTCTGTCAAAGAATGACAAGGAAGCCAACACAATTGACTGCAATAAAAGAAATTTCCAGGAGTTTGCTGGAGCCTCCTTAGTCACAAGTGCTATTTCCTCTGAGGCAGATAGAGGTGTTGGTAAATGGATCTCCTGTCTAGCTCAAAAAATGCACCAACTACTTATTTTCCTTTGGAAACTCACACCAGTAGAGGACTTCTGGGCACGTAAAAGTGAGGAATGGACAATGTCATTAAAGAGTAAGCTGGTCCAACTTGTGCTCATATGTTAGCATCAGGATATTGGAAGAAACAGAAGACATGACCTTAGGAGAGAAGAGAAAATAGTAGACATTACAAGGCAGGAATTCACCACTGTGGAAATACCCAGGAGTAATTGGAAGGACTTTCATGGGGTCTGGGAGTTCACATAACTGAATGGTAAAGAAGTCAGATATTTGTAACTATTATTTTCATTCGATTTTCAAGAACTACAGATGCAGCAACTAAAACTATCATGAAAAAGAGTTTTGATAAAAATTTTAGTTTCTTTTCACTTTGTGGTTTTAAAAAATAGAACAGGCATTGCTTTTTGGCATATCAGTAATGGTTCATTATCTGCATTCAGGAGTCCCTCTCCGTATGAACCACAGTACTTATTAATCTCATCTAGGTTATAATATGATATTGATCCACTCGTTATTTCATTCATCCATTCATTTTATTTATCAAACTTGTACTGAGTGACTACTGTATGTCAGACATGTACTGGAAACTCTGAATAAAGAGGCGAACAAGATACAGAATAGCTTGTATCACAGACCTCTATTCTATATCCATAGCACTTTGAGATTCTGACATAAGTTTTTAAAAGATCAAAATCAGGTTACAGTTCCAGGTAAGGTGAAATACCCTCCTCCTTTTCACTACTGTTGAATACAACTATAAAATCTAAACTAAATTCATGGAAGAGCTATTTGGGGATTCCTGAAAAATTAACAGTGATAGGTCAGTTGGGAAAGAAGACAAGAATTTGAGGTATCACTGAGCTGGCAATGAGTGTATCATTTATTTTCCCTCCAGTAATCTCAGCCTGTACACAAGCTACCCTGAGACTGGGAAGTGGACATGGTAAAACAGAAAGAGTTCTCTATCTCTAGGTGGAGGAAGAAGAACGGGGTGTATCAACACTCGGAAGTGGGGAAAATGCCTCATTTCCCCCCCACCCTTTTTTTCCTCTCTATTCTCTTATTCTTGAACCTACGGACAATACAGTCACAGTGAAGGAACAACAGTGTTGTCAGCAGAGTCCCACAAATGCATAAAACCCTTAAGGAGAGTAACCTTCCTTTCTTTTTTTTTAAATTTTTTAATTATACTTTTAAGTTTTAGGGTACATGTGCACAATGTGCCGGTTAGTTACATATGTATACAGGTGGCATGCTGGTGAGCTGCACCCATTAACTCGTCATTTAGCATTAGGTATATCTCCTAATGCTATCCCTCCCCCCTCCCCCCACCCCACAACAGTCCCCAGAGTGTGATGTTCCCCTTCCTGTGTCCATGTGATCTCATTGTTCAGTTCCCATCTATGAGTGAGAACATGCGGTGTTTGGTTTTTTGTCCTTGCGATAGTTTACTGAGAATGATGATTTCCAATTTCATCCATGTCCCTACAAAGGACATGAACCCATCATTTTTTATGGCTGCATAGTATTCCATGGTGTATATGTGCCACATTTTCTTAATCCAGTCTATCATTGTTGGACATTTGGCTTGGTTCCAAGTCTTCGCTATTGTGAATAGTGCCGCAATAAACATACGTGTGCATGTGTCTTTATAGCAGCATGATTTATAGTCCTTTGGGTATATACCCAGTAATGGGATGGCTGGGTCAAATGGTATTTCTAGTTCTAGATCCCTGAGGAATCGCCACACTGACTTCCACAATGGTTGAACTAGTTTACAGTCCCACCAACAGTGTAAAAGTGTTCCTATTTCTCCACATCCTCTCCAGCACCTGTTGTTTCCTGACTTTTTAATGATTGCCATTCTAACTGGTGTGAGATGGTATCTCATTGTGGTTTTGATTTGCATTTCTCTGATGGCCATTGATGATGAGCATTTTTTCATGTGTCTTTTGGCTGCATAAATGTCTTCTTTTGAGAAGTGTCTGTTCATATCCTTTGCCCACTTTTTGATGGGGTTGTTTGTTTTTTTCTTGTAAATTTGTTTGAGTTCATTGTAGATTCTGGATATTAGCCCTTTGTCAGATGAGTAAGTTGCGAAAATTTTCTCCCATTTTGTAGGTTGCCTGTTCACTCTGATGGTAGTTTCTTTTGCTGTGCAGAAGCCCTTTAGTTTAATGAGATCCCATTTGTCAATTTTGGCTTTTGTTGCCATTGCTTTTGGTGTTTTAGACATGAAGTCCTTGCCCATGCCTATGTCCTGAGTGGTAATGCCTACGTTTTCTTCTATGGTTTTTATGGTTTTAGGTCTAACATTTAAGTCTTTAATCCATCTTGAATTGATTTTTGTATAAGGTGTAAGGAAGGGATCCAGTTTCAGCTTTCTACATATGGCTAGCCAGTTTTCCCAGCACCATTTATTAAATAGGGAATCCTTTCCCCATTGCTTGTTTTCCTCAGGTTTGTCAAAGATCAGATTGTTGTAGATACGCAGTGGTGTTTCTGAGGGCTCTGTTCTGTTCCATTGATCTATATCTCTGTTTTGGTACCAGTACCATGCTGTTTTGGTTACTGTAGCCTTGTAGTATAGTTTGAAGTCAGGTAGCATGATGCCTCCGGCTTTGTTCTTTTGGCTTAGGATTGACTTGGCAATGCGGGCTCTTTTTTGGTTCCATATGAACTTTAAAGTAGTTTTTTCCAATTCTGCGAAGAAAGTCATTGGTAGCTTGATGGGGATGGCATTGAATCTATAAATTACCTTGGGCAGGATGGCCATTTTCACGATATTGATTCTTCTTATCCATGAGCATGGACTGTTCTTCCATTTGTTTGTGTCCTCTTTTATTTCCTTGAGCAGTGGTTTGTAGTTCTCCTTGAAGAGGTCCTTCACATCCCTTGTAAGTTGGATTCCTAGGTATTTTATTCTCTTTGAAGCAATTGTGAATGGGAGTTCACTCATGATTTGGCTCTCTGTTTGTCTGTTGTTGGTGTATAGGAATGCTTGTGATTTTTGTACATTGATTTTGTATCCTGAGACTTTGCTGAAGTTGCTTATCAGCTTAAGGAGATTTTGGGCTGAGACGATGGGGTTTTCTAGATATACAATCATGTCGTCTGCAAACAGGGACAATTTGACTTCCTCTTTTCCTAATTGAATACCCTTTATTTCCTTCTCCTGCCTAATTGCCCTGGCCAGAACTTCCAACACTATGTTGAATAGGAGTGGTGAGAGAGGGCATCCCTGTCTTGTGCCAGTTTTCACAGGGAATGCTTCCAGTTTTTGCCCATTTAGTATGATATTGGCTGTGGATTTGTCATAGATAGCTATTATTATTTTGAGATACGTCCCATCAATACCTAAATTATTGAGAGTTTTTAGCATGAGGGGTTGTTGAATTTTGTCAAAGGCCTTTTCTGTGTCTATTGAGATAATCATGTGGTTTTTGTCTTCGGTTCTGTTTATATGCTGGATTACATTTATTGGTTTGCATATATTGAACCAGCCTTGCATCCCAGGGATGAAGCCCACTTGATCATGGTGGATAAGCTTTTTGATGTGCTGCTGGATTCTAATCAGAGGAGCTATTGTCTAAAAAAGGTGGAGCAAACCACCTTTAAAACACTCTTTTTTCTCTTTGTATATTTTGCCACTTGGTCTTGCAATGTCAGAAAGTACATAGCAGATTGGGGTAAATAAAGCCCCGTAATTCTTGCTAGAGAACTGAAAAAGAGAGCGCCAGGGAACTAAAAAGTACCAGGAGATTTCTGGGAGGGAGAAACTTGGAAAATGCAATAAAAGTTGTTTATGGAAGTTATGAACTCACCCAAAGTGGATGGATCTGATCTTAAACAGCATATCATAGACATTTTAATGGATAGACTACCACCTACGTCCTGGACTGTCTGCTCAATGGTATACATGTGGAATAGATGTTAATAGCACTGAAAAGACTACATTGAAAGCAGAATTCATAGGAGGCTAATTATAAGTTGCAGCTTGAACCTAACTGGGTGAATTGCCTAGTTAAAACAAAAATATCAAAATTCTCGATAGAATTTTGAAAAGATCCAGTCACTCATAAGATAATATTAAAAATGTCCAAGATACAGTACCAAAATGGCAGCACAACATATCAAAAGCTACAGGATGCAGCTAGAACCGTACCTAGAGGGAAACTTATAGCATGAAAATCCTTATATTATAAAAGAAAAAAGATATCCAAGAAATACTGTAAAGTTGCATTTTAAGAAACAAGAGGCTGGGTGCAGTGGCTCATGCCTGTAATCCCAGCACTTTGGGAGACCAAGGCAGGTGGATCACTTGAGGCCAGGAATTCAAGACCAGCCTGGCCAACATGGTAAAATCCCACATCTACTGAAAAAAAAAAAATTATCAGGCATGGTGGTAGGCGCCAGTAATCCCAGCTACTCAGGAGGATGAGGCAGGAGAATCACTTGAACCCAGGAGGCAGAGGCTGCAGTGAGCTGAGATTGCACCACTGCTCTACAGCCTGGGTGACAGAGTGAGATCTTTTCTCAAGAAAACAAAATAAAATAAAATAAGATAAATAAATACAGCAAAACAAACCCAAAGCAAGCAAGAAAAAAAAAGGAACTGATACAGAGCAGAAATCAATACAGCTGAAAACAGAAAAACAATAGGAAAAACCACTGCAACTAAAACCTCTATCTTTGAAAGATTAATAAAATTGACAAGCCTGTTGCAAGACTTAAAGAAGACACAAATGGCCAATATTGGGAATTGAAAAGGAGGGATCATTAGAGATCTTGTAGACATTGAAAGGATAATAAGGGAGCACCACAAATAACTCTACACACACACATTCGACAAGTTAAATCAAGTGGGCTGATTTCTTGAAAACCACAAGCTACAAAAACTTAAGATGAGCTATAAAGCCTGCATAGTCCTATAAGTATTAATAAATGTGAATTAAAAGCTTAAAACTTCCCAAAAAAGAAATACCTAGGTTCATGGGGTTTTACTTGTAAATTCTACTCAATATGTAAAGATAAAATGATATAAATTATACAGTCTTTTCCAGAAAATGAAGAGAAAACATTTCTCAACTTATTTCCTGAAGCCACTATCACCCTGATACTAAGACAAAAACAGAATAAGAAGAGTGTATTCTAACATCCCTCATAAACATAAATGCAAAAATCCTTGACAAATTTTAGCAGTCTGAGTCCTGTGATATATAAAAACAATATCATCACCATGGGAAGATAAACCTGGTTCAGTATTTGAAGATAAATTGATGTAATTCATTATATCAACAGACCGAACAAGAAGAGCCAATGAGCCATATGATCCTATCAACTAATGTAGAAAAGAATTTGACAAATTTCAATATTCATTCATGATTAAAAACAAAACCTGCCAGCACTCTAGGAATAAAAGGGAGCTTCCTCAATCTGATGAAGAGTAGCTACAAAACCTAACCTACAGCTAACATCATACTTAATGGCAAAAAAAGCAAATGGTTTCCCTCTAAATTTGGAA
This sequence comes from Homo sapiens, assembly GCF_000001405.40. NCBI lineage: Eukaryota > Metazoa > Chordata > Mammalia > Primates > Hominidae > Homo > Homo sapiens. Next base: position 111,790,216 of record NC_000010.11, on the reverse strand, counting down.
AGAAGGCAAGCATGTCCATTCTCATCATTCCTCTGGCAGCACACTAGAAGTACTAGCCAATGTGATAATAAGAAGAAATAAAAGTCATACAGATTGGACAGGAAGAAATAAAATTTTTACTATTGGTAGATGACAAGATTGTCAATATAAAAAAACTCCTCAAAACCAAACAAGAAAACCTCCTAGAACTAAGATGTGAGTTTAACAATGTCACAGGATACAGTGTCAATATACAAAAGTCAATCATATTTCTATATACTGACAATGAATCATTGGAAACCAAATAAAAAATATTTACAATAGCTTCAGAAAAACATATATTAAATTTGTAACTTGAAAATTACAAAATGCTGATAAAGAAAATACACAAGGCTTAAATACATGGAGAGATGTTGTGTTCATGGATCAGAAGACTCGCCATATAAAAATATCAGTAGGATTTCCTGTAGACATAGGCAGTTGATGGGTTCTCCATTCCTATAATTTTCTCTTTTGGAGAATACTGTATAAATGGAATTATTGAACATGTAATCATTGACACTGGCTTCTTTCATTCACTTAATGACTTTGAGATTCATTCAAGTTGTTGCATCCATTTTACTGCTGAGTAGTAATTCCTTGTATGTTGTACACAAAATGTTTACCTATTTACCTACTGAAAGTCATCTAGATTGTTTCTAGGTTTTGGCTATTATAGAATATTTGTGTGTTGGTTTTTTTGTGCACATAACTATTCATATCTCTAGGCTAAATACTAGGAGTGGGGTTGGTAGGCAGGGCGTGGCTACAAAGGGATGACAAGAATGTGTTTTGTTGACGTGATGGAACTGTTTTGTGTTCTGATTGTAGTGAGTATCAAGATTATTCCCAGTCTACTGGATTATGGTGTCATTCATCAACCTTAGTGATACAGGAATAAGAGCGCTCGCTCAATTTGGGGGAAGGAAACTGTTGTTATTATTGTTCTTTGCCATTAACTTATACATGTGCCCAAAGTTTGAATATGACATTTTTTAGTACTATTGCTAAAGAGGTTTTTGTTCCCTATAGTATGTTTGATAAAAACGGTCCACTTGTCACCCCGGGAATGGCCTTTCTTGCTCTGTTTACAGGAACTGGGAACTGCCTCTCTGCTCTGCTGGAGAGCACACGAGTGCTTTGAGGAGAGTTGACCATCTTCAGTGCTTGCTGCAGAGTTGGAATAAATGCATCCAGAATTCCAACATCTTTGTCCTGAAAGAGTAACTTCCCAATTTTAATCTGAAACGTAGTCTCCTGTAAGGTGCAGAATCATGCAATTACAGTAGCACCCCCAATGTGCCAATATTTAACATTCCTTCCTCAATCTATAACATACTTGTACCATTTTTGTTCCTCGATATAATGTTCAGCATATTGAGGCTACAAATGTGAGCATGCAGGTGTTCTTGTTCTGAGCAAACGGTACATGGGGATTAGGTTTGTTCTCTGCTGCCCTCATTCAGTCTTCTAGTGTCTTCCATTATATTTAGGGATCTCTTTTATAACTAATAACAGAATCCCAGTACCCAATTCTCACCCTAGATTACATATTTAATTTTATGTCTCTCTCTTGCATTAATTTATACATTGCAACTATTTACGAAAAAGGGAGGGTCTATAAACGATGAGGTAGCTTTAGCAAACTCAATGAAGGAGTGACAGTTGTAATTTAACAGAATCCTGAGTACATTTTCTTTCTAAACCCTTCCTTTCCTTCACTTTCTCTTTCTTGCTTTCCTTTTCTTTCACTCTTTGTCTCTCCTTCCCTTTTGGATGTGTTAAAAAGGAATGCTACCCTGAATAAAAGCATTTTTGAGATGCAATTTTTAATATATTTTTAAGAGCTGGCCATTTCAAGATTCCTCTTCTCACTATGATGGAGATTTAGGTACAGCTAATCCTTGGGTATGTGCTTGCTTTTTGGTGCTTTAGAGAAAAATTAGAAAAATAGGGTCCAAGAAAGACTGCTTTTCAAAAGCTTGGCACTTCTGAAGTCTTCAATGCAGATTCTATCTAGGGCATCTTTATCCCAAATTGAGGATTAACATCAATTTGTAGGATGCCAAAGATGAAAGATAATCCAGGCTTGAATGATGCCCTGATGACTAGGGAGAGCAACATCGTGTTCGCATTTATGGAAGTACAGAAAGTCTGTTTACTCAATTTAATAGCCATTGCCATTATCTTGACATGAATTGTGTTCCATGCTCATAGAAGACTTTGATAGCAATGCTTCAGCAAAGAGGAAAGTCCGTTTCCTCTGCATTGGCGATGCTGAGTCCGTGCGCATAGTGGACAGGACCCTTTCTCTCAATTCTTGCTTGAGGCTCCCAGGCTCAGTCAGATTCTAAAAACATTTTTTGAAGGTCTTATTTTCTATTGACTAGTTACTTTATAATCAGAAAGGAACAACAAACATAGAGCCCCAGTGAACACAGATTTTTTTCAAGTGTATTCCTCCTCCAGACTTTTATTGTTGAACAGATAGCTTTTTTTAACAAAAATTACAATCATTATACACTATTGTGTGCATACTGCCTTTGTTTTTTCTCTTTTAAAATGAAAATTCATTCTTATTGTAAAAATGTTGCATGCTACTGTAATGTTAAAGAGTACACTATGTAATAAAGTACAAAGAAAAAAGTAAAAATAATCACCTAAGATTGCACCACTTAGAGAAAAGTATTTTCAATGTTTTCATGAACATTTAAAAAGCCATCTTAGACTAGATGTGGTTGGGTTATGGGATGTGAGGGTTTTGAAATGCGGTAAGAATGGGCAAGAACTACTATTAAGATTTTCTCCAGTTAGGAAGCAGCAAGTAAACCACATGTTCAGAAAAGAGGAGAAACTATTTGGTAGCACAGCAGAGTGACTATAGTCAATGATAACTTAATTGTACATTTTAAAATAACTTAAAGAGTAAAATTGGATTGTTTGTAACTCAAAGAATAAATGCCTGAGGGGATGAATGGATACCTCATTCTCTATGGTGTGCTTATTTCACTTTGCATGCCTGTATCAAATCATCTCATATACCCCATACACACACACACACACACACACACACACACACACACGTATACACACATATATATACACACACATATATACACATTTATATACACACATATATACACATTTATATACACATATATATATACTTATATATATACCTACTATGTACCCACAAAAATTAAAAATTAAAAAAGTCGAGAGGATGAGGTGTGTGTGTGTGTAGAAACAAGGCAACATGAGAAGGTGAGAAGGTACTGGAAATGAATAAAGGTGGGCAAATCCAGACAGCAAATACGGTTGGTACCCAAGAATCACCAGCTTGTAGAGAGAGAGAGAGCTTTTCTCTCTGGGGAGGTTTCCTAGGCCCAGTGCAGACAAATACCTTCACAACGATAGTTCGTGTCTACTCAACAACTAGTTGAACATTTTTTGTATTGGACTTCCTAATCAATTTTTAAAGTGTACTTATTGAAACCACTAGTTAAGTTCAATGGAAAATTTCCAAGTGAGTGTGTCTATGTATCTGCGTGTGTATGTGTGTGTGTGTGAGAGTGTGTGCTTGTACATGTGTATTTTCTATGGCTGAACCCATCAACAGAGATACAGATCTGTTGCTTGGGTCTTAATTAGAGAAATAAAAAGAGTTTACAATTTGTCAGCTTCACCCTAAGTTGTAGGACTCAGAGATCCTTCACACCCAGCCAAGTCTCAGGCATATCTATTTGGGTTTATCTCTGAGTCCAGAGAGAGCCCACAACCTCCTTTACTGCTCAGTCCAGACCCTGGGTATAAAATAGTTGGTCCATCATAATTTGTTGCACTCCACAGAAGCCAAGAAGCAGAAATCAGCATATCCACTTGGAATACCAAATAGTTTTTTTTTGTTTAGCATTTTTCCCCCCTTCCCTTTCCCTAGGAGGCCCTGGCTGCTAAGTCACAAGAAGCATAATAAACACATCTTAGATGTAATCAATTTCAGTCTCTGGTCTGTTTGCTGACTAGTTTGATTGTATTGAATTTCCTCAGTAGGTTGGGAGGGGGAACAGTGGCATATAGCCCAGGATGGATCTTGACTCTTTGCATAAATGTTCCATCCTTTGTTTGTGACAAATCTAGTAAAGATTAGTTTTGTAGCTTTACAGAATGGCTTCTTGCCTGCTAGCCGCCCCCAGACAATAGAGTTTTATCAAACCAAATCACCATAGTAAGAATCATTGCCAATGTTTCTCCTGGATAAATAGCTGCTTTTTGACTAAGCTTGCCTTTAAGGGTAAATGGTTAAAGGCCCGTGTGTATCATGTCATTAACAAGTTAGCAGATAAATAGTTTTATTCAGTAAAATTGTTTTTGCTGATATAGACAGTTATAAATTCACATAAATGAAGGAGGCAGATTTCACTTGGAGCCCCCACTTAGCATTTTGTGTTATTGATGCTTGCCAAACAAAAGAAAATACAATCTCTTTATTTGCTTGGCGGGCAGCTGAGTTTATTTATTATGTATGCTCCTCCGGCTCCAGTCTTCTTTTCTGGTTGCTGGTGCTGGAGCCACTCTGAAGTCAGAGCCCTTTAAACTCAGGAGCAAGAAGACTTTGTAGGATTGCTTGGAGTCCAGAGGGAACTCTGTCTGATGGAGAGAAACTAGCATTCATCTGGTTTTTGCAAAATCCCCTATACAACAATAATTAGATTTGAATTAGGAAAGGATAAGAACCAAGTTGCCCATGAAGAAGTTGGCCCAAGAGAAGAATTCTGCCTTTCCTAGGGTCACACAATTAATGTAAGTGGGGGCAAAGCATGAATCCATATGCCAGCCTTCTAAGGCATGTGACTCATCCTTTACATGAGTTCTTTAGGGTTAGGGTCATGGTCTCCACAAAGGTCCTGTTAAAAAGCAAGGGCTCCTTGGGAGAGAGCAAACTTGAATGCTTTGTCATTCCACTTAAGCAATTAACATGCGTTCCATTATCTGGGAAATTACCAATGACAGCTCAGCCAAAACAGTGATGTGGAACCTCCCTAACTTCTGTTGAAGCTGGATGCATCCCAAACTTCAGAGGCCAATGCCAGAAGAATGAACCAAACCCCAGAAGCCGTCCCCTTGTGGAGAGCCTCCTTTGCTCACCTGGTAATCTTCCTCCATTTCTACATCATTTGGTACTTTTGACCAACACACTCCTTTGAATTTTTTTCTGTGTAATGACCACCTTTGCCTCCCTGCTTTCCTGTTTCTGATTTCTCTTCCCTGCAAATCGGGCCTTCTCACTAACTTGGGATCAGTTCTGCTCTTGATGAGGGATATTTGGGAGGCACTCAGCAGCTCAGCACCTACCTGCCTGGCTGCCAGCCCATCCTGACCTTGTGTCCAGCTTTAATGAGTTTTATGGTGACCGAGTCCCTGACTGAAGGATGAAGAACAATGAGATAGCTGTATTTATCTTTGTAAAGTGTTCAGACAACCACTCCCTACTGACTCAGGTCTTTGTCTCACTCATGATTTCCCTTGACAGGGAATTTATGGCTAAAGAATAGGGCAGGCCTGTCTGCTTGGTCAAATCTACCCACAGCTTGAAAGACAGATGGCTGAGGTGGATGGAGCTGAGTGGTACAAGTAGCTGAGTGGCCAGGAAGTCTCATGCAGAGAGTCAGAAGACAGATTTTAATGCCAAATGTCCTTGGTTCTCCAAGCCCAGGAAACCCAGAGTATGTTCAGCAAATACCTAGGGGAAATGCATCTCAATATATCTTTGAAGTCTCTTTTGAAGGACATAGGACCCAGAGGTTGTCATTTTCCAGAGAGCCAGGTAGTCCACTGTAGCCAACCTCTCTACTTTAGGGAATAGTGATTTATGAGATGAGGCTGGGCTTATGAGATGCCAGTGACTTACCATGTAAAAAGGCTTGATAAATAGACCAATAAAAGAGTCTAAAATCAGACTTGGGTCATATGAATGTAGCTTAACCTTTCTGTAGAAATGTTTTGGGGTTAGGTTTTTTTTTTTTTTCTTTTTTTTTTTTTTTTTTTTGATACTCCTTGTTTCCAGCTGAGGCTGGAAGTCTTCATGCTGACAGGAAAGGCCATCTGTTTGGGGAGGTTATCATTATTATTATTTGTTTAATGTTGAGAGCTAACTGGCTCACTTTGGCTGGCTCCAGAGGTTGGCATAATTCAACTGACAATCTCAACTTAGAAGTGGCCACCTGAGGACATTGAGACAAAACAACAGGAAAGCAAGGGGCACAGTCCCCTTCTCAATGACTGCCTACAAGTGTGGCTTTTTCTTTTAGTTTTGTGAAAGGACAGAACAAATACAGAAGGGATTCAGAGAGTCTGACTCCAAAAAGGTATGAGGGAGGGGGACAGAGAGCAGCATTTTGAAAGCTGTGTGCAAGAGCATCTTATTGCAGACTTTGCCTAATTAAAGAATATGCTTCATTTCCCACATATCAAATGAAAGAAATTAAATATCCCTGTATTGACAATCTCGTGCCATAATAGTGTTCTTAAATGAACCACACCAAGACTCAGTGGCTTAAAACAATAATCTATAGATTGTGAGTGTGAAAATCCAATATGGGAAGACAAAGGACGAAAGACATAGGACAGCTATTTTGGCTGTGGTTGGCTGGGTGTGTCTTAGGTTCCATGGAGGCTCCCTCACTGCTGGGCTTGATTGGCTGCAGTGGCTGATCTAGAATTACCTCAGCAAGGTTGGCGAGGATGGCTGGGGCCTCTCTCCATGTGATTCTCACTCTTTCCCTCCAGCAGGCTGGCTCAGGCATGTTTTCCTAGCAATTATAGGCAAGCAAGGGTGAAAGAAAAAAATAATGTGCAAGCATCTCCACAAATTTCTGCTTGCATTAGGTTTGGCTATTGTCTCATTGTTCAAAGCACATCACATAACCAAACTGAGAGTCAGAGTGGCAGGGCATTCCCGAAGGTGTGAATCAGGGAGGCTATTAATTGGGGCCATTAAGTCAGTCATTCTACAACATCCTGGGAAAATCCAGCATCATCAGTGATGATACCATCAAATCTTTGCCAGCTTTTGGATATTGATGACATTCAGACAAATTGCACCTGTGGGCAATCCGGTCTCCACTGCACTGAACATGGAGAAGCTGGGACTTCCAAGGGAGCCCTAGTTTCTGCCCACTCCCTTCTCCTAATCTGATTTGAATTGACTTCCCATCCTAACAGTAGCCTCTGACTACTGGAGCAGCCACTGTATAGTCAGAGTCCAAAGCAAGAGCCCACTCTTACCATGCAACTTCAGTTTCTGCTCCCTGTGTGTTTGAGGGAGAAGATGAATGTGCATAGAAGTCCAGGGGAGAAAGGGAACTGTAACTGCAGATGGGAGAATAGGGACAAGACCGCCTTGTAAGTTCTTGGGAGACTGCTGTGTATTTAAAGTGCAGATTCCCAGAGAAGGGAGTGACCTGAGAGATCAGAGCCCCAAGCGCAGTGATCTCCATGCCTGGTATCACCATAATATAGTCAGGAAATTTCAGTATGAATTTCAGGCTCTTAAAGTTTACTGCTTTCATCTTCACCTGAATGATATATGGAAGCAAAGCTGAGGCAAAGCAGCTGGATCCATGAAATGAAGGAAGAGAATTGATTTTATATTCTGACTTTAATCTCACTCTTCCTCCCCTGCTCATACAGGTGCCTTCATCTTGGACACACTCCTTGTTGGTACCGCTCTCTAAGGCCCTTCCTATGTCCCCTTTCCCATGTTAGACATTGACTTAGCTTTGTCCTCTCATCCCTACCCGCTGCTCTCCTTCCTGAAAGTATAGAGCCTATTCTATATTTGTTCACCTTCTTCAGTCCTCCTGTTTTACTTCTTTCTTTCATGGCTTTACCTCTTTATTCCTAGAAAAGCACCTCTTGGCTATTTCCCCCATTTAATCCAGGTTGGCCGAGTGGCATAGTGGTTATATTCTCTCATGTAGTCCTGGGCAAAGAGGATGGAGGTGGAAAAAGGAAATGAATGTACTTTGAATATTAGGGATTTGATATCCCTGGAGATTCACAAACAACTTATTAAGAGTTATTGAATCCCTTCCTCCTTGCTTTATGGAAGAGGAGCCTGAAACTCAATACGGTAAAGGATTCTATCTGCAGATATATGTAAATTGCTTACAGAGCCTGGAATTAAGTCTCCTGACCCCCAGCTCTGTACTGGGAATGAATGTCATCATTCACCCAATGATGACATTCAGAAATAACAAATGTCTTCCTATCTCTGGAAATGTGCCAGCAAAAGACTGGAACTGTTGCATCAAGAAAGTATTGGGTTAAGTGGTTCCTAAGGTCCTTTTTAACCCTGAGTTTTATAGACATTGAGTCCAGCTCTCCAATTTTCAGCTGAGGCAACCCAGAGAAGTTAAACAATCGCCCACATCCTGTTGGCCTCAGAGCTCGGATGTAAACTGGGTCTTCTGTCCCTAGTCTGGGTTCTTCCTTTGTACTTTCTATCTTAGGAGTGTCTTACCTAGATAAGAACCTGCTGTCTTGAGTGCTTCTCATCTAGACTAGCTTCATATTTCCTAAATCTAAGCATCACAGAGCAGGAGATAAGATCCTATACTCTTAATTTTCATTTGCTGGACTCATTTAAGTTGTTCCTGGGGCCAGGAACCCATTTTTAATATTTGCTGTGAAGTTGCCCAGGAACATTGAACCCTAGTTTTTGGATCATTTAAAGCAAGTGACTTTTTTTCTGTATATATTTTTTCTTTTACTCTTTCTAAATTGCTTTGGAAGAAACACCAAGGAAAAGGCAATTTTTGAAAGGATTAAACAAATTGCATTCCTTTCTTGGATGTTTAATTTCTCATCCCTAATGATCCTTTTCCTATTCTTTAAATCAATGCTATTAAATTGTACCACCAAATCTTTTAATAGTGAAGGGAGAGTAAGATTATCTCTCTAGAGATCTATGAACACAACTCTAGATCCCCCAGTTACCTTGAAATTTCTTTGAAGTCATTGTCCTAAAAATGATAATTTCACATTCTACTCTCCAACTTGTGCATGTTTTTACCCCCCAAACATGTTTATACCATTAACTATAATTGTTACTGCAGAAAGATCTGCCATGTTTATCCTGTGACACCATCTGTCCCAGAGATACTGCCACATATCCTCCTGGCATTGTAATAAATATTCCTGATTTAAAAGCATGGCTTTAAACACCAGGTAGGGAAGGATGTTGATCTTCTCATTCCATCCCTGGAAACCATGAAGGCACCGAAGGTTATATCCAATATCTGTTGACATGGAAACTCCCCCAAATGTGTTAAATTATTTTCTGTTCTTTTGAGAATGAACACCTTCCCCAATATGCACTTTGTATGTGATATCTTGAAATATCAAGACCTAACATTTACTGAGTGTTTTATGCACAATCTCACTTTACCCTCAACCCAATATGGTAAGAACAGTATTATCAACTCCACTTTCAAATGATGAAATTGAACTATAAAGGAGTTATGTCACCTGTCGAGGGTCATACAGCAACTAAGGAGGTCAGGTTGGAGGTTAGGGGTTGGGATGAGACTTAGACAGCGTAACTCAGAACGTCCTGCTTTCTGGCTCCTCTCCATGACTTTCCTTCAGTTCTTGGAAAATATTTGCTGCTTCAGTTGGTATGCCTGTCTCCCAAAAGTTGTTGTGCTAGAAGCAAATCTCATGGCTTGTGCACCATGAAACAGTATGTTGTTTTTTCTCAGTCTCTTCAGCCAGGGAGAGAATAAAAGAGGTCCTTGGGCATTCTCAGATATCTGCTGTCTTTTTAAGAAGAAAGAGTACATTTGTATATATGTATTAAAAAAAACCTAAATCAAACAAAAACAAAAATGCAGTGACTCAGATACTGCAGGGAACCAACCCTGGAGATACTCAAACCAGTAGAGATGAGGTCAGACAGAAGCTCAGGGAGTGTTACATTAATCACCTGCAGGGACAAGACTCAATCATTGTGGAAAAGGCTTCTGGGGTGAGATTCCCAGAAGCTGTGCTCCACTGTTTCTTTACACTTGCCTCATACATCATCCATCTGCCTGCATTCCCTTCTAGTTATACTTCCTTTCATCTCTTAGGATGCTCAGTCATTTATCCTGGCTTGTGTCATCTAAGGGTATTCTGGCTTTTGGGAACAAAGATAGTGCTATTACATTGATCCAGGTCTTCCTAGAGATGACTGTAGTCTTCTTCAGCCCTGTACCCCTGAACCTGGGGATGCCTGGCACAATACTATCAGCATGTCAAAAAAAAGGGAGCTTTGGTTGTCTCAGCTCTGGTCCTGTAGGTGTCAGGGAGCTTCTTGTCATCCTATCCTTGTTTTTCCTCCATTCGACAGTATTTAGTAAACCTCTACTATGTGCCAAACCCTGGGATAGAGACTGGAGATAAAATAGTGAGCAGAACAAGTGTGCTGTCAACATCTGGGGGAATGAGAGCTAGAGTAAATAACCCAAATATATGCAAACTTAAACTGGATAAGTGCTCTGGAGAAGATACGTCATCATACTATGATAGCATTGAGCAAGTGCACCTGACCTTGCCTGAGAGAGTAAGAAAAGACTTCTATGAAATCTAAGGAATGAGCAGATGTGAGTTGGGTGAAGGTAGAGGAGGAAGGAGCATTCCAGACAAAGGGATTCGCATAGAATACGATTGAGGCCAGAACATAGAGACCACCAAGAAAAAAGGAGGCTTAATGTGAGTCTGCGGAGTTGAGCAAGATCATGCGGAATTTTCTAGCACATATGCATGATTTTATCCTAAGAGCATGGGAATCCATTGAAGTGTTTAATGAGGGAGGGGGTTGGGATCTGATGTAATCAGTTATGGTCTGAAGATTACTCTGGCCTGAATATGTGGAGAAATTAATTAGGAAGGAAGACAAGGGAGAGTAGAGAAATTAATTAAGAGGTTATTAAAGATGTTTGGGCAAAATAGTTTAGACTAGAATATGGATGGTAGTAGAAATGGAGATAAATGGATAGATTAGACAGCTATTGGAAAATAAATTCAAAAGGAATTGATGACGAACTAGTATGGTGTAAAGAATGACTTGTAATTTCTGGTTTGCATAACTGGATGAATTGCAGGCCATTCAGTGGGATAGGGAGTACCGGAAGAAGACCAGGTGTGGGGACAAAAACATATTAATTTCAGACCATTTTTGAATTTGAAGCACCTTTGAGTTTGAAATGAAGGTGCTGAGTAGGCAGTCAGATATATGGATCTCTGGTTTGGAAGATAAGTCTGAATCAGAATTAGAAATTTGAGAACTATTGGCATAGATTAGATCATTAAAATCATAAACAAGGAGATTACCTGGGGAGAGACTGTAAAATGAAGGAAGATAGTCTAGAATTGAGCCTTAAAGAACTCACATATTTACTTGCCATAAAGATGGAAAGATTTGAAGAGGAGACTAAAATCAAGTAGTTAGAAAGTCAGAGGAAACTCAGAAATCCAGGGTGTTATGGAAAACAGAAGGTGAGAATCCTTTAAGAAGGAAGAAGTCCTGTTAAGAATACTGTTGAGTGGTCAAATAAAATGGGTATTGAAAAAAATATTCATTGAATTTAGCAACTTCATTGATAATGCTATCAGGAGCTGTTTTGTGGAGTAATGGAGATGCACACCAGATGTGGGTGGATTAAGGAGTGCTGAGAGATGAGGAAATAAAGCCAGCAACTGTAAACCACATTTTTGAGAAGTTTGGAGGACAAATGGCAGCAGGGTGATAGCTAGAAGAACATGTGGAGACCATATCTAGATTTCTAGCCTTGGCTTTATCTCTCATGCTCACCTCTGGGTCTGGACAGTCCCTTAGCTTCTTCAGCCCAGATATCAGGGGTGTGTGTGTGTGTGTGTGTGTGTGTGTGTGTGTGTGTGTGTGTGTGTGTTGACAGTGATGATTTTCATCCCTTCTCTGGCTCTCCATGTTTCTGGGCACAGTTCCAGGTGACTACCTATCACAGTCCCTTGCTCATGTCCCCTCTCTCACTGGCCTCATTGCTGGAACCCCTGCCAGTCCTACCCAGACAATAGGGTTGACCTTAGCCTAACATTCTTAAAGAACAAAAGTGAGGAATATCTGTCCTGGAATTGAATATGTGGGGTTAATTAAAACAAAAATATGTAATTGTGTGTATGCATTGAATAGAGGGATTGGAGCCATGGAGTTTGGTTGATCCCAAACCTAAACCCTTGGTCTTTTTCTAATCCATTGAGACCTATCATCAGCCACATTGCACAATTAAAATATGCTGGAAATCACAGTTTTGATGGTAACGGCAGAAAGCATCAATGTTTTGCATAGATCACATCTTTTACACTTCGTGCCTTTTTATGTAAAATGGGGATGATGATAACAATAGTATTCAATAGCATTATTGTTATCCCCATTTTGCATTAAAAAGCTTCAAGGACAATGAGACAGAGATATTAAGCAAATTGGTGAAGATCATAGAGAGCTAAGTGGTGGAGCTGAAGACCATTCGATTCAACCCTACAGCTTGTACTCATCCCCACACCACTCTACCACCTCTCACTTCTTCTCATGTGAGAGCATTGCGGTGGATCATCTCTCTAAAGACTGGTGACCTTAAGATGGCTACATTCCTGTGCCCAGTCACAAAAGAAAACAAGCACCCATGAGATTTCTGACTTTTCCTGATTTCAGCTAGATAGAGGGAACAAGGTTTAGTGGAAAGGGCCATGGGCTCAGGATCAGAAGAGCTGGATTCCAGTTGGGCATTACCACTAGCTAACTGTGTGACCCTGGGAAACTCCATTCACCTTTCTGAGTCTCAGTTTGCCATTGGTGAATTAGAAATAATATCCACCAATTGTTGAAGATATGTAAGACATTTTTATATTCATTATCGTACTAAATCCTTACCTCTCCCCAAACCCCATGTAACATAATTATTAGTATTCTAATTTTGCAGCTGAGCAAATTACTCTTGTTGAGGTAAATGCCTGGTACATTTGTCTGGATATAAGCTCCCATCTGTGTGTAGGGGGGCTGGTCCTCCTATCTGCCTGCAGAATCCACTGTACCACCCCTTCCCACATTCTCTGAGAGGTTATCTAGCTTCTAAACCTTTACTCCTCCCAGGCCAGCCACTTCCTGTATCTCTTCACTTAGCAGGTAATGACTGAGTACCTACCCTGTGCAAGACCGTGTGCCATTTGGGGGAAAGGGAACTTAGCACCCTTTGAAACTGTCATGATTTACAACGGCGAACTGCTTGGTAAAGTTGTCTTTTCAGGGAAGTTGAGTCCCTTTGGCTAATTTCATTCCATGTCAGTGTAGCCCATGCTTTTGTTTGCATGTCTGCTGGACTCCTGCATAGCAAAGTGGGGAGGATGTGGCAGGGCTGTGTATCAGAGAAGGATCATTAACACATGCTGATACATTCTGCATGGGGACGGCCCCCACATTGCCTTGTGGGCCTGGAGTCCTTGGAGCTCACTCAGGGCACCCAGCTGGGCCATAGCCTCCAATCCGTGGGCAGAATGAGCCTGATGATCATGGTTGTAAGGCTAATAGCAAATGTGGTCATTAAAAACTCAGTCCCAAGCAAGCATGACTTTCAAATGGTAAGAAAACAAGGGACTGTTTTATTGTGTGGCATAATGTGGACCTGGAAAAGCACTGTCATGACCCCAGGCAACCATCAGCCTTGGAAAAATCTATTTTTCCTTAGATATTCTCATGCCAGCTTTTTCTTCCTGAGGCCCTGGATAGAGAGAGCTTGCCTCTTCATGGTGCAGTGGAGGCTTACTGGAAAGAGCTCACACTCCCGAGGCAGGACCCTGAGTTCTTTCTGAGATCTTTCAGATTCAGCTGCAGGAAGAAATTTTCTTCTATCCTTTCCCATGTTTTCAATTGTACAAATTCCCTCTGCCAGTACATTTCAGCTAAAACCCTATGGCAGTTTTAAAGATTTCTCAGTACGATTAGAATATATGCCTAGCATGTGTCTCTATTATTATATTAACACACTTGCTTTGAGAAAAACATAGGACTTTGGCAAGGCTTTCCAGCAAATGACTAAGAATGTTAAAGTTCACATTAGTGCCAAATGCAATATTAGCCTTTAAAATTAGTGTAAATTTAACTTAAATTTAGGTGAAAATAACCTAAAAAAATGATGGGGGTAAGGTAGTAAGGCCTACTTTTCTGGGCATTTATATATTTGTAGGAATCACAATCAGTTAAAGAAGATATCAGTATTGAAAAGCAAACAGCCCAACAGCCCATCTTTCTCTTGCTGGAGAAACAATGGCTTGCTTCTAAAGCCTTTGCATGTGAACATCTAAAAAGTCTTCCAGTCAGGAGATGGCACTGTAGTCTATCGCCAATAGAACTCTGTGGATTGCCTGCAGGTTGCTTTTGTTTGATTTTTCAGTGTAACTTTAACACACACTTAATCTCTTAACCTTAATTTGGCAGCTTCTATCTCTTACGTTTCTTTCTCCTTCCCTACTCTTTTATCTGCTCCCTCCCTTCCTCTACCTCTCCCTTCCTCCTTTTCTCCCTTCCTTCCTTATCACAAATTCTACTCGAATTTAGTCCTGTGCTACAGCATATGTCTTAAAACATTGATGAGGAATTCTGCTAAAACTGTTCATTGTGTGTGTATGTGTGCATGTATACATGTATTTGATGTTGCTTTTCCAGTCTTTTCTACCACTATTCCATGATTCTATCCTTTTATCAGTGCACATAAAAGTTTTCATATACTAAGCAAGCTACAGTTTGGGATTCTATCCTGAGGTTGACATAATTCCTTTTGATAAATATTATTCTTGTTCTTCAAAACAAGCTTCCTGATCTGCTTTTTTGGTAGGGAGATATATGATAGGCTCCCCTATGCTCCTTCTACTCCATCCCTTATTTTTCTTGCATGTTTTTCCTCCATATTATTCTTCTCCCTTTGGTCTATGGACACAGGCTGAGTATCATCTTGACAGCCTGGGCCACTGTAAATGAAGTGACAGAGAATGAATGGGCAGTTGATCGAAATCCTTCATGTTGTAGCGTGAGAAATAAACTGTTTTGTCCATCTCGTGTCCTGATAAAACATATGCTGACCAGTAAAGCCTTGAACAGCCTCCACATCATCCATCTTGCTGTTTTCCTTTTCTTCAGGGCATGTTTTTGGCCACCATTGTAAACATATTTCAAGTTTATTCTATAGCTAGGACAAACTTATCAAGTGGAAAATTCGCCAGGTCCCAGCAAAAAACGCAAAACCTTGAACAAAGGTCTTTGGGACTCCTCTTGCAAAGTGTTCGTTGTGATTCATGATAATTTTTTTCTCTCTTTTCTTCTCCCACCCTTTTGTCCTAGTTGATTAAGAGAACCCTGTATTTACAGATTTAAAAATGTTGACATTTGGCAGAAAATTGTCCTGAAAGCCAATGCTTTGCACTCACCTAGAAGCCATCCCTATTTGTGCCAGAAATCTGCTCCCTTTCTAACATACTTGCTGAAAGAATTCAGCCTGGAAAAATCTTATCCAAATGGTGTTGGCTGGCTCCTTTGTGCCATTCGGATGTCCTAAGCATCCTGCCTTGACCTCCCAATCCTAAGAAGTTCTCCAGGCACTTGCTATCATATTACCCCATTTTAATTTTCTTTCTTACCATATCTTATATTTTCTTATTTACTTTTTTGTTTATTTTGTTCTTCCCCAAAAGAATGACAATTCCATGAGAGCAGGGACATTTTCTGCTTTATTTGCAGTTGAATCTCCAGCACTGGGGTCAGTTAGCTCTTGCTGTGTAACAAGCAATCTCTGAAACTTAGTAGCCTAAAAACAACAAACCACTTACTTATTTGCTCATGGTTCTGTGGGTAGCAATTTGGGAGAGGCTTTGCTGAGCTAGTTATCTCTGCTCAGTGTGGCATCACTGAGTTGATGCATGTATTTGCAGTCAGCTGAAGGATGATGGCCCAGTCACATGTCTGGAGGTTGACTGGCAGTCTGTAAGGATAATAGAGATAATTGCATGTTCATGCATTAACTGTCAAGAGATGGAAAACCCCAAAGATCAAGCACTTTGCAAGTCCCTGTTTGCATCACACTTGCTAATGTCCTCATTGGCTAAGTCAGGTCACGGCATTAAACCAAGATTAAAGAGTTAGAAAAATACACTGTTTCTCTTGATAGGAGAAATCACATTACAGAGGAACTACAGGATGGGAAGTGGACACAGAGATGGGAAGAGTTTATAACTCTTTTTTTTAATTTATGACAAGCATCTAGACCTATTGCAGGACAGGCAATTAATATTTGTTGAATGAATGAATAATGAACTACCCAAGTTGACCAGATAGAATCTCAGTTCCCTCACATCAGTTCTAGTTTCTGATACTAAGTATCATGTTTATCAGGTCGTGGTTTCTGGACTTAAAGGGTTCATATTCTAAAGCAGCCCAAAGGTCTACCAGAAGTTAATAATAACTGTCTTTATCCTCTGAGGTGTGTGCTTGTGAGAGCTCCAGGAATATGCAATGGTAGATACACTTCAATAAAAAAGCTAGACATGTATGTCAAAGACCACATTGTCAGAGGCACAAACATGCCAATCTGGAAAAGAAATGACAGTGAATTTAAAAAGTCAATTACTGATGGGTCAGATTTTTGCAGTCAGCCATAATTTGTGTTTGTGTACTTAAAACCATCTGTTTGTGTAGATACAGTATAAAGGTAAAGATTCCAATGAGAGGAATCACTACTATGTTACAGCAATCCTATGCTGTCAGTCTTCTTTTTGCAGGTTGAAGACTAGTGATGAGTCTAGTCAGGTTTTTAAAAATTGCCACATTGTCACCCTGCAAAGATGGGGAACATTTAGATAAGCAAAGAGACAAGGGTGGGGTCAAACTCTTTCACTACTTGGCATTTCAAAAGTCTCTCCCCCTGTCTTCCTATTCACCTCTTTTGTATTGACACCACAATGATACCTATATCTTCTCCAAATTCTGACAAAAATGATCTTTGTACCAGCCTCATTTACCTCTTAATTTATTTCTACAGATGAACACTTAAATTTGGAGATTTTAGAAACCTTCTTTTCCTGGCAGTTTGAGAGACAACAAAGGCAGAGAGTGGAGAACAAACTATCACCCTTTATTGCCAATGAAGCTGTGTTGCAGGATATGGCTTAGACATGGAGCAACACAGGCTTCCTGATACTGGGACCCAAGAATTAGACTCCCAACCTAATCACAGTCTACACTGACCAACCACTGTCCTCTTCTTATGAGGATCTATCCCAAACATTACAGACAGGGAGGAGCAGGCCAGAATTTTGGGTTCCAAGAGAAAGAAGGTACATGAAGAATCTCCTGCTGCTTCTCTGCAAATAATCACTTCTCCCTTTAGAGAAAGGAGTGAAGGCAGAGGTGAAACATTCAGAGAAAGAAGCCAGGGAGCTTTCTTTGTCCTGATACCTTGAATTCACCACTTATCTTCTAAAGTTTGCTTTGAAAGATCAAAGTTTTTAATTCCTGCCTCCCCAAAATAAATGTTCCTGTGCCACTTGAGTATTTACAAATACACCAAACATGCCTGTAGTTGGGCCAAATGTAATTGTCCTAGGTTTAAATTCAGAAAAAGTTTGAGGCTTTCTTGCATTGCATCATCTTTAGATGCTTTAGATGTTGCTTGAGTCTTCCTCTTGCCAGGTTGCTATAGTGAGTGAAAGCAAGAACTCCTTAGCAGACTAAGGCATCATTTTTGCCTGCAGCCACTGAGAATTTCAGTTGTTCATTGAATTAAGGACTTCATCTCTGTGAAGTCCTTCACTAGACTGATCAATCAATCCAGGATGTATTAAGAGGCCCCTGTCTACCAAGAGGTATAGCAGCACACGGTAATGTCACTCAGTTGGTGGAGATGGCTGGCACCAATGGTCCTTGATGCTGTGTGATTTATTATGGGAAGGGGGTAGGCATGCAGCTGGAGGTTGGCTAGCAGTCTGTAAGGATAATGGAGATAATTGCCCTCAACCATTTTACTCACTAAACTGTCAAGGATAGAATTTTCAACACATGATAAATATTAACATTTTCAAATAAAACTATCATTTTAAATGTGTCTAAAAGATTCAGAATACTTGAGCAATTTAATACTCACTATCTTTAGTTTAAATACACACACACACACACAAGTGAAACTTTTATATCAGTTCTTTTTCTCCTTGAACTCAAATTTCCATTCTACTTCCCAAACAGAATTTTATTCTAATGTAATGTAGTTTATACTTGAAACTATTTAATACAAAACTCGATTATGCTTTTCTATTTAGAAAAATATATGGAAGTTATAAAATACTATATGAAAATTTATATGTAACTTTTTATTGCCTATGAGCATAAGACTCTAAGCATTAATTTTGTTCTGTGAGTTATTAAAATTATTACCTTGTGTATCAACTGAAACAACAAACAAGTTGTAAATTCCAAAAATTATATTTATTACTTTTCAAATAAAATGTTGTTGTAAATGTATTTGTTAATGAGATGAGTAGGCTTTGGTTTCTATTAGATTATGTATTTTTAAATAAATATCACTTACTATTAGAGTGAGATAGAATTCAACATCAATTCTATTTCTCGCTCTTTCTCGTTTTGTCTTTAAAATGTAAACAATCACAAACCATATTCAAGATTTATTATAACAATGCCATTCAGTTTTTCAGACTGCTTCTGAGTTTTATGCGCAAGATTATAGTTACTTATCATAAAAATGATTGCTAGTGATCTATTTATTGACAGCTCAAATTGAGTTACCATTCAATTTTATTAAAAACAAACCAAAAACTACCTTTTGGGCAAAAGGATTGATTTCCAAGTCATTAGTCATACACTTTCTGGACATCAATAACAGTACTTCAAAATGTGTCTTTGTTTAGTGCCCTCAAGGTTTCTACAACCTGGGGTAATGCTTCTTAGTGAAAATTAGGAATAGTGTGTGATGTGCTTTTCCTCTGTAAAGTAGGGGGAAAGCAAATTGAACCACTGTCTCAGCTACTTTATCAGAAAATCTTCAATCTGAAGATTGAATCCGATAAAACTGCTTGGTAACCAAAGTTGTGCTGATAAACCGAAACAAAAAGCTCAGATTTGTAGCTTTTGCTAAGTCAATGTTGTAAATATTCTCATGATACCAGCCTCATATCACTGAACCTCAGAATTGGAGAATGGTGCTCAGTGGGCTCTCCTGAGATAGTACAGGCTGGTTCTCAAACATCACTGTGCCATGCACTTAGGAAGGCTTCATCTTCCAATCTGTGCCAATCTGCATACTACTGCTTAGTGCTTAGAACACTCTATGTCTCTGTTTCAGTCCTAGTATTTTTTTATTTTTATACTTTAAGTTCTAGGGTACACGTGCACAACGTGCAGGTTTGTTACATATGTATACATGTGCCATGTTGGTGTGCTGCACCCATTAACTCGTCATTTACATTAGGTATTTCTCCTAATGCTATCCCTCCCCATCCCCCCACCCCACGACAGGCCCCAGTGTGTGATGTTCCCCATCCCGTGTCAAGTGTTCTCATTGTTCAATTCTCCCCTGTGAGTGAGAACATGTGGTGTTTGGTTTTCTGTCCTTGCGATAGTCTGCTGAGAATGATGGTTTCCAGCTTCATCCATGTCCCTACAAAGGACACAAACTCATCCTTTTTTATGGCTGCATAGTATTCCATGGTGTATGTGTGCCACATCTTCTTAATCCAGTCTTATCACTGATGGACATTTGGGTTGGTTCCAAGTTTTTGCTATTGTGAATAGCAAAACTTTCCAGTGCTGCTGGAGGCATTACACTACCTGCAGTCCTAGTATTTTTTAGCCAAAAGAGAGCTTAACTAACAATTATCTCCTCCAACTCCTGAATGTGCATTTTACAGGGAAGGGAACTGCAGTCTATAAAGAATAAGAAATTTGCACAAAGTAATATAGCTACTTAGTAGAAAAATTGAGCCTAGAATCCAGGTCTTCTGCCTACAGAGTTGTGGTTCATCCTCAGGCTATTTCTTTCTTGAATTCAACAATCTCGGAGCTGGAAGGAACCACGTGGAACATTTGGTTCAATCCCTATCATGTTTGGGAATCTCCCCCCACAACATTTTCTACAGGTGAGCATCTGGTTTCTGCTGAAATGTTCCCAGAAACTGTAGCTCTTGCCATTACAGTGTCCAATTCTATTTTTTAAAGCAGAGTTAATTATTTGCTTTTTCTTTACATTGACCAAATTCATTCCATCTTAATGTCATTAGCTATTTCTGGTTTGCCTTATAAAAGCTTTAGAATAAATCTAATTCCTGTTTCATAGGACAACCTTCAATTATTGGGAGGTTTTAATCATAACTGCAGCCCCCTCTCTTTACCTGTCTGTATATAAAGCAAGTAAAGAGAGTGAATGCAGCCACTGATTTACACTGAGGTCCATGAGCTACAAAAATCCTTGGCTGTCTAAGGAAACCTCTCTGATATTATTTATAGAGGTACTATCTTACCCTTGCCATTAGAGCATTTGAATTCATCATCTAAGATAAAACATTTATTTCCCTTCAAGTCCTCCATTTCTTTTCACACCCAACTTCAACTCTTCATCTTACCCAAGAATGTTATACTTGTTTAGCCAAATATATTTTCCATGCTTAAGATAATAAAGAAGCTTTTCTGTCTTTCAAAGTGTATAGTTGGAGAGCACACTAAAGCTTGTATCAAGGATTGATTTTTCTGATTACTTTATTTCCCCCAGCTAAACACAGGGATATCTTCAGTC
Organism: Homo sapiens; assembly: GCF_000001405.40. NCBI lineage: Eukaryota > Metazoa > Chordata > Mammalia > Primates > Hominidae > Homo > Homo sapiens. The sequence goes on along the minus strand of NC_000010.11, from coordinate 111,769,337 downwards.
TTCTTCATATAGCATTTTACTAGAACTGAAAGTATTCCTTCAGTCCTTATTTGGGATTCATAGGGGTACACATAGCATCCCTTTTCCATATTCAGCTTAGGATTCAATTAGGATAGAGAGCATCAGCTAGGTAAAGATGATAAAGTTGATACTAAAGAACATATCATAGATAGATTTTATTATACCAAAACCCTACAATTGGTCACTTAATCACAGGTAGCTCTGAACAACTGCAGACCTCCTCATGTCAAGGATTTCCCTAAAAATTTAAGGCCTGAAGAAGCATAACAGAAAATGTGCTTCATGTGGTACCCAGCTCCCAAGATAGAGGGAAGAGGAGAAGGCTGGATACCTCATGCCCAGTTCCTCTTCTGGAACTCACCTGTCAATGAAATGACTCTTCTTTCTCTAGGGCAGAGTAGGCAAAGATGTAGAGAAAGGATGTGTCACTAGACCTAGGAGGGAAGGATTAGAAGTGCAATATCCCATATGGTATGCATAGAACATCTATGAAAAATCAACAGATAACATCATGCTTGATGATGAAAACCAAATGCTTTTTTCTTAAAATCAGGAATAAGATGCTGATATTCAGTGTAGTCGCCTCTATTCAACATTGTGCTAGAGGTTCTAGTTAGGGGAATTAGGCAAGAAAAAGAAATAAAAGTCATACATGTTGGAAAGGAAGAAGTAGAGCTATTTCTATTTGTAGATGACATAATCTACATAAGAAATTCTAAGGAATCCCCTAAAAAAACCATAACCACTAACTAATTAGGCAAGTTTGTGTTATGCAAGACAAATGTAAAGAAATCAGGTACATTTCTATACATTAGCAATGAACAATCCAAAAAGTGACATTAAGAAAATAATTCTATTTGCAATAGAATAAAAAGGAATAAAATACTTTGGAAAATTTTAACAAAAGAAATGTAAAAATTGTACACTGAAAAGTCTAAATAATTATTAAATTGAAAAATATCTAGATAAGTGAAAAGACATCCCATGTTCATGGAAAGTATTAATATTGTTAGGTCTTTAAGATGCCAGTGCTCCACAAATTGATCTGCAGATTCAACACAATCTCTATCAAAATCCATGCTGCCATTTTTGGCAGAAATGGACAAGCTGAACTTAAAATTCAAATGAAAATGCAAGGCACTCAGGATGGCCAAAACAGTTTTGAAAAAGAACAAAGTTGGAGGGCTCACCCTTCCCAATTTCAAAACTTACTACAGAGTCATTAAGATAGTGCAATACTGGCTTATGGATGGATATGTATACTGATAAAATACAATTGTGAAGCCAGAAATAAATTCATATATTTGTGATCAATTGATTTTGGATAAAGGTGTCAAGATAACTCAATGCAAAATGATAGGAAGTGAGATGTTGAGACACCTATAGCATCCAATGACCATCTCATATGGGAATAGTCTATGAGTTTCTGTTTGATGTGGACCTCACACCCATTAAAGAGCAAGTTCTTTAACAATGGCAGCTTAAGTGTCTGTGATAGTTTTGCAAATTAAATTTACCATTCAGTCTTTCTATTTTCGCTGGGAATTAGGGACATTGAAACTTTTGTGTGACAGGAAGAGCCTTGCAAATTCTTAAATTACTGTTCCAGTGAAATGGGTACTCCTATCACAAAATAAATATGTGGGTATCCACTAAATGAAAAACAAACACAAGTGTCTTTGCTGCTGCCAGAGTGGCTGCTTTATAGCAATGAGTGGCTCTTGGCAAACCAGGAAACAGAGAGAAATTAGCAAGAACATATTTATAATCATATATCAGGGACATTAAAAAGCCATGTTGTTTCTAAATCATATCACTAATCATTTATCACTCTCAAAGCATATTCACTATCTATAAAGACAGGTATCTTTTGTGTTTAGTTAACTGGCAGGCCCTAGTAAGTGCTACAATTTCATCAACTTGTACAGCATCAGCTTCTGTACAGAAAGGATTGAATTTGAGCATGGCAGAATGAGTTGTGGTTGCATGTCGGGCTTTGTAGCCTCCTTCTTGAGTTCTTAAATAGCATTCTTTAAAAATAGTTCTAAATTTTGGTTTTCTAAATGGGTTTCAAGGAGGTCAGGACAAGGCAAAAAAACTCCTGAGTAAGAGCATGACAGTCACAAGGTTCTCTCTTTTTTGGGAGTGGTAGGTGGCTGTTGGGGTTTAGAGTATTACAATGATAGATAGAAATATGTATGGGTGAGAGAAGAATTTTGTAAGCAGTCATTCCCGAAGCAGAAAAGTTCTGGGTGTTTTCAGACAAGAGTAAGGCCAGAACAGCATGAATGGTCATGAGGCTAAGTGGAGATCCTAAGTCACCAGAGGCCTCAGGTAACTTTGTGGCTGATGCTACTGGTTACAAATTGGGGTAGACTTTTTTTACCTGGTAGTGAGAGGCTGTAATATTTAATAGATCACTGATGTCTGTGTACTGTTGTACTGTCATGCTCAAATCCCCAAAGTTTGTCTTGATGTTTAATATACAAATAGCAAGGTTGATGATAATGCATGAGTTCAAGGCTAGGATGTTTTCAAGAGATTTCTTTATGTTACAGAAAACAGTTTCCAGTGAGTTTTTCAGGACAAAGGCGTATGTGTGTTGGCTTTCATTACGTCACATAGACAGGAAGTCAATTCAAAAAAGTTACAAATCAAATGTCTACTGTAGTATCTGACACCAAGAAATCCTTTAGGTTAGGTTCTGGTAATTGGCTTAGGAAAGTCACAAACATCTTCTCTCTTTGAGAGGAAAGTGTCTTTTCATTTTGCATTGTTTTATTGGCCTACGTTGGATCATGTGATCTCTTAGCCACTTAGCTGTGAAAGGAAGCATTGCTGCTCCCATTTACTTTGGCTTTTCTCTCTTTGTGGATTTCTAAATGGTACTAGTGTGAGTTTGTTTTTCTCTTTGAATTTGCAGTCCTTGAAGAGTTCTGTAAGTCTGCTTTGCCACAGAATAAAGGCCATCTTTTAACTCATCTAAGATTTAAGACCTTTTCAATGCAACACCATCATACGGTTGACTGTGGCAGACACCTCTGGACCCCAAGTTCACCTCTTAGTTTACCTCTGCTTTTAGCTGCTGCTATGGTGAGCAGTACAAACATAAGATGCTCATGTTTCCTTTCCTTTCCCCTTTTACCTGTTATAAATTCTTTTTCATTTCTAATGGAAGAAACTTTGTCCCTCTAACACCACAATCCCTAATTCTCTCCCTTTCTTTCCCCCCAAGATGTATAAATTTTCCTTAGGTATATGATTATATTCTATAACCGCCTCTTCTGTTTGTTAATAATTCTTTTTTTTTTTTTTCCGAGACAGGGTCTCATTCTGTTACCCAGGCTGGAGTGCAGTGGTGTAATCATAGCTCACTGTAACCTCAAACTTCTAAGCTCAAGCCATCCTCCCACCTCCTGAGTAGCTGGGACTACAGGCACACACCACCATGCCAGCTAATTTTTGTATTTTTTGTAGAGACAGCATTCACCATGTTGCCCAGGCTGATCTCGAACTCCTGGGCTCAAGTGATCCTCCCACCTCGGCTTCCGAAAGTGCAGGGATTACTGGCATGAGCTACTGTGCCCTGCCTGTTAATAATTGTTGTTTCTTGGGTTTCTGATTCACTCATTTCTGCTTTCATATTTTATTTATTCACTCTTTTCTCCTACTTAATTATATTTTGTTAATTTCCTAATGTTTTTAATGTAATGATTTTTTCCTTTATATTTGTGCATTGATCTTTAAAAATGAAAGCATTTATGACAATGTAATTTTCTTTGAGTACAGCTTTGACCACCTCATAAATTTGATATGCAGAATTTTTATAGTAGCTACTCTCTAAAAGTCTATAATTGCAGTGTTTATTTCCTCTGTGATCCAAAGTTTATTTAGAATGATGTTTTAGAATTTCAAAAGTCTTTAAATTGAAATGTTTATTATTAAACGTCCATTTTCATTGCTTTGTTTACTCATCATTCAATTTAAGCACATCTGCTTCTTAGGAAAGTGGAACTGAGCTGTACTGACTCTAGTATCTCCAATTATCTTGCCTTTGAATAGTTTTTGCTCTCCTTGACCTCCCGTCATACTTAGTCTGGATTTCTTGATGTCATAGGTGTATGTGTGTGTGGGGGGTGGGGGGGTGTGAGTGTGTGACTATGTGTGAGTGGGTGCGCATGCATGTGTGTCTCTCTGTTTCTCTAAGTAGTAAAAGCAACTTAAGAATAGTGACTTCGTTTTATAATTCTTTGCTTTCCCCGTAGCATTTAACACCTTAAACATATTAAGTGATCAATAAATACATGTGTATTCCTTTATATTTCAAGGATGGTAAGACTGATGCATCAGACATATGGATCAAAGCCTTTGCTAAGTGATGATGTGATTATTCATTTTGTTAAAATATATTTATATTATGTATTCCTTTTCTGGTTCTGAAATAAATCATATTAGGGACATACTTTTCTTTCCTACAATGATCACAAGCATGATGATTAACATGATTATTAATACTGACTCTGTTGAGCATGTCACATGTTACTTTATAATTCTCATAATAGCTAGCTCAGATGTGATGATTATCCTCATTTCATGAGGCACACGGATCAAGACTATGCTCAGGTTGTCAGCTGGTGGAGACGAAGCCTGGATGGGATCCCACAACTGTTCATTCCTTTCACTTCTGCTCCACACCAGTCTCTATTAATTAATTCTTCCACTCACTTATTTTCTCTTTTATTCTGTCACTCATTCAAACAACGAAGTGTTTGCTGATTTATTGGCCAGATACAGTACTAAAAGATGAGGAACATAAATGTGAATAAAACATGGCCACTGCTTTTGGTTAAGTTCCAGAGTCCAACCAAGCCTTTTCTTTCACATGCAGCAAATTAAAAATATTATAAAACGTACTAGTTGTATCTGGGCTTCCCTGCAATCCCTCGACTTCTCTGTTCTCTGTTTCCAGATGTTCAGGTGTTTACCTCGGGGTTTGCCCAAGCTGATTCCGATGCTGGCTGCCAAAACTGGGCTGTGTAACATCATTGTATGCTCTTTGTAAATGCAGAAAGACCTGGGGTTTTAATAGCCTTTCTCCACCCACCCTAACTTCATTTTCCTCAGGACAATAACACAAGTTTAAAGCCAAAGTCAATTATGACAATGTTATTATTTCTTGTGGGGAAAATTGATGTTACTAACCTATAATGTGTGCCAGACTCCTGAAACTTACACAGAAATTCTTCTTGGAGACAAGGAAGACAAGCTTCAGAAACATGTTTCATATGAAAGAAACAACCAGGGTCTTTGTTTTCCCAGACTGTTTGGTCACTTGGGCTCAGAATGTACCTAGTGAAATCTCATCTATAAGATCTTTTCTTCTACATCTTGGACTCCATGTACCCGACTCAGGCCCACACAAATCCCATAACAACACATGTCTGCCACCAAGCACCGCCTGCAGTGACAAAGGCTGGAGCCCACTAGAAACTGCCTCTTGGACTTGACTCTCATATAAGTTTTTAATTTTGCCGAGGGATTCCAGCTGTAACCAGAATCACCATCTCTGTTAGCATTGCCACTTCCCACCATTTTCTATCCCTTCTCTCTGCCTTTTTTTTTTTTTTTTGGCAGTCTAAAACTCTAGTAATTATGTGACTATCACTCACTTATTGATTTTCCTCCCAGTGAAAAATAAGACAAGTACATTCTTTCATTTATTACTGTATCCATGGTGTCTAACGTATAGTTGGCCCTCAGTGCATATTTGTTGAATGAATCATGATGATGAATTATTGCTATAATCCTTATTGTTTTCATCTTATTCACCATAATTACCATATCTTCTCCCACCCCTTTACTATCATAATCATCATCTTCACCATTATCAATACCAATATCATCATCCTTTCATCATAACCTCTCCTGCATCAATGGTGCTTTACAGTTCTCATGGTGCCTTCCCATCATTGTCCACTCAGGTATTCTGAGCTCTCCTCCTTGTTCTCAGGTGAAGCAGGCATGGGAGAATTATTATTATCAGTCCACGGATGTGAACCAAAAAAAGGTAAATTAACTTGCTCAGTCACCGTCTGGGGCAGGAACAGAACCTCAGCCTTGTTGGTTTCTGTGTCATGGTATTTATGATCTACTCTGCCCTGAGCAAGGGTTATTTGTGAATAGCTTTTGAAGCAAAGCTTTTTCTTCTATTTTTCTCTTATAGCACTTTAGATGATGCCTGGCATGTGGTAGGCAATTAAAAATATTTATTGAAGGACTATCTTAGTCTATCCCTGCTGCTCTAACAAAATGCCACAGACTCGGCAATTTATAGATAATAAAAATGTATTTCTCACAGTTCTGGAGGCAGAGAAGTCGAAGGTCAAAGTGCCAGCAGATTCAGTGTCTGGTGAAGGCTGCTCTTGGCTTCCAAGATGGTGCTTTATTGCTGTGTCCTCACATGACAGAAGACAGAAGGGCAGAGGACCTAGCTAGCTCCCTCCAGCCCTTTTATAAGGACACTAATCTCATTCAAGAGGGTGGAGCCCTCATGACCTAAGCACCCCCCAAAAGCCTCACCTGCTAATACAATCATCTTGGTGGTCAGGTTTCCACATATGAATTTTGAAGGAACACATACATTCAACCCATAGCAAGGACCAAATGGCACGTACATCCTCCATGATGTAGCCTCTAGCTTCCTCTTCAGTCTTTGCGTGCCCACAGTTCAGTGTTCTAGCTCAGAGGAACTCTCTACATGTCCAGAGCAGTCCTGGCTTTCTGCACCAGCTTTTTGCATACTGATTGGCCTGTCTGAAATACTCTTTCCAGTACCCCTTGGCCTCTGTCCCAGTCTGCCAATTTGATAGAGGCTTTGCAGGTTCTCCCAGCTCAAATTGACCACCGTTCCCTTGGGTGATGACTATACTCTGTCACAGATCTTCTACAGCCTCTTTGGAACATTAATACGTATGACAGACTTTAAGCCCCTAGAGGGCAGCAGGCATGCCAGTATTGTTGTATCACTGTACCCCAGCATCTTGCAGTAACTGAGACTAGCAGGTAGCATTTACGGAATGCTTCCTCTCTGCCAGCCACCAGGTTCATTGATTTATATGGGTTATCTCATTTAATTCTCGTAACAACCCTATGAAGTAAGTGTCATTATTGCCTATATTCTGTAAATGAGAAAGTAAGGTACAGAATCATTAAATAAGAAGCCAAGGCCACTCCTCTAATAGTATCAGCAAACAAACGACCACATTTAGTTTTTCCATATGTAAATCTGTCCTTGAATCCTTAGCACCTAGTCAGGTACATAAAAAAAAGTTTAATAAGTGTGAAATGTGAATTACATAAATAGAAAAATTATATTAAATGATTTCTAATCTCCAACTCATTATGTTTTGTGCTTGATTTTCTTAGGGAAGATATTGTATTTGCTCAATAAGGGTACTGAACATTTAAAAATTGCTAAAATAGATTGTTAACATTCTCACCACACAAAAAATAACAGATTCGCAAAGTGATGGATATGGTAATTAACTTGATTGAGTCTTTCTGTAGTACATACATAGATCAAACATTACATTGTACTCCATACATCTGTACAATTATTATTTATCAATTAAAAATGAATAAAAAAAGAAAGGGAGACTATTTTCAGTGTTCTTAACAACTCTCTCTGTACCTGTTCTGGTGGGAAGATATGGTGGGTGGCATTCTCCACAAGGTAGTAAGATTAACGTGCCTTTCTTTGCTTAATGCATTTCCTGTCTTAAAATGGTGGCCCAGCAGCAAGTCCTAATTGCAGGGGTTGTGTGCCATTTCCTGGCCCCTCCTCAGGCCACCTTTCACATGAATATAATCTGACTAAGAAGGTGGCATTACCCACACAGGATGCCTACTTCAACATGTATAACCAAGTCACAAAGCCTCTTGCCTGTTTTCTTCTTAGAGTTTCGCCTAAGAAAAATGGCTTCTTACCAAACTCCCCAAACCCATAATTATAACCACAATTTCCTTGTGTCTGGGGTACTGTTTTCAAAGTTGCAGATAAAACAAATGCACACAGGAGTAATTTTTTTTTCTCCTTACCCCTGGGAAAATCAAGAAGGCTTCAGAACTTAGATCAAAGAGAATGGATTTACCTGCCTTTGTCTTTGCTACCCGCAAATAAGGATCAGATCCCAGCAGGGACTGTGAAGGAGCAGGAGGTATTAAGCCACTGAAGACTCCCTCACCTCACTTCACTTTCTTTTCTGTAGGGCACGCCTCCCAGAATGTCTGTCCAGAATACCTGTTTCTTTTGGATTCTGCTTGTTTTGATAAGATTAGTTTTTATGCTAAACCTGGAAGCGGAAGGGCTGGGGCGATGTCAGGAGAGACTAGCCCTTTATACTGGTTTCCTATTATGACTAGTAATAGTGTGGAGAAATCTCCCCAGCAGTTTTGTTCTGCTAAAATTTCTCACTTTTAAATGTCAACAAGGAAGGTTGTAGAGTGGGGAAGAGATTCTGGTAAAGCTTTAACTTTTGAATAAATCATAGCCTCTCAGGCCTGACCCCAAGCTTCCTGGAGGACAGAGTGAAACTCATAGACTCTGCACCCCCAAGAGTGTACATGGCTCACTGGAATGGGCCACTGACTCAGGCAATTAACTCCCCAAAAGCTTTACAACTTCCACTGCTATGGTCAACAATTAGCATCTTAATAATTATGGTCTTCTACCGACCATGACTTGACAGCTCTGAATTGTGTGTACAATCGCCAGTGGGTCGTAAGGGGAAAATTTGTTTGTCACGGCTAAGCTTCTTTATATTATATTAATACTGGCAGGTGTCAGCGTGTTGGGTTGCAGGATTTGAGTTGTGCATCAAGCTTTGCCTGCTGTCTTTCAGCGGAGAAACAACCCTTAGGGCAGTCACCCTCTTGTGCTGTTGGTATCACCTGCATGTGAACCACTTGAAGCCCTTGCTTAACGCAGCTTTGTGGGTCCGCACTGCAGAAACTCAGAATTGGATTCTCTGAAGGACTGGCTCAAGAATCTGAATTTTACAAACTCTCCAAAAGTAAAGTTTGGTAGTGACTGAGGTACCCCAAGCTACTGAGGACTGAGTGTCTATGAGCTTTGGTGTTGTAAAACTATGGATTTGTTTTTCTTCATTATTCATTGGCTGGAGGACATTGACTCCCAGCTTTAATATGATTTGAAATAATGTATAAATTTCTTAAATTGTATTACTTTTGCATTTATTCTATAACACATACATTTATTGAGCACTTTCTGTGTGCCAGGAACAACGCCAGATGCCTGGCTACAAAGAGGTATGAAACATGAATTCTTATTCATGAATTCAAGGAACTTCTAATCTCTTAAGAAAACAAGTATGTACAATTAGGTGCTAGAGGAGCTATGAAAGAGGTCCACATGGATAAAATGGAAATAGAAAGGAGAGAGTAATCCTACCTGGGGAACATGGTGGTGTCATAAATAGTTTCACATAAAGAAAGATGTATAGGTGTTCACCAAGCAGATAAGTTAGAAGAAAGATATTATTCTAACCTGATGGAGCAAAGACATAAATTCTAAAATAACAAGACAGGTTCTGGGAACTGAAGGTAGGTCAGCATAGCTGGAAGGCAGGATGATAGGTGGGGAAGGAGAACAGAGTAAGAAATTATCCCTAAGAGATAAGGAGGAGGCAGATCATAGTTATCTGTGGTAAGGAATTTGCAATTTAGTCTCTAGAATAGTTTTCTCAAAGTGTAGACCTCGGGATTTCCACATTAGAAACACCCAACTGAATCAGAATTCCCAGAGGTGGGGTCTCATCCTACAGATTTTTACAAGCATCCCAGATGACCAGTATGCCAAGCTTGGTATCTACTGTTTTATAATGTGGAGCCAGTGGAGGGTTTTGTGCAGGGAAGAGAAATGATTAGAAAGACTATTCATTGGGGTGGATGATAGGTTAGTTGGACTGAGATTGGAAGCTAGTTAACAGACCATGGCAATCCTCCAGGTGAGAGATGACAGAGGATTTAGCTAAAGTAATGTGCATCTTGGGTATGAAGGATGGGAGATGACTTGAAAGGTGTGCTAAAAGGGTCAGATTTATAGGACAGAATCTAAATAGAAAATGAAAGAATTCTGAGAATATAGTGAAGTCAGGTGCAAAACATAGTGTTTGTGGAAAGTTTTAGCCACTTTTCTGAGGTCATGTCTATTTTATATGACAAAGAAATGAAGTTGTCTTTCATCAGGACTTCCTTTGTATGGGCAGACACCTTTTTCATTCTTATGCAAGCATATGTGCACAAACATCACACACAAGTTTGAATAGCTACAATAGTTTAATAAGAATTACAAGCAGGATTGTGGATAGTGAAGGTAACTGTTTTCTCAGAGACATAATTCTGCATCACACACCTAGTAATAATATGTTTGAGATATTGTCATTCATTTATGTATTTGTGTTGAAAATAGACACAGAGAAGAAAGAATGTTTTCTGACATAATCACGTCTCCAAAATGGCAGGCTGTCACCGCAAAGAAGAAAACCCATCAGTACTGGAAGACTTCCCTTTGCTCATGTAGTTTGCTAGATTATGCTGCCCTGCAGGTTTCTCCTACGTGAGTGCATTTGCTGTATATTTCTAAAAGACCAGGCTTTATGTGGGAATAAAGAAAAATGTATTAAATAACCCTATGATAGTCAGAAATTGTTCTGGAACCTACAAAAGTCACTAACCTACTTCTCCTGTAACTAAATTGAAACCACCAAGATCTGGCATCTACTTAATTTTGTCTTTCCTTCTAAGATCTGCAAAATTAGAAAGTGTTATTAATCCCTCTTCAGAGAGAGGAGAGAGTTTCACTAGTGTCCCTGTCTGGAGAAGAAAGAGGAGTTAGCACGTGCCTCATTCTCTCTTGTCTATTACTACATGGTACTGCAACTCCAGGGGACATCAGGAAGGGACTATACTATCAATCAGAGTTTAGTCTGTGGTTAAGAGCATGGACTTGGATTTGGATCTCATCTGTACTGGTTGCTGGCTGTGTTGGGTTGGCAGTCTGTTCATTTCTCATCTGTAAGATGTGGATATTTATTCCTGTTTCATTAGGGCTACTCATTCATCTATCAACCCATTTATTTAACAAATACTTATTAATCACTCCTTTCATAAATGACATGATGACCACACAAAAAAGATATAGTTCCAGTACTTGTGGGAGTTTAGATTCTATTGCAGGGGGGAGGGCAATAAAGCAGGTAAACATAGAATAATATATCAGATGGTAATAAGTGCTAAGAAGCAAAGCAAAACAAAGTAAAAAAGAAAAGATGAGAAACAAAGTGGTCCTTTTTGGAAATCAGGGTCAGGTGAGCTTTTCTCAGACTGTAACATTTGGGCAGAGACCAAGGCAGTGCAGTGCAAGTGCAAGGCAGTAACCTGCCCAAATATCTGGGAGAAGCATGTTCCAAGGAGAATGGACAGCAAAGGCAAAGGCCCTGAGGCATGAGGCTCCACACATTTGAGGATCAGCAGGGGCAGTGCCTCCAGTAAGGAGTGGCTGGAGCAAAAAAGTGACCAAGGGAGAGAGGAGTCACTGTTCCCTCTGCCTAATCAGGCAGTTCTCCATTAGCTATCTGGGAGAAGAAACTTCTAGACAGGGAGAACAGTGAGTATCTAGGTTCTCAGGCAGGAGGGTGTTAGAATGTTCCAGGCCAGGGTAAATTCGCCAAGTTAGAAACTGATAGGAAGCAAGATCAGAGTGATGAGAGGGCCAGATCATGTAGGACATCCGAAGCCAAGGCAAGGACCTTGGATTTTATTCTGAGAAAGAGGGGATCATTGGAACATGCTGGGCAAAGGAGTCACAAAATTGGATTTACACTGTGATGGGATCATTCTGGTTTTAAAATAGACAATAAACTATAGGGGCAAGTTTGAAAACTGAGCACTCAGAAAGGAGGCAAAAGCAATAATTCAAGTAAGAGATGGTGACTCAGTCCAGGTGCTGGCAGAGGAGGTGGTAAGGGTGAAAAGTGGTCATATTCCAGATATACTTCAAAACTAGAACTGGCAAGCTTCACTGATGGATTGAATGGGAGGTGATAGCTTTGAGTGGTGTCTAGCATCCTGCATACATGGCCTCTAGTCACGAAGGGAAGTGTTCTTCCCCTAAAGGATTATAACATGGAAGATTTTACTTATTTTTATTTGACAAGGGTATGGTGAGGGGAAACTTGAGAAGAGGATCTGGATTCCAGAACCTGGGGCTCTGTCATTGGAAATGTTTACTGTGAGTCATCATGGTTGCTCTCCTTAACCCAAAGAACAGTAGGCTCCCTGTCTTCCGGCAGAAACACAAACAAGTCCCTTTGCCTTCTTCACACGAACATCTCTTATGTCCCTGTCCTTCTCTTAGCTTTAATTCAAACCAAATCTTACCCAGAGAAATTATAAGGACCTTCCAGCTTCTTACACTGTAGAGACAAACTGCAAAGAAGGGAGAGGAGACACAGATCTTTCCTGATTGTACGAAGTATGATAAAATGGTGTTTCAGTAACGAAAGTATGGCAGCAGAAATCCACGTGAAGGATTTGCTTGGGTAGTTGCATCAGGTGCAGTCACTTAAAGCTGTGCGGAACCGAGAGCTCCCTCTTGTGGGATGAGACTCAGTTCACTGCTTTTCTGCCCAGCTGTGCCGGCTTGCTGCATCCCTGGCTTCACTCTTCTAACAGAATTTACCCGAGATGCAGGTCGTCTTCTACAGGATGGGGAGGAGCAAGGGTGGTCAATGTGGAATACAGGTCACATTTCTTCCAGATCATATCATGTCACAGCAAGGCTGGGCTCTGCTGAGTTGAATGCTGTCTCTGTCCTCTCCATAGACTCTTTCTTATTTATTGCTCCCCCAGCTCCACAGCTGCTGGCTTTCAGACACAGGGGCGAGGCCGGTCTCCTTCCTGGAGTGGGCTGTTCTTTTGCCTGCCTATTTAGAATTATGCACCAGATTTTATTATGATTCCACAAATTAACAATAACGCTAATTTTTGAAAAGATTATCGTTTTAAACACAATACAATAGCATGAACTCAGGGAATAGTTTGTTATAACTAATAATTCAGAAGACCTCAAACCCTTTTTTTACTGAGCAGTAATAACTAGTGTTTCTAGAATATATATTTTTTCTGACAGTAGAAACAATAACTAAAAGGATAACCATTCTAACACAAAATGTTCTACGGATTAAAATGCCATTTGTTTCTAAGTAAATAAGATGTCCTTACAGACCCACATTTTGTTGAGCTATGAGAGTATTTGGACTTTTATCACCGTGTTAATTAGGAAAGGGAAATTCAGAGCAACAATTGTGGTTTCTCTTAGGAACTAGGTACAAAATGATTAGGGAAATAAGGAAAGCTCTTACTATCATGGAGGATAAAGATGTGGAATTGCCGGCTTGAAGACTGGAAACATGAATGAAGAACATATGGGCTGGAACAAATGTATGAAACTGAGCTACACACCAGTCCTGGGAATGTTGGGATCTATCTCTTGGGTCAAACAAGATCCCTGGCACAGATGTAAACTTCTATAAATGTTTGTAGATTAAATGAACAAAGATTAGTTTGGGACTAGAATAGTGGGTAGAATAATAGCTGGCTCAGATCGAGGATGAAAAGGTATCTTTTGTAATTTTTGACTTTGCCAGTGGTTTGGGGAAAGGGTGGTGGTATGTTTTGGCACTAGGAGATAAGGTTTAAAAGGATCCGCAGAGATACAGTCCAAGTCCCAAGGAAGCCAGATCAAATTTCAATTTCGAAGGCAATGTCACAGTAGGGTAGTGATGCAGGCCATTTATTGTCCACTTGGTTTCTTAGACACAGACCAGCTCTACTGACTATACACAGACTGTTATTGTTTTTTTCAGTTTTCCAGTTCAGAAACATATACTTTTGGTGGAAAGGTGATCCAAGAGATTTGTAGGCAATTCAGTAAAAACTCATACCTACTAATGGAGAAAATATCAAAGCAGCCATCTTGATGAATTAAATGGCCATCTTGTGCATTAACGACTATCTGGCAAAAAGAAAGTTGAACTACTGTTCCTAAACTGAGTATGTTTATTTCCTCCTAGTCAGCTATAGAAAGCGGCTGTCTTAAGTCTTTGCCAGTTTGGCCTCATTAATTGGTCCCATCAGACTGGTGAGCTCCTTCTCAGTGTGGCTAAACAAGGTTATACTTCATAAGCAAACAGTGCTCTAGGAAGTGATTAGAAAATTTTTTGTTTAGGCAAAGTATACCCTGTCCTATACTCCTCTCTTCAGTCCTTGTCGTATTGGTTTGAACAAGAACATTAAGTACCTGATAATCAGTCTCAAATCTCTATTTATTTGATTCCAATTATACTGTCTATAGTTGACTACATCACAGGATAAGAATTCCAAATCTTAGAGAAAAAGATAATTTGATATTGATTCTGAGTTGGTAGGAAAATATCCAAATGTATATATGCTCAACCAGGACAAAACCTCAGGTAGAAAAACAGTGTTCTCGTTGGAGAGAAAAATGTACATTATTGTTTTTTCTCCATGCTTTTTTTTTTTCCATGTCGGAACTTTTATTAGACAGAAAATTTTGGCTTTATTTCCTGCCCCTCTGATCTACATCTCCTAGTCCATTTTGAAGACATAGTCAAATTCATCTTCATAAAGAGTCAATTTGATCATTAACACTCTCCCCTTTAGTAGTTCCCTATCATCTATGGAACAGAATTCTAACACCTTGGTTTATAGCTGGGCATTGATGACACAGTATTAATCCCATTATCATTATTATCTCTACCATCATCATCATAAACATGTGCTGAACATTTAACATGTGCCCAACGCTAGGCTTGGTTCTTTATCTCATTTTATCCTATGAAGAAGGGATATTGTTATCCTTATATTAGAGGCGACAAATATGAGGCTTAAGGAGGTTGTCACTTATTTAAGGTCATGCAGTTAGTAATCAAGCTGGAACCCAAAGTTCAAATAGTACCAGCCCAATTTTCTCTTCCAACCCTCTCCCATACTTCCTCTTAGACCAGACTTGCTTTCTCATTGTCCCCTGAATTGGCCTCAGCATTCCCATAGCTACATTTTTGCTGTTATCTACTACAACTCAGAATGCCTGCTACTTTTCTTTTTATTCTTCTAAAATCCTGACAATTTCCAATTTTTTTAAAAAAATTTCAAATCTGCTATGGAAACTAAATTCACTTTAGGAGATCACAATTAACCTCATACCAAAAGCAGACCAAGAAATTATAAGAAAATAAACCTGCAGCACAATATCCTTCATAAATATTAATGCTAAAACACTCAGCAAAATAGTGCCAAGTCAAGTATAACAATATGTAAAAGAATAATATATCATGGTTAAGTATGGCTTACCTGAGGAATGCAATGTTATTTCAACATTCAAAAACAAATTAATATAAATCACCATAACAAACTTAAAAGGGAAAACCATATGATTATCTTAATAGATAAAGAAAAATCATTTGAAAAAAAATCAAACCTCAGTAATGATAAAAACTCTCAGTAACATAAGACTAGAAAAGAAATTCCTTAAGATGATAAAGGATATCTTTTAAAACCTATTGTGTAATGGTAAAAGATTGAATACTTTTTTCCTAAGATTTACACAAATTAAAGATGTCTACCTTCACCACTCCTTTGTAACATGATACTAGTTTTAGAGCAGTCAGGCAAGAAAAATAAAATTTAAAATATGCAGAAAGAAAAAAAAAGAGGGAGAGTATGAAATAATAAATCTGTTTCTTGTCATAGGTGACATTATTATCTGTGTATAAGATTCCAAGAGATCTACAAAAGGCTACAAGAATTGATGAATGAGTTCAGCACGGTTGCAGAATACAAAGTCAATTGTCTGTAGCAATAAAAATTTTCAAGTTAAAATTTAGAAAGCAGCACTATGTGCAATAGCACACACATACACACACACAAAACAACAAACAAGCAAATCATGAACTATTTAAGTATAAATTCAACCACATATATGCAGGACCTGTTAGGCAAAAATTTCGAAATATTACTGAGAGGAATTAAAGAAGACCTAAATTGTGGATATATACCATGTTCATGGATCAAAAATATTACATTTTGTTAAGATGTTAATTTTCCCCAAATTGATCTATAGGTTCTTTCAGGATAATTTTTATAGAAATCAATAAACTTATTAAACACTTATAGCAAAATGGAAAAGGCCTGTTATAACCTAGGCAATTTGAAAGGGAACAAAATTAGAGATCTTACACAATCTGATTACAATGCATATCATAAAGCTACAGTTATCAAGACAGTGTGGTATTGGTATAAAATTAGAAATACAGATATAACACCATGGAGTGTCTAGAAATAGGTCTACGTACATATGGTTAACTGGTTTTCCACAAAGGAGCCAAGGTTATCTAATGGGAATAGGATAATCTTTTATACAAGTGGCTCTGGGAAAAACTTAATATCCAATAAGCAAAAACATGAATGTTAACTGTTAGCTCATACTACATAAAAATTACACTGAAATGAGTCATAGACCCAAATATGTTTGCTAAAATCACAAAACTTCTAGAAATAAAATTAGGAAAAACTATTAGTTACCTTTGGTTTGGCAAAGGTTCTTAAAATGAGGCACAAAAAGCACAAATTCTACAATTAAAAAATAACAACTTGACTTCATCAAAGTTAAACTTCCAGTTTTTGAAAGATACTTTTGTGAAAATAAAAAGACAAATCACAGATTGAAATAAAAGATTAAAAAAATCACATACATCATACAGAGCTTGTCTCTAGAATGTATATAAAAAGCACTTGAAACTCAGTAATAAGACAAAAGAATCAGTTAAAAAATGAACAAAAGAGTTGTAAAAACCCTTTACCAAAAGAAATATATCGATGGAAAGTTGGCACAAGAAAAGATGTTCAATATTAGTCATTAGGGAAATACAAGTTAAAACCACAATGAGATACCACTACACACTTACTAGAATGGCTAAAATTAAGCAGATTGATCATAATACATGTTGGCAGAGATGTGGAGAAATTGGAACTGATAGGAATGTAAAAGAACACAAAAGCTCTAGAAGACTTTTGGTAGTTTTTTTAAACATTAAACATATGCCTAGCATAGGACCCAGCTCTTCCACAACTAGTAACTACCAAAGAGAAATCAGAGCATGTATCTACATAAACACTTGTACATGAATGTCTATAGCAGCTTTAATTATAATAGCTAAAAATGAGATCTGAAGTGTCCATCAATAGGCAAATAGGTATAAACAAATTCTGGCATATGCATACAATGAGATTCTACTCAACTATAAAAGAAAAAGAACTATTCATAAATGTAACAATGTAGATCAATATTAAAATAATCATCCTGAGTGTAAGAATTAAGAGGAGTATGATCTATTCATATAAATCCAAACTAATATGACAGCAGATTAGTGGTTACCTTTAGCGGGGTGGGAGTAGAAAGACAGATGACAAAAGCACATGAAAAATCATTTATGGGTGATAGATAATATTTATCACCTTAATTATGGTCAATGTTTCATGCTTATATGTCAAAACTTATCAAATTTTACATTTATACTATACACTATTTTATGTCATTTATAGCTCTTTTAAAGCTGTAAAACAATTAAAAACTAAGTTATTAGAAAAAGAATAATATTCTTACAGATAATGAAACTAACTAGAAGTAGATGCCAGGAAAACAAATGGAAATCTTACCTAATATTCAAAACTGAACAAGAAGAAATTTAAGAAGTTACAGAAGCTATGAAAAAAAGCATATATCAGAATTATCAAAATTCAGAAATGAGGTGATCAGAGGAAAGGAAGATTAGATCAAGAGTTTGTGGAACTCAGAAAATAATACAAAATAAAAAATTCAGAAATAAAAACTAAACTAGAAAAAAATATGTGAGTAAATAGATCCAAAGATAATTCCTTAGAAGATGAAAAAGAAGAATTTTGAAAAATAGAAAAACAGACCAAAAGGATTTGTGTGAAAGTGACAGGAAAAGAATATAGGTAAAGAAGAAAAATTATACATATGTTTTGAGTCACTAAAGGATAAATTCAAAGGAATGGAAGAGAACAAATTCTAATCACCATAAGTCAGGAAAACTTCTTGGAATTAAAAAAATTATGTTTTGAACCTACATATTGAAAGAGTGTGGTTTGTCCTTGCGAAAAATTACTTTATAACAGAAAACATTGAGATTTATTCCAAAAATAGGAAGTAGAAGGAGAAAGAGGAGTAAGAGGAGGAAAAGGAAGAAGAGAATCAACTTAGTAGGAATGAGTATCTCAAATACACAAATTGTGGTTTCTCGATGTCATTTTCCATTAAAAGGAACCGGAAGTAAAGGTAAAAGTAGCTGATTCTGGAGGTCGCAGCAGAAAGTATACAAGGTGATCCTGGGGTATTTTATGATACAGAAAGCAGAAAAGATACCAAAGTCAACTAGGGTGATGGCAAAAGGATTTAGCAGCCAATCTGAATTAGATTCTACTGACCAAACAGGGGGAACCTTGTCCATCAGTAAGGATAACTGCAGTGGACTGCAAGACATTAAACATGTTTGAATCCAGCAGTTCATAATGATAATATTAATCATGGCAACAATGATAAAATCAATAAACTAGTTTTTGACCTTTTCAAGATGGTAGGGAACCATTCATCATTTTAAAAACTGGTAATTAAAGAAAACCATCAAGCTTTATCTTGTCTTTCTGGTAAGATTTATAGATCAGGGTGACAAAAGAGTTCATGAGAAAATTTCTTCTTTGAAGAATTTCAGCTAACAGATGAAGAAGGAATGATACAATTATCATATGACTATTCTGCAATCCCTAATGAATTAATGGTTCCAGGCATTGATCATCAGTGGCTGCTACCATCACAAAAACATAAATAACTATACATTATGCATTTCCAGACGGAAGTTCATCTAAAAATAGTCTTACAACTACACAAATAACAAAATCAAACCTGAATCTGACCTAAGCTCTAGGAAGTTAGCAATTTTGAATATGTTATTATTAACTGTAGTCATGGTGCTGTGCATAGATCTCTAAAAGTCATTCTTCTTGTAGAAGAATGCCATTTATAGCTCAGTAAAGCTGTAAATATAAACAATTTATTTTATGTCATTTATAGCTCATTAAAGCTGTAAAACATTTAAAAACAAAGTTATTAGAAAAAGAATAATATTTTTACAGATAATGAAACTAACTAGAAGTAGATGCCAGGAAAACAAGGGTAGAAGAAAACTTTCTACCCTTGGACAACAGCTCCCCATTCCTCATCTTCCTACCCCAGCCATTGGTAATCATCATTCTACTCTTTCTACTTTCCACTTCAATGAATTCAACTTCTTAGATTTCACAATTGCTGTAAGAGTACATTTTAAATGTTCCCACCCACCACATGAAAAAATAAGTATATGAGGTGATGGATGTGTTACTTAGCTTGATTTAGCCATTCCACAATGTAAACATATATAAAAACATTACATTGTGCCTCATATATATGCAATTAATATATGTCAATTAGAAAACAAAGTTATAAAAAAGAATAAAAGAGAAAAAATTATCATACTAGACTTCGGTAAAAAAAATTGCTCAGTTATTTTTAATGAAAGGTGAAAATATAACTTCTATAAGATAATAATTGTTTAGTGTACAAAAGGTATATAAGTATAAAAGTGTAAAACTAGTATTTGAATAAATCTTAGTTATTTCCTCTCCTGCCCCCTCCCACAAATAGGAAGTGAGACCTATAATAGAGGGTTTGAATTTAGTGGTCAGTTTAATTCAACATCTACTCTGAATTTGTTATTATCATACAATTGGAAGATAGATACAGAAGCCATAGGTCTTCCTGCTTTCAAGATTTTTACAACATTGTTTCCATTTTAAGTGTGTGTGTGTGAGAGAGAGAGCGAGCGAGCACTGGCGAGAGAGAAACTATTATTCAATTTTTAATTTTAAGTAATCCTAATTAATAATTTTTATGTGTTCTATCATTTAATCTTCACAGCTATCCTAAGAATTACCTGTTATTTTAGGGATGGTTTTATAAGTTAAGTAGCTTGCTTTAGGTCATTGCTGCCTGATTTTAAAACCCATACTTTCATCTTTTACAACATAATTACTTCCTTCTCTAAATGGCTCTAAAAAGAATTCGAAAAGTGGTAGTCTGTAGTATGTATCTCATTCAGTTTGTGCATTATAGACTCATTTAGGGTAATTTTTTAAGCTATTTTACATACAAAAATCCACGTCTTTGGGTTCTTCTGAAAAATAGGAAGACTGGCAAGAGATGGCCCATATTCTTGCTCAAGTGAGTAGAACTTACCCTTTTTAGGTAGTATAAATACTCTGGAGTTTGCCACGATCCCCACCAATCTCTATAGATTCTTTCATAGGCCAGCTTTATCTACCCTTCATTTCTTTCAGATCCTCTAGCCATTTGTGGTATAAACCCTGATCTATAGCACAGCATTTAATTAATTAAATCACTCAGTGCCCTGTCCTATACTGTTTGTGTCATAGTTATTTGTCTACATGTATTGTCTGTAATTAGAGACAATACATGTCTCTGTAATTTCTATTTCTAGAAGCTTGTAGAGATATGTATTGTCTGTAATTAAAGAAATACATGTCTGTGTATTGTCTCTAATTATAGAAAATACATATGTCTATAAGCTTCTAGAAATAGAAATTACATATCATTATTTATTTTACATTTTCCATTGCATAAAATTGTTTAGGCAGCCAATGAATAAATAAATAAATTTAATTAGTTAAATAAATAAATAAATTTAATTAGTTAAATAAATAAATTTAATTAGTTAAATAAATAAATAAATTTAATTAGTTGATTACTGAGAATTAAGGCGAGTAGTTGCCATTCAAGCTGGTAGTAGTCTTTGTTGATTTAATACAATTTTTGAACATTCATTCAACATGAAGTGTGTCACGGCTGCAACAAGGAAAAGTAAGTTGCTGAAAACATGATTGAGATAATGGTGTCTTTGTTGCAGAGTGAAAAAAGTTGGACTGAAAATACTTTTTATCTTTGAAAACTTCATCTCATTCTCAAAATCATCCCTCTCTGTGGAACTCATATTTTATAGCTGAAATAATCAATTTTTGTGGGGTGTTATTACTCACACTATCTTTTCTGTTGAGAGAAAAATGTGTTTTCAAAGCACAGGTTCCCAATCTTTCAAAATTAGTCATCATGCTAGAAAATGAAAATGTAACTTTAGTATGTCCAGATGTCGCCCTTTAAAAGGAATACTTTCCAACCCTATGGGGACCAATCCTGGATGTTTCTGCAGACCCATTGCCCACAGGGATGTACAGAACAGATAAAAGCTCAGCTGTAAAGAGGGATATAACCAAAAAACAAGACAAACACAGTAAAGGAATCTTCCCATTTGTCTCTGCATTCTGTTCTTCCTTTCCCCCTTGTGACATACAGAAAATATAATTTGTTTTCCTGTCTTTTAAAAAATTTAAACATTTTACTTCTTTGTAATACACTGTGGCCAGAAAAAAAAAATGGAATTAAAAAAGTCTGGTGTACTTTCTGAGTGTTGTGTAAGGCCTCCCCTTCCAGGCAATTTGCTAGGTTCAGTTTCTGCAGTGGAATTTTGAGATCCATGGCAGAGTAGGGGACTGAAGGCTTTACTGTAACTCACCCTCAATGTGCAGAATCAGAGGGGTTTCAGAGATAGCAGGACACACTGAATATGCATCCCCAGGCCAGATTGGGAGTGAGATAGTAATGAAAGGTAGGATCAAGGGTTAAGCTCTAGTTTAGAGGTGCTACAGTTTTGACATGAACAAGGAGGGTCTAATGATTACAGCCCTGAATATTGTAGCCTTCCTTATCAAAATCACCTTTATTGGGAGATGGAGTCATGATGGAAGGGTGCCCCCAGAGGCAATGAGGCATCTCCCAGGGGCCAAAGGGACCATCAGGATATTTTTATATCAGAAGATGGTAAATGGGCTTGGCCAATTTGGGGAAGACCTCTTGACGTTATCTTCTCATCTTCATATTGGGCCAAACTTTCCATAGTATTCAGGGCCTTTACAATCTGATCCTAACCTACCTTTCCTGTCTTGTTACTGATTCCTTCATGCTCACCATCTAAGCACCTTGTACAGACAAGCCATACTGACCTATATATACTTACCCATATTTTTGTTATGTTTCCTCTTTGGGAAGGTCTTTACTACCCATGAAACACTCCTGGGATTCATCTTTCCCCTCTGCATTCTCATAACTCATCCCCGGCTTTAATTCCATATCTTCTGGCTTCTTAAAGGCAAAGATGAGACTGAATGATTTTATGTGCCTGCCGTACAAGGCCAAGCACATGTCTTAAGTACAACAGATACCCAAGGTAAAGAGGGAAGCTCAGTCAGAAATCAGGCTAACTCCATGGAAGAGCTTGGTTTAAGTACAATAATCTGAAACAAAATGGATTTGAACTAATAAGTCTTCCCCTTCTATTATTTCTGTTCCCATTTAAAAAAATCTATAGAATAGGCTCAGGCCTTTTGCCTTGACCTTTTTCTTGAATCTCTAGTTTTTATGTTATGGGCCATATACCTTTAAACAATCTAAGGAGATTTCCAGAGATCAGCAAAAATGGTGTGCCTTGGTGCTAGTTCAATCTTGGTATCAAGTAATCATCTGGACCTCGTCCATATTAAGAAATCAGACAGATGCAAAAATTACATAAGTCCTACATATTAATTCAGATAATGGTTTGTAAACCTCTTTTTAAATTTTATGGAGCACCTTATGAAAATACTATCATGCTTAAAATCTCAGTATATGAAACAGACAAACATGGGTCCTCCATGTAAGATTTGCTGGACATTCTTACGTGGGGCAATGAGAGAACTCAGATTGCTATTACTGACAAATCTCAGCTGCTTGTCACAAGACATGAGCTATTAAGGTGATGAGACAAAGGAGCCAACCTAGGAAGAAATTGTTCCACATGGAGTGAAAATAAACCTTTGTAAAAGCACATGTAACATTGGACAGACCTTTACAGCCTGCTTTTATTGAAGATAAACACTTCATTTCAACCTGATAAATTGCCATTTTGCTTAGCTGTGGCCTTGTTTTAAGATGTCATGTATTCTTATGCGTTGCATCTTAAAGACAATCAATATTGTTTAAGAATCTTGACTGTGCCTAGCTCTACTTGGAAATAAATAGAAACAATACAAAGTTCAAGTGTAAAGAAGGAAGTAGTAAAATTTAAAAAGGCATAGACCTCACAGTTCTACAGATCTAAGTATTGCCTACAGATTTATCACTTGAAATGTGTGGGTTTAGGCAACTACTAAACCTCAGTGAAACTTATTTTCAATGAAATAGTCATGTCAGTGCCTACCTTGAAAAATTGTTACTAGAATGTGATATGTAGACTGTATGTAATGCATCTAGAGAGGTTGCTATTCAGTGGATGCTTTTCCCACCATACTTACAATAGGAAATGTCAAACAAGAACAGTTACTAAATCAAAAGTAACATAAAATGAGAACTGCCCATTGTCTCTGTAGATTTTAATTAATGAACATCTGTAGTTAACAATAATCTATTGTGCATTTCAAAATAATTAGAGGAGTGGCATTGGATGTTCCTAACACAAAGAGGTGATAAATGCTTGAAGTCATAGCTATCCCATTTACTCTGATTTGATCATTACATAAGCTATGCTTATATCAAAATTTTGATTGTACTCCATAAATATGTACAACTATTACATATTCATTACAACTAAGAATTAAAAAGAGATTACCTTCATTTCATCTCATGTATTCATTCATTATCGTGGAAAGAATAGAAATGTACCTAACCTTCCTTCCATTCTCAACTGTAATCCATGTATCTCTTCTCATCTACACGGTTGTGAAGTTCTGGGCTGTGGGGGCTGTCTTAGCAAGGTGAATCCAGGTGAGAGCCTGCACAGAAGGTTCAGAGGTCCCCAGGAATTGAAATGTTAGGGATTCTGAGAAAACCTTGGCCCCAGAATCATAAGCCTAGAGGTAATGTATGAGTATGGTGTCTTTAGTCCTCTAAAAGCTAAAGAGAAACTGAGCCACTGAATGAGGTGTCTCTACTCCTGAGGCTGAAAGAATTCAAGGAGATGGAGAACACAACAGCCCACAGGGAACAAAATATTTTACGTTCCATCCTTGCCAGACTGCTATCACAACTTGCAACATATTCAACTAATAATAAAAATAATAACTAATCTATGGGTACTCAGGAACAGAGAGAGGAAGATCAAACAGAACAAAGTCCAGCAACACAGAGCTACTGGATGACAACAATAGCAAACACAAAATAAAAGTATTTAAGGATCTTCAGGTACAGCACAGAAAAACATAATAAATTCATGACTTCTAAGCTAAAACTTTCAGGAGATTAACTGAATTACCAAAAATAATCAAAGTAGAAATCTTGCATATATCAATTGCCACAGAGATTGGTAAGATATGCAAAATCTACTATTTGAAAAAGCACCAAGACCAGATGTGTTCTAAAGTGAATGCTCTCTAACTTAAAAGAGATAAATCTAAAATTATTTGAACTATTTTTTTAATTTAAAAAGTGAAAAAATTCCCACTTTATTTTATGAAGCTAACATCATAGATATACCCAATCTGATAGATATAGTACAGAAAGCTACAGGCAAATCTTAATCAGGAATTAACATGTAACAATGACAAATTAGCTACTAGTGCATGGAATCCAGCAATATATCAAAATAATACTATAATATGACTAAAAAGGTTTATTCGGAAAATGAGTAGTTCAAATCAGAAAAGTCTCTCTAATCTAGTATATCAACGAATAAAAAAGAAAATACTTTATTAACATCAATATGAAATGCAGACATTTGATAAAATATCCAGTAATTTCTGAAAATTACCAAGTAAAATAGAAACTACTTAATAAAATTACCTAAATATATTGTTTGCCAAAAATCAAAAGCATACAATAGTCTAAAGAGTAAAACAACAGACCATTTATTATAATGACAGGAAATAAACAGAATGCCTTCTATCAAGATTATAAATCAACATTGTCTTGGAACTTAGGCAAATACAGTAAGATAAGAAAATAAGATTATTGGCATAAAAATTGACAAAATGCAGCTATCTATTTTTTTGCTGATAATATAATTGTACACTCAGAAAACTCCAGAGAATCAAGGAAAAAAATAGCTACAATTAATAAGAGCATTTGGTAGTTTCTTGGATACAAAATAATTATAATAACACACATATATGCATTTATTTGTTTGCATAGTACTATACACACACACTCACAAAGACACATATCAATATACATGTGTATCGTCTCAACACCCATGAACTATTTTACAGAGCAGCACTAGCTGAGCTAACAAACATTGGAAACTAAGTAGCTTACCATAGTTGAAGTCAATGTTGCCCTCGTAAAAAGTATAATAGGCCTGGTGCGGTGGCTCACGCCTGTAATCCCAGCACTTTGGGAGGCCGAGGTGGGCGGATCACGAGGTCAGGAATTCAAGACCAGCCTGACCAACATGGTGAAACCCTGTCTGTCTAAAAATACAAAAATTAGCCAGGGGTGGTGGCGCGTGCCTGTAATCCCAGCTATTCAGGAGGCTGAGGCAGGAGAATCGCTTGAACCCTGGAGGCAGAGATTGCAGTGAGCTGAGATCACACCACTGCACTCCAGCCTGGGCAACAGAGCAAGACTCCATCTCAAAAACAACAACAGCAAAAAGTATAATAGGCAGTGATGGGGATGGAAGAAAGGAAGTTCATTCTACAAGGTCATCCAAGAAACTCAGGTGGATAGAGGTTCTGCCATCTTTATTTTAGTTTGTTCTAGGAATTAACATCTATTAATAATTAGTGAATAGAGACAGTGAGAAAGCCTCAGATATTTTTGAGTTAGGCCTATACCTAGTGAATAAAGTTTATGCCACATTCTGTTGGCATAAACTCAGTTACTTGGAACCACATAGATGCAAGTGAATCTGGAAAGTATAGTCCTTAGGGTACTAGACAGCCACTTCTCAGGAATAACTCTTCATTATGGAGAGGGAGTGTGACATTGTGGTGGGGGGCTAGTTATCTATAAGTAGCAATTGTTATTGCTACTTTGCAGGTGAGAAACTGAGGCATGAAAAGGTTAAATGGCATGACCAAAGGCATGCATGAGGGAGAAATAGAGCTGGGATTTAAGCCCAGCCAGTCTTACTCCAGAATCCGTGGTCTTAACCATTAGGCTATACTACCGCTGGACTATATCATATAGCTTTTGTCTATTTTAGAAATAAGCACCAAGAAATAGAGACACACACAATAATCTTAATTATTAAAGGAAACTACGAAGGTAGTAGGCATCGATTTAACAAGAAAGACACAGTTCTATGTGAAAGAAACTATAAAATGCCATTGAAGGACATTATAAAACAGGAACATATGAAAAAGCATTGTGTATTCTTGGATAAGACATAATAGCATAAAATATTGATTCTGCTATAATTACTAACTGAAGAGAGTTTATTTTTCTAATTAGAAATTTATATGAAATAAAAATTGTTCAATATTAGCCTGCAAAAACACAACAGTGGGGACTGTCCTATCAGATATTAGAGCATACTATAATCAAATCAAAATGGAAATGTCAGAGAAATAGATAAAATAGATAATCCAGAAAGAAATCCCAGCATATATTAAAATTTAATAGATGTTAAAGATGCTATTTCAATTCAGCCGGGAAAGGATGAATTATTAAACAAATGTGATAGATAGTTATCCATGGTTATTCATGGTAAAGAAAATAACACGGGGCCTTTATATCACCTACAAAAATAAATTCCAGATGGATAAAATACTTAAATGTAAATAACAAAAATGTAAAAATCTTAGTGAAAACCAAGAAGATCACATACAATCTAAAGCTGGGGGAAACTTTGTTAACCCAGACAGGAAGACCAGAAACCATTTACAAACAAATAAACATAATTGCTTATGTAGAAATAATTTTTAAAATGCTTCCTGCATAGCAAAAAAATATGAATCAATAAACCATATATTGGGAATAAATAGCACTGTAGCCAACAAAATCTTAACAGCTTTAATTACATAAAAAGATCTTGTGAGTGAATGACAAGAAAAACAATTGGACAGTAAAAAAAAGGACAAAAATATGAATACACACTTCAAGGAAAAATAATTAAAAATGGACTAGCATACATATTTTAAACTTCTCAAACTAGTATTGGTCAGGAAAATATAAGTTGACGTGACAATAAAATATCACATGCCTATCAAACTGACAAGAATTGTAAAGACCTCTATTACCTGTTCCTGATGGAGAATTTAAGTGTGCATGCACACATTGCTGGTACACATATTAATTGTTACATCTTTTAGGGAAAGCAATCTAGCAGCATATGTTTAAAATTACACATACCATTTGACCCAGCAATCCCATAGAAATAAACAAATCATGTCTTATGACGTAAGGGGTTCAATCCATCATAAAAGCAAAGTGGACTTGCGATTTATAATATTTTTGAAGACTAAAAGTGATCCATTTATTTATGTGATGGCTCACCTTTCCTCAGTGAGGGTGATCTGTGACTCATCAGTGCTATCCCTGGCTTGAGTTTGACATATCCAAGCTCCTGTGTCCCTGTGGCTCAGTGATTAGTGCTCAGTGAAACCTAATTTAGGAAAAACTGTAATATTTGGTTCAGTTTTAAGGTGTCTAGACTTCTAGGTTCAGGCTGAGATGAAGCTAGACAGTGATCTAAGTTTGGAGCAGAATGGAAGGGTATATGTAAGGACTTCCTCTGAAATCTCCCAAGAAAGGTGAGGAAAAGGGGTCCATTCAGGAAGATAGAACAATGTAAGACTGTTAGAATATTATAGACCTTGCTGCTTGTGTTAGGTTGTCGCAGTAATGGCTCCCAATTTATTCTCACATTCTTTAGGCAGTTGTATTGGTCAGTTTTCACACTGCTGATAAAGACATACCCGAGACTAGGAAGAAAAAAAGGTTACATGGTCTTACAGTTCCTCATGGCTGGGGAGGCCTGGCAATCATGGCAGAAGGCAAGGAGGAGCAAGTTACATCTTACATGGAAAGCAGCAGGCAAAAAAAAAAAAAAGCGTGTGCAGGGAAGCTCTCCTTTTTTAAAACCATCAAATCTCAGACTTATTTGTAATCACAAGAACAGCATGGAAAAGAACTGCTCCTGTGATTCAATTACCTCCTTCCCAGTCCCTCCCACAACATGTGGGAATTCAAGATGAGATTTGGGTGGGGACACAGCCAAACCATATCAGCAGTCCTCTACCACACTGACTCCGGGCTTGGTCATGTGGCTTGCTTTGGTCAAGAAAGGAGAGACTTGAAAAGTGCTCATCTATTTTGGCTTGCTTTCTCTTGCTGTCCTTAGGACCTGGAGACTATCATAACATGAACAGGCTTGGTTTAGCCTACTAGATGATGAGGACATTTGGCACCGTCATCCTAACAGTCAGCCAATTAACTGTCAAACACATGAATAAGGCCATCAACCACCAGCTGATGGAAGATGCCTGAGTGAGCTTAGCTGATATCATAACTGCCCAGGTTGGCCCAGTCCAAATTTTCAACCCATGAAATCTTGAGCTAATAAATGGGTATTTATTTTAGGGTTTGTTACCCATCTACCATACTGCCAAAAGGCCAGGAGACAAAAATGCCATAAAACTTTAGAGACTTTTGAGTATCCATGTTTTGAAGTGGGAGACTTACTTGAATACAACCAAGTGTAAATTCTTAGAAATGTGTATGAATGGAGATAGGGTATACCAGGAAGAGAAATGAAAAGAAAGGCAAAGGCTTACACTGAACAATAAGAACACCTAATCAAGTTGACTCAACCCTTAAAAGAAACAAACTGAAATGTAACATAACAGCATTAAAAAGTGTGGATGCTTAGATTGTACAAATAATGGAGTTTGGTTATAAGCATATCTAGTTTTCCAAATTTTAAATTAAAGTCATTCTAAAAACACATGGTACACTAGATATAAAAACACGAGACTCAGAGAACTAAATCATTTTTGTAAAAAATCCAAGCAGTATTTAATTAGTTTGAAGTAGTGCTTATGATGTATAGCTTGGGAAGAATTGTTTTAGATATAAGACTTGCAATGAGGAGCTGGGGAGTGAATTATGGTCAGTGTGGATCAATCCAAATGAAATCCATTGCCCAGTAAAGCATAAATTATAATTATGAATTTCTCCTGAGTTTTGTTTTCTGTTACTGTCATCAATGAGAAGTAATTTACTTCTCTGCCCAACCCCTTGTCTTGTTCCCAAAGGATCACTTCAAAAAGCTTTCATTAAGTGCTTTGGGCAGAGTCAGTAAGATAAGAACTTTCATTGAAAGAATAGTGTCCAATCTATTGCGGATGTGGATGTGGGGATACTTTTGTCCCCAGAATATTTCTTAGGGAAAATACCACTGTACATTTTATATACATTAGGCTTTTTAAAACACAGTATGCCATCACTGAAACATTACTACTGTCCTCAGAGAGTATTATTTCCTTTGTACAGATGAGAAAGTTTAGATCAGCAGTTGGTCAGCACCCAGGCCCTTATCTCGTAGGTGTTAGCGGTTCCAAATACAGCCAGCTGCCTCAGCAAACCACCTGGCTGGAAAACTCCCTGCTAGTTCACTTTGACTCTCCACTAAAGAAAGCATTGCTTTGAAAATCAAAGTGACAAGCTCTGTAGTATTAATAGGAGTTACCCATCCCAGGTGTCAGCTTTCAAGTCGCTGAGCAGAGAGTAGATTTTTCCCCATGCCTAGAGTGCCACTCCAGTGCGGAGCTGGAATTAACACTTCCATTTTCATCAGCTCTCCAACCCTTGCCCTCCTGTCCTGCACTTTCTATAGAGCTCCATGACAACTAAGTCAAATGTGCAATTTTATAAATATGGAAGCAATCGTTTTGCTAAATTAATTTGTTCTGCATTTGCAAACCTAAAAGTTTCTTTGAAGGAAAACAAAAGAACACAGAGAATTGGATTTTAAGTTTTGGAAACACAGACTATGTTACCCCAGAAATCTAATTTTCTAGATTAATGAATCATATCAGATATTGTAAATTAGAAATTACTTCTACAGCATGGAAGACAATGTGAATAAATTGAAGCTGCTTGTTGAAAAAGACATTGTGGTAACCACATGTCACACACACTTAAACATAGCTCTGTGTTTTCTAGGCTCAGTTGAATTGGTTCCCCGCTATTAGAAATCCTCCCTTGGTCTTTTTAGTAGATCGCTGTCTCAAAGAATTCCAGTTTTCCCTCTTTCCTGTTGTTCTTAGAACTTTAGGAAGGATCTGAACCATGTGGAGATGCTGAAATACCAAAACATTTAGTTCAATGGCTTATTTATGCAATAACAGTATTTTACATTTATTATAACAACATTATTTCCAAAGCATGACTATACATATTATTTCATTTGATTTACATAGATTTCTAAAACATTTACAGGGAACAAGGCTTTATGATATGGAGGAACTGGTATTTTATCTCCATTTTATGAACAGGAACATTTGGGCAGAAGGCTTAGGGAATTTGCTGGCCGCCAGTGGAGGAATTGCTCAGGGAGCCCTGTTCCTTTCAATCCATCTCCCTCTCTCTCTCCTATAGCCTGCTAATTAAGCTCATCAGAACCACACTGCAGTAAAAAGAGCTTTCTCTGGCCCTTAATAAGCCACTGCTGCTCTATGTTGGAGAGAGAGTGGGAAAAGTCAAGGGCCGGATGTCAGGAGAACTAGTTCCTGCCTCAGCCTGCCTTGATTCATCTACATTCATTTGTTGGACCCTAGAGTCTTAAAATGGGAGTAAGGATATCTCCTGCATTCACTGGCTTGTTATGATAATAAAATGTAATCATGCATATAAAAGTCTTTTGTGAATCATAAATCACTACATAAATGTCAAGGTGAGATAGAAAATCTGTGATGAAGAAAACCTGTCTTCTCTGAGCTCCCAGACCCTAGAGCCAGACACAGTGCAAAATGGTTTAGATAGTATATCTCATTTAATCTTCAACCCAGGGAATTGAGTAGTAGTATTATTAGGTCCCATTTAATTTCTTTACCAATTATCTTAAATTATTAAATAATTTGAATATTTTGTAGCATAAAAACACACTTGTCCAGGAAATAATACAACATAAGCACCTATCAGATTTTAACACTTAACAAAATACTCTTCAGATGTTTCCTTCCCCCCACCCCCAAAAATGAAATGTTACAGATGTAGCTAAAGTGCTACTCTCATCTCTCCCCTCCTTCTTCACGTTCCTGCACTTCATAAGCTTTCCTCCTATGGAAGTTTTTGCAATTTTACTACGTGTATATACATCCACAAAAAATACATATCGAATACTTCTGTTTTTAAAATGTGCATGCATTTTAGTTGCTACTGTATGCCTTAACAGTTTTCTTTCAATATTATGTTTTTGAGAGTTATCCCTTTTGATAGATGACCTCAGGTTTATTCATTTTACCTGCTATGTGCTATTCTAACATTAAAATAGACCGTTGATTACTTATCTATCTCCCTACTAATTAATAGGTGGCTTGTTTTCACTGTTTTGTTGTTTCACACAGTGCTATGATAAACATATAAGTGTCACCCTATGTCATTGTGACTGAGTTCCACTATTAAGATACGAGGAGCTGGAACTTCTAGCTTATAGGGTATGAACATCTTCACCTTTACAAGGTTTTGCTAATTTGTTCTCCAGAATGTAACAATCACTTCCCTTTCACCAGGGTCTGACCTCCCTTGTGCCACATGTGTGCCCATATGTGGTGTTATCACAGTTTTATTTTATTTTATTTTTTTGAGATGGAGTCTTGCTCTGTTGCCCAGGCTGGAGTGCAGTGGCACACTCTCAGCTCACTGCAACCTCTGCCTCCTGGGTTCAAGCGATTCTCCTGTCTCAGCCTCCCAAGTAGCTGGGATTACAGACACATGCCACCACACCCAGCTGATTTTTGTATTTTTAGTAGAGATGGGGTTTCGCCATGTTGGCCAGGCTGGTCTCAAACTCCTGACCTCAGGTGATCCAGCTGCCTTGGCCTCCCAAAGTGCTGGGATTACAGGCATGGCCACCGTGCTGGCCTGTTATAGTTTCAAATGCTTATTGATGTGATGGGCATAAAAGGATACTTCATTGTTGCTTTAATGTTCCTCTGTTTTCTATTCACAAAAATTCAAAATTAACTTCTTTAAAGTTTGTCTATGGGAATTCCAGACAATGAAAGCACTTAAGAAATCCAATTCTTGCCTAGTCTAGGTTGTCTATGGATCCAGTAATGTCTGGGAAAAGTAGAGCCTGGAAAAGGCCTAGCTCACAGCTGACTGAAGATTCGGAATCACTTTTCCCTTCTCCAAACCATAGCCAGGAGTTCATCCTTATCATCTACTGCCTGAAGCACTGTAGAAGCTGTTTGACTGGCTTCCCTGCCTCTAGTCTGTTACCAGTCTAATTCTGCGTTATGTGCCCACTTAGGAGTTTCTATCTACTGAATTGTGTCCCCCTCAAATTCACATGTTGAAGCCCTAACTCCCATTGTGATGGTATTTGGAGATGAGGCCTCTGGAAGATAGTTAGGTTGAGATAAGGCCATGAAAATGGGGCTCTCATGACAGGATTAGTGCCTTTATAACAAGAGACTCCAATGACTTTGTTCTCATTCTTTCTTTATTATATAAGGATACAGAGGGAAAGCAACTGTCTGTAAGCCAGGAAGAGAACTTAACCCAGAAACCAAGTCAGTCAGAATCTTGATCTTGGACTTGCCAGCCCCCAGTACCATGACAAAATAAATTTCTGTTGTTTAAGCCATCCAGTTTATGGTATTCTGTTATGGAAGCCCAAGAAGATTAAGGCAGGGGTTGAGAACTCACGCTTCAGAGTCAGATTGGTTAGTTTCCATTGCAGTCTCCCCCACCCTTACCAAATATGTGGCCTTGAGCAAATTTCTGATCCTCTCCTGGCTTCAATTTCCTTATCTGTAAAATGGAGATCTTAATCGTTTTCATGGGATTGTCATCCACATGACAATCCTGTGAGATATTGAATGTGAAATACTTAACCTCGTGCCTGGCAGTTGAAAGTTTCAATAAATCTTAGTTATTGTCATTATTTACATGATCAGATAGAAGCTTTTGTTATGCCATTCCCTTATTCAACAACTTCATGTTTTCCCATTAACTACTTTCTAAGCTATAAAATCAATGCTTTTCAGCACCTGGCCCACAACGTCCTTCCTAGATTTATGTTTCACGATGGCTTTACATGAGCCCTCTTCCTAGTCATGCCTGTTTACACACTGTCCTCCACCAGACTGCAGATTTCTCAGCCACTTCCTCTGCCACTTCCACTTGCAAATTCCACTTGCCACTTCCCCTACCTGGAGCTCTCTCATCTCCATGCCCCCTCTGCTCACCTGAAACCTGTGCAGCCTTTGAGACTCTGGCTCAAATCTCTTGTGGTAAGTAGAATAATAGCCCCCTATGTATGTTGACATCCTAATTCTTGTGACTATGTTACCTTACATGGCAAAGGGACTTTGCAGATGTGATTAAGATTAAGAATCTTGAGATGGGAGATTATCTTGGGTTATTTGGATAAGCCCAATGTAATCACACTAATCCTTATAAGATAGAGGCAGGAGGGTCAGAGTCGGAAGAAGGAGATGTGATGATGAAAGCCAAAATCAAAGTGATGCAAAGCCACAAGCCAAGGAATACAAATTGCCTCTAAAAACCTAAAAAAGACAAGAAATCAGATTATCTCCCAGAACCTCCAGAAGAAGCATGGCCCTGCTCACTCATGTTATACTTCTGCTTTTGGAACTTGGAACTGTAAAAGAATAAATCTGTATTGTTTCGGGTCACTGATGGTAATTTATTGCAGCAGTAATAGGAAAATCATACATCTGTCTTTGACTGTAGAATCTTTCCTAATTGTTTCTCTAAGCTCCCATGGCAAGAGTTTTCCTTACTGCTTTATTTTGGCTCATAACAGTTATTTGCCATTTTATGAACAGTAAAAAATATAGCCCTGACTCCCTTGTGACTAGGGGACACAAATGGGAGATTGAAAGGTGGCTTTTGGCAATGTCTCTGGCAGCAATATCACAAACTATGTTGGTTGCAGGAACTGTGTTGGTGGCAGTGATAGTGGCAGTAACATGTTTCACCACTGGTAGTTGTAGCAGAAGCAGCAGTGGCCTTGGAGTCCAAGCTTCCGATTCCTGGTCAGGCAGCTGGGTTCCAACTGCAGGAGAACTAGCCACACAGTACACTGGCCAATAGACAGATTTTTGCTCTGAGCACCCAGAAACACTACTCATTTCCTGCAAATACCACGAGTAACTTTACTTTCTCCTCTTCTAATTCTCCAGCCCTTGCAATACCCTTGTCATCAATTCTTGTTTAAATATCTTCTGTTTAATGTACCTAGAGTTATTTCTGTTTACCCGATTGGATCTTGAGGGATACAGTTCCTGACATTTCTAGGTATTAAGTATGTATTTTTATTTGTCCATGTCTTATGTCCCACACTATTTGGTAAGTCCTTTATGAACAGGGAGAGTATCTTAAGCATTAATGAGAAGAGTATGGTATATTGTGATAATCCTTGCTAGATACTACAACAAACTACAAAATCCTAGTGGCTTAACACAACAAAGGCTGGTGTGGGTTTTCCACCACTTGGTGACTCAAGGATTCAGCCACCCTTTGTATTGTGATACACCGTATGAATATGTATACCCCAAGCATGGCGTGGCAGAGAAAAGAAGGGTGAAGGAGTTCCACTAGAGTGTAAGTGTTCTCATCCAGAGTTGGTGCTAAGAACTTTACATATATAACCCGTCTCATTCAATTGTCAAAATACTCCTACAACATATGAAAATATTCCTATTTTACAGAGAAGAAATTGAGGCACAGAAGTGAATTAACTTGCTCAAGGGCACAAAGACAGAAAATGACAGCTGGTATCTGAAACCATAGCTGTTTCATTTCAATGTTCATGTTCTTTCTACTATGCTAAAAATATAATCTCTAAGACTAATGTCCTAAACTCAACTTTTAATGTATGGCAATCCTGGATTCTGCAACAAAAATTTTAAAAAATGCTAATGATCATTTATGTAGAGCTTGATATGGGTCAGGCATTGTTTTTAGTCATTTACACATATTAACTCATTTAATCATTTTAATTTTTCCACTTCAAAACTGAAGAATACAGTTAAGTAACTTACCGAAGGTCACATAGCTAGTAAATGACTCTTATAAAAGAGTTAGCAGGACAATTCAAACCTCTGATCTAAGTTGTGTGTGTGTGTGTGTGTGTGTATATATCTATATCTATATCTATATCTATATATATATCTAGATATAGATATATCTATATATATCTAGATATAGATATATCTATATATATATCTAGATATAGATATATCTAGATATATATCTAGATATAGATATATCTAGATATATATCTAGATATAGATATATCTAGATATATATATATATAGATAGAGAGAGAGAGAGAGAGAGAGAGAGAGAGAGAGAGAGAGAGACTCTTGCTTTGTTGCCCAGGCTGGAGTGCAGTAGTGCAATCTTGGCTCACTGAAATCTCCACCTCCTGGGCTCAAGCCAGCCATCCTCTCACCTCAGCTTCCAGAGAAGCTGGGACTACAGGTGTGTGCCAACACACCTGGCTAATTTTTTTGTATGTTTGTAGAGACGGGATTTCACCATGCTGCCCAGGCTAGACTCAAACTCCTGGGCTCAAGTGATCCTCCTGCCTCAGCCTCCCAACATGTTGGGATTACAGGTGTGGGGCTACCATACCCAGCCCTAAATAATATTTTTAAAAATTAATTGAATCATTTATTTGTCCTGAAAAATAGATCCTAAAGTGTACCCCAGGGACTACTACTTTAGAAGAAATTTAGATATAATTTAGATATGCATAGGAGTTATGCAGAAAAAGGAATTCTATGGTCAATTATGCTTGGGAACCACCATTTGCTGTGTTGTCTCCCCCACTTTTGGAGATTCATAATTTATAATTGTGTATTTCTTGCTCTTAAAAAGTCTGTACTAATAAGACTCAATTATTTCTTAAACATATTTACTCATAGAATATGGTCTTTCCCTCTAGC
Source organism: Homo sapiens (assembly GCF_000001405.40). Lineage (NCBI taxonomy): Eukaryota > Metazoa > Chordata > Mammalia > Primates > Hominidae > Homo > Homo sapiens. Next base: position 111,732,911 of record NC_000010.11, on the reverse strand, counting down.
ATCGAGTTCTTTGGATCTCGAGCTGAGAAACCTAGGCCAGATTATCCAACTCAACAAGTTCTTCCAGGGCTTCCAGCAAAGAACCCAGACTTTGCTCTTCTAAAAGGTTTAACCAGAGTAGAACTGTGGTCTGCAACTGAGTGACAATTCAGGGGGGCTGCCCTTTTCTCTATGCAAGCATAAAGCATTACTTTCTTTTTTTCCTGATGGCCATGGCCAGCCATTCTGAGAAAATTCAATCCATCCTCCTCTTAGGCCAAATCCCTGAAGCACAGGCCTGCTGCAAGATGCTATTAGGAAGAGCTTCCTTGGTCAAGTGGAGATTTAGGGCAGATCCTGGTAGGGTGCATTATCCTTCTACATGGCCTGCAGAGCACACATGACTCCAACATGAGGTTGGGCATGAAGCAGCCGTCATTTCTTACTGGGTCCTTCAGCTGGTAAAGAATGAGCAGGAGGAAGAGAAAGTTTGCTTAGGGCCTTGATCAAGTGGGAGGGGAGGGACTGTGGAAATAATAAATGCCCATGCATTATTTATCACTATTATTGCTTGGCACAAACAGCTTCATTCCATTGACTTCTCACTTTTAAATGAGCTGGGAAGAGAGCCAAGGTTGTTTTTCAGAATCCCCTGAGAGAATGTGAGTGAGTTTGTGGCATTTGTATTTTATTAACTCAGAGTTTTTCTTTTGTTTCTTCTGGATGATATGGGACTCTATCTTATTGTAAGGTAAGCTTGGGATTGCTGTCAGATCCTTAATTATACACTAATTATTTCTTTTAATTTAGAAGCCTAAGGAAACCCTAAAACCCAAAAAAAATCAGAGCAAAGGGAACACAGCATATAAAATGTCACTTTCCCAATGTCCCTTGGAAACCAGACCTGATCAGTAAGGGTGATGGCATTACACATTTTCAAATGGAAAATTGGACTTCACAATGGGCATGATTCCCTTGTTTCTAGGTCTAATATAATGAGAACAGGGGTATCAAAGACCTCTTTATTTACACAACTCCAAGCTTCTTTTTTGACTATATTCTGGATCTACAATTATATATTTTGAATACAGTGGAGATTTTTAGAATATTCATTTGTATTCTAATAGCCAGGCTAAGAGACAAAAAGCAGATCAGCCTAATGATGATTCTCTATACACTCTAGGGATTGGTCTTACTCAGCCCAGCTGAGAAACGAGATACTCCTGATTTTGTAAGGTGGCTGTTAGCAGAGCAGGGAGGGGAAGCCATGTGCTTGGTTACACTAGTCTCTGCTTTCTAACAGGACTCAGTGGTCTCTAGGAGCACCCTGTGTCCAAAAATCTTGGTCCAATTAGTGGAAATGGATTAGTAGGATCGCTGTCTCATAACACATATGGCAAAAGACCAGTAAGGTATGCAAGGTATATATGGTGATAGAGAAAAAAAGAGAGAATTGGAGAGAGGATTGTCTGAAAAGACAGTGGTGATAGATAAAAGTGGAATGATTCTTTCTTTGAAAAGCTTTATGGTGTTTTTAATTTCTCATTGGTCTCACAGTGTGCCATTTTCTCGATAGACTCAAAATAATTTTTGTGCACTTACTTTGCTTTTCACTCCCCTGCTTTTCGCTTTGCCTGCTTTAAGCAACCAGAGCTGAAAAGCTGCTGGTGAGAATGTGTAAGGCTTCCCAGCATTGGGTAAAGAGCTATCTAGGGGGTCTAAAGTGAGGACCAGGGGTCTCCCTCAGCCCTGTGGCCCAGCATCTCAAATAGGGCTTCATCCTGACCTTCTCACCCCTGACTCTATTCTGACCCTGAGTGACAGGCTGAGACTGGGAGGGGAGGGTTAAGAAGAGAGAATTGGGTGGTAGAAAGAGAGGAGTTTGATGGGATGGGCGGAAGCCCTAATATCTGTCAGACCCTGGCCAAATCCCAGATTCAACACTTACTAGTACTGAACTGTTCTCTCCTATGTAAAATTAGGGTGACACCAAGTACTTCACAGCATAGCTGTAAGTTTTAAATGAGAAGGCCTGTGGAGTATCTGGCAGAGTGCTGCACTTGGGTTAGTTCAGTCCTCCTCACTCTTCAATAGCACATTTCTGAGTCTGCAGCCTGGAGTCTGGGCACTTGGGCAGTGTTGCACATTTAGCACCCACAACATAACAATAGGTCCTTGCTGGACACTGGTTTTATAGTGTGACCAAAACATACAATCACAAATGGCTTCTGGCTGGCCAAGGGACGGGCTTGTAGGTGTGGGGAATGTGGTCTTGCACTTCCTCTCCTTACCCTAAGATTTTTGCCCAACTCCTACTACCTGGATGTCCTTTGTAGGGTAGAAGTATCTCCGTCCTCAGACAGCTTTACAATGCAGTTTTTCTAGGAGAGGTGAGGTACGGTTTTATAATCTCAATTGATGGAGTTTCCTTTCTGGGATCGGTGGCAAAGGGGCCACATAAGTTGCAGTGTTAGAGGAAAGAGTGCAAAAAATACAATTGCAAAGAAACATTGCAACAATTTCAAAATTCTGTACTGGTTCTTGAAAGTCTTTCATTTCAGACATTTACAGCTCAACCTGTGGGGTCCAATCAGTATGCCAACCAAAGGTCAGCCTGAACTAACTCTAGAGTCCAGCCCTGCCTCTGAGGAGCATGTAGAAAATCATATGAAGTATAGATTGCAATAAATACAGTAAGGTACGTGGACTGTGCTACGAATGCCTGGAGAACTACTCAGAGAGAGTAAGCTAGGGTAGAACCTGCCGAGCTGCAGTAACAATAAACCCATGTTTCTGTGGCTTAACCACAATCATTTAGAAACCCAGATTCCTTTGATTTTATGGTACCTCAACATTTGAAGTATGTTTTCCAAAGTCACCGTGAAAAGAGAAAAGTGAATAGAAGATTGGGCATGGAGGTTTTTATGGGCTAGGCCTGGAAGTGGCTCACATTACTTCTGACCTCATTCCATTGACCTAGACTCTGTCATATGGCTCCAGCATATCTCACGAAGCCTGGAAATTAAAGTTTAGCTTTGTAACCAGGAGGAAATAAAATGAATTTTGGAAACACACAGCAGTGTCTCTGACACAGTAGCTCTGTTCTCACACGGGCTACTAGGGTCTGACCTACGTCCTGGGGAGGCAATGCAATGTCTTGCTTTTGAGAATGCACTTGGGTAGAATCCAATAAGGCTGATTTAGGTTTGAATCAGAGTTCTAACCCTTACTGTCTTTGTAAATCCAGGCACTTTCCTTTACTATAAAGTGGGATTAGTGACAATATGTAGTTCATAGGGCTTTTTGCAAAGATTTAGCTGAGATTATTCCTGCCATGTAGGGCTTGTCAATAACCGGGAGTCATTATTTCACAGTGCAGATTTTTACCATCACCTACTTCCATCTTCATCAAATGGTTTCTCAGTGCAAAGATCATTGCCCTGATTTTTATGTAATAATACAACTTCAAAATGCTTATTTATTTATTACCTTTCTTATATGTTAAAGCTTCAGCCCCACCCAGATACAGCAAGAGGCTGTGTTATAGACTATCTCCCTCCTTCCCACAGTACCTCTGAAAGGTTCCTGAAACACTGGATACAGGACCTCATATATTGAAAAATTTAGAATCTGAAATCTCCGTACTATTAAATGAAAAAATAAAATCTTATAAGAAGAGTCAGTCAAGAATTCAAGAAATAGAGCACCAAATTTTCTGCTAACTAAAGACCCTATGACACTCTAGAGATCTTAACATCGTCGAAGACAAGAAGTATTTGTATCTACCTCTTCCTTCCCCAGAGGAAAAAAAGGGGCATCAGTGAGCAAACAGTGTCTAAGGCCAATTTTTTTACTTGCCTAACTCCGTGCTCTGTATTCAGGAAGATGCAAGCATGACCCCAGGGTGTGCTGGGGAAGCACATACGAGCTCATGAGAATGTATCTTTCCAAATCCTTATACAGTGACATAATATAGGTTCTTTTGATAGAAGGACATTTACTGTCCTGTTTCATAAGTGACTTTTCTTATGTTTCTTTTTTCATGTAATATTATGGATATTCTCAATTCTGGATTTTTAAATACATGAGATACCACGTTCAGTGATGACATTGATGGTTTGAAATCAGCCATGGAGAGAATATTTACACCATAGAAATTGGCATACACTAAAAATCAAGGATTTTTAATGTGTCCGTGTATGAGAGGGAGGGGGGCTGAAGAGCCAATTGTTAAATATGTATTAGCACACTGTTGGTGTGACCTCCTTCTAAAACCACACACATGCAGAATGCAATTGGGGGTGCAGCCCATTCTGTCAAAGGGATTTCAAGTCTTGGTGAGAACAAGGCTGATATATTTATGAGTGATTGGGTTTGTTATGTTTTAAAATCACTTTTATTATTTATTTCTCCTTGTTGCAAAATGACATGCTAATTGTATAAAAAGAACAATCACCCATAAATCCACTACCCAGAGATAAACTCTGTTAATATGTTAGTCTGTTTTCATTTATACATAAGCAATAGTATCAAAAATAACATCATACAACACATACAATTTTCCCATCTTACAATATATTCTGATCATCTTTCCAGGTAATCAGATACCCTGCAACATCATTTTAATGGTTGTTTGGCATCATTAGGGCATGAATTAATTGCCAGGCGTATACATAGTGCCATTCATTTCATTAGAAAGAGAAGTGTCTCTATTAACTACTGAGTGGTGAAAATTTCCCATGAGCTTTGCCTGTGCATGTGGTCAGGCCAGAACAGGCACAGTGGCACTCTTTCTAGCCACCTGCTTGAGCTCTCTTCTTTATTCTTTGGCTGATAATTTTGAGATTTCTCTCAACTGCTTTCATCTCTCTCTGCTCACCAGGAGAGATCAAACGAGAGGGATTTCTAGGTAAAGAGAACTTCTCATGATTACCTGAGAAGGTTATCTCCCATCCGTAAAAGAGACTTGAATGAAAAATCCGTTGAAATAAATGAAGTTGAACATCCCACATCAGAAACACGCCTTCCCATCTCACCAGTGAGCTCATTGCTTCTCTGATACCCAAACATCAATTAAAATAATTATTCCTAAATTACCATTTCAATTTCTTTTCACACAAAGTGGCTTTAGACATTTGCAGATTCAGCTCAGAGCTATTATCTCTGAGGTGATATTAATAATGCCAGTTGAGTAAAACTCTCTGAACACCAGTGTAAAAGCTGTCACAATTTACCCCATCCCTCATGCTCCCAATCCCTTATCTTGTTCTCTTTTTTTTTTATAGCTTTTTCATCATTTTCTCAGATGCTGTGTAATTTACTTATTCTATTTATTGTCTCTTGCTCTGCTGGATTTGAAGCATTATGAATGTAGGGATCTTTCTCATGTTTACTGATGCAACCCCACATCTAGAAGAGTGCCTGGCACATTGTAGATGTTCATTAAATATGTTTTCCAGTGAATCTCATGACCCTGCTACAAACTTGGAAGCCTTGTCTTTTGGCTGTTTTCTTGCATTACAACCATGAGAACAACTGTGAGTTGGATGTCGACACCAGCTAGTCAACAGAGAAAGCCAAAAGGACTGGGATCAAGGCTCTCTCTGCTTCTGTCATGAACAACCATGCTTCTGTGTACCAGGAACTGCCATGGAACTTACCAGCTTTGAGGACTTAAAGCCAGGGGCACAGGAGATAATGTCAGGGCATTCAAAATGCACACTTGCCATTTATCCTATTTTGATATCAGATCATTGCTTTTATCCTCACAGGTAATGAACATTAACTATGTGTCAGGAACTGATCTGGACACTTAACACTAAGTAATTATTCTATTTTAATACTAAAAAGCCCCTCAAAGTGTATTGTTATTCTCATTTTATAGATGAGGGGATTGAGATCAAGAGGTGATGAGTAGCTTATTCAAGGTGACACTGTTCAGAACACATTTGAGCTGAGTTCCACCTGAGTCCAAGCCTATAATTTTATCACAGAGTGGCTCTGCCTTGCTATGGGACTGTGAGTACCAGATTTCATCCTCCTCTGTTTTCTCATATGTAAAATGGAGACAACGCTGGGTTATTTGAAGGATTTGAGTAAGGATTAAATGAGACGATATATGCAGGATTGCTTATCAGGATACCTGATAATCAGTAAGAGGAAGTTTCTTTTCACCTTTTCCATCAGATAAATGGAAAAACTGAGGCTCAGAGTGAAGAAGGAACTGAGCTAATAGAGCTTTTACAATGACTAGTAAACTGGATATGAATCCAGGTCTCCACACTTTCCATCTGTCTTGCTCCGTGGCCCATCCAAATCCTCATAAATATGAACTTCCTTCTCAGCCACACATGCTCATGAATTCAACTAGGAGAACAGACACATCCTCTCTGTGAACATACCATCAGATTCATGATGAGGGGAGAAAACCCAAACCCAATGACAAAACAGTAGCCAAAATTATTTTAAAAACAAAAACACCCGGCTTATTTTTCTAGTGCTGATTGAAGTTAGAAAAAGTAATGACTATCATCTGTTACGCATGTACTATTGGCCAGGTTCTGTGCTAAAGCCTCATGTACAGATATCTTTATTCATCCTATTTTGTAGGTTTGGAAATGGTGGGCTAAAGAAGTTGAGTAAATTACTCAAGATCACACAGGTAGTCAGTGAAGGAGGTGAAACTGAACCCAGATCTGTCTGATTCTGAACTCTTCATTTTTAATCTGAATGCTGAGTTGCCAATGGGATTGCTTACTGTCTTCAAGATAATTCCCCCATGATACTCCCTTGTAAGGCTAGCCATCTCAGTAGAGAGATAATTGTGAGGATTATTGTCCCAACTAAAGTATAAGCCTTTTGAAGGCAAAGACTGAGACACATATTGCTCAGTACACCTCTCACAAGCCTTTATTGTTAATGGGTATTAAATAAATGTTTTTGGTTTATTCATCAAAACTTCTCAGGGAACCTTTAATTTCCCTGAACTAACCCATAGTAAATAAGACCACATACTAGGAGATGACTAGAGATAAAAAGCTCTTGGATCACATGTAAAAATATGTTGCATTTTGGAGTTAATTCTCCGTGATAACAGCCTCTTATTTTATGAGTTTATCTTAACATTTCCTTACTCATTTACTTCCTCACAGACCAGCGCACTTGCATTGTTTACATAAAGACCCAAACTGTACTTCATGCTCTGTGGCCACTCCAGGAACGTGCTGTGGTGCCATTTGTGCCCATGTCCTCGGTGGACCTGTTTAGGCAGTGACTTGCAGCTTCTGCTAGAGGTGCATTTGTCTTTGTTTTGTACCTTTATCTAATAACCAATTCTTCTTAATCATGTTAGGGGGGAGATAGGGTTTAATCACACCGTTCATCACAACCGGGCCACAATGTGCTAAGAAGGGTGCTTTATTGCATTGTCCAAACTAAGTATTAATGCAAATAATTTTGACAACTAGGAGATGCTATTATTTATCCAATTAGGACATTATTGCAAGTATAAATCTGCTTTAAATTCTGAATTAAGAATAACAAAATGAGTCTTTTTTAGGCTCAGAATGGCTTTCTTGAGCCTTTGAAAGGGTTCCCAGTTTTGACAGCCAGGACTGTATATGAATCCTTTGCTTGTATTTTGAGCTCACCCCATATGGAGAAGTGAGCACACAGCTGTACCTACATTCTCACACAGGGGCCACTGTTGGCAGGCAGCACTGTTGTTATGTAATGACTCTTCTTTTTCCCACCTTTTCCATCTCAAAGGAGATAGAAAGATAGGGATATATTTTCCCAACCCTCACTTCAAATCCTCCACTGTGAATCCCAATAATTTAATCTTTAGGGGAGTGAGTACTTGCTGTGCTTTTTTCTCTTTCCCCAAATCAGGAGTCATCAAGAGAAAGGACCCCTGTGTATAGACCCTAGTAGCTGACTGTTAAGGGGTTTGAGGACATGTTGAATTTTATAATCATTTCCTGATTATATAGATTTTAAGCAAGGTCCTGGGCAGAATAATTCAGGAATTAAAAAAGAATAGCCTGGCAGGAAGCCCAGTAGTTTCTCAGGTTTGTCTGTGTGTGTGTGTGTGTGTGTGTGTGAGTTCAGTATTTTCCCTTTGATGATGGTGACGATGATGATGATGATACCACCATACATCATGTTGAGATGTATTAAAGAATTAAGTTTACAGAGACCAAATACTATACTTTAGGTGAATCTACTTCCTACTTTCCACATTTTCTAAAGGGGCAGGAATTTCCCTTTCACTTCTCCTTCTCAACCCCCAGTTCCATCACTCCTTTTCAGGTTATGGGACAGGATTTATCCAATTAGTAAAACTGGGAAGCAGGGATTAAACATTTCAGCATAAACTCTTCTTTCAAAGCAGCCTGTTGAAGGGCCTTTGCATCCAACTTTCCTCTTATCTTCTCTACCCACCAAGGCTAAGTCATGGCCTACCCCAGGCTTGAGAAACAGATTGTTGGTCTCTTTTTACTCTTTCCTGCGGAAATAAATGAAGGTCAACCTAATGAGAACAAAGGCTATTTATTCAGAGCTTGCTATGCAAGGGAGGCAGACACCATCACTTGCATTTTGGCAGAAATGCAAAGGCAGGCAGGGGAGGAGGAAAGCTTTACAGCTGAAAAAAAAAGGCAGTTTCAGATACACTTTGATTGAAGATCTGTTGGCATGGGGAAGCTGGAGACAACTAGAAGTGGGGCATTTATGTGATTGCTTAGGGGTGTGTATTTGGCTTTCTTTGTTTGGTCCTAAGTTGGAAGTGGGGACAAAAATTAGGGAAGCTGTCTGATACTAATCAAGCGCTGGCCATTTTGGCCTGATTGTTACAGGAATGGTTTAGCTTCCTAGACTGGTTACTAGAGACAGCAGTTTGCTTTCCTACAAGTCTTATACATAGCAGCCTGGCTTCCTAAGCTGGTTCCTATAGATAGTGGATCCTTTTCCTGGGCTGGTTGCTGCAGGTTGAGTCAGAGCTCTGCTTTCAAGTATGACCTGAATATTGTCTTTTTTATATCAGTCTTTCCTTCTCCACTGTGGAAGTGAGAAGCCTAGTATGGGAATGTGTCTCCTTTCCTATTCACACTCTCACATGAGACTTTTCTGAAGTCTTGATTTGAGAGACAAATATTAGGAAGCCTGATTGTGTTCACATATCTAAGCCACATCCTCCAATCAGGTTTATCCCTAATAAAGTAAAACTGATATATTGATCTCTATCTGTCTGGTGTGAAGACGAGTGTGAGGAAAATTATCAATTCCACAAAGCCCTAGCCCTGTGGAGGACTGAGAAACTACCTGAATGGGCAGAAAACAGTTCATTGTTTCCTCTCCTTCTTTTAATGTCTGAATTATATATCTAATACCTTTTTTTTCAAACTTAAATGCATTTGTATTTACATAGTAGCTTTTCTTTTGTTCCTTTGTGTTTCCAAATGATTGCCTTAGAATGCCTTAGATTATCATTTTCCTTTTCTCATGACACTCTTGATGGGGGCAGTGATTCCATCCATTGTAATATATAAAATATATGCAAGTTGAGACTTAGGATGCGTGGAGGCAGGCATTAAGGGAACACATAAGATTATAAACTATTACAGGCATCAAGGAGACTGGGTAGAATGATGGGTATGAGCTCTAGGATATTATTGGAAGATGTGGGGAAATAAGTGAGGGGGATAAGTCTGAACAAGAAAAATACCATAAACTTTAATCTGTGTCTCATTGTGCCAGGCTTTATGGGTTGTGGGTTGTTATGGTAATGGTAAGGTGAGTAGGGCTGGATATGAAAGCAACATAGAAGATTTTGTAATGAGTTTGGGATTCCCACTGAACTCTTCAGTGATGTGCTAAAGACTTTATAGGCTATCTATCCTGAGAACTTATGATTTAAATGCTTCTTTTGTCTTCTACATTAAGCTGGCACTTCAAGGGTCCATGATAATAAATGGGAGAGGGTCCAGAGAAGGATACATTTTCCTTGCCATATTTATTGAAATAATGTCACATGTCATCTTGTAAATCCTCCTCATAATTTTGTGAGGTAGGAATTACATTCACATTTTCCAATCTAGAGAGTTGAGTTACAAAGAGGTTCTTACAGCTCAGAAAAAGACAAAAAGAAAGGAAAGTTATAGAATTACTGAGATATGAAATTAGAGTGTTCTGGAAATCAAGTTATTTACACTGTCAATTTAAAAGGAGGAAGCTAGAAATTGATTAAAACAGACAAAACAGAGTCTCCAGGTTTTTTCTGCTTCAACCACTTCGTTTTCCCACTTTTTTCCTACTCTTCCTTTCCCCCATCTTTATTACCCCCAACGCTGAACCTTGATAAACAGCAAGGCAATTTTCAAAAAAATTTTTTCACAGTTGCCAGGTAAGATTGGGCCAATAATCGAGTCAAAAGGCCCCAAAACTAGGGAAATCTCCAACCAGTCTAATCACAAGTTTTGTAGCAGTTGGAGATAAAGAAAACTGCAACCTAAGTCAGACCACAAAGCCACCCTTCCTCTTTTCTTCTCATCCCATAAAATTCCATGTGGGCTTTGATTAAAAGAGTTACCTGGTATTCAGGTACTCCCTGACCCAAGTCAGCTGAGTAAACCCTTTAATTTCTCTTTGAGACACTTAAATGTTTTATTCCTTGGCAATTTTTTTTTTAAATAGGTGACACCAGACTGAGAAGTTTATTTGATTAGAAAGGGTAAGGCTTAGAAAACATGGTCCAAATGGAGGCAACAAAACAAAAACATTGACAAATTGCTTTATTAAGAAATTAAGAGGATTTTAGAAGGTCGTAGATAAACTAATAAGAGGAGTTCAGAAAAGAAAGGAAATGTGGTTGCTCTCTGTGGAAAAAGAGAGGACTATGAATATGTCCGGTCGTGGAATGAGTAAAGAACTTTTAGGAATATGATGTATAATATTAAGTCATAAAGTATTCACATTGTAGTGGTATAACCTCACTCCATTCTACCTGAACTTTGAATCGAGTCTGTTAGACACTTAAATGAACGTTAGTGATTCAAAGAGTGAGGGCTGAATTTGCTTTGTGTAACTGTGTTAAATCTATAGATCAAGCCGGGAAGAATGACATGTTAGCAATATTGACTCTTCCAATGGAATCTTATTTCTGATCTTAAAAGAAAAACATCTATTTTCTCACCACCAAGTATGATGTTATTTGTACAGTTTTTCTAGATGTTCTTTGTCAAGTTGAGGAAGTTCTTCTCCGTTCCTACTTTGCTGAAAATTTTTATTGTGAATTGATGTTGGATTTTGTTAAATGCCTTTTCTGTATCAAATGATAAGTTCATATAATTTTTCTTCTTAAACTTGTTGATATAGTGGATTAATTTGATTGATTTTGAATGTTGAATCAGCCTTGCATACCTAGAATACATCCCACTTGGTAATGATGTATAATTCTTTCTGTACATTATTGCATTTGATTTGCTAATATTTTGTTGAGGATTTTTGAATGTATATTCGTCAGAGGTATTGATCTGAAGGATTTCTTTCTTGTAATGTCTTTATCTGGTTTTGGTATCAGAGAAATGTTGGTTTTATACAGTGAGTTAGGAAGTGTTTCCTCTGCTTGTATTTTCTGGAAGAGATTGTTTAATTTCTTCCTTAAATACTTGGTAAAATTCCCCAGTGAAACTATCTGGGCCTGGTGTTTCCTTTAGGAGGATTATTAATTGCTGATTCAATTTAATTAGCAGATATAAGCCTGTCATATATGCTTATGAGATACAGATATAAGATTATATCTCCTTGTGTGAGTTTTGGCAGTTTATGTCTTTCAAAGAATTGATTCATTTCATCTAAGTTATCTAATTTGTAGATAGTTGTTCATAGCATTTCTTTATTATCATTTTAATATGTATGGTATTAGTATTTCTGCTATTGGTAATTTGTGTTTTCTCTTTTATTTTCTTAGTTCACTTCACTAAAGTGCTACTATTTTTATTGATCTCTTCACAGAGCCAGCTTTTGCTTCATTGATTTTTCTATATTGATTTCCTGTTTTCAATTTCATTGATTTCTGCTCTTTTATTATTTCTTTCCTTTTCTTTATTTGCTTGCCTTATGTTTAAGTTCTTCTTTTTATTTTTTTTGGTTTCCTAAAGTGGAAGCTTAGATTATTGATTCTGGATCTTTCTTCTTTTGTAATATATGTATTTAATGATATAAAATGTCTCTTTAAATACTGCTTTCACTGCATTTTACAAATTTACAAATTTATATATTTTCATTATCATTTAGTTCAAACTATTTCTTAAATTTTCTCAAGACTTCTTCTTTATATGTTGTGTAGAAATTATGTAGCTTAATATCCAAATAATTGGGTATTTTCTGTAATTGATTTATGGTTTAGTTCCATTGTGTTGAGAACATACTTTGTATGATTTCCATTCCTGTAAAATTGTAAAGGTATACTTTATGGCCCAGAATGTGTTTGTCTTGGTAAATGTCCCATATGAATTTGAGGAGAATGTGTATTCTGTTGTGGGATAGGTTGTTACATAAATATCAATTAAATTAATGATAGTATTTTTCAGGACAACTATATCCTCAGTGATTTTCTTCCTGCTTGAACTATCAAATACAGAAAAAGGAGTATTGCTATCTCCCCCTATTCTAGTGGATTTGTCTTTTCTTCTTTCAGTTCTATCAATTTTTGCTTAATTTATTATGTCTTCTTGAAGAATTGATCCTATCATGGTGTATTACCTCTTTTAATCCCAAATACTCTTTCTTGTTCTGCTTCGTATAAAATTAATTACCTATTCCAGTTTTCTTTTGATTGATGTCAGCATAGTTTTTCTTCATCCTTTTACCTTCAACCTACATTTTATTTAAAGTGTCTTTCTTGAAGCTAGCATATAGTTGTCTTATTTTTTATATTTAATTAAAATAATTTTATTTTCCTTTTTTTTTTTTTTTTTTTTTTGAGATGGAGTCTTGCCCTGCTGCCCAGGCTACAGTGCAGTGGTGCAATCTTGGCTCACTGCAAACTCCACCTCCCAGGTTCAAGCAATTCTTTTGCCTCAGCCTCTCAAGTAATTGAGACTACAAGTGAGCACCACCACACCTGGCTTATTTTTGTATTTTTAATAGAGACGGAGTTTCACCATATTGTTGAGACTGGTCTCGAACTCCTGACCTCAAGTGATTCACCTGCCTTGGCCTCCCAATGTGCTGGGATTACAGGTATGAGGTACCACACCTTGACTATTTTACTATTATTAAAAAAATTTCTTTATCCATATTTTGTGTCCACTCTTTTTAATAATATTATTTTTTGTCTTATATGTTTTAGTTGATTAGTCTTGCCAGGGTTTTATCTATTTTGTTCACATTTTGTTTTATAAGCTTTTATTTTAGGTTCGGGGTACAGGTGCAGATTAGTTATGTAGGTAAATTGTGTGTCACAGGGGTTGGTGTACAGATTATTTCATCACCCAGGTAATAAGCGTAATACCCAATAGGTATTTTTTCAATCCTCACCTTCCTCCCACCCATCACTCTCAAATAGGCCCTGGTATGTGTTGTTTCCTTCTATGTTTTCATATATAGTCAATGCTTTGCTCCCACTTATAAGTGAGAACATGTGGTATTTGGTTTTCTGTTCCTGTTCACTTGGGATGATGGCCTCCAGCTCCATCCATATTGCTGAAAAGGACAAGATCTCATTCTTTTTAATGGATTTGCAGGACTGCATGGTGTATAAGTACCACATTTTCTTTATCCAGTCTACTATTGATGGGCATTTAGGTTGATTCCATGTCTTTGCTATTGTGAATAGTGCTGTGATTAACCTACATTTATGGTAGAATGATTTATATTCCTTTGGATATATACCCCAGTAATGAAATTCCTGGGTTGAATGGTAATTCTGTTTTGAGTTCTTTGAGAAATCGCCAAATTGGCTGAACCAGTTTATTCCTACCAGCAGTGTATAAGCATTTCCTTTTCTCTACAACCTTGCCAGCATCTGCTATTTTGTGACTTTTTAATAATAGCCATTTTGACATTCTGACTGGTGTGAGATTGTGGTTTTGATTTGCATTTCTCCAATAATTAATAATATTGAGTATTTTTTTGTATGCTTGTTGGCTGTGTGTATGTCTTCTTTTTGAAAAGTGTCTGTTTCCTTTGCCTACTTTTTAATGGGGTTGTTTGTTTTTGCTTGTAAATTTGTTTAAGTTTCTTATAGATTCTGGATATTAGACTTTTGTCAGATGCATAGTTTGCAATATTGTCTCCCATTCTGTAGGTTGTCTGTTCACTCTGTTGAGTGCATTTTGCTGTGCAGCTCTTTAGTTTAATTACGTCTCATTTGTCAATTTTCGTTTTTGTTGTCATTGCTTTTGGCATCTTTGTCATGAAATCTTTGCTGAGTCCTATGTCCAGAATGGCATTTCCTAGGTTATCCTCCAGGGTTTTTCAGTTTTAGGTTTTACATTTAAGTCTTTAATCCATCTTGAGTTGATTTTTGTATATGGTGTAAAGAGAAGGTCCAGTTTCAATCTTCAGCATATGGCTAGCCAGTTATCCCAGAAACATTTATTGAATATGAAATCCTTTCCATATTGCTTGTTTTTGTCGAAGATCAGATGGTTGTAGGTGTGCAGCATTATTTCTGGTTTCTCTATTCTGTTCCAATGGTCTATGTGTCTGTTTTTATACCGGTACCATGCTGTTTGGGTTACTGTAACCTTGTAGTATAGTTTGAAGTCAGGTAGCTTGATTCCTCCAGCATTTTTCTTTATGCTTAGGATTTCCTTTGCCATTTGGGCTCTTTTTTGGTTTCATATGAATTTTAACACTTTTTTTTTCTAATTCTGTGAAGAATATAATTGGTAGTTTTAATTTTATTTATTTTTTAGGGGGTGGAGTCTCATTCTGTTGCCCAGGCTGGAGTACAGTGGTGCGATTTCAGCTCACTGCAACCTCTGCCTTCTGGGTTCAAGCAATTCTTCTGCCTCAGCCTCCTGAGTAGCTGGGATTACAGGTGTGTGCCACCATGCCTGGCTAACTTTTGTATTTTTGGTAGAGACAGTGTTTCACCGTGTTGGTCAGGCTGGTCTCAAACTCCTGACCTCATGATATGCCCACCTAGGCCTCCCAAAGTGCTGGGATTACAGGTGTGAGCCACTGCACCCGGCCTATCATTGGTAGATTTATAGGAATAGCATTGAATCTCTAAATGGCTTTTGGCAGTATGGCCATTTTAACAGTATTGATTACTCCTATACATGAGCATGGAATGTTTTTACATTTGTTTGTGTCATCTCTGATATCTTTGAGGAGTGTTTTGTAATTCTTGTTGTAGAGATCTTTCACATTCCTGATGAGATGTTTTCCTATTTATTTTATTCTTTTTGTGGCTGTTGTGAATAGGACTGTATTCATGATTTGGCTCTCTGTGTTGTTGGCTTCGAGGAATGCTACTAATTTTTGTACATTGATTTTGTGTATCCTGAAATTTTGCTGAAGTTATTTATGAGATCTAGGAGCTTTTTGGGCAGAGACTATGGGGTTTTCTAGGTATAGAGTCATATCGTCTACAAACAGGGATAGTTTGACTTCCTCTCTTCCTATTTGGATGCCTCTTATTTTTCACTATTGCTTGATTGCTCTGGCTGGGACTTCCAGTAATATGTTGAATAGAAGTGCTAAGAGAGGGCATCCTTGTCTTGTTCAAGTCTTCAAGGAAAATGCTTCCAGCTTTTGGCCATTCAATGTGATGTTGGCTGTAGATTTTTTATAGACAGCTCGTATTATTTTGAAGTATATTCCTTCAATGCCTAGTTTGTTGAGGGTTTTTAACATGCAGGGATGTTGAATTTTACCAAAAGCCTTTTATGCATCTGAGATGATCAGTGTAATTTTCTTTTTTTAAAATCCATTTTAAATATTTATTGCCTTTTATTGCTATCTTTATACCATTCATAGTTAAAGTAATTATTGATAATTGAATTACTATCTATCGTATTTGCAACTGTTTTCTATTTATTGTATTTATTTATTTCATTTATATCATCTTTTTCGGACTTTTCTGGTTTTATTGAGAATGCCAAATAATTTCATTTTGCCTCCTGACTTAGTATAACTGTTATTTTCTGTGACAAATTTTTTTTTATTGGTTTTCCTAGTATTTGCAATATATATGTTTAAGGTAAGTCTACCTTTAAATAACACTATGCCACTTCACTTGTAGTGCAGGTAATATGTTACAAAATATTCTAAATTTCTTCCTTCCCCCATCCCTTATGACATTTCCATCATTCATTTCTCTTATCTATATAGTAGATATAGTCACCTAATATATTGTTAGTCATGTTTCAGATTGACTAATAATAAAAAAGTAAAACAAATCTATTTTACCCACATTTATTCTTTCTCCATTGTGCCTCATTTTTAATGTAGATTTGTTTCTGATTTACTATATTTTTCTCCCTAAAGAACCTTTTAAAACCTGTCTTTTAGGGCAAGACTGCTGGTGATGAATTTCTTCAATTCAAGTTCTTGTTTTCTTCTTCACTTTCAAAAGATAATTTGATGAAACTTTTTTTCTTTTAATTCTTTAAATATTTATTTTTCCACTTTAATTCTTCTGGCATAATTTATGATGAGAAGTCTGCTGTCATTCTTGTCTTTATTCCTCTATAGGTGAAATGTTTTTATTCTCTTTCACAATTTTCTCTTTGTCTTTGGTTTTCTGCTTCAAATATGATTTGCCTATATGTAGATTTTTTTTTTTTTTTTGCATCTATCCTGCTTGGTGTTATCTGAGGTCCCTGGATCTGTGGTTTGATGTCTGTTAATAATTTTGGAAATTTTTCAGCTAAGATTACTTCAGTTATTAAATATTTCTTCTTTTTGCTCTTTCTCCTGTTTCTGGTATTACAAGTATGCCTGTACTGCAGCTTTTGAAATTGTTCCACAGTTTTTGTAGAGTATGCTATTTTTCCTATTATTTTTTCTCTTTGCATTCCAGTGTGGAAAATTTCCAGTGACATATCTTCAAGCTCATTGATTCTTTCCTCAGCCATGTCCAGTTAATTAATTAGCCCATTAAAGTCATTCTTTATTTCTATTGAGTGTTTTCAGTTGTTAGTATTTCCTTTGATTCTTTCTTAAAGTTTCTATCTACTTACATGACCCATGTGTCCTTGTGTGTTGTATACTTTTTTCACTAGAGCCCTTAGTTTATTAGTTATGATTATTTTATATCATTAAATCATTTTTTTTTAATTTCAACAGCTTTAAGGGTACAAGTGGTTTTTGGTTACATGGATGAATTGTATAGTGGTGAAGTCTGAGATTTTAATGTACCTGTGAGTCATGGTTATTTTAAATTTTCTGTCCGAGCATTCCAAATCTATTTTGTCTGAGTTTGGTTCTGTCTGTTTTGTATCTTCAGACTGTGTTTTCTTGTGTTTTAGCATGCCTTATAACTTTTTGTTGAAAGCTGATAATTATGTATCAAATAATAGGAACTGAGGTAAATAGGCATTTCGTGTAAGGATTTATGTTAACCTGGCTCATAGTTGGACTGTGTTTAATGCTTGCTGTAGCCATAAGTGCCAGATGATTCTTGTTTCTATAGTTTTCCTATCTGTTGTCTCCAGGTCTCCTTAAGAACTCATCCTTAGGCTCTGGGCCTTGACCTCTTTCAGCTAAAATATGCTGTTACAATAATGGAGTGTCAATATGGTGGTAAAGTGTGGGGTGGGGAAAATTCTGTTATCTAATGTAATTCTTAGTTTCTCCCTGTCCTTAAGTGAGTCAGGAAGGTTAGAGGGGGCTGGAGTCTGAGAAATGCCCTTCTCCCATGTGGTAAAGTCTTTTCACTTGTAGAGAAGACTTCACGATGGAGCATACTCTGGGTTTTTCTCACAATAATTATTCTTGCCCTCCCCACTGCCAGAGCCATGAGGGAGTCTTTTTGGCTCTTCACCATTTGAACCTGGTGGGGCTCCTGGAGGTAAAACACACAAAAATGAGTCCCTCTCCCTAAGACTGCAACACCCAGAGTTTTTCATTTTCAAGGTAGTCTTCACGCAGTCTCCAGCCATTTATCAAAGTTACTGATGGCAGCTGTGGGCCATCCAGAGTGGCCGCTGCCTTTGTGCCTGTCGCAGCAGGGGCTGGGGGCAGGAGTGGCAGCAGGAATGGCCACGGGAGTTGCAGTGGCAGCAGTGAGACCCCTGTGCCCCATGCCCCCTGTACCCTGTGTCCCTGAGGCAGCAAACTGTGCTGCCCCCTACCCTTGAGTGGCTGGGCAGGATCTGTTCCCAGGCCTGAGCCTCTGCTGCTCCAGACCCCGGCCCCACACTGCAGCTCTCACCTGCTGCAGCTGTAGGGAGGGCATGGGGAAGAAGTGGACAGTCCCCAGACCCCTCTGCCCTCGGGGCCACTGTGATGGGTCTGGGCCGAGTAAACTGCCAGCAGGGAAGCTGTGCAATCAGGCATGAAGGAGTGATCAGAGAGGGGCCCCAAGGTGGAGCTGGGCCTGGAGTGGTGCTGTGCTCCATGGAACAGGTGAAAGCCAGTAGCAAGCAGCAGCCCCACCCTCTTGGGCATGACTGCAGCTGCCCAAGTCACTGCTGTGGACCTGGGCCTCCCTGTGCTCTTGGGGGTCAGGAGCAGGCAGGAGCCCTGCCCTCCTGGGTGCAGCTGCAAATGTGGACCCAGTCATCTCTCTGCACTCTTGGGGGCTTGGGAAGGCCCCTGTTGCCCCCACAGGCTCAGAGGTATTTACTCCCACTGCCTGGCCTTTTTCTGCTCCTGCAGCCCACTCCAATCTTGGAGCAAGAATGGGGCAAGCCAGGTGCTGTTGCAGCCTGGCCAGGTGTGCACACGCTCCAGGAAATGCTGACACACCAGGCCCCTGCCATTTTGGCCCCCTCCAGACTTTGGGCACCAAGGAGCATGGGAGGGAAGCTGAGGGGTTGCTGAGGACAGCCCGGTGCTGGCCTGTGGGTGCTCCTTGGCACAAGCAGCCTGGGCACCATGAACAGTGGCAGAAAGCAGATAGGCTCCTGGGTAGAAGGGTGTTGGTTCCCAGTGACACCCCACCTTCAAGCTGGGAGGGTCTGAAGCCTGGCGGCCAGGCTGCCAGTCCCACAGACCAGAGGGGGAACTTGTGGTGCTTTTCCCTGAGCCTGCCCATGGCCACTCATGGGCCTATAGGCACACACATCCTCCCGTCTGAGGCTCATAAAAACCCCAGACTCAGACAAACTTGAGCAGAGGATTGAGAGAGGATGGGGAGATGATGGGATGACCAGCTGTAGAGAGGAACTACCCTCTTTGCTGAGAGCTGTACACTCACTGGGATGAGCTGCCTAGCAGAGAAGAGCTACCCTCTCTGCCAAGAGCTGAAGAGATGACAGGATGACCAGCTCCAGAGAGGAGCTACCTTATCTGCTGAGAGCTGAACACTCATCAGAACACCATGGTTGCAGAGAGGAGCTGCCCACTGTGGGTCTCCCCTGAGCTGTTCTATTGCTCAATAAAATTCCGCTTGGTCTGGGTCACCCTCCGCTTGTTTGTGTACCTCATTGTTCCTGGACACAGGACAATAACCCAGGACCCACTGAATGGTAGGGCTAAAAAAGCTGTAATACAAACAGGGATGAAACATACACCCCTTGCTTGCCAGGTTGTGGGTGACAAGGAGGAGAGAAGAGAGAAGAAGAGAAGGAGGAAAGAGCTGTGGCACTTTGAGGAGCCCAGACCTTGGAGCTCCTTGATCCAGGGCTGTGACTACCCCTTTGGAGCCCTGCAGTTCCTGGAGTCTCCAAGCTTCCAGGCACCACGGTGCTACCCAATGCCAGCCATGGAAGCTACGTGCAGTGCACCCTGTCCAGCTGCAGCCTCACAGAGAGCCAGTGACTGGAGCTGCCTGCCCTGCTGCCAGCAGCTGGTGTGCCTGACTGTGCACAGTGGCTGGACCCCACACTCACTCACTCACATACCCCTCACCGACCCACTCTAGTCTCTTCGGAGGTGTGGGAATCCACTGGTAGTGTGAGCTAAGCGCAGCCTGCCAGGCCGAGTGGGTCCAGTGGGCCCAAACAAAACTCAGGCAAAGGTACCACTGGTAACAGAGGTTTCTGACCAGAAAAGCAACAACCCCAAGGATCCCATAGCATTAGCATTCAAATGTTTTTACCATTTAATGACCCTGCCTTCCTCTCTCCATTATGGGTAAATAGATCTGAGCTAAGACTTTCTGAATTCACCAGATTTCAGGGTGGCAATTTGCTCTGTGAATCCAGTGCTCTAATATGTCAAAGAAAAATAGTTAATGTTCACTTTATTTATCTATTTCTGATTGTAAGGGTGGGAATGATGACTGCCAAGTGTTTATATGTTGAAGCTGAAACTGGATTTTTTTTCCTTTATTTACTTTTTAAATACATATTTTACACACACACACCTTTCTCTACATATGAAAGGAGAGAGGATAGCGCAATGAACTCCCAATTTCTAGCAGCCATCTTGCTAGCATGAGGAAGAGGGACATTTTTCAGTGATGGCAGAACAGAAAGTCAGGACTCTTTCTGGGACCCTGATAACTCTATGGATTACCATAGCCCTAGGCTTTGTTCTTCTGGGTTTCTCATTTAATGAGAAAAATTTAAACCTTTATTTTGTTTAAAGCTTATCACTTTTCAAGCAGTGAACTTAATTCTTACCTGATATACCATTCCTCCCTCACCTTGCCTCTCTTTCTTTGTGTATGTACTGTCTGTCCTGAAGTTTGAATCATTCTCTCTCTCTCTTCTCCTTTCTCTCTCTTCTTGCTCTCTCACTCCCTCCTTCATCATTCCTTCTTTATTTGTATTTGTCCTGCAAATTAGTCTTGTTAATTCCTGTTTTTATCTGGTACATAACAGTGTCTTCCATGTAGTAGATACTAGATAAATATTGGTTGGATGAATGAATACATTATCTTAATTATAACTAATCCTGGGCATGCGAAGTCTAGAGGCTCACTGACAAATCCATTTCTTGTATGTATACCATGGCCCCATTCATAAGAGAAACTGACGTGCATGTCCTTTCCTTATCTCAAGAACAGAAAATTTCCAAAACGAAACCAAGGCTTGAATAATTACCAAAATCATTTGTCAAAATAAGTACTTTAGCCAGATATTCAGGCTCCAGCAGGACGTATTTCTGCCCAAATTATCTGGGTGATTTATTCAGTCTCCCACTTGGCTTTCTCTGTGGCCTCCTGCAGTCATTGTAAGCTTGTGCAGCTGTGATATGCCAGTGGTTGGCTCAGGGGCAGAATGCAGGGAAGTGGGGGTGGAAAGCACTGAAAATCCAATGCCAGGGGCTACAGGCATTTTTTCTGGGCCTACTTATGGGTTATTTTCCCAGGAACATAGAAAAAAATATTGTAAAGTGGAGAGAAAAACTGAACTATGTAACACACTTTTCTTCTTAGCACTTTTTATCATCTGAAGTTGTACCTTGTTTTTCTTAGTGTTTTGGCTTTCTGTCTTTTCCCTTTCGAATAGAACCTCCATGAGGGTAAGGACCATCCCTCTGTTGTTATTCTCCCAGCATGAAACTTGGCACGTAGGGGATGATGAGTAAATGCTTCTTGAATGAATGAATGCATCAATGGATGCATCAATTAATGTGTCAAAGAATAAATGAAGAGCCTCTTGGGGAAAGCACAGCTTCTCTCTGTGGAGCTTAGTACTAGATAATTGTTTGGAAGCAGACTTCCAGGTTAATACTCTGTTACTGCCCTTTACCAGCTGTTGTGACTGGGCTTATTTTCTTAGTCACAGTGAATCCATGTCCTTATTCATAAAATGGGAGCAGAATTATACTCTCCAGTATACTCAATATACTAATTGTTGTGAAAATTAAATTAATATTTGCTAGGGCCTTGCACACAGTATTTGATAAATATTGGTTATTACTGATTATTTTTGCTTCTTCAACTCTATATTCTATACTTCTCTGATCTCAAATGCTTCCTTTCATATCTAATAGTCTTTTAAACTATAGAAGCTCTTCAATTTTTTTTTATTTCTAAAAGTTTCATTCGTATTTACTTTCTTGTATGTTCAAAGTGATTAAGAGGAGTCTGACTTTGCAATCTCCAGAGGCATCACCTCCAAATATGAGTCTGAATCAGCCCTCTGGAACTTGAAAAGTAGAAATTATTTTCTCTTTCCTGCTGATAGATATTATGATAAGCATTCTTTTTGCAAAATAGAAGAATCCATGTACATTGATGGGGGTCTCTCTCCTGTAACCTGATGCCCTTCGGAAGTGGGAAGTGTGACTCCTTAGCAGCAGTGATGTGTGTACTTGTCACCATCCCTGCTTCTTGATGTTGTGCAGTTTCAAAAAGCCCGTGAGCTTGGGGAATCACCTATAACTTGGAACAAGTTTCATCCAGAGCCCTTTCCCTGGGCTTTGACTTTAAATTATCACACAAACTCCTAGCTCTCTCTTAAACTGACATCAGACCTTAGATATTGATAATGCTCTTACACATTCAAACATATTTCTTCCCCACCACATTTCTTGGTCTTCTCATTAAATTTTTCCTATGTGCAACTGGGGATACAGCAATGAACACAAAAGACAAAGATCCCTGCCTCCCTTGGAGCTTGCTATTTAGTAGCAGGAAACAGATTATCTATAAAAATAAGCAGGTAGATATGTAATATATTAAATGGTGATAAAAGCCTGGGCAACAGAGTGAGAGCCCATCTCTACAAGATATTGAAAGATTAGCTGGGCATAGTGGTGTGCATCTGTGGTCCCAGCTACTCGGGCAGCTGAGGTGGGAGGATAGCTTGAACCCAGGAGGTTGAGGCTGCAGTGAGCCATGATCACACCACTGCACTTCAGCCCGGGCAACAAAATGGGACCTTGTCTCAATAAGTAAACAGTGGTAAGTTTTAAGAAGAAGAAAAGATTAAACGAAGTGAAGATGCTGCAGAGTGGAGACTGCTGGTTGTTCGGGGACAGGGAGGGTAGGGAGTATTCTTGTGTACAGAGGGGGATTGGAGAAGTCCTCAGTGTTGAAGTAATATTTGAACTGAGAACTGAAGGAGGGGAGGGAGTGAGTCATGCTGCTGTCTGGGGAAAAATTCCCAGACATAAGGAGCAGTATTTTGTAGAAGTGGTCTTCACTTGCTGCAGGAATGGTACAGAGGCTGGTGTGTCTGGAGTGGAGTGAACAAGGAGAGGGAAGGGTAGGAGATGGGACCGTGTGTGAGCAAGTCAAGGACAGATCATACTGCATGGATTTCTCTTCACTTTGAAAATCATGTCTCCTCCCTACTGATGCATCACCATGCTCACACCCTTCTCAATATGTCATAGTTTTGATCATTGTCACCTTTGTCAGCATCGTTTTTAATATCATCTAAACATTTCCTTTAAGCATTATTTTACCTTTCATATGAACCATTTCAAATAGAACAGTAGAGAAAAATGATGACTAACTCTAACAAAGCTTGTATATTGAATACAGGTTAAAACGTTGGGGGTAAGGGAGAGAGGGAAAGGAATTATTACATATCAGCTTGATGTTTCCACCATTTATTCCTCCTTCCCTTCCAAATCCCCCTCCAGAAGTATTTGCTGCCATGATTCTAGTATATATCTTATAAGCACTTTCAACTGAGATATAAGGAAATAAAGAATATTCATAAAAGACTCCAAAGCTTAAGATAATCACAGCAAATGTGCCTTAACAAAAGATCACTGTGGTGGCCAAGATGATCTTGATTGTTCCCATCAGCTATTGGTGAACAGGACTGTGTTCTTTTCTCTGGAATGTAGCTTTGTTCAGAGTTTATAAACTGAACATTTATAAGTGAACAAACTTCTATAGTGTTTCTTCTTTTCTGTAGTCATCCAGTCTAACTTCTTCATTTTATAGCCAAGGAAGCTAAGGTAGAAGCAGAGCCTCACAGGTACGTAAGGGTGAAGCCAGGAGTAGAACCCAAATCTTCCACTCTGACCTTTTACCACTTTCTGCTGATGGTGGCCTGGGTCACATACATGTGCAGGTGTCTTTATAGCAGCATGATTTATAATCCTTTGGGTATATACCCAGTAATGGGATGGCTGGGTCAAATGGTATTTCTAGTTCTAGATCCCTGAGGAATCGCCACACTGACTTCCACAATGATTGAACTAGTTTATAGTCCCACCAACAGTGTAAAAGTGTTCCTATTTCTCCACATCCTCTGCAGCACTATTCACAATAGCAAAGACTTGGAACCAACCCAAGTGTCCAACAATGATAGACTGGATTAAGAAAATGTGGCACATATACACCATGGAATACTATGCAGCCATAAAAAATGATGAGTTCATGTCCTTTGCAGGGACATGGATGAAGCTGGAAACCATCATTCTCAGCAAACTATCGCAAGGACAAAAAACCAAACACCACATGTTCTCACTCATAGGTGGGAATTGAACAATGAGAACACTTGGACACAGGGTGGGGAACATCACACACCGGGGCCTGTCGTGGGGTGGGGGGAGGGGGGAGGGATAGCATTAGGAGATATACCTAATGTAAATGATGAGTTAATGGGTGCAGCACACCAGCATGGCACATGTATACATATGTAACAAACCTGCACATTGTGCACATGTACCCTAAAACTTAAAGTATAATAAAAAAATTACAAATAAATTGCTAACAAATAAAAAAAAGAGGGAAAATGGAAGGGCTGAGCAATTTTAAAATTGACTTGAGAAAGGGAAAGCAAGATGGTGAAAAACCCCAACAATCTCATACAGAGACATTTTGGAGAATACTGGCCAGGAGAGAGGAAGCCAAAACCCTCATTGCTGGTAGGTAATATAGCTGTGGTACAGAAAGGGTTGCAAATCGGGAAACCAAGTGAGTTATCTACCATTTTTTCAATCTCTGTCACTTACTGACTTTGAGTACTTACTTGAACCAGCCACTTCTCTTTTTAATACATTTTCTTCTCTATAAGATTAGAGAATTAGATTAATTAGAGATGGTGAATGCTTAGCACATAGACATGAATCTCCAGTTTCATGTCTATATATTGCAAATTGATCCTGGATACCTACTTCTTCAAATCTTCTCAACACAGTTTTAGAGCAAAAAGAAATTGGTACTTGAGATTAAATTTATTTAGCATATTTAGACTAGATGATCTCCTAGGTTTCTTCTAGCTGCAGAACTCCATGATGAAGTGTATCATTCCAGGGGTCTTCTCCATGCTTTTCCCTTCTCTCCTCCCCAGTGAAGGGCTCACTGAAGTGTCCTGCTTTCCCATGTGAATGCTGTCATTTCTCCTGAAACTGGTAGGCCCAAATGTAGAGCACGTGGCTTCTCCTTGACCTGACTTTGCAGCAGACAAGAGTAAGGAGGGTTTGGCATACTCAAGTAGTTCCTGCTGGGAAAGGCAAGATCGAACAAAATGTTGTTTACCTCTCCCAAGTCAGTATCTAATGGGACTTGAAGGCAGATGATGTATTATGGTTTTATGAGTTTCAGAAGAGATTGAGGCCTGGCAAGGAGTATCTGAGAGGATAATTTAATACAGAACAGCTCTAGCTTAGTCACTGAGCTATTCAGAACATATGAATGTGGCTGGCCAGTTGGAGACACAGACTCAAAGCTCCCCTATGAAAGAAAGGCAAGCCCAAGTTTCTCAGAACTTCATCATTTTTGCTGGGAAGTGTGCCTAATAGAAAAAAAATGTTCTGCTGAAACCAAGGAGGCAGTAAAATTATAAGTTCAAACTTCCCTCATATTTGCCTGTGCTCTGAAGATCATCAAAGAGAAAGCTTCATTCTTTCTATTTGAAGAGAGCCTAATATTGTTCATTGTAACACCATCAGTATATTCTGAAATTGTCTTTTTTTTTTTTTTCTTTTGAGATGGAGTCTCGCTCTGTCGCCCAGGCTGGAGTGCAGTGGCCAGATCTTGACTCACTGCAAGCTCCGTCTCCCAGGTTGACACCATTCTCCTGCCTCAGCCTCCCGAGTAGCTGGAACTACAGGCACCCGCCACCACGCCCGGCTAATTTTTTTTTGTATTTTTAGTAGAGACGGGGTTTCACCATGTTAGCCAGGATGGTCTCGATCTCCTGACCTCATGATCCACCCGCCTCGGCCTCCCAAAGTGCTGGGATTACAGGCGTCAGCCACTGCGCCCATCCCTGAAGTTATCATTTAATAAATCACTTTTATATTCACATACTTCTGGAAAGGGCTCCAGAATGTTAGTTCTTTCTGTTACTAGCTTGCACTTGTGGGTCCTTGTTCAGCGAATGCACCTGATGAATCACAGCTCCTAGGATCCTCACACTGGTGGAACTTCTTCTGTGCACTGAATTTTGCTTAGGTCAATGAGACATTGGCAAAATGTGACTCAAACAGAGATTGATGAGTGCATGTGTATTGGGGCTTGTCCTGCCTTCACCCTGTGAGGAAGTGCAGCCTGAGCTTGCCTCTTTGAGATTGAAAGACCCTAAAGAGAGCGATATCCAGCCAACTCAGCTGTCCCAGCTGAGCCTTGCTCTCAGCCAATCCTCCAGCAGCATTTAGCCATGTTAGGGTACCTGGAGAAACAGCAGAAAAACCAGCCAGCCAACCCACAGAACTGTGAAAAGTGAAAAACGATTGTTTTAACCCACTAGGTTTAGAGATTACTGATTACATATAAATAGGTAACTGGTACTATGACCATGGGCTAGTTCCAGAAGTCTAAGAAGCCTGAGTTGTCTCTTCCATCAGATGGAAATAATGACATTCACTCTACAGGAATATTGTGAGGGTTAAATATAATGATGAGTTTGATTGCCCCTACAGTGGTCACAGTAGGCACTAGGCTTTTAAGAAATTATCTGTTTCTATTACCATTTTTGCTGCCTCCATATCTGTAGGAAGAAAAAACAGTGAATTTGGCTTCTATCATGAAAATTTTGCTGAACATTTTCCATGCAAATTGTTTTATAGATCCGTCAGGGATGGTTAATCAAGATGAGAAAAGTTTTTCTTGTCATAGAATACTTTTGGAAGTTAATATAAGGAAAAACTGACTTGTCAGAATAATAACATCTGCCTAGCTCATATTGATTTATTTTCAAATAATTTGATGAACTATGCATTTTGACTAGCCAGTAGCTACTAAGAGAAACTCTCTGATGATACTAGTTTAAAACAGCATATAACAAGCTCAGAACATAATTGAGGAAAACAGCTTATTCATTTTTGAGATGAAAAACATCACCCATCACATACCTTGATGCTGACTCAAGCTTAAATATGGCACAAATGATTTGCTACAAGACTATATATTTGTAGAAAATGAAGTCTAATGGTGTAATTATGGAGAAAATCACAGCCCTGTTTACCAGGCATTCTCAACAAAATTTTTCAAAAGACGTGCGGTGGTGGTAGATCAGTATGTTTGAAAAGATGGTGTACTTTGAAGCAGCTAAAGGATCTAGAGTGGCTCAGTCCATTGAAAACAGATTTACTGCAGTGGGGAACATCATTATGGCCCATGGACATTCAAGCGGAAATAAACAAAACAGGAAGAATATAGGATGATGAAATTACTTTGGCCCTATTCAGTGTGTTGTGTAATGGGATTCTCAGGCTGTTACTGACTGAGTTGGTGAAAACTAGAAAATGTATGCAACATTACTGGAGAGATTATCAGTATAAAAATACAAAGCAACCCAGAAGCTAGTCTGAGTCAGACTTCTGGGGAGGTTAGGAATGATTTAAACTATTTTGAGATTTGAGATTTTTTTTTTGGCTTATTTTGGCAAGTTTCTGTAACCTTCTTATGTTTAAACAATAAATTTTTTACGATAACATGTATTACAGATTACACATTAAATTGCAATAGGAACATGGCAGACTTGCAAGGGTACATATCTTAGACCCAGAAGGTCTTATTTCTAGTTACCTTTATGTGACTTTGAATAAGTCACCTCATTGGGTCTTGGCCTCTACATCTTTAAAATAAAGATATTAGAAGTTATCTATCAGATATTTTTAAGCTCTTAAGATGCCTGATTTTCATTAATTTTATGATTTAAGTTAGGCAATAGTGGCAGGCTAAATAGTGACCTCTAATGAAATCTAGGCCCTAGTCTTGGGAACCTGTGAACCATGACTTACATGGCAAAGGCGACTTTGCAGATGTGACTGAGTTAAGGATTTTGAGAAGGGATGATTATCCTGATTATCTGGGCAGGTTCTAAATGTAATCATTAAGTGTCTTTATACATGAGTCAGAGGGTGATTTGACTACAGAAAGGGAAGTAGGAGATGTGACAACAGAAACGAGGTTAAAGTGATTCGATAGAGGAGTTATTAGCCAAGGAATGGAGGCAGCCCCCAGAAGCTGGAAAAAGCAAGGAAACCAATTCTTCTCTGAAATCTCCAGTAGGGATCAGTCCTGTTGACAACTTGACTTTAGCCCTGTTAAACTGATTTCAGGCTTCCGTTCTCTAGAATGGTAAGAAAATGAATGTGTATTTTTAAGCCAATAAGTTTGTAGTAATTTGTTATAACAATAACAGTAAACTAATATTGCAATAAAAAACCATAAGATCCAGTTTGAGATTTAAATGACTTAAATCGTGGAATAGTAACTCCTGATTTAGCCATTTATTGGAGCACTTTTTTGGCACTAGCAATGGGACAGATGTGAAACCTAGTGCTGCAGTTGAGATATGTTAGAGTTGTAGGATGCACTTGGCCTGGAGTTACAGTAAACTTAACCCACACAGGCTGAAACATTACAGAGGATTTATTTGCTATGTAACTAAAAAGTCCCAAGGCAGACTGGAGGTCAGGAATTGTTTAACCAGGGATCAAGATCCATTTCTCTACAATGTTCTCAACTCTGCCCTCCTCCATACCACAGTTCATACATAAAGGTGGCAGGAAGAGGAAGAGGACCATGCAAGGCCATATGTGCATACATGGCAATGTCCAGAGGAAGAGTGAGCATATTTCTTCCGGAATTTCTCTCAAGGGTGAGGAAACACCTTTCCCAGCAAACATCCTTCCCCTTGTGGCTATAACCAGGGAGTGTCCTGTTCTAGTCAGCTTAGGCCTAGATTACCCAACGAATCCATGTCATGAAGAATTTGATTACCTTTACACGTTTTGTACTGCCAGCAGAAATGCAGCTGGAGTTAGCTTTCCCTGAAGCTGTGTGCAGGAGAGGTGGATATCTGAAAGAAAATCATGGTGCTTTTCAAAATGGGGAAATGGATTCTAGGAAAGCCACTGGAACTTTACATTGTAATAATCTTTATATATATCGTGGAAAGATGAAGTAGGGGAGATTAAAGTGGAATTAAGGAGGGGCAAAATATTGTGATAAAAGCCATTCTAAAGATACCCCAAAATACTATGGGAAAATGCACAAACAATGTGGAAGAATGAAGAAATCTGACTGGGATGGTTTAAGGTTACATTCTTGGAGGAGTAATGTATAAACTGAACCTTAAAAGGTGGGTGGGAGCTAGTAAGGTGAAGAGGGTAGCATTTCAGGCAGGAAATAGATTGCTAAAAGCTGAAGAAGTATGAAAAGCTTAATGAGGTCTGAGAGCAGAGAGAAATTCAGTGTGGCTGAGTAAAAATTGAGTGGGAGAGGGGAAGGGCACCATGGTACGTGAAGCTGGAAAACAAGTTTGAGGCTGGATTTCTGTATTAATAAATGTGTAGTGTATGCATTTTACATGTATATAATGTGTACATTTTATAGGTCATGATAAGGAGTTTGGTTTTCATCCCAATAACAATGGGGAGCCAAAGTTTCCATGGTCATAGGACTACAGCATAGAGAACTAATTGAGAGTAGAGTAGACAAAACATTGCAATTAGTTGGAATTAGGAGCTAAGGAAGAGTGAGCTGGGTTAAGGACTACTTAAAAAAGTATCTGGATGAGTGAAGGATCTTTATGTAACCAGAAATGAGTTTGAAGCTCAGGACCTGAGGTAGAGATATTGAGTGGGCAGTTGGAGAATGAAGATAGAGAGAGCCCGTAGAAGAGGTGTCATTCTCTCCCGCACACAGATGAGAATAAGGAGGTGAGGAGATGTAAAGAATTTTGTCTGAAGTCATGGGACAGAAAGAACCTGATGAAAGATTCAAATCTAGCTCTTCAAAGCTCATGCTCGTAAAACCTCCACGATTTGAATTGCAAAAGTTCTTTCTGGTTAAGAAACACCTGTTTGGAAGATGAAAACTGAAGCTCAGAGAAGTGATTTATTCAAGGCCACATAGTCATTAGGTAATAGAACTAGGCCTTAAGAACAAACATTTTAGTGGCAACTCCAATGCCATTTCCATCATGTGCCATTGTCTCTCTGTAAAATTTTGCTTTCTGGGGACATTGTTGTTTCCCTTTATTACATACAGAAGCAAATCTTTGTCTTGATTCTGCAGAGAAAAAAAAAAGTCAGACTAGGCTACCCGCCTACTGCAGTAGTTCTCAACCTGGATAATTTTAATCCCTAGGGTACATCTGGCAATGCCGGAGATGATTTTCTA
Source organism: Homo sapiens (assembly GCF_000001405.40). NCBI lineage: Eukaryota > Metazoa > Chordata > Mammalia > Primates > Hominidae > Homo > Homo sapiens. The sequence continues at coordinate 111,702,322 of NC_000010.11, read as the reverse complement.
TGTCATAATTGGTGTGGGGGCGCTACCTCACATCTTGTGTGTAAAGGCCAGGAATGGTGCCCAACATTCTATAATACACGGGCCAGCCACCCACAACATACCTGAATTAGGATCCCAGGTCTACCTGGGTGTTTTCTATGAATTCACTCACTTTCCATATTTTTCCTACGATAGTATCTGTCTAATATGCTATTGGCATAACTAAATGAGATAATCCATATAAAGCATTTAGAATGGAGTCAGCAAGGTTTAGTTTTCTCCACTGTGTGTTAGTTATTGCCATTACCAGTGGCCATCAGAATATGATAAATGGGGCCGGACGCGGTGGCTCACGCCTGTAATCCCAGCACTTTGGGAGGCCGAGGTGGGCAGATCACGAGATCAGAAGATGGAGACCATCCTGGCTAACACGATGAAACCCCGTCTCTACTAAAAATACAAAAAAATTAGCCGGGCGCGATGGCGGGCACCTGTAGTCCCAGCTACTCGGGAGGCTGAGGCAAGAGAATGGCATGAACCCGGGAAGCGGAGCTTGCAGTGAGCCGAGATAGCACCACTGCACTCCAGCCTGGGCGACAGAGCGAGACACCGTCTCAAAAAAAAAAAGAATATGATAAATGTAAAAACATGTTCTGTTCAAATAATCAAAATGATTTGAATGTATAGATAAAAGCTCTTTTTTAAGATAACTGTGATGGATATTTAATTCTGCTTGGCAAACAATAAACTTACTTTCTAATAATAGATTCGTTTTCTAAATAAGGAACGGAATATGGATTAGTAAAGCAGAGCCTCAAGAGTTTGGCTATATCAGCAACAATGTGATTTAGGTGATGTACGTGGGAAGTGATGAGAGAAGGAATTGAGTATTTCACTGTATAAAGTGGTAGCTGAGCTGAACCTTTCTGTGTGATTAATGAATCATTCCTCTAGAATGGTAGGGTTGGCATAACATTATGGAAAGAGATTTTGAGCTCGTAGACAAAGACTAGAGTTTGAATTGCCAAGTCAAATGCAAAGTTTTCTTATATCTCTGGTTTTCAGTTTCGTATCTATAAAATGAGAAAGTTGGATTAGATCATCTCTAATGTTACTCTGGCATCACCATCCTAAAATGAATCAATACTGATCTTAGCAAAATACTGTTAATCTAAGCTTTGCCTTTATGTCACTGCTATCCTCTTAGCATCATTTTAAATAAATGCAGTTTATTGATCATACCCCTGGAGGCTGATGGGTGACTTTTTTAGGAGGAAACTTTCTACGAAATATTTAAAATAGTTTCCTCCTAAAATTCAAGTTATGCCCTTAGTGACACCACACTGTAAGGAAAAATATATCTTCTCTAGGTGAAGACAAGTGGTTTAGACAGCAGTTACAGAGGATGCATAAATAACTGGATTGGTGCCTTACCCTGAGGCAACTTCAGTGAAAGGTTTTGCCCTTATTTCTATTTGTCCTCTCTTCCTTGTCCATCTCTCATGGGGTCATACCCCATCCTGCTGTTCCCTTAAGGAAACTTTCTTTGCAATTCAGGTCTTTTCTGTGAGCTCTGAAGAGACATAACTTTGGTCTGTGTCTTTGTAAATTCCTTCTCCTCTTAGTGATTTATTTTTTAAAACTGAATTGACATAATTATATACACTCATTTTCAAAATTATTGAAAACACTGAAATGAGTAAAGAAGCAGAAAAAAATTATCTGTAATCTCACAGCCTAGTAGCAACAGTGGTTGTAATTGTCAAAAGATAAAATTTCAACACATTTAGTTAAATGATCTAATTAGCTTTTATTTCTAGTTCATAATTTGGGTAGCATCTCATCTAAAAATAGAGGGGTCCTATAGTGGGCATGACAGAACAGTCACTTTTTTATAAGGTAGCTTGAATAGGAACAAAGAAACATTGGCATAATAGAAAAAGTGGATTAACATGATTAATGTGAGGCTGCTTCAGGTTACTTTCCTTGTGTTAAAGTAGTAGGGACTTCCTTATCATTCTGGCTAACACTGGCCTATTTAGAGATTTGGCTAGTATCTTTCTTTCCTGATTTCTTGGAATATTAGACACACAGTTTACTTTTGGTTTTGTTATGTGAGACTTTAGCATGAGTGACTCCATTTTGGTTTGGTCTGTTGAGGTCTAGTGCAGAAGCTCAATTCAAATCAGTGGTCTCCTATACATTTTATTTAATATAGTTTAACATTTTTAAATATTTTATGCCTTTTTTCATGTAGGTGATTGAAAATATTTTAGCTTCAAACCTTTATTTTTTTAGCATCCTACCATAAGCATTTCCCTATCCCATTAAAAATCCCTTGACAATCTTTGACTTAATGAATGCAGATTATTCCATTTAGGGATCATATGCTTTCTTAATCAGTCTCCCATTTTGGGGCATTTCTTTTTTTCACTATTATAAATAGTAAAAGCTACTTATGAATAACTTTGAAAATAAATCTTTACCTGTATACTTTTGTTTTTAATATACGCCTAGAGTTTCAGGCTTTGGGTCAAGGGGCAAAAGGGGATGAAAACCTTTTTTTTTTTTTTTCTCAAGACAGGGTCTCCCTCTGTTGCCCAGGCTGGAGTGCAGTGGCATGAACACGGCTCACTGCAGCTTCGACCTCCTGGGCTCAAGTGATCCTCCCACCTCAGCCGCCTGATAACTTGGACTGCAGGCGTGTGCCACCATACCCGGCTATTTTCTTTTTCTACTTTGTAGAAAAGTAAGGGAGCAATTTTAAAAGGTTAGCCAAATTGTTTTCCTAATTATATTAACTTACAAACCCATTAGCGTGTATGAAAATGCTTGGTTTTGTAAGATTAGCCAGATCAAAGGAAGCAGCTTCTCTAAAGAAGTATCTAGATAAATATAGTGGTATACACTAGAGTTTTAAAATTTGAGAGCAGAGTCCTAGAAAAAGAAATCTTAAGAAACAGATCATTAGCAACAAGCTTGGAGAAGTTAAATGCAGATGTTTGCCTTTCTGTTTTTATTACACAGCTGAAAGGGCAATGATTGGCTTCTTGTTTTCCCTCACCAATCTACCAGCTCCATCTCTGGTAGATTGGTAAGGGAAAATATTTGTTGATTTCAAATCGGAAGTTCATTTTCTCAGGGTGAAATTTTCCAAAAGCTGTCTTCATATTGCTATCTAGCTCCTTATGCTGGGTCAGGGGCAAGCTAAGTTCATAAGCAGAATTAGCCAGATCAAGCCAAAGGCATTAAGTGATAGAACTCATAATTCATAAAGTAGATGTTATTCTGATTGGTAGTATCTATATAAATTATTCTATGTCTTCAGTATCTTTCAGTAATGGACTTAGTGCAAATGAATATGGAGAGTTCCTCGAGGCCATAGAAGTGCTTGATAAACCATTGGGGAAATGTAGGATGATTGCCAAATGGAAACCAGCAAAATGATTCAGCCTCAGTTCTGTGTCACATGAGGAGATGGAGGCCACTGCAGGGGAGAAGGGGAGGGAAAAATCAACTGTGAGAACTGTGGTTCCCGGGAAAGCTGTGCAGCTTTTGAATCTAAAAAGAGAATTAGGAGACACTTGAATGTTATCATAACTCCTTAAGAGTGATACCTGGAGGACTGGACTGAAGAGAGAGAAAGAAACAGAATAGGAAAAATAAATATTGGGAGTAAGGCAGCAAAGGAGGTGAATTTCAACTCATGTGGATTCTATTTGATTTGAGATTGTATCAAACCTCCTTCTGAAAAGACAAGATAGCCCACAAATTCCAAGCCTAATAAATACAATAGAAGACATGTAATATTTTTGACCCAAAGTGGAAATCTTGCATTCTTTAGGCCACATGGGATATGGCAATTCACTTGCAGGATCCAAATAGAACTTCTCTTTGTCTCTACCACTCAATGTTACTCAAGGTTAACACCAAATACTTATGGATCTCATGAATTCCCAGGAGTTTCACATAGTGATACAGTCTATAATTTAAAAAAAAAATGGCAGCTCTCCTGAGAGCATATACCCACAAAAAGGCAGCATGTTCGACATTTTAGGTAATTTCAGGATTATGAGGAGAGCCTCAAAGGGGCTCAAAAGCTAGTTGCTAGGATTGGAATGTGTCCTTCAAAAAGCGTGTATTGGACACTTAATCCCTAATCCAACAATGTCAGGAGGTAAAGCTCAAAGAGGGGTGATTGGGCCAGGAGGGGTCTGCCCTCATGAATGGGGTGAATTCCTTATAAAATGATGAGTGTGGCCCCCTTCTCACTCTCTTTCACCCTTTCTTTGTTCCTTCACCATGAGATACCACAGCACAAAGGCCCTTATCAGGTGCCAGTACATTGATCTTGGGCTTTCCAGCCTTGAGAACCATGAGCCAATAAATTTCTGTTCGTTACAAGTTACTCAGTCTCACCTATTCTGTTATAGCAGCACAAAATGGATCTCGACACGAGTAGAGAGGATAAAACACAGCTCAAGTAGTTATTATTCACTAATACAAAGGAAAACTGACAAATATCAAGAACATAAAAAAAATGTTTTTGGGAATCAAAAAAAGAAAAAGTTCTTTTTGACTTGCATAAGCAGTGTACAACTAGGGTGGGAGAAGGGGACTTTAGAAGCTAGAATAGGCTGGGCGTGGTGGCTCATGCCTGTAATCCCAGCACTTTGGGAGCCTGAGGTGGGCAGAGTACCTGAGGTCAGGAGTTCCAGACCAGTCTGGCCAACATGGTGAAACCCTGTCTCTACCAAAATTACAAAAAATTTAGCTGGGCATGGTGGTGTGCACCTGTAATCCTAGCTACTTGGGAGGCTGAGGCAGGGGAATTGCTTGAACCAGGGAGGTGGAGGTTGCAGTCAGTGGAGATTGTGCGACTGCACTCCAGCCTGGGCAACAGAGTGAGACTCCATCTCAAAAAAATAAATAAATAAAGAAGCTAGAATAGCACAGGCAAAGTGTGGTCAGTTGAAAGTGGATTGGCTTAGTTGAAGTCTGGAGAACATTTTGGACAGAGGTTAGAAAACTGTACAAAAGGTGGGACTTGAATGGCTGATGGAGGAGTAGAGACAGGATTTGATTTATTAGATAATGGAAAGGTGAAAGGTTTCTGAGTTAAGGGATGAGGAGATCAAATTGTGCTTACAGAAGATCAACCTGCTTACACCCACATTATTCAAACACTGCTGTTAGGGGGAATAAAGTCTCAATTTCCTGTACTTTCTGAATGTCTGGTGAGGAGGAAGCAGCCAACATAAATTATTTCACCATCTTTAGGGAACTCATTTGTAGGAAGATGTTGTATAGCTGAGGATTCTTGGATTATACATATGCGCACAGAGTAAAGAATTAGGGCAATTATTTAAAAATCTTGACTAGAAGGCTCACATTCACTTGACAAATCCTGATTGTCAATGAAAAATGGTGGGTACGGCTTTCATTCCTTAATTTGATTTGATTTGGGGTTGTTTGCTTGAGTCATTTAGATAATTGCCTTTTTTTCCCACCTTTTCTGATTTCTGTACTCATAGCCCTCATGTGTCAAGATACTTAAGGGACAGGAGGAAACCCCCTTCCCTGGTTGTGTTAGGAGCTCCTTTCCCAAGCTAGACCCATTTTTCTCTCTTTGTTTCCCAGTGTAGACTTTAATCTCAAGAGAGGAACTTCAAACTGGAGCTCTGTCTAGATTGATACTCAGCTCCTTCTGTCTTTTTTCAACTCCTTTGAGGAAGTCTTGGAATGATTTCCCTTGGTAGAAAGGAAGCAAAAGTTAGCAGGAACCCACTGAATCACAGTCAGGGAAATTGTCTTGATAAGCTGAATACTGTTCCCTCAAAAGATGACACTCCATAGGGACTTAGATGTTCAACATTGTTCTTTCCAATGTTTCTAGGTTTGTTTTAGGAGAGAATAACAGAAAGAGGGGAAGATAGCAGTGACATCTGCCTTCTTTATGGATTACATGAGTCATTTGTCTATGTAATTAGTACGATCCCCCCAAAACACTTGAATTTAAGGATCATTACTTTATTTTTCTTAATAAAATAGAACCTAGTTATGAGCTCCCATTCACTAAAGCTTTCAAAAGTTGCTGTCTCTGTTGTGTTTTAGGAAGTTTGCTCTCAATTCATCGGGGCAGTGGCAATTCTGAAGAACTTACATGGTAGACAGAAAAGGGGGAGAGTCATGGACCTTAGTTTACTTGGTCATCAGTGTAATTCAGCCAGGTAACCCTATTATGACCATATGCCTATTATGAGATCCTCACTACAGAGAATCTGTCCTTGCTATTGCTTTTAAGACTTGGCATTTAAAATCCATCATCCAAAGCCATCCCACATTTGTTCCCCATCTGGGAAACTGCTGGTTGGCCATGGGTCTCTGCCCTTCTCAGAACCACTCCAAACTGTCATTCCCGTCTTGGCCTCTCTTTCTTGTCTTCTGAAGGCAATACTTGTATGCTTCTCCAGATGAGAAAGAGAGGAGAGAGAGAGAAAAAGTCAGTTAGTTTTAGGGTTTTAGGTTTTGGTGGATAGGATGGACTGATCAGTGCTTTTAGAAATATAATTCTTATTTCTCATGACTGGGATAAACATTGTGATGTGAAATCAAAAAAGGTTGTAATTGTTTCTTGGTGAATTCACAGTAGCTTCCTCCAAATCTCTGAAACATTTTTAGCAGGTTTTCTTTTTCGTGGGGGCAAGTGACAGGAATTTTGAGTGTTTCCTTTTAATACTTGTCTATCTTTGTTTAAAATAGCAATAAGTAAATAGCCAGGGAAAGGTTAAGGGTAGGAAAGACCTGAGAAAAATATTAGGAATTGAGGTATCGGGTTTTCTACAAGTTGTCTATTCCCTCCTGGCCCAGTGGGTTAGCTATTTCTAATTATTCTTTCAAGAAAAGGAATAACCCTTTATGGCTACAGGCCTTGGGCAAGGAGGTCATTCCTCACCTCCTGAGAATGTGAAGCCTGTTTCTCTTACCCTCTTTCCAATCCAAGTTAGTACCACATCCATAGTGTTAAGACCTGGATCTGACTCCCGTAACTCATGGCTTCCTGCCTCTTGATACTCTGAATTTCCTCTTTATTTTGGGCACCCAAAGAATCTCTTCATTTATTTCCACCTTGGCCACATATCCAACCATTATTTTGTCTGGTTGAATGCAGGACTTCCAAGTGTTAGCAAACTCTTTTATTATGAAAAGTTTTTTTATTACAAATTCAATATCTTTAATAGCTACAGGGTTATTCGGATTTTTTTTACTTTTATTCTTGAGTCAGTTTTGTCAGTTGTGCTTTTCAAGGAATTTTTCCATTTAATTTAAGTTGTTGAATTTATTGGCATATATTTGTTCATAATTTCCCATTACTATCTTTTAATATCTCTAGGGCTTGTAGTGATATCCCCATTTTCATTTCTGATATTGTAATTTTTTTTTAAAACTATTCTTGCTAGGGGAGCTCAATTATTAAAGTACAATAATTTCAAGAATGAAAGTTTGACTTTTAAAATTTGCTCTGCTGTCTATTTTCTTTTTTGAACTTCTGCTCTTTATATTTCTTTCATTCTACTTGTTTTTGGTTTGCTCTACTTTTTTGGCTTCTTAAAGTAGAAACTTAGATAATTGATTTTAAGCCCTTCTTCTCTTTCCATTACAGGCATTTAAAGCTGTAAATTTCTCTCTATGCATTGTACAACATTGTGCATCTCATGATATTTCATTATCATTCAGTTTGGTATATTTTATAATTTCTCTTCTTTCTTTCTTTCTTTTTTTTTTTTTTTGTTTGTTTTTTGAGACAGAGTTTCACCCTTGTCACCCAGGCTGGAGTGCAGTGGCCCAATCTCAGCTCACTGCAACCTCTGCCTCCTGGGTTCAAGTAATTCTCTACTGCCTCAGCCTCACTAGCAGCTGGGATTGCAGGTGTGTGCCACCACACTGGGCTAATTTTGTATTTTAGTAGAGACATGATTTCACCATGTTGGCCAGGCTGGTCTCGAACTCCTGACCTCAGGTGATCCGCCCACCTCAGCCTCCCAAAGTGCTGGGATTACCGGTGTGAGCCACCATGCCTGGCCAATTCCTCTTATTTCTTGTGTCTCTGTGTGCTACTTAGAAGTTATATTATTTAATTTCTAATCATATGAGAATTTTCTAGATAACTTATTTTTATTGATTTTTTATTTGATTCTCTTTTGGTCAGAGAATATACCTTGAAGGAATGCAGGGAACTTCACCACAAAATATGGCTCTCTGGTATAATGAATATTTTCAATTAAAGGCCCTAAGGTATCAACAGATGCTAGAAAAGACTTTTCCCCTATCTACATAAAGACCAAATGGACCCACCAAGAAGAACAATCATTTTTCTTTCCCTCCCTGCTATCTCATTATATATTGCAGAAAAGAAGATTGAGAATGTAACCACACCAGAATAGACACATTCACAAAATACCGTCCATGTCTCAGGCTCATTCAATTTCCAAAGAGAACCATTTACAAATTAATCTCTCATCTACATCTATTCATTCTCCCTAGCAATCATTTACTGCCCCTTGACAGAATTACCTATTTTCCCTCTCCCCCATGAAATAAGAATATATAAGTATTGGGGCCCTATGGAGATACTGAGTAATCATTCTGTGTTTCTCCCCTGTATACATATTAATAAATTTGTATGCCTTTTTTCTTACTAATTGGCATTTTGTGAGTTGATTTTTCAGTGAACTCGCAAAGGGTGATGGGGAAATACTTCCTTTGGCCCCTCCACTATTTAAGATTTCAATGTTTTGAAATTTACTGAAGGTAGTATTTCCCAGCACATGGTATTGTTATGGTGAAAGTTTTGAGTGGATTTAAAAAGAATGTGTATTCTGCAGTGTTTTGGGATGTCTGTGACTCTGTCATAGCTGGAAGCAGACAGAGGGAAAGTCCTTTCTAAATCAGCTTAGGAAAATTGTCATGAGTACTTTTTCATGTCAATAAATATTAATTAAAATATTCAAGAGTTTATTGCAACTTATTTAACCACTTCCTTTTTGTTATCATTTACATGGCCTCTTCCTCTCCTCTTCCTTCTTTCTCTCCTCTTAGTCTTTTTTCTTTCCTTTCTTCTACTCATCCTCTTGATAGTTTAAAAAGACATTTTGTGCATATTTATAATTTTTTTAGGGTAAAATTCCACAATCAGAATTATTGGGTAAAAGTGTAGTTTCCTTCCTGACCAACAGTCATCCAGAAAGTTACTACCTATTCCTATTCAGAGTACATGTGTACACATTTATTTGTACTCCTACCAGTAGTGATTATTTTAATTTAAAAATTTGGCAGTCTAGAGAGCTAAAAATGTTTAAGTAGTTAAATTAGCATTTTCAATGACTAGTGAGTTTAACTATATTTTTTATGTGTATTGGCCTTTAATACTTTTATAAATTATCCACATCTTTTGTCCTTTTTTATATTTAGGCATTTCCATTTTTCTTTTTAACTTATAAGTACTTTTTCTTATTAAAACTTTTAATCATTTATCATACACAAAGCAAATATTTCTTTTTAAGTATTTCTCTGGCAGTTTTTAAGGCATAGGAAGTTGTACTCATTAAGCAATTTCATCTATTTCTCTTTGTGATTTTTATTTTGCTTATTTTATGCTTGGAAAATCTATGTCTCAAAATCAGGTTTAATTTTTCTATATTTTCTTAAGTCTGTAATGCTTTTACTGATCTATATAGACAACATCTTGTTTGGTATAAAGATCTAATTTTGAAAAAAATTATACACTTATTTCCCTACCCTATTTATTGAATAATATTTTTTTCTTCATTGACTTCTGATACTACCTTCACAATTTATTAAATTCTTATCTACTCTAAAACTTTTTGCAGGCTTATCTATTTTGTCCCATTGATTTTCATCAGTATTTTTTTTGTGCCAGTATAACATGTTTTAATTGTTATAAGTTTCAAATACTTTTTAACATCTGCTGGGGCTTGACTTTCTTCTTTTCTTTTTCCTTTTTAAAGGAGAACTTGGCATTCTGTCTAATTTGAATTTATATAACATATTATGTATATATGCACATATTTATTCTTTACTCAATAGGTATTTTATTGAAAATATAATAACTTTATTAAAAATTTAAAATTTAAATTAAAATAAGGCAATTTGAGTTACCATCTTCAATTCTATTCCCCTGCTGTCGATTCCAGGGAAAATTACTATTGTGAGTTTAACAAATTTTCATTTATTACATTTAAAAATAACTTAGCATACAGTATATAAAGCCACAAACTAAATGAGGGGTCTTCAAAAAATCATGGAAAATGAATATTATGAAAAAACTATACATGGATGTCAAATTTTTTTGCACCAAAATAAACTCATGCTAACTTTTTATAACATGTCTGAACAGGATCTAGTTTGAGGCACTAAGAAATATAAGACACTAGTTTGAAAAAAGCCCCTATCAGAGCAACATGAATTCTGCTAAAATTTAAGCAAGAACAAATATCAAATTTATTGTGAAGCTTAGATGAAAGAATGGTGACATCACTGATGCTTTACAAAAAGTTTATGGGGACAGTGCCCAAAGAAATCAGCAGTTATTTATTTACAAATGGATAACTCATTTTAAGAAGGGACAAAACAATACTGAAGATAAAGCCTGCAGTGGCAGACTATCCACATCAATTTATGAGGAAAAAATTAATCTTGTCTGTATCTTGATTGAAGAGGAGACACAGATGAATGATTAACAGCACAAACAATAGCCAAAACATAGACATCTGTATTGGTTCAGCTTATACAATTCTGACTGGACAATTAAAGTTGAGCAAATTTTCCACTCAAGGGGTACCAAAACCACTGTACCCAGAGCAGCTCTGCAGAGCAGAGCTTTCAACTGAAATTTTAAGCAAGTGGGATCAAGATTCTGAAGCATTTCTCCAAAGAATTGTAGCAGGAGATAAAACATAGCTTTATCATTACAATCCTGAAGACAAAGCACAAGCAAACCAATGGCTACCAAGGGGTGAAAGTGGTTCAGTCAAAGCAAGAGCTGACTGGTCAGACGCAAAGGTCATAGCAACAATTTTGGGGGATGCTCAAGGTATTTTGCTTAACTTTCTGGAGGGCTAAAGAACAGTAACACCTGCTTATCATAAGAGTGTTTTGAGAAAGTTAGTGAAAGCTTTAGCAGAAAAATATCCAGGAAAGCTTCACCAGAGTCCTTCTCCACCATGACAATGCTCCTGCTCATTACTTTCATCTAACAAGAGAAATTTTGCAAGAGTTTCAATGGGAAATTATTAGGCATCCACCTTACGGTCCTGATTTGGCTCCTTCTGACTGCTTTTTGTCTCTTAATCTTAAAAAATCTGTAAAGGGCATCCATTTTTTTTTGTCAGTTAATAGTGTCAAAAATCTGTATTGACATAGTTAAATTCCCAGGATCTCGGTTCTTTAGAGATGGACTAAATGGCATCAAGACACTTAAAAAAATGTCTTGAACTTGACGGAGTTTATGTTGAGAAATAAAGTTTATATTTTTTATTTTTGTATTTTAATTCAATTTTTCCATGAACTTTTCGAAGTCCCTTTGTATATGGTAAACTTTTTAGTACTTTAAAAGTTTACTCAAATTGTATCCAATGTACGTCTCATGCTATTTTTTTATTTATTCACTGTCATTAAGTTTTTAACAACTACCCATTGATATGTATGCAGATCTAGATCATCTTGACAACTGTATAGTATAAAACATTTTTATTTTCAATCTTTCCATTATTTGTGTACATTTAAGGTGTTTCAATTTGTTTATAATTACAAACAACATTGCAATGAATGTCAACTGATAAGTTTCCTATATTCATACTAAATTATTTTAGGATATATATCTGGAAGTAAGTATCAGGCCACAGAGTGTGAAATTTTAAATCTCGTAGATATTGCCAAGTTGATCTCCAATGTAACTCTGTTGAGTCGACTTTCTATTAGCAGAAAACCATTACTTAAACCCTCATCAACCATCACCATTATCAGACTTAGGTATTGACATTCTGAGTGAAAAATAATACATCATTATTGTTTTAATTTGCATTTCCTTGGTCATTAGTAAAGCTGAACACCTTTTTATGTGCTTATTGGCTACTCATATATCTATTTCTTTGAATTGCTTGTTCGTATTTCTTGTCCACATTTATTTTGAGTTATTTGGCTTTATTCTTATTAATTTCTAAGATTTCCTTAGCTATTCTGGATATATTTCTATTCTTACATTGAAACATTTTCTGCTGCTCTGTTGCTTGGCACTTAGCCAGCTTAGAGGTGTAATTTTTCATGATGAGAGTTTTAATTTTTTTTTTTTTTTTTTTTTTGAGACGGAGTCTCGCTCTGTCGCCCAGGCTGGAGTGCAGTGGCGCGATCTCGGCTCACTGCAAGCTCCGCCTCCCGGGTTCACGCCATTCACCTGCCTCAGCCTCCCGAGTAGCTGGGACTACAGGCGCCCGCCACCACGCCCGGCTAATTTTTTGTATTTTTAGTAGAGACGGGGTTTCACCGTGTTAGCCAGGATGGTCTCGATCTCCTGACCTCGTGATCTGCCCGCCTTGGCCTCCCAAAGTGCTGGGATTACAGGCGTGAGCCACCGCGCCCGGCCGAGAGTTTTAATTTTGATGTAGTCACTTTATTCTTTTATGGTAAATGCTTAGTGCATTTTTAAAAATTTATAACTGCCAGAAATTCTATATGTAGCCTATATTGTCCACTGTAAGTTTAATTATTTTAATTTTATTTTTAAAGTGTATATGTAAATTATTTTTGCATTTTCTTATATAGGACCTTTTTTGTACTAGAAAGTCATTGAGCAGTCTATTTATTCCGCATTTTCCCCCATTGATTTGTGATAGCACTTCTATTATGTGCTATTTATGATGTATGTATAAGTTTGTTTCTGAGTTCTCTGTTCTGTTCATCTGTTTATTTTCGTACCAGCGTCACACACTTTTAATTACTATAGCATTACAGCAAGTCTTAGTATCTGGTAGGGAAAAGTCCTTCCGGTTATTCTTTAACAAAACTCTTTTAGCTGATTATTCCTCTATTCATATGAAATTCAGAATATGCCTGTCATATTTTGTATTGCCCTGACTTCAAAGATTAGGAGTTAAAGAACATATTAAGTCTTCACCTTAAGTAACAAAATGTGACTCCTACTTTATTCAAATTTATTCAACTTCAATAAAGTTTAATAAGTTTCTCCATAAACTTTCTAACTTGTTGTTAGATTTACTCCTAGTAACCTTAAATTTTAAATGGTGTCTTTTCTTCCATCAAATGTTATGGAATTTAGTTGATCCTACTATAATGAATTTTAGTTAATTTCATTGTTTTGAATATTAAAATATACTGTATTCTGTCAAATTATAATAATTTAGATAACTAACAGCTCTCTTTTTTTTTTTAGGATATTGGGTTTTCCATATTAGGCTCATATTTATTTTGATAAGTATACTTGACACACAAATCAGCTATGGCCGAGAGGAACTAGATGTTCACTAATATTTCCTCCTCCTGCGCACGTATCTCAGCATATCATTCAGTTTGGCTGAGGCTATGTTATTCATTATGGCCAATATAATGTGAGCAGATATAATCGAAGTAGGTCATTTTCGGACCTGGCTATAAAACAACTTGCAAGGTCCTTCTCACCTCCTTTTTTTTTTTTTTTTTTTTTTTTTTTAACTTTCTGGGTAAATACAAAAAATCCAACCAAGGACTTTGAGGAAGTCTAAGAGGATGGGAGAGCCATAAGAGGGTAGGAACTTGGTTTTTTATTTATTTTTTGGAATAGAACCAGCAAGGAAAGTTACATGATCTGTGTGGGATTATGATAATTTTCCTTTGTTTAGCCCCTGAGATTTTTATTTTATTTTATTTTTTCCATAAGTTATTGGGATACAGGTCATATCTGGTTACATGAGTAAGTTCTTTTAGTGGAGATTTGTAAGAACCTGGTGCGGCCGGGAGCGGTAGCTCACGCCTGTAATCCCAGCACTTCGGGAGGCCCAGGCAGGCGGCTCACGAAGTCAGGTGATCGAGACCATCCTGGCTAACACGGTGAAACCCTGTCTCTACCAAAAAATAGAAAAAATTAGCCGGGCATGGTGGCGGGTGCCTGTAGTCCCAGCTACTCGGGAGGCTGAGGCAGGAGAATGGCGTGAACCCGGGAGGCAGAGCTTGCAATGAGCCGAGATCGCGCCACTGCACTCCAGCCTGGGAGACAGAGCGAGACACCGTCTCAAAAACAGAAACAAAAACAAAAAAACCTGGTGCACTTATCACCCGAGCAGTATACACTGCACCATATTTGTTGTCTTTTATCCCTCACCCCACTCCCACTCTTCCTCCCAAGTCTCCAAAGTCCATTGTATCATTCTTAAGCCTTTGCATACCCGGAGGAAAAGAAGTCATTATTTGAAAAAGTTACTTGCACACGCATGTTTATAGCAGCACAATTTACAATAGAAAAATTGTGGAACCAACCCAAATGGCCATCAATCAATGAGTGGATAAAGAAACTCTGGTGTGTATATGTGTGTGTGTGTGTGTGTGTGTGTGTACACAGAATTTATCCTGAAGAAATGATTCAGAATCAAAAAATTATATATACACACATATACATATATAAATATATATATATGTATATAAATATGATGGAATACTACTCAGCCATAAAAAGGAGTGAATTAACAGCACTTTGAATGACCTGGATGAGATTAGAGACTATTATTCTAAGTGAAGTAACTCAGGAATGGAAAACCAAGCCATTGAGATTTTGAAGTTGTTTCAGCAGGTAGTTATGATAACTGTCCTAACTAACAGACTAACTTTTGACAAACAGTTTATCAACAACTACTTAACAGGATTCAGATTCAAGCTCTGTCCATGATTAGTTATCCAAGACACATTAGAGTGAATACTGGGCTTGAGTCCAGACTTTTGGATGAGAACTTGACATGAGGCCATGCTAAGAACAAGAGGGCACTCTAAGCTGTCTGATCTGGTGGATCATCGTAGCAGTGAGGGAAGGAGAGTGATCTTTGCTGTAGTAGCTCTATCTTCCAAGAACCCTGGAATTTTGAGTGAGGTGACATCATCTCTAAACCATCACACCCCTCTATGCCAAGCAGAAAAAAAACCCTTTGTCTACGTATTATTTTCATTCCATTCAGCAAACTCGCGCTGAACACCTCTTCCATATTATGCTCCCTGTGCACGTGCACACACACACACATACAAACATGCCAGAATCACGATCTCTCTCAGAGCCCCAGTTAAATTTTTCTGAAACCCCAGGGAAGATTTTCTCAACATAGAGTTACCCTGAAATTGATTTTCTACACTCGAGTTGTATAATAAAGGATACACCAGGCCCTGGAGACATTCTTGTCTGTATCAGCGAGTACCAAAACTAATTAATACACAGGAGAGCCTTTTTTTTTTCTTTAGGAAAATATCAGCCTATTAGTGTGGTTAAGAATAGTGATCTTGGTCTATTGTGTGTGTAAATTCTAGTCATATAAGTTCAAGTTGCCCATGGAGGTACTTAACCTTTCATGGTCAAAATTGTTGTCAGAAGCATTAGGAGGATTATGTTTTTCTCTATCTAAATTCCATAAGTGTAGTTTGGGTAGGAGAAAAATTGAGAATAGGACACAGCCTTAGCTAGGCAATGAAGTCATGTCTCATGAGGGAAAAAAATATGCTTTCTTCATACTAATTAACCTGACTTTGAAATTCTTGCATCACAAATAGGGCCAAATAATTGTTTTGTGTCCCATAATATTCAAGATTGGCAGCAAAGCAAACTCTTTGGCCTGCAGAGCATTCTCTTCAGTGCTTTAGAGGTCATTAGGGAGCACACATGACATCTACAAAGACGAGTGATGATGTGTAGTTTTTTCGGAGGTGAAAGGAAACAAATTATTAACCATTTGGTAAAAATTTAAAGCACACCTAACATGAATACTAACCTAGTAACCTACTATGTGTATTTGCATCTTTTTTGGAAAGTAATATAAGAGTGTGTATAGTAAGATATTGTCCATACCTTGAACCCAGTAATTTAAATTGTCAGAATTTATCCTGAAGAAACGATTCAGAATCAAAAAGGTATGCACACAATATCAAATATTTTAATTAATTCATTCTATAAATTTACATACAATGTCTGCTTAATGTCAGGTACTACACTAGGTACTAGGATTCAGTGGTGAACAAGAAAGTCAATGTTCATGGCTTCCATTCTGGAAATATGACAGTTACAGAGAGCCAGAAACTCTCCTCTTACAAAGCAACTAAAAATGCAATATAATATGAAATTTTAAAAGGACAATTTAAATAAATGTGTGAGCTTGGCAGAAAGGTCAGGGAAAGAATAGGACCATAACTCAATGGAGGCGAGCAACACAGTGAAGCTTTGGGCTGTTCGGGAGTGTGTGCTAACCCAAGTAATTGGTTTATAGTTTGGTTTTAACAACCTTATCAGCAGGACGAGTGACAAAGAATGAGTAGAGTGAAAGGCATCGAGTCAGCCTACCCTCCTCGATGGATAAAGCATAAAACCACAGAGGATGCGTGGAAATTCTGGTTTTCCGATTACGCTCCCCAGAGGCATAAAGGAGAGATACTTGTTGGTTTCAGCACTGGCTTTAATTGAAGGTGGAGAAAAAGCTTCCTTTGAGAATCTATAGCATCAATCAGCCCCCATGAGGGACTGGGGACTGAATTCACACATTTGGGAACTGAAAAGCCATAACTGAGACTTTTACTTTAAAATGGACAAAGGTAGTACTGTTTCTAGGTATTGGGTAGAAATAAATGCAAATATTCGGCCGGGCGCGGTGGCTCACGCCTGTAATCCCAGCACTTTGGGAGGCCGAGACGGGCGGATCACGAGGTCAGGAAATCGAGACCATCCTGGCTAACACGGTGAAACCCCGTCTCTACTAAAAATACAAAAAAAATTAGCCAGGCGTGGTGGCGGGCGCCTGTAGTCCCAGCTACTCGGGAGGCTGAGGAAGGAGAATGGCGTGAACCTGGGAGGCGGAGCTTGAGCCAAGATTGCGCTGAGATCGCGCCACTGCTCTCCAGCCTGGGCGACAGAGCAAGACTCCGTCTCAAAAAAAAAAAAAAACACACACACACACAAAAAAGAAATAAATGCAAATGTTCTCAGAGGAACTTAGAAGCCATGAAATTCCTACAGGATTCCTGTAAGCAGAGTTCCAAATATGAGTTCATAATTATGATAATATAATAAGAAATCCTACACAAAAGGAAACAGGATACCATGAATGTAAGGCAACTAAGAAGGAAAAGAAAATAAAAGACAAAAAACAGAACCAGACCCATACAAATTTAATGATCTAAAACAGAACGCAAAATAAGTGTGTTAAATGTATATATTCTTAAAAGGACAAATAAAATACCATAATTGGGAACTAGAAATTATTTTAGGATAACCAGAAAGACTGGTAAAAAAAAAAAAAAAAAGAACTAAATAAAGCTTCTAGATTAAATATACGACTAAAATGGAATGGTTAAACATCAGAATATACAAAGCTGAAAAGAAAATTAATCAACTTCAAAGAGATGCAAAAAGTTACATGGAGTAGAACAGAAGGAGAAAAAGGGACATAACCCAAGAAAAACAGATTAAGAGATAAGGACTTCAGAGGGAATAGGTTCAACACATACTCACTAAGACATCTGGGTAAAGATTATAGAGACAATGAAAAGGCAATATTTGAAAATACAATGGGCAAGAGTTTTCCAGAATCACTTAAAGACATAAATCTTCAGATTTAGGAAGTCCAGTGGATCCAAAGCAAAATAATTAAAAACAAGTCCAGTTGTAAGCACCTCGCCCTTGAGGTTTTTGCAATTTCATTATTTAGAAAGCAACATAAAAATAGCAAGAGAAAAAAATATTAAAGAAATGGCTTCTGGACAACTGGCCTCAAGGCACTGAGAAAAAACTGAGGAACCATGTATAATTCTATACTTTCAAAAACAAGAAGAAAAGCAAGACATTTTTAGAAGAAACTGAAACAGTGTTTGCTAGCAACATAACTTTGCCACAAGGAACTTTTAATACATGTACTTCAGAAAGCAGCAAATGATCCCAGAAGGAAGGTCTAAGATTTAAGGTATGTTGACTGAAGTAGAGAGTAAAAATTTGGATAAATGAAATATAATGATTAAATTCAATAATGTTAATGTCAAATATTGAGAGTTAAGTAAAGCAGGATATATTTTCTATTGTGAACAAAATTAACATGATAGTGGAGTTTTTGTGACATGATTAGAATGAAGATCTTCTAAGATACTTTTATTATTCAGCAATAATGTCAACATAATAACTTTAACCTTTTAAAAGTTTATAAGACAAAAAATAAAACTTCTCAAAGGAAAAACAAACAAATCGATAAGCACAGCAAAAGAAAGCAAGAGAAGAAAAAATAAAACTGCATAAAAGCAAGACAAATAACACCAAAAAAAGATAGAAAAAAATAAAAATATAAGACTAATTATAAGTGAGATCACAGGGATTATCAAAAATGACCAAGTCCAAAAAATATGGAAGTCAATTTCATGATTTTTTACAAGGAACACACATCAAACATAAGAACAGAGGACAGTTGAAAGGCAGAGAATGCAAAGATAGATAACAGGCAAATACTATTAAATGTTCCTGGTGTCTGTTACGAATAGACAAAATAGACTTCAAAGCAAAAAGCATTACTACAGACAAAGACAGTAACTATATAATAAGAAAAAAGATAATTTTCCAGGAGGTAATGCTAGCTAATAACATAGGTTTAAAATATATGAAGCAAAAATTGCCAGAACTCCAAAGAGAAGTAAGGGATTTTTATTCTCTCTCTTGTCTCTTAGTAATTGATATATCAAACAGACAAAAATTAGAAAGGATGGGGAGAATTTGAACTATGCACTTAATAAGCTTGATCTAATGGGCACAGGAAATATATCCCAAGAGCCAGAGAATAAAATGCTGTTTTAAGCATGCAGGAAAGATTTGTAAAAATTGACAACAAATTCCAGAAATTGGATCTCATACAGACCTTGTATTGTGAATATAATAAAATTCATTTATAAATTAACAACACCACCAAGAAGCAAAAAGCAACATACACTTGAATATTTATTTTAAAAAAGCTGTTAGAAGAGCTATAGGTTAATGCATCAATCTTTATGGAAATAGAAACAATAATATAAAACCCAATTTGTCGGTTATAGGAAGACTTCCTGGAGGAAGTACTTATATTAGAAAAGAAAAAGGCTAAAGAATGTGAGAAGCATCCAGTTTAAGAAATTAGAAGAACAACAAAATAAACACACAAAAGTAAAAAAGAATAAGAAAGGACACATTTATAAAATAGAAAACAAATAGAATTTATAAAACTGACAGTCATTTTTAAAGACTACCAAAATCAATGCATGTCTAATAAGACCGACCAAAATTTAAAGAAAAGAGACATAGACATTAGGAATGAAAAGGAAAGCATAACTATACATAAATCAATGATTAAAAGAGATGATGTGGCTGGGTGCGGTGGCTCACGCCTGTAATTCCAACACATTGGGAGGCCGAGGCGGGTGGATCACCTGAGGTAAAGAGTTCAAGACCAGCCTGGCCAACATGGTGAAACCCCATCTCTACTAAAAACACAAAAATTAGCCAGGTGTTGTGGCAGCTGCCTGTAATCCCAGCTACTCAGGAGGCTGAGGCAGGAGAATTGCTTGAACCTGGGTCAGGGAAGTTGCAGTGAGCCGAGATCATGCCATTGCACTCCAGCCTGGGCAACAAAGCAAGACTCTGTCTCAGAAAAAACAAACAAAAAAAAGACAATGTAAGTACTGGGAAGAATTGTATGCTGATAAATTTGAAAAGAAATGTAATGAACAAAATACCTAGAAAAGTATCTTATTAGTGAATTAGTAATGATAATCTTTGCTCAAAGAAAATATTAGGCCCAAATGGTTTTGTATATGAATTCTATAAAACACTTGAAAGATAGATAATGTCTTAGATTTTTTTCAAAGAATAGACTTAGTTACAGAGGGTTTATTGTTTTCCTGTGAGGTTAATATAACCTTGATACTGAAACCAGGCAAGGATAGTATAAGAAAGGAATATTAGAAGTTCATTTCGCTCATGAACATGCGTGAAGTATTCAAAACAAAATATCAGCATCCTCAATTCAGCAATGTGTTAAAAATATAATAGCTGTTAAATCCTAAAATGCAAGGTTATTTTAACATTAGAACATCTATTAAAATGTAAATCACCAGATCAGCAGATAAAAGGAGAAAACCATATACCCATTTGAGTATGTGTAGCAAAAACATTTGATAAATTCAATATCTACTCATTATAAAAAAATTCTTAAGGAAAACTAAGGTTAAAAGGTAAATTGCTTAACCTAATAAATGTTGTCCACCAAAAACCTACTACAAACATCACATTTAATGGTAAAGCTTTACAAGCATTCCCTTGAAAACTTAGGAAAAGAAAAGGATACTCGATTTCACTAGTTTTATTCAAAATATTGTTATAGACTCTAATCAGTGCGAAAAGACAACATTGTACTAGGTAGTGGACACGTGGGTCTCATTTTATTATTATGCCTTATCATTTATATTTATGTTGCATATACTATTTGGAATTTATAGCATACTTAATAATACAAAATAATGTGAGGTCTTATAAAGAAATGAGAAAGCATAAAGGAAGGAAAAGTGAATGGAAAAAAAAGAAGATATGTCCCTTGCAGAACTTATAGTCTAGCAGTAGATATAGGTGAGTCATTTAGGGACTTGGAGTATTAAATACCAAGTGCCATGATTGCTGGGTTGGTGAGTGGATAACAGCACAACAGTCCTGTCGTGCGAACTTCCAGTTTAAGAGGTCCAGGGCCAGGTGCAGTGGCTCACCGCTGTAATCCCAGCACTTTGGGAGGCCGAGGCAAGCGGATCACGAGGTCAGGAGTTCGAGACCAGCTTGACCAACACTTGACCAACATGGTGAAACCCCGTCTCTACTAAAAATACAAAAATTAGCCGGGTGCGTGGCTCATGCCTATAATCCCAGCTACTCGGGAGGCTGAGGCAGGAGAATCACTTGAACCCAGGAGGCGGAGGTTGCGAGCCGAGATCGCACCACTGCACTCCAGCCTGGGTGACAGAGTGAGACTCTGTCTCAAAAAAAAAAAAAAAAAAAAAAGTTCCCAAATAGTTTCCTGTAAAAAGTAGTATCTAAGTTGAGACTTAGAAAATGATGTCTTAGTCTGTTTGTGCTGCTATAATCAAGTACCAGAGACTGGGTAATTTAAAGACAAGAGAACTTTATTTTCTCACAGTTCTGGAGGCTGGGGGTCCAAGATCCAGGATCCCATATTCAGCGTGTGGGAAAGGCTCCCTTTCTGCTTCCAGGATGCTGCCTCATCAATGCACCTTTGTCACTGCATCCTCATATGGCAGAAGGCAGAAGGGCAAAAGGACAACAAGGGATGAACAGTGTCCTCACATGGCAGAAGGGACGGGGGAAAAAGGGCCCAGCTATTTTCCTCCAGCTTTTCTATAAGGTGCTAATCTCATTCATGAGGGCAGATCCCTCAAGGCCTCATCACCTCCTAAATGCTCCACCTCATAATCCTGTTGCATTGAGGATTAAGTTTCAACATGAATTTTGAAGGGGCACAAATATTCAGACCATACCAGATGAGGAAGGGTTTTCTAGGCAAAGAAGATGGGAGAATTAGGAATCAATTTTGGGGAAAAGTGCTCATTGGCAGGGGTAAGAGCGTCTGCGAAGGGATAGAGACTGAACAACATACCGGGCTTTCGGATCCTCCAGGTATTACCATGACCTGAGCATGGAATTGGAGGTCAGGAGAGAGAAGAGAAGAAGCTAGAGAAAGAAGTAAAGGCCAGGTTGTACTGAGTCAGAATCATTCTTTTGTTGTTTTTGTTTTCTTTTTTGTATTATCGATATTATAGGGTAAACAGAAAATAAAATCTGAAAATAATCTAAATACTCAGAAATTGGAAAAGGACAAATAAAGAATGGATATACGGTTGAACATAGAAAAGTACAAAAAAAGATCATTGTTGAAACTGAAAAACTAGAAAACTCTTTATGATCCTGGTGAAAAGTTCTGAATCCAGTATTATACTTTACCTCTTATGCTGTAATTATAAGATTATAAAATACGTATGCATCAAGACAAAGACAGGAGGGCAATATACCAAAAAGAACATTGTGTTAGGATGGTGGAATATGGTTGAGTTTTATCTCTTTTTCAAAAATGTTGTTAAATATATCCTCATTTAAAAATTAAAAAATTAAACAGAGGAGGTCAATATTAGTAACTTCAGTGAGCTCAGGGAATGAGTTTTTGCTCATTATTGAATGTCCAGTGCTTAGCACAAAGTAGACTGCATGCGTGTGTGAATGGATTAAATGCATCAAGGATGGTTCTGAGGTGATTTGGAAGAATTACTGGTGGTATCCTAACAGCAGCAACCGAGTGTCAGGTGGGTCAGAATCAGGCCGCAGTACCAAATTAGAGACAGGAATTGCAAGCTGATTGAACTTGCTGGAGAGTCCTTTACTGAGGATTTTCAGAACTGACTGAGTTATTTGACTTCTTATACTCAAGGCAGATCTACTAGAAAGAGAAGTCAACACTTTGCCTAAATAGGGGCTAGAAATAAAGGAAGAGTTGGGAGGGTGCTTTTTTTTGGGGGGGGGGCGGCGTGGAGAGTGTGAAAGGAGTGATGTTTTAGTTGTTAATGTTTTTAAAAAATTAGAATATTCTTAAATAAATATAAAACATTTTTAAGAAAGTATGTTCGAATGATGGGGAAAATCCCCCAAACTATGCTGAATTTCATTTCTTAAGAGCTTTTTTTTCCAATTATTTTCACACATACAGTCATAATCATTGTGTATATATTTCCTTCTATTCTACATTTCTCACTTTTATATTCCTTAAATATTTTAAAATCTAATTCTTCATTTAATAAATTGCATTGTATTTCATCATATTGGTACCCTATAATTTACTTAACTCTCAGCCCTTTGCTGTGCATGGAAGTTTTTGTTGTTTTGATTTCTTTTCTTTCTTTCTTTCTTTCTCTTTAAAAAAACAAACAAAAACAAACAAACAAAAAAACCCTTACTGCATATATTGCTTTTTTCTCCTTAGAATGATTTTCTTGAAGAAATTTTTAGGAAAGAAAGGACATTCTGGGTTAAATATTAGAAATGTTGTAATTTGGATTCCCCTGCAAAGAGAATAATATAAAAATTGATTTCTTGTGCATCCAGCTAGAATGAAATGGGTTCACTCAGTCAGTCAGGAGTCTGGGATGAAACTGTCATTCTCATTATTTTGAGCTCTACATTTTATAGATAGAATCTAGTAAAACTTTTTTAGGGATGTGTGAAGATGGACACAATAATAGCAGTTAATAAATCTTTATATTGTTATCTCATTAATTGCCATAAAATATGGTCTGAACTGAGATTGACTGAGATTAAATGACTGTTCCAAAGTCCCCTAGAGAGTTAATGGCAAGCCTCAGATAAAATTTCTCTCTTAATTTCTAGATCACAATGCCAGGGTAGCCATAGGTAGAAATTCCAATCATTATGTATTTCTATCAGTACAGACTTTGGAATTGAGAAAGGAGGTATTGACTGCCTGGGATCAAATACAGCTTTACTAATCTCTAGCTGTATGAATTTGATCAAGTCTCACAAGCAATCTGATCTTCTATTTCTTGAACTAGAAAATAGGAGTGATAATACTAATTACTTTGTAAGGTGGTTGTGAACAGTAAATGAAATGATACATATAAAGGATTTATACAGTGCCTGCACATACCAACATTTAGCAAATATTAGCAAAATACCTAAGGTCCAGATTCTTTGAAGTTGGCGAGGAAGTTAACCTGAATAACCCTCATTTATCCCTTTCTTCAAGACAACTGTAGGACCCAGAATATACCTTGGAGATGTTTGCAGTTATAGTTTCTCTATCTATAGCTTGTACATTTTGCATCCCTAACACTTGTCTTCCTTTGGCACTAGTAGTACTCTAATTTATTAGCAAAGTATCTCTCCAAGGGGAGCTGCAGCTTTTATGCTATTGGTGTGTGTTGCTCTGGTCCTGACCATTGTTTTAGCTCTTCATTTTAGATCCCAACAAGATTTCATTACTCCTTGTGTATGCCTTCCAGACCATTTGAAGTGTTATGTCATTCTGTGACTGTGAACTAGAGATGAGTCATAAAAGCAAAATTGAATTAGAGCCTTCTTTAGCATTTTAGGCTTATTGCCATGTTTTGGACAATGACATACTTTATTTTACAGAGTCACAATGAATGATTTTCTAAACAGATAATGTTGGCGAAGTATATTAATAATAACAATTAATTATAGGTACATTGTGTGGGGAGACTAGTGATTTTAACATGAAAGAAAATAGACTATTTCTGTTATTATCTACGTTTATGTGGCTTTGTACCCATGACTCAGAAAAATGTCCCAGATAAAAAAGCAATGATTCTTTATTTATTAAGCTAACTGCTGTATATATTCAGGAACAAAGTGAACTGGGTACTTGAAAACTTTCTCTTTGAATTGAGTGGTTTCTTTATCATCATCCACATTTTCATCTGTAAATGAGTTAACTGGATACTTTCAAATAAGTCATGTTGAATCTGAAATTTGAAGAAAATGAACTATTAATTCTTTCAGCTTCTTACCCACACCAAATGCTATTTATTCCCATCACTCTACTTAAATATATCAACATCAAGGTCAGCCACTTTCTACGTATTGACAAAATCAGTAAAGTCTCTGACCTCCCTCATCCTCCTTGACCTCTCAGCAGCATTTCACGTGGCTGAACCATCCCACCTTCTTGAAAAATGTTCTTTTCCAGGTTTCAGGACATCATTTTTACTTGTTGGGTTTTTTTTTTCTCTTGTTTTTCACTGCCACTCCGCAGTCTACTTTGCTCACTACACAAAATCAGCCAATGTCAGAGCTCTACACGTGTCAGACTATTCTGATTGCTGCTTTGCCTCTGCTGTCCATTACCGTAACTATGCCTATCTTGCCTGTGACAGTTGGGTGCTGTCACTTGGCCCCCACCACCTCGGGATCCAATTATTCCCATTGCTTTTAAATTTTGTAATTGAATGACCGTGGTTCCTACTATAAGATCTGGCATACAGAGAAGAGCAATCACAGATCTCTTCAAGGATTCAGGTGCTGCCCTCACAAATCTATCTCGCAAAATATTGGTGAAGGCTATTTCTTCTGGACCCTTCCAGCTGGGATGAGTAGGTCTAACGTGACTAATCCACTCTAGCATCCCAATCTCCTTAAGTCTTTGGATCCCTTCCTCTACATTAAACCAAGGGAGATCAGGCCTTTCCAGCTCGCTCACAGTGGTCTATCTTTTGATCCATATTTCAGCTAACCAAGCAAATAAACTATAAGAACTGTCTTTAACTCCCTGAGCTGCAACATTAAATGCACAATCCCTCCTTAGTGGGCCCAAATAAATAAAATCAGCCTGATCCAACTCTGTGTTCCTTCCACCATTATCCTACATCCTTAATATCATTCCCATGCCTGTTCTCCAGGTTTCTGTCCATATAAATTAGAAAACTCAAACAGTTCTTTCGAGGTGTAGCACACCTCATCGTGGGTCACACTCTGAACCTCACCTCTAGGGGCATGCTGGGACTTTAGTCTAGTTATAGGTCTAGAAGCAAACAGGGATGTTGGGGGTGGGTCCTAAGGAGAATCAGCATTGTCTTGCCTGGCAACTGCTTCAGGGGAGGCCATCACTGTTGCCTCAGGCAGCGCGTGGTTAATCTCCTCAGACAAAGGTGGTAAGGCTGATGGCAGCAGGTCGGGGAGGGGATGTTGCCACCACTGGGGATGAGGGAGCTGTTTTCTCGGGTAAAAAAAGCCTCCTCAGAGTTTACAAGCTCAGTGTCCCCAGCTTCATCAGGGTCCTCCCATACATCTCCATTCCAAGTTGCAGGGTCTCATTCTTTTCCAATCAATGCCCTCACTTTAATAGTAGACATCTGGCGAGACTGAGCATGTACCTTTCATTGCAGGTCAGCCATTCGCCTGATAAGAGCTTGTGCCTGATTTTCTACAATTTCAACCCTTTGTCTACAGGAGGTACGACTCTCACTCAGGGGAATCTTAGAAGACTTGAGGCTCAGTATGTGCTTCTGGAGCTAGGAGTTAGA
Organism: Homo sapiens; assembly: GCF_000001405.40. Taxonomy (NCBI): domain Eukaryota; kingdom Metazoa; phylum Chordata; class Mammalia; order Primates; family Hominidae; genus Homo; species Homo sapiens. The sequence continues at coordinate 111,675,967 of NC_000010.11, read as the reverse complement.
ATCCCTGAGCTCATCCTTTTCTTTCATCACTTTGTCCAGTGAACTTGGGAGCAACCAACCAACTTTATAATATTTTTTGGTTCCCCACACATAGTCAAAGGTATTATATATAAAGTCACTAAATTCCTTGACTCTCACAATCAATAAATTAGGTGTATCAAATGCATTTATTTTATATAACTCTCTAAACAGTTCACACCAAGGACTATCAGTGTTTTCCATACTATTAGAAGTAGAGTTACCTTAGCATTTTTGGGTCTAATCAGATTAAGCAGCCAACTCCAGAAACTCCAAAACCAACTAAAGACATCCATCCTTAAAATTCTCTTCCTCTAGAACCATGCCTGGTACCAAAATCTGTATTAGTCCAGGTTCTCTAGAGGGACAGAACTAACAGGATATGTGAATATATGAGGGGGAGTTTATTAAGGAGAATTGACTCACACAATCACAATGTAAAGTCCCACAATAGGCCATCTGCAAGTTGAGGAGCAAGGAAGCCAGTGGTGGATCAGTCAGAGTTCAAAACCTCAAAAGTAGGGAAGCCAACAGTGCATCCTTCAGTCTGTGGCCAAAGGCTCGAGAGCCCCTGGCAAACCACTGGTGTAAGTCCAAGAGTCCAAAAGCTGAAGAACTTGGAGTCTGATGTTCAAGGGCAGCATAGGAGAAAGATGAAGGCCAGAAGACTCAGCAAGTCTGCTCTTCCATTTTCTCCTGCTTTATTCTAGCCATACTGGCAGCTGATTACATGGTACCCACCCAGATTGAGGATGGGTCTGCCTCTCCCAGTCCACTGACTCAAATGTTAATCTTCTTTGGCAACTCCCTCACAGACACAGCCAGGAACAATACTTTGCATCCTTCAATGCAAGCAAATTGACACTCAATATTAACCATCACAGGTGTCCTTCACAATTCCAGTGATTCCCTTTTTTTTCTTGAATTGAAGCTCACAGAGTTTATCTTTATGCACTATCCTGCTATTTCCACGTAGCTGAGGCATGCTAAAAGCCTCTACTCTGACATCATGGAAAAAAATCTATAGTCAGATTTGAACTTGTGTAGTCTTAGTCCTCAAATGTTGTTCTTTCCCTTCAATATTATATTGGCTATTCTGAGTGTTTTCCTTCTTAGTATAAATGTTACAATCAGTTTTTCAATATCCGCAAAATAACTTGCTGGGATTTTGATTTGGATTGCAATTGATTCCGTAGGCCAGTTTGGGAAGAACTGACATCTTCACAGTATTGAGCCTTCATAGCAATGGAAATGGTATATCTCTTCATTTATTTAGTTATTCTTTAATTTCTTTGATCAGAGTTTTGCAGTTTTCCTCATAGATCTTATACATATTTTATTAGATTTATACTTAAGTATTTAAATTTTTGGGATACTAATGTAAAGGATATTGTGTTTTTAATTTCAAGTTCCACTTGTTCATTGTTGATATATAAGAAAGCAGTTGATTTTTGTATATTAACCTTGTACCATGCAACCTTGCTGTGATGAGATATTAGTTCCAGGACTTTTTTGGTTAATTCTTTCATATTTTTAAAAGAGACAATCATGCCATCAACAAAAAAGACAACTCTATTTCTTCCTTTACAGTCAATATACTTTTCCTTTTCTTATTGCATTAGCTAAGACTTTCCATATAATGGTGAAAAGGAGTGGTGAGAGGGGACATTCTTTCTTTGTTCCTGATCTTAGTGGGCAAGCTTCTAATTTCTCACCACTAAGTGTGATATTAACTATACATTTTTGTAGATATGCATCAAGTTGAGAAAGTTTTCCTCTATTCCTAAAGTTTACTGTGTGTTTTTATCCTGAATAGGTGTTAATTTTTCTCAGATACTTTATCTGTATCTCTTGATAAGATCATGTGATTTTTATTCTTTAGCCTGTTGATGTGATGGTTTACATTAATTGATTATTAAAAGTTCAATAAGCTTTGCATAGCTGTGATGAATTCTACAGGTACATGCTATATAATTTTTTGTACACTGTTGGACTGAATTTGCTAATATTTTATTGATTTTTACATCTCTGTGAGTAATATTGGTCTGTAGTTTTCTTTTAAAATCTTTGTATGATTTCAGTATTAGGGTAATGCTGATGATGAGAATGAATTAAGAAATATTCCCTCTCTTTTCTATTTTCTGAAAAAGATTATAGAAAATTGGTATAATTTCTTCCCTAAGGGTTGGGTAGAATACTACCCCAGTGAAACTATCTAAGTCTGATTCCTTCTGTTTTAGAAGGGTCTTAATAATTGAATATGTTTTAAAGACATGTATGTTTTCAAATTATTTCTTCTTGTGTGAGTTTTGGAAGATTATGTCTTTCAGGGAATTGGTCTATTCCATTTAGGTTATCAAATTTGTAAGCTTAGAGTTGTTCATAGTATTCCTTTTTAAAAATATTCTTATGTTATAGTGATATCCCTCTTTCATTTCTGATATTATTAATTTGTGTCCTCGTTCTTTTTTCTCTTAGTTAACCTATCTAGAGGCTTATTGCTTGTATTGATCTTTCCAAAGAATCAGTTTTGGGTTTGGTTGATTTTTCTCTATTAATTTCATGTTTTCTGTTTTATTATTTTTTGTTCTTAGTGTTATTATTTTTTTCTGCTTACTGTGGATTTAATCTGCTCTTCTTTTCCTAGTTTCCTAAAATGGAAACAGATTATTAATTTTAGATATTTCTTCATTTTTAATATATGCATTGAATGCTGTACATTTCCCTCTAAGCACTATTTTCATTGCATCCCACAAATTTTGTTGTTGTGTTTTTATTTTTATTTAGTCCAAAATATTTTAAAATTTCTATTGAGATTTCTCCATTCACTCATGTGTCATTCAGAAGAGTATTTTTAAATCTTCATGTATTTTATAATTTTTCAGTTATCTTTCTGTTACTGATTTTTAGTTTAATTCAATTGTGGTCTCAAAGCAAACATTTTATGATTTCTATTCTTTTAAATAGTCAAGGTGTGTTGGATGACATGAAATGTGGTCTATTTTGGTGATTGTTCCATATGAGTTTGAGAAGAATGTATATTCTGCTGTCGTTGGGTGAAGTAGTCTGTAGATATTAATTATATACAGTTGATTGATAGTGTTGTTTAGTTCAACTATGGCTTTACTGATTTTCTGCCTGCTGGATCTGTTCATTTCTAATAGAATAGTATTGAAGTCTTCTACTGTAATACTGGATTCATTTATTTCTTCTTGCAGTTCTATCAGTTTTTGCATCACATAGTTTGACATTTCGTTAGGATCATACACATGGATTCATGTGTATTCATTATGGGTTAATGTGTATCCTCCTTTCTCTATGAGGATCCAAGTTTCTTTATTGTCCTTCTTTCCAAAGGACTTCTTTGAACATTTTTTACAATGCAGGTCTGTTGGTAAGAAATTTTCTCGGCCGGGCGCGGTGGCTCACGCTTGTAATCCCAGCACTTTGGGAGGCCGAGGCGGGCGGATCATGAGGTCAGGAGATCGAGACCATCCTGGCTAACACGGTGAAACCCCGTCTCTACTAAAAATACAAAAAAAAATTAGCCGGGCGTGATGGTGGGCGCCTGTAGTCCCAGCTACTCGGGAGGCTGAGGCAGGAGAATGGCGTGAACCCTGGAGGCGGAGCTTGCAGTGAGCCGAGATTGCGCCACTGCACTCCCACCTGGGCCACAGAGCGAGACTCTGTCTCAAAAAAAAAAAAAAAGAAAAAGAAATTTTCTCAATTTTTGCTTATCTGAGGAAGTCTTTATTTCTCCTTGACTTTTGAAGTAAATGTCACAGGGTATAGAATTCGATGTTGCTGAGTTTTTTCTCCAACACTTCAAATATTTTATTCAATTCTTTTTTTACTTGCATGAGTTCTGAGAAGTTAGATGTAATTCTTATCTTTGTTCCTCTATAGATGGTTTTTTCCTCTGGCATCATTTTGGAATTTTTTTATCTTTGATTTTTAGTAGTTTAAAAATAATGTGCCTAGGTGTTGTTTTTTGTTTATTTGTTTTTTGGCATTTATCCTGTTTAATGTTCTCTGAGCTTCCTGGTTCTGAGGTTTAGTGTATGACATCAATTTGGAAAAATTCTCAGACATTATTGTTTCAATTGTTTTGTCGTTGTTGTTCCTTTCTCTCTTCTGGCATTTTTATTATGTATTTACTTCACTTCGTGTAATTGTGTGTCAGTCCTTTGGTATTCTGGGTTTGTTGCCTTTTTGTTTTTGTCTTTGTTCTCTTTGCTTTCCAGTTTTGAAGGTTTCTATTGAGATACCTTCGAGCTCAGAGATTAATTTCTCGGCCATGCACAGTATACTAATAAGCCCTTCAAAAATATTCTTCATTTCTGTTACATTGATTTTTATCTCTGTCATTTAATTTTGGCTCTTTCTTCGAATTCCTATCTGTTTGCTTATATTGTTCATCTGTTCCTGCATGCTATTTTATCCATTAGACCACTTAGCATAGTATCATTGTTGTTTTAAATTCCTAGTCTGACTATTCCAACATCCCGCCATTTCTGATTCTGATGTTTACCCTTTCACTTAAAATTGTTATTAGGCTTTTTTTTTCTTGATAGCCAGATATAATGGATCACATAAAAGAAACTGCTATAAATAGGCCTTTATTAATGTGGTGGTAAAATGTGGGGAGGGAGGAGAAGAATTCTTTAGTCCTGTAATTAGGTCATGGTTTGTTTTTGTTTTTGTTTTTGTTTTGTTTTGTTTTGCTTTGCTTTGTTTGTTTGTTTAGTTTTGGTTTTTTTAAAGAGATGCTTCTGGACTATGAACTTTAAAATTGATTTTCAGTTCACACCATACCTGGTTAGGTGGGAGAGAATGGCTAGAGTGAGCCAGAGTTGAGTATTTCCCTTCTTTCACGTGAAGAGCTAAAGTGGGCTGAAGGTGAGTATTTTCCTTCTTTGATGTGGAAGCCTAGAGCTGACTGGAGTTGGTTATTCTCCTTGGGTGAGGGCTATTATGGTGGAAAAGGCCAAATGGAAACCATTAGAGCTGCCTCTACCTAGAAAAATAGTAAATCAAAAACAATATTAAATCCTTAGAGGGACTGCAGAGATTAGCACCACCATCAAGGACTTGAAAGACTCAGGGGTGGTGATTCCCACCACATCCCCATTCAACTCTTTAATTTGGCCTGTGCAGAAGACAGGTGGATCTTGGAGAAAGACAGTGGATTATTGTAAGCTTAACCAAGTGGTGACTCCAATTGCAGCTGCTGTACCAGATGTGGTTTCATTGCTTGAGCAAATTAACACATCTGGTAGCTGGTATGCAGCCATTGACTTGGCAAATAGCTTTTTCTCCATTGCTGTCCATAAGGCCCACCAGAAGCAATTTGCCTTCAGCTGGCAAGGCCAGCAATATACCTTTACTGTTCTACCTCAGGGGTATATCAACCCTCCGGCTTTGTGTCATAATCTTATTTGGATAGACCTTGATCACTTTTCGCTTCCTCAAGATATCACACTGTTCTATTACATTGATGGCATTATGCTGATTGGATCCAGTAAGCGAGAAGTAGCAAACACACTGGACTTATTGGTGAGACATTTACATGCCAGAGGATGGGAAATAAATCTAAAATTCAGGAACCTGCTACCTCAGTAAAATTTCTAGGGGTCCAGTGGTATGGGGCTTGTTGATATATTCCTTCTAAGTTGAAGGCTAATTTGCTGCATTGGCCTCTCCTACAACCAAGAAAGAGGCACAACACCTAGTGGGGCTATTTGGATTTTGGAGGCAACACATTCCTCATCTGGGTTTGTTACTCTGGCTCTTTTATCAAGTGACCCAAAAGGCTGCCAGTTTTGAGTGGGGTCCAGAACAGGAGAAGGCTCTGAAACAAGTCCAGGCTGCTGTGCAAGCTGCTCTGCCACCTGGGCCATATGACCCAGCAGATCCAATGGTGCTTGAGGGGTCAGTGGCAGATAGGGATGCTGTTTGGAGATGTTGGCAGACCCCAATAGGTGAATCATGGAAAGGGAAAAGGTTTGTCCTTGCTGGAATAGACACTTAGTCTGGTTATGGGTTTTCCTATCTTGCACACAATGTTTCTGCCAAGACTACCATCCATGGACTCACGGAATGCCTTATCCACCATCATAGTATTCCACACAGCATTGCCTTTGATCAAGGCACTCAATTTAGGGCTAAAGAAGTGTGGCAGTAGGCTCATGGTTATGGAATTCACTGCTCTTACTGTGTTCCCCATCACCCTGAAGCAGCTGGACTGATAGAATGGGATGGCCTTTTGAAGTCACAATTACCATGCCAAGTAGGTGACAATACTTTGGAGGGCTGGGACAAAGGTCTCCAGAAGGCCGGGTATGCTCTGAATCAGCATCCAGTATATGGTACTGTTTCTCCTGTAGCCAGCATTCACGGGTCCAGGAAGCAAGGGGTGGAAGTGGAAGTGGCACCACTCACCATCGCCCCTAGTGATCCACTAGCAAAATTTTTGCTCCCTGTTCCCACAACATTATGTTCTGCTGGCCTAGAGGTTTTAGTTCCAGAGGGAGGAACGCTGTCACCAGTACACACAACAATGATTCCATTAAACTGGAAGTTAAGATTGCCACCTGGACACTTCAGGATCCTCCTACTTTTAAGTCAACAGGCTAAGAAGGGAGTTACAGTGTTGGCTGGGGTGATTGACCCAGAATATCAAGATGAAATCAGTCTACAATTCCACTCCACAATAGAGATAAGGAAGAGTATGCACGGAAGACAGGAGATCCATTAGGGCATGTCTTAGTATTACCATGCTAGTGATTACCATGCTGTGATTAAGGTCAATGGGAAACTAGAACGGCCCAATCCAGGCAGCACTACAAATGGCCCAGACCCCTCAAGAATGAAGATTTGGGTCACTCCACTAGGAAAAAAAATACAGCCTGCTGAGGTACTTCCGGAAAGCAAAGGGAATACAGAATGGGTAGTAGAAGAAGGTAGTCATCAATACCAGCTATGACCACATGACCAGCTGAAGAAACAAGGACTGTAATTGTCATGAGTATTTCCTACTTCTTTTGTTAAAAACATGTTTGTGCATGTATACACTTGTACTAAGAAAATATCTTCATTTTATCTCCTTTCTCCTTTATCATGTGACATAAGATTTATTGCCTTCACATCAGCATTTAAGTATTGTTTGCTTTATGTAATAGTATTTGAGTTAGGGATTGGTGCATTTCCCCTTGTATGAAGGATTGTTGTATTATGTTAGGCATAATTATGACCTTATTATTGTCTTTATTTGAAGATTATGTGTACTCTCAGGAGATGTGTATGGGTTCAAGTTGACAAGGGGTGGACCTATGATGGTTATTACTGAATGTCAACTTGATTGGATTGAAGGATACAAAGTATTGATCCTGGGTGTGTCTATGAGGGTGTAGCCAAAGGAGATTAACATTTGAATCAGTGGGCTGGGAAAGGTAGACCCATCCTTAATCTGGGTGGGCACTATTTAATCAGCTGCCAGCATGGCTAGAATATAAAGCAGGCAGAAAAATATTAAAAGAGAGACTGGCCTAGCCTTCCAGCCTACATCATTCTCCTGTGCTGGATGCTTTCTGTCCTCAAACATCAGACTCTAAATTCTTCAGTTTTAGAACCTCAGACTGGCTCTCCTTGCTCCTCAGCCTGCAGACGGCCTATTGTAGGACCTTGTGATCGTGTGAGTTAATACTTAATAAACTCATATATATATATATATATATATATATATATGTTCCATTAGTTCTGTTCCCCTAGAGAATCCTCACTAATACACTTACTCTAGGTCAGTTAGACTCTGATAAAACCAGCAGGGTTATGTTCTTATTAAATAATTTCTCCCAAGTACAGATCTTGTTAAGAAAATAATGTTCTGGCATATATTAAAAAATGGCTCTTTTCTCCTCCCCCTGCTGGAAACATAAGACAGTTTTCTCTAATATTTACTGTGAAAACCTGGTTGAGCCCCAGGAGGTAAAACTCAAAGAAGCATGAGGGCCCCTATGACTGGGTTCCTTCAAGTTTTTAACTCTCAGACTTGTCCAAACTGAGACTTCAACAGTTTATCAAGTATAGTTCAGGTGTTCTACCCTGTTACTAGTTACCATGGCAATTTCTGTTTATGAGCCTTTAATCTGGTGAACTATGATTCTCTTTATTCGTTGTCTGTTCCTGCAATCTTGGAGAAAGCAGTTTGCCTTGAATCCTCACTTCTTTTACAGATCAAATAAGAGTTGTGATCTCTCAGTTTTTGTTTGTTTGTTTGTTTTGTTTTGTTTTGTTTTGTTTTTGAGATGGAGTTTTGCTCTTGTTGCCCAGGCTGGAGTGCAATGGAATAATCTTGGCTCACTACAACCTCTGTCTCCTGGGTTCAAGTGATTCTCCTGCCTCAGCCTCTCGAGTAGCTGGGACTACAGTCGCATGCCACCACATCCAGCTAATTTTTTGTATTTTTAGTAGAGACAGGGTTTCACCATGTTGGCCAGGCTGGTCTTGAACTCCAGACCTCAGACGATCCACCTGCCTCAGCCTCCCAAAGTGCTGGGATTACAGGAATGAGCCACCTCACCTGACCAATCTCTCAGACCTTTTAGCTCTTAACTTGTTAGAATAAAGTGTAACTTTCAAGCTCCTTACGTGCAGAACCGAAAACCAAAAGTTGCTTTTGTTTTTGAAAGAATTTGCTTGATATAGAATTCTGAGTTGACAGTTTTTTTCCCCACAATGGTATTCCACTGTCTTCTCACTTGCATTATCTCTGATTAGAAATCTGCTGACATTATTTTTTTTAGTTACTCTGTATATAATTTTTTTTCTTTAGCTTCTAAGATTTCTACTTATTACTGGTCTTGAACAATTTAATTATCACATACCTTGGTATAGTTTTCTTTTTAAAATATTTCTAATCTTAGAGTGTGTTGCATCTCTTGAATCTGCAGGCTTATAGTTGCGTAGATTCAAGAAAGTCTGAGAAAGTCTTTATTTCTCCTTGACTTTTGAAGGAAATTTTACAGGGTATATTTACTGTGAAAACTTGGTTGAGCTTCTGGAGGTAAAACTCACAGAAGTTTGAGGGCCCCTATGAGGAGGCCTCCTGGAGTTTTTAACTCAGACTTGCCCACACTGAGACTCCAGCAATTTATCAGTTTGAATCCTCACTTCTTTTACAGTTCAGGCTGAGGCAGGAGAATCACTTGAACCCAGGAGGCAGAGGTTGTAGTGAGCCAAGATTATTCCATTGCTCTCCAGCCTGGGCAACAAGAGCAAAACTCCATCTCAAAAACAAAACAAAACAAAACAAAACAAACAAGCAAACAAAAACTGAGAGATCACAACTCTTATTTGATCTGTAAAAGAAGTGAGGATTCCATTTGCAGCTCAGGTTTTCTACCCTGTTACCAGTTACACTTTTCATCACAATTAGAAAGTTTTCAGCAAATATTTATTTAAATATTTTACTTCCTTCCCTTACCGTTGGGGCTTCCAGTTGCATGAATATTAGGGGGCTTGAGATTTTCCCACTGCTCACTGATTATTGTATTTGTTTTTTTCAATCTCTTTTTCTCTCTGTGTGTTTCATTTTAGATAATTTATATTGCTATACATTTAAATATACTATTTTTATTTTTCCAATGTTCAATCTGCCATTAATTTAATTGAGTGCATTTTTCATCTCAGACATTGTAGTTTTCACTGTTAGAAGTTCACTTTAGGTCTGTATTATATCTTCAACATTTCCAGTTAGCATATTAAATTTTTCCCTAGTTTTTAAACATATGGAATTCCTTTATAATAACTATAATAATTTCTTCTGATGATTTTTACAACTGTGTCAGTCCTGAGTTTCTTTGTAATTAATTTATTTTAATTTTTATTATGGATCATACTTTCATACTTCCTTGCATGCATTTTATATTAGTGTAAATTTTATGTTACTAGATGTTGAATACTTTTGTATTCCTATAAATATTATTTTACTTTGTTCTGGGATTCGTCACACTTAAGTGATAGAAGGATTTAATCTTTAGGGTCATAAGATTTATTAGGAAGCACCAAAATTAGCTGGGCGAGGTGGTGGGTGCTTATAACCCCAGCTACTTGGGAGACTGAGGTGGGATGATCACTTGAACCTGGGAGGCAGAGGTTGCAGTGAGCTGAGATCATGCCACTGCACTTCAGCCTGGGCAATAGAGTGAGACTCCATCTCAAAAAGAAAGACTGTTTTAGGGCTAATTCCTATTGAACACTAAGGCAAGAACCTGTTGAGCATTCTACCAAATGTGTCTGTGTCCAAATTTCACCTTTTTATGAGGACAACATCATAATGGATTGGGGCCCACCTACCTTAATAACCTTATTTTAACTTGCTTAAATGTAAATACTCTATTTCAAATAACATCACATTCTTAAGTACTCAGGGTTAGGACTTCAACATAAAAATTTTGAAAGGATACAATTTAACAACAACAAAAAAATCTACCTTCAAGTTTACTTGCTCTTTTCTTTGTCATATTTATTCTACTGAGCCGTCTACTGAGGTTTTTGTTTTGTTTTGGTTATTGTATTTTATAGTTATATGATTTCCATTTTTATAAGAATTTTCTTTTTTCATAAGATTTTTCTATGTTTTTATTTCAAAGGAATTTGTTTTTGCTTGTTGATTCATATTTATGCTGACTGCTTTAAAATCTTTGTCAAATAATTCCAATATCTGATTTATTTTTATGGTGGCATCTTTTATCTTTTATTATTCATGTTGTGATTTTTCTGGTTGTTGGTATGATAAGTGATATTCTATTGTATCCTGAACATTGTGTTAAAAGACTTTGGCTCCTATTCAAATATTTTCTTCATACAGGCAGTGATCTTGTTTGGGTTGGGCATGCAGCTCCCAGACTACTTTTGTGGGCTGTCATTCCAATGAGAGTTTAGTTTTCAGAAGTTTTGCAGTGCTATTTTGGCTTACTTTGTCTTGTTAAACCAAAGCTTCTACTAATCCCTGATGGTTCCCCCTGTAAGGATGGACAGCACTTCCTCTGGCCAGGTCCACAGTGACTTTAGATGAGGGAAGGCGGTCTCCAGCTTTCAGAGATGAAAAGCATTTCTCAAAGCCTAGGTGTTTGTTGTCAGCAGGACTCTCTTTGGTACAGGACGGAGTATACCTGGAATATCTTGTGCTGCTTGGTTGGTAGTTTAGATTCCAGACCCTGATCATCTGCTGCTGGAAGGGTATTTGTGATATCTTGGAACAATGTGTTATTTCTTTAGTTCTGCACCCCAGTCAGTCTGATTACCTCTTTCCATCATTTTCTTATGATTGTCTGTTTTATTATTTCCAGAGTTTATAGCTGTAATTAACGAGGAAGAGCATAGAGAGTCAAGTGTATGCCCTTTTGTCAAAACCAGAAGTTATGTATTTATTTTTTCTAAAAATATATTTTGTATTATTTAGATGGATCACGAGTGGAAGACGAAATGTGCACATAGGTTTGGTCTTTTTTAACTTGGACGCTGAAGACTGAGATTTTTTCTGATGCATTTTTTTTCACAGTGGAGTTGCTTGAGAACAAATATTTGCATCTATGCTTGGTTTTAATGATTATTAATTGCTATCATAGATTACAAGGTGGGGGACTTCTGTGAGCAAACAGTTGTGAACTATTGGGAAGCTGAATGAGGAAAGGCATAGATAATGAATGAAGTTTGTAAAGCAAAAGAAGTAAAGATATCCCAAAACTAAATAAGGTGCTGTGATATCTTCTTGGGGGAGGGGGCTATTTTCTCTATGTTTTAATGGCTCCAGTCAAATATATCTACTGCTTCACTTGTAGGAGTATAAGCTATTATGTCTTTCTCTTACCTAGGCATGAAACACATTAATAATTTTATTAAAATTAAAAAAAATTTTTGATTAGCCTGTGTTAGTGGTAAGGCTATTTTTATTAATTTAGAGATATTTAATTTTGTTAAACCAATTGGAATTATCAACAAGTTCCTGTTCACAATAATCAATTTGAAAAAACTTTTAAAATGCCTTTCAGCACTAATTAGGTATAAAATATTTCTCCTAATAGCCACCAACGTAAATGGCTTTCATTTTAAATTTCTATAGCACGAGATTGCCTCATCTGTTACTATTTGGAGTCTCTCAAGGGAGAAAGGAATTTCAAAGGTTGTTACTAAAATCACTTATGAGTTCATGAGATTTATAGTTACATGGGCTTTATTTGGAAAAACAGCATGTCACTTTCAAATAGTAAACTTTAATTAGCATGAATAAAGTTTTATGTAAATCAATTAAAAGACATCTAAGTCCCTCATATATGCCCTGTATTCTGACAGTCTGTGGGAAATGTACATAAGACAGGGTATTTTTTATTGCTCATGGCCTGGATTTGGAGATAATAGATGCACATTTGAAATTATTAATTGAGAATCTGGAACACTGACCATCAGTAAGTAATGAGTCCAGGGAATGAGATATCAAGTAAGTGTGTACTGGAGTAGTCAAGAAAGGCTTTTAAGAGCTGGTATTTGAAAGAAGATAAGCTTTGAAATGGTGTAAGAGAGACAGGAACACCCCAAGAGAGACATAACAGACCAGACCCAGAGGTGAGAAGGAATTTGGCTGATGTTTTCTAAATGGAACACAGCAGCATACTATGGAAAGGGGTAGAGGTTTAGGGAGAGGTAAGGATGGGTCATGAGGGCAAAGAGGTTGGAAAACATCCTGATATCCTAAAAGAAAATAATATTCATGTTTATCAGGGGATGTGAGTTCCCTTGGGACAAGAATTGACTTGTTCTATATTCCCAGCATCTGGCCTTCAAAGCATATTGAATGGATGTATAAGAAAAATGGAAAATCTAAGTTATTTACTCAGTTCATGGATAGAATTATCATGACTCTTCACCTTCTCTTCCTCCTTGTTTTTCTTTTTCCAAATATTCTAATTCCCGCTACTTTGAGCCCAGCCTTTCCTGGAGTTACATTGCACTGAATGTGTAAAGGTACTTTGAAGTGAGACAAACCTACTTAAAAGTTGCTTTTATTAGAACTTTGAGTTAAATTTCCCTTCTACAATTCTAAAATGGGTTCCTATCTTTCTTCTTTATGACTCATTTCCATGATGATTTTCCTTTTATCTCATTTTTTATGACAAATGCTTGCTCTGAAAACCCAGCCCTGAAACATGTATATGTATTTTAAATTGCAGGATTTTTACTTAGACTTTTAGTGATGTATTTACAAAAATGTTATTTCTGAGCAAAAGCCATACATACATATAGCTGTATTTTTCATATTTACTTTATATACATATTTTCTATACATATATGCATGTATTCTTTATTTTTTTATTTTATTTTATTTTTTTTTTGAGATGGAGTCTCACTCTGTCACCCAGGCTGGAGTGCAGTGGCATCATCTTGGCGCACTGCAAGCTCCGCCTCCTGGGTTCACGCCATTCTCCTGCCTCAGCCTCCCAAGTAGCTGGGACTACAGGCGCCTGCCACCACGCCCGGCTGATTTTTTGTATTTTTAGTATAGACGGGGTTTCACCGTGTTAGCCAGGATGGTCTCGATCTCCTGACCTCGTGATCTGCCTGCCTCGGCCTCCCAAAGTACAGGGATTACAGGTGTGAGCCACCGTGCCCAGTTGTATTCTTTATTTTTAAACAGTAATACTGGGCAGAAAGTATGGAGAGTTTCTACATACCCTCTCCCCACACTGACTCCCTGCCTTCCACACTACCAATATTCTGCGCCAGGGTAGTACATTTCTTACCTATATTGACAGATCATTATCATTGAATGTACATAGTGTACATATTAGGGTTTGCATCTGGTGTTATACACTTTATGTGTTTTGACAAATGTGTAGTGACATACATCCACCATTATAGGTTCTTCAGAATAATTTCACTGCCCTGATAATCATCTGTGGTCTGCCTGTCATCCCTTCCTCTGCCTCCCGCCCATCAACCACTGATTTTTTTTTCACTGTGACCTTAGTTTACCTTTTCCAGAAAGTCATATTGGATGTTGGAATCATGCAGTATTTAGCCTCTTCATATTGGCTTCTTTCACTTAGTAATATGCTTTTCGGGTTTTCTCCATGTCTTTTTATGGCTAGATAGTTCATTTCTTCTTAGTGCTAGATAATATTTCATCATTTGGATGTACAACAGTTTATCCATTCACTTACTGAGACATATCTTGGTTGTTTCCAAGTTTTGGCAGGTATAAAGAAGGCTGCATTAAATATCCATGTTCAGGTTACTGCATGGACACAAGTTTTACTTTCTTTGAATAAATACCAAGGTGCATGATTGTGGGATTGTATAGTGTGAATGTCTTTTTAAGAAACTGTAAAACTGTCTTCCAAAGCAAACCCTAAAGTGAACTATAAACTTCAAGTGATAACAATATGTCAATGTAGGTTGGTAAATTAACAAATATACTGCTCTGGCAGAGGCTGTTGACAATGAGGGAAACTGTGCAGATGCAGGGACAGGGGTTATATGGGAATTCACTCCCTGTACTTTCTGCTTATTTTGCTGCAAACCTAAAAACTGCCCTAAAAAATAAAACCTATTAAGAATAATAGTTTTAAAAATCTGAGGGAGAAAAGGAGGCTCTTAAAAAAGTAGAAACCTATAAATACCTAAATCTCCTGGGAGTCAGGGACAAGCATAATTTATCTTCCTGACCCTTCAACCTGCCAGTAACTAGTGATTGCTTGCTGAAGTATGACTATGGGATTTATTTAGTTTCCTTTGCATATTTTTAAAAAATATTTTTAGGCAGTACTGCCACATAAGTTGCCTGGTTCAATATTCACTGCTGGTAAGTCTTGTTTTTTTTTTTGAACTAAATTACCTCCTTCCTGGTTCTACATATCCCAAGAAGTCATTGATTGACTCAGTTTATTTAACTCCCAATCATATTAGAATCACTAAACAATGGGAATATGTGACACTGAACAATGGGCATATGTTCTGAGAAGGTGATTTCATCATTGTGGGAACATCCTAGAGCGTACTTACATAGACTTAGATGGCATAGCCTACTACACACCTAGGCTATATGGTAAAGCCTATTGTTCTGAAGCTACAAACCTGTGCAGCATGTTAATGCACTGACTACTGTAGGCAGTTGGAACTTAATGGTCAATATTTGTGTATCTAAACATGTTCGAACATAGAAAGGCACAGTAAAAATATATAAAAGATAAAAAATGGTACATCTGTGTAGGGCACTTACCATGAATGAGGCTTGCAGGATTGGAAGTTGCTCTGGGTGAATCAGTGAGTGAGTGACATTACTGTACTCTGCTGAAGACTTTATAAACATTATGCACTTAGGCCTCACCATATTTATTTTTAAAAGTGTTCCTTTAATAATAAATTTTAGTCTTAGCTTACTGTAACTTTTTTACTTTATAAACTTTTTAATTTTTTAAACTTTTTGACTCCTTTGTAATAACACAGCTTAAAACACAAACACATTGGACAGCTGTGCAAAAATGTTTTCTTTCTTCATATTCTTATTCTATAAGCTTTTTTCACTATTTTTAAAATTATCATTTATTTTACTTAATAAACTTTTTTATTAAAAACTAAGACACAAACATACACATCAGCTTAGGCCTACCCAGGGACGGGATCATCAATATCACTGTCTTCCACCTCCACATCTTGTTCCACTGGAAGGTCTTCAGGAACTGTCATCTTCTATGATAATAGTACCTTCATCTGGAGGATATAAAAGTATACTCTAAAGTAACCATAAAAATTACATAAATCAGTAACATAGTCATTTATTATCATATCAAGTATTATGTACTTGATAATATAATGTATGTAATTTTATGTGCTACACTTTTATATTACTAGCATCACGGTAGGTTTCTTTATACCAGCATCACCACAAACATGTAAGCAGTGCATTGCACTACAACATTAGGACAGCTATGACCTCATTAGGCGATGGTAATCTTTTAGCTCCATTAAAATCTTATGGGACCACCATCATATATGCAGTCTATCGCTGACTGAAACATCATCGTGCCATGCATGACTGTAGTTGTTTGGTGTTTGTGTGGTGAAAAATACCTTAGATGGCAACAACTAGTAATAGATCCTGTTATGGACGTAGTCCTGAGTCCAAATAGTGACATCCCTCCTAGTTATGGAAATAGAAGAATTCTGTAGACTATTTAAGCCATCATCACACTGTTACTATCCACCATTGTTTTGGGGAGAAACCTAATATTTGGTTTTAATTCAAAATAATTGCTTTCAGAAAGTTTATTTCATAACATAGGCTCAGCTTGTTTCATCTTCTGTTGCCATAGGAACAAATAAATAAATTAATGCAATTGTCTGGGCATGGCACAAATAATTTCTTTCATGTATTGTCTTCTACTTTAGAATAGAACACTTGTCAGATTGAAGGGCAACAATTCTCTCACCAACTTTATCATAATTTTGATACCACATAATCCATCTATAATTATTTTTAGGGATATTTGGACATTTTAGCTTTGATTTATTAATATCATATTAGACCTTTGCAGAGAACATTTGCATTTTATTTTCTTTGTCTTGAATTTCATGGTGCACTCTGTGGTATCCATTTTCAAGTACTTTATGTACAAAAAAAGGTGGCAACATTTTTTCAGCAAAATCACAGGGAACCCCTGGCATATAGTAAATCTTTTCAAATTGACTTAATAGCACAAATAGATCCTTTTCTAAGGTTTAAGTTAAAATTCACACCAAAGGCCTTGATGAGGTACTCTTGCACATGCCCCACGGCTAGAGGAGGGTTTCAGAATCTGATCCCTACTTTGTGAATCTTGTAATCGGCTTGAGTACCTCAGGATTGCAAGCAAAGAAAGAACAGCTTAAGGTATAAAAGCCTTGTCCACCCTTAAAGGCATCAAACTGGGGAGAAGGGAGGAGGAACAATGTTAGAGCTATTTTTAATAATTTTAAAAATTAAAATGAACTTATAGTAAATCTGCATGACCAGAAACTACAAATTGAGTCATTAAGGGAGTACAGAATTAAAGGTCACACCTCATGGGTGTGTATCTCAGGTTCACACCTTGTTAGCTGTGAGATTTTAGGCAAATTACGTAACCTCTCCAAAGCTCAGTTGCCTCCTTTGGAAAATAGGATACTTCCTAGGGTTTCAAGAGGATTGAATAAAAGAGATATGCATAGAAAGTGTTTACCATATAGTGCCTGGCATATAGCAAGAATTCAACCAACATTAGCAATGCCTAGTATTATTAAACAGACTGTCACATCTGTATGCTTTGCACTGAACTTCCATCAGCTTTGTGTGATAACACTGTCTATCTCATTCTAATGGAAGCTGTGACTAGCAAGTAAATACAACTTTAATTAACATGGGGTAATTAATTCATGTCTTAATAAATGCTGTGTGTTTGATGAGATATGTCAAAACAAAATACTCAAAAACAAAAGGGACAGAAGCAATTTTTTAAATGGGTTTGGTGGTGAGAAGGCTGGGTATTTCCAGGGCAGACCCTTAGTACAGGCAAGAGTGTGAGAAGAGGGAGAAGTGTGGGAGCAGGAGAGATGGGACAATCGTCACCACAGCCTCAGCTCTTGCCACCCTCCCCATCTCTGCCTTTCAGCCATGCTAGTCTTCTTTCAGTCCTTCTAACACATCATCTTTCCCCACTTTGAGCCTTTGAACTTGCTGTTCTCTCTGCTTGGAACATTCTCGTCTCCCCTCTTCATTTAAAAAAAAAAAATCCTTCTCTCCTTCAGGTATCAATTAAAACATCACTTCCTTCCAGAAACCTCCTGAATTCCTTGGACTGGGCCATGTGTCACTGCTAGATTCTGCCTCAACACTGGGCGCTTGATCTATCATCTCATGTTGTTATATCCACTGGGTCATTATTTGCCTTCTCTGCTAGATTATGAGGAATGAAGGCTAACTGATGCCTCCTTTATCTGGCAGAGGTCCTGGCACTTAGGTACTCAAGAACTGCAGGTTGGCTCATTCGTAAGGAAAGGTAAACTCAAAGTGATTCTGTGTTCTTCCTCATTCACCTGTCCCCACCTTACTTGGTGACAACAGTGCTCAGAATAATGCTTGTATCCAACAGGGTGGAGAAAAAGAACAGTGCCTATCCAGCAGATAATGGACAAGATGTTCTCTTTTATTATTCCTATGCTTTTCCCTGCTACTCTTATCATAAGTCTTTCAATGGCCTCCTGATTTTCCACTTGATGTACTAAGGATCTCCTCCCTTGGGTTCCAACAGCACTGGAAGCTTTGTGGGAAAGCAGCTATGGAGAACTCTGGGGTCAAGGCAAGAAACCAGGAACTTGAGAAATCTCTAAGAACATCCATTCATTCATTCATTCGATGATAATTTAATAGTAGTAATAATAGCTGGAACCTATTGAGTGCTTATCTTACATTATATCATTCAGTTCTCACCATAATCTTGTGAAGTAGGTGCTATTAATAATCGTTTCTACAGATAAGAAAACTAAGGCACAATGCAGTGAAGCAACTTTGCCAAAGTCACATATGTAGCATAGTTATGAAGCCAGGATTTGGACCTGAACTCTTAACCAAGATGGATTTTTGCATCTCATGGGTCTTGGTATTTACAACTATGTGCCAAGCATGAGGCTAGTTGCTGGGGATTCCAAAGCAGCCAAAACTCAGACCCTGGTATTGCGGATCCTGCAGTTGGGTGGGGAAGGAAGTTAGGCAATGAACTTAACAGGTGCTCTGCTAAAGACTAGACTGGTGGGATAAATTGCATGATTGGATGTGTGGCAAACCATCAGGAGGGTACATATCCTGCTGCGTGAGGGGAACAAGTAATCACTTGGTGGACGCTTTAATCCAGGTTGCACCTGCACTGCCACATGCAGGTAAATCAGGTTCTGTGGTATGTTCCTGAAACACCAGGAGGAAAGTTAATTCTCAGACTCCCTGGATATCTGTTTTCCTTGGCTTATGGTCAGCTTCTCCTTGGACAAATAATGTTTCTTGTACAGGTCGAGCACCCCTAATATAAAAATCTAAAATCCAAAGTGCTCCAAAATTCCAATATTTTTGAATGCTGACATGATGCCACAAGTGGAAAATGCCACACCTGACCATGTGACCAGTTGCAGTCAGAACACAGTCAAAACTGTGTTTCAAGCAGAAAATCATTTAAAATATTGTATAAAATCACCTTTAGGCTGTGTGTATAAGGTGTATATGAAACATAAATGAATTTTGTGTTTATACTTGGGCCCCATCCCCAAGATACCTCATTATGTATATGCAAATCTTTTCATATCCAGAAAAATCCAAAATTCAGAATGCTCCTGATCCCAAGTACTTTGGATAACGGATATGCAACTGGTACTTAAAAGGGAAGAAAATAGACTCCAGCTTTGGAAGCATATAATGTAATTGTAAGTTATTAGCCCATTATTAATATGCAGGAGAACATTTCTAAAATGTTCCCCCAGGCCTTTGATTCAAAGAAAAATTATTCTATTCACCTACTTAGTATTTTCTGTCTAAAAATTGGCTAATTTGTTCATTTTGTGGTTTAACATTTTCTAAGACTCTAGGAGAGAGGACACATGACTCACTCTTTGTTAAATACATTTTGTGCTATTATCTTTCTCTGTTTTGGATTCCAAAATGTTTTCAGCATAACCTAGTGGCATATTTTGGTGGTATCAGCAGATCAGCTATGGTTCTTATGTCTCTTCTTTGGTCTCACTAAATACATGTGGGTTAATAGATGTTCATGATAACTGTAGATTTTATAATTCAGAAACTATAAACTTAAATTGATTGGCTGTTGGTTGACCAAACAATATAAAATAATGAATAGAGTATGAAAATATATGGATTTGACCTCTTAACTGTCACTTACAAGCTATGAATGATCCAACAAATATTTATTCAGCATGTATTAAGTACTGGGCACCGTGCTAAGCTCGGCAAACACAAAAGTGTACAAGACAACATGGCCCTAGTCTTTGATGGAACTTACATCCCATGGTGTGGAAAAGACCTTTATTTTTTGAGGAACTAAAGCAAATCAAATGGGCTGGAGTGTCATGAAAAGGTTGGAGAGTGGCACAAGATGCAGTCATATTGGAGTAAGGGCGGGAGATGCTTTCAGACTATGGCAAAGACTTTGGATTCTATTTTGTGTGCCGTCAGGAAGAAGCTATCAGTAAGGGATTGTTTCAACTCAGACATTAATGGTTGCAAGTAACACAAACTGTCCCATGTATAGAAGGCTTACTATTCGACAAAAGAGGTGTCTTACGGAAACCTAGTGAGGAAGCACAGAATAGCCAGGCCTTACTGGAATTGAAACTGGGGAGTAAGTAGAGAGCCATTACCACTAAGGCTGTTTCTGTCATGTTTTCTCTGTTCTCTTGCTTCTCTTCTTGCTTTAGAAACTGCCTTCCTCTATTTATGCATATCGTGACCATCTCATAGTGGGTGCCTCAAGCCCCAGGTCTAGGTACTCAGGGCTTAGTGCCTTGGTTTCCCACTTCCAACTTCCCTAGAATGAAACTGAGTAAGCTTCAGCTCATCTCCTTTTGGATGGAGTCCTTCATACCAAGCTTTGTTATGGGGCTTGTAATAGGTTACCTAGGTTAGTTGTCCATCCTTGACCCAGGCAGCTATAGGTGGCAGGATGGAGTCACATGGTACAATTCTAGTTTTTGTGCCTCAATGGTTGGAGAAAATAAGTTATGGAAAAGTTAACTTATTAGTAAATTTTGTAGACATGTGAGAAAACTTTGCCTTGTCAACCCCACGTAATTTTAATAAGGGTCAGATTAGCCCTCAAACTTTTTGAAATTTTTTTTGTAAGCTGAGAAAGTCTGATAGAGGTTAGTGGATTCTTTACTCACTATCAGACTGTAACTGAACAGAGCAGGCCAGATGCTTGCCACCTGCAGAGTCCAAGTAACAAGAGCACGGTCTGGTAGAAAGAGAATTTGGATAAGAGTGGTGGCTCGTACTTGTTATCCCAGGACTTTGGGAGGCTGAGGCAGGTGGATTGCTTGAAGCTAGGAGTTCAAGACCAGCCTGGCCAACATGGTGAGACCTCATCTCTGCTAAAAGTACAAAAATTAGCTGAGCATGATGTTGCACGCCTGTAATCCCAGCTACTCGGGAGGCTGAGGCAGGAGAATTACTTGAACCCAGGAGGTGGAGGCTGCAATGAGCTGAGATAATGCCACTGTACTCCAGCCTGGGTGACAGAGTGAGGTGAGACTCTGTTGAAAGAAAGAGAGAGAAGGGAAGAAGGGAAGGGAAGGGGGAGGAAGGGAAGGGAAGGGCAGGAAGGGAAGGGAAGGGGGAGGAAGGGAAGGGAAGGGCAGGAAGGGAAGGAAGGGAAGGAAGGGAAGCAGTTAATTTATTAACCCGAATGAGTAAAGGAGAGGCAGCCAGATTCCCATCCAAAATAACTGCTTCAACTTGGAAGGGGGGGAAGGCAGGGGTTGAAAAGGGAAAGCTTGATAAAGAAGGTATGCAAGAATTGCGCTAAGTACAATCTCCATGTGTCTTGTTCTGGTGGCTATCTTGGGTCCCAGTCCACCTGGACCTCAGGCTGACATCATCTCAACAATGGCTGGAACTTTGTAGCAGGGTCTCCAGACTTGGTCCTTCTGTCTCAAGATTAGCCCCTGGAACTTCTAAGAAGACACATGATTATGTACTAGTGTACAGTTAGATAAATTTGAAGGGTGTATACACAGTGAGAAAGGGAGGGACATGGAGTCTATTTTAAGGCTAAGGAAAAAGGTTTCTGCAGTTTGCCTCAAGATTATATCTTAAAACCCAAGAGAAATTTAAAAAAAAAGTTTAAAATGCATTTTGAGGTTAAGTTGCCCAGTTACAAGACCACTCTAGGTAAAGTATACAGGAAAAATGTATACAAAAGTCCAAAGAATAATGTAGAGAGAAAATTATTCCCATCATTTGCCAGCCATATCTCCCAAGACCTGCTCTCTTGATAATTCTGAATACAGGTGATTAAAATGATAATTAACTTCCCAAATCATAGTTAGAACTAATTGCATTATGATCCTTTGAAAAAACCCTATAAATTATTTAGGGCAATCTGATAAAAGAAGAAATATCTAAACTATGTCTTAGTGATAAGGATATGCCTTTACCAAATAAAAAATGAGAAGCTGATGTTAAGAGGATAACATACTCTTTCTTTTGTAAATGAGCACTATCGCTCCCAACAAGCAGATGGCAGTGGGTATTTTTCTGTCGAGGAAGTGGTTCCAGGGGTTGGACTACCTGCTCATTTTGGGACATGACTGAAACATATCCTTTAGAAGATCATTTCAAAAATTTGTGTTTTAATGATCTCATCATAGCAGAGAAATTGGGAGCAGAGTCTGTGTCACATAAAGCTGACTGGATGTTAAGGGTTCTTGTAAAAATTGATGCAGGAATAAGCCACAATTTGAGATGTGACTTGTTAAATAGTCTTGGTTTGTTTGGGTTATTTGTTTGCTGGAGTCATACCTTTTTAAGATTCATGAACAATGTCATAGAAGAAAGTGTACGTGAAAATTGGTTTAGCCTCTTATTTATGGAACCTTGATCAAGTGACTAAACCTCAGTCTCTTTAATGTGCCTAGTCAGAAGTTAAGCAAGGCTTTTTGTGTTGTCTTGGAATTTTGACTGAGATCCAGAAGCTAAGAGAATAAAAAAATATGGAATGCTCATACATGTTTCAAAATGGAGCCCAAACCTTGTATATAGAATTTTCTAAGGGATTATTTAAAATTGTCATAGTTCATCAGTTAATTTAAGTTTATATGAAGATATAACAGGGAGACAGAGAATTTCTTTGAGAAAGGCATATGCCTTCTTCTACCTCAAGCCCACCATGCGTAGAAGGGGATATGTTTCCAAGAGGGAAGTTTAACCCCTTCCTCCACCTGGAAGTTAAGGAGCTGGGGCCCCAAGGCCACTAAGAAACTAGTGTTGAATATGAGTAGAGAATCTTCATCCAATGCCCATTGCCTTCAAGTCTTCTTCTCCATGAGTTCTTCCTTGAATATTTAACAGCAATTCTGTTTCAGTGATTGCCATCTCCCTCCCCTGATTCATTTTCCTCCATGGTAGCTGATATGGTTTGGCTCTATGACCCCACCCAAATCCCACCTTGAATTTTAATCTCCATGTGTCAGGGGAGGAGCCTGGTGGAAGGTGACTGAATTATGGGTCTGGACTTCTCCCTTGCTGTTCTCATGATAGTGAGTTCTCATGAGATCTCTTTGTTTGAAAGTGTGTGGCACTTCCCCTTCACTCTCTCTCTCTCCTGCCGTCATGTAAGATGTGCCTTGGTTCCCCCTCATCTTCTGCCATGATGGTAAGTTTCCTGAAGCCTTCCAGTCATGCTTCCTGTTAAGCCTGAAGAACCGTGAATCAATTAAACCTCTTTTCTTCATAAATTACCCAGTCTCGGGTAGTTCTTTATAGCAGTGTGAGAATGGACTAATACAGTAGCTATCACTTTCTAATTTATTATATAATTTATTTATATAATTAGTTCATTAGTTAATTGTCTCTCTACTGAATAATGTATGTTTCATCAGGATGGAGTCTTTATTTTGTCCATCACTGTAATACAAGTACCTTGAACAGCATCTGGCACGTGGTGGTGGTCCAATACATTCTTGAAATGAATTAAATTGTGAGCACCTGCATGTGTTATTTGGAGTTTGGGGGATGTAGGGTACCTGACTATCTGAAGGAGACAAGCTGCCTGAAGAGGCTGGGAGGACAGGGGGAGTAGAGTGGCCAGCAGGGGGATAATCAGGAAAAGATTGTGGGCCAAGTGTGTACAGAAGATGGCTCTGGTTATCACATAAAGAGGCCCACCAGAAGGACAGCCTGTGGGATGAGTATGCAGTCAAAGAAGGGCCCAAGGAAGAGTGGCCAGTGACCAGGAGTAGAGGCATCCCGGAACCAAGAGACAGAACACAAAGTGGTTCCAGCACCAGCAAGGAGAACTCTCTAAGCCAGCACAGGACATCTTGAAACCTTTCCTTTCCCTTTATCTCCTCTGCTCTACTCTAACCCTAGAGGAAAGGGAGCCAGATTAGTAGCCAGAAATGAGAAATGGAAAAGTGAAGCAAAGAAGCACAGAGAACACTGAGCTTACCACCACCTACCCACTCTAGGTTTCCAAGCCCATTCCAACCTAAGCCCAGGGCAGGGAATTTTAACTCCATTGAGACAGTAAAGGTTAGATATTAGAAAACATGGAATTTGTCAAAAAGCCTCCACCAAATAAGACTCATTATATATGAAAGTGACAAGACAATATGAAGAATCTGCTTGAGATTTTATTGAGGCTTATCATAAAGAAAATGTTTCAAGGGTAATAATGAGGAGGAAAAAAATACCTTTTTTTTCCTGTTTACACTCTATTGAATCGACTCTTCCAATAAGCTGAGTACATGTAAAGTGAGTGAGATAAAGTGTGTAAATTGCCCAGAACACTGCTAGGCACATGGTAGAGACTCAGTACATGTCTGTGGTTGGTGGTAGCATTAGAATCTGCAGCCTTTCAGAAATATCCCCAACCAGACTTCCAGTCTCTGCCACATTTCCCTACTTAGTTTGCATATTTCTGTATTTACTTGTCTCTTCCATGAAAATTTCTCTGACATTTCCATGAATATATTAGTCTGTTTTCACACTGCTGATAAAGACATACCCAAGACTGGGCAATTTACAAAAGAAAGAGGTTTAATGGAATCACAGTTCCACATGGCTGGGAGGCCTCACAATCGTGGTGGAAGGGAGAAAGGCATGTCTCACATGGTGGCAGACAAGAGAAGAGAGCCTTTGCAGGGAAACTCCGCCTTATAAAACCATCAGATCTCATGAGACTTATTCACTATCATGAGAACAGCACAGGAAAGACCTGCCTCCATGATTCAATTACCTCCTCCCAGGTGCCTCCCAAACACGTGGGAATTCAAGATGAGATTTAAGTGGGGACACAGCCAAGCCGTATCATCCTGCCCTGGCCCCTCCCAAATCTCATATCCTCGTATTTCAAAACCAATCATGCATTCCTAACAGTCTCCCAAAGTTTTAATTCATTAAAGCATTAACTAAAAAGTCCACAGTCCAAACTCTCATTCAAGACAAGGCAAGTCCCTACTGCCTATGAGCCTGTAAAATCAAATGCAAGTTACTTACTTCCTAGCTACAATGGATGTACAGGCATTGGGTAAATACAGCCATTCCAAATGGGAGAAATTGGACAAGACAAAGGGGCTACAGGCCCCATGCAAGTCCAAAATCCAGTGGGGCAGTCGAATCTTTAAGCTCCAAAATGATCTCCTTTGAATCAATGTCTCACATCCAGGTCACGCTGATACCAGAAGTGGGCTCTGTCAACCTTGGGCAGCTCCACCCCTGTGGCTTTGCAGAGTATAGACCCCCTCCTGGCTGCTTTCAGGGCCTGGCATTGAGTGTCCGTGGCTTTTCCAGGCACACAGTACAAGCAGTAGGTAGATCTACCATTCTGGGGTCTGTAGGATGGTGGCCCTCTTCTCACAGCTCCACTAGGTGGCACCGCAGTAGGGACTCTGTGTGGGAGCTTCCACCCCACATTTCCCTTCTGCCCTGCCTTAGCAGAGGTTCTTCATGAGGGCCCCACCCTTGCAGTAAACCTGCCTGGGCATCCAGGTGTTTCCATACATCCCCTGAAATCTAGGCAGAGGTTCCCAAACCTCAATTCTTGATTTCTATGCACCTGTAGGCTCACTGCCATGTGGAAGCTGCCTAAGGCTTGGGACTTCCACCCTTTGAAGAAACAGCCTCAGCTGTACCTTGGCCCCTATCAGTCACAGCTGCAGTGGCTGGGACACAGGGAACCAAGTCCCTAGACTGTACACAGCAGAGGGACCCTGGGCCCAGCCCATGAAACCATTTTTTTCTCCGAAATCTCCTAGGCCTGTGATGGGAGGGGCTGCAGCAAAGGTCTCTGACATGCCCTGGAGACATTTTCCCCATCATCTTGGTGATTAACATTCAGCTCCTCATTACTTATGCAAATTTCTGCTACTGGCTTGAATTTCTCCTCAGAAAATGAGATTTTCTTTTCTATTGCATTGTTAGGCTGCAAATTTTCCAAACCTTTATGCTGTTTCCCTTTTAAAACTGAATGCCTTTAACAGCACCCAAGTCACCTCTTGAATGCTTTGCTGCTTAGAAATTTCTTCCACCAGATATCCCAAATCATCTCTCTCAAGTTCAAAGTTCCACAAATCTCTAGGGCAGGGGCAAAATGCCACCAGTCTCTTTGCTAAAACACAACAAGAGTCACCTTTGCTCCAGTTCCCAACAAGTTACTCATTTCCATCTGAGACCACCTCAGCCTGAATTTCATTGTCCATATCATTACCAGCATTTGGGTCAAAGCCATTCAACAAGTCTCTAGTGAGTTCCAAACATTCCCACATTTTCCCGTCTTCTTCTGAGCCCTCCACACTGTTCCAGCCTCTGCCT
Source organism: Homo sapiens (assembly GCF_000001405.40). Classification (NCBI taxonomy): domain Eukaryota; kingdom Metazoa; phylum Chordata; class Mammalia; order Primates; family Hominidae; genus Homo; species Homo sapiens. The sequence goes on along the minus strand of NC_000010.11, from coordinate 111,649,347 downwards.
GCTACCCAGTTTCAAAGTTACTTCCACACTTTTAGGTGTCTTTTTAGTAGCACCCCACTCCTGGTACCAATTTACTGTATTAGTCCATTTTCATGCTGCTGATAAAGACATACCCAAGACTAGGCAATTTACAAAAGAAAGAGGTTTAATGGACTGACAGTTCCACATGGCTGGGGAGGCCTCACAATCATGGCAGAAGGTGAAAGGCATGTCTCACATGGCAGCAGACCAGAGAAGAGGGCATATGCAGGGAAACTTTGCCTTATGAAACCATCAGATCTCATGAGATTTATTCACTACCACGAGAATAGCACAGGAAAGATCTGCCCCTGTGGTTCAATTACTTCCCACCAGGTCCCTCCCACAACACGTGGGAATTCAAGATGAGATTTGAATAGGGATACAGCCAAACCATATCAATTAGTTTGCCCCAAGCGTAGACTATAGATTTCTCTTTCTTCACATTTTTATGATTCCTAGTGATGATAATGATGATTTTCAAGTTAGCCAAAATTACTGATGACCTATTAAAATACCAGGCATCCTTCTAAGTAAGTGTCTTGCATGCATTATTTTATTTAATCCTCACCGCAACCCTCAGAGGTAATTGCAGAATGTGAAAATGGGGCTTTCTGTGGAATATGCCCAAGATCGCTCAGGTTGTGACAGATGTGGTGTTGGAACACAGCGCTAAACAACAAGCAAAAGAAACTAACTGGGACTGCCCTCATGTCCTGAGAGGGGAATCACATACACAGTAGAACATGTGTTCATCCTTTACTGCATGCCTTCTCTGGATACTTTTATTCTTTGTGAAATTAGGACAGTTAATGCAGTTCCCTTCACTGTGTTCATTGCACAGAAGATATGGTTTGTAATCCCATCACATATCTGCAAGATGAAAACCAGCTTTCTTGGTTCAGCAGGTAAAATCAATGCTTCATATAGAAAGCTTTAAACCTCAATTATTGAATGCAATGGTCCAAACAGAAACTCTGGTTGTCCAGGCAAAAATATCAGCAAGAATCCCTTTGTCTGTTTCTAATTAAGCCATTTCCAGATCCTTTGCCTTAGTCATCCCACTTGGACAAGTGTTCATGTAATGAATCAGCAGGGAGCATCTGGCTGCTTTTGCTTTGATCAAAATGCTTCGTGGTCTTACATTCCCAGAGGCGGATCAGGGCTATATGACTGATGGCCACCAGTTTGTTAACTTCTATGAGTGATTGGATCATATGGCTTAGCTGTTGGTAAATGCAGGGCTTGATATATCTCAACACACCTTATATATTATGATTCCTAGTGATAATAATGATGATTTTCAAGATAGCCAAAATTATTGATGACTTATTAAAATACCAGGCATCCTCCTAAGTTGTATGTACCCATCTTCCTACAACTTCACTGCTGCATCTTTGCAACTAGTGACATCTGAATTAATGAGGTGCTACTCAAGGGCACAAACTCCTCCAAAGAATGACAAAGTGCATGGAGAAATATTTCCATAGCTCTAACTAGGGTACTAGTTTTTTCTTGCTTACAATGCTGCATTCTACCCAGCTGATTAAAAGGACTTCTATTATGATTTGGCCAGTTGTAGGTATGTGGAATTTTATTAGCGCTTCATTTGTAAGTAAAGTGCGTCCCTGGAACACAGGTGCACTAACATATACAACACACACATCCTCAGGGAGAACATGAATAACAATTCAGATTTTTATTTCCTTATTATTTATAGATTGGCTCACATTGTTAGGGAGATGCTGGGTCACAGTCTGATTTGAAACTGTTCTGCCAGTGTATGGGATTTTATATCTTTTCTGATCCTTTCTTTGGCCAAGGGCATGGAGATTAGATTTATTTTCATGAACTACTCCTTGTCATCCCTTTCTGCCTGAAATTAGAATACACACAAGGCAGAAGAAAGAAGCTGGGCAATATATATCTGTAGAAATGGCTGCAAAACTGGGAATAATGTAGCTTTGCCTTTACCTTGGCTTCCGTGCACAGTGTCATGGTGATTAGGGACAGAAAAATTGCAAATCCTCTAGAAATGACCTCTGCTATAGTTCCCCAAAACTGGGGATAATGTAGCTTTGCCTTTACCTTGGCCTCCTTGCACAGTGCCATGGTGATTAGTGACAGGGAAATTGCAAATCCTCTAGAAATGACCTCTGCTGTGTTTCCTGTTACCCAAACCTTTATGTTCAGAACACAAGTACATTTCAGGGAAAACAAATGGGGACTTGTTCTCTGGATTTCAGTGAGCCTGGCTTCTTTGAAAATTCCTTTTAGATCTAGCTGTTCTGAATATTTCATGGTTGTATATATTTAATTAATTTACATGCCTTTCTGGCATCATTTTTAATGTGCTCATGATATTTATTCTGCTAGGCAACTCTTGGTTAATGACGACAGTGTTAGACTCAAGGCATGCTGTATGGCCACGTTGGAATTGGCTGAATGATGAGCTACTGTTCACTAAGCCCCCTACACTGTGAGACACAGAGGTAGGCCCTTAAGCATGTTACCGCTGTTCCTATCAGAGGCAGGCCAGATGTGTATAATCATCCACAATTTATTGAGGAAGAAACTGAGACTCAGCTAGTCTCATAAATTGCTTTAGCAAAGTCATGCACCGGCTAACTGGCAGAGCTAGGATTCCAACTCAAATGTGACCTTCCAAGTCCCAGCCCAGCATTGTCACCTGTTAGACCCACAAAGGCTTTTGAACCTCTGAGCCTCACTTTTTTTCAAAGGTACAAGTGGGAAAATAATACCTGTGCTGTTTAATTTCCTGTGGCAACACAGAAGCAATTGAAATAATACATAAGAAAATGCTTTGTAAGCTTTCTAGTGCTACAAATAGGAGAGGCATTACTGTAATGAAGCAGATTAGGCACATATAATACACAAACAGTCTAGAATCTGGAATCCTTATGGCTTACCAAAGCAGGTAGACCAACAAGGAGCTATAGCCTGGAAACTAAAGACTATGTCTCCCTCCACATATAATCCTGCCTATATCCTGGCTTGAAATAAAACTTTTTTCTTGTCGTGATTTCACGCATAGCATGAAGATTAAATTATTATTGTTAATGTTGCCAGTTGTGTTGGTGACTTTATGACTCATTCTCTCCAGGTCTCTCTTTCCACATATATAAACAAAACTTTAAAAACATTCCATTTGTGCAAATGGATCAAGTTCTCCTTAACATTTTTGTATTTAAAGATACAATACATTGAAAGTATTATCCAGATCAGGGGTGAGGGCACTTTAAGTCTCACCACCCCCAAAAAAATTGTCACAAGCAGCTCACAATTTTCAGACTATTACTATTCAAAAGAGCGCTGTCACTGCCCCCCCTCCCCCACCGACTCCATCAGAATCCATAAAACATGAGCAGGCTGCATAATTCCCTCCTTAACTCTATCACCTCTCTAATCACATTTCTTTTTAACACATTCATCAGGACACCAAGCAGAACCCTGGGTATTTCTTTGGCCTTCGATTTGCACATTAAACTTTCCAGCTTTTGAATTTTTGAAATAAGTGGTAATTCTGGGGGTAGTATTAAGGGAGAAGAACTGAAATGGCTTCACGTAGACACTCCTTGTTGGATTTCTAGTCTGCTGCTGTCCATGGCCCCCTGAAACTTATAAGTCGTGATGATAAACACTTAGAGAACTCAGGATAGGCATCAACTGTGGCATATTTGAGAACACCCTATTGCTTGGGAGTGAATGGGATTCATCCCCCCCCCCCACTGTCACCTTGTGCCAGTCCTGCTGTCCCCCCACCCTACATGGACTGTCGTGGTGTGGCTCTTCCCTGGCTTATCAAGAAAAACTAAATGTGACAAGTAAGCAAAATGTACAATGGAAAGGCAGGTATAATTCTAATGTACGAGAAATTTTAGAATACTAATATTAAAAAAGGATGCCAATAAATCTGAAAATTAATATGAAGTAAATCATTTCTGAAATGAAATTAATTACCAAATCAAGAAAAAAATAGAAAACCTTAGACAACCTATAAATATTAATAACATTTGTATGAAGGGAGACTCCAGAGCTCCTCTTCAGCATATATATGCAGCACTGTTATTCAAAGAGCCTGGGTACCAGAAAACTTAGACTGCGTGGGTGGGGCCTGTTTCCCAAGGAACTGACATTCTCAGAGACAAGCTGGATGGTATGCCTGTCCTGATATGAAAGGCAAAACATTAGTTTTATATCTAATGTGAAAGGTAAAACAGACTCTGTGTCAAGCTGGGAGTCTCAGCGTCAATAATAATTATAGCAGTAATGACCACTGTGACCATAATGAGTATCAATTATTGAGCACTTGCTATGATTCAGGCACTTTACATACATTATCTCATTCCATTTATTACATATATTAAGCCTGTGAAATAGGTAATATTATCCTGATTTTATAAATGGAGACCTAACACTGAAAGAGATGACAGGATTTGCTGCAGGTCATCATGCTAATGATTGGTAAATCTAGGCCCAGGTTTAACCAACTTGGAATTTTTTGCTAAATGATCTGATTTAGGAGCACTTCTCTTCAAGATGCAGGAAGGCAGAACAGAATACAACAAATACAAGCTATGATTTGGGGCAGCTGAAAGGAAATGCATTTAATCTATTTTTGTGACTGAGAAATTTTTCTATTAGTTTAACTGAGGATTGTTACATAACATTGCTGCTATACCTGGAATGTAATTTCATTGAAATGTGATAACAATGACCTTTCGCAGAGGACATTGAGTAAAATTATGCTTTCTTTCTTTATAGTGTGCAATTCATATAGTCTTTATTGCTTTTCTCTAGGTTTTTCTCTCTAGGCTTTTACAGTCCTCACTTGGATTACACATTCCTAAATGCTCGAGTGAAGATACTTAGCTGACTGAATAATATTTAATTAGTTAATTATTATTGTGTGCAGAAATAGAGGGGCTGTAAACTCTCCATCACTGCTTCCCCGGGGCCTGCCACTGAGCCTGGAACATAGTAGGTGCACAGCAAATGTGGACTGAGAGCTTGAAATACCCGGCATGGTGCTGAGCTCCATAAATATCAGTTGACATGTCTTCTCCTGACACACACAAAAACCCAAGTTCAAAACAGAAGTAAAACATGATTTATGATTTATTTCCCCAAGAGAGATATCCACCCATCTCTGCCCCATCGCCTGGTTTGTTTGCTTCAAAGATAGAGCCACCTACAGAGAGTGAATACAAGCCCAATGCTGTAATTGAGGGACCTAGGGAATTGGCTGGGAGCAATTCAAATAGGAAATGAGGTTCAATGTTGCCTGCACCATGAAGACAAAAGAGAGTGAAGACAGTGTTGATTGCTTCCAGCATTTTAAAAAACTTTTTTTTGTTTGTTTTGAAATGAGTCTTGCTCTGTTGCCCAGGGTGGAGTGCAGTGGCACAGTCTTGGCTCACTGCAACCTCTGCCTCCCGGGTTCAAGCAATTCCCTGCCTCAACCTCCTGAGTAGCTAGGATTGCAGGTGCCTGCCACCATGCCCAGCTTATTTTTGTATTTTTAGTAGAGACTGAGTTTCACTATCTTGGACAGGCTGGTCTTGAACTCCTGACCTCATGATCCACCTGCCTGCGCCTCCCAAAGTGCTGGGTTTACAGGTGTGAGCCACCACACTGGCCAGAAAACATTTTTAATGGTTTCACATACCCCTAGATTGCAAACTTCTTAAATATAGGGATTGTGCAGCTAATGGAACACCTTGTCTTAAGAATGCACTGAGTAAATGTCTGTCCAAATGAAATGGAACATCGACCCAGTATTTTCGGAGCATTGGATTAATTTTGGGCTGAACTGGTCTCTTCCATGGTCACTGTCATCGTGGATGCCATTGAATAGTAAGGAGCGAATTGGCTGATGTGTATCACAATTGGTTGCAAATGCTGAAAGGCAGAAACTTTGGATAGAAGGAAGATTTGAACAAAAGGTTTATAAACCAAAGATAGTAGGGAAGTTTGGGCAGATACGTCCAACAAGAATTCTAAGCTGCCAAGCCTCCTGCATTCTAGAATGGAAATCTCCCAATTTAGTCTTCTGTTTCTCTCCCATTTTTTTTAAAATTATTATACTTTAAGTTCTAGGGTACATGTGCACACCATGCAGGTTTGTTACATATGTATACATGTGCCGTGTTGGTGTGCTGCACCCATTAACTCGTCATTTACATTAGGTATATCTCCTAATGCTATCCCTCCCTCCTCCCCCCCACCCCACGACAGGCCCCGGTGTGTGATGTTCCCCTTCCTGTGTCCAAGTGTTCTCATTGTTCAATTCCCACCTATGAGTGAGAACATGCAGTGTTTGGTTTTTTGTCCTTATGATAGTTTGCTGAGAATGATGGTTTCCAACTTCATCAATGTCCCTACAAAGGACATGAACTTATCCTTTTTATGGCTGCATAGGATTCCATGGTGTATATATGCCAATTTTCTTAATCCAGTCTATCATCCATGGACATTTGGGCTGGTTCCAAGTCTTTGCTATTGTGAATAGTGCCGCAATGAATGTACGTGTGCATGTGTCTTTATAGCAGCATGATTTATAATCCTTTGGGTATATACCCAGTAATGGGATGGCTGGGTCAAATGGTATTTCTACTTCTAGATCCTTGAGGAATCGCCACACTGTCTTCTACAATGGTTGAACTACTTTACAGTCCCACCAACAGTGTAAAAGTGTTCCTATTTCTCCACATCCTCTCCAGCACCTGTTGTTTCCTGACTTTTTAATGATCGCCATTCTAACTGGTGTGAGATGGTATCTCATTGTGGTTTTGATTTGCATTTCTCTGATGGCCAGTGATGATGAGCATTTTTTCATGTGTCTGTTGGCTGCATAAATGTCTTCTTTTGAGAATTGTCTGTTCATATCCTTCGCCCACTTTTTGATGGGGCTGTTGGTTTTTTTCTTGTAAATTTGTTTGAGTTCTTTGTAGATTCTGGATATTAGCCCTTTGTCAGATGAGTAGATTGCAAAAATTTTCTCCCATTGTGTAGGTTGCCTGTTCACTCTGATGGTAGTTTCTTTTGCTGTGCAGAAGCTCTTTAGTTTAATTAGATCCCATTTGTCAATTTTGGCTTTTGTTGCCATTGCTTTTTGTGTTTTAGACATGAAGTCCTTGCCCATGCCTATGTCCTGAATGGTAATGCCTAGGTTTTCTTCTAGGGTTTTTATGGTTTTAGGTCTAACATGTAAGTCTTTAATCCATCTTGAATTAATTTTTGTATAAAGTGTAAGGAAGGGATCCAGTTTCAGCTTTCTACATATGGCTAGCCAGTTTTCCCAGCACCATTTATTAAGTAGGGAATCTTTTCCCTATTTCTTGTTTTTGTCAGGTTTGTCAAAGATCAGATGGTTGTAGATGTGTGGTATTATTTCTGGGGGTTCTGTTCTGTTGCATTGGTCTATATCTCTGTTTTGGTACCAGTACCATGCTGTTTTGGTTACTGTAGCCTTGTAGTATAGTTTGAAGTCAGGTAGCATGATGCCTCCGGTTTTGTTCTTTTGGCTTAGGATTGTCTTGGCAATGTGGGCTCTTTTTTGGTTCCATATGAACTTTAAAGTAGTTTTTTCCAATTCTGTGAAGAAAGTCATTGGTAGCTTGATGGGGATGGCATTGAATCTATAAATTACCTTGGGCAGGATGGCCATTTTCATGATATTGATTCTTCCTATCTATGAGCATGGAATGTTCTTCCATTTGTTTGTGTCCTCTTTTATTTCGTTGAGCAGTGGTTTGTAGTTCTCCTTGAAAAGGTCCTTCACATCCCTTGTAAGTTGGGTTCCTAGGTATTTTATTCTCTTTGAAGCAATTGTGAATGGGAGTTCACTCATGATTTGGCTCTCTGTCTGTTATTAGTGTATAGGAAGGCTTGTGATTTTTGCACATTGACTTTGTATCCTGAGACTTTGCTGAAGTTGCTTATCAGCTTAAGGAGATTTTGGGCTGAGACAATGATGAGGTTTTCTAAATATACAATCATGTCATCTGCAAACAGGGACAATTTGACTTCTTCTTTTCCTAATTGAATACCCTTTATTTCCTTCTCCTTCCTGATTGCCCTGGCCAGAACTTCCAACACTGTGTTGAATAGGAGTGGTGAGAGAGGGCATCCCTGTCTTGTGCCAGTTTTCAAAGGGAATGCTTCCAGTTTTTTCCCATTCAGTATGATATTGGCTGAGGGTTTGTCATAAACCCTCATAAACCCAAATGAAATTGGCTGAGGGTTTTATCATGAAGAGCTGTTGAATTTTGTCAAAGGCCTTTTCTGCATATATTGAGATAATCATGTGGTTTTTGTCTTTGGTTCTGGTTATATGCTGGATTACATTTATTGATTTGCATATGTTGAACCAGCCTTGCATCCCAGGGATGAAGCCCACTTGATCATGGTGGATAAGCTTTTTGATGTGCTGCTGGATTCGGTTTGCCAGTATTTTGTTGAGGATTTTTGCATCGATGTTTATCAGGGATATTGGTCTAGAATTCTCTTTTTTTGTTGTGTCTCTGTCAGGCTTTGGTATCAGGATGATGCTGGCCTCATAAAATGAGTTAGGGAAGATTCCCTCTTTTTCTATTGACTGGAATAGTTTCAGAAGGAATGGTACCAGCTCCTCCTTTTACCTCTGGTAGAATTCAGCTGTGAATCCGTGTGGTCCTGGACTCTTTTTTGTTGGTAGGCTATTAATTATTGCCTCAATTTCAGAGCCTGTTATCGGTCTATTCAGAGATTCAAATTCTTCCTGGTTTAGTCTTGGGAGGGTATATGTGTCAAGGAATTTATCCATTTCTTCTAGATTTGCTAGTTTATTTGCGTAGAGGTGTTTATAGTATTCTCTGATGGTAGTTTGTATTTCTGTGGGATCAGTGGTGATATCCCCTTTATCATTTTTTATTGCATCTATTTGATTCTTCTCTCTTTTCTTCTTTATTAGTCTTGCTAGTGGTCTATCAATTTTGTTGATCTTTTCAAAAAACCAGCTCCTGGATTCATTGATTTTTTGAAGGGTTTTTTGTGTCTCTATCTCCTTCAGTTCTGCTCTGATCTTAGTTATTTCTTGCCTTCTGCTAGCTTTTGAATGTGTTTGCTCTTGCTTCTCTAGTTCTTTTAATTGTGATGTTAGGGTGTCAATTTTAGATCTTTCTTGCTTTCTCTTGTGGGCATTTAGTGCTATAAATTTCCCTCTATACACTGCTTTAAATGTGACCCAGAGGTTTTTGTATGTTGTGTCTTTGTTCTCATTAGTTTCAAGAACATCTTTATTTCTGCCTTCATTTCGTTATGTACCCAGTAGTCATTCAGGAGCAGGTTGTTCAGTTTCCATGTAGTTGAGCAGTTTTCAGTGAGTTTCTTAATCCTGAGTTCTAGTTTGATTGCACTGTGGTCTGAGAGAGAGTTTGTTATAATTTCTGTTCTTTTACATTTGCTGAGGAGTTCTTTACTTCCAACTATGTGGTCAGTTTTGGAATAAGTGCGATGTGGTGCTGAGAAGAATGTATATTCTGTTGATTTGGGGTGGAGAGTTCCGTAGATGTCTATTAGGTCCGCTTGGTGCAGAGCTGAGTTCAATTCCTGGATATCCTTGTTAACTTTCTGTCTTGTTGATCTGTCTAATGTTGACAGTGGGGTGTTAAAGTCTCCCATTATTATTGTGTAGGAATCTAAGTCTCTTTGTAGGTCTCTAAGGACTTGCTTTATGAATCTTGGTGCTCCTGTATTGGGTGCATATATATTTAGGATAGTTAGCTCTTTTTGTTGAATTGATCCCTTTACCATTATGTAATGGCCTTCTTTGTCTCTTTTGGTCTTTGTTGGTTTAAATTCTGTTTTATCAGAGAGTAGGATTGCAATGACTTCCTTTTTTTGTTTGTTTGTTTTCCATTTGCTTGGTAGATCTTCCTCCATCCCTTTATTTTGAGCCTATGTGTGTCTCTGCACGTGAGATGGGTCTCCTGAATACAGCACCCTGATGGGTCTTGACTCTTTATCCAATTTGCCAGTCTGTGTCTTTTAATTGGAGCATTTAGCCCATTTGCATTTAAGGTTAATATTATATGTTAATTTGATCCTGTCATGATGATGTTAGCTGGTTATTTTGCTTGTTAGTTGATGCAGTTTCTTCCTAGCCTTGATGGTCTTTACAATTTGGCATGTTTTTGCAGTGGCTGGTACTGGTTGTTCCTTTCCATGTTTAGTGCTTCTTTCAGGAGCTCTTGTAGGGCAGGCCTGGTGGTTACAGATTCTCTCAGCATTTGCTTGTCCGTAAAGGATTTTACTTTTCCTTCACTTATGAAGCTTAGTTTGGCTGGATATGAAATTCTGGGTTGAAAATTCTTTCCTTTAAGAATGTTGAATATTGGCCCCCACTCTCTTCTGGCTTGTAGAGTTTCTGCTGAGAGATCTGCTGTTAGTCTGATGGGCTTCCCTTTGTGGGTAACCTGACTTTTCTCTCTGGCTGCCCTTAACATTTTTTCCTTCATTTCAACTTTGGTGAATCTGACAATTATGTGTCTTGGAGTTGCTCATCTCGAGGAGTATCTTTGTGGTGTTCTCTGTATTTCCTGAATTTGAATGTCAGCCTGCCCTGCTAGACTGGGGAAGTTCTCCTGGATAATATCCTGCAGAATGTTTCCCAGTTTGGTTCCATTTTCCCCGTCACTTTCAGGTACACCAATTGGACATAGATTTGGTCTTTTCACATAGTCCCATATTTCTTGGAGGCTTTGTTCATTTCTTTTTACTCTTTTTTCTCTAAACTTCTCTTCTCACTTCATTTCATTCATGTGATCTTCAATCACTGATATCCTTTCTTCCAGTTGATTGAATTGGCTACTGAAGCTTGTGCATTTGTCATGTAGTTCTCGTGCCATGGTTTTCGGCTCCGTCAGGTCATTTAAGTACTTCTCTACACGTTTATTCTAGTTAGCCATTCATCTAATCTTTTTTCAAGGTTTTTAGCTTCTTTGCGATGGGTTCGAACTTCCTCCTTTAGCTCAGAGAAGTTTGATCGTGTGAAGCCTTCTTCTCTCAGCTCATCAAATCATTCTCTGTCCAGCTTTGTTCTGTTGCTGGTGAGGAGCTGTGTTCCTTTGGAGGGGGAGAGGCATTCTGATTTTTAGAATTTTCAGTTTTTCTGCTCTGTTTTTTCCCCATCTTTGTGGTTTTATCTACCTTTGCTCTTTGATGATGGTGACGTACAGATGGGGTTTTGGTGTGGATGTCCTTTCTGTTTGTTAGTTTTCCTTCTAACAGTCAGGACCCTCAGCTTCCGGTCTGTTGGAGTTTGCTGGAGGTCCACTCCAGACGCTGTTTGCCAGGGTATCAGCAGCGGAGGCTGCAGAACAGCGAATATTGCTGAACAACAAATGTTGCTGCCTGATCGTTCCTCTGGAAGCTTCGTCTCAGAGGGGTGCCCGGCCGTGTGAGGTGTCAGTCTGCCCCTACTCGAGGGTGCCTCCCAGTTAGGCTACTTGGGGGTCAGGGACCCACTTGAGGAGGAAGTCTGCCCATTCTCAGATCTCAAACTCAGTGCTGGGAGAACCACTACTTTCTTCAAAATTGTCAGACAGGGACATTTAAGTCTGCAGAGGTTTCTGCTGCCTTTTGTTCGGCTATGCCCTGCCCCCAGAGGTGGAGTCTACAGAGGCAGGCAGGCCTCCTTGAGATGTGGTGGGCTCCACCAAGTTCGAGCTTCCTGGCTTCTTCGTTTACCTACTCAAGCCTCAGCAATGGCAGGCACCCCTCCCCCAGCCTCGCTGCTGCCTTGCAGTTCTATCTCAGACTGCTGTGCTAGCAATGAGCAAGGCTCCATGGGCGTGGAACCCTCCAAGCCAGGTGCAGGATATAATCTCCTGCTGTGCCGTTTGCTAAGACCATTGGAAAAGCACAGTATTAGGGTGGGAGTGACCCGATTTTCCAGGTGCCGTCTGTCACAACTTCTCTTGGCTAGGAAAGGGAATTCCCTGACCCCTTGTGCTTCCTGGGTGAGGTGATGCCTCGCCCTGCTTCGGCTCATGCTCGGTGGGCTGCACCCACTGTCCTGCACCCACTGTCCGACAAGCCCCAGTGAGATGAACCCGGTACCTCAGTTGGAAATGCAGAAATCACCCGTCTTCTGCATTGCTCATACTAGGAGCTGTAGACTGGAGCTGTTCCTATTCAGCCATCTTGGAACCTCCTCCTTTCTCTCCCCTTCTACTGTCTAATTGTCTTTCTTTCCCCTCCAGGGCACTATGGAGCATAATGAGCTGTTAAATATTTTGAGATTCTGAGAAAAATAATCATATCACTTTAAATGCCTTTCTTTTTATTCAGAAAGGATGACAATATTACACATGAGACTATGCATGCATAAAAATGGGATGCAGAAATAAAATAGGAAGAAAGAATGGAAGTTGGAAGAAACAGAGTTAGAAGCCATCTCTTAAGGAAAGGTCCACTTCTTTTAAAACAAAGCTAGGTGGAAGACTGATTGTGAAAGACTACATTTCAGAGATCCTGAGTTACTTACTAGATAGCATAAGTTTACTTTCTTCATCCTATAAAGTACTCCTACTCCCCAAATTCTCTTTCTCCCTCTTCAGACACACACACACACATACACACACACACACACACACACACACACACACACACACACACACACACACACCACCCTAACCCAGGCCAGATGAAATCTCTCAAAGACTCTAAGTACTACAAAGACAGTTGTGCATGCCATGCGTTATAGGAATGAATACTAAGTGACAAGTTATAAAATGTAAATTTTCAAAATTTTACAAAATATAAGTGTAAGCCAATATTAAAATATCTTTCTAGCCTTTCTTAACTTTTTCTATTTTTGGTACTCCTGCTTTTCTAGTGCACTAAGCCAGTGTTCACTTTGCCTATTGGGTATCCCTCGACTAATATACTTTCTTCTGCATTCTTCACCCCACTTTTCTGCTTCCCTTATAAAGTAATCCACACAAATAGCCCCCTTCCTTTATTTACTGATGGGTTCATTTCTTTCCTCTATGCCTCATTTTATTTTCATCTCATGTCTGAAGCAAACTGAAAATTCTCTCTATTTCAAAAGACAGATTAACTTGGTGCCCTAAGAATCACATTATTTCCTTATTTGTATGACATGTTTTATACCTTCAGTCTAAAAACCTTCTAGAATAGCAAAGATAAATACCTCTTTTTCAGTTGAGTTTTTTTTTCTTTTTGGAGCATGCTTCATATACTTATAGAGTCCATTTTCTTTTTTTGAGCTTATGTGCATTCATGTGACTGAGACAGATTTGGTTTTAGATAATCACCATCTAATAAAGTTCTATGCCATTAGGTGTGAAGGATGGGCAAGTGCTGGTACTACATTAGTAGGTTTTTAATTGTCAAAAAAGTGAAATATTGTCAGTTGCTGCCAGATAAGTGTTAACAGAAAAATGTCTAAACTGACTGAAGGAGTTTCTGGTCCATTGGAGAAATGGCACATTTTCTAGTCTGCCTCCACTGCCCAAAACAGGGAAGGCCTTCTCTGTCTCAGTGGGGCAGCTTTCCAAAGCAAAGTAAAATACTTGGCCACCTCTTCCCAAAGGTAACCCCAACTCCTCAATGTGGTCAAGAACAGCTTGTGTAAGCTCAGTGGTCTACTGAGATGAAAGTCCTTTGTATTCCCACTGAAAATTAAGTGTCCTTGTGTCAATCCAGGTCCTCTGAAAAGCAGACACCAAGACTAAATGAAAGTCATGAGGATTTTATTAAGAGAAATATTTGTGTGAAAGGAGGTCAGTAGGGAACTGGAGAAGGTTGAAGAGCCACCTGCTGTGCAAATCAGACCCAGAGTGAGGGAGAGGGGAGAGAAAATTGTGTGGAAGTGTCTTAGACTGCTCTGCATTCTAAGCCAGTAGGGAGTCATTCAGCCAATGTTGGGCAACAAAGAAATCCTTAGCTGCAGGAATGGGTCTGCCTTCACATCCTACTCATGGGTTTAGCATGGCCTCAGCACAAATGCTATGATAATTTCAAAGTGAAGCATCTGGGGTGTCTGGTGATTACACTGTCTGTAGTAAGAGGTCCTTGAGACATATTTACGTGACCTCCACAATCCACACCTTGGACTTGTCCATGCAGGTGCAGGGAGCAACTCCTCCACTGGGCTTTCTTCTTCCTGATGGAACAGATGAAGGAGGTTAGTGGGATGATTTACAGATGCCCTGGCTGCTGTTGACCTTGGTGCCACAGCTGGTAAGTACCCTCTTCTTCATCCATTATCCATTCTAAATCCCTCTCATCCTGAGTTGTTACCTTGACGGGTCATGGTAGCCTATCTGGTAGTGTGATCCAGATCTTTGTATCTGAACCACATGAAAAGTTGATTTTCATACCCTTCTTAGTGTAGGGATGTTGCACCTGTCTGTTCACAGTTAATACGCAGTGCCAGGAGGTTGTTCCATAGATCGCTTGGGTTCCCCATGTATCCTTCCTGTCTCCGTTGTGTAAAAGCAGCTCTACCCTCCTGCTGGTCGAGGACAATTACATATCAGTATGGTAATTCTTTTCACCTGCAATCCCACGGCAAAGGGTGGAAAGTGCCCTGCTGACAGCCATAACTTGTACTTCAATGGTGACTTTGCTGTGTCCCCTTTGTAGAATGTGTCCCCTACAGGACCAAGACCTGCAATCCTGCAGAGCCTAGGGTTTCAAGGACAGGAAACACATTGGGAGTGATACATGGAGACACTCCTGTTTCCATCCCTTGGTTCCTGCACCCATGTGTACTTCTTATTGGAAATGGTGCCTTACGTCTCTGTAAATGTACTGCCTCCTGAAGGATGCATCCCATTCTTTCAGAATATTTCCTCCAAGCTGGCATTTCAGTTGCCAGATTGTCTCGCAGATAAGAAGCCTGAGATATTATCCTCTACATTCTGTCTCTTGTTGGCTGTGAATGGCTCCTGAGAGCTTTAACTCCCTTCGTTTATAGCCTTTGATAGGCAGAAAAAGGCTTCAAGCAGAGTGACACCTGTCCTTGAGATCAGAAGCCATCAGTCTTTGTGGGAATCATCCACCAAAGCTGCAGTTGATATTTAGGGTAGACAAACAAGTATTTCACTGGCTTTTGGCATTGCCCCTTAGTTTCCTGACAATCCCTGCTAACTTCTGAGCATCTTCCTGTAAAAAGAAAAAAAAACTGTATGATGTGACTTCATATTGCTTGCCTTTTAAAAATACGCTTCATTTTCCAATTGGATTTCTCCTTATGTCAGCTTCCAAGTCATTTAACACCTCCCTCTCTTACCAGAACTCTAGAATTAAGCATCAAAGATTCATAATTATTTTTTATTAGCAGATATAGCTAGTCTAAAATTTTATAGGTTGTCGTTTGACACAGACATCTCCCTTACAAAGGGAAATTAATTTAAATTCTAAAACACATGGAGGTGAAGCATAATTTACTTTTGAAACAGCTATAAAATGACTGTATCATGTGGGTTCCAAGTGCTACTGTCTGCCTCGCTCTGGGCATTGAGCTGTAAGTCATTCAAGGTGTATCTCTGATCACAGGGGAAGGGAAAGGGAGAAAGTGAGGAGGAAAATACATCCTCAGTGATTTTAATCTCAGGATGTGAACATTTCTTGTCCAATATATGCATAGATTCCTGGGGATTTCCTCACACAAATAATTTTATGTCCAATGAGGCTTGGTGACCTATCAGGCACAGTTGTAAGGGAGTAGAAGAAGGGGGATTTATGTTTTGTCCTGCACAACTGATCCCTTTCCCAAGCCTAAAATTGAGCTGAATCAGTAGGTTAAAGACAACACATATTCTCTGTAAAGTCAGATGCCCCACTGGCTTGGTTTATTTCCCAAAGGAGAAAACGGGTAATTTAAATAATGTGGCTTAACTTGTCATATATCTGCCCTTATATCATCAGTGATTTCAGATTCTAAGAGAATGGCTACAGAGTGCAGGCTCTGAAGACCTGAGGTTCACGTCTGTCTCATTGTAGAAGCCTACGGTCCACTTACTAGATGAAAGCAATAGAAAGGGAGGTGCTTTCAGCTCTCATATTTAAAGAAACCCGGGGACAAGATCCCTAGTTCTGCTTTCAGGAAATTTTTATTTTTATATAAATTGAAAAACAGAACACTTTTCTCCCCTGGATTCTAGGAACTGGGTCTACATTCCTCTAGAGAGTGGACATATTATTTCTCTGTCTTTTTTCCTGCATGAATTATCAAGTATAGTGAAATGAGCCCAGTCTCTGGATCACCCAATGACTTAAGAGTTGCCATTTAGAATGGGAAGTGAATACTAAAGGCTCATTCTACTGGCATTTTAAAATCTGATCTGCTACTTATCTTTGTAAGTTATATGTAGTATATTGATAATAACAGGTTACACATACATTGCTTACAAGGTGATAGAGATAGATTAGATAGATTTCCCAGATAGATAGATAGATAGATAGATAGATAGATAGATAAGCAGGCAGATACTCATTTAATTCTTAGAAACACCTATGGGATTCTGTTTTGTTCCTAAGTTATCCGCTGAAAATACTGAAGCATGAAGTAGTTAAGTAATTTGCCCAAGGTCATGTGACAATTGTCTTGCACAGCCAGCAGCTAGGAGGGGAACCACCAAGTTCCGATGCCACAGTCTGTGCCCTTAACTGCTACACCACACTGCCCTTTCTCTGTTAGAAACTATAAGGGTTTAAACTGTCCCTTTTCTGTTAGAAATCACAGGCTATATTACACATGGCCAACATTTGTAATCTACCTATTATCTAGTCAGAAGATAAATTATCTACATTTACAAATTAGTAAAGTCAGAACCCAAATGGCCAGGAGCTTTCAGTTTGCTTACCAGTTCCAGCTGAATGGCAGTAGCCATTTGGAGGGTGTATGAAGAACTACTTTTGGAGGCAGTAGGAAATAGTGTGGCCAACCCTCTTAAAGCCCTGTCCACATCTCCTTAGTACCCAGTGGTTCAGCGTTTGCTGACTCTGGAACTTCCAACTGCAAACACCTTGCTTAGGGACTTTCAGTGTCCTCTGGAACTCTCTTCATTAGTGTGCATAGAGCAGGCAGAAAGTGCCTGGCTCTTAATGACCCTGGGAACAGTCAAAGACTGGTTGGAGTTGGTGGGAAAATATCCTAGACCTCATGCCCTTGTGGAGGGGAACTCTGAGGCATGCTCTGTGTGCCCTGCACAGGTCCCCCGGCAGGCCTGAGCCCCACCTGCCTATGGAGTTAACCTGCTCACTAATGCGCCAGACACTGGTTTCTTTCTGGTCCTTGTCTTGCTTCCCCATTCACTTACCACAGCTTCCTGGTAAGTCAAATCCATTTCTTAAACTCAATTCTTCATCTCAGTGTCTGTTTCTGGAGCACCTAACCTAAGACAAATGCCATGAACGATTAATGATGCCTAATAGAGGCACAAAACAGGGAAGTGGCTATTTGCCTATCAGGTATTTGGCAACCTTGAATTACGTGGCAAGTATATAAGACTTAGGTGCACAGCTATAGAACATTACGTTGTTATGTGTGAAATTAGGGAATAAGAGCTACCTCACAGGCTTTAGGAAAGATTTACATGATTCTCTTGCTTGTGGTTTTCTTTCAACAATAACAGATTGTGTTGATAAGTAAAGTTGCTGAGAAAGTAAACTGATGCATCTGTCCAAGGATCGGCCTACAGAAAATCATTTCCTGAATTCCTCAAGGATTCAGGAAGGGCTGGGCCAATTCTGGCAGATCCCATTCTTCAGGCCTTCAGGAATGGTTATTACCCTCATGAGATGGATAGAACAAATAATTAAATTATAACATGTGCCCCAAGTCGTTCTAAATATGAAAGTACTTTTCAAAACCTGAAGGATGTGGATAGCATACTATTGGCAAAATGCTGAAGTCTCCTGATTCAATCCAGTGACAGGTAGAGAAGCAACACACAAAAATGGTATCAGAGAATGGAGAGGGCTCTGGAAACAAGAGAGAGAGAGAGAGATATCTAGTTACTTAGGCTCACTAGGCCTCAGTTTGTCCATCTATAAAACAGAGATAATAATGGGACTCCCAAGGTTGTGGCAAGAATAAATGTCAATGCAGTGCCAGACACGTGATGTTCACTCAATGCAAGCTGTATTGTTATTAATAATATTATCACTGTTTGGCTTAAGCTACCTAAATTAGCCTTATATCATCCATAAGATTATACTGTAGTTTATTACATAATTACATTTGTTGGTTGAAATGGATCACTGTAGTCTTTTCATTATGTTCAAGGGTGCCAGAGTTCAACGGTTGAGACCTGTTTCAAGGAAGGAGTGGTCATTTGTGTCAAATATTGCTGAAAGGTGAATGAAATTCTGTTAACTGTAATGCAGGATTTACTATGCAGTAATCCAGTTATGTTTTCCCTAAAAAAGGACTGTTGCTAAAAGTCTATTCAATTCTTGCTGCTGCTGAAAGACAACATATTTTGGTAAGAAATATGTGAAGTTCTGTTTTACGGGAAGTTGGTAGTGCACACTCATCCTCACGAGCTACTGGAAATCAATTACATTTGGTCTTCACTGTGGAATTTGAGTAGTGCCTGTGGTTAAAATGGCTGCTTTGGGTAAAGACGCTAATGTTTGTCCTGTTGTTTCCTGGAACTCATTGGCTTAAAGTGGTTTTGTTGAATAAAATAAGAAGAAAGAACCTGAAAGGGAGGCTGGAGTTTCTGATGGTCTGTGAAGGCCAATGTGGTCCCCTGCTTTCCAGGATTAGGACAGCTCAACTCCTGAAATTATGAAGGGAAATCTTTGTGGCAAGACCAACTTCCACTCTGTAGAGTCAGCTGCCTCTGGAGAGCCTGACGTTTGTACCATGGAGCTGTGACAGCTCTCAAAGTATTGCAATTTAGGGGAATTTCTTGCATGAAATATTGTACAATGGCCTTCACTAGTTTTATGTTTTATGACATTTCCAGAAGTATATTCATTTTTCTTGTGTTTTAAAAATTATAGTATAATTTTCCCTCTCTCTACATGCATACACACACACACAACCTTTTTATAAAATATAAATGTTTGGAAAAGAAGAAAAATGCTCATAATCCCACCATTGAGCACAGTACTTATTTTTCCATGTTCACTAGATGTATTTATATACATGTTTACAAAGTTGTCATAATTGAAGCATATTTTTATACCCTTTTTGTTGAACATTTTATCATAAGACTTGTTTATAAAAATTTTTCATGTTCCTAGACAGATTGTGTAGTTCTTACTTTTATTAGCCAGATAATATTCCATGAAGTGATGTCACCACAATTTTCTGCACCATTCCACTAGTGTTGGATGCTTCCAACAAATTACTTCCAACTTGCTCATTATTGTAAATATTACAGCAATAGGCATTTTTTTCTATGTGACTTTTTTGAGGCCTTGAGCTCTTTTCTTGGGCAAGATCCCATCAGTCATACTATAACAGCAGAATGTATTGATATAGGAGT
Source organism: Homo sapiens (assembly GCF_000001405.40). NCBI lineage: Eukaryota > Metazoa > Chordata > Mammalia > Primates > Hominidae > Homo > Homo sapiens. The sequence continues at coordinate 111,629,791 of NC_000010.11, read as the reverse complement.
TAAGAAGAAATCATGTAGGCAGATAGTCAGGGTACAGAAGTCCTCAGTAAGGCTTTTCTTTTTAATGAAAAGCAGCCCCAAATCATTTTCTCACAAAGAGCGGCCTGTAAAGTTGAGCTGCAGACATAGACAAGCAAGCTGGGAGCTCGCACAGGGGAATGCCGGCAAGAACTAAGGACTAGATATGTTCAAAATGGTGGTTCAATCTTCCCTTCTCTGACAGCCACATGTACTGTAAGGAGCAGACAAGATGATGCTTATCAACTGGAAAGCCCAATTGCATAATAAGATTAAAGTGGGGCGGCCAGACTTCCCCGTGCACTATGTAAATGTCATACCTGATCAAACCAATCTCTGGCCCTATGTAAATTAGACACTGCCTCCTCAAACTGGACTATAAAATCCGGCACATTCACCACCAGCCAGTCCTATCTGCTTGGAGGCCCCTTTCTCTACAGAGAAAGCTGTTTCTCCTTCTCTTCTCCTTTGCCTATTAAACCTCTGTTCCTAAACTCCTCATGTGTGTGTCCTAAATTTTCCTGGTGCATGACAATGAACCCCAGGATATATACCCCAGACAACATAGCCGCTTCAGTGTGACTGTTTAGAGGATACAGTAGGAGATGGAGCAGGTGTGTAAGTGAAGGAAACTGAGAAGCAGCAGCCACAAGAGAGGAGGGCAGCCTGAGAGTGTGGAGCCCCTGAAGTTGAGTCACGAATGTTACAAAGAGTGCTTCGTTGTTTGTGTCAAATGCTGCTGAAAGGAGAATAAAGTGAAGGCAAGAAACTGATCATTGGGAATTCCAGGCACTGTGGTAAGCACCTAGATGACCACAGATAGCCACAAGTCCTAATTTCCTATAACCAAATGTCTAGTGGGAGAAACATGATCTTACCACCACGTGGTTAGTGTTTAATTACAATAGGAGACAATTGCTCTGATGGAAAGGAATACAGAATACTGATTATTTCTGATTTAAAATGGTTGACCTACAGTTTTTTACTTTACAGTGGTGCAAAAGGTATACCCATTCAATAGAAATTATACTTAGAATTTTGATCTTTTCCTGAGCTGGCGGTATGCAGTACGGTAGTCTCAATGCTGGGCAGTGGCAGTGAGACATTCTGTTTTCCATTTTGTATAGTATTCAATGAATTACAAAAGATATTCAACAGATTATTATCAAATTGGCTTTATCACTCACACCCATAATCCAAGCACTTTGGGAGGCCGAGGTGGGCAGATCACGAGGTCAAGAGATCAAGACCATCCTGGCTAACACGGTGAAACTCCGTCTCTACTAAAAATACAAAAAAAAAAAAAAAAAAAGTAGCTGGGTATGGTGGTGGGCACCTGTAGTCCCAGCTACTCGGGAGGCTGAGGCAGGAGAATGGTGTGAACCCAGGAGGCAGAGTTTGCAATGAGCCGAGATTGTGCCACTGCACTCCAGCCTGGGCAACAAAGCGAGACTCTGTCTCAAAAAAAAATTGGCTTTGTCTTTGATGATTTTGCCAAGCTGCAGGCTAACATAGGTGTTCTAAGCATGTTTAAGGTAGGTTTGGCTATGATGTTCAGTAGGCTAGGTGTATTAAATGCATTTTTGACCTACGATATTTTCAAGTTACAGTGTATTTAACCATGATATTTTCAAATTACAATGTATTTAACCCAATCATAAGTCAAGGGGCATCTGTATAATAAAAAAGAAGCTGACATAGAGTTGGAATGCAAACAACATGGTAGACATATGAGACAACATATACAAAGGCCCTGGGAAGAGACAGTTTGACATACTGGAGACCTGAAGATCAGTGAGCCTGGAGCCTAGACAGGGAGAGGAGAACTACAGTGGTGAGACTGAGTGGTAGGTGGGGCCCAGATCACACACAGCCTCACAATCCATATTAAGGAGTTCAACATTAGGGAGAGATGTCATCAGACATGTATTTTGAAAAGCTCACTCTGGCCAAAGTGTGAAAGGTGAATTGAAGGTGTGCTTGAGACACTGTGGTTTTTCATGAACAATCATAGAAGACGAGGTGTAAAATTGGTGATGATGGAAATTGCTGTAACATCTTCCAAAATATTTTCTCACAAAGACTAAATTATAGTTGCTGAGGCCACTGTTTTTTTTTTAAATAATGCCCTAGTGATCATGCAGTTGATGTTACTGAAAAGCATGCGAGAACTGTATATAGAGTGATTCTTTCATGGAGAAAGTGTCACGTATGCACAAAAAATTCTTGGTTTCATCTCAAACTCTGAAGCAACAATCACAGCTCTTTACCAGCAGTTTGTAGCATGTAGAGTTCAAGACAGAATTTTTTCTGTCTTTGAGTTTCTTTTTTAAATTTATTTTTTAAAAAATTTTATTTTGGGTTCAGGGGTACATGTTAAGGTTTGTTATGTAGTCAAACTTATGTCGCGGGGGTTTGTTATACAGATTATTTCATCACCCAGGTATTAAACCCAGTACCCAATAGCTGTCTTTTCTGCTCCTCTCCCTTCTCCCACCCTCCACCCTCAAGTAGATCCCAGTGTCCATTGTTCCTTTCTTCATGAGTTCTCATCATTTTGCTCCCACTTATAAGTGAGAACATGCAGTATTTGGTTTTCTGTTCCTGCATTAGTTTGCTAAGGATAATAACCACCAGTTCCATCCATGTTCCCACAAAAGACATGATCTCATTCTCTTTTATGGCTGCCTAGTATTCTATGGTATATAAGTACCACATTTTCTTTATCCAATATGTCATTGATGGGTATTTAGGTTGATTCCATGTCTTTGTTATTGTGAATAGTGCTGCAGTGAACATTCCCATGCGTGTGTCTTTATGGTAGAAAAATTTATATTTCTCTGGGTATATACTCAGTAATGGGATGGCTGGGTCGAATGGTAGTTCTGCTTTTAGCTCTCTAAGGAATCGCCATACTGCTTTGACAGTGGTTGAACTATTTGTACTCCCAACAACAGTGTAAAAGTGTTCCATTTTCTCTACAACCTTACCAGCATCTGTTATTTTTTGACTTTTTCATTATAGCCATTTTGACTGGTGTGAGATGGTATCTCATTGTGGTTTTGATTTGCATTTTTCTAATGATAAGTGATATTGAGCTTTTTTTTCACATGCTTTTGGCCGCATGTATGTCTTCTTTTGAAAAGTGTCTGTGCATGTCCTTGCCCACTTTTTAATGGGGTTACTTGTTTTTCTCTTATAATTTTTGTCTAAGTTACTTATAGATGTTCTGTATCAGACCTTTGTCATATGAATAGTTTGTAAATATTTTATTCTCATTCCATAGGTTGTCTGTTAACTCTGTTGATAGTTTCTTCTCCTGTGCAGAAGCTCTTAAGTTTAATTACATCCCACGTGTCAATTTCTGCTTTTGTTGCAATTGCTTTTTGGGTCTCATGAAATCTTTGCCCATTTCTATGTTCAGGATGGTATTGCCTAGATTGTCTTCTAGGGTGTTTATAGTTTTGTGTCTTAAATTTAAGTATTTAATCCATCTTTACTTGATTTTTGATATTGTGAGGATAGGGTCCAGCTTCAGCCTTCTGCATATGGCTAGCCAGTTATCTCAGCACCATTTATTGAAAATAGGGAGCCTTTTCCCCCATTGCCTGTTTTTGTCAGCTTTGTCAAAGATCAGATGCTCATAGGTGTGAGGGCTTATTTAAGTTCCAGAGATTTGAGAATAGAAATTTTATCTAAACTTTCTCAATTGTAACTTGCTGGTCACAAGGAAACAGTCAGGCTGAAATGATGAGGAGTGTTGAGGGTGTTCTGAAGGAGACTGAAAGATGTGGTTGAAAACCTTGACTTTTCAGATTTTGTCACTTAATATTTCACTTGACATTCAACAAGAGAAAAACCAGCTGAAATATTAGTACTTGAGGATAGTAGTCAGAACTTCATCTGTTGCAAATAACTCAAATTGACTTAAATGAAAATAAATTGTTTTGTTACATAACAGGAAAGTCTTGAAGCAAGCCAGCTTTACTTTCAGGTACACTCAGGAACACAAATAATTTTACCCATACTCAGCCCTTCTCTCAACTCTGTTCTCAGGTTGAAAGAACTCTCATCATGTGGCTCTTGCCACATGATGTCCCCTCGATGTCCCAAGCTTGTGTCATACCAGTTTAGCGGCCTCACCAGAAAGAGCACATCTTTTTATGAATCATACCTGAAGTCCCAGGAGTGACCTCTACTCCCCTAGTTGAGACAACAAACCCATTCATGAACCAATCATTGAGGCTAGAGAGGAGTCAAATGCCCGGGAGCCAAGAATGGTGCCAATTTCTCAAAACCACAAGGTCTGTGATTGAGAGACCATGATCCCCAAAGAAAAAATTCATTAATGCTTGGCCTGCAAAAAGGACAGATGTCCACTGTAGGAGTTGATGAAGATCCCCTTCAGTGATTCTTAGAGTCTTAATATTTATAATCAGCAAGTATGTGCTTGAAGGCTCTTCTATGTGTTTCTTTTCATCTCTCCTTTTAAAGGAATTCATTAATCATTCATTGATTTATACTCATTTTTTTGTCCATAAAATACTGCAATAATTAATAAGGGCATATACCACATGTAAAGTGGTATAAATTAAAGATGGGGCAAAAGAAGAAAGATAAGAGAGTAAAAGGAAATCTAGTGACACTTAAATGTGTTGGTCAGGCTACCAATTTAGTTGTGGTTCTTCGGAGGTCTAAGAGGTAAGATTTATCAGTTTCTCTCTTGACAGGGATCATTATTTTAAAATGATTCCCTTGATCTAAAGCATTCTGGAAGCCAGAATAGCCAGGAATTTCTCTTGCGGGACGTGATGGCCGATCTCCTCAAGAGCAAACAGCAAAAGGAACAGTGACACATTTCACAGGACCCCTTTGCATAATAACTTTTTTGTATGATTATGCTCATTCTCAAGCATAATTCAGTCAAACCATTTCTGGAGGGACCAATTTTTCAAAAGATTAGATTTAAAAAATGATTGTGCTGGAGTAAAGAATTCAGCAATTGTTCTTTAGTTGATAAAGGCTGGGGTATGCAAGGTTCAGGGTGCTGGTAATAATAGTTATAATAGCAGTGGTGCTAGTAATAATCACAGAATATTTATACTCATGATAATCATTTATTGTGCATTGTGCCAGATGCTAAATGTTTGCATGTAAGAATTATCTCACTGATTGCTCAGAAAGGTGCCATAAGGTCATAATACTATTATCGTTACCATGAGATTTCACTTTATGCAAATTGGAAATTGAAAAGTATAAAGACGTACTTTATGCATAAAATTGGAAATAACGTGAATCCCACGTTACATGCATCCCTCTGGGAAAATTAGTCGTGAGTTATGTAAATTGTGAGTTGTGAGAAATCCTCAGTAACTCATTCCTAGCATAAAATGCTGCAGTCCAATATTCTCATATCACAACTGTGGAAGTTGAGGATTAATAAAGCCCAAGAACTGTCCCATTCATGAAGACTGAACTGAGATTTGAATTCAGCATTCCAGAGCAGCCACTGTCTGAATTCCTTTTTATAAACCAGGAGCATTCTAGCATTTACCACACAATAATGATCTTTTTAAACTGGTCTAGTAAGCAAGTTGCATTGAAATATATATGTTGCTTACTTAGAAAAATGCATTTCACACATGGTGACAAATGGAACATGTAATAATATTGTATTCCTTTACAGAGTTCTGTTCAAAATTGTGCCCACTTGCTTTTGAAAATTGCTTCCAAACAGCAAAGAAGGCCTACCCAATAAGCCCACCTCAGATCAGATAAGAGAGTCAGAATTGGATCTCAGCACTCCCAACCATCTCTACCCATGGGTGATGATGAAAAGGAGTCAGAACACCTTCTCTGAGGAGTGGTCACTGAAGAAAGGCAAAGCTCTTTCTGTTCACTCCAGAAAAAGTTAAAGGTCTATATCTGCTGAGCCTTTAAATAAAAGAAAATATAATCTTAAAAGAAGGAAGCAAAAACCATTGCATGCTATTTTAGATTACAGAGAAGAGGCAGTGGAGTAATTCATTGACCATTCTTAGCTTCTTAGATATATGATTCTGCTTCATTGCTCATTTTAAAGAACCGGAATTAGCTGGGCATCGTCACTCATGTCTGTAATCCCAGCATTTTGTGATGCCAAGGCAGGCAGATCACTTGAGGACAGAGTTTGAGACCAGCATGGCCAAAACAGCAAAACCCCATCTGTACAAAAAAAAAAAAAAAATTAGCTGGGTGTGGTGGTGCATGCCTGTAATCCCAGCTACTTGGGAGGCTGAGGCATGAGAATTGCTTGAACCCAGGAGGCAGATGTTGCAGTGAGCTGAGATCACACCGTTGCACTCCAGCCTGGGTGACAGAGCAAGACTCTGTCTCCAAAAACACTAGCTAACTAACTAACTAGCTAACTAACTAACTAACTAACTAAATAAATAAATAAATAAATAAATAAATAAATAAATACATGAAACAAAATTAGGCCCAAGTCCAAGAAGGAAGACCTCTGATTGAGGCAAGGGTCTAAGTGAAGTATTTGTTTAGAGACTGCAACCTTGGCTGGGGTGTTTGTTCATTTTTAAAGCCACTTCTCAAGAAAAAAATCACCAGTTTCCAAAAAAGAAGTTTATTACTTCACTAGCCACCACATTAGCTGAAACAGCATTTCTGTATTCACAACTATCAGAGATAGCCTAGCAGAAGGAGATAGGAAAATGTCAGTGAAGTGAGAAGGTCATTACATTGTGGTATGATGTTGCTTCTTTGCTCCTTTTGCATGCCTGTGCAACCAGCTCAGTTATTTTGGCTCAGTATAATACTGCTGCTAAAACCATTCTTAGCCTGGCAAGTTTTCTGCCATCCAGCAAGAGAACAAATTAAAGGTAATGGGATGGATGAGAAATAATCATGCCCTCGACATTCCAGCTTTTGTATGACTTTTCTTGGTAATTTATTTGGCTGCTAATTTCTTGGCTGGTCAAGAGTAAAATTATGCCCCAGCTTCTTCTCATGAACCTCTGAAAGAAAGCCCTAGTCTTTGCTTTGGTCAAGATGAATTTTGCCATCCTGATGTTTTATACCCTTGCAAGGTGTAGTGGTCCATTTTCATACTGCTATAAAGAACTGCCAGAGACTGAAAAATTTATGAAGTAAAGAGGTTTAATTCACTCACAGTTCAGCATGGCTGGGGAGACCTAAGGAAACTTACAATAATGATGGAAGCCTAAGGGGAAGCAAGACCTTCTTCACAAGGCAGCAGAAAGGAAAAGTGCTGAGCAAAGGGGGAATAGCCACTTATAAAACCATCAGATCTCATGAGAGCTAACTCACTATCATAGGAACACCACAGGCAAAACTGCCTCCATGATTTAATTACCTCTATCTAGTCTCTGGCTTGACACATGGGGATTATGGGGATTACAATTCAAGATGAGATTTAGGTGGGGACACAAAGCCTAACCATATTATTCTGCCCCAGACCTCTCCCAAATCTCATGTCCCTTTCACATTTCAAATCTAATCATGCCTTCCCAACAGTCCCCCAAAGTCTTAATTCATTCCAACATTAACCCCAAAATCCAAAGTCTCAACTGAGGCAAGGCAAGTCTCTTTTGCCCATGAGCCTGTAAAATCAAAAGCAAGATAGAATGGAGGTACAGGCATTGGGTAAATACACCCATTTCAAATGGGACAAATTGGCCAAAAGGAAGGGGCTACAGGCCCCATGAACATTCAAAATCCAGCAGGGCAGTAAAATCTTAAAGCTCTGAAATAATCACCTTTCATTCCATGTATCACATCCAGGTTATACAGATGCAAGAGATGGGCTCCCATGGCCTAGGCAGCTCTGCCCCTGTGGCTTTGCAGGGTACAGTTCCCATCTTTGCTGCTTTCATGGGCTGGCATTGAGTGTGGCTTTTCCAGGTGCATGGTGCAAGCTGTCAGTGGAGCTACCATTCTGAGGTCTGGAAAACAGCAGTCCTCGTCTCACAGCTCCACTAGCCAGTGCACCAGTGGGGACTCTGTGTGGGGACTCCAACCCCACATTTTCCTTCTGTACTTCCCTAGCAGAGGTTCTCCATGAGGGCTCTACACCTGCAGCAAACTTCTGTATGGACACCCAGTGTTTACATACATCCTCTGAAGTCTAGGCAGAGGTTTCCAAACCTGAATTCCTGACTTCTGTGCACCCACAGGCCCAACATCATATGTAAGCTACCAAGGCTTGGGGCTTGCACCATCTGAAGCAATAGCCTGAGCTCTACATTGGCCCTTTTTAGCCATGGCTAAGACACAGGGCACAAAGTCCTGAGTCTGCACAAAACAGCAAGGTCCTGGGCCTGGCCCATGAAATCATTTTTTCCTCCTAGGGCTCTGGGACTGTAATGAGAGGGGCTACGATGAAGACCTCTGGCATGTTCTGGAGACATTTTCCCTATTGTCTTGGCCACCAACATTTAGCTCCTCATTACGTATGCAAATTTCTGTAGCCAGCTTGAATTTCTCCCCAGAAAATGGGTTTTTCTTTTCTATCACATCATCAGGTTGCAAATTTTCCCAACTTTTATGCCCTGCTTTCCTTTTATACATAAGTTCCAATTCCAAATCATCTCTTTGTGAGTGCATAAAACTGAATGGTTTTAAGAGCACCCATGTCACCTCTTGAATGCTTTGCTGCTAAGAAATTTCTTCTCGCCAGATATCCTAAATCATCTCTCTCAAGTTCAAAGTTCCACAGATCTCTAGGGTAGGGGCCAAATGCCACCAGTCTCTTTGCTAAAGCATAGCCAGAGTCACCTTTATTCTAGTTACCAATAAGTTCTTCATCTCCATCTGAGACCACCTCAGCCTGGACTTTATTGTCTATATCACCGTCAGCATTTTGGCCAAAGCCATTCAACAAGTCTCTAGGAAGTTCCAAACTTTCCCACATTTTTCTATCTTCTTCTGAGCACTCCAAATTGTTTAAACCTCTGCCTGTTACCCACCTCCAAAGTCACTTCCAGATTATTTTCAAATATCTTTATATCAGCAGCACACTCCTGGTACCAATTTACTGTATTAGTCCATTTTCATGCTGCTATAAAGAACTGCGTGATATTGGGTAATTTATAATGGAAAGAGGTGTAATTTACTCACAGTTCAACATAGCTGCGGAGGTCTCGGAAACTTACAATCATGGCAGAAGGTGAAGGGGAAGAAAGGCACCTTCTTTACAAGGCAGCAGGAAGGAAAAGCGCTGAGCAAACAGGGAAGACCTCCTTATAAAACCATCAGATATCATGAGTACCAACTCACTATCATGAGAACACTATGGGGGAAACTGTCCCTATGATTCAATTACCTCCACCTGGTCTCTCCTTTGACATGTGGGGATTATGGAGATTACAGTTCAAGATGAGATTTGGG